>NC_000023.11:118023504-119451442 GCF_000001405.40 Homo sapiens | reverse complement strand
TCTGGCCACTCTTCCACGTTCATTGAAGACTGTGATACCTGGTGGCTCACCCTCTCCTAGCCTCGCCGTCATCTTAGGTAACTTTGGCATCTATAAAGACGACCCAGCCCATGACCAGTTTCTGGCCTTCGGCTTCAGTGATCCTCACCTTTATACCATTTTGGCCACCCCGTGGACATCATCACCACCTTCAGAGCCATCCTGACGGAACCCTATTATTACCAAAATGCTCCATCTCTGAAAGGAACGTTTTCTCCTTTAATATTATTATTTTTTTTGCGACAGAGTCTCACACTCTGTTGCCCAGGCTGGTGTGCAGTGGCATGATCTCGGCTCACTGCAGCCTCCACCTCCCGGGTTCAAGCGATTCTCCTGTCACAGCCTCCTGAGTATCTAGGACTACAGGTGCACACCACCACACCTGGCTAATTTTTATATTTTTAGTAGAGATGGGGTTTCACGATGTTGGCCAGGCTGGTCTGAAACTCCTGGCCTCAAGTGATCCACCTGCCTTGGCCTCCCAAAGTGCTAGGATTACAGGCGTGAGCCACTGCACCCAGCCATCCTCTTAGAAAAATAATTTTACGATCAGATGAAATGACTTTTCAATATACCATCTACATATAAAACTGGTACTACCTGTCCACTGTGAAGGGGATGTCCCCTCAGAGCTGGCTTTCAGAAATGGTGTTGAGTTTAGATTAAGCTATACACATACTTTGGTTTGTTTCTGAAATGTTTAGTTGGGGCTATATGGCATTCTGTGGCAATGGAACCAAGATTATCGATGTGGGAGAGGAGGTGTGGTACAACAGTAAGAAGAGCACAACTCTGGAGTTGAGCAGGTTCGTTTCTAGTCCTAGTTTCTTCACTTACTTGGCCCTGTGACCCTAGGCAGCTTATCTAACCTTCAGAGCATTCACTGCCTTTTAATATTTGGAATAATTTACTTATTTATTTCCTTTATTTATCTGCTCCTTCTCTGCAACTAGAATTTCAGCTACATGTAAGGAGGGATTTTTTGATCTGTTTTATTGACTTCTGTATCCTTAGTATTCTTAACACATAGTAGATATTTAATAAACATTTGAATAAATGAAATGTATTCCATTGTCGACCTCCTGGTTTCCAAATCCAGTGGCTCTTTTTGGCTATATTATTACTGGATTTCTTAGGGGGCAATATTTGGCACTGATAACCAGGAACTCTTTTGGTCCTCCTCAATTTATATACCTTTTCTAGGAAATTCTACCATAGCTTTTGCTTTAAACACCTCCTACAGGCAGATGGCTCCCAAATCTTTATCTTTGGCTCTGACCTCCCACTGACCTCCAAAACCAAGCACCTAACTGCCTACTGGGCAGCTCTACCTGGATAGTACACAAGTACTCAAAACTCGACACACCTAGAATCTATCGTTGCCTTTCTTCTTGACAGTGTCAGATTTATTCTTTCTTCTGTATTTCTTATCTCAGTGATGAATGGCCCAAGTCTTTAACAAGCTACCCCAAGCCAGAAACCTGGAATTCCTTCATTTCGCCCACCCTTACTGCCCTATCCAAGCAATCCTCCTTTCCATCCCCACTGGCACTCCCATAATTCAGGCTACCACCATCTCATGTGTGCATTACTGTAGCAGTCTGTTACTGGCCTCTTGGACCCACTCTTGTCCTTTTCAATTCTTTTCTTTTCTTTTCTTTTCTTTCTTTTTTTGAGACAGAGTCTCGCTCTGTTACCCAGGCTGGAGTGCAATGGTGCAATAACGGCTCACTGCAGCCTCAACCTCCTGGGCTCAGGTGATCCTCCCACCTTAGCCTCCCTGGTAGCTGGGACTACTGGCATGTGCCACCATGCCCTGCTAATTTTTGTATTTTTTGTAGAGACAGGGTTTCCCTATGTTGCCCAGGCTGGTCTTGAATTTCTGGGCTCACGTGATCCTCCCACCTTGGCCTCCCATAGTGCTAGGATTACAGGTATAAGCCATTACACCCAGCCTCCAATTCATTCTTCTTCTTTTTTTTTTTTTTTTGAGACAGAGTCTCGCTCTGTTGCTCAGGTTGGAGTGCAGTCACACGATCTCGGCTCACTGCAACCTCTGCCTCCTGGGTTCAAGCAATTCTCCTGCCTCAGCCTCCCAAGTAGCTGGGATTACAGGTGCATGCCATCGCACCTGCCTAATTTTTGTATTTTTAGTAGAGATGGGGTTTCCCTGTGTTGGGCAGGCTGGTCTTGAACTCCTGACCTCAGGTGATCCACCTGCCTCGGCCTCCCAAAGTGCTGAGATTACAGGTATGAGCCACCGTGCCCGGCCTCATTCTTTATACTACAGCCAGAACGCATTTCTAAAATTCCAATTCAGACCACTGACTACTTTACTGACATTTTACCGCCTATAGGATAAAATCTAAGCTCCTTAGAATGACATGTAAGGCCCTTCATGACAACTTTTCCAACATGAAAAGCATCACTCACCCCAATCATACTGACTGCACTCCTTAGCTCTTTTTTATACTCCCATTATCTCCTCTAAAGACTATTCATTTATTTGCATATTTATTGATACTTACTATATGCCCGACACTCAGGATACATTAGTGAACCAAACAGACAAAAGTCCCTGTTCCTATAAAGCTGAAAGTCTAATTGCAGGGGAAGACAAGACAAAGAAAGAAAATAAATAAGTAAATTACACCAAATACTAAGAGGAGGTGAGTGCTCTGGATAAAATAAAAGCAGGGGGAACATAAGGAGTGTCTGGAGGATGCTGAAGTTTTTATTAGGGTAATCAGAGAAGACCTCACCAAGAAGATGGCTTTTTGGAGATCTGAAGGAAGTGAGGAAGCAAGTTGTACAGATATCTTCAAAGGCCCTGGGACAGGAGCATGTCCGGGGTGTTACAGAGGCAATGAGGAGGCCAATGTGGTGGTAATGGAATGAACAAAATAGAGAGTAATGGGATATGACTTCACAAAAGTAAATGGTGGCTAGGTTGTATAAGGCTGGTAGGGCACACAGTAAGAATTTTGGCTTTTACTGAGAAGACTGGTCACTGGGGGGGGTTATGAATAGAAGAATGGCATGACCTAATTTATATTTTCACATGATCACTGGCTGCTGTGTTGAAAAAGACTCAAGAATGGAGGGAAAAGTAGGATGGAGACTGGTTAGGAGATTACTAGAGTAATTTAGGCAAGAGATGACGGTAGCTTGGACTGGGATGCTAGTGGTGGAGTGGTGAGCAGTGATCAGACTCGATATATTCTGAAGGTAGAGTCAACAGGATTGGCTGATGGACTGGATGAGGGTGTGAGAGGAGAGTCAAGGATGGCTCTAAAGTTTCTGGCCTAAGTGACGGGATAGACAGAAGTGCCATGAACTGAGATGGAGGACGCTATGGGAGAAGCAGGTTGGCTTTTTGTTTTTGTTTTTTGAGGGTGGGTGAAAACATCAGGAGTTCAACTGCGCAATGCTTGTTAGCCATTCAAATGGAGATGGAGAGTTGGCTACATGAGTCTGGAGTTCAGGGGAGAGGTCAGGGCCGGAGACATAATTAGGGAGTGATCAGTACATGGGTGGTATTTAAAGCCAGGAGACCAGATGAGATCACTTAGGGCTTGAGCCTGGGGATACTTCCACATTAGACCCCACAAAGAAGACTGAGAAGGAGCAGTTGGTGAAGAAGGAAAAGGAAAGTGTGGTGTCCAGGAAGCCAAGTGAAGGTGGTATGTCAAGGAGGAGTGGTGAGCTGCTGAGGGCCCAGTAAGATGAAGACTGAGAAGTGACCATTGGATCTAAACACATGGAGGTCACTGGTTATCATAAAAAGAGAAGTTTTGGCTGGGTGCAGTGGCTCACATGTGCAATCCCAGCACTTTGGGAGGCCATAGGGGGAGGATTGCTTGAGCCCAGGAGTTCAAGACCAGCCTGGGCAACACAGTGGGACCCCTATCTCTGCAAAAAATATAAAAATTAGCTGGGTGTGGTGGTGCACACCTGTAGTCCCAGTTACTTGGGGGGGCTGAGGTGGGAGGGTTGCTTGAGCCCATGAGGTTGAGGCTGCAGTGAACCATGATTGTGCCACTGTACTCCAGCCTGGGCGATAGAGTGAGTCCATGTCTCAAAAAATAAAAGAGAAGTTTATTGGATGGTGGAGCAAAAGTCTGACTGGAATGGACTCAAGAGAGAATCGGGCTGGGCATGGTGGCTCACGCCTGTAATTCTAGCACTTTGGGAGGCCAAGGCAAGTGGATCACCTGAGGTCAGGAGTTAGAGACCAGCCTGGCCAACATGGCAAAACCCTGTCTCTGCTAAAAATACAAAAATGAGCTGGGCATGGTGGTGGGTGCCTGTAATCCCAGCTACTCAGGAAGCTGAGTCATGAGAATCACTTGAACCCGGGAGGTGGAGGTTGCAGTGAGCTGAGATCACGCCACTGCACTCCAGCCTGGGCAACAGAGTGAGACTCTGTCTCAAAAAAAAAGAGAATGGGAAGAGAAAGATTGGAGATGGTGAATATAGACAACTCTTTCAAAGAGGCCTCTTTCACAATTGTACTGTAATCATGTCCAATTTACATGTCTGTTTTTCCTAGTGTTCTGTGAACTCTGAGGACTGGGTCTTTTTAATTTCTGTATCTCTAGTGCCTTAAGCAGCAGCTGACACATGACTGGTGCTCAATGAATGGCTTGCTGAATGAGTACATAAAATGCCCAGTATAAGAGTGGGCTGGAATTTTTAAAGCATTTTCACATAATTTTATGCATGAGTTATAAAAACGGTAGGTCAAGACTTATACAATGTAATGTAGAATCTTTGCAGAAAACAAATATCAAAATTCATTTCATTTCTCTCTTCACAAGACATTGTAGATGGTTCTATTTTACTAAGATGTAATGGCATAGTACAAAATATTACACATGTAGTCCATATTACTATTGCCACTACTGATGCATAGCTGCTGACATTTATTGACTGCTTATGTGTCTGTTAAAGTTGAGGAAACTGAGGCTCAGGGACAGGTTAAGTGATTTGACCAAGGTCATACAGCAGGTAATGAACACATTTTATTCTGTTTTATATTCCAGTTAGTTGTTTCCTGTCTCTTTCCCTCAGGATACTATGAGACCTGTGATGGCTAGGACCACATTTTACTTAGCTTTTCTCTCTTCCACCCTCCTTAAAAATCTGTAGAAGAATGAATTACAATCAGTGAAGCAGTGTGAAAACTCGATTTTACTGATTCAAACCAGGCTTTCTGGACTTTCTTTTTTTTTTTTTTTTTTTTTTTTTTTGAGATGGAGTCCCACTCTGTCACTCAGGCTAGAGAGCAGTGGTTGATCTCGGCTCACTGCAACCTCTGCCTCCCAGATTCAAGCAATTCTCCTGCCTCAGCCTCCCGAGTAGCTGGGATTGCAGGTGCATGCCACCACACCCAGCTAATTTTTGTACTTTTAGTAGAGGTGGGGTTTCACCATGTTGGCCAGGCTGGCCTCAAACTCTTGACCTCAGGTGATCCTCCTGCCTCGGCCTCCCAAAGTGCTGGGATTATGGGCATGAGCCACCTCTTTGTTGCCCCTGACAATGAAAGCTGGCTCTTTCTTGCTCTCCTTCTGATTACTAGATCTCCAAGGACTTGATTACTTTAGACTCTGATAACGCAGATCCCTAAACCAGAGACCCCAATCTGAAATGGACCCTAAGATCTTCCCTTCCAATTATTCGTTTCACAAACAAAAACCTATGACCTGGAGAAGCAGAGCAACTTAACCAAAGCCCCCAGCTGGTGCATAGCAGAGGCAGACCTAGAGGCCAGATGCTGTGCCTACTGGGCCACTGCAATCTGTACTCCAGGATCCTGCCTCCTGGTGACTCTGCGACCTTGGCATCTAGGCTCCAAGGCTTTACACTACAACTTATGCTGCCCCTAACAGCCACCTAACTCATGTCCTTGCAGGACACCCCACCCCACTACTGTTGCTGCACAACCCTGGCAATGCCAGTCGTCATCTTGTCCAAGTTAGACTTTAGCTTTTCTCATGACCCCCAACTATAAGGACATTCAATACAGCATATAGTAAAAGGCAACTAATTCCAACTAGTGGGTATGTATAGGGGGGAAGTCGGCCTAAATGAGTGAAATCTAAATTATGAAATTTTGGAAAGACACTCCATTTTATTATACATGACTGGAACTAGATTAATGAAGGGCAACCTAGTAGAGACACTTTTCAGGCCTTACTTTCATGCATGGTTGAGTGATCTGTGGAAGCCTAGGTAGAGTGCGAATCTTCTGCCTGTGGGCTTCAGCATCACACAGACCTGGATTGGAACCCTTGTCTCTTCTACTCATTAGCTATTTTTGATCTTAAGCAAGTTCCTTTTTTTTTTTTTTTTTTTTTTTTTTTGGAGACAGGGTCTTACTCTGTCACCCAGGCTGCTGCAGTGCAGTGGCATGATCTTGGCTCACTGCAACCTCTGCCTCCCAGTTTCAAGCGATTCTTGTGCCTCAACCTCCTGAGTAGCTGGGATTACAGGCACGTGCCACATCGCCTGGCTAATTTTTGTATTTTTCGTAGAGACAGGGTTTTGCCATGTTGGCCAGGCTGGTCTCAAACTCCTGACCTCAAGTGAGCCACCCACCTCGGCCTGCCAAAGTGCTGGGATTACAGGCGTGAGCCACTGCACCCAGTGAGTTCCTTAACTTCTCTGAGCTTCAATTTCTTCTTTTTTTTTTTTTTTTGAGACACAGTTTCACTCTTTTTGCCCAGGCTGGAGTGCAATGCCACGATCTTGGCTCACTGCAACTTCCGCCTCCTGGGTTCAAGTGATTCTCCTGCCTCAGCCTCCCAAGTAGCTGGGATTACAGGTGCCTGCCACCATGCCTGGCTTTTTTTGTATTTTTAGTAGAGATGGGGTTTCACCATGTTGGTCAGGGTGATCTCGATCTCTCGACCTCGTGATCCACCCACCTCGGCCTCCCAAAGTGCTGGGATTACAGGCATGAGCCACTGCGCCTGGCCTCAATTTCTTTATTTCAAAAATGGGAGTGATAATACCTAGCTCTTAGAGTTGCTATGGAAATTAAATAAGACAATGAAGAGTGCCAGCAACATTATAAGTGTCAATAATATTAGACATTATTAGTAATAAATAAGTACTTCAGCAGGCTTTAAAAGCAGCTTCTTTTGGTAAACAGTTTAAATATCCCTATAGTTATGCTGTTTATATGACTAATTTGCTTACTAAGCCCTGGGTTATTACAATTTTAGGTTAGTGGCATGCAAATTAATGAGGTTTCACAATTCTTTATTTTATATTAATGATTGTTATATCTTTCCTCATTAATCCAGCTCAAAGAATCAATATTCTATGCTTTAAAAATATAGAATGGCTGGGTGCAGTGGCTCATGCCTGTAATTCCAGCACTTTGGGAGGCTGAGGCTGGCAGATCGCTTGATCCCAGGAGTCCAAGACCAGCCTGGGCAACATGACGAAACCTCATCTCTACAAAAGAAAAAAAAATTAGCCGGGCATGATGGCATGTACCTGTAGTCCCAGCTACTCAGGAGGGAGTAGATCCTGAGGCAGGAGGATCGACCGAGCCCAGGAAGTTGAGGCTGCAGTGAGCCGAGATTGCACCACGGCAATCCAGCCTGGGCAACAGAGAAAAACCCTGTTTCAAAAAAATAAAAATAAATAAATAAATAAATAAATAAATAAAAAATAATTCTCCATCAAGTTGAAGGGTGAAACTTTTGAGTTATGCCTTCTCTTTAAAGTGCAGTGACAAGCAAACACAGATGATTGTGAGAAACAGAACATGAAATGGACAAGCTGAATCTCCCAGCCTGGTTGTAATCCCAGCTACTTGGGAGGCTGAGGCAGGAGAATTGCTTGAACCCGGGAGGCGGAGGTTGCAGTGAGCTGAGATTGTGCCACTGCACTCCAGCCTGGGCAACAGAGTAAGACTCTGTCTCAAAAAAAAAAAAAAAAAAGAGAGAGAGAGAGAGAATAGAGAATGGGGGCTGGGCGCGGTGGCTCACACCTGTTAATTCTAGCACTTTGGGAAGCCAAGGGAAGTAGATCACCTGAGGTCAGGAGTTCGAAACCAGCCTTGCCAACATGGCAAAACCCTGTCTCTGCTAAAAATACAAAAATTAGCCGGGCATGGTGGCAGATGCCTGTAATCCCGGCCACTCGGGAGGCTGAGGCATGAGAATCGCTTGAACCTGGGAGGTGGAGGTTGCAGTGAGCCAAGATTGTGCCACTGCACTCCAGCCTGGGTGACAGAGTGAGATTCTGTCTCAAAAAAAAAAAAAAAAAAAAAGAGAGAGAATGGGAAAAGAAAGACTGGAGATGGTAAATAAATACAGACAACTCTTTCAAAGAGACCTCTTTCACAATTGTACTGTAATCATGTCCAATTTACATGTCTATTTTTCCTAGTGTTCTGTGAACTCTGTGAGGACTGGGTCTTTTTAATTTTCGTATCTCTAGTGCCTTAAGCAGCAGCTGACACATGACTGGTGCTCAATGAATGGTTTGCTGAATGAGTACATAAAATGCTCAGTATAAGAGTGGGCTGGAATTTTTAAAGCATTTGCACATAATTTTATGCATGAGTTATAAAAATCGTGGGTCAAGACTTACACAATGTAATGTAGAATCTTTGCAGAAAACAAATATCAAAATTCATTTCATTTCTCTCTTCACAAGACATTGTAGATGGTTCTATTTTACAGTAGGCAAAATGGCTAGGGGTCTTCAGTGGATGTCTTACTTTAAAGTGTTTCCTTTAGCATTGTTCGGACTCAACCTCCTTTCCTTCTTACCCTATCAGTAAAGAACTGTTACCAAAAGGATAGTAAGCTGCCTTTTCCCTTACAAAGAATCTGCCTAATCACAAGACTTCAAGTTCCTCCTGCTAATGTAAGACTGAAATATTGAAAAGAGGAAATTTATGTTCATGCAGGAAAGTAACCTCCTTATTTTGCTACCAAATAAGATGACTGATTTATCATCTGCCAGTTTCTGGTAAGAATTGTAAAGAGCCCTGGGTCATGAGTCAAGGTAATCATTCTGTAATCTGGTGCTCCCCACAACTAAAACAAAAAGACACTAAGTAACACGAATTACATAACAGGTCAATTATAATCAACTTGTGATAAATCAAGGTCCATCTATATCCAGTCTTAGGATGTTAACAATCTTCCAAATTTCTTGACTGAACTCTTACCTGCACTGCCAAGGCACCACTGCGCATGTGGATTGTTGCAGCAGTTTCCTTAGCGATCTTGCCTTCTCCCACTGGGAGTCCATTCTTGTACAGTGATGTATTATTATTATTATTTTTTGAGATGGAGTCTCGCTCTGTCACCCAGGCTGGAGTGCAGCGGCGCAATCTCGGCTCATTGCAACCTCCGTCTCCCGGGTTCAAGCGATTCTCCTGCCTCAGCTTCCTGAGTAGCTGGGATTACAGGTGTGCACCACCAGGCCTGGCTAATTTTTTTGTATGTTAGTACAGACGGGGTTTCACCATGTTGCCCAGCTGGTCTTGAACTCCTGACTTCATGTGATCCACCTGCCTCGGCCTCCCAAAGTGCTGGGATTACAGGCGTGAGCCACTGCGCCTGGCCACGTACAGTGATTTTTAAAAATCAGATCCTTTTACTCACCTGCTTAAAACATTTTAATGACTTTACATCACACTTAGAATAAAATCTAAATTTCTTGGTGCTTCCCAGGAAGATCTGGGAAGCAGGATCTGGGCCCGGTGGAGCAGGTACTGTAAAATCTTAATCACTGTAAAATCCAAATCAACCACAAAAATGAGTACGTGCAAATAATTCACACCAGGAAAATTCAGTAAGCTTTTAAAAAGACACAGATGATCCCTTTTAAAACAAAGCATTCTTATCCTCAAAAACTGAGATGAAAAAGAAAACAAAGCGGGAGGAGCCAAGATGGCCGAATAGGAACAGCTCCGGTCTACAGCTCCCAGCGTGAGCGACGCAGAAGACGGTGATTTCTGCATTTCCATCTGAGGTACCGGGTTCATCTCACTAGGGAGTGCCAGACAGTGGGCGCAGGCCAGTGTGTGTGCGCACCGTGCGCGAGCCGAAGCAGGGCGAGGCATTGCCTCACCTGGGAAGCGCAAGGGGTCAGGGAGTTCCCTTTCCGAGTCAAAGAAAGGGGTGACGGACGCACCTGGAAAATCGGGTCACTCCCACCCGAATATTGCGCTTTTCAGACCGGCTTAAGAAACGGCGCACGACGAGACTATATCCCACACCTGGCTCGGAGGGTCCTACGCCCACGGAATCTCGCTGATTGCTAGCACAGCAGTCTGAGATCAAACTGCAAGGCGGCAACGAGGCTGGGGGAGGGGCGCCCGCCATTGCCCAGGCTTGCTTAGGTAAACAAAGCAGCCGGGAAGCTCGAACTGGGTGGAGCCCACCACAGCTCAAGGAGGCCTGCCTGCCTCTGTAGGCTCCACCTCTGGGGGCAGGGCACAGACAAACAAAAAGACAGCAGTAACCTCTGCAGACTTAAGTGTCCCTGTCTGACAGCTTTGAAGAGAGCAGTGGTTCTCCCAGCACGCAGCTGGAGATCTGAGAACGGGCAGTCTGCCTCCTCAAGTGGGTCCCTGACTCCTGACCCCCGAGCAGCCTAACTGGGAGGCACCCCCCAGCAGGGGCACACTGACACCTCACACGGCAGGGTATTCCAACAGACCTGCAGCTGAGGGTCCTGTCTGTTAGAAGGAAAACTAACAACCAGAAAGGACATCTACACCGAAAACCCATCTGTACATCACCATCATCAAAGACCAAAAGTAGATAAAACCACAAAGATGGGGAAAAAACAGAACAGAAAAACTGGAAACTCTAAAACGCAGAGCGCCTCTCCTCCTCCAAAGGAACGCAGTTCCTCACCAGCAACAGAACAAAGCTGGATGGAGAATGATTTTGACGAGCTGAGAGAAGAAGGCTTCAGACGATCAAATTACTCTGAGCTACGGGAGGACATTCAAACCAAAGGCAAAGAAGTTGAAAACTTTGAAAAAAATTTAGAAGAATGTATAACTAGAATAACCAATACAGAGAAGTGCTTAAAGGAGCTGATGGAGCTGAAAACCAAGGCTCGAGAACTACGTGAAGAATGCAGAAGCCTCAGGAGCCGATGCGATCAACTGGAAGAAAGGGTATCACCAATGGAAGATGAAATGAATGAAATGAAGCGAGAAGGGAAGTTTAGAGAAAAAAGAATAAAAAGAAATGAGCAAAGCCTCCAAGAAATGTGGGACTATGTGAAAAGACCAAATCTACGTCTGATTGGTGTACCTGAAAGTGATGTGGAGAATGGAACCAAGTTGGAAAACACTCTGCAGGATATTATCCAGGAGAACTTCCCCAATCTAGCAAGGCAGGCCAACGTTCAGATTCAGGAAATACAGAGAACGCCACAAAGATACTCCTCGAGAAGAGCAACTCCAAGACACATAATTGTCAGATTCACCAAAGTTGAAATGAAGGAAAAAATGTTAAGGGCAGCCAGAGAGAAAGGTCGGGTTACCCTCAAAGGAAAGCCCATCAGACTAACAGCGGATCTCTCGGCAGAAACCCTACAAGCCAGAAGAGAGTGGGGGCCAATATTCAACATTCTTAAAGAAAAGAATTTTCAACCCAGAATTTCATATCCAGCCAAACTAAGCTTCATAAGTGAAGGAGAAATAAAATACTTTATAGACAAGCAAATGTTGAGAGATTTTGTCACCACCAGGCCTGCCCTAAAAGAGCTCCTGAAGGAAGCGCTAAACATGGAAAGGAACAACTGGTACCAGCCGCTGCAAAATCATGCCAAAATGTAAAGACCATCGAGACTAGGAAGAAACTGCATCAACTAATGAGCAAAATCACCAGCTAACATCATAATGACAGGATCAAATTCACACATAACAATATTAACTTTAAATATAAATGGACTAAATTCTGCAATTAAAAGACACAGACTGGCAAGTTGGATAAAGAGTCAAGACCCATCAGTGTGCTGTATTCAGGAAACCCATCTCACGTGCAGAGACACACATAGGCTCAAAATAAAAGGATGGAGGAAGATCTACCAAGCCAATGGAAAACAAAAAAAGGCAGGGGTTGCAATCCTAGTCTCTGATAAAACAGACTTTAAACCAACAAAGATCAAAAGAGACAAAGAAGGCCATTACATAATGGTAAAGGGATCAATTCAACAAGAGGAGCTAACTATCCTAAATATTTATGCACCCAATACAGGAGCACCCAGATTCATAAAGCAAGTCCTCAGTGACCTACAAAGAGACTTAGACTCCCACACATTAATAATGGGAGACTTTAACACCCCACTGTCAACATTAGACAGATCAACGAGACAGAAAGTCAACAAGGATACCCAGGAATTGAACTCAGCTCTGCACCAAGCAGACCTAATAGACATCTACAGAACTCTCCACCCCAAATCAACAGAATATACATTTTTTTCAGCACCACACCACACCTATTCCAAAATTGACCACATAGTTGGAAGTAAAGCTCTCCTCAGCAAATGTAAAAGAACAGAAATTATAACAAACTATCTCTCAGACCACAGTGCAATCAAACTAGAACTCAGGATTAAGAATCTCACTCAAAGCCGCTCAACTACATGGAAACTGAACAACCTGCTCCTGAATGACTACTGGGTACATAACGAAATGAAGGCAGAAATAAAGATGTTCTTTGAAACCAACGAGAACAAAGACACCACATACCAGAATCTCTGGGACGCATTCAAAGCAGTGTGTAGAGGGAAATTTATAGCACTAAATGCCTACAAGAGAAAGCAGGAAAGATCCAAAATTGACACCCTAACATCACAATTAAAAGAACTAGAAAAGCAAGAGCAAACACATTCAAAAGCTAGCAGAAGGCAAGAAATAACTAAAATCAGAGCAGAACTGAAGGAAATAGAGACACAAAAAACCCTTCAAAAAATCAATGAATCCAGGAGCTGGTTTTTTGAAAGGATCAACAAAATTGATAGACCGCTAGCAAGACTAATAAAGAAAAAAAGAGAGAAGAATCAAATAGACACAATAAAAAATGATAAAGGGGATATCACCACCGATCCCACAGAAATACAAACTACCATCAGAGAATACTACAAACACCTCTACGCAAATAAACTAGAAAATCTAGAAGAAATGGATACATTCCTCGACACATACACTCTCCCAAGACTAAACCAGGAAGAAGTTGAATCTCTGAATAGACCAATAACAGGCTCTGAAATTGTGGCAATAATCAATAGTTTACCAACCAAAAAGAGTCCAGGACCAGATGGATTCACAGCCGAATTCTACCAGAGGTACATGGAGGAACTGGTACCATTCCTTCTGAAACTATTCCAATCAATAGAAAAAGAGGGAATCCTCCCTAACTCATTTTATGAGGCCAGCATCATGCTGATACCAAAGCCGGGCAGAGACACAACCAAAAAAGAGAATTTTAGACCAATATCCTTGATGAACATTGATGCAAAAATCCTCAATAAAATACTGGCAAACCGAATCCAGCAGCACATCAAAAAGCTTATCCACCATGATCAAGTGGGCTTCATCCCTGGGATGCAAGGCTGGTTCAATATACGCAAATCAATAAATGTAATCCAGCATATAAACAGAGCCAAAGACAAAAACCACATGATTATCTCAATAGATGCAGAAAAAGCCTTTGACAAAATTCAACAACCCTTCATGCTAAAAACTCTCAATAAATTAGGTATTGATGGGACGTATTTCAAAATAATAAGAGCTATCTATGACAAACCCACAGCCAATATCATACTGAATGGGCAAAAACTGGAAGCATTCCCTTTGAAAACCGGCACAAGACAGGGATGCCCTCTCTCACCGCTCCTATTCAACATAGTGTTGGAAGTTCTGGCCAGGGCAATCAGGCAGGAGAAGGAAATAAAGGGTATTCAATTAGGAAAAGAGGAAGTCAAATTGTCCCTGTTTGCAGACGACATGATTGTTTATCTAGAAAACCCCATCGTCTCAGCCCAAAATCTCCTTAAGCTGATAAGCAACTTCAGCAAAGTCTCAGGATACAAAATCAATGTACAAAAATCACAAGCATTCTTATACACCAACAACAGACAAACAGAGAGCCAAATCATGGGTGAACTCCCATTCACAATTGCTTCAAAGAGAATAAAATACCTAGGAATCCAACTTACAAGGGATGTGAAGGACCTCTTCAAGGAGAACTACAAACCACTGCTCAAGGAAATAAAAGAGGAGACAAATGGAAGAACATTCCATGCTCATGGGTAGGAAGAATCAATATCGTGAAAATGGCCATACTGCCCAAGGTAATTTACAGATTCAATGCCATCCCCATCAAGCTACCAATGACTTTCTTCACAGAATTGGAAAAAACTACTTTAAAGTTCATATGGAACCAAAAAAGAGCCCGCATTGCCAAGTCAATCCTAAGCCAAAAGAACAAAGCTGGAGGCATCACACTACCTGACTTCAAACTATACTACAAGGCTACAGTAACCAAAACAGCATGGTACTGGTACCAAAACAGAGATATAGATCAATGGAACAGAACAGAGCCCTCAGAAATAATGCCGCATATCTACAACTATCTGATCTTTGACAAACCTGAGAAAAACAAGCAATGGGGAAAGGATTCCCTATTTAATAAATGGTGCTGGGAAAACTGGCTAGCCATATGTAGAAAGCTGAAACTGGATCCCTTCCTTACACCTTATACAAAAATCAATTCAAGATGGATTAAAGATTTAAACGTTAAACCTAAAACCATAAAAACCCTAGAAGAAAACCTAGGCATTACCATTCAGGACATAGGCATGGGCAAGGACTTCATGTCCAAAACACCAAAAGCAATGGCAACAAAAGACAAAATTGACAAATGGGATCTAATTAAACTAAAGAGCTTCTGCACAGCAAAAGAAACTACCATCAGAGTGAACAGGCAACCTACAACATGGGAGAAAATTTTCGCAACCTACTCATCTGACAAAGGGCTAATATCCAGAATCTACAATGAACTCAAACAAATTTACAAGAAAAAAACAAACAACCCCATCAAAAAGTGGGCGAAGGACATGAACAGACACTTCTCAAAAGAAGACATTTATGCAGCCAAAAAACACATGAAGAAATGCTCATCATCACTGGCCATCAGAGAAATGCAAATCAAAACCACTATGAGATATCATCTCACACCAGTTAGAATGGCAATCATTAAAAAGTCAGGAAACAACAGGTGCTGGAGAGGATGTGGAGAAATAGGAACACTTTTACACTGTTGGTGGGACTGTAAACTAGTTCAACCATTGTGGAAGTCAGTGTGGCGATTCCTCAGGGATCTAGAACTAGAAATACCATTTGACCTAGCCATCCCATTACTGGGTATATACCCAAATGAGTATAAATCATGCTGCTATAAAGACACATGCACACGTATGTTTATTGCGGCACTATTCACAATAGCAAAGACTTGGAACCAACCCAAATGTCCAACAATGATAGACTGGATTAAGAAAATGTGGCACATATACACCATGGAATACTATGCAGCCATAAAAAATTATGAGTTCATATCCTTTGTAGGGACATGGATGAAATTGGAAACCATCATTCTCAGTAAACTATCGCAAGAACAAAAAACCAAACACCGCATATTCTCACTCATAGGTGGGAATTGAACAATGAGATCACATGGACACAGGAAGGGGAATATCACACTCTGGGGACTGTGGTGGGGTCGGGGGAGGGGGGAGGGATAGCATTGGGAGATATACCTAATGCTAGATGACACATTAGTGGGTGCAGCGCACCAGCATGGCACATGTATACATATGTAACTAACCTGCACAATGTGCACATGTACCCTAAAACTTAGAGTATAATAAAAAAAAAAAAAAAAAAAAAAAAGAATAAAATCTAAATTTCTTACTGGAGCCTACAAGCCATAGTACTAATATGGTGGCAAAGTTTAACAACTGGTTCTCTGGGGGAAAATAAAAAAGGGCTGAATTGTAGCATTTACCAATTTCAACAGCATCAGTACTCCCACTATGGCTGATTTCAGGCTGCCAAATGCGAAGTCGACCAGCTCCCAAATTTCCTGAAATTTAACAGTCAGTTCTCCTGAGCCAGTAGGAAGTGGTTCCAGCATGCTCGTAGGCTACAAGGTCCTATATGATCTGCTCTGCCCACCGATTTTTTTCTTTTTTTAAAAAAATATTTTTTAAGTTGGGTGCAGTGGCTCACGCCTGTAATCCCAGCATTTTGGGAGGCCGAGGTGGGCAGATAACTTGAGGTTGGGAGTTTGAGACCAGCCTGGCCAATATGGTGAAACCCCATTTCTACTAAAAATACAAAAATTAGCCAGGCGTGGTGGCGCATGCCTGTAGTCCCAGCTACTCGGGAGGCTGAAGCACGAGAATGGCTTGAACCCAGGAAGCAGAGATGGCTTGAACCCAGGAAGAAGTGAGCCGAGATCACGCCATTCCACTCCAACCTGGACGTCGCAGCGGACTCTGTCTCAAAATTTTTTTTTTTTTTTAACAGAGATGTGGTGTCACTATGTTGCCCAAGCTGGAGTGGGCAACACAGGCTATTCACAGGTGGAATCCCACTACTGATCAGCACAGGAGTTTTGATCTGCTGTTTCCAACCTGGGCCGGTTCACCCCTCCTTTGGCAACCTGGTGGTCCCCCGCTCCCGAGAGGTCACCATAGTGATGCTGAACTTAATGTGGACATCTGATTAGCTTAGTGCTCTACAGTCCAGAACTCTTGGGCTCAAGTGATCCTCCTTCCTCAGCCTTCCTAGTAGCTGGGACCACAGGCATGCACCACCATGCCTGACCCTCCCACCTTTTCAACTTTATCTTGGGTCACTCTTTTGTGACCCAAGATAAAGGGTCACAAAACCCTTCAACTGCACTGGCCTTCTTTCTGTTCTCCTCTGCTTGATGATTTCCAAATTTCTATCTGTATCTCTCCTCTGAGCCACAGGATCATGTAATCAACTAGCTACTTGACATTGCTACTCAGAAGTCTACTGAACATCTGAAACTTTATATGTCCTAATCAGAACTCTTGATTTTGCTCCACTCCAATCCTGACTGTCCTCTAGTTTTCCTCATGTCAGCAAATGGCACTGTCATCAACCTACTTGCTCAGGCCCAAAACCTGAGTCACCTTTAAGTTTTCTCTGTCTCTCACCTTTCTCTGATCTAATCCATCACTAACCAAGTTCCAGTGGCTCCAAACATGTCCCAAATTTGTTTACTTTTCTTTCTTTCCACTCTCACCCTAGTCCAAGCCACCATCATCTTTTGCCCACACTACTACAACTGTTACTAGCTGGTCTACCTGCCCTTATTCCCCATCTAGCAGTCAGAGCGATTTAATCAGGTTACTCCCTTGACTTCAACTCTTCAGTGGGTCCCCCATTATCATCAGGATAAACTCCAGGCTCTTTAATCTGGCTTACCAGGTGCTCCATGACCTGGCCTCTGCCTACTGCTCAGCCTGATCTCTTGCTGCTACCTGCATTATATTCTATGCTTTGGATACTTTTCAGCTCTACTCCCAGTACCTCACATCATCTCTCTTAAGCAAGGGTCAGTTTCCTTACCCATCATTTGACCTTCAGTCTCTGCCCTCTCCAACTCATCCTCCACATTGCAGCCAAGTACCCTTCCAAACTCATCAGATGTTACCATTGCTTTGCTCAGAAGCCTTCAACAATTCCCAATTTTCTAAAGAAAACATTTTGAGAAGAAAAATTTTCCAAAGAAGTTTACTAAAGACAATTTTAACAGAATTCAAAACCCTTTACAATTTGGCCCCTACCGGTTTTCCTAGTATCATTTCCCACTGCCACCCTGTGATGATTAATTTCATATGTCAACTTGGTTAGGCCACAGTACCCAGCTATTTGGGAAAAACACTAGTCTAGATGTTGCTGTAAAGGCATGTTTAAGATGAGTTTGACATTTAAATCAGTAGACTTTGAGTAAAACAAATTCCTGTCCATAATGTGAGTGGGCCTCCTCCAATCAGTGAGGGCCTTAAAAGAAAAAAGACTGAAGCCCCTCAAGGAAGAGGAGATTCTGCCAGCAGACTCCCTTCAGATTTAAACTGCGACATCAACTCTCCCTAGTCACCCATGCCCAAGTCAGATGCCACCTCATCCTGAAAATTTTCCAGATTCCACAATTGTGTACTGCTTGTTTCCTTCCTTTTCTTCAACTTTACCTCTCTCTTTTATTTTTATTTTTTGAGACGGAGTTTCGCTCTGTTGCCCAGGCTGGAGTGCAGTGGTGCAATCTCGGCTCACTGCAACCTCTGCCTCCCGGGTTCAAACAATTCTCTGCCTCAGCCTCCCGAGTAGCTGGGATTACAGACAACCGGCTATTTTTTTTGTATTTTTAGTAGAGATGGGGATTCACCATCTTGGCCAGGCTGGTTTTGAACTCTTGACCTTGTGATCCACCTGCCTCAGCCTCCCAAAGTGCTGGGATTACAGGCGTGAGCCACTGTACCTGGCCACAACTTTACCTCTTTTAAAAAGTTTTTTTTTTTTTTTTTTTTTATGGAATCTCGCTCTGTCACTGAGGCTGGAGTGCAGTGGCACGATCTTGGCTTACTGCAACCTCTGTCTCCCAGGTTCAAGTGATTCTCCTGCCCCAGCCTCCAAGTAGCTGGGATTAGAGGTGTGTGCCACCACGCCCAGCTAATTTTTGTATTTTTAGTAGAGACAGGGTTTCACGATGTTGGCCAGGCTGGTCTCGAAATCCTGGCCTCAAGTGATCTGCCTGCCTTGGCCTCCCAAAGTGCTGGCATTATAGGCATGAGCCACTGTGCCCGGCCCTCTTTTTAAAACTTTTTATTGTGAAAAATCTCAACCATATATAAAAGTAGAGAGGCCAGTAAAATGAACACAAAGTTCCATCACCCAACTTCAACAATTAGCTATACGTGGCCAATCTTCTTTCATCTCTACCCCCACGAGACATCATTTCAATTCATCTGACTTACATATTATTAATTAGAATTATGTTTATCTAAACTATAATTGCTCCTCAAAAATATATGTATAATACCGTTATCACACCTAAAAATTTATAATTCCTTAATATCATCACATATTGAGTTCAGTTAGTATTCATATTTCCTTGGTTATTTTATAATTGTTTTCCAGCTTCTGTTTGAATTGGGGCTTTCTCTCTCCATATCTTGTGCTCCCTTAGCTTTTTTTTTTTTTGGAGCGATCTCGGCTCACTACAACCTCCCCATTCCCGGGTTCAAGTGATTCTCCTGCCTCAGCCTCCCAAGTAGCTGGGACTATAGGTGCCTGCCACCATGTCCAGCTGTTTTGTATTTTTAGTAGAGATGGGATTTCACCATGTTGGCCAGGCTGGTCTCGAACTCCTAACCTCAAGTGATCCACCTGCCTCAGCCTCCCAAAGCGCTGGAATTACAAGCATGAGCCACCGCCCCTGGCCTCCCTTAGCTTCTCGTTTAGACCTCTGCTGCGGCACACTCTACCTTATATGAGTTATCTGGGTGTCTTTATGCTCCCTCCCAGCCAGCAAGCCAGTCAGCAGGCACGGGGCCTTCCTAGTCATCCAAGCTCTTCAGGATCTTTCACTCTTCATTGTACATACCAGGCACTTATTAAATGTCAAATCAAATTCCTGTCAATATCAGTGTCACTAGTAGCTTTTCCCAAATATAGCTGTTTACTCACATAAGCTACGTGGATAGTCATGAAATAAAGACATGGCCTAGCACTGAGTGCTTTCTTTTTCTTCTTTCTTTCTTTTTTTTCCTCTTTCTTTTCTTTTCTTTTTTTTTTTTCTGTTGGAGACACAGTCTCACTGTCTTCCGGGCTGAAGTGCAGTGGCACGATCTTGGCTTACTGCAACCTCCACCTCCCAGGTTCAAGCGATTCTCCTGCCTCAGCCTCTTGAGTAGCTGGGATTACAGGTGACTGCCACCAAGCCTGGCTAATTTTTCTTAGTAGAGATGGGGTTTCACCATGTTGGCCAGGCTGGTCTTGGACTCCTGACCACAGGTGATCTGCCTACCTCGGCCTCCCAAAGTGCTGGGATTACAGGCATGAGCCACTGCGCCTGGCCCACTGATTGCTTTCTATATACTATCTCATTTAATCCTCACAAAAGCCTCATGAAAGAGGTAGTATTATCGTATTAGCTTGATTATATGGATGACAAAATGGAGTTGGTGAGAGGATAAACGCCAGTCTCTAAAATCACAGACCATGACACAAAGCATCAACTTGAATCTGGGTCTGTTTGACTCAGAGCCAAGCTCCACTCCACTAAGCTCCACTGTCTTCTGACGCTCAGGACTGAAAATATTCTCTTAGCCCTTTACAGACTTGTTACCGCACATCACTGGTGGATGTGGCTGCCAAAGCATGTACACTGAATGAGTTCTTTAGGCTGAGACAGGAGCCTGTGCTGTGGTATGAATAAGTGCCTCTACAAGTGTCCTACTAAGTGGGTGTCCAGAACACAAAGGCAAGTATGGGGTGCTGGTTGCTCCCAAAGGGCAAAGCAATGGCAAGCCTAGATCCCAGTACATCTCAACCGTTAGCTGCATTAGGCTGACCACGGAAGCTTTTAAAAACCCTCAGTGACTGGGATCCACCCCTAGAGATTGCAATTTAACTGAACGGGGGCGAGGCCTGGACATTAGCACTTTTTACAAGCTCCCCAGCTGATTCTGATGTGCAGCCAGGGTTGAGAGCCACTGATTGGACCTTCCATGGCACAAGGCAGCTCTGGGCTCAAACCTGAGTCCATCAGCCTGCTGCTGACACTGAGAGTGCCTGGGAGACAAAGCACATGGGCCCTGAAGCCAGACTGTTTGGACTCGGTCCCCCTGCTTTGCCACTCACTAGCTCTGTGATGGTTGGCAAGTGCCTTTACCTTCTGGAGCTTCAATTTCCTCATCTGTAAAATGGGGTAATAATAATAACACCAACTTTAAGAACTGCTGTCAAAATGAAATGATTTAATACATGTAAGTTGCTTAGAACTGTATTTGACATAGAGCAAGCGCTAAAGAATTAACCACCATTGTTATTATTATTTAAACTTGTAAGAAAGACAAGTATGCTGAAGAACAAACCAACCCGCTAGATTGGAATGGCCATTCATCCAAACTGTATCTTACTAGTAAAGAGAAATGAAACATGTCACGCAGCTTGTCACAAGAACCTGAACTTAAGTCCTTCTACACAAACCCAGGCAACTATCCCATAGCTGTCTAGTTCAGACCCACAGCTCCCAGGATGAGCACACTGGATTCTGCAGCCTGACTTTGTTACTATCTGTATAACCCTGGTCAAGTCATTTAGCTCCCTAAACTTTAGTTTTCTCACATGTCAAATGAGGAGACTGAAACAAAATGTCCTTGAAGACCCTTTCCAGATCCTGTAATCCATGCTGCTGGCCAGAATCCTTGCTCCTGCCTTCCTCTAGGACTTCAAACCTGCCATTTCCTCGGCCTCACTAAGTCTGTCTTATTGATCAGAATAAACATCATTTCCCCAGGGAAATCTTCTGAGACCTCCACACGAAGTCAGGAGCCTACTGAACACTTTCAGTCACCCTGTGCTTCTCCTTCATGGCACTTAACACAGTTTGTAATGACTCAGTGTATAATTATTTCGTTCATGTGTACTCCTGCCCCCAACTGCTCCATCTCCTAGACTGTAAATACTGTGGGGGCAGCAACCACATTTGTTGTGTTTATGGTTTTGGCCTCAAAGCTTACCTGGTGCATGGTAGAGGTCGAGGTGTTTAATACATATTGAAGGAAAGAAATAACAAACTTGCAGTAGATACAAATAAAGAACAAAGACTTAAAAGCAAAGCACTTGATTATTCCTGTGATAAATTCCTCAGAGGTCTTCCAACAGAGGCAACGTTTTGGTTGTTCAGTCTTTCCATGAGTACTGAAATAACTGAACAATATTTATAAAGATGTAAAACACAGCTGGGCACGGCAGCTCACGCCTGTAATCCCAGCACTTTGGGAGGCCGAGGCAGGCGGATCATGAGGTCAGGAGATGGAGACCATCCTGGCCAACATGGTGAAACCCTGTCTCTACTGAAAATACAAAAATTAGCTGGGCATGGTGGCGTGTGCCTGTACTCCCAGCTACTCGGGAGGGTGAGGCAGGAGAATCGCTTGAACCTAGGAGGTGGAGGTTGCAGTGAGCTGAAATTGCGCCACTGCACTTCAGCCTGGCGACTCCATCTCAAAAAAAAAAAAAAAAGATGTAAGACACATATGCCCTTTGACCAAAGCAAAAATTCTAGGAATTTAGCCCAGCAGTCCCTAACCTTTTTGGCACCAGGGACTGGTTTTGCCGAGGACCATTTTTCCACGGACAAGGGGTTGGGGGGAATGGTTTTGGGATGAAACTGTTCCATCTCAGATCATCAGGCATTAGATTCTCATAAGGAGTGTGCAACCCAGGTCCCTTGCACGCACAGCTCACAATAGGGTTTGCACTGCTATGAGAATCTAATGCCGCCGCTGATCTGACAGGAGGCGGGGCTCAGGCCATAATGCTCACTCGCTGGCCACTCACTTCACGCTGTGTGGCCCAGCCAGGTTCCTAACAGGCCACGGACCAGGGGTTGGGGACCCCTTTTTATCCTACAGATCTATTTGCATGTGCGTGAAAAATGTATGTAACAAGGAGATTTGTTACAGCATTGTTAGTACTAGCAGAAGACTGGAAATAATCTAAATGTCCACCAATCAGGGACTAGTTAAATAAATAGTATATCATACCGTTGAATACTATGTCATAAATGAAAAATATGTGGCAGCTTTATCTGGATTGATGTGGTATCATTTCCAAGATACATTTTTTTTTTTGAGACAGTTTCACTCTTATCACCCAGGCTGGAGTGCAATGGTGTGATCTCGGCTCACTGCAACCTCTGCCTCCCAGGTTCAAGTGATTCCTCCGCCTCAGCCTCCTGAGTAGCTAGAATTACAGGTGCCCACCACCACGCTCAGCTAATTTTCATATTTTTAGTAGAGACAGGGTTTCACCATGTTGGCCAGACTGGTCTTGAACTCCTGACCTCAAGTGATCCACCTGCCTCGGCCTCCCAAAGTGCTGGGATTGCAGGCGTGAGCCACCGTGCCCAGCCGAGATACATTTTCAGGTGGAAAAAAAACAGGGCACAGAAGAGTGTATGTAGTGTGCTGCTGCTGACCTAAAAACAGAACATAAATGTACAAGTTTATGTGGATCTTTGCATAGACCATCTTTGGAAAGATACAGGTAAACTGCTAACAACAGTACTGACTCACAGGAGAGCTGAATGGCTAAGGACAAAGGTTAGAGAGGTTTACTTTTCAGCATATACTCGTTGCACCTTTTGGATTTTGTATCATGTGTATGTGTTACCCACTCAAAAGATAGAATACTTAATTTTAAAAGGGCATTAAAAAGGAAAGACCAGAGAAAGAAAAGGAAAAAAAATTCATAGGGAAAAGAAAAGAGTCTTCGAGCTGGAGCACACAGGAAGGAGCTCAGAACCTTCTGCATGTTATCTGGAAACAACTTGTATCTTCTGTGGATGTGGAGGACAGGACCTGATGACTAAGCTGTCCAATTCCCAAACCATCTGAGGACATATATGTGGGGGAGGTGGTTGTGGCAGGAGGCTTCAGTCTTTTGGCAAATATCCAATAATCAAACAAAAAAAAATGCCAGTCATATTGGAGTAAATGAACCTTTCTGTCCTGTGAACCACATGACCCATGTTTCTCTTGGCATAGCCGGGACCCAAATAGTTGTCCTTGTACAGCTGGGAAGCACCCGGGCTCTGCAGCGGGGACATTGGTACGAGTGGGTGTAGGCAGCTGCCCGCCAGCAAGGCAAGCCTACAAGCTCCCCTTGATCCCCTCCAGTGTGAATGCCTTCCGATTCAGTGGCAGGCTAGAGGGTTGACTAGCTGCTCAGAAAGCCTGCGATCACAATGGGGGAAGCAAGCAAACCACAGTAGGTTAGTATTCAGCTTGGACGAAGAAAAGAGAAACAGCCAGTTCCTGTGTGGTGATTGGGGGTGGGGGTTGGGGAGACCCAAAGTGCAGCTGGGCCTGACTGTAGAAAGCAATTGCCATGCAAGTGAGCAGAGCTGCTGAGGCCTGGGTCACAGGCCTGGCATGTGCTGCCTGCCGTGCCAACTTTGAAAGTGTCACCTTGCCTGGGGGTGAGATAGGGTGGGGAGGGTGAAGGAAAAGATTTGGCAGTGACAGTTCTCAGAAGGCTGAGAACATACAGAGGTGTGCAGTGCTTGCACATGGAGCCTGTCTGTAAAGCCTGTTGTTACGCTAACCAAACCAAAAAATTCTGTACGAACTCTCGATTCCTGTCGCTGCTCATCATTAGCTATACATATCCAAGGTCTATTGAGGTTCTGTGAGCCCAGCTCATTTGTGTGTTTATAGTAATCATAGGAAACATGGAAACACATCTGGACTGGCTTTTTTTTTTTTTTAAATAGAGTTTCACTCTGTCGCCCAGGCTGGAGTGGTGCAATCTCGGCTCACTGTAACCTCTGCCTCCTTGGTTCAAGTGATTATCATGCCTCAGCCTATTGAGTAGCTGGGACTACGGGCGCGCGCCACCATGCCCAGCTAATTTTTTAATTTTTATTAGAGACGGGGTTTCGTCGTGTTGGCCAGGCTGGTCTGGAACTCCTGGCCTCAAGTGATCCACCCACCTCGGCCTCCCAAAGTGCTGGGATTACAGGCGTGAGTCGCCGCGCCCGGCCTTGGACTGGTTTTTATGGTTCTAATCAGGCCTTCCATGCTGTGCACAGATTCTGAAGTGATGCTTCAAGAACAATAAACATGGCATCTTAGCATTATTGACAGTACTTATTATGGGCCTGGCTCTGCATTTGCACTAAACGAATTTAGTCTTTGCTGCAAGTAGATGAGGTAGGCACCATTCTTACCCTCAAAACAGATGAGGAAGATGAGGCTCAGATGGGTTATGTGGTGTACACAAGTTCACGCGGGAGTAAGTGGCAAGGCTGGGATCCAAAGCTCACACTGTTACCCACTGAGCTAGTCTGCCCATTACAGCCTCAAGAGGAACACAGCCGTCGTAGGCAAATAAGCAACAGCTCTGTGGAAAAAAGGAGGTGAAAATTGGTACTTCCTGTGAATGCTCCCAGCCAGCTGCGGGTCCTCCCTCTTGACAGCAGACCTTTCCTGGGACCTTTCTCTCCCTTTCCCTTATCTCCCTCTTCACCTCCACTTTGAGGTGGGGAGTGAGGGTGGGAACATCCTATCTTAGGTGCTGTTACCGTTTAGCTGGAGTTCAAAGAAGCCTGCTCAGCACAGGGTGGTCATTTTGACTCCCAGATCTTTATCTCTTCCAAGGAATAAGCCAGCTCAGGTCAGGGGAAGAGGACAGAGTGATTTTACACTAAGTGGAGTTAGGAAGGCTCTTCCCCATGCCTTCCTTGCCTTCCCTCTAGGGACAAGTCTTGTTTCCATGCTCAACAGCTGCCATCCCTAAAGTATTTCGGGCACTCTATACCTTTTGAAAAAAAAACAAGGGTGGGGAGACTTTTCCTTTCCTTTCACTTTAATAGTGACGCTCATACAGAGCCACCTTGCCTAAGGGATGTCCAGACATCTACCTATATTTGAAAAGCATCTTTTTTTTTTTTTTTTCTGACTGCTAACGCAATGCTACTCAGTTAGAAGAATTTGGTTCACAAAGGGGCCAGACCTAAAAGTAAGATGACAGCAGAGAGTTGAAAATACAACAAACTAAAGGTAAGGCTCCACTCCTCTCCACTACCCTGAAGGCTTAGAACCTAGCAGTGTTTGTACCTCTGGACAGGTAATTTGACTCTGTTAGGCAAATAGAACTCTGTTCCTACTAAGAGTAGATGCTATGCCAACCGGGAAATATTGAAGTAGGCAGAAAACCTGGAACTTTGTTAGCACCTCCTCGCAGGGATAGTTATAACAATTTACTCTCCCATCCTGGGGCTTTGCTTCTGCTCCCAGCCCTGCCCCCTGTGGTAGGCGGGCTTTCTTCCCAGTCCCTCTGAGCAGTTGTCGTTCAAGGCTGGCCAAAGACCTGTGTCTACTGAATGGTCTATGCCTGTGGCTCACTGCTCATTACGGCTTCTCAAGTCAAAGCAACAAGTAGGGCTTTCCATTGCCAGACTGCCAGGGACTAAAGCAGACCCCAGGACAGCCCAGTTTTCCAAAGATTTTTTTTTTTTCCTCTCTCTAACTTGAGTTAACCATTCCCTGGCCAAAGCCAGGCTCGTTATGCTCTGAGTGTTTGTGTCCTCCCAAAATTCATCTGTTGAAATCCTGACTCCTAGGGTGATGGTTTTAGGAGGCAGGGCCTTTGGGAGGTGATTAGGCCATGAAGGCAAAGCTCTCATGAATGGGATTCGGGTCCTTTTAAAAGAGATGGAAGAAAGCTAGCTCCCCCTTCCACCATGTGAGGGCAAAGCAAGAAGGCTCTAGGAAGCTGGCCTTCGCCAGGTATCAAATCTGCCTTGACCTTGGACTTCTCAGTCTCCAGAACGGTGAGAAATACATTTTGGTTGTTTATAAGCCATCTAGTTTATGATATTTTGTTATTGCAGCCTGAACGGATTAAGACAAGGCTATGGCCTCTCAGTTTCTGAGCTTGCAAAGTATTGATTTTCTCAACTCTTGCACTGAGGCTGTGGACTCCCAATATCAAGGTTTGCTTTCCCGCTCCCTCATCCTCTAGTCCCACACCTGGGGCAAGGGAACTAAAGTCAAAATGATCCAGTTCCCTTGCCTACAGGATTAGGCTCCTGTACTCTTGGTGAATAAAAAAAGGGCCTGAGGAAGGAGAGACATAGGTTCAAGTCCCAGCTTCGCCACTTACTTACTAGCTATGTGATGGTTGGGTAAGTGACTTACACCTTGTGCCTTGTTTCCTCATCTATAAAATAGGAGTACTAAGAGTACTTATTTCATAGGGTCAATAAAGACAGTTAAATGGGATAATAAACTGCCTTGTATACATTAAGTGACCAATAAGTGGTAGTTATTATTATATTATTATAATTTCTTTCTTTTTTTTTTTTTTTGAGACGGAGTCTTGCTCTGTCGCCCAGGCTGGAGTGCAGTAGTGCGATCTCCGCTCACTGCAAACTCTGCCTCCCAGGTTCGCGGCATTCTCCTGCCTCAGCCTCCCAAGTAGCTGGGACCACAGGCGCCCACCACCACGCCCGGCTAATTTTTTGTGTTTTAGTAGAGACGGGGTTTCACCGTGTTAGCCAGGATGGTCTCGATCACTTGACCTCGTGATCCGCCTGCCTCGGCCTCCGAAAGTGCTAGGATTACAGGCGTGAGCCACCGTGCCCGGCCTATAATTTCTTTCTTTTTTTTTTTTCTCAAGGGAAAGCGCGAACACAGTCCCCCACTACCACAAATTGTGCAGTCGAGTTTCCCACATTTGGGGAAATCGCAGGGGTCAGCACATCCAGAGGGCAATGGATAAGCCTCGCCCTGGGAAAACCACCTTTGTGATCATGGTATCTCCCCTGCCAGTTAAGCATATATTATTATAATTTCTTAATCGCAGGGAAGGCTTTCTTGTCATCACTTCCCTTAACATAGTTTGCCCCCATCCTTATCCCTGACAAAAACCTCCCCAGCAAAGTACAGCATAGATTTACATGCATTCATTCAAATCTGGTCACATTTACAGAAAGCAACCAACTTTTGTTTTTCTTTTTTTTCCTTTTCTTTCTTTTCTTTTTTTTTTTTTTGAGACAGAGTCTTGCTCTGTTGCCCAGTCTGGAGTGCAGTGGTGCAATCTCAGCTCACTGCAACCTCCACCTCCTGGGTTCAAGCTATTCTCTTGTCTCAGCCTCCTGAGTAGCTGGGATTACAGGCGTGTGCCACCATGCCAGGATAATTTTGTATTTTTAGTAGAGGCGGGGTTTCACCATGTTGGCCAGGCTGGTCTCAAACTCCTGACCTCCGTTGATCGGCCTGCCTCAGCCTCCCAAAGTGTGGTGATTACAGGCGTGGGCCACTGCGCCCGGCCTACAGTTGACCTTTGAACAACATGGATTTGAGTTGTGCTGGTTCACTTATATGTGGATTTTTTTCAATAAATACAGTCGGCCCTCTGTTTCTGTGGGTTCTGCATCCACAATCAAATTTGGGATGCGGGACTTGTGTATAAGGAGGGCCAACTTTTTGTGTCCACAGGTTTCACAGGGCCGACTTCAGGGCTGAGAAATGAGTGGATTTTGGTATCAGAGAGGGATTCTGCAACCAATGGCCTGCAGACACCTAGGGACGACTGTATAAATTTGATGGTGCTATGATTTGTCAAGCACTTCCAGCCACCATACAAAGCGCCAGGAGGCTGGAATGAAGAGGAGGTGTAAATCAAAATGGTGTCAAGAATTTTTCCTTTTGTCCTTTTAGCATATTTGTCTATCCTGAAACGTTAACGGCTGTTTGCACTGAGATGCATAGAACCTGATTGCTAGGGTAGGAGATGGAAGACAGTGCATTCTCAGAGCGAAGTGCATAGACAGTTTTAGACAGGGGACATGCAGAGGTTTTCTTAGGGCAGCAGGTTGAGCAGGAGGCAGGCTTGGGTGTTCTTACCTTCATCTTGGGTAGGTACAACCACACGGACTTGGGACTCACCTAGCAGACAGCGAGATCTCCTAAGCTGTCCCTAAACTTCATTTTTAAACAAGTATTAGATGTCTGCTACATGAGGCTGTGTGTTGTGAGGATATACAAATGTGTAAGACATACTTCCCACAGGCAAAGAGTTTGCAATCTAGAGGAAATAAGGGACACAAAAGATTATAACAAAAGGAAGCATGTGGCATGGGCCATAAGACAGCTCTAGCAAGAGTGAGCCATTCAGGAGCGGGAGACTACTGCTTGGGGAGATGGGAGAAGACTTCAGGAGGCGGCTTTGATAGTGAGGGAACAGCAGGGCAATAGTGTTAAGATGGGAAGAGGTAGGGCATGGACAGAAATGCCATGGAAAAGAAACTGGCTGGATCAGAGGGCACGTATAGGCTAACAGCATCATTTAAAAGGGGTTATTTGGCCGGGCACGGTGGCTCATGCCTGTAATCCCAGCAGTTTGGGAGGCTGAGGCGGGTGGATCACCAGAGGTCAGGAGTTCGAGACCAGCCTGGGCAACATGGTGAAACCCCATCTCTACTAAAAATACAAAATTAGCTGGGTGTGGTAGTGCATGCCTGTAGTCCCAGCTACTCGGGAGGCTGAGGCAGGAGAATCACTTGAACCCAGGAGGCGGAGGTTGCAGTGAGCCGAGATTGCACCACTGCACTCCAGCCTGGGTGACAGAGCGAGACTCTTGTCTCAAAAATAAAAAGGGGGTGGGTGGTATTCACCCACAAAGCTCTTAGAACAAAATAACTATGCCCTTGGGGGTTGGGTGGGGGACAGTGAAAATACGGCATCTGCAGTTATTAACTGAGTAGATTGTTAGTTAACTCAGCTTCTCTTGCCCCAGAATCCCCTCTGAAGTGGGCTGGAGCACCTCCATTGTGGTTCTACAAAGGCAAAACATCTACCTTGATCCATCAAGATAGGACAGCTGTTTTGGGGATGGGAAAAGCCAACTCATTTCTTAAACAACAGGTATGTGCTACAGTAGGTCAGAAAAGACAGCCATCACTGAGACAAACCTCAGTTGAGCCTTTAAGAAAATTGGGCAGATGTTCCAAGACAGAGGTAACCTCATGAACAAAGGCCTGGTGACTGGAATGTGAAATGCACTTAGTCTTCAGGGCTTGGGAGAAGGGGCTAAGAAGATTAGTTTGATGAACTTGGAGGCTTGAATAGAGCAGAGGTCATACGAATGTGTGTTTTGTTTAGCCCAGCCAGTACTTAACAATTTTCATTTGCCAGCAGTGAAAAACTGGGAGATTTTACATAAAAATCTGGATTTTAGACTCCTTTGAAAACTGGGCCTACATTTCTAAATGGCATCCGTCCTTTGGAGAGGAGGAACTGGCCACAGCCTCTACTGGCTCTCTTTCTTCCTTTCTGTCATCCATATTTAGATGCAAATCACATTTTGTGAGCACAGTGAAGTTTAGCTCTCCAGAATGCTTTTGAAAGCCATGATGGCTCGGAATGCATTTGAAGGCTTTTTTTTTTTTTTTTTTTTTTTTTTTTTGAGATGAAGTTTCGCTCTGTCACCGAGGCTGGAGTGCAGTGGCACAATCTCAACTCACTGCAACCTCCACCTCCTAGGTTCAAGCGATCCTCCCGCCTCAGCCTCCTGAGTAGCTGGGACTACAGGCACCTGCCATGATGCCCAGCTAATTTTTTTGTGTGTGTTTTAGTAGAGACGGGGTTTCATTATGTTGACCAGGCTGGTCTTGAACTCCTGACCTCAAGTGATCCACCCACCTTGGCTTCCCAAAGTGGTGGGATTACAGACGTGGGCCACCAGGCCCAGCCTGAAGGCTTATTCTTTACAGGGTGAGTGTATGTTATCTGGGTTTCCCTACATTCTCTTTTTCATGTTACTTCCAAGTTTCTGCAGGCATTTGTTTTTGTAACTTCTTATATAAAGGGCCTCTGTGCAACAAGGATCGCACAGTTGGTAAGGGAAACATGCCAAGCCAAGGGGCTCAGCCTTTTTTCTCTGGGGACCATCAAGAAGGACACAACAACAGGCTGAGTACAGTGGCTCATGCCTGTAATCCCACCACTTTGGGAGGTCAAAGCGGGAGGATGGCTTGAGCCCAGGAGTTTGAGACCAGCCTAGGCAACATAAGGAGACCAGGAGACCTCATCTCTACAAAACATTTAAAATATTAGTCAGGCATAGGTGGCGCATGCCTGTGGTCCCAGCTACTTGGGAGGCTGAGGTGGAAGGATTGCTTGGGCCCGGGAGGTTGAGGCTACAATGAGCTGTGATTGTGCCACTGCACTCCAGCCTGGGAGAGAGAGCAAGACCCTGTCTCACAAAAAGAAAAAAAAAAAAAAAAAAGGATCTAACGCAGACAGATCTGAGAAAGATTCATCTGACAGAATCCCATATGGGCTGGGCTGGAGAGGATTGAAATGAGCACTGACTCTGGAGACAAGCTCCCTGGGCTTATATCCCAGCTCAATTACTGGATGGGTGAACTTGCAGGCTACAAAACCTTTCGGTGCCTCAGTTTTCTCATCTGTAAAATGGACTTAATAATAACAGTGCCCACCTTGTAGGGCTGTTGTAAGGATTAAATGAGATAATGAACATAAAGCACTTAGCACAGTGCCTAGTACATATTAATATTCAATGCTTAAGATCATTTTTAGAATTAATCCTGGAGACCAATGAGGAGATTACTGTAATAGCCTAGGTATGAGCTGATAAGGTCCAAGATTAGGGCAAGAGGCAGTGACAAAAAGAAAGACCAGCATGGGAATGTTAGGAATGAAGAAGCAACAGGGCTCAAGGTTAACCGGGTGAGGGGAAGGGGAAGAGTCAAACACAAGTTGTGGATTTCCAGCCTGAGTCACTGGGGCAATGATGGAATTGAAATGGAAAACTCTGGAATAACAGTGTTAGGAAAAGAAGAGGTCAGCTTGATGCACATTAAGTTAGAGGTGACAGTGGGGATATGATAGCCAAATAGTGATGTCGAGCAGGCTGTGGGAAATGTGGGACCATGGCTCAGAAGGGAGGTCAGGATTGAAGATGTAGATATGAACATGAAAAACTACAAGAGGGGATGAGCACCCTGAGAGGGAATGAATGAAGTGACTGTGTCCAATTCAACAAAGGTAACCCGAGGTGTCGAGCATCTCTATTTGAGTAGGCTGGGGCCTCTGTTTATTCACTGACCATGTATATTCTGCTCAGTCAGCTGTACCACTCGGATACCACCTTTGTCCTTCATCTTATGTGCTTTCAGTTCAAATGCTGACCTGGCCCAATCCTGCTTACCTTGTGAGCTGTGATGGGGTCAAAGTCCACTGGGGTATAAAGCAACAGGCTCACACTTGGTTTTATATTTGATGAAATGGAGACACCTAATATGGGCAATAGGGGAGGGTGTCAGGCAGAGTTGTGGGGGGACCGAGCATGTGTCTGGTACCTCCCTCCTGATCCTTTCAGAAGGCCTGCCAGATTCCAAGGCTCCTACATTCTCAGCTGCTCCCTGGATTTTCAGGGCAGTATTCCCCAGCCTATCTCCCTCTCTTCTTCACATGCACCTGTGCAGAGAGCCATTTTCTCAGGACTCCCTGGTTCTTATTCGGGGTGCACAGATTAATCAGATGAATTCATCTCTGTCAATATTTTACCCTTCCTACTTGTTCTCTCAATACACTAAGTTCTGCCATCTCTTCTGGCCCAGGCCCTGGGCTAGGTGTGGGAGATAGACAAAAAGGCCAGGCTATACCTGGAAGGGCTTGAGCTAAGATGCACTGAAGCGTGGAGAAGGGGATTTCAGGCAGGGTGGTTGGGGTCCGTGAAAGCACACCAAGTTGGGGGCACCTCATTCCATGTGTGCACAGGCCTGACCCACCCCCCTTCCCACCAGAAGCCATTCTATCAAGACATGCACATGCATAATTTATTTACCTCTCCATTCTCTAGCATGCCAGCCAGGAGCCAAGGCAAGAAAAGGAAAAAGGGATAAAATGAGTGTAAGCATGGTGAAGGAAGGGCTCAGCTGGTTAAACAAGACTTCTGATTACTGTCATTATGTTCAAAAGAGTTCCAACCTGATGTGCCATTAAATGGGCTGTGTGTGTCTAGAGAAAAGCATATTAAGAGAAAGAAACATCCAGACAAAGGGGCCAGTCAGTGCAGGGATCGAGAAAAATTCCCTGTGTAGCTCGTTATCCAACAGACACCTGCCATTGATTTGCTTCATGACAGGCAGTGCAATGGGGAAAGCCAATGGAATGCAAATGTTGCCATTAAGTGTGCTCAGGTCAGAGCAGCCCAGTGGCCCTGCAAAGGTCCCTCGTTACTTATTCTGCTGGCAAACCCTGCCTGCTCCAGCGAGGACAGACTGTTATTAAAGCCCTCTCTTCTTGGTGAATTTGGAGTGTGTGCTTTGTAGGACAAGTAACAGTAACAACAAAACCAACAAGTTTAGCATTAGCCTGTGGTTTCTAGGCCTCTTATTCTCCAAACCAAAGATGGATTTCAAGCAGGGATTATGAAGTTGTTAACTGGACAGAGATCACCGAACTTCAGGCTCCAATCAGGTGATGCTCAGCTACTCTCCATTTACTGCAGTGACATCTAATGGCCAGAGAAGCCCAATGCCATGTTTGCATTTAAAAGCAGCCTGCAGTTCTGTCTTGGGGGTGAATTTTTTTTTTAACATAGGGTGGACAAAGTATTAGTATGTTTATTAACCCCTGCAAAATAACACTTTCACTGAAACCCTAAAAGTTCACTTCCTATATCTTTGGATGACATTTATATTGTTATTCATAATTACATGTTGATCCTATTTTGTGAAAACAGTGCAATTACCTCTTTGGATTTTTTTTTTTTTTTTACAACCATCATGACTTTGCATCTATTTGAAACTTCTTCTTATGCTCTATATATGCATTATTTGGAAGGCTCCCATACGAGGAAAAAGATGATCAGGATTACCCCCAAATACCCACTTCTAGTGTATCTTACCCCAGTTTATAGTGGGTTGTTGTGGTAGGGGTATAGAATGCAGATGGTGTAGAATGCGGTGTTGGCTGGATTCTCCCAGATGAGGTCACTGTTCTAGCTCTCAGGAAGAGAAAGCAAAACTAAGGTTTATGGGGAAGACTGGGACCCTTACCCGTCCCATTTAGATGTCATTGAACTTCATCTGAAACCTTTTTCTTTTCTTTTCTCTTTTTTTTGAGACAGAGTCTCGCTCTGTCACCCAGGCTGGAGTGTGGTGGCACAATCTCAGCTCACTGCAACCTCCGCCTCCCAGGTTTAAGTGATTCTCCTCTCTCAGCCTCCTGAGTAGCTGGGACTACAGGCACGTGCCAACACACCTGGGTAATTTTTTTTTTTTTGTATTTTCAGTAGAGATGGGGTTTCATCATGTTGGTCAGGTTGGTCTTGAACTCCTGACCTCAGGTGATCCACCCGCCTCGGCTTCCCAAAGTGCTGGGATTACAGATGTGAGCCACCGCACCTGGCCTGAAACCCTTTTTCACGGACTAGCCCTACCCCTTGAGGCTCAAGGCCCTGGTTGTTTTGGACTGGCCCACTATGGGGAGGAAGCTAAGCTGGCGAAGCCTTGAACTAGGCATGAAGTGGCTGAAAGTGCTGGAGAGATGCCCCTGGCAGTGAGAAATTCTTAGGACCAGGATTTTTAAAAAATGAATAAAACACTTACAGTATATCATACTTCTTTCCTACCCTACTTCTCCCCAGATTTTTTAAGAGAAACTATTTTTTTGTTTGTTTAGAGAGAGCATAATTTCCCTTTGAAGAAAACAACTTTTCTAAGGTTTGAACCAGATGAAATTGCTGTTTGAATGATGTCAACAAAGTTGAATATTGGTAATTTCATCTGGTTCAAGCTAAAGAAAGAAGATTGAAAGTAAAGGAGAGACATACTGTGTCTCTGAATAAAAGATGAAATATTTTACATAAATTACTCCAAGTGTATGGGTTTTACATAATTCCAATCATAATCACAAGGTAATTCTAAAGTTATCAGGAAGAACAAATGCCCGAAAATAATCAAGGAAATGTTGAAAAGAAAAACAATGAGGAGGGCTATATTCCACTAGACATTAAAAGGTGTTTTTTGGCCGGGGACGGTGGCTCACGCCTGTAATCCCAGCACTTTGGGAGGCCAAAGCGGGCAGATCATGAGGCCAGGAGTTCGAGACCAGCCTGGCTAACATGGTGAAACCTTGTCTCTACTAAAAATACAAAAACTTAGCCGGGCGTGGTGGCACATGCCTGCAGTCCTAGCTACTCGGGAGGCTGAGGCAGGAGAATCGCTTTAACCTGGGAGGCGGAGGTTACAGTGAGCTGAGATCACGCCACTGCACTCCAGCATGGGCGACAGAGCGAGACTCCATTTCAAAAAAATTAAAAAAAAAAAAGGCATTTTTCTAAAGTTATGGTCATTAAGATAGAGACCCTAGAATAGATATAAACATTTAGTATGTGGTGAAAGCTGCAGCACAAAGTAGTGGAGAAAAGAATTATTCAAAAAATGGTGCTTAAACAATTGGTAAACTATTAAAAAAAAAACTTAGATGACTGTTTCATATCATGCACCAGGAAAATTCTTTTTTTTTTTTTTTTTTTTGAGATAGGGTCTTGCTCTGTCACCCAGGCTGGAGTGTGGTGGCACAAATACGGCTCACCGCAGCCTCTACCTCCAGGGCTCAAGTGATCCTCCCTCCTCAGTCTCCCAAGTAGCTGGGACTACAGGTGTGCACCAGTTACAGGTGTGCCCAGTTAATTTTTGTATTTTTTATGGAGACGGGTCTCACCATGTTGGCCAGCTGGTCTCGAACTCCTAGCCTCAAGTGATCCTACCTATCTCAAACTCCCAAAGTGCTGGGATTACAGGCAGGAGTCACGGCACCTGTGCACCAGGTAAATTTTTTTTTTTTTTTGAGACTGAGTCTTGCTCTGTTGCCCAGGCTGGAGTGCAATGGGATGATCTCAGCTCACTGCAACCTCCATCTCCTGAGTTCAAGTGATTCTCTTGCCTCAGCCTCCTGAGTAGCTGGGACTACAGGCACGCACCACCACACCCGGCTAATTTTTGCATTTTTAGTAGAGACAGGGTTTCACCACGTTGGCCCGGCTGGTCTCGAACTCCTGACCTCAGGTGATCCGCCCACCTTGGCCTCCCAAAGTGCTGGGATTACAGGTACAAGCCACTGCACCCTGCCACACCAGGTAAATTCTAAATGTATTAAAATGTTAAGTGTAAGGCTGGGCACAGTGGCTCATGCCTGTAATCCCAGCACTTTGGGAGTTTGAGATGGGTAGGATTGCTTGAGTCCAGGAGTTTGATACCAGCCTGGGCAACATGGCAAGTCTCTGTCTCTACAAAAAATACAAAAATTAGCTGGGTATGATGGCCAGGCACGGCGGCTCACCCCTGTAATCCCAGCACTTTGGGAGGCCAAGGCAGGCGGATCACGAGGTCAAGAGATTGAGACCATCCTGGCCAACTTGGTGAAACCCCGTCTCTGCTAAAAATACAAAAAAAAATTTAGCTGGGTGTGGTGGCACGTGCCTGTAGTCCCAGCTACTCAGGAGGCTGAGGCAAGAGAATTGCTTGAACCAGGGAGATGGAGGTTGCAGTGAGCCGAGATGGTGCAACTGCACTTCAGCCTGGCAACAGAGCCTGACTCCGTCTCAAAAAAAAAAAAAAAAAAAAAAAATTAGCTGGGTGTGGTGGTGCATGCCTGTAGTCCCAGCTACTCAGGAGGCTGAGGTGAGAGAATCACCTGAGCCTGGGAAGTCGAGGCTACAGTGAGCTGAGATCGCACCACTGCACTCCAGCCTGGGCAGTAGTGAGACCCTGTCTCAAAAAAAAAAGAAGCCAAGTGTAAAAATCACAACTAAAAAAGTATTTAAATAACATATAAGTGAATAGTCATAGGATCATGGGATAGAATAGGCCTTTTAAGCACAAAAGCAAAGTCAGAAACAGAAGATAATACTAATAGATATAATTAGATAAAATTCTAAAAATATGTACAACAAAACATCACCACTCCAGCCCGGCCAACATGCTGAAACCGTGTCTCTATCAAAAATACAAAAATTAGCCAGGCATGGTGGCAGGTGCCTGTAATCCCAGCTACTTGGGAGGCTGAGGCAGGAGAAATGCTTGAACTGCTACTGCACTCCAGCCTGGGCGACATAGCGAGACCCTGTCTAAAAAAACAAAACAAAACAAAAACCCACCACCACCACCAACACATAAACAGCATTAGAAGCCAAATGTCAAACTGGGAAAAATATATGAAATGTATGACAAAGGGTTAATATCTTTAATATATAAAGACTTCTTACCAATGAATAGAAAAAGTTGAATATTCTAGAAAAATAGGGCAAGGACATAAATACAAAACTTACAAAGAAATACAAAGGGCCAGTGCAACCTTGCTTATAATCAATCAAATTAAAATTAAAATGATGGGATACTATTTTTCAGCTATTAGGTTCATAATGATTTAAAAAGTGACAATTAATATTGATAATTAATATCAATGAATATTGAGAGTTTAGAAGCTGAGCCACTGCTTTAGTGCTGGTGGAATTACAAACTTACAACCTTTCTGGAGTGCACATTTCATGAAGAGTCTTAGAATTGTTCATATTTTGTGACCTATAAGTCAATTTCTAGGAATATAGCCTAAGGATATCATCACAGATATGAAAAAATGCAAAGGTTTTCATTACAATGTTAGTATAACTCAAGAATTAGAAAAAGCCTAAATATTAAAAAAAGGAGAAATTGTTACATATTTTTGGCACATCCATATGGTGGAATATTATTTGATAATTAAATACTTAATGGCCCAGGGAAATACCCATTATATAATAAGTGAAAAAAGGATACTAATTTTTTTTTTTTTTTTTTGAGATGGAGTCTCGCTCTGTCGCCCAGGCTGGAGTGCAGTGGTGCAATCTCGGCTCACCGCAACCTCCATCTCCCAGGTTCAGGGGATTCTCTTACCTCAGCCTCCCAAGTAGCTGGGATTACAGGCATGTGCCACCATGACCAGCTAATTTTTGTATTTTTTAGTAGAGACGGGGTTTCGCCATGTTGGCCGGGCTGGTCTCAAACTCCTGACCTCAGGTGATCCACCCGCCTCGGCCCCCCAAAGTGCTGGGATTACAGCCGTGAGCCACCGCGCCCGGCCTAAGGATACTAATTTTTATATACAGTGTGAACACAATTTTGTAAAAGAAATAACCTTATATATCTTTATATGTGTGTGAGTGTGTTTATGTATATATATGAAGGTCCATAGAAGGAAAACTATTAATCATTATAATCCATGGGTGTTGGGCTATGGGTAATTTATTTTCCTTTTTGCACTTTTCTGTATGTCCCAAATTTTCTACAACTTATGTGTATTACTTTTTTTTCATTGTGGTCAAATATACATAAAATGAACCATTTTAACCATTTTAAAGTATATGTGCATTACTTTTTTTTTTCTTTGAGACAGGGTCTCTCTCTGTCACCCAGGCTGGAATGCGGTGGCAGGATTATAGCTCACTGTGACCTCGACCTCTTGGGCCCAAGTAATCCTCCTGCTTCAGTCTCCCAAGTAGCTGGGACCACAGGTACACACCACCATGCCCAGGTAATTTTTTATTTTTAGTAGAGACAAGGTCTCGCTATGTTGCTAAGGCTGGTCTCAAACTACTGGGCTCAAGTGATCCTCCCATCTTGGCCTTCCAAATGTGCATTATTTTTAAAATTAGAAATACTTAAAAAAAAAAGATAAGCATGCACTAAGCAGACTTTACATTTAAGCAGAAAAGCAAAGTCAGAAACAAACAAACAAAAAAGTAATAGATATAATTAGATAAAATTCTACAAATATGTACAACAAAGCACCACCACCAACAACACATAAATAGCACTAGAAGCCAAATGTTGGCTGGGCCCAGTGGCTCATGCCTATAATCCCAGCACTTTGGGAGGCTGAGGCGGGTGGATCTCTTGAGCTCAGGAGTTCGAGACCAGCCTGGTCAACATATAGTGAAACCCCATCTCTACCAAAAATACAAAAATTAGCTGGGTGTAGTGGCACATGCCTGTAGTCCCAGCTCTTGGGAAGCTGAGGCAGAAGAATCGCTTAAACCCAGGAGGAGGAGGTTGCAGTGAGCTGAGATTGTGCCACTGCACTCCAGCCTGGGTGTCAGAGTGAGACTCTGTCTCTCAAAAAAAAAAAAAACACCAAATGTCAAACTGGAAAAATTGTGTGAAATGTATGACAAAGGGTTAATATCTTTAATATATAAAGACTTCTTACCAACGAATAGAAAAATTTTGCACCTATACTACCATTACAATGATGCGACAATTATCTGTTTGGACAAGGACAGGAAAGGAATGCAACCCAGACAGATGAAGTTTCAGGGAGTGGAGTGGCAGCTTTGATAAGCACCTTCAGGCTGTTTAGTGCTGAGGTAAGCGATGGCCCAGGGCAGCCGGGACTACTACAGAGGGAAAGCGGGAGCGGGGAGGGACATTGAGCAAGCGAGGACAAGTTAGAGTCACAGGGGAAAACCAAACTTGGCTGGGACTGCTCATTTAAACTTGGATTCAGCTGACCCCAAATTAATTTCTATAGAGTTCTTCAGGAATATATTGCTTGTATAAATCAGGGTTTGCCCAGAAGAGGCCATGGAGACAGCCTAGCCTATGGAAGTGGAATTTTTTTAAAAATTTTTATTTTTAGTTCTGTGGTACACGTGCAGGATGTGCAGGTTTGTTACGTAGGTGAACATGTGCCATGGTGGTTTGCTGCACCTATCAACCCATCACCTGGGTATTAAGTCCAGCATGCATTAGCTATTTTTGAATTTTAAGGGCCTGAGCAGGGCTAAGAGAAGATACAGCACCTCAGCCCTGCTAGGATTCTGGGCCTGCCCCCACTGTACAGATATAACTGTTACCCACCCAACCTTATTTGAACTAGTCTGATTTTTCTTTGATCAAAATTGGCTTATTCTAGGCTAAGACAATTACTCACTTTGGAACTTCTGATTCTAGGATTTTGCCTCAGTGGTCTCACTAAGATGCCGCCTCATTTTTTTTTTTTTTTTTTGAGACAGAGTTTTGCTCTTGTTGCCCAGGCTGGAGTGCAATGGTGCAATCTTGGCTCACTGCAACCTCTGCCTCCCGGGTTCAAGTGATTCTCCTGCCTTAGCCTCTCGAGTAGCTGGGATTACAGGCATGTGCCACCACAACCAGCTAATTTTGTATTTTTAGTAGAGACAGGGTTTCTCCATGTTGGTCAGGCTGGTCTCGAACTCCCGACCTCAGGGGATCCGCCCACCTCGGCCTCCCAAAGTGCTGGGATTACAGGCATGAGCCACCGTGCCCGGCCTGATGCTGCCACATTTTAAATGCAGTTCCTTCCTCAGCGAGGGAGTCAGGGATGCTGGACCCTTGTTAGCTACAGTTCCTAGCTTATGTTGGTCCTATCCAGTCTGCTTCACTGAGGTAAGGCACAGTGAGGAAACCAAGAGTGGCATCCTTGCTGTGGAGGCAGCAAGGACAGGGAGCATTAGCAGGCTGCATTTCATATTCTACTCTCTGCTGGTCTTGGAGGAAGGAGAGCCACAAGTGATATAATCAGGAAGTCAGGAAAGAAAAGAGAAGCCTCATCTGGAGGCTTCTTTTTTTTCTTTCTTTCTTATTTTTCTTTCTTTTTTTTGAGACATAGTCTTTCTGTGTCACCCAGGCTGGAGTGCAATGGCGCGATCTCAGCTCACTGCAACCTCTGCCTCTCAAGTTCAAGTGATCCTCCTGCCTCAGCCTTCTGAGTGGCTGGGATTACAGGCGCCTGCCACCACGCCCAGCTAATTTTTGTTTGTTTAGTAGAGGCGGGGTTTCACCATGTTGGCCAGGCTGGTCTTGGACTCCTGACCTCAAGTGATCCACCCGCCTCCGCCCTCCCAAAGTGCTGGGATTACAGGCGTGAATCACCGCCCCTAGCCTGGAGGCTTCTTAAAAGACCAAAAAACAGAGGATGGGAATGAGGAGGCAGCCGGGGCTCAAGCCAACAGCTCTGAGGTTAGCAGCAGAAATGCCACAGAGTGGGGGTTTGCACAGTATTTATGAGCAGTCAGAAGCTCCTTGGAAACCTGGCATCACTTGGGGTCAGTGTTCTTTGCTGTTATTACCCGACCACAAACACTACAAAGCATTCCACCCCCTACCCCACTCTGATAACTCCTCACCTGCATCTTTCTCTTCACGGTCTCAAAGGGAAAGGAGAGGGTCTGGGTCACTGCAGCAGCCAGACAGACATTAGCAAAGTTCTGTGGGAGAGAGAACTGATCTCGGGGTCCGTTCCAGATTTTCTCCAGGTTCATGTAAACAAGAAGGGAGCCAGCAGAGAACGGGAGAGCACCTGCAAAACAAGGCCAGGGAGAAGCTGCTGCTGTCTTGGGAAAACACTGGCTTGAGAACATAAATTCCTGGGGGGATTCCGGGGAAAGAAAACAGGAGGGGCTCTGGGGTTGCTAAAATCCCTCCAACCCAAGGAGCATGAGGGAACTTTCTTGAGTGCGATAATGTGCTATATTTTGGTAGGGGTTGTGTCATTTGTCAAAATGCATCAAATGGTTCACTAAAGGTTTGTCCACTTTACTGGATGTAAATTGTACTTTAAAAAACAACCATACGGCTGGGCGTGGTGGCTCATGCCTGTAATCCCAGCACTTTGGGAGGCCAAGGCGGGAGGATCACCTGAGGTCAGGAGTTTGAGACCAGCCTGGCCAACATGGTGAAACCCCATCTCTACTAAAAATACAAAAAGTAACTGGGTGTGGCGTTGGGCACCTGTAATCCCAGCTACTTGGGAGACTGAGACAGAAGAATCACTTGAACCCAGGAGGCAGAGGTTGCAGTGAGCTGAGATCGCACCACGGCACCCCAGCATGGGTGACAAGAGAGAAACTCCATCTCAAAAAAAAGAACCATACACAAATATTGAACTCTAGTTAATGACACACATGTTGAAGGGTTTAGGGGTGAAGTGTATTGATATTTGCAAGTTACACTGAAATCATTAAAAAAAAAAAAAAGGTGGGCTGGCTGAGTACAGTAACTCACGCCTGTAATCCCAGCACTTTGGGAGGCCGAGGTGGGCGGATCACTTGAAGTCAGGGGTTCGAGACCAGCCTGACCTCGTCTCTACTAAACTCCATCTCTACTAAAACGGAAACTCCATCTCTACTAAAAATACAAAAAGTAACTGGGCGTGGAGGTGCGTGCCTGTAATCTCAGCTACTTGGGAGGCTGAGGCACGAGAATCGCTTGAACCTGGGAGGCAGACGTTGCAGTGAGCCGAGATTGCACCACTGCACTCCAGCCTGGGTGACAGAGCAAGATTCTGTCTCAAAAAATAAATAAATAAATAAATAAATAAATAAATAAATAAAATAAAAATGGACTGATGAATGGCTGGAGGGATGAATAGCAAAATGTTAATTGTAGCATCTAGATGGTCCATGGATGTATACTCTAGATTTCTTTTAATTTTTCTAGATGTTTGAAGCTTTTTTTTAATGTTCGGGGAAAAAATCACTCAAGTAAAAAAAGCCAGTGGGCAGCACCTCATTATGTTTTGGAGGACAGGAGGGACTGATCTCTAGCTGAGAAGGAAACATTTTATGAAAACTGGAAAGTGAGAGACTCTCGATGGTGAGGGAGGTCACCTGACTTCACCTTTGGGAATGACATGGTCATATCATGGCCCAGTGGGCACCCTACACTGTGTGGCTTCCTCACCTTTCTAAGAACTGAGATGGTGAGTAAGTAATATAGTAGGTGGCACTTTCACAAACTTCCAGAACCTTTAGGAGCCATCTTTAGTTTACAGAGGGACTAAATTTCTCCCTCAAAATGAAATTTAAAATAGGGGATAATACAAGTGAAATTGCTTATCTTTAGAAAAATGTAATGTTTATTTAATTGGCTCACCAACCTTCCATTTACCTTCATTCAGAAAATGTCTGGAAAGCTTAGGTTATGTGCCAGGCCCTATGTCAGGTGCTGGGAATCGAAAGAGGAGCGGGCTAATTTCTGGAGATGCTCATCATCGAGGAGAACAGACAGCCAGGGCAAAGTCAGTATAACACCCCTGATGTGTGCCACAACAGGGGGGCTATATGAAATGCATTAGGTACACAAGGATCAAAGGGATTAATTTTGCCTGGGGGAGTCAGGAGGGACTTGATGAAAGAGAGAACTTTTGAACTGGGTCTTGAGGAATAAATAGGAGTTCATCAGACTTTGACAGAGTGGAAAGGCAAAGGGAATAGCATGTATAAAGGGAGTGGTATTTCCAGGAAATCCAAGTTTTTCTGAAGGGCTGGAGCATGAATGCAGGTGGAGGTATGGCAGGAGATGAGGTAGGACAAACTGGCAGGGGCCAGGTCTGAAGGATCTAGAATGTCCTAAGGAATTTGGGCTTTCTCCTGTAGCTCAGGAGTCGCTGAATACTTTTTAAGGAGAGCAGTGAAATGAGGGCCGTGAAACGATGAAATTGCACGTGGAGAGATCACCTCAGCCGGGCAGCAGTGCACGGGGAAGACTGGGGCAGGAGATACCAAGAGTGGAAGCAGGTAGGAGCCAGAGTCTGTGGGAGACCCTGAGAGTCTGAGTTGTAAGGACCTGTGGGAAAGAGGATGAGTCAAATCGACGGGACTTGGTGATTCAAGTGGGGGTGGAGTGAGAGGAGAAGTTGAAGTGATCCCTAGGCTTTTTTTTCTGGCTTGGGCCACGGGGTGAAAGGAAGGTAGTCTCATTCATTAGGGAACACAGGAGGAAGAGCTAGTTTGAGACCAACGAGGACATCAGGGTTAATCTTGAATTTGATGTGCCTAGGGAGCATGGAGGTGAAGGTGTCCAACAGCAGGGACTCATACTACCATTGGGAATTGGTGTCAGTCAGGGGCTAACAGAGGGCTCTGGAGTTCTATTGCTAGTTTCTCCTGCTTTCTATCTATGTGGACTTGGGCAAGTCACTTAGCTTCCTGAAGCATCTATCTCCTCATCTGTAAAATAAGGCCTCATGAGAAAGCGCATGCAATGCATTTGGCCCAGTACCCAGAACATGGTAAGTACTTCCCCCCAAAAGTTGGCCATTGTTACTAAAGAGGTAGAGAATAAGGGTCACAGAATACACTGACGCTTGCTTAAGCCACTAGCATAGATGAGGCCACCTAGGGAGGGTTTGGAGGATGAGAAGCAAGCTAAAGGGGAGGGTAAAAAGAAAGCTAAGGAAGGAGCCCAGGGGAAGAGCAACATGTAGGGGCTGGCAGTATCAGACGACCCAGATGGGCCGGATAAGTCAGATAAGAAAGAGCTGCCAGAGAGATGGGAAGACACCCAGGACTTGGAGGGGTCCTGGAAGCCAAGTTTCCAGAAGAAGGGGTGGTCAACCTTATCAAATGCTGCAACCAAGTTCAGATAAAGGGAAAAAGTCTACTGGATTTTGCAATTGGGCCATAAATGTGTAGCTCTGGCAAAGGTTACAAAGACCCCAGAAGACACAGTTGCTACCCTAGTTGCCCTCATGGCATATCAATGTGTATGTACACTGAATACTCCTTCTGCAGTCAGATGGAGAGTGGTTAGAATTGCATTCTTACCAGTTTGCTGAGTCACCTCCACTTTCTGGTCTACTCCCCTCCCGGGGATGTAACTGGCCAAAGTTTAGGAGTGGAGTGTATGGCTATGGAATAGAATGAAGCTAATTGCCTCTATGTAGGTTGAATCCATATAACCTTGATCTCAGTAAAACTGATTTAGTGGCTCACAAAGGTATACAATACATTTGTAATTTCAGAGAACATAGCCTTTTCTTGGACAAGGTGAAAAGGTCCATCTTACCTACAACAGTGAGGGAAACCCCTCGATAAAGGGCAAGGAACCCTTCCTGTTGGTAAATAGTAGAAAAAGCATGGAGGAGCCCCCTGTACGATGGTTCCAGTATGTTCTGCATGATCAACCGGGTTTTGATGAGGTCTGTAGGATATGTTACAATGGTGGAAACCATGCCTGCGAGACTCCCAGCCATGATGGAGCTCCACTGGGAAATGTGGCCCAGGTCATCTGTGAACAGCACAACAAATCTGGGAGAAAATAGGGGGAAAGGCCAGAGAAATCAACTATGGATTGTGCTAGAGTTCTCTCCACTAGTTCTTGAAATATTTTCCAGCATTTCAAAGTACTTTACAAAGTGAAAAGTTACTATAGTACTATATAAGCATTCATGAATAATACATTTACATTTTTCTATATTTATATGATGCTAGTTGGCTATAAGAGATGCCTAACTTTCTTAATTTACATCTATCCCAAGTCCTTCCCACTTAAAGCATTTTCTACTTTTATCTACATAATTGTCAACACTGGCTTGCCTGTGGGGTGTAAATGCACAGAAGTACCTGGTAAATACCAACTGGAGTGCAGTCTTTCAGTTCTGTTGAAACTTAAAAAGGAACAAAATTTCTTCAAATGATAACTTCGAGCATCTCAGTAATTACGTTTTTTTTTTTTTGAGGCAGAGTCTCACTTTGTTGGCCAGGCTGGAGTGCAGTGGCACGATCTCGGCTCACTTCAACTTCCGTTCCCCAGGTTCAAGCAATTCTCATGCCTCAGCCTCACAAGTAGCCGGGACAACAGGCGCACGCCACCATGCCCAGCTAATTTTTGTAGTTTTAGTAGAGACGGAGTTTCACCATGTTGGCCAGACTGGTCTCGAACTCCTGACCTCAGGTGATCCACCCCGCTCGGCCTCCCAAAGTGCCCAGTTCTGGGCCGGGTGCGGTGGCCACTCTATCGCCCACGCAGAAGTACAGTGGCATGATCTGGGCTCACTGCAACATCCACCTCCCAGGCTCAAGAGATCCTCCCACCTCAGCCTCCTGAGTAGCTGAAACTACAGATGTGCGCCACCATGCCTGGCTATTTTTTTTTTTTTTTTTTTTTTTTTTGTAGAGATAGGGTTTCGCCATGTTGGCTAGCCTGGTCTCAAACTCCTGGGCTCAAGTGATCTGCCCGCCTCAGCCTCTCAAAGTGCCGGGATTACAGGTGTGAGCCACTGTGCCCGGCCTATCTTTTTAAAATGAGAGCATCCCCAGTTCCTTAGCCTTCAAACCTCCAGTGAGGAGGTGCATTTCCTGTTCTTTCAGTTGCCCATAGGCCAGGGGCTGCTGCATGAGAAATAAGAGTGGGCATTCAGGTGAAAGCATTTAAGGGGTTCTAGGCTAGCTCTTTTGCTTTCAAGTAAACACTCACTGATTAAAAACATCTTCAAGCTGTAGGAGTCTTGACTTCATTTTGTCAACCTACCTTAGCCGCATTAACTGAAACAGTCATTTGAGTTAATCAGCTGCTTTTAAACATACAGGGAAGTAAAGGTGATGTGGTGCTATGATACATACATTGGTTTTCACCCATGGTTCCTGGCTCCTAACTTCCCTAGTCCTTGTTATAATGTTGGGGCACTTTAGGTCTCAGGAAACAGAATCTTTCTCTCTTTGACCTTCTCCTGCCCTCCTTTTACCTGCCCAAGGTAGGACTCTAATCTGATTGTGGGTTAAAAGATCCTCATCCCAGAGAGGGTCCTGCCCCATACCCTAGAGCAAACTTGTCCAACCCACAGCCCACAGGCCGCATGTGGCCCGGGATGGCTTTGAATGTGGCCCAACACCAATTTGCAAACTTTCTTAAAACATTATGAGATTTTTTTGCAATTTTTTTTTTTTTAGCTCATCAGCTATCGTTAGTGTTATTGTATTTTATGTGTGGCCCGACAATTCTTCTTCCAGTGTGACCCAGGGAAACCAAAAGATTGGACACCTCTGCCCTAGAGAAAGGAACGCTGCATAGAGGCCAAGAAAAGTCTGAACAGACAGGCCTTGCTGGGTTTAGATCATGTGCTTTTCATCCAGTCACATTTCTACATGGTTGTCAATCATGCCTCTGTAACAAATCTTCCATAAAAACCCGAGAGGACAGGGTTTGGGAACCTTCTGGATGGCTGAACATGTGGAGGTTCCTGAAGGGTGGCGTGCCCAGGGAGGGCATGGAAGCTCCACACCCCCTGCCCCTTACCTCACCCTGCCCATCTCTTCTCTGTATCCTTTGTGGTATCCTCTGTAGTTAACTGGTAAACATTAACTATTTCCCTGAGTTCTGTGAGCCGCACTAGCAAATTAATCGAACCCAAAGAGGGGGTCGTGGGAACCCCAACTTGAAGCTGGTTGGTCAGAAGTTCTGGAGGCCTGGCTAGGCATGGCGTCTCATGCCTGTAATCCCAGCACTTTGGGAGGCCGAGGCAGGCAGATCACTTGAGGTCAGGAGTTCGAGACCAGCCTGGCCAACATGGCAAAACCTTCTCTTTAGTAAAAAAATTACAAAAATTAGCTGGGCATGGTGGCGGGCGCCTGTAATCCCAGTTACTCAGGAGGCTGAGGCAGCAGAATAGTTTGAATCCGGGAAGCAGAGGTTGCAGTGAGCCGAGATCACGCACTGCACTCCAGCCCGGGTCACAGAGCGAGACTCAGTCTTAAAAAAAAAAAAAAAAAAGTTCTGGAGGCCTGGACTTGTGACTAGTGTCTGGTTGGGGGCCATTCTTGGGGACCAAGCCCTTAACCTGTGGCTTGGTCTGACATTATGTCCAGGTAGACAGTGTCAGAACTGAATCAGAGGACACCTAGTTGGTGTCCATTTATCAGAGTGTGGGGTTCCCCACACTCATTTGGTCACAGAAGTCTTCTGTGTTGAGGGTTGTTGTTGTGGTGTGAGAGCAGAGGAAAAACCAAGTTTGACAGAGGTTTTTCTCAAACAGGTGGCATTCACCAACAGACTATCTGCCTCAGTTGTACTGCCTGCCTGCCCACTTCCTCGTTCCTCCCTCTTCTATACCCTGGCCAGTCAAGTTGGAGGGGGACCTCAGAAAGGACAGGGGAAACAGAGGAAGTAGAAATTTTTGACTGGGGCTGGGCGTGGTGGCTCACGCCTGTAATCCCAGCACTTTGGAAGGCCAAGGCAGGTGGATCACGAGGTCAGGAATTCGAGACCAGCCTGGTCAACATAGTGAAACCCCGTCTCTACTGAAAATACAAAAATTAGCCAGGCATGGTGGCGTGCACCTGTAATCCCAGCTACTCGGAAGGCTGAGGCAGGAGAATCGCTTGAACCCGGGAGGTGGAGGTTGCAGTGAGCCGAGATTGCGTCACTGCACTCCAACTTGGGCGACAGAGCAATACTTCTTCCAAAAAAAAAAAAAGAAATTTTTGACTGGAGGGGCGGTCTGCAGCAAGCTGGAACCACCTAGAAGGTGGAGTTTGAAATGCCCAAAGAAATACCATTCATTCTCCTTGTCCCACTCTTATTCCCCATCCCACTTGGTCACTTCTAGGGCATAGTTAATTCACTACTCATTTATTGAAGGTCTACAATGTATCAGACCCTGTGTTAGTCCTCAGCATAGAGCCTAAGGGAGTTCAACACTTCTGACAAGGAAATGACTGGTAGGGGCAAGCGGAGAGGAAACAGGCCCTTAATTCACTGAATGACTTGATGAACTAGGAAGAGGAGCCGTATTTTATATCAGTTTCTTTTATAGAGTCTCAATATCAAATATACACAATTAAAAAGAAGAACCATAGGAAGTCCTTTTTTCGCAGACTTCTCCCATCTGATACAGAGATAAGTCCTATCAATTGTTCCCCTTAGAATCTCAGAGTCAGGGCAGGCAACCCTGATAATCCGCCAATGATGTCATCTCAGTCCATGCATCTTAAACTTTTGATTTGCTAGGGCGGCACTGTTCCCTTTTCTGTTCTTCCTCCCACCCCCACACATACATGCACAGAAGCTTTTTCCAGTGAGACTGGATACACTGGTGAATTGCAGCAACCCCTTCCTTTCAGCCAGCACAGATACAACACACACCCTGGATATGTGTAATTATAACTGCCAATACTTCAACCTAACAGGTTGGCAGCCAGTGCAGCCAAACATAAGCTCATGAAGTGCTTATTCAATAAAGAAATAGTGTTGGTTATGAACAATTTCAGAGCTGCAGGGACCCAAACTAACGTTTATTAGATAAGATAGACAAGCGGTTGTGAAGTTCCAGGGCGGGGGGGTCTTCTATTTGATACATCTGAAAGCCACCCATTACAATAACCTAGCTCCCAACAGACTACTGAGTGGACTCTTGATCGTCAATCCAACTAAGCAGATATTTCTGCTGTGCAATGGTAGACAGAGACCTGAACTAAGGAGCCAGAAGACTTGGCTTCAAGTTCCAGCTCTTCCATTAATTGCATTTGTGGACAAGTCACTTAACTACCCCATTCCCTGAACATTCTGGATGTTTATGTTTTGTTCAAACCCATGATCACAGGCCCCCAGCCAACTGTTTTGCAAATTCATGGTCAGAAAAGAGTAGAAATGAATCAGTATAATGATGAATCAAGAGTATCATGTTGATGTAGGAAGGATGGCATCGCGATTAATCAAACACTTTGCTTTCCAACTATGCCTTGCCATTCACCAAAATACTTCCTTTTAGTTTTCAGAAAGAAAATAATCCTGTAGGGGAAAAAAAATTCCTAGCAAACCTAGCCCAGGTAAGTCTCTGTTCTCGTTCTCCCAGACATCTCCTCCTCTCTGCTCCCATGGTCACCTATTGCCGGTGCCCTCAGCTGCTATGTGGACTAGTGCAACAGGTTCCTAACTGGCCCTGCTGTCTCCACTCTTCCTCCTCTCTAGTCATCTTACTCTGCCACGATGTGACGATCATTTCCATTGAATTGCTTTAATCACAACACACCTCCCCCCACCCCCCACAAAAACCTCCCACAGCTACCCTTGGATACCAAGTCAAGTCCAAATCCCTTAATCCAACCCTCTAATATCTCATTCCAACCTGCTTTTCTGGTTGGACTTCCTGTTGTGCTGCTTGCCTTCCCACCTCTGTGCATTTGCTGACATCAACTGCAGTATCTTTCTCTCCATCTCTGCCCAGCAGACTCCTCATTCTCCCAATGCCAAACTCAAATTTTTTTCTCCTCTATGAAGTCTTCACATTTTCTCCTCCTCATCGCTCATCAGAAGGGTACATTTCTAGAGCACATTATCCATGACAATCACATGCTACCTTGTGTGTTATGGTCATGGACATATTAGTCTTACTCTTCTATTACTCTGTAAGCTCCTGGGGCACAGGGACCATGCCCCTTCCATCCTGGCATTGTCCTCAGCATCGTGCACACAGTGGGGACTTAATGTAGCCTGACTAAATTAGTGTCAAATGGATGCAGGGAGGCAGCATGATGTAACAGAAAGACTATGAGATTTGGAGTCAGAAGGCCAGGTAGTGGAGCTCAGCTCGGTCACTGACAAGAGGTGTCATCACTCTGAGCCCAATTCTGCATCTGTAAAACAGGCACAATGCTTCCTGTCCTATGGACCTTACAGGGCAGGAGGCAGGAGCTTAAAAAATCTAATGTGCATATACTAGGTGCTTAGCAGAAGAGCCACAATACTTAAACCAGCCTTTGAAGTTCTGCCCCCCACCCCTCTGGACATATTTTATCCCATCCAAAGGAAGATTTCCACACTACTTTGTAGAGAAGAGGGTGAAGTGGGGGAGAAACTGAGTCATTAAGACTCAGAGGAGAACTGTTTACAGACTGCAGGCCAGATGTTGATGAGGGCAAGCAGAGGTGGGGAGGAAAAAGGGCCTTAACTAAATGTCATGGTCCCACCCATGAGTCCCTCTGCAGAGGAAGAGAAGGGAACTCTATTTCCAGGCAGAGGCAAAATGAGTACTGGCCTAGAGGCCTAGGTAATAAGGATGATTCCGTTCGGCTTGTCGGCTGCCAGGTGAGCCTTCCACCTCTGGCCTCCCAGGTGAGTGACAGTGTCAAGGCAAAATCCTTTGACTATTAGCCGCCAAGACTAAACTATGCGGTCAAGACCGACTCTCCCAAATGTGGGCTGTTTGTCTAATTCAGAGCCAAGGCGATATCAAAGATGCCACTGTGCCCACTGAATGAGGAACACAGGGACCGTCCCCCCAATACAGAAACATCTCTGCTTCCTGAAATGCCATCACTACCAATTCATTCTTTCAGGCTTGGTTTCCAGTTCAAATGCAGGTACCTCTGAGCTCGGTGGAAGCTTTAAGGCTGCATTTACACCTTTAGATCTTTTCCTAAGGAGCAGCTGTTGATGTGGGAGAAGGTGGAAAAGGCCCAAATAAATGAGGCCAGTGGGGTGAAGCGGTAGGCTGAGGGGGCCGTTCTCAGCTTGGGGAGGGGAAGCTGCAGCCTCTGTCGGAGCCTGAAGTCAAGCTTCATTTAAGTTGGGGAGATGTGTGGGCAAAAATCTGCGGCCTTTTCGTATCGATGGATCGGGTCCTTTCCCCACACCAAGCACTTTCTTCTCGGGGCTTGGGTCACACAGACAAAAACACCTTTAAAAGGGTCTCTCTCTTCCTAAGCCAGCCTAAGCAAAAGTTTCCAAATTGGAGGACGGTGGAAATGGTTAGGACTCATCTCTCTGGAGAGCTTTTCATTCCTTTCCTCCAAATCCTTTGCTGCATTCCACCTCCTCGCCCGGTCCAATCCGGAAAGCCTCTCGGACCAGGGCTGCGGACCACAAAACTGCATCTTGCAGGGCGGTAACCCCAAGAGAACGTGAAAAGCATTGGGGCTGCACTCTGGGGGCCATAGAGGTGGCCCACCGCCCCGAGGGGTCCCCAGGTGATCGACAAGGGGGCCGTCCCTACTCCAGGGCCCCGAGTCCAGGCAGCAGGGCGGCGTCGGGCCGCGGCTCCCCCACCCCACCCCCGTCCGGTCTCCCGGTTCCCCGGCCCCGCCCGGCTCTTACTTGCGGTAGGCGGCGAGCTGCACGGCGCTGCAGGGGAAGAGGCGCAGGCACGCCACCGCGTTCCCCTTCCACAGGGCCCGGAGCCCCTCTGCCCGCCACACCCGGTGCCCTGTGGCCCACGGTCCCCGGGCGTGGCCTCGCACGACGCCAACCTGGGCCAGCACGGTGGCGAGCTCCAGGGGCGCGGTGAGGCTGAGGCTGAGCGTCCCCGCCAGCCCAGCGCACAGCAGCCTTTGGCCGCCTGTCAGTCGGCCGTCCCGCCTCCACGTAGCCATCGAGCCCCGACCCGGGCCCGGAAGACCGCGTGGCTCGGGCCTGGGGCTCTCCGGCCACGGGCGGAGGTGGCGGGCCCCAGGCCCCGCCCGGCATGGGGCGGGCCCGCGTGAGGGACGGGAAGCCCCGTCTACGCCCTAGCCTGGCCCGAGGCTGGTCGGGGGTGGGGCGCGAGGGCCTGGAGGGTCCGGGGTCCGAGGCCGCGGATATCATGGGCATAGTCTCCCCAGTTGGCAAGGCTCGAGTAGCGACTTTCAGTTGCGAAACAGTTACTGTTCTCTCAAGGCCCAGCCTGCTAGACATCTTGCTTCCTAAATGTTCAGTGCGCCCCCGCCGCCCCTCCCTGCCTCTCCTCTGGTTTGCCCCTTTTCTCCCTTTCACGTGCCACTTCTCTGTCTTCCTCCCCTGGCGCTTCCCTCCTCCTCCTCTTGCCTCCAACCCATTTTTTTTTCCTGCCTAACCAAAAAGCCTTGATGGTTTCCCAGTGCAGAAGGTAAAAAATTCTAACAACCACAGTTGCTATCTCTCAGGCACTTGTCAAGTACTGGGCTTTACAGACGTTCTCATGTAATCCTCAAAACGGCCCTAAGTACGTATGTCCTCATTGACAGAGGCTGTGTGGGTGTGGGGACTTGAATCTGGACTCTTGAACCTGTGTAAGATTCTTGGCTCTGCAGCTTACCAGCTGTGGGACCTTGGGGAAGTCACTCAACCTCTCTGTGTGTCAGTTGCTTTATAAAACAGAGATTATAATTTTTTCCTCCTAGGGGTTGTTGTAAGGATTAATGAACAATGACTGGTATGGGTAAGCAGTTTATATGTGTTAGTTCTGATTAGGTATTCATTTACAGGAGAGGAAACCAAGACACAGAGAGGACTTGCTCAGGCTCACACAGCTACCTACAAAGCAGAGACCGGTTTGAAATCTAGGGCGGTTTATGTCAGTTTCCACTAACGGCTACACTATATGTCTACTAGGACTGCAGAGTTAACTCCAGTAGGGACATTTTCAGTGGTTCTGTAAGCTAAGAGAACAATAGAGGCAAAGAATGGCTAAGAGAGGCTTGGCCAGAATCCGAGGATTCTTTAATCAGTTCAAAAATTTCAGAATTTCAGAATTTCTTTCTGTCTCTTTTTTTTCTAAAAAAGCCATGTCACTAATAATTACAAGGAAAGGAACTGTCAGCAGTCTGTTGGTGTGAGCAAGATGTTCCGGGTACATAGTTGTTTTTAGGCTTGTATAGTTATTTACATTTACTAACACACAATGCTATAGGAACGTTTTCTAAAAGGCATTGCAGGGTTTCTCCTTTTTTATTTTTCACTGTCAATCTCACTTGAGTATGACATTACAAGGTTTTGACTGTGAGAACTTGTTCTAGTTGCAGAAGCCATACTCTGCTCTCAACAATTGGGGAATGCTTATTTTCATGTTTTGTGAATTCTTCTGTCTTGTTGTAAGCTAATTTGATGGCTGGGGGAAGCTTGAGAAAGATGTATGACTCTGAAGACCGGAGGACCCCGACTTTAAAAGGGCTTGAATTGGAATTTGGGGATTACAATAAGGAAACCTTCGGGTACTGGTACTTCCTAAAGCCCTTTGTTGGATAACGGGACAAGATTCTAAAGCTCTTTCAGGAAGTTCGTGGGTCTGGAACATTTCATGTGATAACCCCATTGTATGGAGATTGGGTCAGCCAAGTTATGTTTTTTTTTTTTTTGAGACAGAGTCTCGCTCTGTCGCCCAGGGTGAAGTGCAGTGGCATGGTCTTGGCTCACTGTAACCTCTGCCTCCTAGGTTCAAGCGATTCTCCTGCCTCAGCCTCCTAAGTAGCTGGGACTACAGGCATGTGCCACCATACCCAACTAATTTTTTTGTATTTTCAGTAGAGATGGGGTTCGCCATGTTGGCCAGGCTGGTCTCGAATTCCTGACCTCAGATGATCCACCTGCCTCGGCCTCCCAAAGTGCCGAAATTACAGGCATGAGCCACCGCGCCTGGCCTATTTTAACCTTGAAAGTAAAATGTATGGCCGGGCGCGGTGGCTCACGCCTATAATCCCAGCACTTTGGGAGGCTGAGGCGGGCGGATCACGAGGTCAGGAGATCGAGACCATCCTGGCTAACACGGTGAAACCCCGTCTCTACTGAAAATACAAAAAATTAGCCGGGCGAGGTGGCGGGCGCCTGTAGTCCCACCTACTTGGGAGGCTGAGGCAGGAGAATGGCGTGAACCCTGGAGGGCGGAGCCTGCAGTGAGCCGAGATCACGCCACTGCACTCCAGCCTGGGTGACAGCGAGACTCCGTCTCAAAAAAAAAGAAAGTAAAATGTATATTTTTCACTGCAGGTACACTGAAGCATAAAATGAATAACACCAAACTATATATTGGATGCCTTCTGTCTTTTCATGATCATGTGCTAACCAGGTGTTCATATTTTACTCAGCCAGAGTCTCATTCATCTGCTTAGCATTGGGCACCTTATGTATATTCATCCTAAACATAAATAAATCTCCGAGGATATCCTGTATTTGGATTGTGACTTGTATACTCAAGCCAACCTTATTGCCTCTTTTTCACACTTGTTGAAAAGTCTGTGGAGAGCATAGTAGGTTAACAAGCTCCAACTTTGGAAAATGTACATGATGTGAAATTGGGGTGCTATGCTAAAAATAAATGTATGATAACTAAAAAGGAAGAGGCAGTGAGTAAAAAAAAAAATCTTAGAAGTTATGTTGCAATATAAGGAGAAAGGTGGCCAGCTGAGAGTTAAGCCCTAGGCAGCCTCTCGTTGCCCCAGTCAGGGCTTGGGAGATGCTAACAGTTTTTTAAATTCTCCAGCTTTCATTTTTCAGTTTATCTTCTCACCAACTGAAATCTCTCAGTACATTACTTTAGTTTAACTTGCTAGTATTTCTTAGAATATAATTTATCTTGTTATATTTATACTAATGTTGATTGATTCCTGCTCTCCTAATTTTCTTTTATTTTTTACTTTTTGGGAAATTTGTAAATTATAAAGTAGTTTATACCTGTTGTAACAAGACAAATAGTCCAGAAGTGTATTAAAGAAAGTTAAGTTCCCCTGCCCATGCCCTGAGGTAACCACGGTTAAGAGCTTGGTGCGTGTGTGAATGTTTTTCCTCATATTTTTTTTTCATGCTCAGACCAATAAATATTTATATGGGGTTGCTTTCTCCTCCTTTCCGCTCTTCCCTCCTTCTTACCTTCCTTCTTTCCTTCCTTTGAAACAGAAAAGAAATAATTCCTCTGGAAGGATACCCAAAAAACTGATAATCAGGTTATCTTTGGGGAAGGAAACCTGGAGACTTGGGAACAGAGGTGGAAGGGAGATTGAGTTTTGACTGTGTGCCCTTTTATTTTCTTTTATTATTTATTGATTTATTTAGTTAGTTTTGAGACAGAGTCTCGCTCTGTTGCCCAGGCTGGAGTACAGTGGCACGATCTCAGCTCACTGCAACCTCTGCCTCCCAGGTTCAAGCAATTCTCATGCCTCCCCAGTAGCTGGGACTACAAGCAGCCACCACCTCACCAATCTAATTTTTTTTTTTTTTTTTTTTTGAGACGGAGTCTTGCTCTGTCACCCAGGCTGGAGTGCAGTGGCGCAATCTTGGCTCACTGCAAGCTCCGCCTCACAGGTTCATGCCATTGTCCTGCCTCAGCCTTCAGAGTAGCTGGGACTACAGACGCCCGCCACCGCACCTGGCTAATTTTTTTGCATTTTTAGTAAAGACGGGGTTTCACCGTGTTAGCCAGGAGGGTCTCTATCTCCCGACCTCGTGATCCACCTGCCTTGGCCTCCCAAAGTGCTGGGATTACAGGCATGAGCCACCGTGCCCGGCCCTAATTTTTGTATTTTTAGTACAGACGGAATTTCACCATGTTGGCCAGGCTGGTCTCAAACTACTGACCTCAAGTGATCTGCCCCCTTTGGCCTCCCAAGGTGCCAGGATTACAGGCGTGAGCCACCGCACCCAACCCTGTGTGCCTTTTTATACTGTTTACCTTTTTCTCCTGTTTTTTTTTTTTGTTGTTGTTTTGTTTTGTTTTGCCGTGGCCATGTATCATCAATTTAAAAAATTCTCTTCTCCATCAATTTTCTCTGAAGGTGCAGTGTTTTCTGTGACATTGCCTTGCCATTGGTGAGATTTTTTTCCTTTTAATGACACATCTTTATTTCCTTGGCAACTTTTTTTTTTTTTTTTTTTTTTTTTTTTTAGATGGAGTCTCACTCTGTTGTGCAGGCTGGAGTGCAGTGGCGCGATCTCGGTTTACTGCAACCTCTGCCTCCTGAGTTCCAGCGATTCTCCTGCCTCAGCCTCCTGAGTAGCTGGGGTTATAGGCGCCCACCACCACACCCGGCAAATGGCTAATTTTTGTATTTTTAGTAGAGATGGGTTTTCACCATGTTGGCCAGGCTGGTCTTGAACTCCTGACCTCAGGTGATCCACCCGCCTGGGCCTTCCAAAGTGCTGGCATGAGCCGCTGCAGCTGGCCGGCAACTTTTTTTTTTTTTTAATGTTAAACAACTCTTGATGAAGTTCTGAAAGAAACAAACAAGATACAACCTTCCTTCTATTTACATGGTACTTGCGATCCTGGAAAATGCCATGTACAAAAACACTGTGCAAAAAATGTTTTGTCTTTAGCAGTAAAGCAAAGTTAAGTTCTTGACACAGATAATTGTAAACAGGTTTTCCACCTACATGAATGTCTGATGGGATCTTTGAGAGCCATGAAGGATGCAGGACTGTCTTACGCATTGCAGATGTGCAGCTTCCCTGGCCTTTCTCCAGTAAATGCCAGCAGAATACCCCAATCACTGTGGTACTCTTCCCCGCAAATTTCCAAAATGCTTCCTAGGAGGTGGTGCTATTCTTGTTGAGAACCACTGCTCTAGCTGCTTCCTCTGATTGGAATGTTCTTTCCCCAGTTTGCAGAGTTGATTTCTTTTTGTCGTTCAGAGCTCAACTTAAATGTTACCTCCTCGGCCGGTTGCGGTGGCTCATGCCTGTAATCCCAGCACTTTGGGAGGCCGCGGCGGGCGGATCACGAGGTCAGATCGAGACCATCCTGGCTAACACGGTGAAACCCCGCCTCTACTAAAAACACAAAAAATTAGCCGGGCATGGTGGCGGGCGCCTGTAGTCCCAGCAACACGGGAGGCTGAGGCAGGAGAATGGCGTGAACCTGGGAGGCGGAGCTTGCAGTGAGCCGAGATCGTGCCACTGCACTCCAGCCTGGGTGACAGAGCAAGATTCCGTCTCAAAAAAAAAAAAATGTTACCTCCTGTCAGAGGGCTTTGCCTGACTGCCCCATCTACAGGGCCCTCATTCACTCTACCACATTGCCCCATTTCAATTCTCTGTATAGCATTTATCCCTGTCTGCTGTTTTTCTTTCCTGTCATTTTATTGTCTGTTTCCACCTACCAGAATGTAAGATCCATGAGGGAAGGGATCTTGTCTCTTGTTCACAGCAGTGTCCTTGTTACCTGCAATGGTGGCTGGCACATTAGTGCCCAGCAATCATTAGTTAGATGAAAGGAAGGAAGGAGGGAAGGAAGGAAGGAAGGAAGGAAGAGAAGGAAATCTCTTCTTCAGTTGTACAAGTTGCAAAAGATTGGCAGAACATGATGTCTTCATGAAGTGGCTTAAGTTAAATATGATAAATACCAAAATATTAGCTAAATTCACAAGATCAGTAGACTCATCAATTTGCAGCAAATAATATCAACTTCCTCAGAAGTTGGATATTTGCTATTTTAAGTTTCCAGCCACATCTGTAATTTTAAAAAGAACTGTGATATTTGACAAATACACTTGCTTTGTTCCCAGTCATCATTTTCACTATGTCTTTGGCAGCAGTTTTGGTAAGTGTGTGAACAATGAATTCAGTAGGTCTAACCTTTGCAATTCAGTACAACCTTATAAAATGTGGTTTCCATAGCTTTTGCCTTTGGCCTGTTGTGTTTAGCTTTAGGTGATGATGAAATGTCCTTCCATTCTAGGTGGATAAGTCTCACGAGATCTGATGGTTTTAAAAATGGGAGTTTCCCTGTACAAGCTCTCTCTTTGCCTGCTGCCATCTGTGTAAGAAGTGACTTGCTCCTCCTTGCCCTCCGACATGATCATGAGGCCTCCCCAGCCACATGGAATTGTAAGTCCACTAAACCTCTTTCTTTTCTAAGTTGCCCAGTCTCAGGTATGTCTTTATCAGCAGTGTGAAAATGGACCAATACACCAGGTCATGGTAATCCAAATTTCAGTTATTTTTCATGGGAGTTGCATGATACTTTTAGTTTCTTTGCTGCTGTTTTTTTTTTTGTTTGTTTGTTTGTTTTCAGAGACAGGGTCTCGCTGTGTCACCCAGGCGGGAGTGCAGTGGCATGATCATAACTCACTGCAACCTCCAACTCCTGGGTTTAAGTGATACCCCCACCTCAGCCTCTGCAGTAGCTAGGGCTACAGGCATATACCACCACGCCCAGCTAATTTTCAAAATTTTTTTGTAGAGATGAGGTCTCACTATGTTGCCCAGGCTGGTCTTGAACTCCTGGGCTCAAGCAATCCTCCTCCTGCCTTGGCCTCCCAAAATGTTGGGATTACAGGCATGAGCCACTGTGCCTGGCACTGCTGGTATTTTTTTTTTTTTTTTTTTGAGACGGAGTTTTGCTCTTGTTGCCCAGGCTGGAGTGCAGTGGTGTGATCTTGACTCACTGCAACCTCTGCCTCCTGGGTTCAAGTGATTCTCCTGCCTCAGCCTCCTGAGTAGCTGGGATTACAGGCATGCACCACCACACCTGGATAATTTTGTTTTTTTAGTGAGACGGGGTTTCTCCATGTTGGTCAGGCTGGTCTCAAACTTCTGACCTCAGGTGATCTGCCCGCCTCAGCCTCCCAAAGTGCTGGGATTACAGGTGTGAGCCACCGTGCCTGGCCAGTATTTTTTTTTATACCAATAGACGGTCCAAGTGTTGGAGTGATACATCTCTAATAACTATCTGAAGACCTACGATTAAAGTCATAACATTTTTACCACAAATTCCACCACTATACTTTTTGTAATTGATATGCAGCATAATCACATCATATTTTGGTGTAGAGTCCTAGGAATTTGAGCACATGTATAGGCTGGTGTGACCACTACCACAATAAGGATCCAGAGCTGTTCCCAACTTCTCATGTGCTGCCCTTTTGTAGTCAAGGCCTCCCCAACCCCCACCTGGGCAACCACAGATTTGTTCTCTATCTCTATCATGTTGCCTTCTGAGAATGTCATATAAATGGAAGCATATAGCATGTTACCTTTTGAGACTGGCTTCTCCCACTCAGCACAATACCTTTGAGATTTATCCATGTTGTGTTCATCAATAGTTTCTTCCTTTTGATTGCTGGGTAGTATTCCATAGTATGGATGTACCACAATTTGTTTATCCATTGTTTTAGTTTGTGCTGCTACAACAAAATACCTGAGACTGGGTAATTTATTTATTTATTTATTTATTTTTTTGAGACAGAGTCTTGCTCTGTCGCCCAGGCTGGAGTGCAGTGGTGCAATCTCGGCTCACTGCAACCTCCACCTCCCGGGTTCAAGCAGTTCTCCTGCCTCAGCCTCCTGAGTAGCTGAGATTACAGGCACCCACCACCACGCCCAGCTAATTTTTTTGTATTTTTAGTAGAGACAGGGTTTCACCATGTTGGTCAGGCTGGTCTCGAACCCCTGACCTCGTGATCCACCCGCCTCAGCCTCCCAAAGTGCTGGGATTATAGGCGTGAGCCACCGTGCCTGGCCAAGACTGGGTAATTTATAAAGAACAAAAATTGATCGCTTACAGATCCGGAGGCTGGAAAGTCCATAACCAAGGTGCTGGCATCTGGTATGGTGAGTCTTTCTTGCTGCACCACCCCATGGCAAAAGGTGGAATAGCAAACTAATCAAATGCTACATGAAGCCTCTTTTATAAGGGCCTTATTCCCTTTAATGAAGGAGAAGCCCTAATGGCTTAATCACCTGTTAAAGGCACCACCTCTTGATGCCATCACATTGGCAACACCTTTATTTTGGAGGGGACACATTCAAATGATAGCATCCCTTCATCCGTTGATGGTCTGATTCTGGTTTTTGGCTATTATGAATAATGCTGCTGTGAACATTCATGTACAGATGTTTGTATGAAAATGCTTCCTTTTATTTACTACCTAAAAGGTAGCATTCTATAGACATATCTTTGGCACTTTGCTTTTTCACTGTAACTTTATTTTAGAAGTCACTCCACTTCAGTTTGTAGAGAGTTTTCTCACTTTTTTTTTTACAGCCACATAGTATTCTATTGTATGGATGTACCATAGCTTATTCAACTATAAACCTATGTATGGACATTTATATTATTTCCAATATTTTGCAATTTTAAGCAATGTTGTGATGAATGACCTTGTGCATATGTATCTTTGGATCATTAGGGGTTTATCTTCATCTACTGTGACATTTAAAAATCCTATTTATAGGCTGGGCATGGTGACTCAGCCTATGATCCCAGCACTTTGGGAGGCCAAAGCAGGAGGATCACTTGAGGCCAGGAATTTGAGACCAGCCTGGGCCACATAGTGAGATGTCGTCTTTACAAAAAATTTTAAAAATTAGCTGAGTGTGGTGGTGTGCACCTGTAGTCCTAGCTATTGTGGAGGCTGAGGTGGGAGACTCCCTTGATCCCAGGAGTTCAAGGCCCTAGTGAGCTATGCTCTCCAACCTGAGTGACACAGCAAGACCTCATCTCTGAAAAATAAAAATAAAATAAAATCCCATTTGTAATCACTGACCCACGGTGAGTTTAACAGAAAACAAAACAGAAAGAATGAAGCACAGGCCCAACTTCTAATAAAAACAATACACACTTTTACCTATTTCCTGTTCTAAAGAGTTGTCAACTTTTATAAACCATGTGCTGGTGTACCAATGAAAAAAATTAATTGAAGTTTATGAACCTTCAAGATACAAGGCCCCATCTTGCTGCTCTGGGTTGTGAAGTATGTCCCAAAATGGCAGTAGTTATTTGCAATGGGCAGATCAAGGAAACATGAGGTGTGCACGCTGGGTTATTGGCCACGTGAATGTTGAAATCACTGAGAATGACAGGGGAAGCTGGGACAAAGAGGACAGAGAGACTGTGAGTACAGAACTAAATTCTTCACAAATGAGGGTAGTGACTGGGAAGGTATAGAAGACTGCTACCAGGAATGGGAGAGGATGATACAAGCGGATAGCATGAGCCAAGGAAGAACCAAAGATTTCTCAGGAGGGAGGAGGAACAAAGATCAGAAAGTGGTCTTGGGGAGCGACGAGAGCTCGAGCTCCACCTCCTGGCACTCCCTGAGGCATTTAGCTGTGGGGGGGATGAGAAAATAAACAGCTCGCACTTGAAAGGGGTCAGCAGACAGCCAAGGTTTCAATTACAGCAGGGATGGGGGAAGAATATCTTGAGAGATTTGAGGCTTTGGGATTTAACCCATCATAGACTTGGAGTGCTAAGCTTAACTTAAATCTCTCTCAACCTAACCTGCTGATAAGGTCCAGCAGTTGGAGTGTAAAGTGTTCTTTTACTTCTAGGTCAGTTGGTATTTGGCAGCATCAATGAAAGGGGGTGCAGTGAGCCAGTAGCCTTTTGCTATTGGGGCATTGGTGTTATCAGTAGAAGGTCTTGACTGCAAGCTGTCCAGATTCTTGAAGTTTTGAACAAATAATTGGACAAAATGCACAGCAAAGCAAGGAAAGAATGAAGCAATGAAAGAATGAAAGCAGGGATTTATTGAAAATGAAAGTGCACTCCACTGTGTGGGAGCGGCAGAGCAGCGGCTCAAGATCCCCGGATACAGAATCTTCTTGGGTCCAAATAACCCCTAGAGAGTTCCCATTGGCCACTTGATGTTCACCCCATGTAAATGAAGTGGTGGCCCACAATCAGAGGCGAAGTGAAGTTACAAAGGTCACACTCCTATGCAAACATCTGACTGGTGCAAGCAATCAGAGGCTAAAGTGAAGTTACAAAGTTACACTCCTTTGCAAAGTTACACTCTTTTGCTTTTTGCAACCAATGAGAGGTACTTTCAATTACCCATCTGCCATCCAGAAAAGGTGGGGGTTTGGAAAGGGAGTAGTCTCTGGTCCTTTGGTTACTTAGGCGTGGAAAGTTAGGGTTTTCCTTTCAATTTAGTTCTAGGAAGTCAGCATGAAATGGCCTTAGGGTCCTTAACTCCAGTCCCTATTCTCCTGCCTCACTGGGAGTGGTTTTCAGTGTCTCTGCTGGGTGTTCTCCAAGGTTGGCCTGAGGGCCTGGTTGGAGGGTCACAAGGTGGAGCTCCTCCTGCCAGTGTGGCATGCATGGCTGTAGTGTTTAATGTCTGTCCCCAAACAAGAGACTAGCCATATCTACCACAATATTGCCGTCCTGATGTTTTTGCCTATAATTTGCATCAGATTTTGTTGCATTTAAAAGATATCAAAGGAAAACACTGACTGACTACTTAGCTAGACTTCTCCAGACAGCAGTACCTTGGTGAGGGTCCCTGCTGTTGATTTCTTAGCTCTGCAGATCCAGAAATTCAGCTTTATCAGGATACCCTGCAGCCAGCAGGCTCAGAAGGCTGACTCTTGATAACTACCGCCACTCCTTCTTGGTCTCCTTTGTTGGTTCTTCCTCATCTCCATGACCTCTAAAATATTCGAGTGCTCTAGGCTAACTCCTTGAGCTTTTTCTCCATTTAAACCGATTTCCATGCTGATCTCATTTAGTCTCATGGGTTTAAATGTCATCTATGTCCCGATGACTCCCAAATATATACTGTAGTATTCCCTCATCTGAAGTTTCATGTTCCTCAGTTTCAGTTACCTGTGGTCAACTACAGTTTGCAAATATTAAATGGAATATTCCAGACATAAACAATTCATAAGTTTTAAATTATGCACCATTCTGAGTAGTGTGATGAAATCTTGCTTTGTCCTACCTGGGATGTGAATCATCCCTCTGTCCATTGTACCCAAGTTGTCCATGATACCTGCCTGTTGGTCTCTTAGTAGCTCTCTCGGTTATCAGGTGAAAAAAAAACAGTATATATATTGGGTTCAATACTATCCATGTTTTAAGGCGTCCACCAGGGATCTTGGGACAGATCTCCTACAGATAAGAGAGGACTACTGTATCTCTAGTTTGGACTTCTCCCCTGAACTCTGGACTCCCATTGAGAGGTGACAGCCTGCTGGCAGTCCTCAGAGCCCTCGCTTGCTCTCGGCACCTCCTCTGCCTGGGCTCCCACTTTGGCGGCACTTGAGGAGCCCTTCAGCCCACCACTGCACTGTGGGAGCCCCTTTCTGGGCTGGCCAAGGCTGGAGCCCACTCCCTCAGCTTGCAGAGAGGTGTGGAGGGAGAGGCGCGAGCGGGAACCGGGGCTGCCTGCGGCACTTGCGGGCCAGCTGGAGTTCCAGGTGGGCGTGGGCTTGGCTGGCCCCGCACTGGGAGCAGCCGGCCAGCCCTGCTGGTCCCGGGCAATGAGAGACTTAGCACCCGGGCCAGTGGCTGCGGAGGGTGTACTGGGTCCCCCAGCAGTGCCAGCCCACTGGCACTGTGCTCGATTTCTCACCGAGCCTTAGCTGCCTTCCTGCGGGGCAGGGCTCGGGACCTGCAACCCGCCATGCCTGAGCCTCCCACCCACTCCATGGGCTCCTGTGCCGCCTGAGCCTCCCCGACGAGCACCACCCCCTGCTCCATGGCGCCCAGTCCCATCGATCACCCAAGGACCGAGGAATGCGAGCGCACGGCGCGGGACTGGCAGGCAGCTCCACCTGCAGGCCCAGTGCGGGATCCACTAGGTGAACCCAGCTGGGCTCCTGAGTCTGGTGGGGACGTGGAGAGTCTTTATGTCTAGCTCAGGGATTGTAAATACACCAATCGGCACTCTGTATCTAGCTCAAGGTTTGTAAACACTCCAATCAGCACCCTGTGTCTAGCTCAGGGTTTGTGAATGCACCAATGGACACTCTGTATCTAGCTACTCTGGTGGGGCCTTGGAAAACCTTTATGTCTAGCTCAGGGATTGTAAATACACCAATCGGCACTCTATATCTAGCTCAAGGTTTGTAAACACACCAATCAGCACCCTGTGTTTAGCTCAAGGTTTATGAGTGCACCAATGGACACTCTGTATCTAGCTGCTCTGGTGGGGCCTTGGAGAACCTTTATGTCTAGCTCAGGGATTGTAAATACACCAATCAGCACTCTGTATCTAGCTCAAGGTTTGTAAACACACCAATCAGCACCCTGTGTTTAGCTCAAGGTTTGTGAATGCACCAATTGACACTCTGTATCTAGCTGCTCTGGTGGGGCCTTGGAGAACCTGTGTGTCGAAACTCTGTGTCTAACTAATCTGATGGGGACGTGGAGAACCTTTGTATCTAGCTCAGGGATTGTGAATGCACCAATCAGTGCCCTGTCAAAACAGGCCACTCGGCTCTACCAATCAGCAGGATGTGGGTGGGGCCAGATAAAAGAATAAAAGCAGGCTGCTGGAGCCAGCAGTGGCAAGCCACGTGGGTCCCTTTCCATAGTGTGGAAGCTTTGTTCTTTTCCTCTTTGCAGTAAATCTTGCTATTGCTACTGCTCACTCTTTTGGTCCACACTGCTTTTATGAGCTGTAAGACTCACTGGGAAGATCTACAGCTTCACTCCTGAAGCCAGCGAGACCACAAGCCCACCGGAGGAACGAACAACTCCAGACGTGCTTCTTTAAGAGCTGTAACACTCACCGCGAAGGTCTGCAGCTTCACTTCTGAGCCAGCAAGACCACGAACCCACCAGAATGAAGAAACTCTGAACACATCCGAACATCAGAAGGAACAAACTCCAGACGCGCCACCTTAAGAGCTGTAGCACTCACCGCGAGGGTCCGCGGCTTCAATCTTGAAGTCAGTGAGACCCAAGAACCCACCAATTCCGGACACACCATGTTCAGAGGCCCCTTTAGTAGCTCCACTTAGATATTTCATATGCATCTCAATCATAAAGTGTCTCAAGTGAGACCCCTGATCTACCCCACCAAATCTGTCCCTCCCTTGCCTTCCCCATCGTGGCAAATGGAAACTTTTTTTTTTTTTTTTGAGACATAGTCTTACTCTGTCACCCAGGCTGGAGTGCAGTGTTGTGATCCTGGCTCACTGCAAACTCTGCTCCCGGGCTCAAGCAATTCTTGTGCCTCAGCCTCCCTAGTAGCTGGGACTGCAGGTGCACAGCACCACACCTGACTAATTTTTGTATTAGTAGAGACAGGGTTTCACCATGTTGGCCAGGCTGGTCTCGAACTCCTGATCTCGTGATCCTTCCACTTCGGCCCAAAGTGCTGGGATTACAGGCGTGAGCCACCACATACGGCCAATTGATCCTTTTAGCATGAAAGTCAGATGGTGTCACTTCACTGTTTGGAACCCTCCAATGACTCTACATCTCAAAAATCCAAAATCCTAATACTGCTCTGCAAGGCCCTACACAATCTTTCCCTCATCCCCCCACTGCCCCCACATTATCTCTCTGACTCCTCGCCACTACTCTCTCCTGTGTTCACTCTACTTCAGTCACACTGGCCTTTCTGCTGATCCATAAACAAACCAGGCACTCCCCACCTCAGGCCTCTGCGCTTGGTGTCTCTTCTGCCTGGAATGCTTTTCCATAGCCATCTGAATGGTTGCTTCTTCACCTCCTTCAGAGATTTGCTCAAATGTCTTCTTCCCAGTGAGGCCTGAATACTCTGTTTAAAATTGTAACCCCCACCTTGGTACATTCTGTCCCCCTTCCCTGCTTTCTTGTTTTCTATAGAATTTACCACTATCCATCTGACACACTATATATTTTTCTTAAAAAAACCTCTCTCTCTCTCTCTTTTTTTTTTTTTTTTTGACAGAGTCCTGCTCTGTTGCCCAGGCTGGAGTGCAGTGGCTCGATCTTGGCTCACTGCAACCTCTGCCTCCTGGGTTCAAGCAATTCTCCTGCCTCAGCTTCCTGAGTAGCTGGGATTACAGGCATGCACCACCACATGTGGCTAATTTTTTGTATTTTTAGTAGAGATGGGGTTTCACCATGTTGGCCAGACTGGTCTCAAACTCCTAACCTCAAGTGATCCGCCCACCTCAGCCTCCCAAAGTGCTGGGATTACAGGTGTGAGCCACCACTCTGGGCCAAAATCTGTCTCTCTTTAGCCTACTAAGATGTAAGCTCTGTGAGGGCAGAGGTTTTATCTGTTTGGTATACTTCTATATTTTTGGCATTTAAAACTGTAGCCTACTAGGCACTCAATAAATATTTGTTAAATATATGAATGAATGAATGATTCTACTCATAAGTTACAGATATATATGAACCAAAATGTCAGTTTATTAATTGACAGTGAGAACTATAACTGTTAAGCAGACCTGAATACTCACATAGGATATTCAGGGAACCCTCTTCCCTTTAGGGAAGTCTTAATGGGCTATCACACTGCAATAAGAAGTTAGTATAAAACACAGCCTTAGAGCAAAGGGAAATATTAAAATACTCTTCATAGGTCGTTCTATTTTATTTTCTTTTTTTAAATGAACCTGACATTGTGAGCATAACTTCACAGGTAATTCTGCCAATCCATCTTCACTTTAGGAATTCCTTCCAAGTGGAATTGTAATATTCATAGAAGCTGCTCTGGGATCACTCCTGCACAGGGCTCTTTGGCTTTCTTTTATCCAGTTTCTTTTTTTCTTGAGATGGAGTTTTGCTCTTGTTGCCCAGGCTGGAGTGTACTGGTGGGATCTTGGCTCACTGCAACCTCTGCCTCCTGGGTTCAAGCGATTCTCCTGTCTCAGCCTCCCGAGTAGCTGGGATTACAGGGACCCGCCACCATGCCCAGCTAATTTTTGTATTTTTCATAGAGACAGGGTTTTACCATGTTGGCCAGACTAGTCTCGAACTCCTGACCTCAGGTGATCTGTCCGCCTCGGCCTCCCAAAGTAGTGGGATTACAGGCGTGAGCCACCATGCCCGGCTCTTTTATCCAGTTTCTATGTAGCAGAAACACAGATAAATTTTAAGTTTTGCACTTGAGCAAATGGGTGGATGGTGATGTAATTAATTGAGATAGAGAAGAAATTTAAGCTTATTGATGACTTTATGTGAATAACTTAGACTGAAGGTGATGTGTCAGGATAAACTATAAAGAGTGTGAAAGCTTAGGTAAATCCAACGTTAGAGCTTGTTTCATGTTTTCAAGCTGTTATATCAAAAGCAAAGTCTATTATGCCAGAGACTATCCACCAATATCCACATGCTCCCTTACATTTCCAAGCTTTCTTTTTGCCTAAATGGGACCATGTGGTTTTGTTTTGGCAAGGGAACATGTGTAGGATTGATAACTGCCACTTCTAGGCCTAAACCATGTAATACCCTTCATGATTTTTCATGCTATTAATAAATCTCTTTGCTCTTGTACAGCAGGAAGCAAAGGACTCTGAAATGGTGGAACACGATGCAAGGAACCTGTATCCTTGGGTTTACCCCTCAGAGGAAAACCACCCTGGAGAGTTGCTCATACAGGAACCATCTCATAGGACTTTGTGTGAGTGAAAAATCAACCTTTGGTTAAGCCACTGAAATTTCAGGGTTTCTTCGTTACCACAGCAGATTCTAGTCTACCTGACTGTCTCAGTCTGTTTGTGTCGGTATGCAGAAATATCTGGCTGGGCGCAGTGGCTCATGTCTGTAATCCCAGAACTTTGGGAGGCCAAGGCAGGCAGATCACTTGAGGCCAGGAGTTCGAGACCAGCCTGGCCAGCATAGTGAAACTTCATCTCTACTAAAAATACAAAAAATTAGCAAGGTATGGTGGTGTGTGCCTGTAGTCCCAGCTACTTGGGAGTCTGAGGCACGAGAATCGCCTGAGCCCAGGAGGCAGAGGTTGCAGTGAGCCAAGATCGTGCCACTGCACTCCAGCCTGGGTGACAGAGCCAGACTCTGTCTCAAAAACAAAAACAAAAACAAAAACAAACAAACAAAAAGACCAGCCTGGCCAATGTGGCAAAACCCCATCTCTACTAAAAATACAAAAAATTGGCTGGATGTGGTAGTGCACACCTGTAGTTTCAGCTACTCGGGAGACTGAGGCACAAGAATTGCTTGAGTCTGGGAGGCAGTGGTTGCAGTGAGTTGAGATTGTGCCACTGCACTCCAGCCTGGGTCACAGAGTGAGACGCTGTCTAAAAAAAAAAAAAAAGAAAGAAAGAAAAAGAAATATCTGAGCTAATAAAGAAAAGAGGTTTGTTTGGCTCATGGTTCCACGGGCTGGAATGTTGGGCATCTTGGTAAAAGCCTCAGGGTGCTTCCACTCATGGTAGAAGGCAAAGGGGAGCCAGTGTATGCAGAGATCACATGGCAAGAGAGGAAGCAAGGGAGAGAAGGGGGAGGTACTAGGCTCTTTTTAACAACCAGCTCTCATGAGAAGTAATAGAGTGAGAACTCACTCACCACTTCCCTCCCTAGGGCATTAATCTATTCATGAGAGATTTGCCCCATTACCCAAACATCTCCTAATAGGCCCCATCTCCAACACTGGGGATCAAATTTCCACATGAGTTTTGGGGGAACAAACATCCAAACAATAGCACTAACTAACACAGCTACACACTGTTGACCACAAGAAAGCCCTCTCTACCTGAGCTACACATGAAGGTTATGAGAAGCACTTAATGCTTGCCAGTTATGTTAAAGTTTTTTTTTTCCAGCTTTGTTATGAGGTTAGGGTAATGACCATAAATAACTACTTTTGCTCAAGGAAGTCACTGACTTCCCTAAGGAAAATTCATCACTTGACTGAGTTTCAAGAAAAATCTTGTATCTTTCTGGAACAAAAACCCTTAATCTGAATGATCATAAGCATGATTAAGATTAACTTTACGCAGCCCAAATGTATGCTTGTATGACAAGCTTCATCAGTGTTCTATCCTTCCAGATAAACCGAATGCAGTGATTGTAAAAACTGTAGCTACAGCACACATGCCTTTTTTTTTTTTTTTTTGAGACTGAGTGTCACACTCTGTCCCCCAGGCTGGAGTGCAGTGGCACGATCTCGGCTCACTGCAACCTCTGCCTCCCGGGTTCATGCCATTCTCCTGCCTCAGCCTTCCGAGTAGCTGGGACTACAGGCGCGTGCCACCACACCCGGCTAATTTTTTGTGTTTTTAGTAGAGACGGGATTTCACCATGTTAGCCAGGATGGTCTCGATCTCCTGACCTCGTGATCTGCCTGCCTCGGCCTCCCAAAGTGCTGGGATTACAGGTGTGAGCCACTGCAACTGGCAGCACACATGCCTTGATGGAGATTGTGAGGCTGTGGTATTAAATGGTTTTCATTATCTGATTTTCCTAGTTATGAATTAAACTGAAGAACTTGCTGAAAACATTTTGATCATAATGAAGAGACTCTTGAAATGCTTGATTAAGTGTATTCTGAAGAATTTCCCCAAAGTGGATGGCAGTGGTGTGTGGCTAATTGTGTCTATTTGGGTCCTCTAGGAAGCAGATGCTAATACGGAGTTAGGAATGCAGGATGTTGATTGTGGCTAATACCTGTGAAAGATAAAAGGGCAGAGAGCAAGATTGGGCAGGAAAGGCATTCAAACTACAATGCATATCTGACACATGTGAAAGGATAAGGGGTGGAAACAGAATTTGGCAGAGTTGCCTTAGACTTTGAGGCAAATATGACAAAGTCTTGGTCTCAACCCAGTGGGGAGTTCTGGAGGAAAGACTGCCTCTTAAAAGAGTCTCACATTGGGCAGAAGTGGCCAGGCCCTAGAACTGCCACCTTGCTTAGTTATTGACTGGAGGCTGCCCAGGGAAAGCATGGTTTTGTCAAGAATACTGCAGCCAGTCTTGGAAGGTCCTGCAACCTGAGGCTGTAAGCTAACTTCACTCCTCATAGTTCCATGGCAAAGTCTTTCTTGATGGGAGCTCTGAGCTATGCAGCTCCATGCTTGCCACAGTCCATCCTTTGTGTTGCTTGGATTAACTTCAGAGTTCTTGTTCAGAGTTCCTGTGAACCTCTCTTCCTGAGGGAAGACTTAGAAGAGGAGGTTAGTGGGAAGAGCAATAGCTCATCTTGCTGCAGTTGGTCTCAGGGCTGCCACTAGGTTTCATTTTCTTCCTTCTCCACAATCCATTCTATATTTGTACTGATTTTCTGCCTGCTTAATCTATCCATTGCTGACAGAGGGGTGTTGAAATCTCCAATGATAATAGTAGATGTGTCTAGTTATTCTTACAGTTCTATCAATTTTTGTCTCATTTATTTTGATGCTTTGTTGTTAGGGCATACACGTTTTAAGATTGTATTGTTTTCTTGAGACTTGACCCCCATAATGCCCCATTTTATTTTATTTCTTTTTCAGAATTGTAAAATTTTATTTTCTATATGTCAACATTCTTAATAATACAGCTTGATCAAAAAAAATTCTGACCATAAGCATGTTGATTATTTCCCTTTGGAACTGGTGAAGTCAGAAAAATAAAATATTTATTTTGAATATATAGCATCCAAAAGATTCACTTAATGTGGCCTTATTTGTTTATATTCAAAGGCTTTCTTCCCTCAAAATAAAGGTTCTAAGGTAAATTCAAGATTCTTTTGAATGAAAAAAAGAAAACTGGCTGGGCACAATGGGTCAGGCCTGTAATCCCAGCACTTTGGGAGGCCAATGTGAGCATTTCACTCCCAAGAGTTCAAGAACAGCCTGGGCAACATAGGGAGACCCTGTCTCTACAAAATTTACAAAAAATTAGCCAGGTGTAGTGGCACGCTCCTGTGCTCCCAGCTACTCAGAAGGCTGGGGTGGAAAGATTGCTGGAGCCAGGGAAGTCGAGGCTGCAGTGAGCCAAGATTGTACCACTGCACTCCAGCCTGGGCGACAAAGCGAGACCCTGTCTCAAAAAACGAAAACAAAACCTTCTAAAACAGTGAGCTTACAAAACGCAACAGACCGCTAGACACACTTAGTGTAACGTGAAAGTATGTTCACTGAAAAGAAAATTTGAAGCATGACCATAAACCTTTGTGAAAAACCATAATATGCCCTTTACTTCATTTGCTTTTAGCTATTTCATAAATACCACAAGAGAAATTGGACACAGTTTGTGATGAAACTTAGAAAAATTTCTTTTTCCATAAAATAAACAAACATGTAAATCTTTCCCTTTGGCTTCTTCTTCCATTCTTCCTTCACTGTGCTGAAGAGATATTGAGTTCTTTCAGATTTTTGCTTACCTGGGTGGTTTCCGAACTCAATGGACTCTCCAGATAGGTAGTTCCTGCACAAGGTTTTCCTGTCACAGGATCTACGAGTTTTCCAACTTTGAAAACAATCTCAGCCAGTTCATGTTTCACATGCTTTGTTCGTGGAACAGGTAAAGCTTTGAGAAGCACGATATCCCCAATTGTGCACTGCTGAAGGGCATTGTGAGCAAAGTACGTTTTTTGCTTATTATAATACTTTAATAAATGGGGATCCAGAACAAGCCTGATCACTCTCACTTTAGCAGTCTTTTGCATTTTTGTCCCAGTCACCTTCCCCATAATCCATTTGGCATGGACGGATAAACGAACTATGGACATTATGTGGCTATGGTCACCTCCGCCACTGCTTTGCAGCCATCTGACCTGTGGAGTGCCGGTCGCAGAATGATCCCCATTTTATTCTTGATGACATTCCTTGTTATGAAACCTGCTTTATCTGATAGAAATATAACTACCCCAACTTTCTTGTGTTCAGTGTTTTTTTGTTTTTTTGTTTGTTTGTTTTTTGTTTTTTTAGTATATCTGTGGCTATCTTTTTACTTTATTTTTAAGTTTTTTGTAGAGATGGGGTCTCACTATGTTGCCCAGGCTGGTCTCAAACTCCTGGGCTCAAGCAATCCTCCCGCCTCAGGCTCTCAAAGTGCTGGGATTACAGGTGTGAGCCACCATACCTTTGACTTTTAATATGTCTATGTCTTTATATTAAAAGTGGATTTCTTATAAACAGTGTGTAATTGGAGCTTATTTTCTTATCCACTATGACAATCTCTGTCTTTTAATTGGTGCATTTAGACCATTCACATTTAAAGTGACTTTGATATAGTCAGACTAATATCTACCATCTTTATAACTATTTTCTTTCGTATATTTATTTATTTAAATTGATACATATTAGATGTACATACTTTTGGGATACATGTGATAATTTGATGCATTTACATAATCGGATCAGGGTAATTAGAATATCCATCATCTTAAACATAAATCTTTTCTTTTAACTAGGAACATTTGAATTATTCTCCTCTAGCTATTTTGTTTTGTTTTGTTTTGCTTTTTTGAGACAGAGTCTTGCTCTGTCATCCAAGCTGGAGTGCAGTGGCACGATCTCAGCTCACTGCAACCTCTGCCTCCTGGGTTCAAGCAATTCTCCTGTCTCAGCCTCCCGAGTAGCTGGGACTACAGGCGCATGCCACCACGCCCAGCTAATTTTTGTATTTTTAGTAGAGATGGGGTTTCACCATATTGGTCAGGCTGGTCTTGAACTCCTGACCTCAGATGATCCACCTGCCTCGGCCTCCCAAAGTGCTGGGATTACAGGCGTGAGCCACCGCGCCCGGCCTCTTCTAGGTATTTTGGAATGTACAATTGATTCACGTTAACTTTAATCACTCTACTGATGATTGAAAACCAGGTCTTATTTCTTCTAAGTGTGTATTTGTGTCCATTTTTATAACTGTTTTCTATTTATTGCTCTTGTTCTTTGTTTTTTCCCTATTGTCTTTTTCTGCCTTCCCTGGTTTAAATTGAGCTTTTCATATGATTCCATTTTATCTCCTCTCCTAATGTATCAGTTGCAATGGTTGCCCTATACTTTATAATATACATTTTAATTAATTAATTTATTTTTGAGACCGGGTCTCACTTTGCCACCCAGGCTGGAGTGCAGTGGCTCAATCTCGGCTCACTGCAGCCTCGACCTTCTGGACTCAAGTGATCCTCCTACCTCAGCCCTGCAAGTAGCCGGGACTACAGATGCGTGCCATGCTGCCTGGCTAATTTTTGTATTTTTTTGTAGAGACAAGTTTTCACCATGTTGCCCAGGCTGGTCTCAAACCCCTGAGCTCAAGCTATCCTCCTGCCTCAGCTTCCCAAAGTGTCAGGATTACAGACATGAGCCACCACGCCCAGCCTATAACGTACATTTTTAACTAATGTAAGTCAACCTTCAACTAACACTATACTGCTTCATGAGTAGTGCAGGCATCTTATAACAGAGTATTTCTAATTTTTACTCCCCATGTCTCTGACCTCCAAAATGCTCTGGTGGCAGCTGTAGCGTATAGTTCAATGGGACTCCTGCTACGCCCCTGGCAAGAGTGTGCTCACCTCTTACACTGTAGAGCCCCAGGTTGTGGAGACTGAAAGCACAATGTCTTGCTACTAGTAGGTTATTGAGAATGATGGTTCTCCTGCTTTCACTCCTTGGTTCCTGCACCCATGTATTTTTCCTCTTGGCGAGATGGTGCCATATAGAGGTCTCTAATTTAGTGCTTACACTGCATCCTGGAGGATGCTACCACATCTTTGCAGAGTGTTGCTTCTGAGCTGGTGCTTCAGCTGCTCCTTGCCATTCCATCACTCTGTCAGGCCAGCTACTTATGAATGGTGTGGAATGTTGCATGCCTAGGGGATCCTATGGTCATAGGCACGCTCCCAAACTTCCTTTGCTATGAAATAAATTCCCTGTTTGGATGCTGTGCTGTGTTGGATTCCATGGTGTGGATCAGGCACTCCTTAAGCCCCTGGATGGTGGTGCTGGATGAGGTTCTGTGGGCAGGAAAGGCAAAACCATATTCAGAAAGAATGTCCATCCTGTGAGAATGAATTGCTGGCCCTTCCAGGATGGAAGAGGCCCCGTCATCCCCATTGCTAGTTATGAGCCCAGCTCTGTGATTGCCCCTCCTATCATCCACTCTGGCCTGCAGAGGAGAGCCACATTGAATTTACTGGTGATATGCTGGCATCCCTCTCTCCAGCACATTCCTTATGGACTGGGTGAACTGGATGTTCCCTGAGTCCTTCTGTACAAGAGAATCCTCCAGTGGGTCTTCTGGCCTCACATGACATACGCACTCCAGCGTGTCCACCTCCCTGAGCCTTCTCATTCCTTTCTTCACTATCTGCCAGGGCAATGTAGGCATTTCTACTGCACTTAGTGTCAGACAACATGTTTTTCATGCTTCTAGGATCTATCCTAGCATTGTGTTTGTGCTGTCTTCCAGGGCCCTTCCCCGGGTGTATACCAGGAGAGTACTCCTATATTGGTAAACTATCTTCTATCCAAATTTGTGTTCTGTCTCCTTGCTTATTACCTGGAATTCCTTGTTAGAGAAACTTTTTGGGTCTCTAGACATCAATTTCCAGTAGTCTCTAAATGTCTGTCCTTCGTGTAGAGTCATCTAAGTCTTAGGTCCTTTTGGGAGAAGGACTCAAACTATGGTTTATAATTGCCATGGTGATGTGTAGGGTTCTTCTTCCAGGGGACCTAGCCACCTCTTCAGTCAATGAGTCCTAAGTCTGATAACTCAGATCCAGGAACTAGGCAGGAGATCATGGCTTTTTATAGGAGTGTTGACCTTCAACCTCCTCCTCATCTATTGCCACTTAAAAATTATGTAATTAAACGATATTCTTGTTGGCAATCCACCTATTTTGCCTCTAGGGACAACATGCACTATTAATCCTCTTAACTCCTGGAGTGTCTTTGGCTGCTCCTCTGATTGCTAATCACTGTGGTCTAAGTGCAGCCTTCTGACTTCGGGCAGTTAAACACAGTCACTCGGCCCTTATAACTTTGGCTTCCATTAACAAGCCCAGCTCTGTGATTGCCTCTCCTGTAGTCCACCTTGGCCTGCAGAGGAGCAACACCATGGAACATCTTGGTGATGCTGGCACCCCTTTCACCAGGGCATTCCACATGGCGTTGGTAAATCGTGCATCTCCTGAGCCCTCCTGTGCAACATAATTCTCTGGCTGGTCTTCGGGCCTCAGGTTATATAACCACTCCAGCATATTCACCTTCCTGCGCTACTTAGTTCCTTTCATTACCATCTGTCCTGGCAATTTAGGCATTTCACCCTCACTCAATGTGAGTTATCACTTTCCCCAGGGTTCTAGGGGCCACCCTGACTGCCAGTTTACACCAACTCCTAGGGTCCTTGCCACAGTGCTAAGTCCTGTATTCCTGGACAGTGCCCCCAAATCAATAAACTCTCCCTTACCTAGTCTTATGTTCTGGCCCCATTGCTCAAACACTCTAAATCCAGTCCGTGGGACCTCTCTGACTCCTAGTATATGTTGGCTAGATCTTACAACTCCTTTGGGGTATAGATCTTTTCCTTTCTTACCAGGCCCAGCGCATCCCTGGCAGGCTTACACCCTGACTTAACCCTACTTACTGGTCTTATAGCCAGGAGAAAAGGTGGAGGCAGATCTTGGTGCCTTATAAGGGAAAGGCCTTTGTGCTGTCTTCCCACAAAGGATGGGGTGGATGCCAGCCCTTAATAGGGAGAGATGAGTTACTGCTGCAGGCTCTAAAGGTTCAGAGCAGTCTGAGGAGTCAAAATCTTTGGGAGCACCCACTTAGACATTCCCATGCTGTTTGCCACGATCCTGGGTTTGCCTAACTGGAGTGCTGACTTGAGTATCGTGGACCTGGCTTGGATGAGTATACAGTCACCTTTGAAGCTTGGTCATTCTGAGTTTGATCTCTAGGTTTTTCTGCTGTCTCACTGAACGAGATAAGAACATCTTTATGAGCTACCAAAGAGGTCCTCTGGCCTTCATGCTTAGTTTTCAATAGTTAACTGCCCTCAGCCACTTAATTGTCCCTTCATATGGTGTCTGTGCACCTTAATGACAGCCAGCCAAGTCCACAGTCCTTCTATGCAAAGTTATTCATCTCTACTCTTCATTGCACCTGCCAGAGCATTTTCTTTTTACCAGAACACTCTCCCAAGTTACTACCAGTGACAGTTTTAGCAGTTGGGCCACCATCTTGTACCAGGGACTATCCATGGTCCACATACTACTTGGGAAGAAGTCCTCATTTCATTTCATTAAGTGATCCAGTGCCAAAACCCCAATCATCTCCTGCTTTCTCAGACCAATCCTGGTACCAATTGTGTCAGTTCAGGTCCTCTGGGAAGCAGATACTGAGACAGAATTAGCAGTGTAAGAAGTTTATTGGGGTCTGCTTGTGAATTACAAAAGGGGAGGAAGCAAGATTGGGCAGGAAATGCCTCAGACCATGACACAGACTTGACACTTGCGGATAGAAAGGGGAAAGGCAGTATAGTTGGGAAGGGAGAGTCTCAGATGACAATGCAGATCTGACAATGCCAAATCTCTGAGTCAGGATGCCCCAGGACTCAGTCCTTGGCCCTTCTCCCTTCTCTAGCCCCACTTACTCCCTTGCTAATAATCCTTTCCAGTTCCAGGGCTATAAATACCACCTATACTGATGACTCCCAAATTTCTATCTCCAGCCCACGCCTTTCTCCTGAGCTCTAAGCTTATATATTGTTTCCCACTTGAAGATTTACTGATTCCCAACTTAACATGTCTAAAACTGAACTTTTGCTTCCTACCCTGACCCATTTCATTCTTCCTAGATTCTTCCACACCTCAGTCAATAGCTCCCACTATTCACTCAGTTTCCCAGTTAGTCATCTTTGACTTTTTTTCTCTCTCTTATTTCCCAAGCATATCAAGTTCTAATAGCCCTTCTGTTCTTTACCCATGCCAACATATTTCTACATCAAGACCCTTGCACATGCAGTTTCTTCTGCCTGAAATGAGCTTCCCTGTCTTCACATAGAGATCCTTCTCTTCCTTCAACTTTCCAGTTTAAATATTGTCTCTCCAGAGAGGACGTCTATGAATACTCTCTTATACTCTCTCCTAGCACCCTGTCTTTTCTTTTCTTTTCTTTTCTTTTCTTTCTTTCTTTCTTTCATTCTTTTTTTTTGAGATGGAGTTTCACTCTTGTCACCTAGGCTGGAGTGCAATGGCACTTTCTCGGTGCACTGCAACCTCCACCTCCCAGGTTCAAGTGATTCTCCTGCCTCAGCCTCCAGAGTAGCTGGGACCACAGGTGTGCACCACCACGCCCGGCTAATTTTTGTGTTTTTAGTAGAGACAAGATTTTACCATGTTGGCTAGCCTGGTCTTAAACTCCTGATCTCAGGTGATCCGCCCGCTTCGGCCTCCCAAACTGCTGGGATTACAGGTGTAAGCCACTGCACCCGGCCACACCCTGTATTTTCTTAATATCACTTAACAAGTTTGTGGCTATGTATTTATCTTTTTTTTGTTAATGTCTGTCTCCTTCATTAGCATGTAAGCTCCACCAGGGTAGGGGATTGTCTGTTTTGTTCCCTACTGTGCCATGTAGTGTGTTCAATGAATATTTGTTGAATGAATAAATGAATTAAATATATTTCCAACAATTTATTGTCTTCTGTCATTGAATTGAACCATTTTAAAAATTGTGTATTAGAGAAGTAAAGAAGTGCCCTTAAGGACATCTAGTCCAGTATTATGCTGGACAATGTCAATGCTTCATTAACTAATGCTGCATTCATTACCTAAGGCTGTTATAACATAGTGGCACAAACTGAGCACAGAAATGTATTGTCTCACAGATCTAGGGAACAGAAGTCTGAAATCAAGGGGTCAGCAAGGTTGGTTTCTTATGAAGGCTGAGAGAGAGAATCTTTTCTATGCCTCTTTCATTGCTTCTGGGGGTTTGCAGCCAATCTTTGGCATTCCTTGGCTTGTAGATGCATTGCTTCAATCTCTGCCTTCATCTTTCTTCACGTGGCTTTCTCCCCATGTCTCGGTCTCTGTCCGAACATTCCATTAAAAAAAAATTTATGGCCAGGTGCGGTGGCTCACGCCTGTAACCCCAGCACTTTGGGAGGCCAAGGCGGGTGGATCACCTGAGGTCAGGAGTTTGAGACCAGCCTGACCAATATGGTGAAACCCCATCTCTACTAAAAATACAAAAATTAGCTGGGCGTGGTGGCGTGTGTCTGTAGTCCCAGCTACTTGGGAGGCTGAGGCAGAAGAATCGCTTGAACCTGGGAGGCGGAGGTTGCAGTGAGCCGATATCATACCACTGCACTCCAGCCTGGGCAACAGAGCAAGACTCCATCTCAAAAAAAAAATTATTTTAAGTTCCGGTATACACGTGCAGGACGGACAGGTTTGTTACATAGGTAAATGTGTGCCATAGTGGTTTGCTGCACAGATCAACCCATTAGCTAGATATTAAGCCCCCCATGCATTAGCTATTTATCCTGATGCTCTCCCTCCCCCCAAGAAGATTCTGTATCCAGGGCCCTTGAGCCACTGCTCCGCCCACTCCCACACTGTGGAGTGTACTTTCGTTTTCAATGAATCTCTGCTTTCCTTGCTTCATTCTTTCCTTGCTTTATTTGTGTGTTTTGTCCAATTCTTTGTTCAAAATGCCAAGAACCTGGACACCCTCCACCCGTGACAGAACAGAATAGAGAACCCAGAAATAAAACTGCATACCTACAGCCATCTGATCTTTGACAAACCTGACAAAAACAAGCAATGAGGAAAGAATTCCCTATTCAATAAATACTGCTGGAATAACTGGCTAGCAATATGCAGAAGATTGAAACTAAACCGCTTCCTTATACCATATCATACAAAAATTAACTCAAGATGAACCAAAGACTTAAATGTAAAACCCAAAACTATAAAATCCCTGGAAGACAACCTAGGCAATACCACTCAGGACATAGGCACAGGGAAAGATTTCATGACAAAGACACCAAAAGCAATTGCAACACAAGCAAAAATTGACAAAGGAGAGCTAATTAAATGAAAGAACTTCTGCACAGCAAAAGAAACTATCAACAGAGTAAACAGACAACCTACAGAACGGGAGAACATTTTTGCAAACTATGCATCTGACAAAGGTCTAATATCCAGCATCTATAAGGAACTTAAACAAATTTACAAGAAAAAACTAAACGACCCTATTAAAAAGTGGGTAAAGGACATGAACAGACATTTTTCAAAAGAAGACATACGTATGAACAACAAGCATATGAAGAAAAGCTCAATATCACTGATCATTAGAGAAATGCAAACCAAAACCACAATGAGGTACCATCTCAAGCCAGTCTGTATGGCTATGATAAAAAGGAAAAAAAAAAAAGCAGACACTGGCAAGGTTGCAGAGAAAAGGGAACACTTGTACACTATTGGTGGGAGTGTAAATTAGTTCACCCATTGCAGAAAGCAGTATGGTGATTCCTGAAAGAGCTAAAAGTAGAACTACCATTCAACCCAGCAATCTCATTACTGGGTATATACCCAAAGGAATATAAATCAGTCTGTTATAAAGACACATGCACATGTATGTTCATTGCAGCACTATTCACAATAGCAAAGACATGGAATCAACCTAAATGCCCATCAATGATAGACTGGATAAAGAAAATGTGGTACATATACACCATGGAATACTATGCAGCTATAAAAAATAACAAGAGCATGTCCTTTGCAGGGACATGGATGGAGCTGGAGGCCATTATCCTTAGCAAACTAATGCAGGAACAGAAAACCAAATACTGCATGTCCTCACCTATAAGTGGGAGCTAAATGATGAGAACACATGGACACATAGAGGGGTCTTTCACACACTGGGGCCTTTCAGAGGGTGGAGGGTGGGAGGAGGGAGAGCATCAGGAAAAGTAACTAATGGGTACTAGGCTTAATACCTGGTGGTGAAATAATCTGTACAGCAAACCCTCATGACACACATTTACCTATGTAACAAGCCTACACATGTACCCCTGAACTTAAAATAAAAGATTTTAAAAATAGAATAAATAGGGTTACTATACACAAAAATACATTATTTTTTTTAAAAAGGCCATTTTCAAGAGCAACAAAAAATAAAGCATTTAAGAACAAACTTGTAAAGCTTCATTGAAAGACATTAAAGATCTGAATAAATCATGAGATAAGCCATAAAAAAATCACCTACTCATCAATAAATTCAGTGCCATCAATGAATAAAAAAAGAAAATGGGGCCGGGCGCAGTGGCTCATGCCTGTAATCCCAGCACTTTGGGAGGCTAAGGCGAGTGAATCACCTGAGGTCAGAAGTTCGAGACCAGCCTGGCCGACATAGCGAACCCTATCTCTACTAAAAATACAAAAATTAGCTGAGCATGGTGGCGCATGCCTGTAGTCCCAGCTCCTCAGAAGCCTGAGGCAGGAGAATCGCTTGCACCGGGAGGTGGAGGTTGCAGTGAGCTGAGATCGCGCCACTGCCCTCCAGCTTGGGTAACAGAGTGAGACTCCATCTAACAAAAAAAAAAACCAAACCATAAATGGGTGTAAAGTAAGTAACAGTAGATAGGACATTGAAATAAAAATAACTTTATGAACATCTTTATGCCATTAAATTTGAACACTTAAATGGATAATTTTATATAAAGCTAAAATTTACCAAAATTGACTCAAGAAAAAATGGGGAAAACTGAACAGACTTATGTTTGTGAACTAAATTGAAGCAGTGGTTAAAATCTATCAACCAACAAACAACCACCACCTACCTGCTAGATAGTTGGTTGTATAGGTGAATTCTATCAGATATACAAGGAACAGATAATCTCAATACTATATAAACTGTTGGATTAAATCTCCCCCAACTCGTTTTATAAGGCTAGCATAACCTCTATGCTAAACCAGGCAAAGATATTATGAGAAAGAAAAATTACATGCTAACTTCACTTGTGAACATACATGCCAAAATCTAAAACAAAATACTAGCAATCAGAATGAAAAATGCATTGAAAATACCTATGACCAAGGTGGGTTTATCTCAGTAATAAAAGAGTGATCTAACTTAAGAAAACTATTAATTTACGTCACCATAATGATACAAAGGAGCAAAACTAGCACTTCTATTCAACCTTGTACTGTAGGTCCCAATTAGTGTAGTAAGAAAAGGAAAATAAATAAAAAGTAAGGATCAAAAAAGGAGAAACAAAGCTTATTATTTGCAGATGACATGACTGTCCACATAGAAAATACAAAAGTATATGTAAAATATTGAAGCAAGGTTTTAGGATATAAGAGCAATATAAAAAAACAATAGTGTACCAATTAGAGCTTACAGTAGAAACAAAAACTGAAAGACACCCAGGAATAAATCTAACAAAAGATGTACAAGACCTATATGCAAAAAAGTATAAATCTTTATTGAATAACATTAAAGAAAATCTAAGTTAATAGATAAAATATGTTCATGTATAGGAAGACTTAATAATGTAATGATGCAAAGTCTCCCTAAATTCATTTAGAGATTGAATGCAATTCCAATTAAAATTCTAAATAGAACCAAGAATAAGCAAGACAATATTAAAGCAGTACAATATACCCTACCCGATGGCAGCACTTCTTATAAGCTGTAGTAATTAAGGCAGTACAGAGAAAAATAGACCAGTGGGACAGAATGCAAAGAGCCCAGAAACCACGTGTAAAGAAAATCTTAATACATGATCAGTGTGGAAATGATTTATTTAATAAATGTTGTTGGAACCACTGGTTATTATTTTGAAAAAAATAAAATCTCAACCCCACATTGTACACAAAAACAAACTCAAAGTGGTTTTATTTTATTTTATTATTTTTTTGAGATGGAGTCTCACTCTGTCCCCCAGGCTGGAGTGCAGTGGCGTGATCTCGGCTCACTGCAACCTCTGCCTCCTGGGTTTGAGCGATTCTCCTGCCTCAGCTTCCTGACTAGCTGGGACTACAGGCACGTGCCACCATACCCGGCTAATTTTTTGTATTTTTAGTAGAGATGGGGTTTCACTGTGTTAGTCAGGATGGTCTCGATCTCCTGACCTCATGATCCACCTGCCTCAGCCTCCCAAAGTGCTGGGATTACAGGCATGAGCCACCGCACCCGGCCCAAAGTGGTTTTATGACCTAAATGTGATAAGTAGTTACAAACTTTTAGAAGACAGCATGGGAAAATATCTTTTTTTTTTTTTTAGACAGAGTTTGGCTCTTTCACCCAGGCTGGAGTGAAGTGGCATGATCTTGGCTCACTGCAACCTCTGCCCCCTGTGTTCAAGCGATTCTCCTGCCTTAGCCTCCCAGGTAGCTGGGATTCTAGGCGCCTGCCACCACGCCTGGCTAATTTTTGTATTTTTGGTAGAGACGGGGTTTCGCCATGTTGGCCAGGCTGGTCTCGAACTCCTGACCTCAGGTGATCCACCCGCCTTGGCCTCCCAAAGTGTTAGGATTACAGGCATGAGCCACCGCGCCTGGTCAGGGCAAATATCTTTATGACCTTGTAGTAAGGAGGGATTTCATAAACAAAATACAGCTAGATAAGCCATAAATAAAGTAAAATCTGGCTAAATTATACTACATTAAAAATTTAAAACTTGCGTACAAAAAGACAAGTCATAAACAAAATGAAAAAACAAGCTTCAGTCTAGGAAAAGATAATTGCAACATGCTTGCTTTTATCCCAGACCCTTGGCAATTGATTTTTCTCTGCCTGGAAGAATACTCTTCATTCAAATATACATCTGACTCTCTTCTTCAATTAATGAATGTGTCTGTCCAAATGTCACCTCCTCAAAGAGGCCTTCTTTGACCACCGTATTGAAAATAAAACCATCGTCACTTCATCTTCTCCATTTGTTTTATCTTCATAGCACTTATTACTACCTGATATTATATATCTATTTGCTCTTTATTGCATGTCTCCCCACTAGAATTCAAACTCCTTGAGATCAGGGACTTTGCCTTGCTGACTTGCCACATCCTTCTGTCCTCAAATAATGTGTGGCATATACTATATACTAAATAAATACTTGTTGAATGAATGAATAAATGAATATAAGTGATAAAGGGTTAGTATTAGAATATGTAAAGACTACAGATTAGTTAAAAACCAATAAATGGCCCAATAGGAAAATTGTCAAGGGCTTATGAATAGGCAGATCACAGAAGAAGAAATCTGAAGATACAGTAAAAATACGGAAAGCTATTTTATATAATTTGTAATCAGGAAAATACAAAATTAAACAATAATGAAACCACCACATCATACCCAAGAGACTGGTAAAAATTAAAAGTTTGATGGTATTAATTATTGGTAAGGGCATAGGGAAAAGGGAACTGTTTACTGTTAGTTGGAGTATAAATTAGCACAAAGATTTTGGAGAACAATTCTTTTTTTTTTTTTTTTTTGGGACAGAGTCTCACTCTGTCGCACAGGCTGGAGTGCAGTGGCGTGATCTCGGCTCACTGCAGCCTCTGCCTCCTGGGTTCAAGCGATTCTTCTGCCTCAGCCTCCTGAGTAGCTGGGACTACAGGCACGTGCCACCACACCTGGCTAATTTCTTTTTGTATTTTTAGTAGAGACAGGATTTCACCATGTTGGCCAGGATGGTCTCGATCTCCTGACCTCTTGATCTGCCTGCCTCAGCCTCCCAAAGTGTTGGGTTTACAGGCGTGAGCCACTGCACCCGGCCAAGAATTTGATAATATCTAATAAAGATAAACATACACATACCCTAAGACCCAGAAATTCTACTCTCAGATAATATGCTAGAGATACTTTTTCTTTTTCTTTTCTTTCTTTCTTTGTTTTTTCTTTTTTTTTTTTTTTTTCCCTGAGACGGAGTCTCTCTCTGTCGCCCACACTGGAGTGCAGTGGCACGATCTCGGCTCACTGCAACCTCAGCCTCCTGGATTCAAGTGATTCTCCTGCCTCAGCCTCCCAAGTAGCTGGGATTACAGGCATGCACCACCATGCCTGGCTAATTTTTTGTATTTTTAGTAGAGACAGGTTTCACCATGTTGGTCAGGCTGGTCTGGAACTCCTGACCTCAGGTGATCTGCCTGCCTCGGCCTCCCAAAGTGTTGGGATTACAAGTGTGAGCCACCACGCCCAGCCAGGGATACTTTTTCATATCTGAGTCAGGAGACCACACAAGAATGTTCATAGCAGCATTGTTTGTAATAGTAAATGACTACATGTAACCCAAATGTACACCACCAGTTGAATAGAAAAATAAACCATGGTATACTTATACAATGGGATGCTGTATGTCAGTAAAAATGAGCAAATTTTAGCTATACACATTGATGGGAATAAATTTCATAAACACACTAAGCAAGAGAAGGAAATTGCAGAATACGTGCTATATAGTTTGATTTCTGTAAAGTTCAAAAGATGACAAATTGCAATATGTTTTCTGTGGATAGATGAATAGGTGGAAGGGATAGTGTTTACCTCTGAAGGTGGAGGGAGTGGCATGAGATCAGAGGAGGCTACATTGTTATGGCTTTTATTACTTTTTTTTTTATTTGAGACAAAGTCTCACTCTGTCACCCAGGCTGGAGTGCAGTGGTGCCATCTCCGCTCACTGCAGCCACGACCTCCTAAGCTTAGGTGATTCTCCCACCTCAGCCTCCCGAGTAGCTGGAATTACAGGCATGCACCACCACACCCAGTTAATTTTTTTGTATTTTTAGTAGAGACAGGATTTCACCATGTTGGCCAGGCTGGTCTCAAACTCCTGGACTCATGTAATCTGCCCACCTTGGTCTCCCAGAGTGCTGGGATTACAGGCATGAGCCACCGAGCCTGGCCAATTTTTATTACTTTTAAAAGAAGCAAACATGTTAAGATTTGACAAAGATGGGCAGTGATAATATTATGACGCGAGTTATCATTTTATTAGTCCCCTAGTGTGTGCTTGAAAAGACTCATTTGAAAAAGTATTGGCCAGGCTCTGTGGCTCACGTCTGTAATCCCAGCACTTTGGGAGGCCGAGGCAGGTGGATTGCCTGAGGTCAGGAGTTCGAGAACAGCTTGGCTAACATGGTGAAACCCCATCTCTACTAAAAATACAAAAATTAGCTGGGCGTGGTGGTGCACGCCTGTAGTCCCAGCTACTCGGGAGGCTGAGGCAGGAAAATCACTTGAACCCAGGGGGTGGATGTTGCAGTGAGCCGAGCTGAGATTGCACCACTGCACTCCAGCCTGGGTGACAGAGCAAGATTCCATCTCCAAAAAAAAAAGAAAAGAAAAGAAAAGAAAAAAGTACCACCAGTTCAGTACCATCTGTATTTGTGTGTGTGTGTGTGTGTGTGTGTGTGTATGTGAGTTGAAAAGTTGAAACAGTTTGGTAATGCTACTATTGTCTCACTCTCATGGCCTCTCCCTTCTGTTTACACTGTCCCAGATTTAGGGTTATTTGCTGAACGGAGATCATGCAGTTTTCAAGTTTGAAACTCAGCTTAATTTGGGACAGGGATCAGCAAACTTGTTCTGTTTGGGCCAAATAGTAAGTAATTTGGGGCCGTATGGTCTCTGGGCCAAATATTAAGCTTTGCTGGCCATGTGGTCTCTGTTGCAACTACTGAAGTTTCCCATCATAGCATGGCAACAGTGTGGTAGGCAGAATTCTAAGATGGCTTCTGAGATTCCTGGCCCCTGATGCATACAAACTTTATCTCAGTTATTTAATCAAACACTAATCTAGGTGCTGCCGTGAAGGGATTTTGGAGACATACTTAATGTCTCAAATCAGTTGACCTTAAAATAGGGAGATTATGCATGGTAGGTTTTGCCTAATCAGGTGAGCCTTTAAAAGGGATAGGGCTCTTCCTAGTAAGAGAGATTCAAAATGTTAAAGAGGTTGAATGTGAGGGAGACTCTCTATTGCTTACTTTGAAGATGGAGGGGCCATGTGGCAAGGAATGTAACCAGCCTCTAGGAGCTGAAGGTAGCCCTTGGCTGGTGGCCAGCATAAGAATGGGAGTCCCAGTTCTACAACTGCAAAGAATTAAATTCTGCCAACTAGGTGAGCTTGAAAGAGGACCTTGAGCCTCAGATGAGACTACCACCCTGGCCAACACCTTGATTTCAGCCTGGTGAGACCCTGAACAAACAGCCCAGTCCTGCCGGGACTGCTGACCAGTGGAAACTGTAAGATAATAAATTTGTGTTTTAAGTAAGCCACTAAAGTTGTGGTAATTTGTTATACAGCAACAGGAAAGTGATGCAAACAGCCATAGACAATATGTAAATGAATGAGTGAGGGAGGATGTGTTCCCATAAAACTTTATTTATTAACACTGAAATTTGAATTTCATGTAAATTTCACGAGTCACAAAACATTTTTCTTCTTTCAATTTTTTTAACTGTTTAATATATGTGTGTGTATATATATATATGTGTGTGTGTGTGTGTGTGTGTGTGTGTGTGTGTAGTTAGCGTGTAGGCTGTACAAAAAACCAGTGATGGGATGGATTTGGCCTGTGGGTTACAATTTGGCAAACCCCATATCTAGGAATTGGTGCATTTTTTTGTCAAACACTCTGAACTTTGGAAAATTTTTCAGGTCTCATAGGAATACGGACATCAGTCTCTAAAACACCCTTTTATTCACGATTTTAAATGAGTTGTAGCTCATTTTCTTCACATAGCATTGTAAGCATCATAGTATTTTTCAAACACAAAATACATTTTAAAATAATTTGCACTAATGGTCTAAATCTCTTCTAAATATCAAATCTAAACTATAAAACCATTTAATTTATACATCAATTTCTAGCATTCAAATAGGTTCAAAGGAACATTGCCAACTTTAATGAAAATATTGTAGTTATTTATTTATTTTATATCCCCCAAGGAAGTACTCTTTATTCTTTTGATTGTATGATTCTAATTAGATGATAAACACGCATGGCCTTTCTTAAGACATGTTAATTAGTATGGATGTTGCTATAACAATCTTCTGGCAATTTATGTTTTCCGAATATCTGGTATATCATGCATTAATTTTTATCATTTAATGAAATTGCTAAATCAGGAATTTAGAATGCTGTGTTTAAACTTTCTTTAATTAGAAATGGAGATATGAAAGAAGGTAGGACTCTTGGAAACAACAGTTTGATAGCACAAGATAGACATGTTTTGGGGACACTTTCTGGATTAGTTTCCTAGGGCTACTGTAACAAAGTAGTACAAACTGGGTGGCTTAAAATAACAGAAATTTATTTTCTCACAGTTCTGGACACTAGAATTCTGAAATCAAGGTGTTTTCAGAGCCTGCCCCTCTGAAACCTGGAGGGGAGAATCCTTCCTTGTCTCCTTCTAGCTTCTGTTGTTTTCTGGTAATCATGGGTGTTCCTTGGCTTGTAGATGGATCGCTCCAATTGTTGCCTCTGTCATCACATGGCTGTCTTCTTCCCCGTGTCTCTGTGCATCTTCTACTCTTAGAAAGACACCAGCCATATTGGATTAGGGCCCACCCTAATGACCTATCTTAATTTGATTACATCTTTGATTATTTCCAAATAAGTTCTCATTTACAGGTGAGGTAGGAGAATAGGGTCTGGAGGTAGGGAACCTGAGGCTGATTCACACTGACTTCCTAGAAGGAAATGGAAAGGAAAACCCTAACTTTCCACGCCTAAGTAACAAAAGGACCAGAGGCTACTCCCTTTGCAAATCCCCACCCTTTCTGTGGGGCAGATGGGAAATTGAAAATACCTCTGATTGGTTGCTTTTTGCATAGGATTGTAACTTTGTAACTTCAGCCTCTGATTGCGGGCCAAGTCTTTGTTTGCATAGAAGTGCAATTTGTAACTTCACTTTAGCCTCTGACTGTGGGCCACCACTTCATTTACATAAGGGGAACACCAAGTGGCCAATGGGAAACCTCTAGGGAGTGTTGGACCGAAGAAGATTCTGTGTCGGGGCCCTTGAGCGGCTGCTTCAGCCCACTCCAACCCTGTGGTGTGTAATTTCGTTTTCAATAAATCTCTGCTTTCCTTGCTTCATTCTTTCCTTGCTTTGTGCGTTTTGTCCAATTCTTTGTTCAAAATGCCAAGAACCTGGACACCCTCCACTGGTAACAGAACAGAATAGAGAACCCAGAAATAAAACTGCACACCTACAGCCATCTGACCTTTGACAAACCTGTGCATTTTGTCCAATTCTTTGTTCAAAATGCCAAGAACCTGGACACCTTCCACCAGTAACACAGGTACTGGGGCTTAAGACTTCAATATATCCTTCTGAGGACATAATTCAACCCATAACCCTTTCACAAAGAAAAAGACAAGAATTTAAGATAGAATAAGAATGTTGGAATAGGAATGATCTTAACAGTTTTCTTTTCTTTTTTTTTTTTTCTTTTTTATTGATCATTCTTGGGTGTTTCTCGCAGAGGGGGACTTGGCAGGGTCACAGGACAACAGTGGAGGGAAGGTCAGCAGATAAACAAGTGAACAAAGGTCTCTGGTTTTCCTAGGCAGAGGACCTTGCGGCCTTCCGCAGTGTCTGTGTCCCTGGGTACTTGAGATTAGGGAGTGGCGATGACTCTCAACGAGCATGCTGCCTTCAAGCATCTGTTCAACAAAGCACATCTTGCACCGCCCTCAATCCATTCAACCCTGAGTGGACACAGCACTTGTTTCAGAGAGCACAGGGTTGGGGGTAAGGTCATAGATCAACAGGATCCCAAGGCAGAAGAATTTTTCTCAGTACAGAACAAAATGAAAAGTCTCCCATGTCTACCTCTTTCTACACAGACATGGCAACCATCTGATTTCTCAATCTTTCCCCCACCTTTCCTGCCCTTCCATTCCACAAAACCGCCATTGTCATCATGGCCCGCTCTCAATGAGCTGTTGGGTACACCTCCCAGACGGGGCGGCGGCCAGGCAAAGGGGCTCCTCACTTCCCAGTAGGGGCAGCCGGGCAGAGGCGCCCCTCACCTTCCGGACGGGGCGGCTGGCCGGGCGGGGGGCTGACCCCCCCACCTCCCTCCCGGACAGGGCGGCTGGCTGGGCAGAGGGGCTCCTCACTTCCCAGTAGGGGCGGCCGGGCTGAGGCGCCCCTCACCTCCCGGACAGGGCAGCTGGCCTGGCAGGGGGCTGACCCCCCCACCACCCTCCCGGACGGGGCGGCTGGCCTGGCTGGGGCTGACCCCCATCTCCCTCCCGGACTGGGTGGCTGCCGGGCGGAGACGCTCCTCACTTCCCAGACAGGGTGGCTGCTGGGCAGAGGGGCTCCTCACTTCTCAGACGGGGCGGCTGCCGGGCAGAGGGGCTCCTCACTTCTCAGACTGGGCGGTTGCCAGGCAGAGGGTCTCCTCACTTCTCAGACGGGGCTGCCGGGCAGAGACGCTCCTCACATCCCAGACGGGGCGGCAGGGCAGAGGCGCTCCCCACATCTCAGACGATGGGCGGCCGGGCAGAGACGCTCCTCATTTCCTAGACGGGATGGCGGCCGGGCAGAGATGCTCCTCACTTTCCAGACTGGGCAGCCAGGCAGAGGGGCTCCTCACATCCCAGACGATGGGCGGCCAGGCAGAGACGCTCCTCACTTCCCAGACGGGGTGGCGGTTGGGCAGAGGCTGCAATCTCGGCACTCTGGGAGGCCAAGGCAGGCGGCTGGGAGGTGGAGGTTGTAGTGAGCCGAGATCACACCACTGCACTCCAGCCTGGGCACCACTGAGCACCGAGTGAACGAGACTCTGCCCGCAATCCCGGCACCCCGGGAGGCCGAGGCTGGCGGATCACTCGCGGCCAGGAGCTGGAGACCAGCCCGGCCAACACAGGGAAACCCCGTCTCCACCAAAAAAACACGAAAACCAGTCAGGCGTGGCGGCGTGCACCCGCAATCGCAGGCACTCGGCAGGCCGAGGCAGGAGAACCAGGCAGGGAGGCCGCAGTGAGCCGAGATGGCAGCAGTACAGTCCAGCCTCGGCTCGGCATCAGAGGGAGACTGTGGAAAGAGAGGGAGAGGGAGACCGTGGGGAGAGGGAGACGGAGACGGAGAGGGAGGGGGAGGGGGAGGGAGAGGGAGAGGGAGAGGAACAGTTTTCTACAATAACCACTTACTTGTATTTTTGGAGAAACTGAGGTATGGAGTGATTAGGAGATTTACCCATGGTCACACACAGATAAAAAAGGACAGAGCTGGAAGTGGAAATTGGTAGTGACAGGGAAATTTACAAATGATGCAAATACATTTCTGGTAAAACACCTAAAATAGTCAAAGCTGGCCCTCGGAAAAAAGTGGAAATTAGGCAGCTTATCTGAGTCTTTCTCATCTCCCTGCATTTATTTCTCCTTTCTTCCCGTTGGAACCTCCTTGGCCTCACTCTCTCCTCTAGGAACAGGTGGCATATACTGAGTGCTTCTTATGTGCTGGACATTGTGCTAAGTCTTCCGTGGTACTATCTCATTTAATTCTCATAATATAGTGGTAAATACTATTATGATCCCATTTTACAAATGAGGAAACTGGACTTCAGATATTATGATTCTGTTTAACAAATGAGGAAACTGGACTGAGATGCAAACACAGGCAGAGCCTACATTTGTCTTAAAAATTATTGTATAAATCTAAAACGTGCAAATGCAATTTTGTTCTGTGGATGTATTGCACAGTCTGAAATCCAGGCTTTTAGTGTATCCATGACCCAAATAATGTGCATTGTATCTATTAAGTAATTCTCAGCACCCACCCTCTCCCACCCACGTTCTTAACTACGCTCTTATTCCTATTCCTCCTTCTTGCCATTGCCCCCCCCACCACCATACACCTGCATACACTTTATGCTTTGCTCACAGTCCCTTCCTGGAGGCCCTCCTTAAGCCTGCCTTCCTAGACAGGGTTCTATATTTCAGAATCGTCTCTTGGACTCTGCCTGTTTCAGTGATGAGGTAGTAAAGAAAGAAACCAGTTGGCTGTTTGAGCGGGTCCTCCCAGGGGTGGAGGGTCTGTTTTGCAAATTTGAGGATTCAGAAACTTTGTCAGCTCTCCCAAAAGTGTTCAGGTCTAGGGATGGGATTGCCCTACCTAAATTTGTAACTGGTTGATTGCGAATCCAGAATACCAATTTGTGGATTTACACTGAGAAAGATGCCTGCAAAGTGTTGCAACCAGAGAGCAATATTGAAACGGGAGAGCTGCCCAGACAGGGCCTTGCCAGGGGTCTGATAGTGAGATTCTAATGCCCATGAGTAGGGTGCTGGTCTCTCTGCCACCGAAGGGAACAGGACAAATGGGCCGGGAGTGCAGGCCATGGGCTTGACTCCTGGGTAGCAGGGTCCCAGGGGCTAGGTTGTCTCAGGGCTTTTCCTCAGGCAGCCTGAGGCAGAAAGCCAGATACTTATGTGGAGAAGGGCCAAGGCTGTAGCAGGAAAGCCAGTGCCAGGACTTGAATTCAGAGGACAGAAAGGGGAACATGAGGAGGGAAATCAGTAGCTCAGGGAGATGTGGCCAGGCAAGCAGTGTTGGATTCTTTGCTCAGTCTGAGCCTTGTCTTGGACTCTTTGGATTTAGGCCTGCACCAGGTCATCCTGGTGATCAAACCCCAGCTTTCTCCTGAGGGCTTTGGCTTGACCTGACCTTCAGGTCCTTGGCAGACTGTGCTGCCTCTGGCAGAAGCTTCACACTCTGGCTCTGACCACATAAATCCCAGTCCTCCCCAGGATGGGAGGGTTCAGGTATTTAGCCACAAATCTATGGTTCCTGAGGTCCCCACTAGCTGCCCTGGCAATGCCCTGCCACCCTCCACTCCCTGAGTCTGCCATGGTCCAAGAAGGAAAATGCAAATTTCCATGGGTAGGTTTCCACTTTGGCACACGAAGAAAGTACAAGTGAGGGCAGAGTTGATTCCGTGGCTGGTTCAGAGATCGAGAAAGGCTTTAGGTAAAAGTCTTACAAGAGACATGTTGGATTTTTCCACTGCTGCTTGCTTTTCTCTTTTTGCATCATTGGATTAAAAAATCATTAGATTTTTTGCCTCTGTCGCATTGTCTGTCACTTTTGGACATTACTGCGACAGGCATTAACTTCTTATTTTATTAGTAGCCATTAACCATACATAATTGATCTATGTGGCTTCTAAAGAGCCACATCAACTGCACCTGTGTTCCAGTCACCTCATCTGACAGCTGGCTTCAGCAATCACCCAGCTGGATGAGCTGCCCTGGATCAGAGCATTGTCTGTTAATCGCTAGTGAGTACCAAGTACCTAGAACTCAGCAGGAAATATTTGTTGAATGAATGAAGAAATAAATGTGTGACTGAATGTAAACTTTTGTTTGTGGTCCAGTTTGTCCCAACATTCACAGAAAAGCAGACTGTGGTAACTGCTCTTTTTGTTATTTATTTATTTATTTATTTATTTATTGAGACAGAGTTTCCCTCTGTCACCCAAGCTGGAGTGCAATGGTGCGATCTCGTCTCACTTCAACCTCCACCTCCCAGGTTCAAGCGATTCTTGTGCCTCAGCCTCCTGAATAGCTGGGATTACAGGCGTTGCACCACCATGCATTTTTGTATTTTTAGTAGAGACAGGATTTCGCCATGTTGGTCAGGATGGTCTTGAACTCCTGACCTTAAGTGATCCACCTGCCTCAGCCTCCCAAAGTGCTGGGATTACAGACATTTTTTGTCTTTTAAAAAGTATACAGGTGATACAGGAATCATTCTCATCATAAAAGATTCAAACATTATAGAAGCATACAGAACAAAATCCTTACTACTCTCCCTCCCACCACCCATACCCTGAATCCCAGTCCTCTCCTTGAAGGTAACCACTGTTACCAGTTCAGTGGGCATAATTTCTGTCTACTTTTCATGTATTTACATACATGTAATGTATGTGTGCTCATATATACATGTGCCTTTCTTCCATAAATAGGATTACATTGTATTTATTGTTTTGCAACTTGCTTTATTGTATTTAGCAATATGTCATGAGCATCTTTCCACATCAATACATCTACATTATTGTCAATAATTGCATAATATTGCACAACATGGACATATCATATTTTATTTAACTAGTCTTATATTGGTAGGTATTTTAGTGGTCTACAGTTGGTCTCTAATATAAACACTGGTTAATAAACATCCTTGCTATCCGTATTTATTGTATATACTTTAATAAGACAAGTTCCTCCTGCCCCATTATTCTTCCTTTTCAGCATTTTTCTGGTTATTCTTTCTTATTTTCCATATGAACATCAAACAAGCTTCTCTAGTCCCCAGAATAGGCAGTTTTACTGGGATCATGTTAGATTTGTAATTTAAATGAAAGAGAATTGACCTATTTTGATGTTGAGTCTTATTATTCATTTATTTATTTTTAAATTAAATTGTATTATTTTGTTGTTGTTGTTGTTGAGACAGATTCTTGCTTTTGTCACCCGGGCTGGAGTGCAATGGTACAATCTCGGCTCACTGCAACCTCCACCTGCCTCCCGGGTTCAAGCAATTCTCCTGCCTCAGCCTCCCGAGTAGCTGGGATTACAGGCGTGCGCCACCATGCCCGGCTAATTTTTGTATTTTTAGTGGAGATGGGGTTTCACCGCATTGGCCAGGCTGGTCTCGAACTCTTGACCTCAGGCGATCCACCTGCCTCGGCCTCCCAAAGTGTTGAGATTACAGGCATGAGCCACCGCACCCAGCTATCTTTCCATTTTTGTCTGAAGTTTCTAAAAATATTTTATTTTAAAATCATTACAAAATTAATAAATGTCTGTTGTAGAAGCTTTAGAACACTTAGAACTGTATACATTAAAAATTATCAGCTTTCTGTGCCCCCCTCCCTGCCTCCCGGTTTCCTGTTGCCCACAAGTAACCACTGTTATCAGGTCATGGTCTCCCTCACGTCTTCAAAAATAAGATCATGCTATTCCTGTGATCTGCAACTTGCTTTTTTCTTAAAATATTTCCCAAGTAGCTTTCCATGTCAGTACACACAATGCTGCCTCAATATTTTTAAACTGCTGCAGTTTATTACCCTCTGTGGTTATGCTAGATTTTTAAAAAATGCAATGCCTTGTGATAGACATTTGTGTATGTCCAAATTTATTATAAACCATTTTATAATAAACAACCTTATTATATAGTGTCATGCACATTATGTGATTTTCTGTAGGATAAATTCCCAGCAGTGGAATTACTGATGTCAAAAGTTATTGTGTATTTAAAATTTTAATTGATATTGCCAAATCACACTCCAAAAAGTTTTTAACAATAGTTAAAAGACAGTATATGTTTTTCTAAAACCTTGTCATCACTAGGGCTATTAATCTTTTTAATATCTGCCAATCTGTAGTTTTCATTTCTATTTCTTAAATAAGTGTCAGGTTGAACATCTTTTCATATAATATGTTTGCTGGTAATTTGTAACTTGCCTTCTATGATTTCTCAATTTTCATCCTTTGTCGATTTGCCTGCCTTTTTAATCTTATTAATTTTATTTATTTATTTTTTTTTGAGACGAAGTCTCATTCTTGTCCCTCAGACTGGAGTGCGATGGTGCAATCTCGGCTCACTGCAACCTTCACCTCCCGGCTTCAAGCAATTCTCCTGCCTCAGCCTCGCGAGTAGCTGGGATTACAGGCACCTGCCCACCACGCCTGGCTAATTTTTGTATTTTTGGTAGAGATGGGGTTTCACCATGTTGGCTAGGCTGGTCTCGAACTCCTGACCTCAGGTGATCCACCCGCCTCAGCCTCCCAAAGTGCTGGGATTACAGGCGTGAGCCACTGTGCCTGGCCAATCTTATTAATTTATAACAGTCCTTTGTGTATTACCAATACTAGTCATTTGCTTTGTATATTTGTTACAAATACTTTCCCTATTTTTATGCTTCTTGGCTTTGTTTATGCTGTGTTTTGGCTGTTTATAAGTATTCAAATGTCATACAGGCAAATGATTAAATCTTTTTTATTTTTGATTGTAGATTCCAAGATTATAAAAATATTCTCCTGGCTGGGGCACAGTGGCTCACAACTGTAACCCCAACACTTTGGGAGGCTGAGGTGAGTGGCTCGCTTGAGGCCAGGAGTTCGAGATCAGCCTAGGCAACACATAACCCGGTCTCAAATAAATAAATAAATAAATAAATAAATAAATAAATTCTCCTACATTTGATTTTACTCCCTATATTGTTTTATTTTGAAATTGAAATCTTAATTCCATCTGGAATGTATTTTTGGGCAGGCAGTGAGGTAGGGATCTAGCTCTATATGTTTCTACATGGCTAGTGAGTTAAGGATATTTAGGTGCTAGTAAAGGTGCTAACTCAAGCTAGCTTGATGGGGGAAAAAAAAGGAATTTATTATAAGAATATGGAGTATTTCTCTGGAACCCAGATCTTGGATGGAGCTTAATCTCCCAAACGGCTGGAATCAGAGAAGGAAATGGTGTCAGGAATGCAAAGAGTAGCTTGTTGCCATTCCTCAGCTCTGCTGCCCTCTGAGCCTTGGCTTCATTCATCTCTGTGGCTGGGCTTTCTCGGCTACTTGGTCCTGTTGGTGGAAGCTGTGTATACCAAAGCTCAACACGTGAGCTTTTAGGTTTCCTCACTTAAAGATGCCAACCCTTCAGACTGGAAGAGACTCTGATCAGTCTAGCTTGGGTCAGGGGTTCACCTCTGATCCAACTAGCTTTGGCTAGGGAACATGGGTCACTTAATGTGTACATGGCTGTTGTGGACCCACTCCTGAAACCTTATGAATTGGAAAGGAGAAGATAGAAGATAGAAGTTCTCTGGGAAGAATCACTGTTACCTGGGCAGACACATCTACTACACTATTTGTCCCAGCACCATTTTTTTCAGCACTATTTTTGAACAATGTGTATGCCCACTAATAATCTCTTCCACTCTCCTGGATGACTTTTTCATGCTGCATTAACTATGGCAAGTGAACAGGGTTCCATTGCTAAAGGAGACTTAGAGGACTCAAATGGCATTACTCTCAAGTATATAGTTTACTACAGGAAAAGGATACAGCCAGGGGTCTGGAGTGGTCAGGTACAGGATCCTATTGTCCTCCTCTCTAAGAGCCGTGACAGCAGGATGCACTTTATCACTTGGACCAGGAACCACTGACATGTGCACAGAACACCTCAGAACCAGGGAGTCCAAAATGGACTCTCAGATGGGTTTTAAACAATTTTTTGACAGTCACACAGGCATATTTTAGCCTTAACAGTAGAGCCCTTTGAGGGAGGGACAGGTGTCACACTGAGACCAGGTACAAATAATCAGTCTCACTGTTACCAATACATAATGTCGACAAGCTCGGACAAACCACCATGAATCTGAAGACTCATGGCTACAAAACAACACCATTAACCAGTATGTTTTGTGTCTTGATAGGAGGTCAGTGTCATGCCAGAACTTCAATAAAACAACTAGGGCTAATTCTAGACCTGCTGGAATTAACCTCACAACCCATACTTTTTCCTTTCTCCTCTGTTTTTGGGTTCTGTTGTTTTAACAATTTCTTGTGATCTGAAAGATTTTTGTAAATCTTTTTTGCAGTAATTGAAGTCTGAATGTTCGATTTTATTTTTCTTACTTTGGACATTTACTTCAAATTTACTTCAAAATTTACCTCTAAAACATATGGACTACTTTGGAAAAACAAGGATTGATAACTCTTTATTCTATAGGCAGTGGCTAGCATTTGTTTTTTTGAGTTGACTTCTTAATCATTAAGAAAATTACTCGAATAATTCAGTTTACATCAAAATTCTCTTCTGCCTGCTTTTAGATTGAAAGTAAGTTCAACTTGCAGTATTCAAATACTGTGGAAACCCAGTTAATTTTCTAAATCATGCAAGGCAAAAACATCTTACCTAAAGAGCTTTCAAAAACTCACGATTAAAACATATTTTGGAATAGAATTACTTTATTTCAATTTTGCTTTATAAATGGAATGAACTGAAATGCATTAAACCCCAGAAACCTGTGTTGCCACCATTTGGTGTAATTCACATGCTGAAAATGTAATATTTTTAAAAGGCCCCAGAAAGCCCATAATAGGCTGTCTTACTCATGTTTGTACTCTCATCTTTGTTAAAGATAGCACATGGTCCCATTAGCCCCTGGACGTTGTCAGGCCAAATGCACAGAAGCATTAATTGAATACACAGAAGTCTCAATTAGGCAGTGGCTTTTTTTTTTGTCAGTAACATAAGGAGAAAAACATTTTGATTAAAGTTGGGAATGGGGAGGGGAAATTTTGTTTCCATTGCAGATACCTGATTAGCTATGAAAAGGGAACGTGCTCTCTTTAAGCTTTGGGTTAATAATCTGAAAACCTATTTCTCTGGCTTTTGTTAAAAAAAAAAACAATCAGATGTGATGCTGGAGGCAGAAACCATTAAAAGAAAAGAATGAAAGCATAGACCACATTTTAAAACTCTATTAAAATACCATAAATAATGTTGAAATTCAAACAATATATTTAGAAAAAAATATTTGCAGCCTATATGAGATGATTCTAACTAATTGATTAACATAAAAAGATACAAGCTTAAATAGAAAAAATTGGAAAGGACCCAGTTGTGATACAAAGTAAGAAATATAAATGGAAATAAAGATTAAAATGTGTTCTGCTTCACTGGTGATCAAAGTCATGCAAATTAAAATCATATTGCTATTTTTACAAACCTACCGGGGTGGCAAAGATTAAAAGATTATTAGTATCTAGTGCTTAAAATGGTGTGTCAAAAGGGCATTCTGAAATATTACTGATGAGAAAAGTCAATTGAGTGCAATTTGGTAATGTGTCAAAACTCAAAATGTGCATACTTGTTATTTAGCAATTCCAGAGATCAGAGATCTGTATTTTGCACATGCATAAAAATATGTTCAAAGATATTAATTGCAGCATTATTTATGATTGCCAAGGAGATAACTACCAAAATGTCCATCAAAGGGAATTGGGTAAATAATTATGGTACCGCTTACACTAAACAATTTTTAAAATTAATGAAGTAGATCTATATGCACTGATAGGAAAAAAATCCCAAGAACTATTACTGAGAAAAGCAAGTTCCAAGCCACAAAGTATGATCACTGTCTCTGGTATTTTTTGACATTTATTTCTAAAAAGGCTTTACCTGGGGTATATTTTATATAAAATAATTATCTCATGTTTTTACTATATGATTCCAAGCTTTTTAGTATATTTATAGAGCTATGCAACCATAATTACAACCTAACTTTAGATTATTTCTATCTTTCTTTCATTTCAATAGTTTTAGGGGTTGATATGGTTTAGATATTTGTCTCTTCCCAATCTCATTTTGAATTATAATCCCCAGTGTTGGAGATAGGTCCTGGTGGGAGGTGTTGGATCATGGGGGTGGATGCCTCATGAATGGCTTTGGTGCCATCCTCTAGGTGATAAGTGAGCTCTCGCTCTGAGTTTATGTAAGATCTGGTTGTTTAAATGTCTCCAACATTAGCACCTCTCCACCCTCTCTCTCTTGCTCTTGTTCTCACCATGTGATATGCTGGCTCCTCTTCACCTTCTCCTATGATTGGAAGCTCCCTGAAGCCCTCACCAGGAGCTGAGCAGATGTTGGTGCCATGCCTGTACAGCCTGCAGAACCATGAGCCAAATTAAACCTCCTTTCTTTATAAATTACCCAGTCTCAGGTATTTCTTTATAGCAATGCAAGAATGATCTAACACAGGGGGTATAAGTGGTTTTGGGCTGTATGGATGAATTGTATAGCAGTGAAGTTTGGTTTTTCAGTGTACCTGTCACCCAAATAGTGTACATTGTACCTAATAGGTAATTTTTTTCCTCCTTTATCCTCTCCCACCCTCCTCCCTTTCTGAGTCTCCAGTGTCCATTATACCACCCTGTATGCCTTTGCATACCCATAGCTTAGCTCCCACTTATAAGGGAGAACATGTGGTTTTTGGTTTCCCATTCCTGAGTTACTTCACTTAGGATAATGGCCTCCAGTTTCATCCAAGTTGCTGCAAAAGACATTATTTTGTTCTTTTTTGATGGCTGAGTAGTTTGTACTCCATGGTGTATATATGCCACATTTTATTTATTTTTAAAAAAATTATTTTAAGTTCAGGGGTACATGTGCAAATTTGTTACACAGATAAACTTGTGTTATAGGAGTTTATTGTGCAAATTATTTCATCACCCAGATATTAAGCCTAGTACCCATTAGTTATTTTTCCTGATCCTCTTCTTCCTCCTACCCTTCATCCTCCAATAGGCCCCTGTGTATGCCATTCCCCTCTATGTGTCCATGTGTTCTCATCATTTAGCTCCCACTTATAAGTGAGAATTTGTGGTATTTGGTTTTCTTTTCCTGTGTTAGGATAATGGCCTCCAGTTCCATCCATGTCCCTGCAGAGGACATGATCTTATTCCATTTTTATGGCCGCATAGTATTCCATGGTGTATATGTACCACATTTTCTTTATCCAGTCTATCATTGATGGGCATTTAGGTGGATTCCATGTCTTTGCTATTGTGACTAGACAACATTTTCTTTATTCACTCATCAGTTGATGGGCACTTAGGTTGATTCCACATTTTTGCAATTGTGAATAATGCTGTGATAAACACATGTGTGCAAGTGTCTTTTTAATATAATGACTTGTTTTTTGTTGGGTAGATACCAAGTAGTGGGATTGCTGGATCGAATGGTAGAGCTACTTTTAGTTCTTTGAGAAATCTCCATACTATTTTCCATAGAGGTTGTACTAATTCACATTCCCACCAGCAGTGTAAAAGTGTTCCCTTATCACTGCATCCTTACCAACATCTATTGTTTTTTGACTTTTTAATAATGGCCATTCTGGCTGGGGTAAGATGGTATCTCACTGTGGTTTTAATTTGCATCTCCCTGATGATTAGTGATGTTGAACATTTTTTGATATACCTGTGGGACATTTGTGTATCTTCTTTTGAGAAGTGTCTGTTTATGTCACTTGCCCACTTTTTAATGGGATTATTTGCTTTTTCTTGCTGATTTGAGTTCCTTGTGGATTCTGGATATTAGTCCTTTGTTGGATATATAGTTTGCAAATATTTTCTCCCATTCTGTAGGTTGTTTATTCTGTCCACTCTCTTTGACTCACTCCAACCACCTCTGGGCAACTTCTCCATTACCATTGATGCAAAATCTAATGTTCAACTGTCAGTCCTAACATTACTTGAAATAGTTGATCACTCCGACTTTGAAACACTTTTTCAGTTGGCTTCCAGGACCTCACGCTGTCCTGGTTTCTTTTGACCACATTGGTTCCTTTCTTTGTCTCTTTTATTAATCCCTCTTCTTTTCCCCAACTTCTCCAACATTAGAATTTCCCAAGGGCTTGGTCTTGGTCCACCTATTTTCTCTCACTCTCCTTGCTCCTATCTAATCTCATGGCTTCAAATATAACCCATGTGCTGCTGTCTGCCTAATTTACTTCTTCAGCAAGTCCTCTCTCCTGAACTCCAGATTCATACATCCAACTGCCTACTTGACATGGCTTAGCTGTGTTATAGACATCTTAAACTACTTTTCCTGTTCCAAACTGAATCTTCAGATGTTCATCCCCATAACTTATCTTCTGTTAGTCTTCTACATCTCAGGAAATGACAACTTCACTCACCCAGTTGCTCAGACCAAAAACCTTGGCATCATCCTTGACTCCTCTCTCTCACACACTCCACATCTAGTACCAAATTTACTGTGAAGCTAATGAAGCTTAAGCATCAGAGCCGCTCACTTGCAGGAGCCCCTTACGAGACACAAGGCTCCTTACGGTGGGGTAACACAGTCATGTGCTTTTGTAAAATTTGCAAAAGTAAAATATTTTAATTACAATCAGTTAAGACAGCTGTCTCTTCACTCTGACTTCCCCTGTATCACTCTTCCTTCATGGCGGGATTGGCATTGGGGTGGCTGTGAACATTGTTGGGATCATGCAGAGGGGAAATTGAATTGGGTTTACATTTATTTTTGATTTGATCAGATATATTTCCATGGCTGGCAGTCACCTCTATACCACTGTTAACCATCTCAGCATAGGAGTGGCTTCCAGAAATACTCTCACCTCAATTACCTTACTATGCTGGCTAGTGGTGCAGGGCCAAAGATCATATCTCAAATACTACCGCCTCCTATAGCACCCAGCATTGGGAATATGTGTAGCTGAGGAGAAATAGATTTGGAATGTACAGAGCCAGAAACTAGTCTGTGGAAAATTATTCACTGGACATGTAAAACTATATATGGAGAAGTCAGTTCCGCCTAGTCGGAATGGGAGTTTTCTTCTGTCACTAATATACTCAATAATGCAACATGTGTAACTATAAGCATAACATATGGTTTTTATTGTGGTAATAACACTTAACATAAGATCTACCCTCTTAATATATTTTAAACTAAACAATACAGTATTGCTAGCTGGAGGGACAATGTTTTGCAGCAGAGCTCTAGAAAATCTTCATCCTGAAGAACTGAAACTTCATACCTGTTGAACAACTCCCCACTTCCCTTTCCCATAAGCCCCTGGCAACCACCATTCAACTCTGCTTCTGTGAGTTTAACTATTTTATTTTATTAGAGACAGGGTCTCACTCTGTCACTCAGGCTAGAGTGCAATGGTGCAGTCCTAGCTTACTGTAGCCTCGAACTCCCGGGCTTAAGGGATCCTCCTGCCTCAGCCTCCTGAGTAGCTGGGACTACAGGTGTATGCCACCATGCTCAGATTTTTTTTTCTTTTTTTGTAGAGATGGGGTCTCACTATGTCCCCCATGATGGTCTTGAACTCCTAGGCTGAAGCAATCCTCCTGCCTCAGCCTCCCAAAGTGCTACAGGTATGAGCCACCATGCCCAGCCAAGTTTGGTAATTTTAGATACCACATATAAGTGGAATCACGCAGTAGTTTTGCTTCTCTGCCTGGCTTATTTCCTTTAGCATAATGCCCTACAGGTTCATCCATGTTGTCACATATGGCAGGATTTCCTTCTTTTTAAGGTTGGTTAATATTCCTTTGCATGTATATATCACATTTTTTTTATCCATTCATCTACTGATGGACATTTAGGTTGTTTCCACATCTTGGCTATTGTGAATAATGCTGCAGTCAAAATGGGAGAGGTAATATCTCTTTGAGACCCCAATTTTAATTCTTTTGGATAAATATCCAGAAGTAAGATTGTTGGATCACATGGTAATTCTATTTTCTGAGGAACTGCCATACTGTTTTCCAGGAAATCTTGTGAAATAGAATTTATCAGAAATGCTTTGTTTTCAGAGCATAAGCCTGTAGCAGTATTATAAATCATGATTTTTGTCTATGTATGAATTTGCATGTTTTATGCATTTTAACATATTGGATCATGTTTTAGTGTATCTGACTCATCTTGTTCTGATGAAGACTGGCAGTTTCAGATGAAATGGCATATGCAATTGTCACGAACACAGGAAAATAACCTGAAGAAACAAGTGTTCCAATCACAAAAAGCCTAAACATATTAATCAGTAACTCAATGTATGCAGTATTAAAAGTGATTTGATTATATAATTACATAACTCAATACAATGCAGTGTCCATTTTTCAATACACTGCAATTGTTCTTATAAATGCCTTATTTTCAGATGAATTTTGTATTGTTCTTCAGATTTTTGATGAACCTAAATTTAAATATGATAGGAAGGAAGAAAGCCAAATATGTAAACTGAAAGAAAGAAGACTAGCTTGTCAAAACTTGTCTTATTATTATTACAATGGCAATTAAAAACTTTATTAAAACAAAATAGAAGTATCAATAAAATACAAATTTTGGTTAATCATGTTAAAGGAAAAACAAAGTTATCTTTCTATTCTTTTTATAGAAAATGTTATAAAATCATCATATGGGCAGGGAAACAAATGGTATGCAACCTACAATATGAGAAAGTTATAGGGAGTGTGTCAGGAAGTTAATATTAAATTATTTTTCTAGATTTTCTGATGTTTGTAGTATTTGTAAGCTTTTATAAATTTGTAATATATTGTGATTTCTTTTCTCAGTTTAAAGAAATATTCACTTTTGTACCTAATTTTGTATTGTTCTTCTTAAGAGAGAACCCCCCAAATTGTATGTTAGGCCACACAAGCCTAGATCTATCCTCCTTATATGCAGTCTTTTAGCAAATACTGTTGGCTCTACCTTCAATATCTGTACAGAATCTGAGTACTTCTCACCATCTTCACTCCCACCACTCTGGTCTCAGCCACCCTCATTTTCTGCCTGGATTATTGCAATAGCCTCCTAATTTTTCTTCTTGCTTCTTCCCTTGTCCTCTTGTAGTCTAATGTGAACAGAATAGCCAGAGCGATTATTTTAAAGCCAAGTCCTATCTGGTTCCTCCTCTACTCAAAACTCTCCAGTGGTTTCCATCGTCACTCAGAGTAAAATCCAAAGTCCTTTTTTTGTGCCCTTCAGAGACCTATGTGACCTGTGCTCCCACAAATCTCTCTGACTTCCTTTCCTGCTCCTCTCTCTTAACCTGCTCCATTCTAGTCTCCTTGGAATGGAGTAAACATACTTCTATCTTGGAGCATTGGCATTGGCTATTCCCCCTACCTGGAACGCTCTTCTTTCAGATATCTGCATGACTTACCCCCTCAGTTCTTTCAGGTCTCTGCTCAAATGTCACCTTATCAGTGAGACCTTCCTAATATAAAATTACAGCCTCCCCATCATTCATTATCTCCCTTCTCTGCCTTATTTTTCTCTATATCACTTATCACATCTGATATAATACATACTTCCCTGTATATTTATATATTTTCTTTGTCCCCCATTAAAAGTAAGTTCCGCAAGGGAGAGGACATTATTCTGTTCACTAATGTATCCAGAGCATCTAGACATGTGCTTGGCACATAGCAGGCATCCAATAAATATCTGCTGAATGAATGAAGGAAGGACAAATCCTATATGCCCATTTAAGCAATGGGATTAGAGGGTCTTCTTCTCCTTCTCCTTCTCCTTTTTTTTGAGAGTTTAGCCCTTGTCACCCAGGTTGGAGTGCAATGGCGCAATCTCGGCTCACTGCAACCTCCGCTTCCCAGGTTCAAACAATTCTCGTGCCTCACGAGTAGCTGGGATTACAGGCGTGTGCCACCACGCTGAGCTAATTTTGTATTTTTAGCAGAGATGGGGTTTCACCATGTTACCCAGGCTGGTCTCGAGCTCCTGACCTCAAGTGATCCACCCACCTCGGCCTCCCAAAGTGCTGGGATTACAGGCGTGAGCCACTGTGCCCGGCCCCTTTTCTTCTTTTTTAAAAAAGGTACTTTTTTTTTAAAGTGTGGTAAAATATACATAGCATAAAATTTATCATTTTAACAATTTGTAAATGTACAGTTTGCTGGCATCAAGTATATTCACACTGTAGTATAGCCATCACCTCCATGCATCCCACAGAACAGTTCTTGTCTTGCAACATTGAAACTCTGTACCCTGTTTCTTCTTTATATACTAAGTTAATGCCTGAATTTTTTATAATAAACATTTATTACTATAATGTCAAAAGGCCATTTCCATTTTGGGAACAGACTAATCAGAAATTTATATTCATCTCATAAGACAATAATTGAGAAAAGACTGTGTTTCTATTCCTTGAACAGATTAAATGTGAAGCTGTCCAGTTTTTTAAATGATTCATTAACGTGGTCCTCTGGGAGCTTGAATATTCAGTACCAGCTGTTTCCCTCAGTAATATTTGAATTTAATATTTTACCTTAAGAAATTTGATGCCAAAGAAATAGTAAATATTTAACTACATATGGTATTATTTTAATATGTTAACATGTTTTCTTTACTTGGAGTTTGTTTAATTAGCAATACTGTCACAGTTCTGCAACATCATAATACAGAGAAGGGAGAGAGGAAAGTGGCACCTACTGAGAGCCTACTAGGTGTCAGGTGCTTTGCAGATATTAGGAGTGGCCTCCATGTCCTCAGATCTCACTCACTTGGCATTACACTCCAGATTGACTTTCACCATCTCCATTTTGTGGCAAATGCTCTTGACAAGATCACCAATTATTTCCCTGTCACTAAATCCCAATAGACAATTTTCAGTCTTTATTCTCTTAACCTTACAGCAGCAGTTAGCACAGATTATCATCCCTTTCTTATCAAAACCCCTTCTTCCTTTGGTTCATATTCAGAGCTTTTTTATTTCACTTCCTTAATACTTTTATTATTTTTCAATTTCTCTCCATATCCACTGTCCCCACCCAAACTGGTCTGACATTGTATACTCTTGCCTGGACTACTCTTCTAGCCTCCTAACTGGTCTCTTTGCCTCCAGTCCGCCCACCCCCAATCTGTTTCCTACACAACTGCCAATGACCTCTCCAAACTACGATCACACCACTCCCTTGTTTATAACTCCTTGATGGATTTTCTTTGCTCTAAAGTTCAGTATCTTTATTCCGGTCTACAGAGCCCTTCATCCTCTTGTTTCTGCCTGTCTTGCCAGACTCAGCTTGAGCCACTCTCATTTTTGATCTTTCTACTTGAGGATTCTTTAAGTTTCTTGAATAAGTCAAACACTCATCCCTGGATCTTTGCACATGCTCTTCCCTCTTTCTGGACAACTCTTTATTCATCTATTTATTCACTCAACAAATATTTATTGAGTGCCTACCAGGTGCTGGGCACTGTTCTAAGTATTGGGGATATAGCACTGAACAAAATAAAGATTCTTATGCTTGTGGAGCTTGCATTCTAGCCAGAGGAGAGAGAGAAAAATTAATGAAGGCAATAATTAAGTAAACCGCATGGTATTTTAGAAGGTGATAAGTACTATGGAAAAAAGAAAAGGTAGAGAGCAAGGTAAGCAGGATCTACAGTACAGAAGAGGGTGGGTTGGTGAAATTTTCAATGGCAAGGTCAACGTAAGCCTCCTTGAGAGGGTGATAGTTAAGCAAAGACTTGAAGAAGGTGAGAGAACAAGCCATGTGGATATCTGAGGGAAAAACATTCTAGGGAGAGGAAGTCGTCATTGCAAACTTGTGAGGGGGACTCTTGCATGCTGTGTTGGAGGAATGGCAAAGAAGATGGTATGGCTGAAGTGGAGTAAGCAAGGACAAGCACAGTAAGAGATGGTACTGAAGAGACAGCTGGAGCCTAGACTGTGAAGGGGCTGGGAGGCCACTTTATGGAGTTTGGCTTTTTTCTCCGAGTGAATTGTGAAGCTATTGGAGGGGTTTGAGCAGAATAGTCATATAATCTAATTAAATTTATTCCAACATCCCTCTATGCAATGTTGAGAATAGACTCAAGAGAAGATGTGGGTGGGGGAAGAGGAAGTGGGAAGACTGTTCAGGAGGATATTACAGTGACCCAAGTGAGAGATGATGGTGGCTTGGGCCAGAGTAGTAGCATTCGAGGTGGTGAGAAGGGGTTGGATTATGGACATATTTTGACAGTATAGCCATCTGGACTTGCTGGTTAGATATAAAGTGTGAGCAGGGCCATATCCTATACATAGGATCTGAAACTTACCTAGTTTGTGGGGCCTTGTTTAAAAAACATACAAAATAAAGTACAAATGTGAGTATGTATATAAAATGAGAAAAATTATGCCAATCAGGTAGACTTTGTCAGGAAAAGATGAGTCAGATACTCTATCTAATGCGTGATTTGATATGCTGGGATTCATAAAACCCGTGACTTCACACACATACTCATTGCTTGTAGTACTGCTACAGGTCTGTGTCCTATGAACAATTCTATTTAATGATACTCCCATCAAAAAAAAAAAAAAAAACAGAGTATGCTGCACTTATAATTGTGTATGCTGCATTGTCCAGTATATTCTTAACAGTTAATAAATCCCTTTTTTGGAGACAGGGTCTTGCTCTGTTGCCCAGGCTGGAGTGCAGTGGCACAATCACAGCTCACTGCAGCCTCGACCTCCCAGGCTCAAGCGATCCTCCCACCTCAGCCTCTCAACCAGTTGGGACTACAATACAGGTTCACGCCACCAAGCCTGGCTAATTTTTATATTTTTTTGTAGAGACGGGGTTTTGCCATGTTGCTCAAGCTGGTCTCGAACACCTGAGCTCAAGTGATCCGCCTGCCTTGGCATGAGAAATCCCATTTTAATCTAGGCATCAGTAAGAGCCAAATCTTCTGCATACAAGTCTATGTTTTAGAAGGATTTCCCACAGTCTAGCTTCTGGCTGTGTACATTTCAAACCTTGTGTCACCTCTACTACCTCTATGCTTCCAGTGTCAAGTACCATAGGACAGATTCATATCACAATATGACTTTATGACTTCTGGTTCTCTACTGTTCTGTCACTATACCAGGTGAGTCAGCACATGGGCTGTAAGGGGTGTTCCAGGAAGCCAGCCTTTTATTGGGACAGCAGTATGCAGTACACAAGGAAGTGACTGCAAACCACATAAATGTATCTTGCCAAAGCCCAGCTAAATGTATCCCTAACTCAACTTCACCTAAGCAGGATCCCAAAAATGTTCTTGGTCACTCCAACAGCACCTAATACAAGGGGAAACATGATGGAAGGAAATTTGGAATGGAAAGATACAGTGGTCTTAACTGACTGCAGTAAGAATATCTTACTGTCGCAAATTTTACAAAAATATATGACAATGTGAACACATTCCTAGGGGCCTTTCCAGGGCCTTGGAATATGAGGGTTCCTGAGGCTAAAACTTCATTAGCTTCAGGTAAAGCTGGCACTGCATATGGGGTGTGACAGAAAGGGAGACATTAAGGATGATTCTGAAGGTTTTGGCCTGAGGAATGAATAGGATGAAGTTGCTATTCCTGAGATGGTGAACACCTCAGGAGGAGAAGGTGGGCCAAGTGGAGAGGGCGGAGAGGGGGAAGATCAAGAGTTCAGTGTGACCATGATAAGTTGAGATGCCTGTTAGGCAGCCAAATGGAGATGCCAAGTAACTCTTACCATTCCATTGGTGGACTAGTCCTACTTGTCTTTCACAGTTCAGCTAAGTGTCATCTCTTCATTTTGGACTCACTGGGTAAGGTTAAGTCCATTGTTATACACTCTACAACATGCTGTACCTCTCTTTTTGTAAAAATTAACACCCCCGTGATGATTTTTTTTTTTTCTGAGACGGAGTTTCGCTCTTGTTGCCCAGGCTGGGGTGCAATGGTGCGATCTCAGCTCACTGCAACCTCTGCCTCCTGAGTTCAAACGATTCTCCGGCCTCAGCCTCCTGAGTAGCTGGGATTACAGGCATGTTCCACCACGCCTGGCTAATTTTGTATATTTAGGAGAGACGGGGTTTCTCCATGTTGGTCAGGCTGGTCTCGAACTCCCGACTTCAGGTGATCCGCTTGCCTCGGCCTCCCAAAGTGCTGGGGTTACAGGAGTGAGCCGCTGCGCCCGGCCGTGATGATACTTTTAATGGTTGTTGCTATGGTTTGAATATGTGTCCCCATCAAAGCTCATGTTGAAATTCAGTCCCCAGTTTGATGGTGTTGGGAGGTGCAGCCTAATGGGAGAAATTTAGGTCATGGGAGTGGGTCTCTCAGGAATAGATTAATGCCTTCCCTGGGGTGGGTGAGTGAGTTCTTGCTTAGTTACCTGAGAACTAGTTGTTAAAAAGAGCCTGACACCTCCCCTGACTCTCTCTTGCTTCCTCTCTTGCCATGGAATATCTGCACACTCTAGCTTCCCTTCGCCTTCCACCATGAGTGGAAGCAGCCTGAGGACCTCACCAGAAGCTAAGTAGATGCTATGGCCATGCTTCTTGTACTGTCTGCAGAACCGTGAGCCAAATTTTTAAAACAAATTACCCAGCCTCAGGTATTCCTTTATAGCAACACAAAGTGGGCTAAGATAATTGTCTCTCGCACTGCACTAGATAAACCTGGGACTGTGCATTACATACTGCGGCTATCTGTAATGTATAACACAGTACCCAGCAGTAGATAGATCTTCAAGAAATGTTGAAATATTTGTTGAATAAATGATACACAGTCAAGTAATTTTTCCAACTCATGGCTAGAAAATGGCAGAGCTAAGATTTACAGAGTCATATTTTTTCAATGTTTAAAAAACAAAGCAAATGACACATACAGAAAAGTGCTCTTAACACCAATGAATTTTCACAAATTGAGCACACTTTTTAAATTAGCACTCAGGCCAAGGAATAGAACATTGGCAGCATCCCAGAAGCGTCATGCTTCCTTTCTAAATTACTACCCCTCTTTCTTACCCCAATGTAACCAACATCCTGATTTCTAACATCATAAATTAGTTTTTCCTGGTTTTGAACTTTATATAAGTGGGATGTAATAGTATATATGCTTTTGTGTCTGGCTTCTTTTGCTCTATGTTTGTGAAATTTAGAAATGTTGTGAGTAGCAGTAGTTGCTCATTTTTATTTATTTTTATTGAGAATTACACAGCAGTTCTCAAACTTTTTGGTCTCAGGATCCCTTTAAATGTATGCAAATTATTGAGGAACCAAATAGATTTTGCTTATATGGGTTATAGCCATTGATATTTACTGTATTAGAAATTAGGCTGGGCATGGTGGCTCACGCCTATAATCCCAGCACTTTGGGAGGTTGAGGCGGGCAGATCACCTGAGGTCAGGAGTTCGAAACCAGCCTGGCCAACATGGTGAAACCCCGTCTCTACTAAAAATATAAAAATTAGCCAGGCATCATGGTGAGCATCTGTAATCCCAGCTACTCAGGAGGCTGAGGCAGGAGAATCGCTTGAACCTGGAAGGTGGAGGTTGCAGTGAGCCGAGATCGCGCCACTGCACTCCAGCCTGGGAAAAATTTAAAAATATTTATTAATTAAATAACCCATTACATGTTAACATAAATAAATAACATATTTTAGTGAATATAATTATATTTTCCAAAAGAAAAAGATTAGTGAGAAATATGGCATTGAGTATAAACTAGAGTCCTGGCAAATATGTTAGAATACTCACAGTGTATGCAGTGGCTGACTTCCAGAGGTCTTAGCCAAACCCCAGAAGAGCACAGGAATGATGGCAGCAGGAGGCACTACGATGGAGACCATGCATAGTTCCACAGTCTCTGGGTTTCATACTTCAACAAGCAGCAGGTCCGAATGAGTGTTCCAAGGAGACATGACATTGGTACATGGAAGGGACCCAATCAATTTGGTAAATGTGTAAATGCATGATGTGATAAAAAAAAAAAGTTGATCACTTTGGGTGGGAAATGACGATAATGGGAGGGCACAGACAAGGCAAGTAGGGAAGGGAGTGGTGGCAGAAAATAATATGCTTGTTTGGGAGGCAGAAGACCTACTTTTCAGGGTGCATGGCAAACCCTTTAGTGTGTTATTTATGGCTTCAATCTGTTTCTAGACCCATCTGCTACTCTGTCCCATGGTCCAGCCATTTCATTCCCCAGATAGGCAGGCACACACACACACACACACACACATTTCTGCCACTATTCATGCTATTTCCTTTACCTGCAATAACCTCCCTTCTTTGTCTCTCCTTTACTGTCAGTTAAATTCCTGATGATTCTTCAGGACCCAGTCGAAATGCCTGCTCCCACACACCCGCCCACCTGCCCAGACACTGACCTACTTCCTCGCCTTGGCATCTTAGCTCATCATTCTCTTCTATGTTCCCAGAGCACTTTGTGCTTACTCCTATTTCAGAATTTGACTCGTGTCATTATTGTCCAAGTGTCTGTCTTCCCCTCTAGACCAAGAACTAGATAAAGCAAGCCACGAGTCTTAGACACCTGTGAGTACCCAGCCCCAAACATAATTCCAGGCATATAGTAGGTGCTCAATACATGCTCACTGAATTATTAAAATGCCTGAGGTCTGTAGTGTTTGTCCTGCAGCTTCAAGTGGACAGCTCAGCTCTTCGTGACCTGGTAAGACACTTGCATATATATATATATATATATATATATATATATATATATACACACACACATAGTAACATGTTATCTCCTCTAAAGTGAAGAGCAATGGTCCTGTTAAAAGTTATGAAGCAAGAATGGATGGAAAGAGACAGGAAAAAGATAAAGAATGCAGGAATAGTCTGTTCTCACATTTTAAAAAATCTACTTGGGAGTATTTGTTTTTGCTAAGAAAGCGTAGAGGCAGCCCTGGTCATAGCACTGCAGTAGGAGACGGGGGCGGCCCATGAGGCGTCTTCCTCACCACAGGATTTCCATCAAATCCCTTAGTCTGCCCTCTGGTTAAGGACAATATCACCTTCTTCCCTTATCCCAAAGCTTAGGCTTTTCACATAGCCAAAGACCCTCTGAAGTTATGAGTATATTTTTAACAAGAGCCATAGGGAGATAATGTCCTGCCTTTACCATCCTCCTCAGTAAGGGCATATCACATATTCTGATTCCAAGTCCTCCCTTCTCTGGGAAGCCTTTCCTGAGAAAAGCCCACAAATTGTGATGCCTCTTGATTCTTTTGGCTGGGGAGTTGAGTGACACAGTATATGAGAATGTAAAGATGGACATGTTTCACATGCAGGCTTTCTCCCATCTAGACTTGAGCCCTTGTCCACAGAGATAGTGGCGCATCATTTTCTGTCCCCAGCAATGTCTCATATGGGGCATTCCACGTTGGTGCACAATAAATATTTGCTGATTGATCAAGGATGGGTGGGCAGGCTAGTCTGTACCTTTCAGAGACCATAGGTCATGCATATTTACTTTGTCTGTGGCTGATTAATTAACCTTCTGTTGTCAAGCCATCTCTGAAGCTGGAAAGATAAGAAAAAGCCCTGTCTCGACTTCAGATTAGAGGTCAGGAGGTGTTGGTTTCTAGCTGTGGCTTCTTCATTAACTGGTAAAAACTTGGGCAAGCCAATTTGTTGTTCTGGGCCTCAGTTTCCTGGACTGAAAAAAGAATGGGAGACTTAGGTTTCATGGCCAAGATAGAGTAACAGAACCCAGGTATACCCTCCTGCATGAAACAATGGGTTTTAAGACATTGAACGTTAGGCAATGAAGGACAGTAATCCCAGAGAGATGGGAACAAACAAGGGGAGCCCTATGATAACCTTAGTCTGTTTCCTTGAGAAAATTTCAGAAAGTGACATAGGGAAGGGTACTGAAGTAGAGCCTGGTGGACCTCCTTGAATTAAGGAGACAGAACTGAAGGTCAAGGGAGACCAAGAAAGGAGAGCTCATAGGACAGAACACCAGAGAGGAAAGAGCTACTCTAAGAAAGACCTAGAGTATTCAGCAGAGTACTGATCAGCATGTATGTGTGAGAAAACTACTCAAGGGTGGCAAATAACCATCTGACATGATTAGAGGGAACTGTGCCTTGTGCTCACATAGGGCCAGAAATAGTGCTTCTTCCCTCCAGGCAGACTGGAGAAACTCATAATTCATGGGACATTGAGTAGTCAGGAGGTCTTGCCTAAGTAATGGGAAATAACTAGCCAAGACTAAGTGCTGTTGCAGACCCACCTAACCAACCACAAAAGCAAACCCAGAAGAATCAAACTGTTTCCAAGTAATTTAACTGACCATACCAAGTGTTGATGAGGATGTGGAGCAACTGGAACTCTCATTCACTGCTGGTGGGACTGCAAAATGGCACAACCCATTTGGAAATCATTTTGGCAGTTTCTAAAAATGTTAAACATACACCTGCCATATGACACAGCCATTCTACTCTTAGGTATTTACTGAAGAGAAATGAAAGCCTATGTACATTCAGAGACTTGTACATGAATGTTCAAGGCATCTTTATTTATAATAGCCAACAACTAGAAACAAACCAAATACCCATCAGTAGGTGAATGCATAAATTGTGGTGTATCCATGCAGTGAAATACTACATGCAACAATGTGGATAAATCTTAAAATGATTATACTGAGTAAAAGAAGCTAGACAAAAAGAGCACATACTATATGATTCCATTTTTTTTTTTGAGACAGCGTCTCACTGTGTTGCTCAGGCTGGAGTGCAGTGGTGTGATGTCAGCTCACTGCAAGCTCTGCCTCCTGGGTTCAGGCCATTCTCCTGCCTCAGCCTCCTGAGCAGCTGGGACCACAGGCGCCTGCCACCATGCCTGGCTAATTTTTTGTATTTTTTAGTAGAGACAGGGTTTCACTGTGCTAGCCAGGATGGTCTCAATCTCCTGACCTCGTGATCCGCCCGCCTCGGCCTCCCAAAGTGCTGGGATTACAGGCGTGAGCCACCGCACCTGGCCTATATGATTCCATTGTTATAAAATTGTAGAAAATGCAAATAATCTATTGGGACAGGAAACAGACCAGGGTTTGCCTGGGGATGGTTTGGAGAAGAGAAAGAAGTGTGCAAGTGAGAGAATACAAAGGAGCATGAACTAATTTTTGGGTTTTTAGGTATGCTCATCATCTTTGTTATGATGCTGGTTTCACGGGTATCCACGTCTATCAAAACTTATCAAATCATACACTTTAAATATGTGCAGTTTATTGTATGTCAATTATTCCTTAATATAGTTGCTTTAAAAATCCATTAATTTATCTCGTACTTTGAATTAATCTTTTACCCATGCTTAATTTTGTAACAATATGCTTTTGGAAAATATTGTTTTACTGAGGTATGCAGGCAGACCTTCCAAATATTAACAGATTTTGCCATATATTATTTAAAAAATCACATTTGTTACTATTACCACAGACCTCATCAGGACAGTCTTTAAGCATGGGGACGCTGTCAAGCTCATACAGATTTTCTAAAATTCTCTTTTTTACTTGAAAGCTCCCATATATTTTATTCATTTATGTATTTTTTAGAGATGGGCTCTCACCGCATTACTGGGGCTGGTCTTGAACTCCTGGGCTCAAGCAATCCTCCCACATCAGCCTCCCGAAGTGCTGGGATTACAGGCGTGAGGAACTGTGCCTGGAGAAAGCTCCAATATTATCATTGGTAGCATATACTGCTAGTTAAGTGACAGACTCACTTTGTTCATTTTCCAGGAAATGTCTGCCAAAAGCCTAAATCTGAATAACTGTAGTTCGTCTGTTAGCCATTCTTTCAAGTAAAAATAGGGTTCCATGACAAAATTGTCTAGTTCAGCTCACAACTCTAACAAGTACTTTTCCTCAAGACAACCATTATACATTGGTGTGTAACAGATGTGCCTTATGCATGCTTCCTAGCTCATCATATGGACAATGTACCCAATGATTAGATTTGATAGAATTGATTTTTACTTCTTCATCAAGGACTTTGTTTACTGAGTGTGTAGGGTGAAGAATGCCATGAATACCAGTACAGTTGGTACCACTGCCTTGATTTGTGCTGAGGTGCTGGCAATATATATATCTTTGCTTTTGCACCATCAGTACAAATGTCAATGTGTCAATGCAATGAAGAAGGCAAATATCCTTTTAGTGTTATGAAAATGATTTTGACCTTGAGGACCCCTTGTAAAGGTTTTGGGGACTCCTCAGAGATCCACAGATCACATTTTTGAGAAAAGGTGCTATGCAGCATTATATTGTCAGAATATACTACAATCTATTGATTTTTACTATTGTCAGACATTTGGAATATTCTGTTCTGAGCTATTACAAATAGAAGTGATAAGAATATCTTTGGACACTTCTCTGAGTTATACATGTGCATGTATTTGTGTTGGATATGCTTAGAAGTAAATTTGCTGGCTCACAGTGTATATGTATGCTCAAGTTTAGTAAATCATGCCAAATGGTTTTCCAAAGTGGATGCATTATTTCACACTCCCACCAGCAGTGTCTGAGTTTTAGAGGATTTGAATTCAGATGCATCTGATTGTAAACTCAAGCTCTATACAGTGATAGATTTTGCTTTTTAAAATAAAATTAATAGTTGCTCATGATAAAAATTCACAATATAGACGAGTTTAAGTTGAAAAGTACCACAGAAATGAGAACACTACTATAAAAGGATATGTGTACAAGGATGTTAGTGATAGCTCAGTTTGCAGTGGCAAAGGAAAACAGTTAATGCCCATCAGTATTTAATAATACATCAATAATATTGACTATTAGCCATTAAAAAAGGAAGAATTAGGGCTGGGTATGGGCTCATGCCTATAATCCCAGTACTTTGGGAGGCCGAGGTGGGAGGATCTCTTAAGGCCAGGAGTTCAAGACCAGTCTGGGCAATACAGTAAGACCCCATCTCTACAAATAAAAAGTAAAAAAAAATTATCTAGGTGTGGTGGCATACACCTTTAGTCCCAGCTACTTAGGAGGCTGAAATAGGAGAATTGCTTGAACCCAGGACTTCAAAGCTACAGTAGGCTATGATTGCACTACTGCACTCCAGCCTGTTCAACAGAGCAAGATCCTGTCTCTAAAAAACAACAACAAAAACAAAAAAGGAGGAATTAAGTCTATACCAGCAGACTTAGAGGAATTCCTCAAAGTTTCATTAAGCAGCAAGGATACAATGCTGAGAAGCATATACAGTATGAACCCGTTTTGTTATTTGTAAAGCAAACAACAAGAACAGCCTATGCATGTATGAATAGGTTTGTATATGAATAACTGGACATGACTAAAGGTGCTAAAAGTCACATAACAGGCTGTTAATTATGTTTAGGGATGGGGCAAAAAAAAAAAAGTGTGAATAAACATGCCCGTGATAAAAACAGCATGTATGAGATCCCATCTTTGTAAAAGTGTGTGTGTGTGTGCACGCACGCGTATGAATAGGGAAAGGTAGGGAAGTATGGTCATTGTCTTAATCTGTTTCCTGTTGCTATAACTGAGTACCCGAGACTGGGTAATTTACAAAGAAAAGAAATTTATTTCTTACAGTTCTGGAGGCTGGTTGTCCAAGGTTGAGGGACCACTTCTGGTAAGGGACTTCTTACAGCATCATAATATGGCAGAGGGCATCACATGGTGAGAGGACAAGAACTTGCCAAACTGGCTTTTATAACAGACCCAGTCCCATGATTACCCATGAATCCATGAATGGATTAATCCATTAATGAGGGCACAGCCCTCATGACCCAATAACCTCTTAAAAGCCTCACCTCTTAATACTGTTACATTGGGGAGTACGTTTCAACATGAGTTTCAGAGGGGTCAAATATTTAAACCAGAGCAGTCTACCAAAACATAATTTGCGGTTATCTCTGGGTAGGATTTGTTTGTGATTTTTTTCTTCCTTAAACTTGTATTTATCACCAGAATTTTTAAAGAATAAATATATGTTACTGGGACAAAGATTTGTAAAAGGTGCTGGGTATACTGACTAGTTATCTGGAAAAATATAAAATGAGGTCCAATCTGTACACCACACACAGGAATTAACTCTAAATGGATCAAGGATCCAAGTGTAATACATGAAACTATACAGATATTAAAAGAGGCTGGGCGCAGTGGCTCACTCCTGTAATCCCAACACTTTGGGAGGCTGACATGGGTGGATTGCTTGAGTCAGGAGTTCAAGACCAACCTGGGCAGCATGGCAAAACCCTGCCTCTACTAAAAATACCCACACACAAAAATAGCCGGGAGTGGTGGTGTGTCCGGAATTGGTGGGTTCTTGGTCTCACTGACTTCAAGAACGAAGCCGCGGACCCTCGCGGTGACTATTACAGCTCTTAAGGTGGCGCGTCTGGAGTTTGTTCCTTCTGATGTTCGGATGTGTTCGGAGTTTCTTCCTTCTGGTGGGTTCGTGGTCTTGCTGGCTCAGGCAGGAGTGAAGCTGCAGACCTTCGTGGTGAGTGTTACAGCTCATAAAGGCAGTGTGGACCAAAAGAGTGAGCAGCAGCAGGATTTATCGCAAAGAGCGAAAGAACAAAGCTTCCACAGTGTGGAAGGGGACCCGAGCGGGTTGCCACTGCTGGCTCGGGCAGCCTGCTTTTATTCTCTTATCTGCCCCACCCACATCCTGCTGATTGGTAGAGCCGAGTGGTCTGTTTTGACAGGGCACTGATTGGTGCGTTTACAATCCCTGAGCTAGACACAAAGGTTCTCCACGTCCCCACCAGATTAGCTAGATACAAAGTGTGGACACAGAGATTCTCCAAGTCCCCACCAGAGTAGCTAGATACAGAGTGTCGATTGGTGCATTCACAAACCCTGAGCTAGACACAGGGTGCTGATTGGTGTGTTTACAAACCTTGAGCTAGACATAAAGGTTCTCCAAGGCCCCACCAGAGTAGCTAGATACAGAGTGTTGATGGGTGCAGTCACAAACCCTGAGCTAGACACAGGGTGCTGATTGGTGTGTTTACAAACCTTAAGCTGGATACAGAGTGCCGATTGGTGTATTTACAATTTCTTAGCTAGACATAAAGGTTCTCCACGTCCCCACCAGACTCAGAAACCCAGCTGGCTTCACCCACTGGATTCTGCACCGGGACTGCAGGTGCAGCTGCATGCCAGTCCTGCGCCATGCGCCCGCACTCCTCAGCCCTTGGGTGGTCAATGGGACTGGCCGCAGTAGAGCAGGGGACAGCACTCATCGGGGAGGCTCGGGCTGCACAGGAGCCCACGGAGGGGGTGGGAGGCTCAGGCACGGCGGGCTGCAGGTCCCAAGCCCTGCCCCACGGGAAGGCAGCTCAGCCCTGGTGAGAAATTGAGCGCAGCGCCAGTGGGCTGGCACTGCTGGGGGCCCCAGTACACCCTCCCCAGCCGCTGGCCCAGGTGCTAAGCCCCTCATTGCCCGGGGCCGGCCGGGCCAGCCGTCTGCTCCGAGTGCGGGGCCCGCCAAGCCCACGCCCACCCGGAACTCCAGCTGGCCTGCAAACGCTGCGTGCAGCCCCGGTTCCCACTGGTGCCTCTCCCTCCACACCTCCTTCCACGTTGGGGAGCCGGCTCTGGCCTTGGCCAGCCCAGAAAGGGGATCCCACAGGGCAGTGGTGGGCTCAAGGGCTCCTCAAGTGCCGCCACAGTGGGAGCCCAGGCAGAGGAGGCACCAAGAGCGAATGAGGGCTGTGAGGACTGCCAGCATGCTGTCACCTCTGAGTGGCACACACCTGGGTACCAGCTACTTGGGAGGCTGAGGTGAGAAGATCATTTTGTGTCCGGAATTGGTGGGTTTTTGGTCTCCCTGACTCCAACAATGAAGCCGCAGACCCTCGCAGTGAGTGTTACAGCTCTTAAGGTGGCGTGTTTGGAGTCTGTCCCTTCTGATGTTCAGATGTGTTTGGAGTTTCTTCCTTCTGGTGGGTTTGTGGTCTCGCTGGCTCTGGAGTGAAGCTGCAGACCTTCACAGTGAGTGTTACAGCTCTTAAGGTAGCACGTCTGGAGTTGTTCATTCCTCCCAGTAGGCTTGTGGTCTTGCTGGGCTCAGGAGTGAAGCTGCAGATCTCCACGGGGAGTGTTACAGCTCATAAAAGCAGCGTGGACCCAAAGAGTGAACAGTAGCAAGATTTATTGCAAAGAGCAAGAAAACAAAGCTTCCACAGTGTGAAAGGGGACTGGAGTAGGTTGCCACTGCTGGCTCAGGCAGCCTGCTTTTATTCTCTTATCTGGCCCCACCCACATCCTGCTGATTGGTAGAGCCCAGTGGCCTGTTTTGTCAGGGCACTGATTGGTGCGTTTACAATCCCTGAGCTAGATACAAAGGTTCTCCACATCCCCATCAGATTAGTTAGATACAGAGTTTGGAAACACAGGTTCTCCAAGGCCCCACCAGAGCAGCTAGATACAGAGTGTCGATTGGTGCACTCATAAACCTTGAGCTAAACACAGGGTGCTGATTGGTGTGTTTACAAACCTTGAGCTAGATACAGAGTGCCCATTGGTGTATTTACAATCCCTGAGCTAGACATAAAGGTTCTCCACATCCCCACCAGAGCAGCTAGCTACAGAGTGTCGATTGGTGCACTCACAAACCTTGAGCTAAACACAGGGTGCTGACTGGTGTATTTACAATCCCTGAGCTAGACATAAAGGTTCTCCAAGGCCCCACCAGAGCAGCTAGATACAGAGTGTCGATTGGTGCACTCACAAACCTTGAGCTAGACACAGGGTGCTGATTGGTGTGTTTACAATCCCTGAGCTAGATATAAAGACTTTCCACGTCCCCACCAGACTCAGGAGCCCAGCTGGCTTCACCTAGTGGATCCCGCACCAGGGCTGCAGGTGGAGCTGCCTGCCAGTCCCACGCCGTGCGCTCGCATTCCTCAGCCCTTGGGTGGTCGATGGGACTGGGCGCCATGGAGCAGGGGGTGGTGCTTGTCGGGGAGGCTCGGGCCACACAGGAGCCCTTGGAGTGGGTGGGAGGCTCAGGCATGGCGGGCTGCAGGTCCCAAGCCCTGCCCCGCGGGAAGGCAGCTAAGGCTCGGTGAGAAATCGAGCACAGCGCCGGTCGGCTGGCACTGGTGGGGGACTCAGTACACCCTCCACAGCCACTGGCCCGGGTCCTAAGTCCCTCATTGCCCGGAGCCAGCAGGGCTGGCCAGATGCTCCGAGTGCAGGGCCCGCCAAGCCCACGCCCACCCGGAACTCCAGCTGGCCCGCAAGCGCCTCACGCAGCCCCGGTTCCTGCTCGCGCCTCCCCCTCCACACCTCCCTGCAAGCTGAGGGAGTTGGCTCCAGCCTTGGCCAGCCCAGAAAGGGGCTCCCACAGTGCAGCGGCAGGCCGAAGGGCTCCTCAAGTGCCACCAAAGTGGGAGCCCAGGCAGAGGAGGCGCCGAAAGCAAGTGAGGGCTATGAGCACTGCCAGCACGCTGTCACCTCTCAATTTGAGCCTGGGGGGTGGAGGTTGCAGTGAACTGAGATCACGCCACTGCACTCGAGCCAGAGTGAGATCCTGTCTCAAAAAAAGAAAAAAAAAAAAAAAGAAAATGTGAACAAATTCCCTTTTACCCTTGGTGTAGGGAAAGGCTCTTTAATCATGACTCAAAATCTAGAAGCAATAAAAGAAAAAAATGGATAAACTTGACTACATTTTAAAATTCCATGGCAAAAAGCCTCATCATAATCAACACCAAAAAACAACTGAGAAACTGGAAGCAAATATGTGCAATATGCATCACAGATAAAGGGGCTAAAATTGTGACTCTACAAATAATGCTTCAAAATTGATGGGCATAGGTCCCCAAAACTGAATAGGAAAATGGAGAAATACGTGAACAGACAATTATCTATCATCAGTAAATAGCTCCTTAACCTTGTAACCTTACATATAATTAGGTAAATGCAATTAAAGCAACACCAGGATATCATTTCCCCCTATCAGATCAGCAAAAATTAAAAAGTACGGCAATACATTCTGTTGGCAAGTCCATAGTTACATAAATAAATAATTGAATTCATACATAGGGAGAAGGGAAAGCACTTTCTCACAGTAGAATGCCAATTAATAAATGTAGAAGGAATGACGGAAATAGAAAATCACCATTTGACAAATATCACAGTAATAATTGTGTTAGGCAAGAATCATCAAAGGGTTAGTGGGCAAAGTATGATGAGAAACAGGATATTCATATAGGCTCAAGCTATCTCTCCACAAGCTATAAACTAATTTGGAAAAGAAAAGGAGTAAATTTACAGTGGAGCAACCCAACAGACACCCCTTAACCAAGTGGTCAAAGTTAACATAACCAGTAATTAGACATATACATTGTGTGTCTCTTAATAGGATGCAGCGAAAAGGGCCTTGCATTAATTCTGTGATTTTCTTTTCCCAAATGCATAACCTGTACTTAGTCATAAGAAAACATGAGACAAACCTAAATTGAGAGACATTCTGCATAATAACTAGGCGTTACTTTTCTAAAGTGTCCAGGTCATGAGAAACAAAGACAGACCGAGAAGCTGTACCAGACTGCAGGAGACCGAGGAAATATAACAAGTAAATACAATGTGGGATCCTGGATTGGATCTTAGACCAGAAAAAGAGCAGCAGTGAGCCAATTGACAACTTCTGCATAAAGCCTCTAGATTAGTCAATAGTATCATATTGATGTTAATTTCCTGGGTTTGATTTATATAAGATGTTAACATTTGGGAAGCTGGTAGGGGGCAGATATTTGAATTCTTTGTACTGTTTTTGCAAGTTTTTTATAAGTCTGAAATTATTTCCAAATCAAAAGTTAAAATATGAAAAAAAGAATAAACATATATTGCTTATATAATCAGAAAAAAAAAACACAAAAAACTAGTTTTATTGTGAAAATAAGCCAAAATAAAAATAAACTCCCAAAATTCAAGTGAAATCTCCTTTCCCTTTACCCTCATCCGCAGCTCCATTCCGCAGGGGTAACCACTGTTACCATTTTCTTGTTTATCCACCCAGGAGTTTTTGCTGGGTGGATAAACACCGTGTGTGTGTGTGTGTGTGTGTGTGTGTGTGTGTGTGTGTCTGAAAGGGATACACACACACACACAGACACACACACACACACACCCCCCACAGATGAGATTGAGGCAGGAGAATAACGTCTGGAGGCAGGGAACCTAAAGCTGTTTCATGCTGACTTCCTAGAACTAAATTGAAAGGAAAACCCTAACTTTCCACGCCTAAGTAACAAAAGGACCAGAGGCTACTGCCTTTGCAAACCCCCACCTTTTCTGCACCACAGATGGGAAATTGAAAGTACCTCTGATTGGTTGCTTTTTGCATAGGAGGGCAACTTTGCAACTTCACTTCAGCCCCTAATTGGTTGCTGCAACCAATACTAATTGGGTGTAACTTTGTAACTTCACTTCAGCCTCTGATTGGAATCACACTGATTGCGGGCCACCACTTTATTTACATGAGGTGAGCACAAAGTGTCCAATGGGAAACTCTAGGGGGTACTTGGACCCCAGAAGATTCTGTATCCAGGGCTCTTGAGCCTCTACTCAGCCTGCTCCCACACTGTGGAGTGTACTTCCGTTTTCAATAAATCTCTGCTTTTGTTGCTTCATTCTTTCCTTGCTTTGTTTATGCATTTTGTCCAATTCTTTGTTCAAAATGCCAAGAACCTGGATATCCTCCACTGGTAACAAGATGACATTTATTCATACTATTCTGCTTCTATTTTCTTCATGAAACAGTATATTTTGGCTACTTATCAGTGCACATCCACATACATGCACCTCTTTTTTTTTTTTTGGTTTAATCTTTATCAGTCGGCCAGTCCTTGTTAGTTGTAATTTCTATTGGCTCCTGTTTTTCACTATTACAAGAAATGCTGCAGTGAACACCCTTGTTGATGTATGTTTGTGCATATGTGCAAGGGTATTTCAAGAAGGAAATTCTTCTTCACTTGGGGTTGGAATCACCTTTCTGCTTTGTATTCTGGCTGGACGGGAAACAAATGTGCATTAGACCATGGTGGAGTCTGGTCCTCTGTGGGAAAATAAGCTTAACATGGAAAGCAGTGGAGCCCTGGCCCCCTGCTCCATATTGGAGTACACATTCTCGTGGCCAGAATACTTGTGTCTTTCCCCTGAAGAGGAAGATAAATTTTTACTGCCCAGCTCTGCATTTTCAATATATCATTTATCAGTCACTCCACACTTCTGTCAGTTGAACTTTAATTTTATTTAACAAACACTTCTAATATGGTTAACGTGTGCTGGTCACTGAAATATTTTGCAAATGTTAACTCATTTTATCCTCATAACAGTCTTATGTGCTAGGTACTATCATTATCCTCATTTTTCAGATGAGGAAACTGAGGCACCAGGATGTTAAGTAACACACCCAAAGATACACAATAGCTCCAATGTCATCTCGCTGTTCCTCCTTTACCAGTCATTTTCTTCTAGTATACATATCACAAAGTACAGGGTTAGGCCCACATCCCTCCCTGAGCCATTCATCTGGCGGCTACTCTTCTCTGCTGTTCCATGGACCAACACTCAATTTTCCACTGATCTCCTCCAGAAATCCAGCACTCAAGTCCCCTTCTAAGAAGGATAAACAGACACTGGTGAGTGAATGAGGGGACACCATACATTCCTATACTGTCCTCTCATTTATACTTCCCAACATCACCACCAGGGTTGTACAGATTTTGCAGAAGGCCTGTGAATAACTGAAAGGAATTTCAAGTATGGGGACTTTTAAAAAATAATCTACTGCCCATGTCCATGTCTGTAGACCAAGAGAAAATCACCAGAGAGGCCCATCACAGAGAGAACCCTCATGCCCTTCTTCCTTGAATTCAGCTTCACTTTTTTCCTCTTCTTTCAACCCATCAAATGAAGCTCCACCCACTACCTACTCACAGGGCTTGGTCTTGCCCCAGGTCCCACCTCTATCTTCCCTAGAAGCCCACTGGCCCACATCTTAGTTATTCAGCCTGGCATATGGCTCTGAGCCTTCCAAATGGACAGGTTAGGGTAGGCTCTGGCATTCCAGGTGTCATCGCTTTCCAAAGGTCCCCATCAGTAGGGGTCACAGAGAGATAAATGCTTTTTTGTTTTTCCTGATATCCCGTGGGTGATGGTTGGATGAAACACATACGCACGTCTATCTCTTCAGGCTAAACAACAGATTCTCAGAGAGAATGCCGTCTAAATCCAAATGGAAGAAAAGAAACCTTCTCCCAACTTTCCCAGCTCACAGGGGCGATGGTGCCTCACATGATTATGCAGAGCAGTGCCCCTTTCTCTTCTCATTTTCAAGGAATGAGAAATAGACTCAGAATGGAATAATAATCACTAAGATTTAGTAAACATTTACTGTAGGTGAGGTTGTGGATGGTCCCATGTAAGCCTCATAACAGTCCCGTGATGTTACAGGGAGTATAACTATCATCTCAGAGATGAGGAAACTGAGGCACTGTATATCATAAAGGCCACACAGCTGGTAAGTGGGGCAGCAGGGATTTACACTTGGCAGCCAAGTGTCCAGAGCCTGTGTACTTTCTGTAACACCATACAGCTTCCTTATAGTTCAAACTGTAAGTGGTAGAGGTGAGATTTGAAGCCAGATCATTTGACTCAGGACCCTGAGCTCCCAGCACCTTAAGCCTCCTGCAAGGGCAGCTACTTACATACACAAAGAACTGGCTTTGGGATGATTGAATGGTATTGCTTTAAGTTGCCAGATGAGGCCCTTCCCTCTCACTGTTCTGTCAGCAGAAAAAAGGCAATGTAAATGTTTATGCTCTTCTAGTACAAGCAAACCCCTAGGGATCTTTTCATGATGGACACACTTTTGAAATCATCTAGATTTAGAGCAGATGAAAGACTGCTGGGGTTTCTGTTGTTTGGCTTGGTTTGGTTTCAGCATTTCTTCCTGCGGCTCTAAGCAGAGGATCTGGAATTTGTCTTGGGTCAAACCTGCCCTTTCTCTGGGACAGACCACTTCATTGAGGCCTCTTAGTAAGTTACCTATCTGCCAGTGTTCCTCGATGGTGGTGGAAAAGGGGAAGGCAGATGCTGTAGACTGGGGTTTTATGTATTCTATTAAAAAACGGTAAAGGTGGTCTTCACTGGGTTTTGCTTCAGCTGGCTCAATCTGGGAATGAGGTACAAAGAACACAGTGTTTGGCCAAGGCAGAGGGATGTGAAGGCCCCTCTCAGTAGAGGTTGGCCATCTATTTGGGGGTGACTTGATCAGCCTAAGAAAGAGCAGGATTGGACATGTCCCCTCCTGCCTTTCACTTCCTCCCTGCTAAATGGGGTGAGGTAAGATCAGTACTGGAGGTAGTGTCTTGCTCCAAAATTTCCCGTATTGTGTCTTTTGGGTTTCTTATTGTGCAACATTGGATCCTATGGGTATAAAGTACACAGTGAGGTGCTGGGTGGAGTTGAGGCCAGCTGAGTCTAGTGAGGAATGGTGAAAGATGAGGTGGGTATACATGAAAAAGGGGAAGCTGGAGGCAAAGGTGACAGGGTTCATAATCTCCAGATATGTAACTGGGCCCTGGGAGTGGTCCTTGGGTATGTAATAGCAGCAGGTGGAGCAGACACTGTAGTAGGAGAACTTGATGAAATATTTGGAAAATGCAGATGTCCCTTTGGCCTTCCTGGGGGAATCTAGAATGCTTCCAGTTAGCCACAAGACTCTTATTGTTCAATCCCCATATGCCTGCTGGGTACAATTGTTCACTGTACAAGGGAATCTGGTTGAGAGGATCAGTAAGGATTGAAATCCAGCCTTCGCTGTACTCACCAATTCATGCAACCTGGTGCAGAGGTGTGCATCTGGAGAGCCTTTTTCAAATTTGCACGCAGTCACCTCATGGCCTATGGGCAGCCATGACCCTCACATCCAGTACAGTGTCTGGTGCATAATAGATAATTGACATCTGTTGACCGAAAGCAAAAGATGGTGATGCAGCTGGTTGGTATGAGAAAGAAAGCTGCAATGACTATGAAAAAGGGTCCTCTAATAGATGGGTGCAGAGTATGGTAAGCAAATTTAGCATTTGGGAGGTGTGTGTCCCAGTTATCTTATTTGTTGAAGGTGAATGACAACCAGAAGTCTCCTCCAAAATCTATCTGGCTGTTGTTCAGTTTGATTGTTGTGGGCAATGGACAAGTGGATTTGGACATGGTGGATCAGAAGTGTGCTCTATAGAAACTTTGCACAAATTGGGCTCCCCAGTCAGATGTTACAGGGTAGGCTGTCTTAGAGGTGGAACAATTATGTCTCTGAAGAATAAGGTAGAGATAACTGGGGCAGAAAGTGGTCCAGCTGAAGAGAGAAAGTGGGTTGTTCTCATGAAGGTGTTGACTTCAATGATTATTATGCTATGACCACAGTTGGCAGAGAGTTGGTGAGGAATGTAAGGAACGTCTCCTAGGAATGCTTGGTGATTGAGGGAGGATGGGGTAGCTCTGTTGAGCTTCTTTAGCCTTTTTTGTTTTCCTGTGGCCAAAAACATGCCTCAGTGTAGTACAGGATGTTGAGTAAGTCAAGGTGCTTCATGCTGTGTGTTTCAAAAGAGCATTGGTAACGAGCTACAATAGCATCGTAGCACAGACTTAGGACCTACATATAGGGCTTTGCTGTCAGGTATGAACAGGCAGTTCTGCCTATGTAGTGGGTCTCCCTTCACTATGCTTCTCTGGAGACCCCACCTTGAGATGAGCCTGGATCTCTTCCTGGTGCTGCTGGACACGGGTTAGGGAATCATAGGGAAAGAAAGTGGTACTTGAACATTTTCCAACAAGTCACTTTGCAGCATGTCTTCCTTGTGCTGGGAACAATCACTTGGAAATGCTCTCTGGGTAAATCTGAGGCAGGTAGGTAATTATTGCTTTGGGCTAAGGGTGTAACAAGATCTTTTGTGGTTTGACAAAGACTGCCTCTCCGCAAATTCCTTGGTTTGTTGAGCTGGTTGCTGGGGAGGAAGTATGTAAATTTGCATAGGGGCCAGGGAGCCTCCTTGGAAGAAAGGGATTATGAAACCCCGTCTCTACTAAAAATACAAAAAAAATCAGCCAGGTGTGGTGGTGCATACCTGTAATCCCAGCTACTCGGGAGGCTGAGGCAGGAGAATCGCTTGAACCCAGGAGGCGGAGGTTGTGGTGAGCGAAGACCGTGCCATTGCACTGTAGCCTGGGCAACAAGAGTGAAACTCTGTCTCAAAAAAAAAAAAAAGAAAAGAAATCCTATACGTTTCTCATATAAAAAAGTATTTTAGCTCAAATTTTACTTCTTCAGAGAGGCCTTCCCTGATCACTCAAGTTATTATCACTTTATTTTGTTTTATAATTTTCATTGCACTTAATATTTGTACCTATCTTTTTGGGGAAACAATTTACTTGTCTATTGTATACCTTTGCCCACTAGAATATGAGTTCCTTGAGGGCAGGAATATTCTCCGCCTTGTCTATCCTGTATCCCTGTGCTTCGAATCATGCCTGGTACAATAATAATGTTCTATAAGTATTTGCTGAAGGAATGAATGACTGAATGGAATAGCTATGTGGGAGGTTACAAAATTAAAAGTACAAAGATTCTTCCTGCTCTTACCCTCAGTCTTACTAATCAGAGTATCATTTGATACCTTTGAGCTTCTTTTGACCATTTCTGGGATTTTTTTTTCTGTTGGTTATTTCCATAATTCTTAATAAGATGCTTTTACTTTGAAATCTTGATTTATTTCCTTTAAGCAGTATTGACTTTCCTCTTTTTTGTTAGCTCCTCAATTGTTTACCATTAACACTTTGCATAATGTACTTAAGCTTCCATTTACACTTACTTCTTGAGGCTTACTGTGTCAAATGAAGAAATTACTCCCCACTCCTCCTGGTTATTTGAGTACTTTAACATTGTTAAAGTTTAAACCATTTTCATATTTACATTCCATTCTATAACTATATTTGTCTTTCATACTTTTTCTATAGGTTGATTCTGAAAGCCAATAAACATCACTTACAAAATTATAATTTTGTAAATGTTATTAGTTGCAGAAAACAGAATGTGTGATTTGATCACTGGAGGAGATGTAATCCTGTATCCCTATACCTAGGCCACTTGAAGGGAAATAGTACAAATTTCCAGTTCAAATGGTTTTTCTTTTCTTACACTCCAATTGCTGAGTTATGCCACATTTTAGATTGTTTGATATATGGATCATGACTTTTTGGGAAAGTTTTCCTTTCTTAAAATTTCTAATTATTTTTTGGCAGAAGATATAGGTGCCTTTGTCACCATATTACTGATACCTTCCAATTGTTCACATAGACGACTTGTTAAATGCTCTAACATATACCCACTCTTTCTATGCCTCACTCCTTCACAGCTACCATTTTAGGATTTTTTTTTTCATTGCATTCCTGGGTTATCATCTCTGTTTCTTACATCCTAGGTCTTTCTCTTTCTTGGATCTCTTTTTTTTTTTATTGTTAGAATACATCCTCAAGTAATTTTTTTCAGAGAAGAGGGCTAGGGGTAAAATTTCTGAGTTCTCTCATGCCTAAACATGTCTTTTTATTTTTATTCTTATATTTGACTAATATAGAATTCTAGGTTCAAGGTCATTTTCCCTCAAAATTCACAGGTATTATTGTCAGGCCTCTGAGCCCAAGCCAAGCCATCGCATCCCCTGTGACTTGCACGTATACGCCCAGATGGCCTGAAGTAACTGAAGAATCACAAAAGAAGTGAAAAGGCCCTGCCCCGCTTTAACTGATGACATTCCACCATTGTGATTTGTTCCTGCCCCATCTTAACTGAGTGATTAACCCTGTGAATTTCCTTCTCCTGGCTCAGAAGCTCCCCCACTGAGCACCTTGTGACCCCCGCCCCTGCCCACCAGAGAACAACCCCCTTTGACTAATTTTCCATTACCTTCCCAAATCCTGTAAAACGGCCCCACCCCTATCTCCCTTTGCTGACTCTCTTTTCGGACTCAGCCTGCCTGCACCCAGGTGAAATAAACAGCCATGTTGCTCACACAAAGCCTATTTGGTGGTCTCTTCACACAGACTCGAGTGAAATTTGGTGCCGTGACTCGGATCAGGGGACCTCCCTTGGGAGATCAATCCCCTGTTCTCCTGCTCTTTTCTCCATGAGAAAGATCCACCTACGACCTCAGGTCCTCAGACCGACCAGCCCAAGAAACATCTCACCAATTTCAAATCTGGTAAGCGGCCTCTTTTTACTCTCTTCTCCAGCTTCCCTCACTATCCCTCAACCTCTTTCTCCTTTCAATCTTGGTGCCACCCTTCAATCTCTCCCTTCTCTTAATTTCAATTCCTTTCATTTTCTGGTAGAGACAAAGGAGACACGTTTTATCCGTGGACCCAAAACTCCGGCGCCGGTCATGGACTGGGAAGGCAGCCTTCCCTAGGTGTTTAATCATTGCAGGGACGCCTCTCTGATTATTCACCCATGTTTCAAAGGTGTCAGACCACACAGGGATGCCTGCCTTGGTCCTTCACCCTTAGTGGCAAGTCCTGCTTTTCTGGGGAAGGGGCAAGTACCCCAACCCCTTCTCTCTGTGTCTCTACCCCTTCTCTGCTTTTCTGGGGGAGGGGCAAGTACCCCTCAACCCCTTCTCCTTCACCCTTAGCAGCAAGTCCCGCTTTTCTAGGGGGCAAGAACCCCCAATCCCTTATTTCCACACCCCAACCTCTTATCTCTGTGCCCCAATCCCTTATTTCTGCACCCCAACCTCTTATCTCTGTGCCCCAATCCCTTATTTCCATGCCCCAACCACCCTTCCCGCTTTTCTGGAGGGTAAGAACCCCTGAACCCCTTCCCTCCGTGTCTCTATGCTCTCTTTTCTCTGGGTTTGCCTCCTTCACTATGGGCAACCTTCCACCTTCCATTCCTCCTTCTTCTCCCTTAGCCTATATTCTTAAGAACTTAAAACCTCTTCAACTCTCACCTGACCTAAAATCTAAGCATCTTATTTTCTTCTGCAATGTCGCTTGACCCCAATACAAACTCGAGTAGTTCCAAATAGCCGGAAAATGGCACTTTCAATTTTTCCATCCTACAAGATCTAAATAATTCTTATTGTAAGATGGGCAAATGGTCTGAGGTGCCTGACATCCAGGCATTCTTTTACACATCAGTCCCTTCCTAGTCTCTGTGCCCAGTGCAACTCGTCCCAAATCTTCCTTCTTTCCCTCCCACCTGTCCCCTCAGTCCCAACCCCAAGCGTCGCTGAGTCTCTCTAATCTTCCTTTTCTACAGACCCATCTGACCTCTCCCCTCCTCGCCAGGCCAAGCTAGGTTCCAATTCTTCCTCAGCCTCCGCTCCTCCACCCTGTAATCTTTTTATCATCTCCCCTCCTCACACCTGGTCCGGCTTACAGTTTCGTTCTGTGACTAGGCCTCCCCCACCTGCCCAGCAATTTACTCTTAAAAAGGTGGCTGGAGCCAAAGGCATAGTCAAGGTTAATGCTCCTTTTTCTTTATCCCAAATCAGAAGCGTTTAGGCTCTTTTTCATCAAATATAAAAACCCAGCCCAGTTCATGGCTCGTTCGGCAGCAACCCTGAGACCCTTTACAGCCCTAGACCCTAAAAGGTCAAAAGGCCATCTTATTCTCAATATACATTTTATTACCCAATCTGCTCCCGACATTAAATAAAACTCCAAAAATTGGAATCTGGCCCTCAAACCCCACAAGAGGACTTAATTAACCTCACCTTCAAGGTGTACAATAATAAAAAAAAAGTTGCAATTCCTTGCCTCCACTGTGAGACAAACCCCAGCCACATCTCCAGCACACAAGAACTTCTAAACGCCTGAACCGCAGCAGCCAGGCGTTCCTCCAGAAACTCCTCCCCCAGGAGCTTGCTACAAGTGCCAGAAATCTGACCACCAAGCCAAGGAATGCCTGCAGCCCAGGATTCCTCCTAAGCCATGTCCCATCTGTGCGGGACCCCACTGGAAATCGGACTGTTCAACTCACCTGGCAGCCACTCCCAGAGCCCCTGGAACTCTGGCCCAAGGCTCTCTGACTGACTCCTTCTCGGCTTAGCAGCTGAAGACTGACGCTGCCCGATCACCTCAAAAGCCCTGTAGACCATCACAGACGCCGAGCTTCGAGTAACTCTCACAGTGGAAGGTAAGTCCGTCCCCTTAATCAATATGGATGCTACTCACTCCACATTACCTTCTTTTCAAGGGCCTGTTTCCCTTGCCTCCATAACTGTTGTTAGGTATTCACCGCCAGGCTTCTAAACCTCTTAAAACTCCCCAACTCTGGTGCCAACTTAGACAATACTCTTTTAAGCACTCCTTTTAGTTATCCCCACCTGCCCAGTTCCCTTATTAGGCCGAGACACTTTAAATTATCTGCTTCCCTGACTATTCCTGGATTACAGCTACATCTCATTGCTGCCCTTCTTCCCAATCCAAAGCCTCCTTTGCGTCCTCCTCTTGTATCCCCCACCTTAACCCACAAGTATAAGATACCTCTACTCCTTCCTTGGCGACCGATCATGCACCCCTTAACATCTCATTAAAACCTAATCACTCTTACCCCGATCAATGCCAATATCCCATCCCACAGCATGCTTTGAAAGGATTAAAGCCTGTTATCACTCGTCTGCTACAGCATGGCCTTTTAAAGCCTATAAACTCTCCTTACAATTCCCCCATTTTACCTCTCCTAAAACCAGACAAGCCTTACAAGTTAGTTCAGAATCTGCGCCTTATCAACCAAATTGTTTTGCCTATCCACCCCTTGGTGCCAAACCCATATACTCTCCTATCCTCAATACCTTCCTCTACTACCCATTATTCTGTTCTGGATCTCAGACATGCTTTCTTTACTATTCCTTTGCACCCTTCATCCCAGCCTCTCTTTGCCTTCACTTAGACTGACCCTGACACCCATTAGGCTCAGCAAATTACCTGGGCTGTACTGCCGCAAGGCTTCACAGACAGCCCCCATTACTTCAATCAAGCCCAAATTTCATCCTCATCTGTTACCTATCTCGGCATAATTCTCATAAAAACACACGTGCTCTCCCTGCTGATCGTGTCCGATTAATCTCCCAAACCTCAATCCCTTACAAAAGAACAACTCCTTTCCTTCCTAGGCATGGTTAGTGCAGTCAGAATTCTTACACAGGAGCCAGGACCACACCCTGTAGCCTTTCTGTCCAAACAACTTGACCTTACTGTTTTAGCCTAGCCCGCATGTCTGCATGTAGCGGCTGCCGCTGCTTTAATACTGTTAGAGGCCCTAAAAATCACAAACTATGCTCACCTCACTCTCTACATGTCTCATAACTTCCAAAATCTATTTTCTTCCTCATACCTGACGCATATACTTTCTGCTCCCCGGCTCCTTCAGCTGTACTCACTCTTTAAGTCCCACAATTACCATTGTTCCTGGCCTGGACTTCAATCTGGCCTCCCACATTATTCCTGATACCACACCTGACCCCCATGACTGTATCTCTCTGATCCACCTGATATTCACCCCATTTCCCCATATTTCCTTCTTTCCTGTTCCTCACCCTGATCACGCTTGATTTATTGATGGCAGTTCCATCAGGCCTAATCGCCACACACCAGCAAAGGCAGGCTATGCTATATAGTACAAGCCACTAGCCCGCCTCTCAGAACCTCTCATTTCCTTTCCATCGTGGAAATCTATCCTCAAGGAAATAACTTCTCAGTGTTCCATGTGCTATTCTACTACTCCTCAGGGATTATTCAGGCCCCCTCCCTTCCCTACACATCAAGCTCCAGGATTTGCCCCCACCCAGGACTGGCAAATTAGCTTTACTCAACATGTCCCGAGTCAGGAAACTAAAATACCTCTTAGTCTAAATAGACACTTTCACTGAATAAGTAAAGGCCTTTCCTACAGGGTCTGAGAAGGCCACCATAGTCATTTCTTCCCTTCTGTCAGACATAATTCCTCAGTTTAGCCTTCCCACCTCAATACAGTCTGATAACAGCTGAGCCTTTATTAGTCAAATCAGCCAAGCAGTTTTTCAGGCTCTTAGTATTCAGTGAAACCTTTATATCCCTTACGGTCCTCTGTCTTCAAGAAAAGTAGAACGGACTAAAGGTCTTTTAAAAACACACCTCACCAAGCTCAGCCACCAACTTAAAAAGGACTGGACAATACTTTTACCATTTTAGCTTCTCAGAATTCAGGCCTGTCCTCAGAATGCTACAAGGTACAGCCCATTTAAGCTCCTGTATAGACGCTCCTTTTTATTAGGCCCCAGTCTCATTCCAGACACCAGACCAACTTAGACTGTGCCCCCAAAAAACTTGTCATCCCTACTATCTTCTGTCTAGTCATACTCCTATTCACCGTTCTCAACTACTCATACATGCCCTGCTCTTGTTTACACTGCCGGTTTACACTGCTTTTCCAAGCCATCACAGCTGATATCTCCTGGTGCTATCCCCAAACTGCCACTCTAAACTCTTGAAGTAAATAAATAATCTTTGCTGGCGGGACTATGCTGAATCTCCTTAGGCACTCTCTAATCAGATGTCCTAGGTCCTCCCAATTCTTAGACCTTTTATACCTGTTTTTCTCCTTCTCTTATTCCATTTAGTTTCTCAATTCATCTAAAACTGTATCCAGGCCATCACCAATCATTCTATACGACAAATGTTTCTTCTAACATCCCCACAATATCACCCCTTACCACAGGACCTCCCTTCAGCTTAATCTCTCCCACTCTAGGTTCCCACGCCGCCCCTAATCCCGCTTGAAGCAGCCCTGAGAAACATCGCCCATTCTCTCTCCATACCAAGCCCCAAAAGTTTTCACCGCCCCAACACTTCAACACTATTTTGTTTTATTTTTATTATTAATATAAGAAGGCAGGAATGTCAGGCCTCTGAGCCCAAGCCAAGCCATCGCATCCCCTGTGACTTGCACATATACGCCCAGATGGCCTGAAGTAACTGAAGAATCACAAAAGAAGTGAAAAGGCCCTGCCCCGCCTTAACTGATGACATTCCACCATTGTGATTTGTTCCTGCCCCATCTTAACTGAGTGATTAACCCTGTGAATTTCCTTCTCCTGGCTCAGAAACTCCCCCACTAAGCACCTTGTGACCCCCGCCCCTGCCCACCAGAGAACAACCCCCTTTGACTGTAATTTTCCATTACCTTCCCAAATCCTATAAAACGGCCCCACCCCTATCTCCCTTTCTCCCTTTCCTGACTCTCTTTTCGGACTCAGCCCGCCTGCGCCCAGGTGAAATCAACAGCCATGTTGCTCACACAAAGCCTGTTTGGTGGTCTCTTCGCACGGACACGAGTGAAAATTATTTTGTTTGTTTTGCTTTGCTTTGTTTACATCTATTGCTGCTAATGAAGATTTCCATTTCTTTGTACATCATTTTTTCCCTTTTTCTAGAAGCCTTAAGTATCATCCCTTTATTCTTGATATTTTAGAGTTTCATGAGGCTGTGTTTAGGTGTGAGGCTTTTTCTTTCATCCTAATTCCCACTCAGTGATCTTTCAAACTGAGATCTTTCTTCAGTTATGAGACATTTTTTTCTGTTTTTAAAATTACCTCTTTCCCTCTCTTGTTTTTGCTTTCTTTCTGGAATTTCATATGAATGGATGTTAGGCCTCCTACATGGATATTTTATATATTTTTAAGCTTTTCTCTCAAATTTTGCTGTTATTGAGGCTGGATCCAGACACACTAGCATGGAAGGCATGCTTTGGAAAGGAAGACTCAAGGTGTGGTTTTAAACACTGGAAGCTAAAGCCTGAGTTATGTGAACCCCAAATATCTGAGACAGGTCTCGGTTAATTTAGAAATTTTATTTTGCCAAGGTTGAGGACATGTACCCATGACACAGCCTCAGGAGGTCCTGATGACATGTGCCCAAGGTGGTCAGAGTGCAGTTTGGTTTTATACATTTTAGGGAGGCATGAGACATCAATCATCATATGTAGGATGAACATTGGTTTGGTCCAGAAAGCGGGGACAACAACTCGAAGAAAAAGTGGGACAACTTGAAGTGGTGAGGGGGCTTCCAGATCCTAGGTAGATAAGAGACAAATGGTTGCATTCTTTTGAGTTTCTGATGAGCCTCTCCAAAGGAGGGAATCAGATATGCATTCATCTCGGTGAGCAGAAGGGTGACTTTGAATAGAATGGGAGGTAGGTTTGCCCTAAGCAGTTCCCAGCTTGACTTCTCCCTTTAGCTTAGTGATTTTGGGGTCCCAAGATTTATTTCCTTTCACATTCCCCCCCTTTTCTTTTTAAAAATCTTTTGGAGAAAGCATTTCAGAAGAAAATGAGTCTCTGGTCTCAGGTTTCGTCTGATCTCTTATGGCTCGGTTGGTTTATTTCTAGATGGTTAGGTCCTGAATTATTAGGAAAGTTCATTTTTAGCAGGTTGTGAAGTTTCACATCCTAGGAAGTGAAAATAGGGAGAAAAACAACAACAGGCTGGGTGTGGTAGCTCACGCCTGTAATACCAGCACTTTGGGAGGCCGAGGCGGGCAGATCATCTGAGGTCAGGAGTTCAACACCAGCCTGGACAACATGGTGAAACCCTGTCTCTATTAAAAACACAAAAAATTAGCCGGGCATTAGTAATTACGACAACTAACTAGTAACTAGTAGTCCTAGTTACTCAGGAGGCTGAGGCAGGAGAATTGCTTGAACCCAGGAGCAGAGGCAGCAGTGAGCTGAGATTGCGCCACTGCACTCCAGTCTGGGCGGCAGAGTGAAACTCCGTCTCAAAAAAACAAAAAACAAACAAACAACAACAACAAACAAAAGAACAATCCTGGAAAATTGGTATAAGCCATATTACTCTGAAGTCCATAATCAGTAGGCAGGTTTGAAAGTGGTTTATGTATGTAAATGGGTTGCTGTTATTTTCTTCTAAAGTTTAAGTTGTCTGACTTCAGTTCACAGGGCTTTATGAAAGCACGCTTAGTTTTCAATGACTCCTAATTAGGAAAAATGGGGGAAAAAAGAAGGAAAAAAATTGAAAACATTATCTTGAAGACTTGTAACCAAGAAAAAATAGAATTTGGTCCAGACTGTAGAAAATAATAAAAACTGAAAAGGCCGGGCGCGGTGGCTCATGCCTGTAATCCCAGCATTTTGGGAAGCCGAGGCGGGCAGATCATGAGGTCAGGAGATCGAGACCATCCTGTCTAACACGGTGAAACCCCGTCTCTACTAAAAATACAAAAAATTAGCTGGGCGTGGTGGTGGGTGCCTGTAGTCCCAGGTACTCAGGAGGCTAAGGCAGGAGAATGGCGTGAATCCAGGAGGCAGAGCTTGCAGTGAGCCGAGATCGCACCACTGCACTCCAGCCTGGGCAACAGAGCAAGACTCCATCTAAAAAAAAAAAAAAAAAAAAAAAAAAACAACTGAAAAACATTAGGCAAGACTGGAATCTAACAACAGGTGTATTATAGTTTTTGAAACATAATTTTTCTCTCTCCAGTTTTCCATCTTTACTAAAGACAAATCATGGAAGGACTGATTTGCTTTATTATACTTGGCCTGATTATTTGTATACAGTGCAGCAAGAATTATTATTTTTTACATAGGCTTTTAAATTGGCATTGATGGAACTTTGTTCCATAGAAAGAATCTCAGATAAGACTTTTTTAAAGCCAAGCCCAGCCATAGATTTGTACCATCAAATATCTATGAGTTGGGGCCAGGCACAGTGGCTGATGCCTGTAATCCCAGCAATTTGGGGGGGGTCAATGCAGGTGGATCACTTGAGGTCAGGAGTTCGAGACCAGCCTGGCCAACATGGTGAAATCCTGTCTCTACAAAATACAAAAAAATTTAGCAGGGTGTTGTGGCACATGCCTGTAATTCCAGCTACTTGGGAAGCTGAGACAGGTGAATCAGTTGGACCTGGGAAGCAGAGGTTGCAGTGAGCTGAGATCACACCACTGTACTCCAGCCTGGGCAACAGATCGAGATTATGCCAAAAAACAAACAAACAAAAAAACCACTCTATGAATTGGGTGAATTCCTCCCCTCTTGAGGTTCCAAGATAAACTTAGGGCTCCTGCACCTGTCAGAAAGTGGCATTCTTTACTTACCACATGTCAGGAACCCTGTACAGGGACTGTGTAGACAAGGTATAAGGCCAGTTTTCCCATGGGACTTTTATTGGCTCCATAAGTCAAGTTTGATTCCTTAAAGGAAAGCACACCATTCCAGTCAAAGCTTTGGTAAAATAACCAGTTTCTCAAATTGTGTCCTGTTATAAATGAAAACAGATTCTTATTGTACTTATGCATGTCAGTCCATGTAGTTAATTCCTGTTCTGCTTGATATTCATGAACATTTCAGTTCTCCATGAGTCCTGAAAATTTTTCTTTTATTCTGATGTCACAATCTCAAAAATTTTCAGAAACTTGTATTCAAGAGCACCTGTTAGAATTTTATAGCTGATTATAAAACTACCTTCTAAAGAGGACGAAAACAAGACAAAAATTGTCCATGGATGAAAAAAGTTTTAGGGCAGCCATAGTCAAAGACACAATGGACAAGGAAATTTGTTGCCTCTGTGGCACACAATAATTTAAGAAAACAATTATAATTATTACTGATTATGTACAGTAAGTCATATCAGAATTATAGGACTTTCCCATAATTTTGGAACACATACCAATAACATATTTATATAGATACAGCTCAAAGAAAACCAAACACCATTTCACACTTGACAATGTTTCCTGTATGATGTTTATATGAAATAGGCCAAATTATGTCATTTTTGGACTTTGGGGAACCTAATATCTTAAAGGATTAATTAGATCAGAAAAAGACATAATTTATAATTTGATTTTGGAAGGTGTCAAATATCAAAGGTTTAAAACACTTGATATCACAGATCATTGTAAAATAAGCCATTCATTTCACCAAACTGGTAACTCAAGGATTTCAAAAAAAGACAAAATCCTTCATTCTTTGAGAGAGGAGACTTTATTTTCCAAACAATAAGCCCTAATAAAAACAGCATGACGCCAATTAAATTTGTTTTTCAAAATTTTATAAACAATCTATAAAATTTTAATCTTGAGCATAAGATATAACTTCAATAAGCCTTTTATAATCTTTATAACCTTTATTAAGGAGTTGGTTAATGCTTCAAGAAAAACTTATTAATCTGACACAGGGGCCCATATGCTGGTCTTCCATCAGTGTGCCTTCGACATTAATGATTAATTCATAGAGAAACTGAACTTATTTTATCTCTCAACATTGGCCCTTACAATCTCATGCCCACCTCTTCTGCAATAGTCCCTGGCCTTGAGGAGTTAGATAGCTTTAATTTCTGGCCTGTGTCTCAGGAATGCAGTTTATTTTGATTGGCATCTCTACTGGGCCTGAAGATGAGGCTTTAATTGCTGTCAGCGTTTAAGATTTCGGAGGACTTGGTGTCCTTTTTAGATCCAGGAGCCAAAGCCCTGTAACTCTATGTCACAATGACTTTACAAGCCCATACAGAAAGATACATGAATATAATAACCTTAATGAAAAAATTTTTTTTATTTCATTTTTTTCCCTAAGTAAACCAAAACTTAATAATAATAGCATAGGAATTGTTTCAATAAACCATAAAATCTGTTAGGCCAGTTACCAAAAGGCAAAAGAAAAGACCTTCGGCACTGCACAGAATATTATGTTGGAAGAAAGAATTTCCTTTAGACTTTTAAGAAAACATTGTTAGCATCAGGCCACAACAAACAAAACTCAAGGAGAAAAACTTATATGAGTTGAAAAATGAGTTGGAGAGCATTACTATTTCTTGCCCTTTAAAAGGGGAGAGAAAACCAAAAATGGCAAGATGCAATACAAATTGAACTTTGGGTTAAAAAATTAAAATCTCTCATAATTTATTAAGAGTAAATCAATCCCTTAAGAAAATTTCATTATTCTAACCAATTATTTAGTGTGTAAGTGGTTTTTTCTTACATCAAGCCCAATCTCTAGAAAGACCATTATAATTTCCCTTTAATTAATAGACAACTTGATCATATGAAAGTTTTTTTTTTAATAAATCCTCTTTTCTTTTTTTTTTTTTGAGATAGGGTCTTGCTTTGTCGTCCGGGCTGGAGTGCAGTGATGCAATCTTGGCTTACTGCAACCTCTGCCTCCCAGGTTCGAGCAATTCTCCCACCTCGGCCTCCCAAGTAGCTGGGATTACAGGTGCACGAGACCACACCTGGCTAATTTTTGTACTTTTAATATTTTAAATATCTATTATTTAATTTAATATAACTTTAGAGTCTAAATTATGATGAGTTTGTTGTCTACAAGTATTCATCCCATTACGTCTACCTAATTATTTCAATTGTTTACCTAGATTATTTATGAAAACTGCGGCAGTCATCATTTAAAGTTATGGAACCGCCATTGCAAAATTATAACTGAGACAGTTGAAAAGATCTGACCTAACTGACTCCATCTTGCTCCTAACCTCCAAGCTGTCCTTGTTCATTCCTGAGCACAGGCCAAACTAAGTTTGGGAGGAATTCAATTTACAGTTTGACTTTGAGACAAAGATGGTAACAGTCCCTTCTGAAAACAAACCTTACTGCCTGTGGGCTGGACTGCATAAAGCCAGAAGATTAGAAGTTATGGCAATCTTACTAAATTCAAGATGTTGCTATTTTCATTAAACTAATATCAATGTCTTATTTATTAAAGATTACATGACAAAGATCATTCTGTTTTGGGCTAGGTTTATGGTTTTGTAACCCCTATGCCAAATTTTGACACCTTGTAGTATTTGGCAGGGATAAGTATGAAATTGCTTGATTAATAAATGCAAACAAAAATGTATGCTGGCAATTCTTAAGACATTTTTAATATTACTTTACCAATAATTTTAAAGCTAGCTTATTTATTGAAGATTTTACTTAAGTTATGTAAACTTGAAAAAGCATTTGACTAGTCTTTTGTTTTTTCCTGATAAAGTATTTGATTCAAGTGCTTTTATTTTCTTAAGCCAATTAATTAGAGCTCTTGCATATATTTTCAGTAGTGAAACATTGGGTACATAAATACATAGACGTATTAGGCATGCTGATAGAATGTACATCTTATAGAGTCATAAAAACCTTTTATTTTTCCCTATCTTGGGCTTTCAAATTCTTCATAACCTGTTTCACTACCCTAGGCAGTTGTCAGCTAAATAGGCTTAAATTTGCATATTAAAGGAAACAAGTCAGGTGAAAATCAAATAGCAAGATATACATCATAAGGTATGGAGATAAATACTTTGGTGTGCTAGAGGGAAATTAAAACGGATTTAATTGCCAATTAAACATAAAATTATAAAAATTATAAAGGCCTTTAAAATACACACACACACACACACACACACACACACACACACACACACACACACACACACACACAAAGATCCTATCGCTTTTACTTCAGAACCTTAGCCATGAGGTAAATACAAATTCACCAGCTTGCAAAAAAAAACCGTGTTGGATCCAAACAGTGGTTTTTATCTTAATAGAAAAATAACAGCTGATTTGACTGGGGGCCATGTGGGAATGTCTGGGGGATTGACCCCTCGAAACGTTCAGTGGCCCTACAGGGAAATCCCCAACAAAAATTAATTTAAAAAAAAGGCTTATCCAGGAAATACACCCTGGAGTGCCTTTTGGCTGGGAGGATCAAAATGCCCTTTCTCTTCAGAGCTGAGAAAACTCAGTCCCTCATTTATCTATGAAAACAACAGTTCAGTTCCTCACGCAAATGCGCACAGACAAGCTGAATCGAGATTAATTTTGGGAGAAAAAGCAATAGAGAAGGCCCTTTAGAATACATCTCTGAACTAGAATTAAGATCCTTAAATAACAGTTTCCTAGGAGGGAAACAACAACAACAACAGTGAAGACCACTTCCTGTAAACTGTGCTCAGCCACCCCTAATTTTGTAGCTCTCGTCTGCCATTACACATGCCGAGGTCAAGTTCTCTCATAGTACAAGGTTATTTCTGGTACTCCCAAAGCCAAAAAGGTCAGGTCATGCAATACAGGAAAACAGAGCTTTAGACCTAAGAAAAATCTGTCCATGACTCTTGGAACTCCACAAGGAAAACAGAACACTCCAAAAGGGGTGAGTGGTATCTTTGTTCTGATTTCTTGAAAGGGGCTCAAGTCATTGGAAGCCTTCTCTAGATTTTTTGGTACTGCAGATGGCATAGGGGGAAGGAGGTATAGAGTGGAAGAAAAGTAAACGAAAGAACATTTGTTTTTTAAGACAGGAAGCAAACACAAAATCCAAGCGCATGGCTTTTTTTGTTTTTTCCTCTTTTGCAGCTGCGAGGAATTTTTGCCAAACTAGAGAGGCTTTGTTATCCATAATTTGGAATTCTCACTCGGATTTGACCAAGTCAGGTGGAGTTGGTCAAATCTGATGGGAGAAAGACCAGGACAAACAACAACAAAAAACCCCGACAATATGATCACTGAGCACTCTAATGGTAAGGAGAAATTAAAACCAGCTGGTTGTTAACTTACCTAGGAATGGGTCTCAGGTTGAAGACTGCTTTCTACTATCCTTGAAGCAGGAAAAAAACTCAAACTCGTCTTTCTTGTTGGGAGTGAGCTCAAACTCCATAAAGGAGGTACTTGCTTTCCATCGTCATGGAAGCAGGGAATCTTGCCTTCCGTGTTAGAAGCAAGTAAAACTCCAAAAAAAAGGGAGTTGTACAGCAAAATAAACTTTAGATCTCTACCAAATTTAGGGATATCAGGGATTCTCTGGAGGGGGTGCTCCCAGACCTCAGCAAATTGTCCTATTGGTTTGAGCCACAAAGTTGCTCATGCTGGTACCAAGCACCAATATGAGATTTGTCAAAGTTCAGGGGTACCTCCACTCAGAATCCCTTTGTGGTTACCGAAATTTGAACACTGAATATCTGAGATAGGTCTCAGATAATTTAGAAAGTTTACTTTGGCAAGGTTGGGGTCATGTGCCCGTGACACAGCCTCAGGAGGACCTGATGACATGTGCACAAGGTAGTCAGAGCACAGTTTGATTTTATACATTTAGGGAGACATGAGACATCAATCAACATATGTAAGATGAACATTAGTTTGTGGTTTGGTCCAGAAAGGCGGGACAACTTGAAGTGGGGAGGGAGCTTCCAGGTCATAGGTAAATAAGAGACAAACGGTTGCATTCTTGTGAGTTTCTCATTAGCCTCTCCAAAGGAGACAATCAGATATGCATCTCTCTCAGTGAGCAGAGGGGTGACTTTGAATAGAATGGCAGGCAGATTTGCCCTAAGCAGTTCCCAGCTTGACTTTTTCCTTTAGCTTAGTGATTTTGGGGTCCCAAGATTTATTTTCCTTTCACAGGTGCATATGGAGATCTATCAGCAAAGTTGTCACTGAAGTCTTTTCTATACAATTGTACCACGGGGTAGTAAAAAATTTGTTGATGGGGAGTTTCTTTTCATAGGAGTATTCCAGTTAATGGGTGAAGAAAGAATGATAGAATATTGCCATTTTGAGAGACAGGACTAGCTGGATTTCCTAGGCCGACTAAGAATCCCTAAGCCTAGCTGGGAATGTGACTGCATCCACCTTTAAACACGGGGCTTGCAACTTGGCTCACACCCGACCAATCAGATAGTAAAGAGAGCTCGCTAAAATGCTAATTAGGCAAAAACAGGAGGTAAAGAAATAGCCAATCATCTGTTGCCTGAGAGCACAGCGGGAGGGACAAGGATCAGGATATAAACCCAGGCATTTGAGCCTGCAACGGCTACCCTTTTTGGGCCCCCTGCCTTTGTATGGGAGCTCTGTCTTCACTCTATTAAATCTTGCAACTGCACTCTCTTTTGGTCCATGTTTCTTATGGCTACAGCTGAGCTTTCGCTCGCCATCCACCACTGGTGTTTGCCGCCGTTGCAGACCCGCCACTGACTTCCATCCCTCCGGATCCAGCAGGGTGTCCACTGTGCTCCTGATCCAGCAAGGTGCCCATTGCCGCTCCCGATCAGGCTAAAGGCTTGCCATTGTTCCTGCACGGCTAAGTGCCCGGGTTTCATCCTGATGGAGCTGAACACTAGTCACTGGGTTCCATGGTTCTCTTCCATGACCCACGGCTTCTAATAGAGCTATAACACTCACTGCATGGCCCAAGATTCCATTCCTTGGAATCCATGAGGTCAAGAACCCCAGGTCAGAGAACGCGAGGCTTGCCACCATCTTGGGAGCTCTGGGAGCAAGGACCCCCTGGTAACAATTTGACAATTCCTAATGAAATAGTGGACTAGGCAATGGTCATCAATGGCTGCCAGCATCATAAGAAGAGAGACAACCAGATATTATGTACCTCTGATGAAAGTACACAGCACCACTTATGAAGCTGTCTTGCTAAAAAATCAAACCTGAATCTGAACAAGCCCCTAGATCTAACTACCAGTTTACTTGAAATATATTACTAGGATGCAATCAGCAAAATCCATAGACAGTGGGAAACTCTATAGGAAAAATTAACTAGTATCTTTACTAATCAATTCTAATGGGAAAAAAAAAGAAATAGTGGAGGAACCTATAGATGAAAAGAGACTTAAAAGACGTATCAACCAATTGTGATATGTGGATCTTATTTGCATGCTGATATCACCAAAAAATGTATGAAACTCTCAGGAACTTTTTTTGTTTTTGTTTTTGTTTTTGAGACAGGGTCTCACTTGGTCACCCAGGCTGGCACTGGCAATGCTGTGAGCAATATGGGCTCAGATAGCCAACCATTCTGGTTTCCCAGGACTGATGGGGTTCCTGAAACAAGGCTTTTTCTGGAACGTTCCACTCAAAGCAGAATGAGTTGGTAGCTCTAAATGGTAAACGTAGGACCTAAGTACAATAGAACAATTTGAGGGTATGGTGTACAATACCCAAAGAAATTTTCCTTGGCTCCTCAGCCTGAAGACATCTCCGTAAGTATTTTCTGGGGAAGACTCACAGAGGAACAGGGTTAGGACCAGTGGGGTAGGGGTTGAAGTAAGATAAACATTGACATTTCACATATGACAACTTGCCTTCCAACTGAAACTTAAAGTCCTTAGGAATAAGAGCTGGGTTTTGCCTTCTCTTTTATTTCTCATAACCCCTAGCACAGTGTTGAAAAGTCGTTCTTTATACAATGACCACATTTTGCATAGGTAACTCTGTACTCCTTTTCATCTACATACGCACAACAGCTATTGGGAGATGAGTGACTACTTCATTTATGCCTTTCCTTCTGTATTAGTCAGGCAGGGTTCTCTAGAGGGACAGGACTAATAGGATAGATGTATATATGAAGGGGAGTTTATTAGGAGAATTGACTCGCACGATCACGAGGTGAAGTCCCACGATAGGCCGTCTGCAAGCTGAAGAGCAAGGAAGCCAGTCGGAGTCTCAAAATCTTAAAAGTAGTGAAGCCTTCAGTCTGTGGCCAAAGGCCCAAGAGCCCCTGGCAAATCACTGGTATAAGTCCAAGAGCCCAAAAGCTGAAGTCCAAGAGCCCAAAAGCTGAGTCTGATGTTCGAGGGCAGGAAGCATCCAACACGGGAGAAAGATGAAGGCCGGAAGACTCAGCAAGTCTACTCTTCTACCTTCTCCTGCCTGCTTTATTCTAGCCATGCTGGCAGCTGATTAGAAGGCGCCCACCCAGATTAAGAGTGGGTCTGCCTCTCCCTGTTCACTGACTCAAATATTCATCTCCTTTGGCAACACCCTCACAGACACACTCAGGAACAATATTTTGCATGCTTCAATCCAATCAAGTTGACGCTCAGTATTAACCATCACACCCTCCAAATGCAGGGATGATTTAACCATGATGGAGAAATGAGCATCAGATTTACCTTCTTGCTGTAAATAAATATAAATAAAATATATAGAACAAATATTTTTAGACATTAGATAAGTAATAGCCTGCCAGAAAAAAATTCAATGTCCCCCCAAAGCTCAACACTCTTTAAAGGAAGACAAAACATTCCAGAAAGATAAGATATAGTCAATTGTTATTATTCAAATTATTTATTTGCAAATTCACCTACTTGCTACAATTTATTTGTAACCCCAAATCAATTCTCATGGTACTTTCACCAGCTTTCAGGGACACATGGAGAGCAGCAAAAAATTTGAATTGCCTAAAGTGCATGTTCCCAGCTGAGGCCAAACAATGCAATGTTCTGCCTTCTTGCTTCAGTTCTCATACTGTAAAAAAGTGTCATTTCCATGGTCTATTTAGTGTCACATTTTCCACATTTTTATTAGTAATTTCACTATCTTAAACGGTCCCAAAATGTAGTACTGAAGTGATGTTTAGCATTCCTAAGTGCAACAAGGCTGTGATATGCCTAATGGAAAAAAAAATGTGTTATTTAAGTTTTGTTCAAGCATAAATTAAAATACCATTGGCCATGAGTTAAATGTCAATGAATCAACAGTATCTAATATAGAAGATATCTTCAAACAGAAACACATATAACACACGGCTACATATTGATCAGTTGATGAAACTGTTGTGACCAGAGGCTTGTATGAACCTACTGTATTTCCCCTAGGATCAGTGGTTCAGTATTTCTTAACTCAGTGTGTGTGATGACTTTATAGATCCCCAAATAATGAGAATCAATTATAATTCATCCCAAGCTGACTTGCTCTATGAGAAACGTTAAAGGAAATTCTGCAGGCTTGAGGGAAATTATGCCAGCTGGAAATTCAAAGCTACATGTAGAAATGAAAATGGTAAACACTTGAGTAAATATTTAAAAACTTGTTTTTTGAATTTCTTAATGTACTAGAAAAGACAATGGACTATGTAAAGCAAAAAGACTAACAATGTATTATGGGATCTATAAACTATATAGAAGTAAATATGCATAAAAACTATAGTACACTGGAAAAGGGAGGAGTAAAAGGAAATATACTGTTATAAGGTTTTTACATTATATGTGTGAATTGGTACAATATTAATTCAAAGTACACTGTAATAAGTTATTGGCCAAGTGCAGTGGCTCATGCCTGTAATCTCAGAACTTTGGGAGGCCGAGATGCGTGGAGTGCTTGAGCCAGGAGTTAGAGACCAGCCTGGGGAACATGGCAAAACCTCGCATTTACCAATAATGCAAAAATTAGTCTGGCATGGTGGTTCAAACCTGAAGTCCCAGCTACTTGGGAGGCTGAGATGGGAGAATTGCTTGAGCCTAGGAGGCAGAGGTTGCAGTGAGCTGAGATAGCGCTGCTACACTCCAGCCTGCGTGACAGACAGAGACCCTATCTCAAAAAAAAAAAAGTACGCTGTAGTAAGTTATGGATGCATATTGTAATCCCCAGATTAGGACAAGTTGATTGATGGTGTCTTAATGACTATCAACTTGTATTGATTACTGAGAAAGGAGCGTTACTGTCTCCAAATATAATTGTGGATTTGTCTATTCCTCCTTTAAATGCTACCAGTTTTTGCTTCAAATGTTTTGCAGCTTTGTTATCAGGTACATACACTTTAAGAATTCTGTCTTCGTATGAATTAACCCTTTAATTCATAAAATACTACTACTAAAAATAAAAAAATCAAATAAGAAATATGGCTAAAAAGCCAAAATAGACTACTAAAAATATTCAAGTAATGTCAAGGAAGGGAGAAGAGGAGGAAAAAAAGAACAAGGAAAATATGGGACAAATGGAAAAAAAATACCAAGATGGAAGACTTAGAAACAGCCATATCAATGATTACATTAAACATAGGAAACACCCCAAATGAAGGCATAAGTTGTTCAGGCTGCCGATAAGAAACCTACTGTAAATATAAAGACAGGTTAAAGTAAAAAGAAGGAAAAATATACTATGCACATACTAATCATAAGAAATCTACTGACAATATTATCATGAGATAAAGTAGACTTTAAGACATGAGGACTACCAGAGATACAGAGGGATATTTCATACTGATAAAATGGTTCATTCGTAAGAAGACAAAATTCTAAGTGTGTGTACCTGGTAACAGAGCTGCAAAACTTTTGAAGCAAAGTCTGGTATAATTTAAAGGAGAAATAGACAAATTCACAATTATATTTGGAGACTTTAACACTCCTTGCTCAGTAATCAGTTGAACAAGTTAACAGTCATTAAGACACCATCAATCAACTTGTCCTAATTGACATTTATAGTTCACTCCTCCCCACTCTCCCAAAACAACAGAAGACATTCTTTTCAAGTGCATGAAAAACACTCACCATGAGAAACCATATGCTGGGCTGTAAAGGAAGTATCAAAAAATATAAAATGATAAAAATAATAAAAGATATGCTTACTAACCATAAAGGAATTAAAGTAGAAATTAATACTTAGAAAGATATCTGGGAAAAACAAAAGTGAAACAAAAAAAACCACAACAAAAAAGAAAGATATCTGGGAAATTCCCTAAATGTTTAAAAATTAATCAAATGCAGTGATAACTGTGCACATTTGATGGACTGAACTGGAATCCAGTCACTACTAAAGTATACAGTCTCTTCTTTCCTCCTGTTTCCTAAACACACATCAGTGTCTATTTGCATTCACTTATATATGTGGGGTCATTTGCTTTGTAACCATGAGATAAGACAAGAGCTTTTGGTGATGAGAAGGGCTAGAAGAGGATAAGAAGAGCTCCAAGGGGATAATATGGCATCAATTCCCTTTCCGGACCTTTAACTTCCATGATTAAATGAATGAACATAATAAATTGCTGGCCCTGCCTAAGGGAGATTTTAAGAGACTGAGCAAAAGCTGAGTTGTTTCAAAGCCTCAGTGACAGAGTATGGCACAGAGCTGGGGAGGACACCCTTCTAATCCAAAACCATTTGGGGATCTCAAAGATTGAAAGCTTTGGGAGAAGTGATAGAAAGCACTGTTAGCATGTACATTGGCATTTCATGACGGACACGAAGCAGTTAGATTTCTACAGGTAACCTTGCAGGTAGAAGACATGGAGAAGTTGAAACTGGAACAGCATAGGAGAAACATGGTGGGACTCCCAGAAATATGGTATGGGCCGGGTGCAGTGGCCCACACCTGTAATCCCAGCACTTTGGGAGGCCGAGGCGGGTGGATCACCTGAGGTCAGGAGTTCAAGACCAGCCTGACCAACATGATGAAACTCCGTCTCTACTAAAAATACAAAATTAGTCGGGCGTGGTGGCTCATGCCCGTAATCCCAGCTACTCAGGAGGCTGAGGCAGGAGAATCGCTTGAACCCGGGAGGTGGAAGTTGCAGTGGGCCAAGATCACACTGTTGCACTCCAGCCTGGGCAACTCTGTCTCAAAAAAAAAAAAAAAAAAAGAAAAGAGAAAAAGAAACTTTTAGTTCTTAGCAGGTTAAATTTGGAAAGGACCCCCACAAAACCAATAATAAATGCAGGAGACTGGTGTAGACCTACATAAACAGTGTCCAGAAGGCTAAACACCAGATGTAGACCTGAGGCTTTCAAGAAATGATAAGAGCAACATAAAGAATTTTTACAAAGTTACATAAATAATTATTACAAAGTTGTGTTAAGAGCCAGAAGACAATTGAGAAAGGGGTCCAATTGATATTGACATACTGATGGATGATAAAGATAGAGCAGAACTCCTCTGTTCTCACTTTGCACCTATATTTTTTGTCAAGGAGAAATTTACATACTGAACAGTCTAGCCCAATGCTTTTCAAACTTTAACACACTTATACATCACTTAGGAATTTTGTTAAAATGAGATTGTGGTTTGGTAGGTCTGGGTGGGGCCCAATAATTTGCACTTCTAACAGGCTCCCAGGTAATGCTACTGTTGGTCCTCGAACCATACTTTGAATAACAAGAGTTTAGACCAAATATTGATAAAAGAAGAAAAGTCCAGGGTATGTAAAATGGTTGTCAAAGAGTATTTCATTGCTTTAACCAAGTTCAGTTGTCTGGACAAATTATATCTCTCAGAATATTGGAAGAACTAGCAAATGAGACCTCTAAACCACCCTTGGGGATAATTTTATTTTCATCAATTTGGAGCATATGCAGGGGGGTCGTAGAAGCCTAAAGACAGGCAAATGTGATCATGGATTTCAAAAAGGAAATAATAGAGGAAGTGTAAATGGACAGAACAAGCTTGTTGTTGATTCCAGGAGACAATCTAAAGTGGATTATTTTAAAAGGATGGTTTATGTTCACTGGACCCAGTGTAATTTCACTGGGAATGAAACCTGTCAGACTAGTTTCATTATTATTTTTTATTATTTTTTAATTTTTTTTTTTTTTGAGATGGAGTCTCGCTCTGTCACCCAGGTTGGAGTGCAATGGCTCGATCTCGGCTCACTGCAACCTCCGCCTCCTGGGTTCAAGCCATTCTCCTGCCTCAGCCTCCTGAGTAGCTGGGACTACAGGCACCTGCCACCACACCTGGCTAATTTTTTGTATTTTTAGTAGAGACAGAGTTTCACTGTGTTAGCCAGGATGGTCTCGATCTCCTGATCTCGTGATCCACCCTCCTTGGCCTCCCAAAGTGCTGGGATTACAGGCGTGAGCCACTGTGCCCGGCCTAGTTTCATGATCTTTAATAGGTTTACTAGAATGATCGGTCAGGGCAATGCAGCAGATAAAACAAGTGAAATTTGGCAAAGCACTACCTGAGGATTTTCATGATATTTGCAAAGCAGCACAATAAGGACTCGCTGTGAGAATAATAAGGGGGTTTAGTAGCTGGTTGACCAAGTCTGCCCCAAGGGTCCTGATAAATGATTAATAGCTTCTCAAGGACAGTCTCCAGGCCTGTTACAAGTCTTTATTATTGGCCTGATCTCCTTCAGAAATTTTATCAATGGCTTAAATCAGAGGTTCTCATACCTTGGGGGCAGGAGATGATTGTTAAAATATAGGTTCCTAATCTCCAATCCTGGGCTCTAATTCAGCAGGTCTAGATCAGGACATGGTATTCTATGTCTTAAATTATTTCAAGATAATGCTGAGGAAGGTACTCTGCGGAGCTCACTTTGAAAAAAAAAAATACTTGATGAATAAGAATGAACACAAGCAGCTCAAAACACAAGGGGCTCTTTTAAAAGTGCATAGTTTCCCTATTGCTTAAAGGATAGTAAAGCCAAGGGTAATATTTCCTTAGAGACAGAGCCCCACACCTTGAGGCTACCCATTTTCTTGATTTGAATGAGACTAAGAGTGTGAAAATATTTTTACCTTTGATCTCTATCCTTTGAATTAATTATTTTTTAAAGTCTCGGACTTCTGCTTTTGGGAAAGTGGAGTACACATAACTTTTGCTATTTTTTCACTAAGTATAACTAAAAACTCGTCATTGTATATAAAACAAACATAAGAAGGCTCTGAAAGGTGAAGAGAAGGCAGACCGCCTAAGGATCTTGGGACCCAAGAAATGATATGGTGGTGAGTTTCTTGGGTGGTTATTTTTATTTTTTTTGCCTCATATATCCTAGACTTGGGCTAAAGAAGGCAGCGACCCAGAACTGCAGAGGCTGGCAATTCAGAACTGCCAATGAGTAGAGATAAAAAAAGGCCCCAAGGAAAATGTTTTCTCTAGCCCAATAGACCATTGCAGCAACACCCTTATCCATGCCAGCAAAGGCCTAGTGGGAAGCCTAGACTTCCACCCACACAAGGTTATATAAGAAGGCCTCCTAACCCTCCTGCCTGGTGCTGTCAGAGGAGGCTTGGAAGAGAGTCAGGACTTTAGCCACTTCCTGGGAGTAAAAGAGCCTCCTCCACTTATGTCAGTAGAACCCACATGGAGACCATTAAGAAGCCTTCCTGTACCTCTCGGCCAGGTATCAGTGGACCCTGAGTGGGGAGCTGGAACTCCTACCCCCACTCAACAGCCCCCTTCAGGTATGAAAGGAGGCCAAGGGTGTAACCTGGACTTTCACTACTGTGTCCGGAATTGGTGGGTTCTTGGTCTCACTGACTTCAAGAATGAAGCCGCGGACCCTGGCCGTGAGTGTTACAGCTCTTAAGGTGGCGCGTCTGGAGTCTGTCCCTTCTGATGTTCAGATGTGTTCGGAGTTTCTTCCTTTTGGTGGGTTCGTGGTCTCACTGGCTCAGGAGTGAAGCTGCAGACCTTTGCAGTGAGTGTTACAGCTCTTAAGGCAGAGCGTCTGGAGTTGTTCATTCCTCCCGGTGGGCTCGTGATATCGCTGGGCTCAGGAGTGAAGCTGCAGACCTTCACAGTGAGTGTTACAGCTCTTAAGGCAGAGCATCTGGAGTCGTTCCTTACTCCCGGTGGGCTCGTGATCTCGCTGGGCTCAGGAGTGAAGCTGCTGCAGATCTTCGAGGTGACTGTTATAGCTCATAAAAGCAACGTGGACCCAAAAAGTGAGCAGTAGCAAGATTTATTGCAAAGAGCAAAAGAACAAAGCTTCCACAGTGTGGAAGAGGACCGGAGCGGGTTGCCAATGCTGGCTAGGGCAGCCTGCTTTTATTCTCTTATCTGGCCCCACCCACATCCTGCTGATTGGTAGAGCCCAGTGGCCTGTTTTGTCAGGGCGCTGATTGGTGCGTTTACAATCCCTGAGCTAGATACAAAGGTTCTCCACGTCCCCATCAGATTAGTTAGATACAGAGTTTCGACACACAGGTTCTCCAAGGCCCCACCAGAGCAGCTAGATACAGAGTGTCGATTGGTGCATTCACAAACCTTGAGCTAAACACAGGGTGCTGATTGGTGTGTTTACAAACCTTGAGCTAGATACAGAGTGCCCATTGGTGTATTTACAATCCCTGAGCTAGACATAAAGGTTCTCCAAGGCCCCACCAGAGCAGCTACATACAGAGTGTTGATTGGTGCACTCACAAACCTTGAGCTAAACACAGGGTGCTGATTGGTGTATTTACAATCCCTGAGCTAGATATAAAGACTCTCCACATCCCCACCAGACTCAGGAGCCCAGCTGGCTTCACCTAGTGGATCCCGCACCAGGGCTGCAGGTGGAGCGGCCTGCCAGTCCCACGCCGTGTGCTCGCACTCCTCAGCCCTTGGGTGGTCAATGGGACTGGGCGCCCTGCAGCAGGGGGCGGTGCTCGTTGGGGAGGCTCGGGCCGCACAGGAGCCCATGGAGTGGGTGGGAGGCTCAGGCATGGCGGGCTGCAGGTCCCGAGCCCTGCCCCGCGGGAAGGTAGCTAAGGCTCGATGAGAAATCGATCATTACCATGATCAGTGGGATTTATTCCAGGGATGCAAGGATAGTTCAACATACACAAACCTATAAATGTGGTACACTACATTAACAGAATGAAGCGCAAAAACCATATGATATCTCAATAGATTCAGAAAAGCATTTAACAAAATTGCTTGAAAACATCCTTTCATGATTAAAAAAACTCTGGAAAATTAGATATAGAAGAAATGTACTTCAACATAATAAAAGCCATGAATGACAAACCCACAGGTAACATCATACTCAATAGTGGCAAGTTAAAAGCTCTTCCACTAAGATTAGAAACAAGACAAGAATGACTACTTTTATCACTTCTATTCAGCATAGCACTGGACACCCTAGTTAGAGCAATTAGGCAAGAGAAAGAAAGACATCCAAATTAGAAAGGAAGAAGTTAAATGAAATTGTCCCTGTTTGTAGATGACATGATCTTATGTGTAGAAAACCCTAAAGATTCTGCCAAAAAATCCTGTTAGAACAAATAAGTTCAGCAAAGTTGTAGGATGCAAAATCAACATACAAAAATTCGGTAGTATTTCTATATACTAACAGCAAACTATCCAATAAAGAAATCAAGAAAATAATTCCATTTACAATAGCTACAAAAAATACTTAGGAATAAATCTAACTAAGGACGTGAAAAACCTGTATACCAAAAACTATAAAATTTTAATAAAAGAAATGGAAAAAGACACAAATAAATGGAAAGATATTCCATGTTCACAGGTTGGAAAATTAATATTGTTAAAATATCTATACTACCCAAAGCAATCTATTGATTCAGTGAAATGTCTATCAAAATTTCAGACATTTTTCACTAAAATAGAAAAAGCAATCCTAAAATTTGTATGAAACCACAAGACCCCAAACTGCCAAAACAATCTTGAAAAAGAACAAACCTGGAGGCATCACACTACCTCACTTCAAAATCTACTATATAGCGATAGTAATCAAAACAGCGTGATACTGGCATAGAAACAGACACATAGACCAATAGAACAGAATACGGAGCCCTGAAATAAATCCACCCATTTATGGTCAATTGATTTTGACAAAGGTGCTAAGAACATACAATGGGGGAAATGGGGAAAAGCATAATGGGGAAAGCAGGAAAGGAGAGTCTCTTTAATAATTGGTGTTTGAACAATTATTTATGTACAAAAGAATGAAATTAGATCCTTGTCTCACGCTATATACAAAATCAACTCAGAATGGAGTAAAGTGTTAAATGTAAGAACTGATACTATGAAACTACTAGAAGAAAACAGGGGAAATAACCATGACATTGGTCTAGGCAATTATTTTTGCATATGACCTGAAAAACATAGGCAATAAAAGTGAAGATAGGCAAATGGGATTACATCAAACCGAAAAGCTCCTGTACAGCAAAGGAAACAATAAACAGAGTGAAAAGATAATGTATGTAATGAGAGAAAACATTTGCAAAGCGTATGTCCTATAAGGGGTTAATAGCCAAAATATATGAGAAACTAAAATAACTCAGCAGCAAGAATACAAATAACCTGATTAAAGAATACAAAAATACAGGAATACAAAAAACCTGGGCAAAGGACCTCAATAGATGTTTCTCAAAAGAAAACATGCAAATGATGAACAGGTATATGAAAAATGCTAAGCATCACTAATTGTCAGAGAAATGCAAATTAAAACCACAATGTGCTATTACCTCACACCTGTTAGAATGGCTATTATCAAAAAGACAAAACAAAAAACAAAAAACAAGTGTTTGTGAGGATGTGGAGAAAGGGAACCCGTGTACATTGTTAATGGGAATGTAAATTAGTACAGCTATTATTGAAAACAGTATGGAGATTTTTCGAAGAATTAAAAGTAAAATTTTTACCATATGATCTAGCCATCCCACTACTGGGTATATACCCAAAGAAAATACAATTAGTGTATTGAAGAGATATCTGCACTCCTATGTTCATTGCAGCATTATTTACAATAGCCAAGATATGGAAATAATCTAAGAGTTCAACAACAGATGAATGGATAAAGAAAATGTGGTATACGTACACAACGAAATACTATTCCGCCTTAAAAAGGAAGGAAATCGTGTCATTTGTGACAACATGGGTAAAACTGGAAAACATGTTAAGTGAAATAAGCCAGGCACAGAAAGACAAAGACCATGTGATCTCACTTATATGTGGAATCTTAAACATTTGAACACATAGAAGTAGAGAATAAAATGGTGGTTACCAGGGACTGGGGGCAGTGAAGGGGTTGAGGAAGATGTTGGTCAAAGGATACAAAATTTCAGTTAGATAAGAGGAATAAATTCAAGAGATCTATTGCACGATGTGATGACTATAGTTAATAATGATATATTCTGTTTTTAACTTTTATTTTAGGTTTAGGGGTACATGTGAAGGTTTTTTACATAGGTAAACTTGTGTCATGGGGGTTTGTTGTAGAGATTATTTAATCACACAGGTATTAAATCCAGTACCCAATAGTTATCTCTTCTGTTCCTCTCCATCCTCCCAACCTCCACTCTCAAGGAGCACCCAGTGTCTGTTGTTCCCTTCTTTGTTTTCATGAGTTCTCATCATTTAGCTCCCACTAATAAGTGGGAACATGTAGTATTTGGTTTTCTGTTCCTACGTTAGTTCGCTAAGAATAATAGCTTCCAGCTCCATCCATGTTCCCACAAAAGACATGATACTGTTCTTTTTTTATGGCTGCATAGTATTCCACGGTGTATATGTACCACATTTTCTTAATCCAGTCTGCCAATGATGGGCCTTTAGGTTGATTCCATGTCTTTGCTATTGTGAATAGTGCTGCAATGAACATTTGTGTGCATGTGTCTTTATGGTAGAATGATTTGTATTCCTCTGGGTATATACCAGTAATGTGATTGCTGGATCAAATGGTAGTTCTGTTTTAGTTCTTTGAGAAATCTCCAGGATACTTTTCACAATGGTTGAACTAGTTTACACTCCCACCAACAAATGTATGAGTGTTCCCTTTTCTCCACAACCTTGCCAGCACCTGTTATTTTTTGACTTTTTAGTAATAGCCATTTTGACTGGCATGAGATGGTATCTCATTGTGATTTTGATTTGCATTTCTCTAATGATCAGTGATATTGAGATTTTTTTCATATTCTTGTTGGCCGCATGTATGTCTTCTTCTGTAAAGCATCTGTTCATGTCCTTTGCCCACTTTTCAATGAGGTTGTTTTTCTCTTGAAAATTTGTTTAACCCAGAAACAAATCCACACATCTACACTGAACTCATTTTTTACAAAGTTGCCAAGAACGTACGCTAGGGAAAGGGCAGTCTCTTCAATAAATTGTGCTGAGAACACTGGATATCCATATGCAGAAGAATGAAACTAGAGTCCTATCTCTCACCATATGAAAAAACAAAAGGGATTAAAGGCTTAAATATAAGACCTCAAACTATGAAACTACTACAAGAAAACATCGGGGAAACTCTCCAGGACATTGGACTAGGCAAAGATTTCTTGAGTAATACCCCGCAAGCACAGGCAACCAAAGCAAAAATGGACAAATGGGATCACACCAAGTTAAAAGCTTCTGCCTGGCAAAGGAAACAACAAAGTGAAGAAATAACCCACAGAATGAGAATATATTTGCAAACTATTTATCTAAAAGGGATTAATAACCAGAATATACAAGGGGCTCAAACAACTCTATAGGAAAAAAAAATCTAATAATCTGATTTTAAAACGGGCAAAAGATCTGAATAAACATCAAAAGAAGACATACAAATGGCAAGCAGGTACATGAAACAGTGCTGAACATCACTGATCATCAGAGAAATGCAAATCAAAACTGGGGTGAGATGATATACCATTCCAGTTAAAATGGCTTTTATTCAAAAGACAGGCAATAACAAATATTGGCAATGATGTGGAGAAAAGGGAACCATTGTACACTGTTGGTGGGAATGTGAATTAGCACAATCACTATGGAGGTTCCTCAAAAAACTAAAAATAGAACTTCTATGTGATTCAACAGTCCCACTACTAGGTATATACCCAGAAGAAAGGAAATCAGTATATCAAAGAGATATCTGCACTCTCATGTTTATTGCAGCACTATTCACAATAAGCCAAGATTTGGAAACAACCTAGGTATCCATCAGTAGATGAATGGATACAGAAAATGTGGTGCTTATACACAATGGAGTAATATTCAGTCATAAGAAAGGATGAGATCCTGTCATTTGCAACAACATGGATGGAACTGGAGGACATTATGTTAAGTGCAATAAGCCAGGTACACAGAGACAAACCTCACATGTTCTCACTTATGTGTGGGAGCTAAAAATTAAACCAATTGAACTCATGGAGATAGAGAGTAGAAGGATGATCACCAGAGGCTGGGAAGGGTAATGTTGGAGGGGAAGAGGGGATGGTTAATGGGTACAAAAAGATAATTAGATAGAATGAATGAGATCTAGTATTTGAGAGCACAATAGGGTGACTACAGTCAACAATAATTGTATATTTTAAAATAACTAAAAGAGAATAATTGGGTTGTTTGTAAGACAAAGAAAGGATAAATGCTTGAGGGGATGGATGCTCCTTTTACCCTGGTGTGATTATTACACATGGCATGCCTGTATCACAATATCTCATGTACCCCATAAATATATAAACCTATTATATAACCACAAAATTAAAAATAAATTTTTTAAAAAAAGATATTAGCAAATAGAATTCAGAATGTATAAAAGGTATTATGCATAATGACAAAATAGTGCTTATTTCAGAGATGCAAAGCTAGTTCAATATTCAAAAATCAATCAATGTAATCTGTGATACTAAAAGGCCACTGAAGAAAACTTACATGATCACATAAATTGATGCAGAAAAGTGACTTGAGAAAATACAACACCCATTCAGAATAAAAAAATACTCAGTTTTCTAGGAATAGAGGGAAATTCCTCAACTTGATAAAAGGCAAGTACAAAAACCTATAGCTGACGACAAGAATGCCCTCTCTTGCCACTCTTTTATTTTATTTTATTTTTAAGACAAGGTCTCACTATGTTGCCCAGGATGGTCTCCAACTTCTGGCCTCAAGTGATCCTCATGCCTTGGCCTCCCAAAGTGTTGGGATTACAGGCATGAGCCACCACGCCCAGCTGCCACTCTTATTCAACAAAGTGCTGGAAGTTTTAGTCAGTGCAATAAGATGAGAAAAGGAAATAAAAGGCATACAAAATAGAAAGGCATAAATAAAACTGCCTCTATTTGCAAATGACATAACTGTCTACACAGTAAATCTCAGGAATCATTTAAAAACCTAGAACTAATAAATGCATTCAGCAAGGCTGTCAGATACTAGATCAACAATGAATGTGTGGACACTGAAATGAAAAATAGAATACTTTTACAATAGCTAAAAAATTTAATACTTCAGTGCAAATCTAACAAAACATGTAAAGCACTTGTATGCTGAAGACTACAAAATTCTGATGAAGGAAATCAAAGATCTATATAAATGGAGAGACATACCATGGATGGAAAACTGAACACAGTAAAGACATCAATTCTCCCCAAATTGATATACAAGTTTAATGCAATAATTATTAGAATCATAGCAAGAACTTTTGTAGACAAAGACATGTTTATTTTAAAATTTATATGTAAAGCAACAGGCCCTAGAATAGTTAAAACGTAGTGAAAATAAGTTAATAAGATTAAAGTATATGGAATCACTTGTGTTATGACTTAATATGATGCTACGGTAGTCAAGATAGTGTGGTATTGGTGGAGGGATAAACACAGATTGGAGGGACAGAAGAGAGAATCCAGGACAGACTCTTAAAAACAAATATGGCAAACTGATTTTTGACAAATGCACAAAAGAATGTCAATGGAGGAAATATAGCTTTTTCAACAAATGATGCTAAAACAATTGGATATCCACAGGCAAAAAACAAACAAACAAACAAACAAACACCTTGACCTATATATCACATCTTACACAAAAATCAACTCAAAATGGATTATGAACTTAAGTGTAAAACACAAAACTATAAAGGTTTTAGAAAAAAAAACACAGGAGAAAATCTTTGGGATCTAGGGCTATGTGAATAGTTCTCATACCTGACACCAAAGGCATTAGCCATAAAAGGAAAAATTTATAAATTGGACTTAATCAAAATGAAAAACTTCTGCTTTGCGAAAGAGGATGAAAAGGCAAGCTATAAGCTTGGAGAAAATATTTGCAAACCACATATCCAACAAAGGACCTGTATACAGAATATTTAAAGAACTCCCAAAAACTTAACAGTTAAAAAATAAAACCAATCAATTCAATCAGAAAATGAACAAAAGTCATGAAGAGTCATTCCATGAATGAGGAGATATAGATAGCAAATAAGCATAGTTAATGATGTTCATTGTAAGGGAAATGCAAATTAAAACCACATTGAAGTATCACTATGTATTTGTCAGAATAAATAATATTAGAGACAACATCAAATGCTAGTAAGGGTGTGGAGAGATGGAATCACTTATGTACATTGTTGTTTGGAATGTAAAATGATACAATCATACTGGAAGGGAGTATGGCAGTTTCTTTCTTTCCTCTTTCTTTCTTTCTTTCTTTCTTTCTTTCTTTCTTTCTTTCTTTCTTTCTTTCCTTCTTTCTTTCTTTTGGGGTCTCCCTCTGTCACCCAGGCTGGAGTGAAGTGGTGTGATCATGGCTCACTGCGGCCTCAAACTCCTGGGCTCAATCGATTCTCCCACCTCAGCCTCCCAAGTAGCTGGGACCACAGGCATGGGCCACCATGCTGGCTAATGTTTTGTATTTTTTGTAGAGATGGGGTTTTGCCATATTGCCCAGGCTGGTTTCGAACTCCTGTCCTCAAGTGATCCACCTGCCTCGGTCTCCCGAAGTGCTGGGATTACAGGCATGAGCCACTGCACCTGACTATGGTTTCTTAAAAAACTAAACATGCAACTACTATATGACCCAGCAATTTCACAGAATAGTTCCTCTTCCCAGAGTTGTTTTACAAGGCATAATTGACTGAAAAATACTGCCCATAAGACATTAAGTCACATGAGTGGACTATACATGGACATTGAGAATTACTAGGCCTGAAAATTATGGGTCCCCTATCTTCTTGGGCTTCTCTATTTCCATGGTGGCCAAGCTCTGTCTCTCCCCTTGGCTGGTCTTTGAAATTCAGGAGCTGATAGCTCCTCTGCTGCCATCTGTCTAGCTTGCCTGGCATTGTGCTGAAGAAGTTGACTTTGGCTCCCTCTGAAACCCCAAGTGGGTTATGTAGCTTTCTCCTCCAGATCTAACCAGCTACCTAATGGAAGAGTTACCAAACTCTTGAGGCAGGCAGGAAACATCCCTTTTGCATTCCTGCCAGTCAGACTGGCTAGGATAGGAGTGGGGGTCAGGATGCTGGATGGGACCCTCAGCTGGGATCCAACCTGCTCTACTTCCACGGGCCATGTAGTGATTTGTGGCTTCTCTCACTCCTGCATAGGCCTCCTGGCTTGCTTTCAAGATAAGAGTCAAAGGTTGTGAGCCTTCGCCAATTTTTCCTGGGTAAGGAAAACTCATTTCCTTTCCTTGGCATTTGTCCCCTTTCCTCTCTTTCTCACTCCAAGTGTCTCTTTTACAGTCTCTTCTGGGAACTTCCTCTCTCCAATCTGTGACACCTTCTATAATTCCTGCCCTTCTATTTTCAGTTTATGTTGATGCCTGTAGGGTCATATGTGAAAGCCTTTTAGAAACTCCAGCTAAAATTATGCAATTGCAAAGCATCATTGCTGCTTGCCTGTTAGATGGGCAAGGTCCTGTGCTATATGCTAACTGAATCTGCCCACAAGTAGCGTACATCTAATGGGAAGATAACTAATATTAATACAGAGAAACATATGCCAAGAGCCACAAGAACAATAAAGAAAATATGCTATGAATTCGGATCTGTTTCACTCCCATCTTCCAGGAATCAACAGGCCAGACAGGAGGCTTTGCCAGAAAGCCTTTTCAAACCTGGCATTCTAAGTTTCCATCATGTCTGTATTAATTTCCTATTGCCACTCTAATAAACTAACACAAATTTAGTGGCTTAAAATAATGCAGACTTACTATCTGACAGTTCTAGAGGCCAAAAGTTTTACAATCAAGCTGTCAGTATGTATTAGTCCATTCTCACATTGCTATAAAAAAACTACCTGAGACTTTATAAAGAAAAGAGATTTAATTGACTCACAGTTCTGCAGGCTATACAGGAGCCATGGCTGGGTAGGCCTCAGGAAACTTATAATCATGGCAAAATATGAAGGGGAAGCAAGCACACCTTCACATGGTGACAGGAGAGAGAGTGAAGGGGGAGGTGCTACACAGTTTTAAACAACCAGATCTCGTGAGAACTCACTACCATGAGAACAGCAGGGGGGGAATCCACCCCCATGATCCAATCACCTCCCACCAGGTCCCTCCCCCAACACTGGGGATTACAATTCAACATGAGATTTGAGTAGAGACACAGAGCCAAACCATATCACAGCAGGACTGTGTTCCTTCTAGAAGCCCTAAGGGAGAATTTGTTTTCTTGCCATTTCCAGAGGCCGTCTGAATTTCTTGCTTGTGACTGTATTCTCCATCTACAGAGCACATCACTGCAACCTTTGCTTCTGTCATCACATCTTCCCTGACTTTGATCCTCCTGCCTCCCTCTTACAGGGACCCCTGTGATTACACTGGGCCCATCTGGATAATCCGGGATAATCTTCCCATCTCAGGATCCTTAACTAATCCCATCTGCAAAGTCCTTTTTGCCATGTAAGGTAACATATTCACAGCTTCCAGGGGTTTAAGACATAGACATCTTCGAGGATTCATTATTCTGTCTACCACAATTTCCTATCTCTCTACCTGGAGAAACCCTTTTTCTCAATCATCTACAGACTCCTTTCCCTGTGGCATCTCCCATAATGCATGGCTCTAGGCTTTCTGTTTATATTCACTGTGTGGTTATATAAGAAATTTTGCCTTTTCAATTTGTTGTATTTTTGTTTTGCTTTTAGTCAGAGGCCCCTCAGGATGAAAGAAACTGTCTCAGTCTTCAGTGGTATAGAGTTCTTTATCCTTGAATGTAAACTAGCAGACCCTGGGGGATTCCTTTCAGTCCTGATATGTCTCAGTTTCATTCACAGTAGAATTTCAGGAATGAAGCTGACTAAATGTGTTATCTCAGAGATGTCTGCTCTTAAAGAGGGACTCCAGCAGATCCAGTACCTTAAGACATTCTCTCAAGGGTCAGTTATTCACAACTGACTAAAAGTTTTGCTATATCCCTTCAACCTCTTCTGTACTTTAGCTAACACTTTTCTTTTGTTTACATTTTAAAATTGCAATTATATCTGAAAAATCATGCATTAGGTGTACTAGTTACCTTCTTCTAATAAATGTTAAACACAAAGCTACTAAAATCCCCTCTTAAGTGGTACAAGTGGTACATAAAATGTGCCTGTTTTGCGGGAACACCTGAAAGTAATCTCATGCTGACACTCCAGGCAGTGTGGGAGAATGCAGGAGACACTTTCGGTTTGCCCTAAAAATCAGAGTATCAGAGGACAATTGCCACAGACCCTCAAAACACATCTACCCATCTGCCTGCATTTTTGCCTATATTCTGCCTTCCATCACATTTCTGTAGATGACCTATCTGTACAACCCTTCCACCTGTACTCTGGATCTCATTCTTTCTTACTACTTCAAGGTCATTGTTCCAGCAAGCCCTCTCCTCCATACACATAATCGAACTTTCCTTCTTATTGGGCAATTCCCATCGGCATATAGGCATGTTTTTCTTCCATAATAAAAAATTCTCTTGACCCCACTTTTTTTTTTTTTTGAGATGGAGTTTTGCTCTTGTTGCCCAGGCTGGAGTGCAGTGGCACGATCTCGGCTCACCACAACCTCCACCTCCCGGGTTCAAGCGATTCTCCTGCCTCAGCCTCCCAAGTAGCTGGGATTACAGGCGTGCACCACCATGCCCAACTAATTTTGTATTTTTAGTAGAGACGGGGTTTCTCCATGTTGGTCAGGCTGGTCTTCAACTCCCGACCTCAGGTGATCTGCCCACCTCGGCCTCCCAAAATACTGGGATTACAGGTGTGAGCCACCACACCCGGCCTTGACCCCACTTTCTGTTCTAGCTAATGCACCCATTTCTCCACTCCTGTCTACAGCCAAGTTCTTTGAAAGAATTGTCTACACTTGCCAACTCCAATTTCTCTCTCCTCTTTCTCTCTTGAACAAATTCAAATGAGGCTATCACCCCAACCACTCCACGTAAGCTGCTTTTGTCAGGACCACTGTCATGTTACTAAATTCAATGGACTATCCTGTCATCATCTTACATGACCAAGCAGGAGCACTTGACATAGTTGATCACTCCCTCCTCCTTGAAACACCTTCTTCACCTGGCTTCCAGGACAAGATACTCTCCTGGTTTGCCTCCTACCTCACTAGCTCCTTCTTGTCTGTCTCCACTGTTGTTTCCTTTTCATCTTCCCAACCTCTAAACATTCGTGTTCTCCAGGGCTCATACCTCAGATCTCTTATCTATCAATATTACTTTTTTTGGAGGCTTTAAATCTCATACAATCTCATAGCTTTAAATACCATCTATGTGTTGATGACATCATAACGTACATCTCCAATTCAGACCTCAGCCCTGAGCTCCAGACTCATATATCCAACTGCCCAATTGACATCTGCTCCCGTGATTCCTGCCCCCTGGTGTACATACCATGAATAATCCCCTTCCTTTGAGTGAGGGTGAAACCTGTGAATATGACGGATGTCACTCTGGTGATTAGATTGTTATGTGGTAAAGGTAAAGAAATTTTTGTAGATGTAATTAAGGTCCTTAGTTAGAAGTTAACTTTGAGTTAATCAAATGGAAAATTACCCAGGGCAAGCCTGACCTAATCAGGTGAGCTCTTTAAAACGAAGTCTAGAGATCACAGATCTACTCTCTCTTGTTAGCCTGAAAGAAGCAAATTTTCATGAATTCTACAGCTGCAAGGAAGCAAATTCCGTTAACAACTATGTGAACTTGAAAGGATATCCCTTTATAACACTATTCGCCATCTCATATGTTATTTTCATATGTAATTTGTTTATTGTCTGCTTCAGCCCCCTCCCCCCATGTAAATTTCCAAGGGAAGGGATTTTTCTGTTTTATTCATTGATAAATCCTTCAATGCTTTAAACAGTACCTGTTACATAGTAAATGCTAATAAATATTTGTTAGATAAATGAATAAATGAATTTTAATTATTGAGTTTTTCATGTTCCCCACAACCCTTTTCCACTACTAACTATTCTCTCACCAAATTCCAGCATTACAAACTTCTATCCCTTTCATTGAGACGTGAATTCACTTTGCACTCTTAAAAATGACATCCTGAAAGATTAGTCCCACCTCTACTGAGGGAGTTTCAGGTACTCTAACCAGAAAGTTATCATCCTTGGCAGATATCTTGGTTTGGGGGACCAGATGGACCTGGATTGGAATGCTAGCTCTGCCATTTGGTAACTGTGTAAGACCTAAAGTACATTGCTTCATTTCTCTGAGCCCCAGTTTCCCCTCTGGAGAGTAAGAATATTGTCTGCAGTCATAGGGTTTCTGGGAGGACTGAAAGCAGGCATGCATTTTTTATGTGAAGAACAGTTACTGGCATAAAGATGCTATCATACTACACACATGGCTCTGTAACTCGCTATTCCTATGGTTTTGTACATCTATCTTTACATTCTGGTATTTTAATTTCTATAGGATAAATTCCCGAAGTGGGGTTCCTGGCCCCAATGGTATGTGCTTTAAAAAAGTTAAATGGTGCTGGATTATTTTCCAAAAAGGTTTTAACAATTCATAGTCTTTTTTTGTGTGTGTAGCAGGGTCTTACTCTGTTGCCCAGGCTGGAGTGCAGTTGTGCGATCTCAGCTCACTGCAACCTCTGCCTCCCAGGTTCAAGAGATTCTCCTGCCTCAGCCTTCCAAGTAGCTGGGATTATGGGCGTGTGCCACCATGCCTGGCTAATTTTTGTATTGTTGGTAGAGATGGGGTTTCACCATGTTGGCCAGGCTGGTCTCAAACTCCTGGCCTCAACTGATCTGTTCGCCTCGGCCTCCCAAAGTGCTGGGATTACAGGAATGAACCACTGTACCCGGCCAATACTCTTAACAACTATGTATGAGAACGCCTGTTTCCCTGATGCTTACCAGTAGCGGATGTTACCAGTGTTTCTCATTTTTGCTGATGAAAATAGTAAATGGAAAAATGGTATCTCACTGTGTTTATTTCCATTTCCTTTATCACTTGTAAATATAAATATATTTTAATATTTATATTCATTTGCATGTCTCCTTCTGTGACTTACTTTCCTTTGTCCAATCTTCTTTTGGATCATTTGCATTTTTCTTATCAATTTATAGGTTGAGAGTGTGAGGAGTGACTGCTAAGGGGTACGAACACTCTTTTGGGGCGATAAAAATGTTCTGAAATTAGATTGTGGTGATAGTTTAATAACTCTGTAAATGTACTGAAAACCTTTGAATTTTACACTTTAAATTAGTGAATTTTACACTTTAAATTAGTGAATTTTATGGTATACAAATTATTATCTCAGAAAACTGTTACAAATGATAAAAATTTTTGAAAAGATTTTTTTGAGATGGTGATTTTTCATGGCTGCATACAATTCCCTTTTATGGAGTTATTGTATTTCATTTAAGCACCCTCAATTGTTTTAAATTATTTCCAATGTTTTACTCTTATAAAAATTGTGATGGGGGCCAGGTGTGGTGGCTCATGCCTGTAATCCCAACACTTTGGGAGGCTGAGGTGGGAGGATTACTTAAGGCTTGGAGTTTGAGACCAGTGTGGGTAACATAGCAAGACCCTGTTGCTACCCCCAATTTTTTTTTAACTGGCTAGGCATGGTGACGTGTGCCTGTAGTTCCAGCTACTCAGGAGGCTGAGGCAGGAGGATCTGAGCCCAGGAGTTTGAGATCACAGCGATCACTCCACTGCACCACAGCCTGGGCGACAGAGTGGGACTTTGTCTCTAAAAAAAAAAAAAAAAAGGAAAAAACAGTGATGAATTTCTTTGTACATGAATCTCTGCTTTTTCTTAGGATATATTCTTAGAATAGGAATTACTGGGGGTGGGGGAAGATGGTTTTTAAGGGGGAGATATGATTTCTTTCTTTCTTTCTTTTTTTTCTGGTGTTGTACTCAAAAGGGAGGTAAGGTTCTAATAAAAAATTTAAAAGTAGTTGATGGTGATTCCATGTCAATCTGAGTATTTTGGAGTTTTCTCGTTAAGTTCAGAATGCCATATTCAGCATCTCAAAATTGTTGGCCTGGTCCCTCCTACTATGGTGACACCAAGTAACACTATAGTTGGTGACAGAGAGCATTTTTAGTTCTCATCACACAAATATATACAATTTATTTCTCTCTTTATCATCAGTTGTTTAACTTACAACTGTCTAGCAACTTACTGATTGCTAGAAAAACAAGATGAGAAGCTACATTGCTTTCCCTGGCTCAAATCCGTGGGGATTAGGGGCTAATTTTAGCACAGTTTTAGGCAAAAGCAGGAAGCGGTGCCTATGTGGTTTCTTGGCTACAGTTTCATACCACCTTCACATCTTGCTAACATACGCTGGAGAAAATACAATAATAATAAGAGTAATAATAATGATAGGTACTATTGACAGATAATCATAAGATCCTTCTTTAGACAGAAAGGAACCTATCTTCTCCGTTAGTTGTCCTAAATACTAAGAAAGAAATTCATCCAGAAGGAATGTAAAGGAAAAGAGTTTATATCTCCTACCTGTTCTCTAGACCCACCCTCAAGCCAAGCCCTTTTCCCATCATCAAATCTTCAGATTTAGCCAGGCAAATTGATTAATGATGGTTGATTCACTGATTTCCAGGACATTAGCAATGCTTGAGAGAAGAGGCTCGGTGTTGTCATAGGGAGTTGATTGGGTTTGTAATAAGAATCCTGGGTTTGGCCGGTCTTGGTGGCTCACGCCTGTCATCCTGGCATTTTGGGAGGCTGGGGCAGGCAGATCGCTTGGGGTCAGGAGTTTGAGATGAGCCTGGCCAACATGGTGAAACCCCATCTCTACTAAAAATACAAAAATTAGCCGAGTGTGGTGGTGCGCGCCTATAATCCCAGCTACTCTGGAGGCTGAGGCAGGAGAATCGCTTGAACCCAGGAGGCAGAGGTTGCAGTGAGCAGAGATTGTACCACTGCACTCCATCCTGGGCGACAAAAAAAAAAATTCCTGGGTTTTAGTTCTGACTCTGCCATTAACCTGTTATATGTCTCTGGGCAAATCATATGTCCTATCTGGATCTAAGTTTCCTATCTGTAGTTGATTTCTAAGGGCCCTTCCAAGTCTCACATGCTGTAATTTTAAGGAAACAATATAATTAGGTGTCTTCCATTGAAAAGTAAGGCAGGGAACACACTTGAGAGTTGAAGTCAGAGGAAAGAAACTGAGTATGTCAGAAACCTATTATAATCTAGGTTATTTTAAGTTAGATTCTTAAGATTATCATGAAAAACTATGCCTTTGAGGTTGCACAACTCTTTATATTTACTAAAAATCATAGAACTGTACATGTACAATAGTGGATTTTGTGGTATGTAAATTACACCTCAATAAAGCCATTAAAATATAAATTTGATTGTCATTTTATCACCAAATAATCATCGGCAGGGTGTATGAAATTGTGGATTGAGAATCTGCTGATTTATACACATGCATGAAGATGAGTGAGAGCAAAGGGATATGTTAATAATCTTGGGGGTTTTGTTGGCTCAGAGAAGCTACTGGGCTCCAAGGAGATTGATGAAGCTAAAATGTCATTGTCATATGGGAGGTAACTATTGATTTCACTGACAAGCCCTGTAATTATAGAACACAATGCCTAGTTACATTAATTAGAAGCGAGTAAGAGAGTGGAGCTGGAGCCATGCTGGCAAGGAGAGAGGGAAAGTGGAGATCAATCTTCTCTAAGATGTGGCTGGAGCATGCAGCGAGTGAAGAGAGGGAAAGCTGAAAAGTAGGGTGGAGATTGGAACCAGTTTGAAGATCTCTATGAGAAAGGCATAATACTTACTACTTTGGATTGCATATATATTCAATAAAATTATATATTAAACAATATTTTAAAATTGTAAAGCACTATACAACTAAAATTATTTTTAATAGGCAATACAGGCCTTTGGCAAAAATGCAAATGGTACGAAAAAAATGATGTAAAGAGACAGTGAAAAGTATATTTCTTCCCCACCTTTGTCACCCATTTACTCTCTACAGAAGTATCCACTATTTCATTTTTTGTGTGTATTCCTCTGGAGAAATTCTATTATTCTATCCACATACAAATTCATGTATATATATATGTGTATATATGAATGTATTTTACAAATGACAGGATACTGTTCACACTGTTTTTTATTTGTATTTGTATTTACTTAACAATGTAGCTAGGAGAGCACTCCTTATCAACACATATCGATCTGTATCATTCTTTTATTTTTTTTGAGACAGAGTCTCTCTCTGTCGCCCAGGCTGGAGTGCAGTGGCACAATATCGGCTCACTGCAACCTCCGCCTCCCAGGTTCAAGCAATTCTCCTGCCTCAGCCTCCCAAGTAGCTGGGATTACAGGTGTGCACCACCACACCCGGCAAATTTTTTATATTTTTGGTAGAGATGAGGTTTCACCATGTTGGCCAGGCTGGTCTCAAACTCCTGACCTCAAGTGATCTGCCTGCCTCAGCTTCCTAAGGTGCTGGGATTACAGGAGTGAGCCACTGCGCCCGGCCTGATCTGCCTCATTCTTTTCAAACACCTATAGAGTATTTCCTTGTACTGCTATTTATTTAACCAGTCTTCTTTGGAGGACATTTAATTTATTTCAGTGGCATCTGTTTTATCTTCTTAAATTAATCCTAACCACTTAACAGCAAAACCAGTTCTCAACATAGTGATGAAGGTGTTGGATTTTTTTGCTTAATATATCAGTTTATTGCTATGTTAATTTTTTCAGTAAGAGTAATAATCTTAATATCCCCAAGACTTTAAAAAAATTTTTGATGATGCAATAAAGAGCTGCAGGGAAATTCAAGCACAATTCACTTCTAAAGAGCTGATTTGGCCTGGCTAAATATAGTCTACCAGGCAGCTTGGGCAGGGGTTTCAATATATTCAGGCTCCAACTTGGAAGGGGAACTTAAGCTTTCAAGAATACTTCTTTGAAAGAGAAGAACCCAGAGAGGCAGTAGAATAAAGTGGAAAGATTTCTGGACTGGGTTTGGTTGCTCACACCTGTAATCCCAGCACTTTGGGAGGCCGAGGCGGGCGGATCACTTGAGGTAAGAAGTTCGAGACCAGCCTGGCCAAGATGGTGAAACCCTGTCTCTACTAAAAATATAAAAATTAACTGGGCGTGGTGGCAGGTACCACCTGTAATCCCAGCTACTTGGAGGCTGAGGCAGGAGAATCTCTTGAACCTGGGAGGTGGGGGTTGCAGTGAGCTGAGATCGTGCCACTGTACTCCAGCCTAAATGACAGAGAGATTCTGTCTCCAAAAAAAAAAAGATTCTTGGGGCTGGAGTCAGAAGACTTGAGTTTCAGCCCCAGTTTTGTTACTAACTGGCTATGTGACCTTGGGTAAATCGCCCCCTTTTAGGGGTTCAGTTTTCCCTCATATGTTAAACAGGGGCAGAAATAGCAAACTCCTAATGCTATTATATGGACTGGATGAATTAAGAGAGTCACATAAAGTACCTTATAAACGTTAAGTATAAATATTACCCTAAGGGACAGAGAGACATAAAGCCAGACTAGCTTGAGCTCCAGGTAGAATAAATACACGTATGACCACATACTGTAACCTGAAAGCTAAAAAATGGGCTAAGAAAGAAATGACCCCTTCTCAGTTAGATTTTTATGCATCTGGAACTTAACAAAGAGCAAAGGAACCCTTTTTGGAAAAGTTCCTGTATGTCTACAGTTTAAATGCCCATCCTTGTCACAAGCTGTTGGAAAGCATATTCCTATAAATACTTCCTTTTTTTCCTCTTTATAGTTCTCTATATTACAACTCACTGACCAAGGATATAAGTCCCTAACTGTCAGTGAGAGTGAAAGAGAAGATTTGCATTTTGAAGGTGGAAATGCTCCCTATTTAGATATGCCAGTTCAGATAAACCCAACTGTTTGTTTGTTTGTTTATTTATTTATTTATTTATTTATTTATTTATTTGAGATGGAGTTTTGCTCTTGTCACCTAGGCTGGAGTGCAATGGCGCAATCTCAGCTCACTGCAACCTCTGCCTCCCGGCTTCAAGTAATTCTCCAGCCTCAGCCTCCTGAGGAGCTGGGATTACAGGTGCCCGCCACCACAGCCGGGTTTTTTTTTTTTTTTTTTTTGTATTTTTAGTAGAGATGAGGTTTCACCACGTTGGCCAGGCTGGTCTCGAACTCCTGACCTCAGGTAATCCACCCACCTCGGCCTCCCGAAGTGCTGAGATTATAGGCGTGAGCCACTGCCCCGGGCCGATTTTTTTTTAAGAAGAATTGGACCATTTGACATTTCATTGGGAGGAAACCTAGAAACAGTGAAGGAAAAGCCAACCAGCACCCTGTGAGAGAAGAAAGAAAATGGAGAGGGAGGCCGGGCACGGTGGCTCATGCCTGTAATCCCAGCACTTTGGGAGGCTGAGGCGGGCGGATCACCTGAGGTCAGGAGTTCGAAAGCAGCTTGGCCAATATGGTGAAACCCCGTCTCTACTAAAAATACGAAAATTAGCCAGGCGTGCTGGTGCATGCCTGTAATCCCACCTACTTGGGAGGCTGAGGCGGGAGAATTGCTTGAACCCGTGAGGCGGAGGTTGTAGTGAGCTGAGATTGTGCCACTGCACTCCAGCCTGGGAGACAGAGCAAGACTCGGTCTCAAAAAAAAAAAAAAAAAAAAGAAAGAAAAGAAAAAGAAAAAAAAGGAGAGGCAGACAGAGATAAACTAAGTGTAAATTGATACAAGATTTTTGGAGGGCAATTTGGCAAGGGGTTTGTGTGTAGAAGACAGGCTGCTATGAGGGATCAGAGTCAAGCAAGTTGGTGAAGGCATCCCTGTGGAGGGGCAGCCTGGTGTGGGAAGTCAGAGCCTCAGAGGGCTAACAAGGACATCCGCATGATGGAGTGGCATGGCATGGGCTGTTGGAGCCTGAGTGGAACGAGGAGGTCATACACATGGGGGAGAGGTGATGTAGGGAGCCAGAGTCTGAGCAGGCTGCAGAGGGAATCCATGAGGCAGGGAGGCTGGTTATGGAGAATCAGAGGCACCCAGGCAGGGAGAACAGAGCTGTCAGGGAGGGGTGGCAATGGACATGGGAGATTGATTACTTTTTCAGTATTTATTTCTTTGCTTTTTTTTAAATTTTTTTTCTGAGATGGAGTCTCTGTCACCCAGGCTGGAGTGCAGTGGTATGATGATCTCGGCTCAGTGCATCTTCTGCCTCCCAGACTCAAGCGATCCTCCCACCTCACCCTCCTGAGTAGCTGGGACCACAGGCACACACCACCATGCCCGGCTAATTATTGTATTTTTGGTAGAGACAGGGTTTCACCATGTTACCCAGGCTGGTCTCAAACTCCTGAGCTCAAGTGATCCACCTGCCTCGGCCTCCCAAAGTGTTAGGATTACAGGCATGAGCCACCGCACCCAGCCAAGTGTTAGTATCTTTTTCTGTGTGACAATTTACCCCCAAAACTCAGCAGCTTAACACAATACACATCTATTATCTCAGTTTTTATGTGGCAGGAATCTGGGCATGGCTTAGCTGGGTGTCTCTGGCTCAGAGTCTCTCACAAAGCTAAAATCTGAAGCTTCAACTGAGGGAGGCTCTGCTTCCAAGCACACTCATGTGGTTGTTGGTAGGATTTATTTCTTCAAGGGGCGTTGACTGAAGACCTCAGTTGCTCAATGGCTGTGGCCAGAAGGCTCTCTCAGCTCCTTGCCATGTGGGTCTCTCCATAAGGGCATCTAGCTTCCCTCAGCTACTGAGAGGGAGGATGGGAGGGGGAGAGAGAGAGAGAAAGGGAGGAGTGGGTAGGGCAAGGGGAGGGAGGAAGAGAGAGACTAGAAGCCAGAGTCATCTTATAACCTAATCTCGGAAGTAACATCCCATAACTTTTGCTGTATTCTGTCATTAGAAGTGATTCACTAAATCCAACTCACACTCCAGGGGAGGTGATTCCACAAGTGGTTGAATACCAGGAGGCAGGGATCACCGAGGGCTATCTTAGAAACCTCCCGGCACAGTTACATAGAGGAGTATTGATAAAAATGAGTAAATATATTAAGAATGATGTAAGCTATCTTCTCATTGTCATAAATTATTACTAATGCAGAAAGAAAGAAAATTAGAATGAACCCTGTGGTGTTGGATTGGATATATCAGAGTAAACTCATGGTTAGATAAATGACAGATGGATAGATAGATAGATAAAAATGTGTGTGTGTGTGTAAGTGTATATAAGTGAGGACTCTGAGAGGCTCAGGGAGCAGCAACACACCAACAACAATATATACACCTGCTGCTCAGATTTGGCTTCTAGATACCATTTCCACTAAAAGGAATCAGGGCTTCTCCAGGCTGATTTTGGGACTACAGAAGGCAAAGTACAAGATGAGCCTGGAATATTTTGTGCCAGAAACTAAGGAGGTGCTCGAAAAATGATGGGGTCATGTCAAAGGGACATGGAAACCAGCTTAAAGGGGCTCCCAGTGGCCAAATCTAGGACAATTTGAGCATCAAAGTAAACAATGATAATAATGGACTATAATCCATTGAATAAAATAGGAAACCGTAAGTCTATACTGGTATAAACAAATAAATGAATAAATTGAAAGTTTGATGAGGAATGGAATATTTACACAGTTTCAACGTACTTCCCCAGAAGGTATGTACTAATTACAAAGAATAACTTCACAGTGGAGAAGCCTAGCACTTACCACCTTAGTCAAGAGATCAAAATGACCATCATGAGTAGTAATAGGACACGTTGAAATTATGCTCCACTTGACAGAATGCAATTAGAGCCTAGCGTCACTTCTGTGATAGCCCTGCCAAAAATAAGTAACCTAAATTTAATCATTGGGAAACATCAGGTAAACTCAAATTGAGGGATATTTCCCAAATTAACTGGCCCATAGTCTCCAAAAGTGCCTGAGTCTTAAAAGTCAACAGAAGACCAAGGAACTCTTCCAGACTGAAGGAGATGAAGGACACATGACAATTAAAAGCACTGCACGATTCTGAACTGGATCCTTTTGCTGTAATAGACCATTTTGAGACATCTGATGAAACTTAAATAGTACCTGGGGATTCAATGTTAGTAATCTATTAATGTTAATTTCCTGATTTTTGATGGTTGATTCATTCATGGTTAGACAGGAAAGTATCCTTGTCATTAAAAATATAAAAAGGTACACACTAAATTATTCAGGGGAAATGGGACATTGGGGTGGCAAATCACTTTCAAAGGGTTCAGGAAAAAAAAACCAGAACAACCTGTATTACACTTCCAACTTTTCTATAAGTTTAGGATTGGTTTAAAATGATAATAATAGTAGTAGTAGTAATTTAAAAATAATGAAAAGAATGCCATAATCATGAAAGTCAAAGACAGTCTGAAGAACAGTTTCAAGATGAAAGAAGGCTAGATATAAATGAAAAATGCAATATATGATGCTGAATTACATCTCAGACCCCCTCCCCCCAATTTTTTTGCTACAAAGAACATTATCTGCACAATTGGAGTATTATGAGTAAGGCCTGTAGGGTAGATAATAGAACTTTATGATATTAACTTCCTGATGTTAATATTTGCACTGTGCTTATGTAAGGAGATTTTTTCGGCCGGACACAGTGGCTCACGCCTATAATCCCAACACTTTGGGAGGCCGAGGTGGGAGGATCACCTGAGGTCGGGAGTTCGAGACCAGCCTGACCAACATGGAGAAACCCCGTCTGTACTAAAAATACAAAATTAGCTGGTCATGGTGGCACATCCCTGTAATCCCAGCTACTCGGGAGATTGAGGCAAGAGAATCACTTGAACCTGGGAGGCAGAGGTTGTGGTGAGCTGAGATTGCGCCCTTGAACTCCAGCCTGGGCAACAAGAGTGAAACTCTGTCTCAAAGGAAAAAAAAAAAAAAAAGAGATTTTTTTCTTTTTTCATAAATGCATCTAGGACAGAAAGAGAAATATTTTGTTCTAAGAAATACATACTGAAGTATTTAAAGTTAAATGGACCTCATAGCTAAAATTTACTCCCACATGGTTCAGAAAAAAGGTAATATGCATATATAGAGAAAATATGATAAAACAAACCGACAAACTGTTAACAATTGGGGAAATACGTGTGTTCCTGCAACTTCTCTGTAAGTCTGAAATTATATCACAATAAAAAGCTACAAAAATATACATATCCTTTGTCCTCACAATTATCTTTCAAAAGGTATCCAACATATATATAAAGATATTCATACATGGATGTTCACTGCAGTATTGTTTGAAATAACTGAAGATCAGGCTCAAACAAATTGTTTATTGATAGTGGATTTTTCATACTATGAAACACTGTGTAAGATAATTGGGTATATACCTGGGCTAAAAATAAGGAACAAATCACCTTACGTTGATTAGAATGGCTGCTATAAAAATAAACAGAAAATAAGCATTGGCAGGGATGTGGAGAAATTAGAACTTTTGTGTACTGTTAGGGGAATGTAAAAATAGTACAACTGCCATAGAAAACAGTATGGAGGTTTCCAACAAGCAAACAAACAACAACAACAACAACAAAACACACACACAAAAACCCCCAGAGCTATCATATGATCCAGCAATTTCACTTGTGGGTATATATCCAAAAGAATTGAAAGCTCAAATAAATGAGCTGCCTTGTTTCAAAATAATACATTTTCTACTAGTTTCTGCTATATTCATTGATTCAACCAATTTTTAAATATAAAGGTAACAGAGTTACATTCCACAGTGACATAAATATATTAAAGTAAACTAAAATTTCCACAAAAGTCTTTTCTTTTCTTTTGTTTTTTTCTGAGACGGAATCTTGCTCTGTCGCTCAGGCTGTAGTGCAGTCACGCGATCTGGGTTCACTGCAACCCCCACCTCCTGGGTTCAAGTGATTCTCCTGCCTCAGCCTCCCGAGTAGCTGGAATTACAGGCGCGTGCCACCATGCCTGACTAATTTTTGTGTTTTTTAGTAGAGACGGAGTTTCACCATGTTGGCCAGGCTGGTGTCCAACTCCTGACCTCAAGTGATCTATCCACCTCGGCCTCCCAAAGTGCTGGTATTACAGGTGTGAACCACCGCGCCTGGCCTTTTTTTTTTTTTTTTAATGAGATAGATTCTCACTCTGTCATCCAGAGTGAGGCAGGGGCATGATCTCAGTTCACTGCAACCTCTGCCTCCTGGGTTCAAGTGATTCTCCTGCCTCAGCCTCCTGAGTAGCTGAGACCACCCGAGTAGCTGGGACCACAAGCATGTGCCACAATGCCTGGCTAATTTTTGTATTTTTTGGTAGAGACAGGGTTTCGCCATGGTGGCCAGGCTGGTCTCGAACTCCTGACCTCAAGTGATCCGCCCACTTCGGTCTCCCAAAGTGCTGGGAGTGAGCCACCACGCTGGGCAGAAATTTCCACAAATAGTTTTAACAGGCAAGAGAGTCAAATGAATTGAGTGGGCTTCATGGCTGCCTTTCAATACAACTCTGTGCTTTCAGGTTGTACCCACGGCTAATGATTTTATCCAAAAGACAACAGGCCAGGCACAGTGTCTCATGCCTGTAACCCCAGCACTTTGGGAGGCCAAGGCATGCGAACCACTTGAGACCAGGAGTTTGAGACCAGCCTGGCCAACATGGTGAAGCCCTGTCTCTACTAAAAAAAAAAAAAAAAAAAAAAAAAAGAAAGAAAGAAATTAGCTGGGCATGGTGGCCTGTAATCCCAGCTACTCAGGAGGCTGAGACAGGAGAATTGCTTGAACTTGGGAGGCGGAGGTTGCAGTGAGCTGAGATCGCACCACTACACTCCAGCCTGGGTGACTAAGCTATACTGTGTCTCAAAAATAAACAAACAAACAAACTAACAAAAAACCAAAGTACAACATTTGGAGACTGCACTTTTTGCTGTTTCTCGGGTAAGGTAAGTTGATTTTTTTTTCAGTGCTATCAGTAACATAGTAAATCAATGCTACATGACACTTTTCCAATGCTACATAACATAACTCTTATTTTGTCCAGACTCAGAAGGAAGCTTACAGTAGGTGAATCCCTTGCAACCTGATTCATTTCTCACGTTGATTTCCAAAGGTCTAGAATAGAATGGCAGCATTTCAAATTATTGAACACTTGAATAATCTGCTTGGATTTTTTTTATTCACCTTAAAACTTGATAGTAAACAGGCATTACTGATTGGGGGTTATAAAGGATTTATGGCAGCAAAAGTTAAAAATTTGTTTTCTTTCTAATATTTGGATTCTGTTGTCACTTCGGTTGAAAATTAATGATAATTTTCTGCCCTGTGTATGGATATGGACCTTAATAAGATAATTGGGTATCTGCTATCAAATTTATATTCTTCAAGAGAAAGCCACATCAAATAAAAGAAACTGCTTAAGCCCCTTTTATTTTTATTTTGCAATGCTAGAGGGAATTCTAAGCCATATTGCTTACTGCTCTTTAGGTTTTATTTTTCTAAATTTTAATGGTGTCTTACACTTATGATGTATTTAACTTACATTAAAATGTAGATGTTTTAAGAATTTTAGTTTTGTTAAGGCTTTTCTAATTATAATTTAAGTAATAAAGGATTATTATAAGAGTAACAACTAGGATTAGGAATTTTTTTAGGTTTATCTGTGCTATGTTTACTGATTATGTCACTTAGAGTGACATTATATTTTGAAAATATATATCAAATGATAGCATAACAGGGTAGTTCTGTTGCTAAATATTTTGTGCAAATCTTTAAAAAAAGACTAATTTTTCTGATAATCTCTTCTTGTAACTGGTATATTCAAGGGTTTGGTCTCACTCCAGGAAAGCCTTTTCATTAAAAGATGAGATTGAAGCATTATGTCACTGACATTTATTAAATGCTCACAATGTGCCAGTCTCTGGGTTAGGTGTTCCAAATACCAATGTTCAAAACGACATTGCAAAGAATTATTCTCATTGTGCAAATGAAAAAATAGTGGCCTAGAAAATTAAGTCACTTGCCCAAGCTGTGTTATAAAGCTAATAAGTGGGAATAACTAGATTTTGAACCATGATTTTTTTTCCCAGACATTGGTAGTAATAGGTTTTCAAGTCAGTTTTCTTGGTATTATTTCTATTTTTGTTTTTATTTTTAATTGTTGTTGCTTATGCCCCAAAATGAAATGAATGGCATGCATTCTTCATGTATATTGTTTGAAACAAAAGTCCCGGAAATACACTAACAGGAATATCATTTATTGATAAGCTGAATTCTGTTTTACTTTTCCCCAATAGTCTATGCATTAGAAAAGAAAATATTTCACTAAAGTAATTAAAGCACAAAATCATTAAGATTCAACAACAACAACAAAAAGCTTTAGATGACAAGAGAAGCAATTTTCCCATTGTTATTACTTTAATATATCCCATTTGGAGCATTGGATAACCTAAAATACAAATCAACGTAATGATCAGCAGCATAGCATCTAGAACTAAATTGCTCAGATTAGAATCTCAGCTCTCGTTATTTAATCGCTCATGTAGGGCTGTAGCTTAAACTTTCTATGCCTCGGTTTCTTCATTTAAAAAATGGGGACAAAAAATGGAATTTCGGTCACAGTTTTTTAATTAGTACTAAATACCTTTATACAGTTTGTATATGTAAAACCCTTTTCATGGTACCTAACACAATAAGGAATAGCTATTAAATTTTCAGGTCAATTTATTTAACTGAAATGATTATGTATACTGCATCAGTGTACACAGATTTGTTTTATATTGGATGGAATATAACTTAAGAGATTAAATGATACAAAATATGGTTATATTTGATTTTATTTTGAAGCATAAAAATATTCAAAATATTATAACTATATTAAGCTATATTCTGTAGTTTTAATTATATATTAAAACTATATTCTATAGAATGGGCCTTGTGATATGGAAGTCAAGAAAGTGAATGCTACCTGAGGGAGCTCCACCAGAGAAGTCTATATAAGGGACTTGGCCATCCTGGTCTCCTCTGTGCTGAAGGGTCTATACTCTGGGGTGGGGTGGGGTGTAAAGGATAGACTCAGTTCCTGCCTTCCACTTTCAAAAGATATAAAGGAATTAAATTCAGAGACGAGCCTTGAACCCAGGTCTTTAGAGCAACAGAGCCTGGAGGAACGTGGCTGGAATTGTGTTCAAATTGTTGGACCACCATGGGCAGGAGGAACAAGACTGACTTTGCATGTCCTCAAACGTGCAGAAGTTACCAGGGGACCGGTTTCGCTCACTCTCAAGCCAGGAAGTCGGAGACCCGAACGGTGGTACACGGAGCCAGTGAGTCCTGGTCGCTGGAAGTTGGCCAGCCTCCGAAAGCAGGCCCCAGAAACAGAAAAAAACAATGCGAGGATAGTCAGTCGATGGCCTTTGTGGTTCTTCCTCACTCCCTGATGTGTAAATTTGGCCGAGCGCGTGGCCACTTCTCAGCAGTCCCACTTCAGGGATGAGGTGAACAACATCACCTCTCTCGTTAGTTGTATACTCGTTTTTTCAAAGGAAATAGGTCGCGTGGGGGTTAGTAGGCCAAGTGAGTTTCAGCCTCTAAATCACTGTAACTTCGTAGGGGTTGACGGGGGAGTAGCATGATCAAAGCCTCGAAATCTTCGGGAGTAGCGGCGCCTTGGGGTAAACTTTGGCTCGGCCTTTGCAGCAGGAGAGGGGCGGGGTTACTTGAAGGGCTCCTCAGGAGAAGGCGATTGGCCCTGGGGGAATCAGGGGGCGGGAAGAGTCCATCATTGCCACTGGTCTTGCCTGCAAGTTCAGGGCGAGCCGCCAGGGCGGCAGAGCTCTGAGGGCAGCCCGCGCGCGGGCAGACGAACCCGCAGTCGCGAGCTACTAGGCAGCCGCGGTGAGCTCGCCAGAGCCTCAGGGGATCGAGGAGGTCACGGGGCGTTGGCACCGGGTCGCGCGCCAGCGTTGCCCTCTTAGCGAGGACGCTTCTGCGCGCGGTGAGCTCGACGCGAGCCATTCAACAGCTGGCCTCGCGAGCGACAGTCGCACGGGGTGACTGGGACCGCTGACGGTTGCGACTGCGGCGGTTAGAGGGAGGCGACGACGGCGGCATAGACGTTGGCGGCAGCGGCAGGGACGGCGGCGGCAGTCCCGTTATCCTACCGGATCCTGGAGTAGAGACGAACGGTTCCTGAAGCTCCCGGTAAATGCCCTCGGCTCTGTCCTCAGAGGAGGCAGCCACGCTGGGCCTTCGGTAGGGACTGGGGAGGGGCTGCGCAAGAGACCCGAGTTCCCCGCTTGCCCCAGCAGAGTCACGTTTTCCAGAGTAACGCCTAGGCTCTTCCAGGTCCACTCTCCCCTCACTCGAGACCCCGCTGAGCCAGGGAGCGCACCGGAACCCACTCGAGGGCTCACCCAGGCCGCTGTTGGGCGAAGGTCGAGGCATTCCCCTGAGGCACGTTGGCAGTGACATCCCGCTAATGGGAACTGAAGGTGCCCTCTCCTGCTCGACCGGTACGCCAAGTGCCCATCATTAGCAGGGCTCTGCCGCTGCCGCCCCCTGATGACCCTCGTCCTTGGCTTTAGGGACTTCTCAAGAGATTCTGAGTCTCGGCTTGAGGTTTCCGGCGGGGTGGATTAAGACCGTTTTAATCTGACTGTGGCTTGCTCACCCACAACGCTTTCGGGATGCAAGATCCTGAGCTTGGGTTGGTGGGCCGAGAGGCGAGGGGAAGAATCAAGTTGGGGAGGCCCATGCTGTAGGATATGCATGCCATACCCGCACTCAGGGGAAATCATAGTCGTGGTCCTTGGGACCCGTGCCGCCTTTTGGTCTCCTGCTTTTTGTGTTTTTATTTAAAGTCGACCATTACAGGAGGCAGAACTTTCTAGTGCTGCTAACTCCGAGGGGTAACAAACGTGTATTGGAACGCTGGGTTCCAGTATGGGAAACTGGTTACCCTTTGGGCCTCTTCTTGGTGTCTTTTCTAGATTGAGAATATGATCTCAAAGATCATGCCCATTTCGCCCTGTTTTCCGGCCTATGTCTGATCTAACCTTGGAACTTCATGCTGTTGAGAGTGTAAACTTGTGCAGTGCAATCGGTAGGGCTCGTTCTTCATGCTAAGAAAACCATTTTTTGGAAAAATATGTTGGGACCTCTCAAATTCTGGTTTTTTGTTTGTTTGCCTTTTGAAGCATGTGACATTCCAGCAGTTACATTTTTCTGTGCTCTGGTTTTTTGGGAGGAGGGGAGAGAGGCGGGGGGAGGGGAGAGAGGCTGGGGGAGGCCTTCAAAGAATGGAGTAACTTGAAGCATGGAGTAACTTCCATGAAGGGATTTTTCCTTCAACCCTTGTGGAGCACAGAGGAAAGTGACTAGTGGAATAGGCCTGCTGGCAAAGGTGCCCGGAGGATCCCAGCTGCCACACACATCAGGATGGATGGGGCTGACTTGAGGTGGAGTAACATTGGGCAGGAGGGGGACAGGGCCTGCAGAGTCCACCTTGGCTTTTGTAGTGGCTTTCCATTTTGTTCCAGCCAAAGAGTATACCTGCAGTGCAGCCTGTTTGTCCAAGTTCCCATCATACACTTACGTGAAGAGAGTGGCCTTTGCTGGCTTTATGTGTCATCTCTACCCACAGTAAGAAAGGCGAGGTACAGAGGTTAGAGAACATGGAGATGATAATGGTGGTGGTGGTGGTGGTGGTGGTGGTGGTGGTGATGCGTGTGTGAGAGAGAGACTTATTCCAAACAGTGAAGCAGTTTATCTTCCCAGCATGCATTCCTACCTTTGCTAGAGAGAGAGAGACTTTTGCTGAGTTATTTCAGAGCCAGGGCGCTGGTAGTTGTCCAACTCTCTGATTCAGTGTACACTTGGGTCTGTGGGTTCTATGTTGTATCCAACATGCTTCTGGCACTTTAAGAAGCTATAAAACCAAGCTGTGGGCTGAGGCAGGCTAATGCCTGGGGCACAGAGCAAATGTGGACATCATGGAATCTAGTTGCCCTTTGCTCAGAAGAGACAGCGCAAGGGCTGGAGCACTTGCAGAAGAAGAGGAAGGTCAGTGAAAATTTGGTAGTCATAATAATAATGAAAATTTACTGAACACTTACTGGAAGTTAAGTACTTTACTTGGATCATTTTAATTAATTTATTTATTTTGAGACAGAGTTTCACTCTTGTTACCCAGGCTGGAGTGCAGTGCATGATCTCGGCTTACTGCAGCCTCCATCTCCTGGGTTCAAATGATTCTCCTGCCTCAGCCTCCCGAGTAGCTGGGATTAAAGGTGCACGCCACTACACCCTGCTAATTTTTGTGTTGTTGGTAGAGATGGGGTTTCACCATGTTGGCCAGGGTGGTCTCGAACTCCTGACCTCAAATGATTCACCTGCCTCAGCCTCCCAAAGTGCTGGGATTACAGGCGTGAGCCACTGCACCTGGCCACATCATTTTATTTAATCCCACCTGTAAGGTAGGCACTATTATCATCTTCTGAAGCTCAAAGAGGTTAGGTAGCATGCCCAAGGATGTCACCAAGCTGGTCAGTGGCAGAGGCGGGATTTGAACCCAGATCTGCTTGACACCAGACCTGGAGCTCAAAAGCATTTTGGTTTTTACTGTCACAGAGAAGGTTGCATAAAAGAGGTGAAATGGAGCAAGGTTTTGAAGGGTGAGTAGGCTTTAGATGAGGAGATGGGATATTTGGCTGAGGGGATCAACATCTTTAAAGGAACTCAAGGAAGACTGGCCCAACTAGAATGGGGGATGGACACACGGGTGTGGTGAAAATAGGGCTGGCAAGGTGGGTAGGATCATGTTTTGGAGACCTTTGAAGGGAAACTGTTACCTGAAGCAGTAAGAAGTGGGGGATGTTGAGAATTTTGGGGCAAGGAAGAGCATGGCAAAGGCAGTATCAGTCACCTGGTGTGACCAGCATGTGCCTCTCTCATCCTCATTCTCATTTCTCATTCTTGAGAACCTTACCCAATGGTAGCACATTTAGACATTGTTTTTGGATTTCCTGAACCCCTACAGAGTAGCAGACATGTGCAACCAAATACATTCCTGGGTCCAGTGTGCAGAAGGAACACGCTAGGGGCCCTGGGTCAAACTCAGCCTTAGATGAGTGTGCTGCGGCCTGCACAGGATTTGAAAAAGCAATTGAATTAGTGGTCAATGTTGAAAAAGCAAAAGAACTCAGTAAGGATCAGGATTTCCAGCTTATCTTGAAATGCTGGAAGGTCTGGTCTGCATTTCACTTGTGGAGGGCAAAGCTGTGCAGAACTGACTTCTTTAGCAAGGGGCAGGTGCTCTGCTTTCCCATGGTCCTACCCAGTCCCCAGCCCCCGTGCTTAGTACCTGCCTAATCCTGTAGGCCCTGGGCCACTGCTCAAGGGAAACAAGCCCCCACTTGGGAAGTTTCACACTCAGGATTAGCTTCTTGTCTTATTGTGTAATTAGGAAATTGTCAGACATGCAGTGAAACTGTCTCTGTGAAGGGTGAATAATCTTAACACACAGGAATGCTGTGTACCTCATTGTGGAGCATTATCCATAGATAGTAGCTTTCTTTGGGCCTGGGGCTGAAAGCCCGCTGTGCTAGGGCCCCAAAGAGACATTCTGGTGGGCCTTGCTGTTCTTCATCCTTTGCTTGCACTCAGGTTTTCTGTTTGCTGAATAGTTGATGTGTATAGGATCTGGGTCAAAAAGATTTAAAAAAAATTGCGGGGGGGGGAAAAAACCCCGAAGTGACTACCTAAAAGATAGCATGTTAAAAATATTAATCTGGAGTCCCAGAAAGTGGTCCATACGTTTTAGATGGGCAGGTATAAGCCACTCTGTGTTGGCATTTGAGGTGCGGAGTTCTTTGTTGTGCAGGTCTGTTTAGGAACTTCAGGGCAGTTAGCATCGCTGGCCCCTTGCTTACAAAATGGCAGTGGTGTCCTCCCTATGCTAGTTATTGTGACAGCTACAACTATTTTTATGCATGTCCCAACACTCTTGAAGGGAGCAATACTGACACACTTAAACATGACTGTAGCCTATTCTCAGGAATTTTAACACTCATGTGAAAGAATGTTAAAACCATTATTGCTTGTCTGTAGCCCAAAGTACCAAATGTCTCTCCTGACATTCACCATTTTCTTCCTTAGATTCCAGTTAATTGTCTCAATTTCTTTCCCTTTCTAGACTCAGTTGTTTGAGGGTGACTCTTCACTGTGGTCCCCAAACTGTCTTAAAGGTGCTTGGTAGGTACACTTAAATTAATCTCAATGTTCACTGATTAATGTTAATAGGTCTAGGAGTCCAAAAGAACAAGCAAGTCTGCATTATCATTTCACTGTGGGTCTTTAGGTGCTGTTATTAGTATTTTAAGTAGGGAAGTAATACTTTTTTTTTTTTGAGACAGAGTCTCAGTCTGTCACCCATGCTGGAGTGCAGTGGTGCGATCTTGGCTCACTGCAACCTCTGCCTCCTGGGTTCAAGTAATTCTCCTGCCTCAGCCTCCTGAGTAGCTGGAATTACAGGCGTGCACCACCACGCCCGGCTACTTTTTGTATTTTTAGTAGAGACGGGGTTTCACCATGTTGGCCAGGCTGGTCTCGAACTCCTGACCTTGTGATCCACCCACCTCGGCCTCCCAAAGTGCTGGGATTACAGGCATGAGCCACTGTGCCCAGCCGGAAGTAACATCTTTTAAATGTAGTTATTGCACAAAGTCTCTGTTTTACATAAGATTTAGCATTATTAAGTTCCTACTATATGTTAGGTACTGTTCTAGGCTCTAAAGATATAATGGTGAACCAGACAGATGCAGATTAAAAATAAAATGTTAACAATGACACAGGATGATCAGATGGTTTCTGTGTTACAGTGAAAATAAAATGGTATGATAGGCTACCAAGTCACAGGGGTGATAGCAGTGCTATTTCAGAGAGTGTTTAGGGCAGGCTTCTCTGAGGAGGTGACATTCAAGTCAAATGAGAGCAAAGTGAAGGAGCCAGCCATGAGAAAATCTTGAAGGAGAACCCTTCAGGTAGAGGGAACCACAAGAGCAAAGGCCTGAGGAGTGAACCTGATGCATTTGAGGGGCAGTAAAAAGGCCAGTGGGGTGAGATGGAGAGAACAAGGGTAATAGGGAGAAGGGTAAAAAGCTGAGTTGAAAGAGGTGGGCGGGGGCCATGTTTTGAAGGTAAGTAGTTTGGATTTCATTCAAAACATGATGAGATGCTGCTGGAGGGTTTTGAACAGAGGAGTGACATGATCTGATTTAGGTTTTTAAAAATATGACATTGGCTGTTGTGTAGAGTAGACTCTGTAGGGGCAAGGATGGAAGAAGAAGGACCAGTTAGGAGGCTGTTGCAGTAATCCAGGTGAGAGATCACAGTGGCCTGGACTGGGGGGTAGCAGCGAAGATGGAGATGAATTTGGGATTTGTGGTAAAGGTGGAGTCAAAAAGACTTTTGGAAGGATTAACTCCTAGGTTTTGAGCCTAAGCGCCTGGGTGCAGGGTGGCTCTACTTAGGGAGCTGGGAATCACTGGGAATCAGGGGAGCAAGTGTGATGTGGAGGACAGGTTTAGGAGATGCAAATTAAGGGCTCTGATGCACTTGTTAGGTTGAGATGCCAATGATACATTCAACTGGAGACATTGAATAGGCAGTTGAATATCAATATAAAAGTTGGCTGGAACTACAGCCTACATAAAATTAAATGCAAATTAAAGCTGCTTTAAGTTGTCATTTTATACTAATAAAGGTAACAGAAATAAAAATGATAATGATCCAGTGTGATCAGGACTGCAGGGGAATCAAGTATGTTAATAATGCTGATGGCCTAATAAATTGGCTTTTAAAAAATATTTACATAAGACCTGGAACGGTGGTTCACACCTGTAATCCCAGCACTTTGGGAGGCCAAGGCGGGCGAATCACTTGAAGTCAGGAGTTCGAGACAAGCCTGGCCAACATGGCGAAACCTCATCTCCACCAAAAAAATACAAAAATTACCCGAGCGTGGTGGCATGTGCCTGTAATCCCAGCTACTCTGGAGACTGAGGCATGAGAATCACCTGAACCCGGGAGGCAGAGGCTGCAGTGAGCTGAGATCATGCCCCTGCACTCCAGCCTGTGAAACAGAGTGAGACTCTGTCACAAAATAAATAAATAAATAAATAAATAAATAAATAAATAAATAAATAAATTTACACAAAGATTTCCATGGTAGCACTTGTTCTCATAATAGTAGTGTAGAGTAGTGGCAGTACTCTTTTGGAAAGAGTTATGCTCTTTCAAAAATAATTGAAGACACAAATCCCCAGGGAGAATATCCAACTAAATATATAGTAAGTATAGAGTTTCTATAGAATTTTTCTCTATATAGAATTTCTTTTTTAACAACATTTAATTTTTATTGACACATTGTAATTGTACAGAATTTCGAGAGAAACTCTCTATAGGCATGAAAAATGAGGAATTGTGTTGACCATATCAATATCTGGAATTGCTAATAAAACAGGTGCAAAAATCAGATCATGATGGTATATACAATGGTGTAAATCTTACATGCTGTTCATGCTGAATATTGTTAATATACAGTTGTCTTAATTTTAAAATAATTTCATTCGCTTTTGACTTTGTACCTTTTTCTCTCTGGCACTATTCCCTGGTTAGGATGCCATAACTTCATTTTGGTCCACTGTGAAGAGTTCAAGTGAATTGTGGCTTCTCCAGTCTTTCTTCCCTTGATCACATTTTCAGCACGAGGTATTGGATAATATCCTATTCTGTGGGACTTGTATTCAAATAAGTTTACCTTGGGATTTTTAAAAGGTTGGGAAGTACTGTTACTCTCAAAAACTGTGTAATAGTGCAAAGCAGGGTCCCGTGTGAAGGTTGCTTTTGACCTGTAGGTGGCGACTGGTGGGCAGGAATTTTGCTGGTAATTTTCAGATTGTGGAAATACAACTGAGAAGCAAAACACTGGCAACCTCATGATACGCATTTCCCACAAATAATACTGATTATTCAATGATGGAGGCAAAAGTATGGAAGATACTCAGCCACATTCCTTTAATTCCCTGATAGCTTTTTTTTTTTTTCATGAGAAGAGAAAGCAGTGAGTCTTCTTCAGTAGCATTGTTTATTAATCCAAGGTATAAAGCAGCATTCCTGGCTGGAGGTGTCTGGAGAGAGGTGTTCTTCAATAAAAATGTTCCTGGTGCAGAAGAAGGGGCAAAAGACCAAAGGACTGGTCAGATAGGTCTGCTGACTGCTCTGTGCAGGTTTTTAAAAATAGCTTCTTCCCTTGTTATCTTGGAATGACTCCTATACACACTAGCTTAGAGTTAGTTATGTGAATGCATTTGCACAGAAAGGCCAACACAAGACTTTTCTTCAGGCTAATTTATTTTCTATTAGCCTCAGAAACACTCAGAACACTTTGCTTCCACAAACATTACCACATACGGAAACTTTAGGATGATGTTTTAACACAAGGAAAAGAAAACAGGAAATTAAGTTGCTCAGAGTTAAATTAATGTGAATCCAGCTTTCTTCATCTCAGGATCAAAATTCCACATACTAAATTCTACCTTCGAGCTGATTTTCTTTGAATGGTGGTAGAAGAGATTCTCTCTCAGTAGGACTCTAATATTTCATTGTTGCAAATTTATCATTGCCAAATGGCTGTGCATCTCCAAAAATCCCTTCCATTCTGCCCAGAAAGCCCCCAGTGCCCCCATAAGCCCAGACCATTTTAATTTTGGAATTCGGTCATTTGTCGGGCCATATATTGGCTATATTCTTATTATTGCAAAACTGAGTGCCACTCATTTTAATGATGTGATTTTTAAATTATTCAAGATCAGAGCATATGGTCAGCCTCAGTTTTAAAATGTTGTTGGGCTAATGGCGTGTCAGAATACTTGAACGTCCATGCGTGGCATCTTGACTGAAGAACCATGGAATGTTTTTATTTGGTCAAGATATACTGGGATTCTGTAGTAGCCAGAAAATTGAAAATTGGCTAGGTTAATTTGACCCAAATAAATTCTGGCTTCCCTGCTATTTCCATAAATATGTTGTATAATTGCATACATCTTAAATGTTTTCAAAATGACTAACCTTAAAATTCAAAAGCCTGGAGAAAAAAGAAAGGCAGCAAAGAGCTACTTTGAAAGAGGATATTGATTGCATAGATGGTCCTATTTTTTCCACTTTTTTTTTAAGTACCTCATTCAAATGGCCTTTCTAATACTATGACAGCAAATATTTATGAGAGTGAGAACAAGCAAGAGAGAATGAATAGGTGGCTACTTTGCTGATTACTCAAGTGCTTTTAAAGTTTCAAGTTATATTTCTGATCTAAAAATCCTGAGATATATTAGGTGAATCTCTCCAGTATCTCCTGAAACAGGAGAAGATATTGGAATGTCTTAGGATGCAGACTGTGCAGAATTTACTGAGGTTTCACTGCTGGTTAAAATAAACATTTTAGGCTTGTGACAACATCTCCAGTCTATTTCCTTTTCTCTATTCCCTTATCCTACTGTTATTCAATCAACTTTGCTACGAGATATAGAGGCAAGGAAGATGAGGTGACCGTGTTCTCTGAGAATCTCCTAGAAATGTTTTGGCATTGGGAACATGTTGAGTGAAATGTTTTAGTGAAGCTACGTACACAAGATACTGCTAGAATGCACACTGTGTAAACATTATTAAATAACTATAATTTTTTAAGGTTAGAGGAGCTCCCATTTTCCTATGCAAAGATATTAAAGAATAAGTCATCTCAGTAGTGTTGCTTTTAATCATAAGGCTAAAGGAAAGATATGTGCATGTGGGTGGGGAGGATTGGGGAGGTTATGGTGAACACAATAGAATATGGGAATACTAGAAATATTTATTAAAATTTGACTTTTTGATAATTTGTGAAGGTCATGATTATGGCATTTCTTGCCATTAAGGCTTGGTTTATCTAGGCTCCTGAAACTTTGTTTAATAAATTAATCTATGCATATAATAGTGATTGGTGAAAATGATGGGAAAGTTATTAATGAATTCTACCATTACGGTCAATTGAAGCACAGGCTAATTAAAAGGGAAATTAGAGACAAATTAAGTTGTTCTAAAGAGTCAGTTTTAAGTCAAAGCCTAATAATTTGATCTTAGTGATTCCACACATTTTGGTATGTATATTTTGATGAATATATAAATATGCATAAAATACATAACTATATCTACAGTATAATAACTAAGCATAGATTATGTTTTTGTGTATTTGGCTTAAACAGGGTTAAAAACAAGGATTGTGTAGGGGAGAAAATGACAATCCTTTTTTTTTTTTTGAGACAGAGTCTCGCTCTGACTCCCAAGCTGGAGTGCAGTGGCACAATCTCGGCTCACTGAAACCTCCGCCTCCCAGGTTCAAGTGATTCTCCTGCCTCAGCCTCCCGAGTAGCTGGCATTACAGGCGCCCGCCACCACGCCCAGCTAATTTTTGTATTTTTAGTAGAGACGGGGTTTCACCACGTTGGCCAGGCTGATCTCAAACTCCTGACCTCAGGTGATCCATCTGCCTCAGCCTCCCAAAGTGCCAGGATTACAGGCGTGAGCCACCATGCCTGGACTAGTTGAGTATTTTCCAAAAACATCTGTTTGCTTTTGCTGTGTTATAAATTATCATTTATGAGTTAAACGCTGCAGCTAAGCCAGGAGTGGTGGTTCACGCCTGTAATTCCAGCACTTTGGGAAGCTGAGGAGAGAGAGGTGAGAGGATTGCTTCAACCCAGGAGTTTGAGACCAGCCTCAGCAACATAGGGAGACCCATCTCTACAAAAAATAAAAAATTAGCTAGACGTGGTGGCACGTGCCTGTAGTTCCAGCTACTCAGAAGGCTGAGGTGGGAGGATGGCTTAACGCCCAGGAAGTCGAGGCTGCAGTGAGCCTTGATTGCACAACTACAGTCTAGCCTGGGGGACAGAACAAACCCCTGTCTCAAAACAAAATATTTTGCAGCTAGATCAGTGATTGATGAGGGTAGGGAGGAAATGTGGAGGGACAATGGGTATTTTGACTACCTTGATTGCAGTGATAGTTTCATAGGTGTGTATACATATGTCAAAATTTATCAAAACATACAGTTTTGATACATGTGTAGTTTATGTTATGAAATCTGTAGTTTATTATATATTAATTTTGCCTCAATAAAGCAGTTCTAAAAGATAGGTTCTGCAGCCCATTGTGTAGCTAGTATTGCAATTGCCAAGTGAGCCTGTGATATTCAAAGTCCTGTTCTGATCTCCCAGGCTTCCATCGTGACTCACACAAACTTTGACTATGGGTTCAAATGCCTATAGGCATTTACAGAGATGGCAGACAGAGGGGTGCTTTTGGTGGGTGAAGGGAGTTGCTATTGTATTAATCTGTTTTTTTTACCCTTTTCTGGACAAGTTGGTGTCAGCGGTTATAAATTGCTTCCTTTTAGTAGCTTGTTATTATCATCTGAAGTTCCTCTTTTTAGTTAAACAAAGTACAAAATTAATACATTCTTATTGTAAACATTAAAAAACTGAAGCATTAAGAAATGTACAACATGGGCATATAGAGTAAAATAATAGATTGGAGACTCCAAAAGCTGGGAGGGTGGGAGGGAGGTGAGGATTGAAAAATTACCCACTGGGTACAATGTACACTATTCAGGTGATGGGTGCACTAAAAGCCCAGATTTCACCACTGCACAATACATGCATGTAAGAAATTGCACTTGTACTCTCTAAATATATAAAAATAAATTTTTAAAAAGGAAATGTACAAAGTATTTAATAAAAAGGGAAAGTTTATTCTTCTCCTATAGTCCCAATCCATTTTCTAGGGGAAATATTGTTAACAATTTGATGTATATTCTTCCAGACATTATATATTATGTCTGTGTGCATGGCCATGTGTGTTTATATTACTTTTATAAGAGCAATATCATATGTTACTTTATTATTCTGTCACTTGCTTTTTATTTTTTCCCTAAAAACTATCACAGGCATCCTTTTTTGTCAGTAAATACAGATCCACTGTCTGGCTCCCTACCTCCCTCCCTACCTCCAAAAGGTGGAAGGGTGGGAGGGAGGTGAGGATTGAAAAATTACCCTTTGGGTACAATGTGCACTATTCAGGTGATGGGTGCACTAAAAGCCCAGATTTCACCACTGCACAATATATGCATGTAAGAAATCTGCACTTGTACTCACTAAATATCCAAAAATAAAATTACTCCCTCCCTCTGTTCCCTTCCTTCTCCTCCTCCTCTTCCTCCTCCTTCTTCTCCTATATATTTTATTAGCTTTTGACTTGAGGTCTCCTTAAGGAAGAAGCATCACAATGGGAGTTGGTTGTTGTGCACCTATGTACCAGTCACTATGCTAGTTAATTTTTAATGACTTAGAAGAAGTTGCCAATGACACTTCTATAGCAATGAAGCCATGCCGTATATAAAAAGCTTACTTCTTGGTCATACTAGGTCCTCAATATTTTTTAAAAGTAAGATTAGAGAATTAGCCCTCTATTTTGGGAGAGTAATTTAAGATGAAATATTTATTGACATTCAATTTTAAGATCTAAAGCCTGTGAACCACTATGAAAGATATGAGAAGAACAAATGCCTCAGTTTCTTGTCATTTTTGTCCTTGGGAAACAGGAATTTAAGTTGTGAGGATTTTAAAGGAGGTCAGTTTTTTGTTTTTTTTTTTTTCAAAAACAATTGGGTCTTCTTGGGAAAATCAGTTTGTTCTTATAGTCATCCATTTTATCCAACATTCTTGATTATACATAATTTGTGATAATTTCTAAATATCAAATCCATGATAAAGGAATTTAGAAATTGGCCTCCATGAAGCTACTTAAAATAATGTAACCCAGGCTTTGAAATCAATCCAAGAGAAGCATTCTACAGTGTTTTAAACAAAGGCAGTATTGCTGGAGCAAGTGGAGAGCTTGACAAACCTGATTACTTTGAAGAGAGTAATTCTGTTTTGGGTGAATATTTTCTGGAATTTTTTTAAAAAAACTATTGCTTTATATTAGGTTGTATAAATAAATACCTAATGGTTATAAATAAATTTTAGAGTTCAGTATATCTTAATTGAATATCACATTAATTTTTCTCCTAGAGGGGGCTTAGTGTTGACTCTTATTGCAAATTGCAGCAAACTAACTGGATTTTTTCCATTTTGCTACATAGATAATGCTTTTGGAGAAAGAAAACATGTTTCTTCTCATATCATCCCATTTCAGTGTTGCTGTCATAAGGGTTTCTAGAACATAGTATCTTAGATACTGCTTTTGATGACCTTTTATAAAATCAGTCTCTACAAACCTTGCCTTCTAAAGGAAGTTAACTTGGATTGTCCTTTAAGGGTAGTTATTAAATAATTCTGTACCTATAAAGTTAGCCAAGATTTCGCAGTAAATTTTGTGTTAGAATTTCTGTCATCTGGCCATATATGTTTGGCTCTAAATTTCCCTAAAGTTGACGTTAATGAGAAATTCTGGTGACATAGAGTCTGAATATATCTGCTCAGAAAAAAACTCCTTTATTAGGAAGTGCTATTTAAAGTAAGCAAATAGAAGCTTAAATCTCTAATTCCCAGCATTAGTGATCTTGTTCACCTTAGTACTGCTTCAAAGAGTTTGTTAATATGAAGTAAACAGGAAGCACTCATGTTTTGGGGTTTTTCCAGTCCCCAAGTAGAGGGCAAATTCACTTTGTCACTCATTAGAAAAGGCTGTCTCTTCTTAACTTTAACTTAGAGATCAATTTAGTTAAAGTCAACAGACTGGAGGAACAAGAGTAGATATGTCCATTTTAGACTTGGAAACCAACGTGGACAAGGGATGCTAAGTCAGGTGCATGGGTTAGAACTATAAGTTCTATGTATGTTCGGTGCATGTTCATTAATGTGCCACCCTTGCCCTGTTTGTGTACCATCCCCAGCAGATTTTTAATGGAACTTTACATTTAAGATCAATTGTACAATAGATTAGAGATTTAGAAAATCTTGGCTTCTCAATGTATGGGCAAGTCATTTAATTTTCCTGAAACTGTCTGAATTTCCCCATCTGTAAAACAGGCAGGCAAATACCTACTCACGGGTTGCTTCATAAATCAAATGAGATAAAGTAAGACTACTACCACTAATAGATAATATTATAACTTATGTTTATTGAGAACTTCCTGTGTGCCAGGCACATTCTAAGGATTTCACCTGTACACACTCATTTAATTCTCCCCCAAATCTTATTATCTCTATTTTATGGTTAAGGAAACTGAGACACAGTATATACTCTTTGAAAACTCTAAAAAACATTAAATATTATTAAGTAAATATTACATATTATTATTATTATTCCCTTATAGAACAGATATTATTATTTTTAATAGGCTTTATTTTTTAGAGAAGTTTTAGGTTCACAAGAAAATTGAGCATAAGGGACCTGGCGTGGTGGCTCACGCCTGTAATCCCAGCACTTTGGGAGGCTGAGGTGGGTAGATCACCTGAGGTCAGGAGTTTGAGACCAGCCTGGCCAACATGGTGAAACCCTGTCTCTACTAAAAACACAAAATTAGCCGGCCGTGGTGGTGCACACCTGTAATCCAAGCTACTCAGGAGGCTGAGGCAGGAGAATCACTGGAACCTGGGAGGCGGAGGTTGCAGTGAGCTAAGATCACGCCACTGCACTCCAGCCTAGGCGACAGAGCGAGACTCCCTCTCAGAACAAAAAAAAAAAAAAAAAAAAAAAAAGAAAAAAGAAAAAAATTGAGCAGAAGGTAGAGAGGTCCCATATACTCCTGCTCCTACACATGCCCAGCTTTCCCCATGATTAACGTCTCCCACCAGAGTGGTTATAGGTGTGACAATCAGTGAACCTACATTGACACATTATCATAACCCAAAGTCCATAGTTTACATTAGGGTTCAATCTTGGTGTTGAACATTCTGTGGTTTTGGACAAATGTATAATGACATGTATCCATCATTACAGTATCATGCAGCATAGCTCCAACTGCCCTAAAAATCCTCTGTGCTCAGCCTATTCATCCTTCCCTCCCCTCTAGTTCATGGCAGCCACTGATCTTTTTACTGTTTCCATAGTTTTGTCTTTTCCAAAATGTTATATAATAGGAATCATATAGTATGTCACCTTTTCAGATTGGCTTCTTTCACTTAGGAATATGCACTTAAGTTTCTTCCACGTATTTTCATGGCTTGATAGCTTATTTCTTTTTGGGGCTGAATAATAATCCATTGTCTGGATGTACCACAGTTTATTTATCCATTCACCTACTGAAGAACATCTTGGTTCCTTCCAGGTTTTGACAATTATGAATAAAGCTGCTATAAACATTATATGCAAGTTTTTGTTTGGACATAAATTTTCAGTTCCTTTGGAGAAATAACAAGGAGTGCGCATCGCTAGATCATATGGCAAAAGTATGTTTAGTTTTGTGAGAAACTGCCAAATTGTCTTCTGTAATGACTGTACCATTTTGCATTCCCACCAGCAATGAATGAGAGTTTCTGTTGTACCACATGCTCATTGTGATGCTTCTTCCTTAAGGAGACCTCATTTGGTGTGGTCAGGGTTCTGGATTTTGGCCATTCTAATAGGTGTGTGGTGGTATCTCACTGTTGTTTTAATTTGCATTTTCCTGATGACGTATGATGTGAAGCATCTTTTCATATGCCTTTTTGCTATCTGATATTTCTTCTTTGGGGAAGGTGTCTGTTAGGGCTTTGGCCCATTTTTAAATCAGACTGTACTCTTATTGTTGAGCTTTAAGAGTTCTTTGTATATTTTGGATAACCGTTCTTTATCTGACATATCTTTTGCAAATATTTTCTGCCGGTCTGTGGCTTATCTTTTTATTCTCTTGACAGTGTGTTTTGCAGAGAAGAAATTTTAAATTTTAATGAAATCCAGCTTATCAATTATTTCTTTTCTAGAATGTGCCTTTGGTGTTACATCTAAAAAGTCATTGCAATACGCAAGGTCTTGTGGATGTTTAAATGTTCCAGCACCATTTTTTGAAAAGGCTATCTTTGCTCTGTTAAATTGTCTTTGCTCCTCTTTTTTAAAGATCAGTTGACTGTATTTATGTGGGCCTATCTGGGCTTTTTATTCTGTTCTATTGATGTATACGTCTTTTCTTTTACCAAACCATTATCTTGATTACTATAGCTTTATAGTAAGTCTTGATTTTGGATAGTGTCAGTTCTCCAACTTTGTTCTTCTTCAATATTGAGTTAGCTATTCTGGATCTTTTGCCTCTCCATATAAACTTTAGAATCAGTTTGCCAATATCTACAAAATAACTCACTGGGATTTTGATTGGGATTGCATTGAATCTATTGATCAAGTTGGCAAGAACTGACATCTTGAGTCTTCTTATTCGTGGACCACATATTTAGTTTTTCTTTTCCTTGTATAGATCTTGTACATATTTTGTTAGATTTCTAACTAAGTATCTCATTGTTTTGTGTGCTAATGTAAATGGTATTGAGTTTTAAATTTCAAGTTCTACTTGTTCGTTGCTGCTATATAGGAAGGCTATTGTCTTTTTTGTATTAACCTTATATTCTGAAGCCCTGCTGAAATAACTTATTAGTTCCGGGAATCAGAAGATATTATTTTAATTCTGCTTGTAGTATAGCTTTCCTTATCAATTTGTTCTAAGTCCAGCAATGCCAGCACCATTTCACAATCCAAATCTGTGTATTACTCCATCTGTATCAAAATTTTCTCTTTCGTTCTCTAAGGTGGTCTGAGGACAACATGACAGTCACAGTGGTGTATGATAACTCTGAGGCAACAGAGCTCTGTGCAGCTCAGCACCTCTACCTCAAGCCCATAGCAAAATTGTTGATCAACATATTGCTTCCAGGGAGTCTAGAACCTGTAAGGCCCTTCTCTAACTGGGAAGTTCTTGACCAGCTGAAGAGCCTGATTTGCCCTGACCAGTTCACCACAGTTCAGCTCTCCAAGAGTACAAAGGACTTCATTCAATTGGAGGGTGAGGCTGAAACCCGAAGTTTGGTTCAGATCCTGAAGGCAAAGTTACATGGGAAGATTATCAAGCTAAATGGTTTGAAAAAACACTTAAAAGTAGTGGCTACAGATGCCCAGGGAGAATGGGAGCACTTCCCCAAGGAAAAAGAGCCCTCGTTGAGTGATGGGGCTGAAGAGCAGGAGAAGAGCCCAGATTCCATATGTTTTGAAGAGTTGCCCTGTAAATGGTTTGCACCTAAATGTTCTAGCAAAGAGAAGCCATATGAAGAGATCCTTTGGGTAGTCTTTGAAAGTTTTGGGAAGATCAAGAATGTGGATATCCTTATGCTTGGCCCCTACAGAGAAGTGATGACTGACAGGAGCTTTGGGGGTTTTAGCTTTGGCTTACAGACATTTGAGGCATTCATACAGTAACAAGAGGCAACTGACTTTGTAAAAGCCATGGAGTCCCTTTGAAGAATGAAACTGATGCTTAAAGGAAATGATGGGAAAGCTCTGGCATGTAACATTAAGGTAAGAAGTAGCCAGAGTTTCTTTTATTTTCCACTGTTCAGGTGATCCTGAATAAAAGCTGGAAGGAAGCATCTAGAATAAATTTTCTTAGACCCTACCAGGCTCTGATCAATAACTAATATATAAAGACTTTTATTATTTTTAATAAATGGATGTTTAGGAAGAAAAAAATCCTGATTTGAACACTCATTCTTGTGCTATCAGGCATGCTGCCAGCTATGACTTTAAAGTGATGGTTCTTATAATCTGAGGTTCTGTCTCAACTACTTGAGGGCATTAAAGAATTCTTCATGGCCCCTATGGAATTATCTCATATGCTTATTATATTTGACAAGTTGCTGAGAGAGAGGAAGAGAGGAATACATGCAGTTTGAAACCACATGGAGGCCAGGTGTGGTGGCTCACGCCTGTAATCCCAGCATTTTGGGAGGCTGAGGCGGGTGGATTGCTTGAGGTCAGGAGTTCGAGACTGGCCTGGCCAACACGGCAAAACCCTGTCTCTACTAAAAATAGAAAAATTAGCCAGGCGTGGTGGCACACACCTTTAATCACAGCTACTTGGGAGGCTGAGGCATGAGAATCGCTTGAACCTGGGAGGTGGAGGTTGCAGTGAGCCGAGATTACACCACTGCACGCAGGCCTGGATGGAAGAGTGAGACTCAGATAAACTGCTAAACATAATCCTAACAAACTTGGATTCTTTACTTTCAAAATCAGCCTGTCTACTCCATCATGTCATCTCATTGATGTCTACATACTTTCGTCATCTCCTTCTTGAAGTTTTAACCCAGCAGTGGAAAAGATGCAACTAAACTCTCCTTTTTCTGTAAATCAGTCTTTAGCATGAATTTGGACTTTCTGCTTCCAGTGTATGAGTGTGTGTGTGTGTGTGTGTGTGTGTGTGTGTGTGTGCATGTGTGTATGTGCATGTGTGTATATGTAGCTAGCTAAGTTAAAATGTATATTTTTAAATTATGAGCTATTCAGTCAGGCAAATGATATAGCAAATACTGTCATGACCACCCATGTACCACTGCTCAGCTTAAAAAATAAAAAATTAGGCTGGGTGCGGTAGCTTGCACCTGTAATCCTGGCACTTTGGGAGGCCGAGGCAGACGGATCATTTTGAGCTCTGAGACAACATAGCAAAACCTCATCTCTACAAAAAGTACAAAATGAGCCAGGTGTGGTGGCTCTTGCCTGTGGTCCCAGCTACTTGGGAGGCTGAGGCTGGAAGATCGCTTGAGCCGGGAAGCAGAGGTAGCAGTGAGCCAAGATCATGCCACTGCACTCCAGCCTGGGCGATAGAGCAAGAAGCTATCTCAAAAAACAAACAAATAAACAAAAATAAATAAATAAATAAATAATAAATAAAACATTACCACAAGATGAGAGACCACTTCCCGCTGTCCAGTGTCTGGTTATAATTTTCTTGTGATTTGGTTAACCAAAAATTTTAACCTATTTTATACTATTCTGTAGTATCTCAATCTAATTTTCACTTTATTTCAAGATTTGAAAAGTTGTTTACTAATCATGATAGATCTTCTCTCTCATCAGGTTAGTTTTTGTGCATCTTTGCTCCCCCTGCACCACACACACTTCTGATTATTTTTGTTTCTGATGATTAAAAAAATACATTAGCTCATTTGATCTTTTTAACGAACCAGAAGTAATATATTGACATTTCTCAGCCTGTGCCTACGATGGCACTGTGATGGTGTCTATGACCATATGTAAAGTAAGCTCCTCAGGTTTTTTTTTTTTTTAAACAGCTTTATTGAGGTACGACTGACAAGTAAAATTGTGTAAAGTTAAGGTGATGATTTGATATACTTATTCAAGGGTTCTGCCAAAGAAAATCCTCAAGCCTACGAGCACTGTTTGGCTGGTGGCTGAGAAGCAGTAGGAATATGAATACTGGGATGCAGTGAGGACGTTTTGAATTCAATTGATTTTGAATTACCATGTACCATCTTAGTTTTATCTCTCTGACCTGGGACGTACCCAGCCAGCTGGCAAACTTTTCTAATGAAACTTTGAATTGTTTTGGAGCAGGTTACGTCTGATACGACCAAGCACTTCAGCGAAGGAGCTATAAGGAGGAGAAATCAGGAAAGGCTAAAATTACAAGAACTAGAAGAAGAAAGGAAAAAAGAAAAGAAAAGAGAAGAGGAAGTAGCTGAAAGGTGTGTGGACCAACTTTAACAAAGATTTTTTTTCTTTGATTTATGGATTAATCCTTTTGGATGAACAGCCAGACTTGGTAGATAACATTGAGATGGGGGGCAAGAATTGGAGCAGATTGGAAAACGCCACTGAAAGCTACAGTCTTTCAGCTGTGCTGTTACAAAACCAAAATGGCAAAACTGTTGAAAACAAGAGACTTCAAAAAAAAATATGTTTGTCAGGGAGGACAAATAATGAGGAATGATGGAACTAGCTAGATTAAGATGTCTGGAAAGAAATGATTTTTTTAAAAAGGGACAAGAAACTTTTATAGTGAAAATCCTAGCCTGCCAAGTTAAGAATTTTACCAGTTTACCAAATATTATCAAAATTACCTAGCCTACTAATTTAAAATTTTTAAGAATTTAGTGCTGGGATGGAATTTCTTCTTAAAATGTTCAATAACCAAGCTAACTTGTATGCAAGAAGGCATGGATTGATTGGGAGTATTTTTCTCGTTCGCCATGTTGGCCAGGCTGGTCTCGAACTCCTGACCTCAGGTGATCTGCCCACTGTGGCCTCCCAAAATACTGGGATTACAGGTGTGAGCCACCGCACTCGGCCTCTTTGTATTTATTTCTTTGAGCTTATCGTTGACGTCCAGTTCAGGAGTTTGAGTCTAGAAGGGGCTATTGGATTGCCAAAGGTTGCCAGTCGAGTACAGTTGAGCCAAAACTACAGAGCTTTGAAAATTAATTTTACTTCCTGGCCCTTCCTCATGCATGTTTATTCTTTTATTCTTTCATATAAATTGTAGCCATTCAGAAAAGGAGATAAGCAGGCTCACGCCTGTAATCCCAGCACTTTGGGAGGCTGAGGTGGGAGGATCACTTGAGGCCAGGAGTTCAAGACCAGCCTGGGCAACACGGGGAAACCCTGTCTCTACAAAAATTAAAAAAAAAAAAATTAGCCAGGCGTGGTGGCACACGCCTGTAGTCCCAGCTACTCGAGAGGGTGAGGCGGGAGAATCACTTAAGCCCAGGAGTCTGAGGCTACAGTGAGCTATGATCGTGCCACTGCACTCTAACCTGGGTGACAGAGCAAGACTCTGTCTCAAAAAAAAAGGAGATAAAGAATACCCTTCCATGTGTCCCTTACTTTTTTGGCTAGTGGAGTGATAGGAATTACTTGAGGTCATGTCTGTGAAACTTGGCCAGAGCTTGAGCCTAGTAAATATAACTAGTCCCCCCCAAATCCAGGCTAAACATCCAATTTAGATAATCCTCTGAGTTTTGGCTAAGTTCTGACTTAGGTAATTGTCCCTTCTTTCCCTTTCCCCACGTTCCCATAAGGGCCTAACCAAGACAGTTTTAATTTTCAGAAAACAGCAGAAAAAAAGCCCATATTCTTCTAAGCCAGTATGTTTTTCTGATAGTGTGCTGTGTTAAGTAATATGTACCAAGGACCAGTTCTTACCCTGAAGATTTTCTGAGTATTTTGACTCACCTTTGTCTGTTTGAAACCAACTCATAGGTTTTATTCACAAGAAAAATGAAATAGTCTCCATGAAAGCTGGATTCTGTGATCCCTGCTTGTGGTTTGAGAATGTGGGGGCTAAAGGCCCCTCCTTTGAATTCTGTAGCCTTCTTTATTTGATACTCTATCTCTGCAGAAGGCCTCCTTTACAGCTTCTATTTGACTAAGAAAATGATGTGTCTTTCCCCTTGACTGGTGCTTAACAGTGTTTTGTTTTGTTTTGTTTTTTTATTATAATTGTCTATGTTAGGCACTGGGGTTAACAGTGGTGGATTCCTGGAAGCTGAGATGATCTGTTCTTCCTTGGCAGTGGGAGGGAGGGAGGAAATCAAATGCCTAATAAATACCTTCTGAGTGGTTTAATCTTAATCATTGTCCAGAAAAAGAAAAGATGATGAGCAAAAAGTCCGAGTAAAGAGGAAGAAGGCCAGGGTAAGGAGACAAGCCCTGAAGGAAAGAGACAGACACCGGCACAGGAAACAGAAGCCCAAAGCCAAAGCTGAGGCACCTCAAGAGCCAGACTCTTCAGAGGAGTGGGAGGAGAGGAAGTACCTAGTGGCTCAGAGGTGAGTTGAGGCACTTCGGTTCCTAAGGGTACTCCTGAGGAAAATTTCAGGAAGGCTATTGCCGAATTGTTCTTCAAGTTTGGTAGGTACTCACCTTTCTGAGACATTACCTTTGCATTTGAGCAGTGGCCTATTGAAAATTCACTCCATGGAAGACTCATTGCATCCACTGGGGCTTATTTTAAATAGGCTGACCTCTAACAATCCGATAGATTTACAAAAGGGATATCCACATTCTCTAAAGGAGTTGCGTCCCAACCTTCCATTTGACTCTCTCTCTCTTTCTCTCTCTCATTCTCTCTCTCTTTGTGTCTCTAAACTTCAGGACAGTATTACCCAGAGCATTTAGCTAATGCTTCTACTTTTCTAAGTTCCTAATGGATGTAACAGAAAAATGCCAGAGGGAAGAAACGGATGGGGGGTGGGTGTCAGGTGTTATTAACTTTACTTTTCCACTCATCTGCAGTAGGTTTGGTAGAGTCTTGAGCCTTGTAACAAGCTCGTGATAATCTAGTCTTAAACTATTTGATAAGAAATTTCTCACCTCACAGAGCAATTGTTATGTTTGGAGAGTTTCATTTTTGGAAGGTGTTTCTCCCCCTTCCTGACCTCCTAAAGATAGCCAGATTCTGCAGATGTCCTGGATTAAAAGCCAGAAAAGCTACCAAAGTGTTCATTTAAAAATCCATATTCAGTGTTTTAAAATATGAATAGTAAATGCCATTAGGATTACACAGAGTTACTTTTATGTATATTTGCAATCTTGACCTCTTTCTCATTAGTGTGGACAATCAAACTTAGTGAAATTAGGATCAGAAAAATGTCACATTTTTATTGATAATAAGGCTAGCTGGATCTCTTTTCATTTTCCTTAATGACCTCTGAGGGTGACTCCTAAAGAATCTATCTTTTTCAATGTGTGTGGTGTCTGATTCTTGGCCTCGTAAATACTAATACCCATTATGCAGTCCCAGGTTCTAATCCCAGGTAGTGTGTAGGCACTGTGCTCTGATGTGTGTCAGGTGTCAGTGAGAGCACAGTACAAAGCCTCCAGCAGGGTGGGGCCTGTGGGCAGCACCTTTCACCTGCTGTGCAGTTATGGAGAGCAGATAGCACTGCAGACATGATTGCAGATAGAACCACGATCACGGCCACATTTGCTACTTGCTACCTTGCTTCTTACTGAGCACAGGGGAATGGGGAGGAAACTCGGAGACAGCCTTACCTGCAGTCCACAGTAAGAGGCTGGTATGAAAAGAAAGACAGTTTATCTTTTAAGCTAGTGGACCCTTTTAGATATACGATTCACCTGTCAGTCTTTTCTTGTACTGGGATTTTTCTGGGAGGGCTATAGATAATTTCTTATTCCTCTTTGTATCTCCAGCTCCTAGCACAATACCTGGAACATCAGGCTTATTGATTTTCAAACAAGTGAAAAAAGAGTCATGTGCTTTGAAGGCTATGTAAAGTGTGGTGCCTTCTCACATAAGCATGGGCATAGACCTACTCAAAACAGTTCATATTAGACTAAGACATTTAATTTTGCCTTCTATTTCCTCAGTGCAATATTGTTCCTAATTTGGATCTATCCCAGGTATTGGAAGTCTCTTCAGAACAATGTCAGAAAGCACAATTTTTCTTTGGAATTTTTTAATCTGTTTAGTTTTTCATGAGAGATTTTTAATCTTTTTCTTTGAAGGGATCCATACAGTTTAACCCACAGGAAGTCGACATTATTGGCACCAAAGCTAATGATTCTCCAGGGAACACATTGAAAACTCTGGAAGAACAGCTAAACACTCTGTACCTTCAAAATCAAGAGGAAATGTCAAAATGTCAGGTTGCCAAGTCAGACAATAAACAAAAACAAAAAATGAAGAAAACAACTAGGGATCACTTACAGAAATCTTCCCACTGCCTTGGGGAAGAAAATTTAAGGTATTCCCCTAGAAAACAGAGAGCTGGAATATTATTAGATGATGAGGAATATGAATACAGTTTGTTTTTTAAGCATAACTCCTTGGAGATTACGATAATTGAAGGCCAGTCTCTTGAAAATGAAGACCACCACGGTTCTAGTGAATCCTGTTCCAGATTATCTGGGAGAGGCCAAGGCAGGAAACCTAAGATCCATGAAACAGATGCATTTTTTGACTATCTTTTCAATTATTATGAACCTCCACAATATACTCGTATCTGCCTAGAAACAAGTCAGGTAGCAGGCACATGTCAGTGGCAGAGGGATGTCCAAGCTAAGGGAGATGGATTTCAGATTAATTTGAGAAAGTGTAGGCATCACTCAATCAATTCGAGCCAAGTAGAAAACCTGGAAAGGAAAGAACAGGTTCAAGAAAATAATTACTCATCAAAGATTTGTACTCAGGATCCTGAGCGTAAACGAGGAAAAGTAGATTATGCCAAAGAATGTACTAATGGGTTTGAAACTCATTGCCAGGAGACAGCCCATAAAGCTGGTGGTCAGCTGTCCCCAACTGATGGAAACAGCTGTCTGTTGGAAAAGACTCATAGTTATCATATTGAAGATTCCAAATCCACAAGGAAAAGCCAAGTGTCCCCACCCCATGAGTCAATAGGCTTAGGTTTACAGTTGACAGATTTCTTAGAGGAAATTAGTAGTGATTCTGAATGCTTCAGTGAAACCCTTAGTATAAACAAAGAGGAGAAAGAGAAATCTGTGGCCACATTTAATAGTTTCTCAGAAAAAGAACCTCTTGACACTGACAAAATGATCACTCGCAAACAAAATACAAGGTCGAGTCAGCAGACCTTTTTTTCAAAGTGGAAGCGTGATGGTGAGGAAAAATACTCTAATTACAAGTTTAGGACACCAGGTAGGAAGTCTGAGTATGAACCGAGATGGATATGTTCATGGCCTAGGGGTGAAAGTCATTTCATTAGACATGAAAACAACAATGGACAAATGAAGGGACAACTAGCCCCCAGATACTTGTTTGATGAAGGCTACTACCAGGAACCCAGTTCCAGTTATCTAAAGAGGTTTAGTGATAGTACATTGGACCAGAAAGTGAACTATGGGCCCTCTCAGGTGCCCGTAATGTCATCAAGAAGTGCTAGGTCTTTCTATTTTGGTAATTTTCACGGAAGAAGAGGGACTCCTTGGAAGTCAGAATATAACCAGAATTCAAGATTTAGAGGATGTAATTATAACTATTTGAAGTTCAATTCTGATTATTACTATAATAGACATAATGGTCAGGAGTATATTGACTATGGAAGCTATTCAGGAAATAACTGCACTGGTTCTTTAAATTTTAAATGTTTTGATGACCACTTAGATCAGGAGTATCCTTTTTCACAATAAACATGTTACAAGAAGAAAATTTAAAACCAAATGTAGCCATGTAATTAACAACTACACAGGAAGACAGCAGCATTAAAAACTTCAGAACCTGTGTGTTTTATATTTCCCAAAGCTTGTCAATACACCTGGAGTCATTTTGACCTATGCTTTCAACTTTGGCAAGAGAAATAATAATTTGTATTTGACCCTGCTCAAGCTTTTAAATGCTGCTTGATCCAAGGATAGACATTTCTATGGTTCAGCTAAAACTTTACTTCTACGCCAGTGAAGGAGCAGATTAACATTGAGAGGGGTTGAGATGGCCCTCTATGGCTCCTTAGGTGTCATAACATCATCATTTAGTGTCATTTATCTCCAAAGACGACAGCAGTGAATGAATAATGATCCTTTTACATGTTCTTTGATTTGGTCAGAAACACCACGTGCAGCAACAAACTTTCCTGACTTTTATTTAGAAATAATTGTAGATAAAAGAGACGACAGTTAGAACATAGACTTCTTCATGACATTAAAGAGTTGCATGAGCACCCACCAGGAGAAAATTAATCTTATTACTATGTTTAAATACTCAAAGAGTTGTCTTTTTCAAGACAAAGTCTTGGAAGAAGAATCTAAAAGTGGTCCAGATTGTCCTTTGAGGTTTAAATGGATAGTATTTAAACCCATTAGCAGAGTTGTTGTTTTTTTTTTAAGAACCCCATGTCTTTCCATTTTAGAAAAACAGCAAGATTGAAGTAATATAACCACTGGAATTTGCAAAAGGAAATATTGAAAAATTGTGGGGCACCAATGATGTCACTTGAAAAAAGATGCTGTGACTATTCCACTTCAGGTTATGTAACCCTTTCACTCAGGGCTGGATTACATCAGTTTGTAAAGTCACTGAATATCCCCCAAACTGAACTTTATTAAACAGTAACAAGTGCCTCTCTTCTCAATCCTCAGTGATGCCATCAAGTTTTCAAAAAGAGTAAAGAGAAAAGCCTATAGTTTTGTAGCTAGGGAAAAATGTATATGTGTAGGATTTGTAAACTCTCAACATAAGCAATTGATCTTTTTACCTACTAGTTTTTGACTTCATAAATGTTTTTAAATTGAAATATTTTATGGATTCTTAAAGACTTACATCTTAGTGCAGTGCATGTTTTATAGAAAGCTCCGCTGATTCATTCTGCCTTACCTTGCATTTAGGACCTCAGGGGCAATCGATTACCTTTTTTTTCTCCAACAAAACTATGCCTGACCTGGTAATTGAAGACATTAATGAGATTAGAGACTGTCAGCAACAGGAAAAAGTCATTTTTAATCCACAGAAGCAGTAAAGGGCAACACTTTGATGTGACATGATTCATTCAAACACTCTTAATTTGACATTCTGTAGAAAAGTACCAGCTGATAGAGCCAGGTAGAATGCCAGTCATTGTGGTTGCCCAGAATATCACAATGTGTGCATATAACCAGCCTTTTGAGCAAACGGGTATGTGAAAGGGCTACAAAAGCTTATTTATCTGAAGGAAGAGCCACAAGTTGTTTCATCGATCTCTTCTAATCATAGAGCTATGTTAGTACATGCAAGAAGTCAGAAATGAATGTACCATAGCAGATGATGTTTATTATTAATAAGATAATAACCAGTGGATGATTTGTTGGCTCCCTTGTGTTCAATTCCACTTTCAAGCCAGTGACTCTTCCATCAAAACTAGATTTGGCTTGTCAAATCTGAAAAACATTGCTTATGGGGCAAGTGCCTTGAATGTTAATGTTCAAAGTACTGTTGTCCAGAGTAGCCTTTTGAACTGCTAACAGCTTGTATTTTGTCAGGCAACTTTCAGTAACCAGGTATTATTTTTCTTTGACGAAAACCTGCCTCTTAATTTTTCATGTGTCATGCCATTAAAACAAAGAATATTATGAGTTTGTAATGAGAAGCAGCTATGCTTTTGAAAAAAATCTCACTGTGTTCTGTCACTTGATTTTTCTTTGCAGAGTTTTTAGACATGAAAACAGTTTGCTGCTCAGTAGTCAGACATAAAAATAAATTGCAGAATACAGCATGTGCAATTTTTATGTGTAATAGAACCGGTGCTATTTCTATATAACATTTTTGTCTTTTTTTTTTTTTTTTTTTTGCTAAATACCATCCTGGGACTTAGAAGAAAGTAAAAATACTGGTTTTATGTTTACATTTTGTATAACCCTAGACTTGTATATGTCTTATAAAGAGTCAACCTTTTTGGTGGGTAGGCCCTAAATGAGGAAGATAACTTATCCTGTACTTTTTAATTGAATGGCTTAGTAAGGAGTAAAATACAACTAAAATATTGTAACCACCTTCTTAATTAACACTGCTATTGTTTGTTGTGCTAAGTGGTGCAAAAGTGTTTTCTCATATCTTTTTCTATGTCCTATTAAGGGCCTGAGCTTTAAACTTTGTCTTAAGGTATTTTCATGTTTTTCTTATGAGTTGTTGGTAGTTATGCAAAAAAACTAAAAATATGTCAATGTGCTTTCAATTTGTTTAAATTTCTCAGGTAGAAAGCCATGTAACCTGGTAATTTTGAAAATAAGAATCAAATAAACTTATTTTTACTTGTTGCAAAATTGTTTAAAATAGTCATTTTTAAATAAATGCTGATAAGTCCACCTTTGGGGGAAAGTTCCTACTTACAGTATGCTGCTTTGCACTAATGTTGCTGATCTCTTTTCTCATTTGCATTGTTAGAGAATACATATTTGTCAGATATATTAAAAATAAAATTATCATAGTGAATATTCTTTGTTCATTTATCACATGTATTGGCTAGCATGTTGCACATCCACAATAACATTTTCTGTGGAAATATAGATGCCTAATTTTAATATCATTTCTATGCAACTTTTCCCATTTTGTGGAAACTGACATTGTCAGAGTTCATGGGACTAAAGACCATAGTTTTATTTTCATTTTGGACAAACCGAAATAATGTTATTTAGATTTAAGATGATCCTCCCTTTAGCACATTTTATCAGTGCTAATAAGAGGTAGCAAAATTGACTCCATGGAATTTCACCTAATTCCTTCAGCCCTGGGTGGAAGTGTTCAAGTTATACAATGTGCAAAAACAATTATGGGTTTGGGATGGACAGTCTAGTCAGAGAAGGTAGGGGCCTCAATAATCAGTCTTTGACCATTCAAGAGTTAACTGTATTTTCATGTGAAATATACAGCAAACTGCCTCTAAGTATCATAACAAAGGCAGACTACCTTGGAGTAAAATCTGGGCACTTTAGAGCTGAAAGCGTCCGTCAGGTTCAAAGAGCTCTTTCTGAAACAGCAAGAAATGTATTGATGCTTGTTCTTGATCTAGGATTTGCATAAATTTGGCCCTCTGAAGTAAGGTGAATGTTACATTATGCAGGGAAGCCAGATATGCAGATACTGAAAACACGTAGTAAATGCTGCTTATGAACCACAGACGCTAGTTGAGAACAAACTGTCTCTGCAGCTGGTAGGATGACAGCAGGTGGGGAGCAAGCCAGATGTTAACCTAACACCTCCCTCCTTCACTGGACATGTGGTGGTTGTAACAACTACCCCCCCTCCCCCCGACACCACCATCTTCTTGAATGGTGCCTTTTACATGAATATGGCTTATGTATATGCTAGCTGGATTTGAGAAGTTTTTAGATCAAAGTCCTGCCTTACAGCAATATTCCTTTCCAAGTAACCAACACAATGTTGATTCAGCTCTGAATGGAAGAGAATCAGGTTATTGGGAGTGAAACTTTAGTGAGGCTCTAAATCAGGGGTGCCTAATCTCTTCGCTTCCCTGGGCCACATTGGAAGAACTGTCTTAGGCCACACATAAAATACACTAACACTAACGAGAGCTGATGAGCTAAAAAAAAAAAAAAAATTGCAAAAAAAACCTCATGTTTTAAGAAAGTTTACAAATTTGTGTTGAGCTACATTCAAAGCTTTCCTGGGCCGCATGCAGCCCGTGGGCCATGGGTTGGACAAGCTTGCTCTGGATATTTTCCTCTTGGCAGCAGACAAGCCTGTTTAACTTTGCAAAATGAGTAGCCTAATCTTCACATGCACATGAGATTTCAGGCTGCGAAGGTGGGCCCAACTTCTCTCCCCCACTCCTTCTCCAAAGCATAAGGCATAACAGGTTACATGGCACAAAACAGGCACTCAAACATTTGGTGAATGAAACCAAGTGGGAAAAAAAAAGAGCACATTAAAAAAAACTCACAAGTACCTGCAATGTGGTTTGATAACATGAAAAATGGAAATTTCTTTGGTTCAGGAAGTATATCTCTTATAAGAAAACTCTGCCAATGTTAACATTAAAATGACAAAACACTAATAGGTTGTCTTTGTTTATACAACTGACTGCATATGCAAATCTGTTATGCTTCTTTTGACACGAGGTGAATTAACTTTGCTACTGTAAGGATTCCTGATACTTTCCTGATCAGACAATACATTAACACAAAAAAACCCAAACCCTTCCTTAGCACTTGGCAATGACAATGCCTTCAGTAACCTTACTTCTTAAGAACCTTGCTATAGACTTCAAGGTGGAGGTCTGCCATTTACAGTTTAGAAAGTTCTGATTTAGGCAAAACTTTGACAAGTCACAAAAAAAGCAATTCAATTCACTATTTCTTAAACAGGACAAGCTGGTATTTGGTTTTTGGTGTGGGGTCTCCATGAAATTTTGCCCCTTGTTTCTTTTGGAATACAAAAACTCTGCACTCAAAAATGAAACTGAATTTTAAGCCAAAGTAAAATGTCTGAATCAGATTCCCTAGAATAAGGTTTTTAAAAAAATTTAAATAAGTCACCACACTATAGTGGGTAAAACCATTTTTATTAACTGACCAAAGCACATCATTTTGTTTTCTGATTTGAGGTAAAATCATAAAACACAGTTCACAAGAAAATACAATGACTATTTAACCACAATTACAAGTTTGAAATCTCACTAGGTGTTCATATACTTTTACAAATTCATACAACTGTATAGTCTACTTAAGCTTAGTGTTAACCAAAAGAGCAATATCAAAGACCTAGACACTTGACTACTACTTTTGCAGTGGGTATAGTTTTATAACAACAGAATAACTGTTACCTTATGAATATACTTTACTTTAAAAACCACTTGACTAGCGACTGTACTGTTTCCTCGTGGTTCAGGGGTGTGCATGAAGGCTCTTAGGAGAGCAAACACCTGTTCCTATTCTGTATGTCCCTCCCTCATTTCAAATGAGAGTAACCAATTGAGTAAAATAACCAAATAACCATTGCCCCACCATGAACATGGGGCTTGGGAAGACAGTCCTACAATCTTCATCATATATTTAGGTTTTTAGGCCAGCCAGCTCTTTTTTTCCAAAGCTTTCTTTTGAATGTTCAGATCCTATTTTAATCCTAACTATAGACTACTGTGTTTGTGAGGGTGTCTGAGTGTCTATGTGAGGGCAAGGACAACAGTGCAGTCCAGAAACACAGAAAATATGCTTTTTTGCAGCTGAGCTCTGTTTTGAGATTTCATTTTGTTACTGGACAGCGCTTAATCCATACCAAAGTCTTTGGAACACTGCAGATTTGCTTTAGAGGTAGATAAAACAGAAATCATGCAGTTAAGTCAATTGAGAAAAAAAAAGGGATTTGTTGTCTTTACAGAACATCATGACTAAAAGTTGATCCTTTGCTCTTGGTGCACATTTAAGATTTTTACCTGTTTTGGGAAATACCCAAGTCTTCCTTGTCTCTCAGGAAAAACACATTTAAATTCATCCTGTACTAACTACAGATAGAAGAAAAACAGTATTAACATGTGTATTACAGCACTGCAGTTCACTTTCTGGATTTGTGACACACAAACACATCATGCATTCTAAGAAGTTAATTTTATTAGTGTCACTAGTGATGTTAATTAAAAAACTTATAGCAAGTGCTCAAAACTTTCTAAATATTGTAATCACTATGTTTTAAAGACAGAGTGGACTGTTACAAATGATTTTGCAAAATACAAAAATAGATATACTTCCACTGAATGCTTTAATCATTTTTCCGGGCACTCTCATCTTTTGGTTCTTCCTCATCTGAGTACACAGTGGGCTCCTCCCCCTCCTTCAGCAGTTTGCCCACGTGATGATACTTGACTGGAGGTAGAGAAGAAAACACAAATGGTCATTCTCATTCTTTCTAAAACATCATTACCACGTTTCAATTTAAAGCATTTATTAGAGGCCTGCAATATACTCAGCAATGTGTTGGGCTTCTTGAAGGATACAAAGGTGGTTTATACCACCGTCCTTGCCAACAGGGAATTTGTTTTGTTCAGAAGACAGACATATAAAACAGGTGGCAACGTCTGGCAATGAGTGTGCAAGGTAACGTCAAAATGAATTGTTTGTGTGTAAGGAATGTTTAGAAGAACAAGGGCAAGTGATGAGTTCATCAGAAGGGTTACAGAATACTTCATGGAAGGAGGATATATTTTGGAAAAATGTATAGAAGGATTTAGGGAGGGAGTTCCAGAAAATGCAAACGCCATGTACAAATGCATACAGGTGAGACAACGTATCTGGGAAGCAATGAAGAGACCAAGTTGGCAGGAGTAGAGTTAACATTTAGAAGTTAGTAGGAGATAAGATTGGCTAAGTAGTGTGGGGAAATATTATGAAAGATCTGAAAAGCCAGCCTGAGTTTGGACTTATAGGTGGCAAAGGGCACTGAAGGTTTATAAGCGAAGGAATGACACAGTAAAATAGTGCTTTAACAACGATATTATCAATGTGGTGTATAGGGCAGATTTCAGTAAGGAGAGACTGGGAACAGGGCGATCCAGAGGCAGAGTGCAGATCCAGATGCAAAGGAACCAGCGCCAGGAGCAGGGTGGTGTCCAGGGGAATGGAAAGGGACAGATGAGAAGTACTTTGAAAGAAAACTGGAAGCATGAATTAATTAAGTGAAAATTGGAGCTCCCATGGACCAAAATGGGAACTCTGTGGAGGGAGCCATTCTGGAGGCTCACATGACAGGAGATCTAAAACATGGAATGGACAAGTGAAGTCAGGATTGGCAAGAAAAAAAAAAAAGGTTTCCCTGAAAATCTTTCAGAAAGAGAGTTCAATCCAATTGTGGGGATAGAAGCCATATTGTAGGGAGGAAGAAGGTATAGAGAGGAAATGAAGTAGTGGTTAGGAATAAAAACTTGTAAGAAGTTTGTTTGACAGTGAAAGGAAGGAATAATAGTCTCATAGATGAAGAGGAGAGCAAGAGACAGAACGTTTTTCCCAGCACAGAGAAAAACCTATGGGTGGTTAAAGGAAGTGGTAAAGGAGCCAGGAGATGACTGGAGGTGTTGGAGAAAACAGATGTAAGGGTGCAAACCAGAATGCAAAAGACTTGAGAAGAGATGGCATCAGCAAACCACCTCATCACTGTAGCCAAACTAATGCAGGGTCGATCATCTGAATGTCCAAAGCCAAGAGTCTCCTCTTCCTGAATATGAGTAGGAATTAGAGGAGTAACCAACCTGTCTAACCAGGTAACTAAAGCTGCTTTTGTGTGAAATAACCGTTGGGAACAATTGGAACTGTGTGAGACAAATAAAAGCCAGGTGGCTCCTGGGAAACCTGCCTTAAGGGGAATCCACACCAACTTTAAGTGTAGCTGAGGTGTCACAACAGCATCTGGGGCTAGCCTTAAAGTGGAAAAAAAAAATCACACTTTTTCTCCCACTGATGAAGGCAAGCCCTAGAAAATAGAGCTTTGTAAGTTAGACACTACAATTCACTGGTTTCATATAGAAAACTAATTACAAAGGCATCCTTATGATGCCAAAAATTAGGGACTCTATTAGGTAACTGAACTATGTTTTCCAAAGTATAAAAACTTGCCTCTAGACTTGGAAGTTATATGTAGCCTGCTTGAGACCAAAACTCAAAGGCAGAGACACATCTGGCTAATTATTAATCCAGAACTCTCTCTGAAGTCAGCATTATTTTCAAAGAAAATGGTTGGATATAGCCAAGAGAACATGTAATATTTAACTGATTATAGAGAACACACATAGAAAACTACATTTTAAATGAAAAATCTTCAAATAATGCTCATGGTCTTTATATACTGTTTCATAAAAGCTGGGAAAGACTCTTATTCAAATTCTTGGCAGTGAAATATTGCTAGAGTGACAATTAAACAGTTAGATTTGACAGAAACCAATTCCTGAATTCTCAAAATCTGAACTTAACCCCTCATTCCTATTTCTCCCCAAAGACCTCAGCCCATAGCATAAGCCAGAAACAAGCATCTCCTTTTTACTTTCTTTTTAAAAATGCAGACACCATTGCTGCTGGGCACATTATAAGCATCATTTGTAGATGAGGCCTATAGTTAGGTTCAATTAGATTCAAAGAGAAGCTGTTTCACAGAATACAAGTCTCCCATTCTTCAACAGAGATGTGGGCTGCTTTTAAACGGCAAGCTCTACAAGAGAGGGCTTATGAAAATCCCTTTCTGTAGCCAAGATGGACACTGTCCTTTCCCTGACACACCAAGCACCAAATCCTCATTTGGAATCTAGCAAATCTCTCAAAAATTTTAAAATCAAAACCAGAAACCCAAGTTTCCATAGAGAACTGGCTAAAAATTGGTATGCAATCATAGCAAGTGACTCAGCACTGCTACAATTACTTCAAGCCATGAACTTGATGCGTCCAAGATTAAGGAGCCTATCAAAATGCACCCAAGTTTCAGGCTGCTTAGTAATAACTATTGTCCTGCCACGAATCCCCATTACTGGTAGAAATTTGACCCAGACACAATTTTAAAAATGCTTACAAGTGAACTGAGACTCCCAGTCACTCAGAGTCTCCTGCTGGGCAGCAGTGAGGTCAGAAAGGTCATCGTACTCATCCTTCAGTGCTTCCTTATCCAGGCAAAATGTGGCAAGGCCCCTGGATGCATCTCTTCCAGCAAAGACCCCATACGGCCCCTCTTCAAAAACAAAACCAAAGATCAATTCTTTATTAGACAGTCAATTTCTCTGTGATTTATACACAGAAAATGGCTTCCCTATTCATCAACATAGCCCCATTTTTGAATATCAAATTCCATTAGGAAACCATAGTAATGCTGATATTCTGAACATTATGTAGGAGACACAGAAAGACCTGTTGTCATTTAACTTTTAAATAACTAAAAGTAAATCAAACTGCTATACATTTGCGTCAGTCTCCTGTGGTTTCCAAATAGCTAGTAAAAAAGTCATACGTGGTTAGTGATCTCTTGGGGTAGTGGTAGTAGGGAATCATACAAGAACATTGAACTGGGAGCCTGACAGTTCTAGGCACTTGGGGCTACACCAGTGAGAGTTATGGTTTCTTAAGATAATAAGCACTGATGTGTACATGAAAACACATTTCCTTATGAATATATTCTGATATGTTTTAATGAAACAAAGGTATCTTATAGAGATCTTTGGTTCCAAGGCTCAATTAAACATTAACTCATGGCATCTGCAGAAGAACCATTTTATAACAGTATCGGTGGTTTAAAAATCTATCCACATTACATAACCTTCACTGTCAATAAATAGATAACACAGAGATCAGTCTTCATTATCTGTTTTTTGGTGGGCTTGAGAAGACTGTGAAAATACTAAAATTTTCATGGAAAAGAGGCTGAATCAATACTGCAAAACAACTCTATAAAACAACTCTATAAAATGTGATTATTTGTGATATTATACTGAACTTTTGTCTAAGAGAGCAGAGAATCATTCTGTGGGTACACAAAGTGGATATTTAGACTTATTTAAATATTGCACAACTAAATGAAGAGAATCCAGTGTACTTTAAACAATGTGTTGTTTCCCCCAAGGCAGATTGAATAGCAGCCCTGACATTAAAATGTTTGTAGGGAACCAAGTATGAGAATAGATCAAGTTTCAATATGGCCTGTTCACCTGAAACCTCAATACACTCAGAAATTTTTTACAAATTTTACAACTTTTAAATGCAAGTAAAATTCCAAAGAAAAATGCTTATTTTTAATCATCATTACATGCTGCCACATTCACTAAAGAAGGTAAAAAAAAGCCCACATTTTTCATAAATGTACACCCCTAGTGGAAATGGCAGCACCTAGTGCTTGAGAATAGGCAAATGCAATGGTTTGAACCTTACCATTTCAGAAATTATGGTCATTGGCTTGGTAGAGTGAGTCTTTACCAAGCAAACCTCATAGAATATTTAAACATAGAATATTTAAACCTCATAGAATATTTAAACATTTAAACAATTAAATGTTCTCTAGTGGGAACATTAAAAGTCTTTTAAAAATACATATTATTCAGTGCAACATATATTCACTAGAACGTAAGCTCCATAGGCAGAGATTTGTGTCTGTTTTGCTCACTGCTATATTCCCACATCTACAACAGTGCCTTGCACAGAATTAACAGGCACTAGAATGACTAATTTTTAGGAATCCTTTACAACATGAAGCATCACTTTCTACCAAGATGTCACGTAGTCATGGGCTCACTGAATGACAGTGCAAGATAGAGACAGAGATCTCACAATAGGCCATCTTTATCACTTTTCAGAGGGAAAACTAAGGCTCTGAGAGAACAATGCTTTGCACAAGGTCACACAGCTAGTCATGACCCAATCAGGACTAGAACGCAGGTTGCCTGACTCCCAGTTTTGTGCTCTGTGCACAGGCTGACATCCTCTCAATGACTCTGCAAACTACAGTCATGATGATGCCTCATGCACATGTTTTCACTCCTTTAATATTGAGCTCAATATTAACAGGTATTTACATGATTATGTTTATTGATAAAGCAACTATGTGTGCTACTCTAAGTGACAAATAATGTATGTGGTTTTCAAATGATTTTGACAGTTACATGCCTATAGAAAGCAGGTATTCTAAAATATCCACAGGCCCGGTGCAGTGGCTCATGCCTGTAATCCCAGCACTTTGGGAAATGGAGGTGGAAGGACTGCTTGCGCCCAGGAGTTCGAGACCAGCCTGGGCAACACAGGAGGGAGACCCTGTCTCTAAAAAATAAATAAAATTTATTTTTTATAATAAATAAATGTCTGCAAGAAAAAACTGAGCTCCTTAACCTTAACACATCTGATTTTGATCAGTTGGACTGGGAGACTAAAATGAATGCCTGAGTTTGTGTACTGCCTTCTGTACTCTTCCCTCTCTCAGGCCAGTGTGGAATGAGCACCGTCCATGTGGACATCCTCTAAGCTCCCTGTGTTTAGAGGAGTCCATATTGGAGGAGCCAAAACCTCTTCTTCCTCATCTCCAAGTATTCTATAAAGCAGGACTTTGCAAGCCTGGCTGCTTTTCAAATTCGCCTGGGAAGCATATTAAAATACAGACTCCCGGACCACCCGAGACTCATTTGCAGCTCTGGCGGTTAGACTGGGAATCTGTATTTTTCCTCAGATGCATCAGGTGATTCTGATACGCAACCAGGTTTGCAAAAACCTCGCCTCTAAGGAACCCATCAGGCCTGCCTTCTCCAACAGCTCAGCAGTGCAGCAGTCATCCATTCTTCATTTCCCTCTGGTTGGCTTTTCCTGATATCCCCCCACCCAGCAGTCTTCTTAGCTCTACTCCTTTTGTTTCTTGGTATCCTCCCACTTCTCCCTCCCTCCATTTTAATTTTTCTTGGCTTCTAATCCTTTCTCTCCTGCTATAGACTAAATACCATATTACCTTAAAAGCTTGCCACGTTACCATTGTCCACCATATTCAGCCTTTATTCCTCCCTCAAACAGCCCCCTTCCTCCTTGTTCACCTTCCAGCCTTTCCCCATCTGCCACACACAGCACAAGCGCACACAGACCAAACACATGCCACACACATACCTGACGCATGACCCATTTCAAGCGCGCATGCACACACCACACACACACACCCCTGATAAATCACATACACTAAACACGCACACACCGCGCATGCACACACCACGAGTGCACACACACATCACTATCCACCGGGCACAAAGCTTTTACCTGCTGCTAATCCCGTCTCGGCGTTTTCTCCCACACCCTCATATTTCAAACCTACTCCCGGTGTCATTGGCCTTCCCGTCTTCTCTAGGTCTGGACCTTTTCTCACTCTCGCCCTCCCCCATGCCTCCCTCGGAACACCCTCATTTCCTTCCTAGAACCCGACACTACCCCCTCCTCCTTCCAGGAATCCCCAAGCCCAGGACCTTCGAAAACTACCCCAACAGCCTGGGCTTTGATGTGTCCCCCCTCAACGCCTTCGAGCTTCGTGGTCCCACCCACCCCCGGCTTAAGCGCCTCAGCCTTCTTTCTCTAACCCCCTCCCAGCGCTGTCAGCGCGGGCCGGGGATCCGCGTCCCTGACTGGCCCGCAGCCCCTCTAGAGCGCCTCTTGTTCCCTGCCCGCCCCGGGAGCCTCCCGGCTCTCCGCCTGCCCGCCTACCCGCCTACCCTAGCTCGCCGCCATTCCTCCCTCCACTCAGGGGCGCCCCGCTCCCGCCTCGCCTCTCTCCCGCCCAGCCCCGTGCCGGGGCCCCCTTCTTTTGTCTCCAAGCCCCCCTCGCCGGCCGCGTACCGGGCCCGTAGAATTTGCGGCCTTTGGTCACATCGAACACCTTGCCGTTGATGGCCATGAGTATGCGCGGGTCCTGGACGCCGTCGAAGCGCCGCAGCTCGGCGGGGGTGAAGTCGCGCCGCTTGAGGCGGGGCAGAGGGGGCGGCTCGTCGTCGTCGCTGTCGCCGCTGGCCGCCGGCTGGTCCCCGCGCACGATCTTGTAGAGCAGGAAGATGCAGAGGCCAAGCAGCAGCAGGTTGAGCGGCGACGTGAAAATCTCATGCAGCAGCCCGCCGCTCTCCAGATCGCTTGGGTCGGCGCCAGTCGCCACCACATCCTCGGCAGCCATGATCTCTGGAGTAAAGGTTGGGCCGCGCTAGGCAGGGATCCGGAACTCGCCACTTTCTCCTCCCTCTGAGCGAGCGAGTGGCGCGCGGGGTTCGGCGGCGGCCAAAGACTAGCCGGGGAGGAGGCGGGGCCTGAGGGGCGGAGCCTCCAAGCCCCGCCTCCCCCGAGGCCACCTAAGCGCCCCGCCCTGCTCGGTCCCGCCCCGCAGCCCTCAGGCCCCCTCCAAAGCCTCTAGAGTCCGGCGCCGCTCCCCCGCGGCCGCGCGGTGCCCCCCTCAGTTCTACCTGGGAGGCCCCAGCCCAGCCTCACGCCATCCTCGCGCCATCCTATAGCTGAGCGCGACGCACGCGCTGCCCTCCTCTGAACCCCTTTTTTGCTCCTCGCAGACCGACCCGTTGGGAGGGCCTCGGCATTGCCGGGCTCTGTGCGAGCGCCCCTCCGCCACCTGATGCGCGCCAGACACCGACTCCCTTTCTGTTGCTGCAGGCTTTTCCCTGCCTCCCATTCTGAAGCCCCTCATCTTCCCCCTGCCGTTCCCGGGCCCTCCAAGCTGTCTTAGGAGACAGGAAACTCATTCTTCGAACTCCATTTTCTATGTTAGAGCCCTACACGACTCATTTTCACCTTGGGAACCCCCATTCGCTCTCCTTGATGGCCCTTCCCCAATTCTCCCCCAGATGCTGTGGGACCGACACCCCCGGGATTGCTAAAGTCAGTGCACAACTCTCCCTATTATCTGGGGAAACGAATCTGATCGCCCAGTTAACTTTGGGTTTGTTCTCCGAAAAACCCTTTTGCAATTACTGATTTGCTCAGTCACCAGGCATTAACAAGCAACGTTCTCTTGTTGCTCTTTTTTCCCCCCTCAGAATAATGTGAAAGTTTCTTTGTTTGGCAGCGTTCTTCTATTTGGAGTCTGTCAGGCTACCCTTGGCAGTCACAATAACCCTGAGCTGGAGCCCAGACAAAGGCGGGAGTTTGGAAGGATCCTAGGCCTGGTCCCTTCCTTTCCTAGGTATTTCATCCGGCCTTTGATGTGCTAACAGGCTGCACAGAAGCAGACCTCCACGGAGGAAGGGGTTGCCTCGTCCTAATCTGGCCCTTTTTCTGGTGGCGGGGGGAGGGGAGGAGAAGAAAGGATAGAGAGGGAAACAAATAATTAAAACCAAGCCGTGCACACATCTGCAGCCCAGAGCAGTACTTTTCCACCAAGTGTTCTGTTGGCTTGCACATAACTTACTCCTCCTCCCAACACGCAAGAGACTTGAGTAAAGATTGGCTTCCTACCTCAGAATTCTAAAAATTTCTGGCAAAAACTGCTTCCATCCCTGCCCCCCACATCTTCTTAAATCATTATAAAGTGCAATGAGCCAAACAATCTTTGTATCGGGCCCAGGCATTTTTCTCAGAGCTAAATTTGGGATTAGCTGAAACAGCCCCTCCAAATCTTTTGTCAAAACTCTTCAATTTAATCATGGAGAAACAGGCTCAAACTGAGGGCACTTGTCTATAGTTAGAATCTATCTCTTTTAACATGTATGGCCAAGAAAATTTAGAAAGCTAATAAACTTATAAAATATTTTCATTTGCAACTAATATGACAAAGGGTTAATATTTATTTGAGAGATCATTTGGATTGATAAGAAAATGTATAAGATTCTAGTCAATAAATGGGAAAAAATAGGAACAGGTAGTTCACAAAAGAGAGCATGCCAGTGGTGAATAAGCATATGAAAAATGTTCAGTCTCATTAGTAACAAAAAGAAAAGCATGGAGATGCCGCTGTCACCTACTACTTTTCTACAGGAAAGATAAAAGGGAAAAAAAAAAGGATAACACACTATTGGCGAGAGAGTGGTGAGACTCACATACGCTGTTGGGTATAACCTTTTATTATCCATAAAAATATTTTCTATCCATTAATCCCACTTCTAGAAATCTGCTCTTTGACCTAGTAATTCCATTTTCAGGAATCCATCCCAAGGAGACAGAAACGCAGACAAATATTTCATTACTAAGATGCTCAGCAGAGATTCATTTTTAATACAGAAAAACTGGAAACAACCTAAATGTCCGACTTCAAATAAAATGGCGAATTAATTCACTTGAATTGTGACAAAACCATTAAAAGGCCATTCAAATATCATCATTCTGGAGTCCTAATTAGGGAAAGGGAATCAGGCTGGTGGGAGCATGAAATAGCAAAAAGAAAAAGCAAATAAGCTACAAATCTCCCTTTCTTCATGACCAAGATGCAGCCTTCCTGCGCAAATAATTCACAATCTTCCCATGCCCAGCTATCACCAGACACCTGTAAGTTAGCTCATTGCGACCTTGGCATTATCAATATTACACAAAGACCTCTTCAACAGACAGCATAAACGCCATCCTATAAAATTTCCAGCAAGCCTTTGTCTCCTGGCAGTTGGCTTCTCTCTTGCAGGCTGCCCTTTGTCTCTCTGACAACATATTTTCCTACTTTATCTAATAAATCTACCTTCTTTTAACTAAAACTGTTTTGGTAAATTCTTTTACCAAAAATCATGACATGGCAAAACGCTTGTGTTTTAATCTTGAGGGAAAAACAGGATACAAAACTATATACAGTATGAACTCAACTATGTCAAAAAATTCATAAAACAAAGCGTGGAAAGAAATATGCTAAAATGTTAACTGTTGTGATTGTTAGTTTCTTCCTTATACCTTTCTACATTTTCCACAATGGGCATGTGTCACTTTTAACCTCAGGGGGGAAAATGGTTTATTATTTATTTTCTGAAAAAAAATGTAGAATGATAATACATGTTCACTATAACAAACTTAAACAATACGTGAGTGTATAAAGTAAAAAATGAAACTCCTTTCTCCCTCTCCAAGTTCCCCAAACAGTACTTAAATCAGGCCCATACATTAGCAGTTTGGCTTATATTCTTGCAGACATGCAACATACACACACACACACACACACACACACACACACACACACATTTTGTTTTATAAAACTGGGGGAAATTTTATATAATAAAAGTTTTATCATTTTTTTCCAATAAAGAGAGACACAGAGTAAAAAAACAAAACAAAAACCAAGCCATTAGCTCCCCACCCAGATAACCCCTGCTGGAATGTTTTTTCAAAGTAATATTTGTCTAAAGTTAGAAAATTCAAACTATGGGAAGATATAGAAGACAACTGAAGTCCCTCTCCTCACTCTTGATTCTCTTTCCTCAAAGGTAACCGCTATTAAATCTGGGGAAAGTGTTTTCATGGAGGGATGGGGAGGATTAATAATTCTCATTTATCGTAGTCCAGTGTCTCTTCTGCTACACCTCTGTGTCCCCTTGGAGGATAATGGATTAAAGGAAGTCCTGCTTCACAAGGAGGGTAGAAAACTTGTGCAACTTAAGACCTCAAGAAGTGATACAGTTTAAAAATATAAATGCTTGCAAACCAGATTTGATGTTCAATAAAGTGGGCTATTAGCTAACACTGGGATGTAGAGATTGTTGAAGAAAAGCATCCCATCATTCAGGCTCATGTCAGAATCAATGCTGAGTGGAATGGTCTCCTCCAGGGTGGCAGTTCTCAAGTTATCTGGAAATAAGCAAGAGTGCTCCTGAATAAAAAGCCCCCTTCAGAACATGAGAGTTGCCTTAATATGCTCTTTGGCTCCAAGTCAATTCCTAAAGCCGATGTACTTGACCCAAGGACTACTTATTTCCCAAGATACATGTTAAGTCTTTTAGTGTTTTCAAACTTTCTGTCTCCTTTTAATTATTTTCAAAGGTTTTAAAGAGCTTTCAGAGAAAAATAGAACAATTGGCTGATTAGCTAGAAAATGTTTGGGAAATAATTCAGCCTAGTAAGGAAGCAAATAAATCCAAAGGAACATAAAAACAATGCACCATTTCTCATCATTCAAATGACTGGAGTGTTCTTTTTTCTCTTGTTTCTTGGAGCTTTTTAAGAATGGTAATACTTGGTGTTGGCAAGCACAGAGTAAAACAAGCACTCTGACACAATTGGCAAGAGTGAAATTGCTAGAATGCAAGATTCATTTTGTTCACCAATGTATTTCAAGCCCCTAGACCATGTCTGGCACATAGTAGGCATGCAATAAATATTTGTTGAACTTAATTATATTGTAAAAGGGTCTAGGCTTTCTAGAAAGTCCTTTGGCAATATGCAATAAAAGCCTCAAACTATTCCTAGCCTGTGGCCAAGAAATTTAACTTCCAGGAATTTCCCCTAGGGAAGTGTTCAGAGATGTGAACAGAGATTTGAGTAGAAGAATCACAAAGCATGATACATGATAGCAAAAAACTGGAAACAGCCTAAGTATCCAAAGATGCTCCCCATCTCACTCAGAGTAAAAGCTCAAGTCCTTATAGCACCTACAAGGCCCTACAGGATCTGCGGTACTCTACCCACCCTTACCTTTAAGACATTAGGATCTCACCACTTTCTTCCCTGGTCACTCTACTACAGCTACAGTGGCCTCCTTGCTGCCCTTTGAACAAGCAGCCATATTTCCAATTCAGGGCCTCTGTACTTGTCATTCCATTTGTCTGGAATGCCCTTCCCCAGACATTCTCATGGGTCATTCCCTCGCTACTTTCAAATCTCACACCACCTTCTTCCTACTCCTCATCCTCCTTCCCTGCTTCATTTTCCCCCATTGCATTTACTGCTTCCTTATATACAGTATCACTTCTCATTTTTTTTATCTCTTCCAACTTGAACATAAGGCGCACAAGAACAGAGGCTTTTGTCTATATTCTTCACTGTTGTATTCCTTGTGCTTAGAATAGTGCCTGGCATGTAGTAGGTGCTCAATAAATATTTGTGGAATTGAGTTTGAATATGGAAGCCCATTATGTTAAATACCCATGCACAGAAAAAAAAATCTGAAGGAAATGCACCTAAGAGTTATCTCTGGGTTGTGAGATTATAGGTAATTTTTGCTATCTTCTTTATCCAGTGAATATAAACTCTTTTTATTATTGTAACAAGCAATAAAAAGTTTAAAAATTTAAAGACTAGAAAACAAAATTCTACAGTTGCCAACTATGTCTTGAGTGATAGTATATGGATCCACATTCCCAATTTCAGAGACTGGAGACTTCATGCTGAGATTTTAAAGAGACCCCAAAGGAACCTGCCCATCTACATCCACTCAACCAACCTTGATTGAGCTCTAGCTCCATGCTAAACTCTGTGGTGAGCCTACGGATGCAAAGTCCTTTCCCTCAAAGAAGGAGCTCACAGTCTAGCAAGGGGAGACAGACAGTCAAAAGGTTACAGATGCTGCGGTTGAGGTCTCCACATGGTAAGGGGGAGGTTGGCAAGGGATGGTGGGAGGTGTAATCTAGGAAGGTTTCATACAGGAAATGACATTGAGCTGAGTCTTAAAAATTTTCATGGCACCAGTTAAGCCTATCAGTAAAAAAAAAAAAAGAGAAAAAGAAAAAAAATTCACCAAGTGGACAAGGAAGGGGATAAATTTTCTGGGGAACCAGTAGTTGTCAAACTTTAGTGAGGATCAGAATAATCTGGAGAGGGGGAGGGCACTTATTGAAATGTCCATTCCTAGGACCAGCCCTCAAAGATTCTAATCCAATAGGTCTAAGGGAAAGCCTGAGAATCTTTAGAAATAGCTGACATTGTTTGAGCACTTATTACTTGCTAGGCAATGTTCTAAGCCCTTTTGTGGATTAACTCGAGTACTCTTCCTAAAAGGCAGTTGGTTATATTATCCCATTTCACGGCTGAGGAAACAGGTACAGAAAAGTTAAGGAACTTGTCCACTGTCTCACAGCTAGTAAGTGGAATGTCAGAATTCAAATATAGTGAGTCTGCTTCCAACCTTGGCTGTTTACCATTAAGCTATTTGACCTGCATTCTAACATGTGAACAAGCACCCCAAGTGATTCCAATCCAGGTCAGAAACACTGAGATAGAAGAAGCAATCTGGGGCCGGGTGCAGTGGCTCACGCCTGTAATCCCAGTGCTTTGGGAGGCTGAGGTTGGTGGACTGCTTGAGCCCAGGAGTTTGAGACCAGCCTGGGCAACATTGCGAGACCCTGTCTCTACAAAAAATGCAAAAATTTAGCCGGGTGTGGTAGTACATGCCTGTAGTCCCAGCTACCTGGGAGGATCACCTGAGCCCAGGAGGTCAAAGCTGCAGTGAGCCATGATCATGCCACTGCACTCCAGCCTGGGCAACAGAGCGAGACCCTGTCTCAAAAAAAAAAAAAAAAAAAGCATTCTGAACAAAGGTACAGAGGTGCAAAACAGCATGTCCCATTCTAGGAAAACCTTCTAATGACTCCCCATTGTCAGTGAAATCAAGTCCAGAGTCCTTGGCATGATTTACCCAACTGTGGTGTGATACCTACCCAGATTTCACTTCCCACCCCCACTTCAGGACTCACGCACTCATTCTCCCAGGTCCCCAACTGCTGAAAGTGTTGGTGACTGACAGCTTGCAATGAAATCCTCTTCCTGAGATTGCGCTGGGCTAAAGAGAGCTTTCTAGCCCAAAGTCACAGATCCTTCTTAGTGCAGCCTGCAGGTAATGAATGGCCAATACAGGGATATAAAGGCCTGTCTCCCTTTCCCCATCTAAGGACAACTCCGAGGAGTCATACCAGGCTCAGAGCTCCCTGTGGGATTCATGGAAGCTGCATTGTGACTGCACTGAAGCTCAGCTTCTCCCTCCACCCGATCCTACTCCCTTGTCTTACATTTCAGGTGTAGATCCCAAGAGCACTATTGAGTCAATTTTCTACATAGTAAACTCCATCACAGAGTCTCTTTCCCAGGCAACTCAACCTTCCATGATCTGGCCTCAGATTACTTGTCCAGCTTTATCTCTTTCTACTTTCTCCTTACCCTCAACACTCCAACCATAATGAAGCTAGGAATGATGTGGCCAGTGTCACAGCTAATGTGTATTTACTGAGTGCTATGAACACTTTACATGTGATTCCATTTGTCTGGAATGCTCTTCCCCAGATATTCTAATGGGTCATTCCCCTTCCTGCTTTCAAATCTTATTTATCTCACAAGTGAGGGTCTATTATCATCCTCTTTTCATAGATGAAAAAAACCAATACATAGATAGGTTAAGCTACTTGTCCAAAGTCACACAATTAGTAAGAGGCAGTGCTGGGATTTAAACTCAGCACTCCGGCCCCAGAGCCCATGCTTTACATGAGATCATTTTGCTTTTTCAAAGTGTCATGCTCGTAGGAGCATGGAGGTTGCAATTGGAGGGGTGGAGACTAGAGCAGGGACACCAGCCTTACCGCAGGAGAAAATGAAGGCTTAAATCAATGTTGGGATAGTGAGGACATAAATGCAAGGGTAGATATGATAAATATTAAGGAGGTGGATGAGACAGAGCTTTGGATTCCTCCTCTATTTCTCCCATTCCTTCTACATCTGACTTATGCCCCCAATTTTTGCATGGGTGGATGGCGTATCATTCATCAAGAGAAGATAAGTAGCAGGAGGAGCAAACTTGCAAAAAGGACATTGTATGCAAATGGGGATTGTGTTTTAAAGTGTGGTTCATAAACCAGAAGCTTTGGCATCCACTGGGAGCTTGTTGGGAATGCACGATCTTGGGCAGTATGCCAGACATACTGAATCAGAATCTCCATTTTAACAAGTCTTCCAGATGATTCACATGCACATTAATGTTTGAAAAGCACGGGCATAAGGAGCATTCTGGTGGGGATATCCAGTAATATGTCCAGTTGGATATTTGGGTTTGGGGCTCAGGATGGAGGTCTAGACTGGAGGGGTAAAGACAGGAGGTAACAGCCTATGGGTGGTAGCTGAAACCACTGGCATTGAATTAGATCCCAAGGAGAATATAGGGCAGAGGTCTCTCTCTTTTCAAGGCTCATTGCACAATGTTCTAAGCCAAGGTTGAAAATTGTTAGCCTTGGTGACTACAGCTGGCTCAAGCACATGTTTATTTGACCCTCACATTATTTTAATTTTTAAAATATTAGATGTAAGCAGTTAACCAACAGATTTTTACATAAAACCTGTATTTCTGACATAAAAATGTTCTCGTAAAAAATGAGAAGATCACTTTGGGAGGCCAAGGTGGGAAGATCACTTGAGGCCAGGAGTTCGAAACCAGCCTGGCCAACATCATGAAACCCTGTCTTTACTAAAAATACAAAAATTAGCTGGGTGTGGCACGAGAATCACTTAAACCCCAGCCTAGCCAACAGAGCAAGACTTTGTCTCAAAAAAAAAAAAAAAAAAAAGAGAGAGAGAGAGAGAGAAGATCTGGCATTATATCTCTGATTAGCAGCTGCCTCCTTTAGCAGGTACACCTAAAGAAGCCCCACTTCTCCCTGCTGTATCCCCAATGCTGAGAATAAGTATCAGCTGTCTTTTATCACATTTGCTCTGTTTTTGTTAAAGCAGAATTAAGTGGATAATCAAAATTTTTTTGTACCTATGACTCTATCAAAAGTGGAAAATGAAAGATAACAGGGTTACTATTTCAAAATAAAAACAGGGCAAGATCACATTTCTTTGTGATTTCTGGCATATACTACATTGTCACACATCAACCAGACTCGCATTACTTACTCATATGACTGGCCTGACATTTATAGGCAGGTTGCAGAGAGAAAAAGAGGGCCAAGATAGAGTCTTGGGAAGATTAACATTGTAGGAATAAGTAGAGGAAGAGAAACCCACCAAGGAGATTGAGAATAAAAACCACAAGTGGTAGGAAAATGGCAGAATAATGTGGTCCGATAGAAGCAAAGGGAGGAGAGAGGGTTTCCAGGAGGGAGAGGTTTACAATGCCAAGGGCTGTAAATGGATCAAGAAAGATGAAAACTAAGGTGTAAGTTGGACTAGGCAGTTAGGAAGTCCTGGGTTACCTATGCCAGACTCTTTTTATTGTGGCATGAGAAGGGTGGAAGTCTGGTTCCAGTGGCCTAGGGAGTGAGTGGAACATGAGGATTGAGGAGATCTATCTCTCAAAAAAGAAGTTTGAGAAGCTTGACTAAGGCAGAGGAGGTAGGGAAAAGAGGGAATTGGATTCCCTGGTTTGATTTTCGTTCTTCTGAAAACTATCATAGACTTCAGTTGCAGCAAGATAGGTAGTAAGGCTTAGAGGTTGAAAATACAGGACAGAGTGGGTACTTTTTTTTTTTTTTTGAGATGGAGTTTTGCTCTTGTTGCCCAGGCTGGAGTGCAGTGGTGGGATCTCGGCTCACTGCAACCTCCGTCTCCCGGGTTCAAGCGATTCTCATGCCTCAGCCTCCAGAGTAGCTGGGATTACAGGCACCCGCCACCACGCCTGGCTAATTTTTGCAAATTTTTTAATAGAGATGGAATTTCGCTATGTTGGCCAGGCTGGTCTTGAACTCTTGACCTCAAGCGATCCACCCACCTCAGCCTCCCAAAGTTCAGGGATTACAGGTGTGAGCCACCTCACCCCGCCCAGAGTGGATATTAATCAAACCTGTGGCATGGAATGAGACAAGAGAGGATGAAATCGAAAGAACAGGTGGAAGGATCATAGCTTCTCCTTTAAGAGGAGAGGGAGAGGGAATTCAAACCTGACAGCTTCAATGCTTTCCATGAAGTAGGAGGCAAGGTCAACTGTGAGGGGAGCAGAATGGGGAGAGAGAGGGAAACAGCAAGGGCTTGAGTGTTGGCCAAGGCTAATATTTTTACCATTCCCTCCATAGGGGCTTTTGGAAACAGGAAGAAACAAGAGAAATACAGGCATTATGTTGCCTAGGAAACACAGTGGTTTGCTAAAGCAATAGTACGTTCTTTCGAATCTTATTAACCCTTTCATATCCATTGTCACCTCAAAGAGAGCTAACTGGTGAATAGGGATGGAAGTAGAGAGAATTTTGCTCCATAGAACACACAGTGGATATCCTCTTTAGCCTGAGGAAAATATGAGGGTAGGGACAGAAGACTTAAATAAAATAGGAGAGACCAACAAAGAAGTGGCAGGCAGTAAGGTGTCAAAGATATTCCCCTATTCCCTTGTGCTTGTATGTGCCCCAAACCACACACACACACACACACACACACACACACACACACACACACACACTCACACTCTCTCTCTCTCTCTCCATCCCTTTGCATGTATACAGGAGCGATCCCACTTTCCCACCAAGCAGAAATATCTAGGGTTAATATCTAGGGTTAATATGTGGGAATTATCCTTTCCTTGATTTTTCTTTTTTTGGTATGGTAAGATAATCTAATTGAAAATGAATTGTCTTCTGTTTTTTTCTGCTATAAGTTCATCGCTAAACAAAATTTGTCTTTCTCTCTTTTACTCTTGCCACAGAGGATGGCCAGGGCTTTGTGACAAGGAGATCTGAACTTTACTTATGCCAGGAAGAAAGTAGAGAGGACTTTGTTTCTAAAAAGTCTCTAGGTTATTGAGAGCTTTGAGCTGAACTGAGAGTGAAGGTCTCTGAGGGTGGGGAGGAGGGGAGTGTGGATCAGCTATATGCCCAAGCCTAGGCACATATTGTGGTTGGGAGGCAGTGTCCCAGAGTGTCCAGGATCCATGTCCTGGTCTGCACACCCGCACCCATGACTCCCCAGAAGCCCATAACAGAGGGTGTGTAAATTCTACTGAGGAAGCCTTTCCCTCCAGACTCAGTTGTCCTCCCCAAGCTGATGCTGGTCCATCATTTTTCGTGACTTTAACATCAATGTGGATGACCCATCCCACACCATGACCTTCCACTTCCTTGACTTTCTTCACCTCCAACCACCTTTTCCTCTACCCCACATTAGCCACTCTCTCTTGGTCATACACTAGACCTTTTCAAAAGCCCAGCTGTGATTAAACCCAACTGTTCCCCCATTCCCTAGCTGCACATAAACAACTGAATATTGTAGTAGAAAGCACAGTACTCTACTTGCTGGTCTCACTTGAAAAAAAAACTATGGAAAAGAATCAAAACTGTTTTATTCACAGATGACATGATCATCTATGTAGAAAATCCAACGAATTCTACAAAGAAGCTACTAGAACTAATGAGTAAGTTAGCAAGGCTAAAGGATACAAGATTGATATATAAATATCAATTTTATTTCTGTATTCTAAATATTCAATAGCAATGAACAATCAGAAATCAAAATGAAGAAAGAGACAATAACATCCACAACAACATTAAAACATCCACAACAACATATTAAACATGAAATAATTTGGGACAAAAAGTATATGATTCCATCTATGTAAATGTCCAGAAAATGCAATCTAACATATAGTGACAGAAAGCAGGTCAGTGGCTACCTGGGGATAATGAATGAGGAAGAGCTCACCTGAAAAAATTTCACTAAAATTTACAAGTGAATTATGCTGTACAAGAATTATACTACACAGTTGTGCTCGATTTTCTCTCCCACTGTCATTCCCTGTGAGGACTCTATGACACCATTTTCACTGTCTACAAACCTTCAGTGTCCCCTCTCTATTCTTACTTTCAGCTGATGATATTGCATTTCATTTCTTTAAGAAAATAGAAACAATTAGATGTAAACTATCATCTCCCTGCCATCAAACCCAACAAACCCTACCTGCAGCTGTATTCTCTGTTTTCCTTCTTGGTACTGTGCAGAGAATGTCTTTACTCCTATCAAGGGCCTTCCCCTTGAACTCTGCATTTATTTGCCTAATTCTCAAAACCCTGGCTCTCACAGTTTATCTTCTTCTCTCCTTGATCGTACTTATGAGCAGATAAACATGCTTTAGTGTTTCTTCTCTTTTAAAACACCTTCCCTGGGGCCAGGCCCCGTGGCTCACGCCTGTAATCCCAGCACTTTGGGAGGCCAAGGCGGGCAGATCACTTGAGGTCAGGAATTTGAGACCAGCCTGGCCAACGTGGTGAAAGCCTGTTCTCAACTAAAAATATAAAAATTAGCTGGGTGTGGTGGCACCTGCCTGTAATCCCAGCTACTTGGGAGGCTGAGGCAGGAGGATCGCTTGAGCCCGGTAGGTGGAGGTTGTAGTGAAGCGAGAGTGTGCCACTGCGCTACAGCCTGGGCAATGGGAGAGAAACTCTGTCTCAAAAAAAAAAAACAAAACGAAACAAAATAAAACAACAACAAAAAACCAAAACCAAAACCAAAAACCTTCCCCTAACCCCAAATCTTCCTAGTAGCTACTCCCCTGCATTTTCTGTTCCCTGTGTATCCAAACTTCTACAAAGGGTTGTCTATATGTATCATCTCCACATTCTTGCCTCCCATTCTCTCTTCTACTCATTCTACTGGGCTTTTGCCTGCATCACTCCTTCAATGCCATTCTTGTTTATGTTCTGATTCCATGGACACTTTTGTAACTTTGTCTTTGGACTCTGTCTCTCAGAGTACAAAGTACACTCAGAGCACTTTGTACACACAGTACAACATTTGATGGAGTTGATCACTACACCCTGAAATACTTTCCTTACTTAGTTTCTGGGATACATCCCACATCCTTTGATGGTTTTTCTCCTTTCTTATTCACTACTCCTTCTCAGCTGCCCATACCATTTTCACCTCCTTTGCCAAACTTTTAAATGTTGGAGTGTGCCCCAGATACGTCCTGGGCCAGCATCTGGTCTCGTTCTCTGCTCAGGTGATTTCATTCAGTCCTAATGTTTTTCATATACTTAAGACTCACATATTTAAACTTTGTATGAAAGACAAAAGGAAGGAGAAAAAAGCATAAAATAAACTTTTTACCCTGGTCTTACCCCTGTACTCCAGATTCTGTATACATTAGGCATACTTGACATCAATAGGTATCAGAATATTTACATGTCCTAAACAGAACTTTTAATTTCATCCTTGTATTAGTCGCTGTTCAGTGGTGAGAAACAGAAACTGCTTAGTTATTTAGAGGAGAAAAGGATGGGACACAGGGAATTAAGAGCTTACAAAAATCAGTGGAAAGGCTGGAAGAACAGGCTATAGCCTCGGGCTGTAGGAATGACTACCAGGACTCTATCACTAAATAGGCCCATTAGGGGTACTGTGACCTCTGCCCTCAGACAGAAAAGTGGGTCATCAGGAAGCCTCCGCTAGGATGATTGGCTTCAAGAATAGAACAACGCCCAGGACCTCCCCGCCCGGCCCCGCGCCAGAGCCCCGCCTCGCCCTCCAGCCGCAGCCGGGCCTGGCCGCCTGCTGCGCCCGCTTGCGCCCGGGACCCGCGCCATTTCCTGCGGCTGTGCGCGCACCTCGACTGCACGCCCGATATCTGGGCGCTGCACCACTGGAGCGTCTGGCTCACCCCTTTCTCGCGCCTCGCAACTCGCCTCTTGGACGCGGCCTTCTTCCTATGCTGCCTGCGCGAGCCGCCGCCAGTCTACTCCGACTTGGCGGAGGTGGTGGGCTGCCAGTGGTCATCTCCATCAAAGGCAACTGAAAGTTTCTTATCAAAAGAAATTTGGCTGGCACCCCCACAGTTCTACGAAATGAGAAGACTTGAAAATTTTGCCTCTCTCTGATTTGCACAAATTTTGTTTGGATCGTGCATTAGAAGGACTGGAAAGATGGCTGCCGATCACCTTGTTAACTGCTGATGGGATGCTCTAGCTTTTACCAGGTGATGAGCTATACTTAGAATATTCAGACTTTTTAGAAAATCTTTTGTCTGCTGAAAAAAAGACTGAAGAAATCATAAAGGAAGGCAAGCAATTTCACTGGAAAGTGATATACAATCGCCATCTTTATGATACTCACGTGACTGTTCAAAGTATAAACACGTTTATCCTAAGAACTCCGTAGTAAGAGCCGTTTGTAGGGTGCTCATGCTTGTTTGTAAACTGGTCTATTTGAAGTCCTTGTGAATAATAAGGGTTGAATTTCAACTTGCTTGAAACTTAAGGAAGTGTGTGCCTATAAAAGTTATACGGCTGGGTGCGGTGGCTCACGCCTGTAATCCTAGTACTTTGGGAGGCCGAGGCGGGTGGATCACTTGAGATCAAGAGTTCGAGACCACCCTGGCCAACATGGTGAAACCCCGTCTCTACTAAAAATACAGAAATTAGCCGGGCGTCATGGCACACGCCTGTAATCCCAGCTACTAGGGAGGCTGAGGCGGGAGAATCGCTTGAATCCGCGAGACGGAGGTTGCAATAAGCCGAAATTGCACCACTGCACTCCAGCCTGGGCGACAGAGGGAGATTCCATCTCAAAAAAAAGGGGGGGGGTTTATTATAATGCAGTGTTTCTAATTTCAGGGAGCTCTCTTGCTTATTTTATTTATTTATTTTTTTAGAAAAAGACCTTTATTCAGCATCACGATCAGACTGTTATATTTAGCAATCAACAGCATGGGTGCAAAAAAAAATCTACATTTAAAACCCTTTGTTAGAATGCTTTATACTTTCCGCAGAACAGAAACTAAAATAACCTGTTATACAATTAGTCGCAAATACAGTTCTCGAGTTTTTTGCCCATATACATGAGTATTTGTCTAAAACATGTCTTCATTGTAGCAGCTAGGCCCTGCCACCACTGTGCTTGGCTGAGTTCACAAATCTGTTGTAACCTGTAGCTTCCCTGGCACTTCTCTGGCTCTCCTCTCCTGCTAAGCTTTGTTTCCTAATTTAAATCTTCTGCCACTGCCACAGCTACTGCTGCTACTGGAACCGCCATAGCCACCTTGGTTTCATGGTTTGGCAAAGTATTGGCCTCCACCATCATAGGGGCCAGAGCTTCTGCCTCCAAAATTTCCTCCCTTCATGGGTCCAAAATTTGAAGACTGATTGTTGTAATTGCCAAAATCACTGTAGCTTCCACCACCTGCAAAATTGCTTCCATCATTACCAAATCCATTATAGCCATCCCCACGCCACCATATCCACCACCACCACCACAGCCGCCACCAAAACCACCACGATCACTGAAGTTTCTTCTATGACCAAAGTTGTCATTCCCACTGAAACCACGTCCAAGACCACCACCAAAGTTTCCAGAACCACTTTGTCCTCTTTGGCTGGATGAAGCCAGTCGCCATCTCTTGCTTTGACAGGGCTTTCCTAACCTCACAGTTGTGGCCATTCACAGTATGGTATTTCTGAATGACAAGCTTATCCACAGAGTCATGGTCGTCAAAGGTTACAAAGGCAAAGCCCCTTTTCTTGCCACTGCCTTGGTCAGTCATGATTTCAGTCACTTCAATTTTTCACTGTTCAAAATAATCTCTTAAGTGATGTTCTTCAGTATCTTCTTTAATGCCACCAACAAATATCTTTTTCACAGTTAAGTGGGCACCTGGTCTTTGAGAATCTTCTCTTGAGACAGCTCTCTTTGGTTCCACAACTCTTCCATCCACCTTGTGTGGCCTTGCATTCATGGCTGCATCCACCTCCTCCACAGTGGCATATGTGACAAACCCACAACCCCTGGAGTGCTTGAAGTTTGGATCTCTCATTACCACACAGTCCGTGAGCATTCCCCATTGCTCACAATGGCTCCTCAGGCTCTCATCGGTTGTTTCAAAGCTCAACCCTCCGATGAAGAGCTTCCTCTGCTGTTCAGGCTCTTTAGGAGACTTTGACTTAGACATGACGGAAGGGAGAAGAGAGACTTTAACGATGCTTCTTCGGCGGCGTCCATGGGCAGAAAGGCCCTTATTTTATTCTTTAAACCTTACAGTGTGCCACATGTATGAGGTTTGTAAAGTATTAATGATCTTGTTAACCAAAACAAGAAAAAAAATTTCACAAGGGTTCCCACTTCTGTATTGTTTTATTATCTCAAAAGTTTAAATAAGATGTTCTGCTGCTGTTGTTCTTGATGTCCACTGTTTTAGCACCTTCCCTGATGTGCTTAGGAAGTTGATCGATGAATTTCTTAGACTTTCTGTTGGAATTACTTTAAGGGTGTCTTATTAGATGGTGAAAATTAGACTGAGACACCCTTCAAGTGACCATGTCATTGTTTTCTTGCTATGTCTTTAGCTTGATGATTAAGATACAATTCTTTTAAAAACCAAATAGCATTAGTTATGTTTCCCAAATTAGAAATCTATTTTAGTTAATGTTTTAAAGAAACACGAAGCCATAGCAAAAATCATTATTGTTTTTACTCCTGAGTGTTAATGAATGTAAAGAGGTTACAGATGTAGTGTTTAATTAATGATGTTTATTTTTTCTATATTTAACATAAGTAATTTTTCATTGTCTTTAAAGAGGAATGTTTATTGATTAAAGGTGAGAAATGATAGTTAAGACACCAATTCTGTGTCAAGATCTTTGACTGTATTATGCATTGTACAATTGACTTCATTTTTCATGAAATGCCTTAGTTTTCCTACTATAAAATAAAGACAATGATGAATTAAAACAAAACAAAACAAAAGAATAGAACACCATACCTGCAGCCCAGGGAAGCTGAGCCACTACCACTGCCACCATAAACTGACTCTCAGCAACCATGAAACTAGAGACTGAGACATGGAAACACTGACTTAGGTTGCTGCAATTATTGCAAAAGTCCCTTGACTGCCATCTCTGTCTCCTCTGCCCCCTCCTCAAACTTGCATATACACACACACACTCCAGCCAACACATAACACTTGGTATGTGCAAAGCACTATTCCAAGTTCCATTCTTATTACTATTATTATGCCATTTTACGGAGGAGTAAACTGAGGTAGAGAGAGGTTAAGTAGCCTAAGATTACAGTTAGTGAGTTGTATATGCTATTATCTGCCCTGCTCTTATCTCTGAACATTTCTTTGTCAGTTTTCCACGTATCTAGAATTCTTCATGAACATATTTTTAATGACTGTATAAGATGCTATCATATGTATTTGCCACAATTTATTTGGCCATTCTCTTATCTTGCATATTTAGATTTATTTCCAATTTTTCTTTATGAACAGTAACTGCAATGAGCACTCTGCATACAAATTATTTTGCCTATTTCTGATCATTTTCTTAGGATACACTCCTTAAAATTCAGCTCTTGGGTCATAGGCTATGAAGATTCCTAAAAACAGTATTTGAGGGTCAGCAGTTGTGAATATTTTTAATCCACTTGAGTATATTAATGGGCATACCAACCAGTAATATGCAAGAGTACTCGTCTCACTGTACCCTCCACACTTAAACCGGGCATTTTCATCTTTTCAAGTTTTTGCTATAAGTATGCTGCATGTAATATTGGCATGCTCATACTAAAAATGTGTTCATTGTTTTTCTGAAATTCCAACTTAACTGTGTCTCCTGTATTTTATCCAGTAACCCTACTTGATGTGGATGTCCAAACTCTCTTCTTTTTTGAGGTATTCCTCCATTGTGAGCCTGGAAAACAAGGCTGAGGCCTCTTACTGTGGAAACTAAGGGAAGCACATATTCCCTCTCCACAAGCCCTGAGTGGTCAGGGAGTCCATAGGGGACCCAGGCTCTTACTGAAGACTTTGGATCTTGAGAGGTTTATACAAAAAGTGGCCATTTTGAATTCATTCATAGAAACTGCATCTAGCAGACCAGAATGTCAGATCAGTAGAGTCCAGATGTAGCAGTGTTTTGTGGTGGTGGTGTGTAGAGGCAGTGAAGGTGGTTGTTGCCAGTAGTGACATACCAACCAAGCTGGTCCTATGGCAAATCTTGACTGAGGTCCTCCCATGATTCCTGATCATTTCTTTATCCTGGTTTACCTGCCTTTCTGTTGATTCTGTGAAATGCCCAATAATTTGCTAAATTCAGCCAGAGTCAGTTTCTGTCTTTTGCAACCAAGATCCCTGACATTTATAAATAAAAGCCCAGATAGGCTGGAGAAAATTTGAAATCATGATATTTCCAAACTCCTTTTGTATTCCTAAAATTGGAATTTTAAAAATTCTCCTCACCAAATGACTGTTGTTCAAGGGAAAGGGATTTGGCATTTTCCAAAATAAGCACTAGATGGTGCTATGAGGTAATATGTTCTTGATTGTGTCGTTGCCCAAATAATAAGGATTAAGATCGCCAATAACACTATCACCAAGGATACTGTCAACAAGAATAGCTAAAATTAATTGAGTGCCTCATATATGCCAGAAACTGTTCTACATGTTTGATAGAGTTGTAAACCAAAAATAAAATTCTAACCCCCCAACGAACTGATGGACTCTCCCCTCGGCTAAGTGAATTCCAAAGCCAACTTGAAAAACTAGTTCAGGCCATGATGGGAAGTGGATGTCAGACATGCTTCATTATAACCTTCTCCATTTTGGAATTCAGGCACAGCTGACCAGCATTAATATCAATACAGAGACATTAAGACTGTTAGAGGCCAGGCGCAGTGGCTCACGCCTGTAATCCCAGCACTTTGGGAGGCCAAGGCAGGTGGATCACCTGAGGTCAGGAGTTCGAGACCAGCCTGACCAACATGGTGAAATCTCATCTCTACTAAATACAAAAAATTAGCTGGGTATGGTGGAGCATGCCTGTAATCCCAGCTACTTGGGAGGCTGAGGCAGGAGAATCACTTGAACCCGGGAGGCGGAGGTTTCAGTGAGCCAAAAGATTGTGCCACTGCACTCCAGCCTGGGAGACAAGAGCGAAACTCTGTCAAAAAAAAAAAAAAAAAAAGAAGACTGATAGAACAGACTCTTTAAGTTTGATAAGAAACATTTACAATCTATTCTCTCTGAAGCCTGCTACCTGGAGGCTCCATCTACATGACAAAACCTTGGTCTCCACAATCCCTTATAGTAACCTAGACATTCCTTTCCATTGAGTTCAAGTCTTTAGATAATAACTCTTTCAACCAATTGGCAATCAGAAAATCTTTGAATCCGTCTATGACTTAGAAGCAACCCCCTCACCTCTGCCCCTGCTTCCAGATGTCTCCACTTTTCCAGATAGAACCAATGTACATCTTACCTGTATTAATTGATATGTCTCCTTAAAATGTATAAAACCAAGCTGTAGCCCAACCACCTTGGGCACATGTTCTCAGGATCTCCTGGGGCTTGTGTCATGGGCCATTGGCCACTCATATTTGGCTCAGAATACATCTCTTCAAATATTTTACAGTTTGACTCTTCATTGACAGAGTGAACTCATTTCTTACAACCAATAAAGCAAGTAATTTTATTAACACATTTTACAGAAGAAGAAATCAAGGCACATTCAGTTTAGCTAACTTATCCAAGATCAGAAAATCATTTACTGATGAAGATAAGATTTGAACCAAAGAAGCCTGGCTCCAGAGGCTGTACTCTGAACCAAAATGCTCTACTACCTGTCATAATTATATAATATAGCCAACATTTACTGATGGTCAACAGTGAGCCAGGCATTTTGCACAATGGAGTCATTATTGTCATTTTCCATATGAGCGAACTGAGGCTCCAAAAGGCTAAGTAATTCATGTTTCCATAGACACAGAGACAAAGCTGAGAGCATTTGTAAATGTAATTCCATGATGTTAGTAATGAAACAAAAATAAATACATAGATAAGATACTAATGTTTGTCACTTTAGAGAGTAATTCCACTTCAGGCAGAGGGAAAGATATACTTTGAAAATGATTGATTTACATTCCAATTGTTCTGTGATAAAATAAAAAAAATACGATTGGCATGGTAAATGATTCCTTTTCATTTCAGCTCTTCAGTGTGGACAAAATATTTTCCCTCTTTTGATACTTCCCTTTAGGAGCCAAAGACGGTGTGAAAGCCAAAGGTAGAATTAGAGCCTGGCTTATTTGGGCTTTTGCATTTCTCATTATGAGGATGAGTATGTCTCATGATCAAAGTAGATGAATTAGGCAGCACCCAAAACATGTAACTTAGGTAGGCTCTGGGCAGGAACCGGCCCTCCTAACAAAATGATTGTAATATTTGTCTGGAAATGTGAACTAAGTTAAATAGCTAAGAAAAGTTTGAGGCAGAGGAGTAATGCTATCAAAATGTATTATAAAACTGCAACATTTAAAGCAGTGATAGTGCTGCAAGAAGAGGCAGATCAATGGGTCAGATAGAGAGCCTACAAACAAAATAAAGCAAAAATATGTGTGTATATGTACAAGTGTATACATACATATATATGAATTTATAAGGTAAAGGAAAGATCACAATTCAATGGGAAAGGGAAGGATTATTCAATAAGTGGTACAGGGATGATTTGCAATCTGGGAAAAAACAATCACATCATTTACTGAAATAAGTTACCATTTATTTCTCCCAACTGAAACCTCCTTTGCAAAAAATATATCAGTGAGAAAATTATGGCAACGTGGTGGGGGACTGGAGATCTGATCTGGCCAACCTCCCTTTTGCCTTTAGCCTTCAAGCTGCTTTTAATTAATCCCAGGCTTAAGCCAAGCTAACTTTGGGAGGCATTTAGTTTATAGCTTAAATGATAATAGTTTTTCACCATAACTCATAGCCTTTGTAAAGCTAAGGACAGACCACCAGGCTAAGAGGATAAGAGGAGCCTGAATTCTGCTAAGGTGCAGACGTAAACAATTACCCACCATTATTCCCGGGGTCACAAGATATGCAACTTTCCCAATTACTGCTGCAGATGACATCCCTATTGCAGAACTTAAGATTGGCCTTTTGAAATACTTTTTCAGGTTCGTTGCATGTCTGCCACCGATAGTTCCACCTGGACCTGTCAACCACTCCTGTGGTCCTACCCAGAAGCAACTCAGGGCAAGAAGACAGCTTCGACTCCCTATGATTTAATCTCTGATCCAACTAAACTGCACTCCCCATCCCTAGCCCCCTGCCCACGAAATTATCTTTGAAAAACCCCTAACCTCCAACACTTCCGCCTCTGGTCAATTAAACTCTTTCTTTACTGTAATGTCTTGAATTTATTTTGTTTTTGCACTGGGCAGGAAGAAGCCTTAGGTCAGTTACATAACTGCAACTTTGTATCTTTTGACAAACATCTCCCCATTCTCAACCCCCACCGCCACCCCCAGCCTCTGGTAACCACCATTCTATTCTTGCCTCTTATGAGTTAGATTGTTTTAGATTCCACACATAAGTCAGAACATGTGGTATTTGTCTTTCTGTGCCTGGCAGCAAAGATGTTTTAAAAATCATGACCCTCAACATTATAAAGCTCTTTCATGTACTGGTGAGGAGGAAAAATTGCTCTGGCCTTTCTGGGTGGCAGTTTGGCAAGATGAAAGAACCTTAAGAAATTTTGGGTCTTTTGTACTAAAAATGTCATGTCTAGCAATTTTTCTTAAGGAAATAGTGGTAGTACAGATAAAGATTGTGGTACAAAGATATTATTCATGTCAGCCTTGTGAATAACTAGAGGAGAACCATTAAGAGAATAGTTACATTATGGGACAACCATATGATAGAATGTCATGCAGCCATCAGAAACGATGTTTACAAAGATTTTTTTAATGACACAGGAAACCATAGATAATAAATTAGATAATCAAGATAAACAAATTTCAAACACTCATCAGACCTATAAACAGGTAACAGATTTATTCAGTGATTAAAAACCTCCTTAACACCCGTATTCCTTGCCTGCACTTTTAATAAAGAAGAGTCATTTTGTGATGAAACAAACTATAGAAAGTTTGAGGTTCAGGTTCTGGACCATCACAACCCTGGAGATAAGTAAGGTTTGTCTTCCCCTTCCCCTTTATATGCTTTTGATTATCTCGGGGCACTATTTTCTCTTTCCAGTGGCCTCCTGCTATCGCTTTCCCCTCTGGCAAATTTTTTTCTAAGGCAAAGAGCAAGTAAACTAATTTATACACACTTATACTTGGCTGAGAATATATAATTTTTTCCCAGGAATATTTGCATGCTAATAGAGGCCAAAGCCTAAGCTAATAGAATGAATCCCTGATAGCCTGGCATTCAAAGCCATTCACTACAACCCCCTACCAGTCTTCTCACTACTCCCCTATGTAAACTACACTACAGAAACAGTCTCTTGTTCTTCCAGACCAAGGGATCTACTTATTGCACCCTGTTCGCTGCATCTTCCACCACCAAGTGCTGGAGTTTCCCAGGATTCCCTTCCATTTAGAAGCTTTCTTGCCTACCAACTCAACTCTTACTTATCCTTCAGGCCCACCTACATCCATCACATCAGTTCAGGCCATTTTGAAAAACACAAGGTATTTCAAAAGGATCCACCACACCTACATCCACCACATCACTCCTGAATTCTTCTTTCATTTATTCTTTAACTCAGTTTCATTTATTTTTTAATTCTTTAATTGAGCACCTACCATCTTCCTGGCACTGTTCTAGGTACAGGAGACATGGTGGTGGTTAAAACATACATGGACTCTGGCGTCATGAAACTTAGTTTATTGGGAAACATCAACATCAAATAAGTAATCAAACACATGTAATAATTGTACATTGTGATAAATGCAGTGAAGGAAAAAACAGGGTGCAGTGAGAGAGTAATGAGGTCAGGAGAAAACAGCTTCCTTGAGTAGCCCAACTGTCCCTGACCTCTCCCTAAGTTAATCCCCTAAAGACTTACTGTGTTCAGATACCCACTCAAATATGTATTTGCCATCCTCTATGCACCAAGCTCTGTGCAATAATAATACTGGGTACCACTGATGGAGCAGTTGCTATATGTCAGACACTGTGCTGTGCACTTCATATATTTAATCTCATTTAGTCCTTAAAATGACTCTTTGAGAGGAGTCTTATTATTATCTCCATTTTACAGTTGAGATGACTGAGTCACAGAGTGGTTCAGGCACTTTCTCAAGGGTCATTCATTTAGTTAGTGACAAAGCTGGGACTTAAATCTAGGTTGTCCGGATCTCGAGTTCACTCACTTAACTGCAATACTCTATTGTACTCTGTAAGATGTGTACATGTGGTATATGTGTGTGTTGGAGAGGATACACAGTTGAAGAGAGTAGCCTAATTGCTGGTTTGCCCTGCATGTACTGACTGTATCATGCCATACCCGAATGCTCTCCTTGGTGCCCGAGGAAAGGCAAAGAAATCCACTCTTCTGGAAGTCGGGGGATGGGGTGCGTGGGCAGTGGGGTTCACAAGATGGATCTTGGCTGAATTCGTATTTGTTTGACAGAGAAGGGAAGAGATTGAGAGGCTTTGAGAACAGCCTGTCCAAAGGCACAGAGATGGAAAGAACATGATACGTTTGAAGAATGAGCAATCTGCTGTGACCATGCTTGGGGCTAGGGCTAGGGCAGTGGAGGCGGGAGGCCGGGGGGTGCAGAGTTAGATTCTTCCTTCCATTTTTGGAAATAGATGTCCTCTTCCCCCAGGGAAGGTGTCCATTTTTTTCATGTTGAAGGCAAAGCCGGGCATTTGAGGAAGGTACGGAGACAGAAGGTCACATACCACCCCTCTGCTTTCCAGAGAGTGAAAGATGGTAATCGTAGGAAACACGATAAAACTGTTAAAGGCACACTACATAAATTGTGAGATAAGTCATGGCTGTGTTTTTTAGGGGACAGTCTAAAAACTGAAAATTTGTCCTTAAGCTAGAAAATTAAAAGTTTCCACTAGCAAGCAATCTGTGCTCTCCCTTGGCTCCTGCAAATCCTTTCAATGACTTTATCCTGGGTAACTGACATGATTTTTGTTAATAGAACTATTCCAGATTTAGGGAATGTACTGTCCCATGCCTCTACTTTCTGGTATCCCCCTTAGTTTCCACAAACGCTCTGAGCACAGACTGGTGCCTCAATTTCCTCAACTGCAGAAAAAGGGCAGTAATAGTCCCTATCTCAGAGTTGTTGGGAGGATTAAATGAGATATTGGAAGGAAATAAAGTTCTTAGCACAGAGCCTGGCCCATAGTAAGCATACCCTATCAATGTTAATATAATTACTGAGATTTGTTGGTTGAGTGTGGGTTGTTTTTTTTTTTTTTTGGTTTGGTTTGTAAATAGTAAGCTGGGAAAAGAGGCATTTGATGAGGGACAAAGGAATCATTTCGTCCTAAACGCAGACAACTTCTAAGGTCAGCCTCATTGGGGTTATTGTAATCATTATGAACTTAAGAAAGGTTCTTAACCAGTCACTAAAACAATTCCCATCTCCACTGGCTTTCTTCTTTATCAAGGGCTAGCACAAAACCCAAGAGATCACCCGCCTGTTTCTCCATGGAAATCAGCCCATATAAACTTCAAACTGAACAGGCCATACCTTCTTGCTTCCTACCTCTTTTTTCTTGGCCTCGGGAAGTATCCCACTGATTCTCAATCCTGGTCTCAGCATTAACCTCCTCCTATCTCTGCTCTTTTAAGTTGATACACTTCTTTACCTATGGTTACATAAACTATAAGATGGCCAAACTGGAAAGAGCCTTTGATAAAAATTAGTCACACTCCTTTCCCTCATTTTAGAAAGGAGAATGTACTAGAAATGGGGGATGGCTGATTTAGCCAAGGTCACACATTGAGTTTGTGGCAGAGCCCTGTTTAGGGCCTGGCGGCTTTGCAAATACAGCACTGCATTAGTTCTCTAGGTTCATGAGGCAGACAGCCCTCAGTGTTGACAGCAGTGTCAAAATGATTTGCCAGACACATCTCATGGGTATAAATTAATATCAATTCATGAGAGTGTCCAAGCACAGCTATGAACTATTATCCCACTATGACTATCCCACAGAAGTGTTTCAGGACTCCCAGCCTGACCCAGAAGCAGAGCTAACCTTGGACAGGAGTGAAGCCTGATTTTGGTGTGTGCTCATCACACCTTTCTCTTTCCCTGGAGTAATTTGGCACCCACTCTGGAGAGCAATTACACAGCCAGGAGGAGAAGAGAGCCTGAAGAGCTGTTTTGTTCTTCTATGGTGCCTTGTGCATGGTAGGCACTAGATAAACAATTGTTGAACTGAATTTCATTTAGCTCTGAGGGGACGTATTCACCACAGTGTACATGAAGATGTGTGCTGGATTGCATATTGAGAACACCCTTGATAGTGAGAAGTGACAGCGTGCTGGCAGTCCTCACAGCCCTCGCTCGCTCTCGGCACCTCCTCTGCCTGGGCTCCCACTTTGGCGGCACTTGAGGAGCCCTTCGGCCTGCTGCTGCACTGTGGGAGCCCCTTTCTGGGCTGGCCAAGGCTGGAGCCCACTCCCTCAGCTTGCAGGAAGGTGTGGAGGGAGAGGCGCGAGCAGGAACCGGAGCTGCCTGCGGCGCTTGCGGGCCAGCTGGAGTTCCCCGTGGGCGTGGGTTTGGCGGGCCCTGCACTCGGAGCAGCCGGCCAGCCCTGCTGGCCGCGGGCAATGAGAGACTTAGCACCCGGGCCAGTGGCTGCGGAGGGTGTACTGGGTCCCCCAGCAGTGCCAGCCCACTGGCGCTGCGCTCGATTTCTCACCGAGCCTTAGCTGCCTTCCCGTGGGGCAGGGCTCTGGACCTGCAGCCCGCCATGCCTCAGCCTCCCACCCACTCCATGGGCTCCTGTGCGGCCCGAGCCTCCCCAAAGAGCACCACCCCCTGCTCCATGGCGCCCAGTCCCATCGATCACCCAAGGGCTGAGGAATGCAAGCGCATGGCGTGGGACTGGCAGGCAGCTCCACCTGCAGCCCTGGTGCGGGTTCCACTAGGTGAAGCCAGCTGGGCTCCTGAGTCTGGTGGGGACGTGGAGAGTCTTTATATCTAGCTCAGAGATTGTAAACACACCAATCAGCACCCTGTGTCTAGGTCAAGGTTTGTGAGTGCACCAATGGACACTCTGTATCTAGCTGCTCTGGTGGGGCCTTGGAGAACCTTTATGTCTAGCTCAGGGATTGTAAACACACCAATCAGCACCCTGTGCCTAGCTCAAGGTTTGTGAGTGCACCAATGGACACTCTGTATCTAGCTGCTCTGGTGGGGCCTTGGAGAACCTTTATGTCTAGCTCAGGGATTGTAAACACACCAATCAGCACCCTGTGCCTAGCTCAAGGTTTGTGAGTGCACCAATCGACACTCTGTAGCTAGCTGCTCTGGTGGGGACGTGGAGAACCTTTATGTCTAGCTCAGGGATTGTAAATACACCAATCGGCACTCTGTATCTAGCTCAAGGTTTGTAAACACACCAATCAGCACCCTGTGCCTAGCTCAAAGTTTGTGAATGCACCAATCGACACTCTATCTAGCTGCTCTGGTGGGGCCTTGGAGAACCTTTATGTCTAGCTCAGGGATTGTAAATACACCAATCAGCACCCTGTGTTTAGCTCAAGGTTTGTGAGTGCACCAATCGACACTCTGTAGCTAGCTGCTCTGGTGGGGACGTGGAGAACCTTTATGTCTAACTCAGGGATTGTAAATACACCAATCGGCACTCTGTATCTAGCTCAAGGTTTGTAAACACACCAATCAGCACCCTGTGTTTAGCTCAAGGTTTGTGAGTGCACCAATCGACACTCTGTAGCTAGCTGCTCTGGTGGGGATGTGGAGAACCTTTATGTCTAGCTCAGGGATTGTAAATACACCAATGGGCACTCTGTATCTAGCTCAAGGTTTGTAAACACACCAATCAGCACCCTGTGTTTAGCTCAAGGTTTGTGAATGCACCAATTGACACTCTGTATCTAGCTGCTCTGGTGGGGCTGTGGAGAACCTGTGTGTGGAAACTCTGTATCTAACTAATCTGATGGGGACGTGGAGAACCTTTGTATCTAGCTCAGGGATTGTAAACGCACCAATCAGCACCCTGACAAAACAGGCCACTCGGCTCTACCAATCAGCAGGATGTGGGTGGGGCCAGATAAGAGAATAAAAGCAGGCTGCCCGAGCCAGCAGTGGCAACCTGCTCCGATCCCCTTCAACACTGTGGAAGCTTTGTTTTTTTGCTCTTTGCAATAAATCTTGCTACTCCTCACTCTTTGTATCCATGCTGCTTTTATGAGCTGTAACACTCACCGTGAAGATCTGCGGCTTCACTCCTGAGTCCAGCAAGACCCCGAGCCCACCAGGAGGAATGAACAACTCCAGACGTACTACCTTAAGAGCTGTAACACTCACCATGAAGGTCTGCAGCTTCACTGCTGAGCCAGTGAGACCAAGAACCCACCAGAAGGAAGAAACTCCGAACACATGTGAACATCAGAAGGGACAGACTCCAGACGCGCCACCTTAAGAGCTGTAACACTCACGGTGAAGGTCTGCAGCTTCCCTCCTGAGCCAGCGAGACCGCGAACCCACCAGAAGGAAGAAACTCTGAACACATCTGAACATCAGAAGGGACAGACTCCAGATGTGCCACCTTAAGAGGTGTAACACTCCCCGCGAGGGTCCGTAGCTTCATTCTTGAAGTCAGTGAGACCAAAAACCCACCAATTCTGGTCACAAAATGATCTTCCCACCTCAACCTCCCAAGTAGCTGTGACCACAGGTGTGCGCCACTGAGGTGACAGCGTGCTGGCAGTCCTCACAGCCTTCGTTCACTCTCCGCGCCTCCTCTGCCTGGGATCCCACTTTGGCGGCACTTGAGGATCCCTTAACCCGCCACTGCACTGTGGGATTCCGTTTCTGGGCTGGCCAAGGCTGGAGCCGGCTCCCTCAGCTTGCAAGGAGGTGTGGAGGGAGAGGTGCCAGCAGGACGTGGGGCTGCACGCAGCACTTGCGGGCCAGCTGGAGTTCCCCGTGGGCGTGGGCTGGGCAGGCCCCGCGCTCGGAGCAGCTGGCCGGCCCTGCCGGCCCCGGGCAATGAGGGACTTAGGACCCGGGCCAGTGGCTGTGGAGGGTGTACTGGGTCCCCCAGCAGTGCCAGCCCACTGGCGCTGCCCTCGATTTCTCACTGAGCCTTAGCTGCCTTCCCGCGAGGCAGGGCTCGGGACCTGCAGCCCGCCATGCCTGAGCCTCCCACCCACTCCTTGAGTTCCTGTGCCGCCCGATCCTCCCCAATGAGCACCACCCCCTGCTCCGCAGCGCCCAGTCCCATCGACCACCCAAGGGCTGAGGAATGCGAGCGCACCGCGCAGGACTGGCAGGCAGCTCCACTTGCAGCCCTGGTGCGGGATCCACTAGGTGAAGCCAGCTGGGCTCCTGAGTCTGGTGGGGATGTGGAGAGTATATCTAGCTCAGGGATTGTAAACACACCAATCAGCACCCTGTGCCTAGCTCAAGGTTTGTGAGTGCACCAATGGACACTCTGTATCTAGCTGCTCTGGTGGGGCCTTGGAGAACCTTTATGTCTAGCTCAGGGATTGTAAATACACCAATCAGCACCCTGTGTTTAGCTCAAGGTTTGTGAGTGCACCAATCGACACTCTGTAGCTAGCTGCTCTGTTGGGGACGTGGAGAACCTTTATGTCTAGCTCAGGGATTGTAAATACACCAGTCGGCACTCTGTATCTAGCTCAAGGTTTGTAAACACACCAATCAGCACCCTGTGTTTAGCTCAAGGTTTGTGAATGCACCAATTGACACTCTGTATCTAGCTGCTCTGGTGGGTCCGTGGAGAACCTGTGTGTGGAAACTCTGTATCTAACTAATCTGATGGGGATGTGGAGAACCTTTGTATCTAGCTCAGGAATTGTAAATGCACCAATCAGCGCCGTGACAAAACAGGCCACTCGGCTCTACCAATCAGCAGGATGTGGGTGGGGCCAGATAAGAGAATAAAAGCAGGCTGCCTGAGCTAGCAGTGGCAACCCCCTCCAGTCCCCTTCCACACTGTGGAAGCTTTGTTCTTTCGCTGTTTGCAATAAATCTTGCTACTGCTCAGTCTTTGGGTCCATGCTGCTTTTATGAGCTGTAACACTCGCTGCGAAGATCTGCAGCTTCACTCCTGAGCCCAGCAAGACCATGAGCCCACCAGGAGGAATGAAGAACTCCAGACGCGCTACCTTAAGAGCTGTAACACTCACTGCGAAGGTCTGCAGCTTCACTCCTGAGCCAGCGAGACCAGGAACCCACCAATAGGAAGAAACTCCGAACACATCTGAACATCAGAAGGGACAGACTCCAGACGCACCACCTTAAGAGCTGTAACACTCACCGCTAGGGTCCGCGGCTTCATTCTTGAAGTCAGTGAGACCAAGAACCCACCAATTCTGGACACAATAGCTCATTCAAAATGGGGAGGTGAATTAAATGTCTGCCAGATGTTAAGGAAAGACATGCTTATGCCTAGAATCTCAGGAAAATAAGGGGAACACAGTTCGTCCTTATGTCAATGCTCCTCAGAATTACTGCCAAGGCCAACGAAAAACCCTAGGTTCTCTGAAATGTGTGTACCAACCACTTTCATGGAGTTTGTTGGGCTTTTGGTTTTGTTTTGGTAGATTTGGTTGAAACCTTCTTTTTTTCACCCTATAGCCTCCTCATTAGAGAAAATAGCCCTCCATCCACATTCCTTTACCCCATCTCAGGCTTTCTTAGTTTGAGCAAAAGAGGATTTAGAAAACTTAAAAGCTATTGCTAAATATCAATATAGTAATATCAACTCTTAAGAGCAATTTGACAGTGAAAATGCAGCTACCTCCAGTGTGTATACATATTTAAGGGCTTTGTATGAGACACAGATGCAGAAATCTACCTGATTTTTTTTTTATATAACAGCTTTATTGAGCTATAATTCACATATAAAATTCACTCCTTTAAAGTGCATAATTTATTTATTTTTTGTATATTCACAGTGTTGGCCAACCACCACCATCACTATCCAATTTCAGAATGTTTTCATCACCCCAAAAGAAAAGCCTGTACCTATTAGCTGTCACTCTTCATTTCTTCCTCTCCTGGACCCGGGCAACCACTAATCTGCTTTCCATCTCTATGAATTTGCCTATTCTGGAAAATATGTAGTCTTTTTTATCTGAATGTCATGCTCCAGTAATGAGCTCTCTATGTTGTCCTCTGAGCAGTTTTGCCTACATCATCTTCTAGGCAACAAGCACAAGAGAAGAGGCCACCAGGACAGGGGAGTTAGGAATGTACCCAGAATAATGAGCACTTGAAAAGTTGGTATCACAAAGGTTATCACTTTGTCACCCAGTCTAGGCTTCAGTGACCAGGCAGATCTGAGATGATGCAATCATGGGACAGACCTCAGGGTTAGTGCAGTGCGGAGTAGCTGAGGCCTTCGAATCTATCTCCACAGCCTGTCAGGGTGCAGCCCCAGGTCTATTCCTTGCTCAATTCAGACTACGGGGCAAACAGAGCTGCTCAGAACCTTCGTTAGCAGGAAGTATAACGGAATACAGCTGGAAGATATGCTTGATGGTAAAAGCATCACGTTTCTTGTCCTGGTCACCATGGCAATCTAGACAGTCCCTAATCTCAAGTCAACATAGTCACATTCTGCTTCTCCCTCTCTCCTTTAAGGCAGATTTCTTCTGTTGAGAATGCTAGAGGGATAAGGAAATTGGGGAGCTGGCCAATCTTAGGATCCCCCTAAGATATGAAACCTTTCCAGTTGCATTCCTTCTATTTGCAGGGATCAGTCTCAAGCTACCTGCTCCAGTGGAGTGTTGTGTTTCATTTAGTTGCCTTGCTGTCCCCAGGACACATACTGCCCTTTCTTTCCCCTCCAAACTGAGCTCCCCTCTCTTGTTCTTTCTCTTAAAGGCAGTGTCATAGATCCATTTCCTCTGGCTGGAAACTCTATGGTCACCTTTAACTCATCCATTTCCTTCATACCCAACAAAGCATCAGTTTTGAGAATCTATCACCTTGATGACAGTCCTTACTGGACTCCCTGCCTCTATTTCTGCTTCTTAGCATATCAGCCTCCACACCACTCCCAGATGAATCCTTTCAGACATTACTTTTGGCATGTCATGATCATGCTCAGAAGCTGTTAAAGATACCCCATCCCATTCCTGCCTTAGCAATCAACTGGGAAGCTCAGCCCCATGGATTCAGCATCAGCTACCATGCATCAGCAGAGTTTCCATCTGTTCCTTCTCCCTGCCTCTGTCTTGCTCATGTGCCTTAGAGCTCATAGACTTAATTGTCAATACCCCTCCTCCCCTCACCCACACACAAATGGACACAAATGCACATGCATGCATGGTGTCCTAATGGCCCCAAATTTCATGTAGTTTCTCCGGCAAAAAGCACAATCAACCCACTTATTGAGCACCCATTTCATGCCAGGTGCTGCATCTTCATCATCTCCTCCAATCCATGGTAGTAAATGATACTCTTATATATCACAGAGGAAGAAACTGGGGCTCAGAGAGCTTAAGAGAATTGATTAAGCACCAGAGCTGGCATTGGAGCCAAGATTTACTCTGACTCCAAAAACATTTAACCACCAGGTTAAAAGACCAACAGTATCAAAGCCAAACTTCCTCCTGGCATTTAAAGTTTTCAAAAAACCAGTCCCATGAATCAGCAATGCACTCCATCTGCTCCTGTCATTTGTTTCAGATGGGTAGTCTTGTCTCCCCAACTAACAAAGAAGATCCTTAGGGCAGTGATAAAGGCTTTACTCGTCTTGGGGTCCCTCACAGAGATTAGAGAAGGATGCAAAGCATTAGTTCTTGTGGGATGGAATAAAAATGCTTAAAATGCAGTACATGAGATGCTAAGTCTTGCAGAGCAGGCTGTGACCTGTCCTGTGACCTATTATTACAAGTGAAGCACAAACACTTCTAGCAGAAACAAACTAGAAATGCTGCCCAAAAATCCCAATCCAAACTTTGAGAGGAGGTAATAAAACAGAAAAATACATAGACTATCAATGGAAGGATATAGAAGGAACTAATAATAGTGCTTGCCTCTGGTAAGGGAACTTGGGTGGGAACAGACATAGGAAGGAGGTTTTTCCCTGAATGTCTTTTGTACTTTTTGAGTTTTGAAATGTAGAAATACCCTAATAATTTAAAAAGTAAAAAATAAAAATAAAAAATTTTAAAAGGAAAATTGCATAGCTGAATGAGATATAGGATGGTATGGTTTTCACTTTTGTCCTGAAATGGTTTTATTTACTGTACCACTCTATAAAACAGATCCCATTGCATTTTATCTAGCTCTAGGATCTGAGGTCAGTACCCTAAGATGCAGGAAATATGTTTCAAGCATTTCAGGGCATCACAATATTTAACTGCTCCCCTCAACTTGACCACAGTCTTTGTTTATCCTTTAGAGTCACCAGAGCACAGAAGTCTGCATATGTTGGAAATAGATGGGAAGGAAGCTGACACCGTATTCAATAAATCTGCAGGAAGATGGATTCTTCTGTTACCTTCAGAAGTACCTCCCAGCCTCAGCAGCTGGGGTTACTTGCATACAACTATTTGGGAGTCTGGGCCTGAGCGGCAGCCTCATGTCTAGGACGACAGTGCTGAATGATTTGGACATGGCAGTGGGAAAAAATAAGTGCAAATCAAGTTGACTTAGCCACAGTCCTTGGGATCTCCCAGAAAAAACGCTTACCAGACTGACAGATGAGATAGAGGAGGATGGCCAAGTCAATTTTTTTTTGCCTAATAAAATAATCAAAATAATTTTGTTGGTTGAGAGAGTCTGAGATTGAGCAGTTTAAAAGTACAAAGTAAGTAACATCATAAAATGATGCAAGATGCGTTTTGATCTTGGGCTGTACTATATAAATAATTTTTATTTACTTTTTGGGGTAAATAAAAATTAACAGGGATTCAGACACCCCACCAAACCTTCCAAGCCCAATATTCATGTAAGTTTTTAAAGTTCCCTTGGTGCTGCAACCAAGTTCAAGCGTGTGGCACCCTTTTCACCCTTTACTCCCTATATCTCACTTTGCATAAATCTGCAGTCACCCAAGATACCCTAGTATCACACTCTCTCTGTAGACATAATGATATCCAGAAAAATCAACCCCCACAAACAGCCCAAATGGCTAGGGACTGGAAGCACAAATCAATGAGATCAAATGTGAAACTAAGAGAATCATTCTTTGGTGATTAAGTTCTAGGTTAATAGCTAGTGCTACAGCTTTACTATCTGGCTATTGTCTTTGAATATAAAAATAAGAAGTAATCTTGGTCATTCAAGAGGATAGAGGGGATGCTTTGTGAGTTAGAGAGAAAGGAGGCTTTCTCCCATCTGAAGGGGAAGAGGGACAGATAGGTTGCCACTTCCTGTAATCCAGAGTTTCTTAAAGTGGGCCCCAAGGACTGCTCCTCAGGAGGTTACAAACACTCCTAAAACTGCAGGAATAACTGTGGGTCCATCCCAAGGGCATTGTTTTTCTAGGAAGAAAGCCCAAAACTATTTTATCAAATTTCCCAAAGGCTCTGGGATCCATTGATCATTAAGAACTACTCTCTTTGACTACTTTTTCTTCTGCACCTAACCCCACCCACACAGCCCCCTTGGAAGTCCCTACCTGTGTTCCAGCCATAATTTGGGAGGAAGGAAGAGAGAGGAAGAGTGGGAAAATATAGCTAAGAGAATATGGGGTTCTCCACACAACCCCCTACCCAATTTCTTATGCCTTCACTCCCACCCCACTGCTCAGAGGGAAAACTGTGACTGGAGGTGCATGTTTGGGGGTGTACAAGGCCCATGTGTAGGCGCTGGTGGGAGGAGAGGGCAGTGTGCTCCTTGGTGCTGGAGCAAATACATGTGAGTAGGGAATGGTGGCTCTTACTGGCACTGCCCCAGAGAAGAAAGAAAGGAAGATGCCATCTTTCAGATGGATTATCTTCTGGTCTGCCCAACCCACAGGAACTGTGCTCATATGAGCATGGGCATGGGGCTGGGCAGGACCAACCCTGGGAAAGCCCCTGGACCACATCAGTCAAGGAACATCAAGGTTTCCTTTACTTTCATGTGTGCTATGGGAGCTGCCAGCATTCTGAGGTCCTTCATGCCAGGCTCCTACAGGCTCACAGAGCCAGGGACTGGCTCAAGGCAAAGCTGTGATAGAGACAAATGTAATAGAAACTCCAATGTAGTGCTTCCCCTGCTTGTGCCCCACCTCCCATCAAAACTCTCTTGCAGGCTGGGTGTGGTGGCTCACGCCTGTAATCCCAGCACTTTGGGAGGCCGAGGAGGGTGGATCACCTGAGGTCAGGAGTTCAAGGCCAGCCTGGCCAACATGGTGAAACCCCGTCTCTACAAAAATACAAAAATTAGCCGGGCATGATGGCGTGCACCTGTAATCCCAGCTACTCGGGAGACTGAGGCAGGAGAATCGCTTGAACCTGGGAGGCGGAGGTTGCAGGGATCCGAGATTGCGCCACTGTGTTCCAGCCTGGGCGACAGAGCGAGACATTGTCTCAAAAACAAACAACAACAACAACAACAACAAAACTCTCTTGCAGGCCAACCTATCTAAATATCCTGCTGTGTGGATGGAAAAGACTTAATCAGAGAAATGTATCTAATCTCAGGGGCCTCCTGCTGGAGAAGAAGCTTTAGGTTGGTGAACATCATCAAATTTTGCACCTGTGTGTAAGAGAAACTTGAAGTCAGGGAGACCTTTTGTACTGGCACCCCTTAAATCAGATTTCACCATCCCCCATTCAATCCCCAGAGCAGCGGGTATCAAGTGAGGGCTGCACTTTATTTCCCTAAATCTGGTAAAAATGTACATGACTAAGACAAAGTCAGCAAGTGTTATAGATGAACTCAACATCATCAACCAAGTAAGATCTAATTGACATTGAAACGACACTCTACTCACTACAGCAAAATATACATTCTTTTCAAGTGCACATGGGACATTCACCAAGATAAGTCATAGCCTGAGTCATCGTTGTAGGCTGTTCTGTGCTGTTATAACAGAATATCTGAGACTGGGTAATAAACAGAAGTTTATTTCTCAGAGTTCTGGATACTAGGAAGTCCAAGATCAAGGCACTGGCAGGTTTGGTGTCTGGCAAGGACCTGATCCCGCAATGGTGCCTTGAATGCTGCATCCTCTGGAGGGGAGGAATGCTATTACTTACATAGCAGAAGAACAAAGAGGAAGGAGGCAAGAGGAGGCCAAACCTGCCCTTTCATAAGGGCATTAATTCCATCATGAGGGGAGAGGCCTTGGGATCTCATTACCTCTTAAAAGTTTTACCTTTTAATATTGTTACAATGGCAATTAAATTTCAACATGAATTTTGGAAGGGACAAACATCCAAACCATAGCAGTGATAAAATAAGTCTCAGCAAATGTAAGAGTTAAGAACCAGGTGTGATGACACATGCCTATAGTCCCAGCTACTTGTCCCAGCTACTTGGGAGGCTGAGGCAGGAGGATCGCTTGAGCCCAGGAATTCGAGTCCACCCTGGGCAACATAGCGAAATCCCATCTTTAAAAAATTTTTTAGGCCGGGCGCAGTGGCTCACACCTGTAATCCCAGCACTTTGGGAGGCCAAGGCGGGCAGATCACCTGAGGTCCGGAGTTCGAGACCAGCCTGGCCAACATGGTGAAATTCCTTCTCTACCAAAAATACAAAAATTAGCTGGGCATGGTGGCACATGCCTGTAATCCCAGCTACTTGGGAGGCTGAGGCAGGAGAATCACTTGAACCCAGGAGGCAGAGGTTGCAGTGAGCCGAGATTGCGCCAATGCACTCCAGCCTGGGCAACAGAGCAAGACTCCATTTCAACAACAACAACAACAACATAAAAATAAAATAAAAAATAAAAAAATTTAAATAAATTTTTTAAAAAGAATTGAAATTACAGAATATGTTCTTTGACTGCAATGGAATCAAGCTAGAAATCAATAACAGAGAGATAAAAAGAAAATCTCCAAATACTTGGAAAGTAAACCACATAATTCTAAGTAACCCATGGGTCAAAGAGAAAGATTCAAGGAAAATTAGAAGATATTTTGAATGAAGATGAAAATACAACATATCAATTTTGTGGGTTGTGGTTAATGCAAAGCTGAGATGGAAATTTGTAGTGTTGGGGTGCAGAAAAAAATCCCCCAAAACATAGCTCTTTGGCATGCTGACTGCTTTGAAAATTGAAAGGCCTCAGAAATAAGCCTCATAGCCAAGGTCTCTCTCTGAACAACCCCCGCTCGCCATCCCCCACTTCCTTGTTTTTCTGATCCTTTTCCCCCAAGCACAGGGAAGGACTCTCTCTCTCTCTCTCTCTGGAATTTCCTTATCTGCCTAAGAAAGATTTTTTTCCAAAAGAAATGCAATTGTCTTAAGACCTCCACCCTAGGGATCTCATGAAATAACCAGGAAAGATCAACCACTGGAGAAGAGAAGAGACTGGGAGTCATCACCATGCCCAGACAAACCTTCATGGATTCTAAGAACGGCTCCCAGAGATTATCTGAGAGACTTTATTTGCATAATAAGACAACTTTGGTTCCTGTGCAGTTCTGCCTCTCATCTTTCCAAGGAGAATCATTTACAAACCATTGTCTGAGCATTGGGCCTATTTGTTCATCCATTTCCCATTCCCCTATGAAGAGAGCATTTAAGCCTCAACCATCTGGTCCCTCTTTGAGTTCATGTTTTGTATGACTTCCATGCACACATGTGCACATAATAAATTTGTTATGTTTTTCTCTTGTTAACTTGTTTTTTGTTATGGGGTGTTGGCTATGACCTTTTATAAATGGGGAGAAAAGGAATCACCCCCTTTCTGCCCCTACAATGGCATTAAAGGCTTATATAAGAAGAAAGATCTCAAATCAATAATCTAAGCTTCTACCTGAAAAACCTACAGAGTAAAATAAACCCAAAGCAAACCAAAAGAAGGAAATAATAAGGAGCAGACATCAATGAAATTGAAAATAGAAAAACAACAGAAAAAACAATGAAACCAAAAACAGATTCTTTGAAAAGATCAATGAAAATAACAAATCTCTAGCAACACTGACAAAGAAAAAAAGAAAGACACAAATGATCAGTACCAGGAATGAAACAGGGGATGCCAACACAGGCACTGAAGACCTTAGAGGAATAATAAGGAAGTACTTCCAACAACTGTACACATAAATTTGACAATTAAGACAAAATGGGGCCTGGCGTGGTGGCTCTCGCCTGTAATCCCAACACTTTGGGAGGCTGAGGCAGGTAGATCACTTGAGGCCAGGAGTTCGAGACCAGCTTGGCCAACATGGTGAAACCCTGTCTCTACAAAAAATACAAAAACTAGCCGGGTGTGGTGGTGCATGTCTGCAATCCCAGCTACTCAAGAGGCTGAGGCACGAGGATTGGTTGAACCCAGGAAGTGGAGTTTGCAGTGAGCCAAGATCGCGCTGCTGCACTCCAGCCTGGGCAACAGAGACAGACTGTCTCAAAAAACAAACAAACAAACAAACAATAAAAAAAAAAAACAAAGATGAAATGGAATGGATCAATTCCTTGAAAACCACAAACTACTAAAACTACCCAAAATGAATTAAATAGCCTGAATAACTCTATAATTATTAAAGAAATTGGATTAGTTATTTAAGACATTCCACAAAGAAAAGCCCAGGCCCAGATGGCTTCATTGGTAAATTTTAACAAATATTTAAATAGAAAATAACAGCAGTTCTACATAATTTATTTCAGAAAATAGAACTTACCTTATGAGGCCAGCATCACCCTAATACCAAAAACAGACAAAGCTAGTCCAAAAACCAATCAATCAAGCAGTCCATCAGTCAGTCAATTAATCAAATTACAGACCAATATCTCTAACGAATATAGACTCAGAAATCCTCAACAATATATTATCAGATGGGATTCAGCAACTTATAAAAAGAATAATGCACTATGACCAAGCGGAGTTTATCCAGTAACATTTCTAGGAGTTCTTCAAGACCTACAACTCTTCAGTATAAAGAATGTCATTCTGACCTTGGCATACAAGGCTTTTTTTGAGCAAGCCCCTGCCTATCACTCTGCTCCATCTCTCATTGCTCCTGTTCAAGCTAGGGCAGTACCCAACAACTTGGAGTTACCACTGCCCTCCACACACATCCATCTGTTCTAAACCCCTCTCTGGCCCTATCCCAGACCAGCTCAGCCCAGTGCAGTCTTTGCCTTGCTCATTCTCATTCTTCTTTCCTAACTTGGCTTAAATGCCACCTCCTCCAGGTCCCCTTCCCTGACTTTCCAGGCTAGGCCAGGCCCCCTTCTTGGGGATCCCACAGTCTCCTGGGGCTTTTCTCTCTCTCAGATCCCTGGCCAAACTGTATTGGGATTGTCTGTCACTTGTTTGCCTTACCTATCTTTTTAACCCAGGGCCAACACAGAGTAGGTTTCTAGCACTGAGCACTTAAACAGTTGGGAGGCAAGGGGTCCCTCCTATAATTGTAGAGGGGAAAGGTGGTTAAACAAGGGGAACCACTGGAGTCCCCTCAAAGGCAAAGGGGCCAGTGACAGACAGACACCTGGAAATCCTCCTTTATTCCAGGAGGCTGACTGGGGGGTTATCTAAGCCTCATCTCTCCAACTGTGCCTTGGTTGTATGCTGCCCTTGCATCTGTGTGGAGGCAGCAATAAGCCTAGGGTCAAGACTCCAGATGACTCTCTGTTATCTATTTTAAGTAAGTGTGTGTGTGTGTGTGTGTGTGTGTGTGTGTGTGTGAGGGTGGGGGGTGGGTTGTATTAGTCCGTTCTCATGCTGCTAATAAAGACATACCTGAGACTGGGTAATTTATAAAGGAAAAAGATTTTAATGGACTCACAGTTCCACATGGCTGGGGAGGCCTCACAATAATGTTGGAAGGCCAATGATGAGCAAAGTCACGTCTTACATAGTGGTAGGCAAGAGAGAGCTTGTGCAAGGGAACTCCCATTTATAAAACCATCAGATCTTGTGAGACTTATTCACTACCATGAGAACAGTATGGGGGAAACCACTCCCATGATTCAATTATCTCCACCTGGCCCCGCCCTTGACATGTGAGCATAATTACAATTGATTCAAGGTGAGATTTGGGTGGGGATACAGACAAACCATATGGGGGATTGCTGGTTGGGGGGTGGTCAAAAGAGATTAGAAGTGCAAGCCACTCAGTAAAACTGGGGGATTCTAACAGTGATTCTCAACTGGGTTATTTTGCACCCGAGGGGCATTTGGCAAAATCTGGGGGCTATTTTAATTATTGTGACTAGGAGAGGGTTGTGCTACTAGTATCTAATGGGTAGAGGGCTAGGGATGCTGCTAAGTATCCTGTAATGAATATTAATGTTGTGGGGACAGACCTTTAGATAAATGAAAACCCGGCACTGAAAAAAAGATGAAAAAAGAAGAACATTAAGTTAACTGTAATTGACTCAGGGTTATGGGAATATGGATGTATATATATACAAACGTATATGTAAATGTGTGTGTATATATGAATATAATATAGTACAGTAAAATATACATCTTGTGTTCTGTGATTTTGGGAGGGTTTAGGGAAACTAGGCTTTGCTGTAGATTGGATGCTATCAGGAAGCAGGGTCAATTCTATGACTAGGTATTTCAATAAATCTTATCTAGAGAGAGGGCAAGCTAGTGAGGCTGAAGCTGTAATTGGCAGAAAAGCCATCCTCCACAACAAAGAATTATCTGCACCAAAATAATAATGCCAAAGTTGAGAAACCATGGACTAGGGAGGAGTGAAGAATGCGCCCCCGAAATGCCCTGAATGGTGAAGAGATGTGTGCAATGGTCTGAATGTGTCCCCCAAAATTTATGCATTGAAACTTAATCCCCAATGTGATAATATTATGAGGTGGGGTCTTTGGGAGGTGAATGGGATTAGGGACGTTATAAAAGATGTTGAAGGGTCTAGGTGGGTGTGGTGGCTCACACCTCTAATTCTAGTGCTTTGGGAGTATGAGGCAGGAGGATCACTTGAGGCCAGAAATTCAAGACCAGCCTGGGCAACATAGTGAGACACCATTTCTACAAAAAATAAAATAAAACAAATTAGCCGTACATGGTGTCTCATGCCTATAGTTCCAGCTACTTGGGAGGGCTGAGTTATGAGGATTGCTTGAGCCCAGGATGCAGTGAGCTATGATCACGCCACACTCCAGCCTGGGTGATAAGGTGAGACCCCATCTTTAAAAATAAAAAAAGAAAGCTTTAAGGGAGAGCCCTAGCTGCCTTTTGCCCCTTTTACCCTTCTGCCATGTGAGGACACGGCGTTTGCCTTTTCCACATTGTGAGGACACCATGGGAAGATGCCCTTACCAGACACCACGCTGGTGTCATGATCTTGGACTTACCAGCCTCCAGAACTGTGAGAAAATACATTTCTGTTCTTTATAAATTACCAGGTCTCAAGTATTTTGTTATAGCAGCACAAATAGACTGAGACAAGATGGCAAATTACTTTGCTGAAATGGCCGGAATAACTGTATTCACTCAATGTGACTTTGCTCCATGAATCAACCGGGGACCCCTGATGGTATGTGATGGGTAGCTGGCCTTGCTGTTTCAAAATAATTTAGTAGATAAAGGCCCCCTGAAATAAGGGGTCTGATTTAATAAGAAGTCTGATTTATAGACTTTTTGTTTTCAAGTAAAACAGTAACCTCAACTAACACCTAACAGGATGTAACTAAGTAGAGGTTCCCTTGACCTTTGTTAATGAATAACGTAATTAGCACATAATTAGCATGCAAATTGATTCTACTTTTAAACTAGCTGAACTGTCTCACAGTCACTTTTATTCAGATGATTAATTTTCATAGCTTGCTGTTCATTTTTTATAGTTGGGGCAAAGGTAAACCTCAGCTGCCTGTTATAGTACTCATCAAGTATTGTGAGTTACGGCTCTTTCAATTAATGAGACTTCACTCTGTTTTTTTTTTTTCAACTTTTATTTTAGATTCAAGGGGTACATGCGCAGGTTTGTTACAAAGGTATATTGTAAGATGCTGAGGTTTGGAGTACAATTGAACCTGCCACCCAGATAGTGAGCATAGTACCCAATATGTAGTTTTTCAACCCTTACCCACCTCCCTTCCCCGCTCCTTTTATTCCCCAGTGTCCGTTGTTCCCATCTTTATATCCATGTGTACCCAATGCTTAGCTCCCACTTGTAAGTGAGAATATGTGGTATTTGGTTTTCTATTTCTGTGTTGGTTTGCTTAGGATAACGGTCTTCAGCTCCATCCATGTTGCTGCAAAGGACAGGATTTCATTATTTTTATGGCCGCACAGTATTCCATAGTGTACATGTACCACATTTTCTTTATCCAATCCACCATTGGTGGGAACCTGGGTTGATCCCTTGTCTTTGCTAATGACTTCATTCTGTTTTTCAGAAGTCAAACCAAGGCTCCATTTTCATGCCAAATGAAGAGTTTAAAGCTGAGACCAAATCATGTAGAAAAAAAAATATGCATGTGTGAAATACATCTATCTATTCACCTATCTATCTATCTCTCTATCTATCTAATCTATCTATCTGTCTATCAAGCACACATACTCCATACTCTCCAGCAGCAAGGAATAATACACACTATGGGAAACCATGGCCATCTCAAGAAGAGAGTGTTAGAAAGCACTTATAGGACTTGGGCTTGTGTCCTGTGATTTTTGGAGGATTTAAGGAAGCTGGTGTTGGCTCTAGATTGGATGCTATCAGGAAGCGGGGCCAATTCTGTGACTAGGTATTCTTATTTAGAGAGTATCCAGAGAGAGGGCAAGCTAGTGAGGCTAAAGCTGCAATTGGCAAAGAAGCAACGAAGAAGCAGCAATCACTCTTATTAGCCAGGAGAGGGGGACATTTGATTCTTTATGTGGCTTGGGCAATGTTCATGTTTAGTCTTTGTTAAGACATAATTATGGTGTGGTCTGGTTTTTGCCTTCGTTGATCGTTGTCACAGAGTGGCCTTGTCTGATGTTGCCGTTCTGTGAGATTGTTCATGCTCAATAGGAGATCACCATGGTCCAGCTGTAAGTGCAAGGACAGCTACCACCAACACCAAGACCTAGCTGATGGTACCAGGGCAGCTCCTGGATGCCAGGGAACGCATCTCTTTCTTTATGTACATATTACTGTACTATATTGTAGTAATGTGTGTACACACACACACACATATATATGTATATACATGTACATATATCCATATTCCCATAACCCAGAGTCAACTACAATTAACTTAATGTTCTTCTTTCTTGTCATTTTTTCAGTGCCAGGTTTCATTTATTGGTTTTCTTCGCATCAAGACTTTAAGCCTGTTTGGCTACCTTAGGAGACACTGGTTTTCTCTTCTGAAACATTCACAAAGTTAGTATATTCAATTTCACTCCTTCCCCAACATCATTCTTCAGTTCTCCCCTCATTCTATGATGGTCTTTCTCCCTTCTAACTCATTAATCTCTCTTTATCTCCACATCCATCAGAAGCTTCCATCCTACTTGGGATTCACTTGGAATTCACTATGAGGCCACCATGGCCTCTCCTGGAGAGGTTTGCATGTTGACAGCTTAGAGGACCTAGTGGGTCCCTACCCCACATGGGAGAAAAGAGGGCTAGGCTAAAGGAAGGCTGCAAGTTCAGGTACAGCAAATGAGAGGAGGGGTAGGCACTCTGAAATTACACTGTGCAGATTTTAGGCCTCCTCGGTTTTTGGGTGGGGTGGGGGGTGCCCAACTTGATGGAACAGAAGATTTGAATCCAAACACGTGACCAAATTGGGGTTCTGATCATCCTCTGGCTCTTTATCTGATCTTCATCTTACTGCCTGTCACCAGGGAAATGGGAGCCTAACAGCCATGTGTGAGCAAGTGCTGGCTGACTCTTAAGGAAGGAGAGGGTGTCTGGAGAAGAGGCCTTTGGACACTTCTTCGGTAAGGCCTTTCCTGACTCTTCCATCAGATGAAGTCCTCCCTATTATGGTCTCCTTCAAAGTGGACATCTGGGACAAGACTAGACCTGGGTTCTTAACCCGGCTCTGCCAAACTTTTTGACCTATCTGAAGCTGTTTTTACATCTTTTAAAAGGTGCTAACAGTACTACCTTCTTTGTAAGATTTGTTGTGAAAATTAGAGAAAATGCATGCATAGTTTCTGGCACATGGTAGGTACCTGAAACATGGTAGCTCATGTCATCTTTCTCTTCCTCCTCCTCATCATCATCATGGGCCTGCTTGCTCTGTCCTACTGAACTGAGCTCTCAGCAATGAATAAGAAGGGTGAAGGATACACCCTGACATGATAAGTTGTCCACACAGGCCTGGCAGACTTACACAGGAAAGAGAAGACTTCTCCCTCTTCTTACCCATATTCCCTGTTCCCTTCTTCTGTCACCTGAGAGATGTCGTAGTCTCCCCCTATGAAAATCTACTCTTAGGTAAGATTAGGATTGTAAAGGGAGTCTGGCCTTAAGCTAAAGGACAGAAAATCTATGGGGAAACTATTCTATAGTTATATGTATTATTCCTATATATTACTATATACCTAAAACTATTCTATATATCTAAAAATAGCCTATTTTTTTAAAAGATGAGTTTTGGTCAGGAGAGAATTATTAAAGAAGTAACATGTCCCTAGTAGGACACAGTTATTTCCACTGACATGCCATTAAGGGGGCTCCCAATGCTGAAGTTTCCCTGACATTTACTCCTCAGACTTTCAGTTAAAGAGTTAATAACCTGTGAACACATTAATAAATGCAGGCTTGTCTTTCAAAGACTTTTAAGGTATTCCTTCTGTAACCTCAACTTCTAATTTGCCTAAGTACTCCTAGTTTTTTCTTTAAAATGTCCTCATGTTTTCCCTTACCCTCTCCGTTCTTTTCCCACCTCCTCTATTTAATACAATATGAGTCTCCCGGACTCATGAATGTCACCCTAGGCACAGGTTCCCTTATTTCCCTGTCCACAGGGCTGAATTGGAGGCTTCCTGAAAACAGGGGGCAGTACCTGGTTTTAATAGTAGCTTCATTTTATTGAATGCTTTCTTTTATTTTCCTCTTTTTTTTTTTTTTTCTTTGAGACAGAGTCTCACTCTTTTACCCAGGCTGGAGTGCAGTGGCGTGATCACATTCACTTAATTCCCTTCACCTGGTAGGAATACCACTTATCTGATAACCACTAATCTGTTCTCCATCTCTACAATTTTATCACTTCAAGAATGTTATATAAATGGAATCATATCATATGCAACCTTTGGAGGTCAGCTTTTTTTTTTTTCTTTTTTTACGGAGTCTCACTCTGTTGCCCAGTCGCCCAGGCTGGAGTGCAGTGGCATGATCTCAGCTCACTACAACCTCCACCTCCCAGGTTCAAGCGATTCTCCTGCCTCAGCCTCCCGAGTAGCTGGGACTACTGTGCATGTCACCACACCCAGCTAACTTTTTGTATTTTTAGTAGAGACGGTGTTTCACTGTGTTGGCCAGGATGGTCTTGGTCTCCTGACCTCATGATCCACCCGCCTCGGCCTCCCAAAGTGCTGGGATTACAGGTATGAGCCACTGTGCCCAGCCTGAAGGTCAGCTTTTTTCACTCAGCATAATGCCCGTGACATCCATCCAAGTCTTTACCAAGCCCTTGGTTTTGAAGATTTTCTCCTATGTGTCCTCAGCCCCACTCTAGAGAATGGGAATGAAGCCTCCCTTCACTGAAGCTCCATAGGCAATCCATCACAATGTCCTGTTGATTCCGTTTCCTAAATATGTCTGGACTCTGTCCATTGCTCTCCATTTTTACCAGGCCACACGAATCAAAGCTCCTGTCATCATCTCCCACCTGGATGACTGTGGCAGCCTTCCAGCTGTCTCTGCACTTTGACTATGGCTGCCCCCCCTCCCCTCAGTGCAAACTTGATTTGGCCTCTTGCCCAAAGCCCTTCAGTGGCTCCCCAAATTTCTTATGATGAAACCCAAATCCTTATCAAGGCATGTGAGGCTCTGCCTGTCTGGTCCCTCCTTGCCTATTTCCCAGAACTCATCTTGAGCCTCTCTTCCTACCTCACTCAGCCTCAACCTGTGTGTTCTTTCAAAGTACCACACTATCTGGCTTCTGGGATTCCACATTCCTCCACATGTCTGTAAGACAACACTTCCTCCTCTCCTACCTCCTCACCTGGCCTAATCCCGCTTATCCCTCAGGCCTCAGCTGCAGAAGTCACCTCCTCAGGTACACCTTCGCTGACTCCTCCATTGAATGAGGTTCTCCCTATTATAGTCTCTTTTAAAGCACTTAGCACAATTGTTATTAATTATTCATGCAATTAATTAATCTCTGTCTCTCCTATGGACTAGACTGTAAACTCCCAGAGAGGCCATGGCTATCTAGTTCACCCCTGAATCTCCAGACTCCAGAGAAGTGTCAGCTCTTTGTGGATGTTTAGTAGATTCTTCTTGAACACATGAATGAAGGAAAGTAAAGCTGACTGGTCCTAAGTTACTGTGCCTTTAAGACAGGGAGGAAATTTTTGGACCTATAGGGAGTAAGCCAGTACTAAATGACACACTGACCGAACAGCTGGATGTTCAAGAGCGTCATTCCAACGCCCTTTCTCCTTCCCTACTCAAACCTCCCTGTATGCTGGTGAGAGGCCTTGTAAGGGGGAAGGTTTTTACGAGGTGCTAGGGACCCATTTTTGAGTCTTGTATGTCTGCAAAATGTTGGCAGTTTCTTCAGGATGCTGTTCGATTTCAGGTTTGGCAGCGCTCGCTGGAAAGCATCTGTGGATCTTTAAGGGGTAACTCTTAAAGTGTGACTTCATGGTAATGAGAGGTCTCTTTTAACACCCTATCTAAAGGAGCGCCACCTCCTCCCCACTCCCTTCCTTTGTCTTTTCCCCCATTAGGCTGTAAGCTCCAGAAGGGCACCGCTGTATCTCCAGTGCCCAGCACATAGTAAGCACTCCATGAGTACTTATTCAGAGAAGGAATGGTTAATGTGAATGAATGCACGAACAAATGAATGGTTAGGCCAGTTGCTGAAGGTCCCACAAGATGACTGGAAGCCAAAACAGACTGGCCTGAGCATATGCTCTTGTCTTCATACTTCTTGCCTCATGTCTCCTCTGGGAGTTCTGTCCCTTCATTCTAGACTGAGGGCAATAGGAGGGCAGAAACAGTGGCCCCTGGGACACAGCACAGGGCCAGACACAGGGCAGGCACTCAGTAAGGGATTGCTGAATGGCTTGCTGACTGAAAGGCTGGATGCTCAGGAGCCCTCACTGCAACCTCAAACCCTGCTCCTCTGCCATTCGTCTCGTCCTGGCCTCAGCGGTCCTCTCTGCTTTCCAAGTTGGCAACCTACAAATGGATGAACTAATCCAAGCAAATGGCTTCTGACACTTCCCCTCCCAAGGAGCATTTGCATTTTCACATTTCCCTTTCAGTTTCATCCTGGAGCTTCGGTGGAGGCAGCAGTGGAGAGATAGGGCCCCTGGGAAAAGCATCCAGACCCTGGCCAGGGCACAGGGAGGGGAGCTGTTACCTTTCCTTAGCCTGCCTTCCAGGGAGGCCCTAACTTGGTTCTCTTTAGACCCTGGGAAGCCTCTTAGGACATTCTGGGCTTTCAGGGACAGATGAGAAGTGAGCTTCCCTGCCCACCCCACCCCCAGCTGTCATCACCGAGGAGAAGTTGGAAGAAGTGCCTGGGAAGGCTCTGGAGAGCCATCTGTGAGAGGCACTGCCTGCTCGGGAGAGGCCCTAACCCCAGACTGATTTCTCTGCCTTTAAATAGGTCACTGTAAGCTCAGAGCTTGGAAGGAGGGAAGCCGTCTCAGGCAGCATCCCAACACTGCCAGGCCTGCAGCAACAGCAGCTTCTTTAGATGGGAGATTGTGTGGAGAGGGCTGGGAAGCCTAGCCACAATTCTCTGGGGAGAAGCTCTGAGTTGGGGTGGGGAAGGCCTGCATTTTCTTTGTCTTAGCTTTTCCATTTGGTAACCATCTGTGCTGTGGAAAATATCTGGCCCACGAGTCTGTCCCCAGCTGTGTTACTGATTCATTCGCTGTGTCAACCTTGAGCAAGTCACAGTCCTGTTTAGCTTCAGTGTTTGCAAATTGTAGAATGGGGTTGATCTATGCTATGCCTGCCTCAGGAGGATGGTGAGGAGCAAAGAAGATAATGGGTAGGAAAGTTCTTGGTCAAAGTGAGAAGCTTTTTGCTTCTAGCCATTACCTCTCTGGTTCCCCAAAATGGCAGCTGGCCAGTTCCATGGGCTCTGACTTTCCTTCCCTTGATGTCTGTGAGTAAAGTTTTGCCCAGGGCAGGGCACTGTCTACTTGGGATGCTATGAAGGGCTCTTCAAATTCTCACCACTAGGAGCTGAACCACCTTTAATCTGTTAGAGCCAAACCCTTGCTTTAAGCATTCTGCCATTATCAGCATTAACCATCATTTATGAAACACCTCCTAGAGCACAGACTTAAGCTAAGCCGTAGGGATACAAGAAGACCTAGGACACGATCGCTTCCTTGAGCTGAATTAATGAGGACAGGAAAGGAGGAAGAGAGGGAAGAAGACCTTCCTTTTGTGTAGTGTTTTATAATTTACCAAGATTTACCAAGTGTTTTCACTTAACCCTCAAAGATTTTTTATTTTATTTTATTTACAGATGAAATAGAATCTCAGAGAGGCTAAGCAGTTTGCCCAGTGTCGCAAAGCATGTTAAGACCAGGCCTCAAGGTATCTTGATTTTAATTTAAAGGTAGTTTTTTCTACAAAATGTTGGCCTTCTACAATTTCCAGAAAGCCCCTGTTGAGATGTAAGTGAGAGGTGGGATAATATCAGTGCCTTTACTACCCACTGACACCTCAGCAAGAATTATCATAGCAGAGTCCAAGAGAAGAGGATAAACAGAAAGGCCATTTCTTTTTAAATTAAACTTTTATTTTGAGATAGATTCACATGCAGTTGTCAGAAATAATACGGAAAGGTTCCACGTATTCTTTACTCAGTTTTCCCCAATGATAAAATCATGCAAAACTATAGTACACTATGATAAGTAGGATATTGATGTTAATACAATCAAGATGCAGAACATCCCATCACTACAAGGATCTCTCATGCTGCCCTTTTATAACTACACCTACTTTCCTCCCACACCAATCCCCTCCTTAACGTCTGCCAACTACTGTTCTCCATTTCTGTATATCTTTTTAATTTTTAATTTTTGTGGGTATATAGTAGGTGTATATCAATTTCTATAATTTTGTCATTTCAAGAATGTTACAAAAATAGAACCATACAGTATGTAACCTTTTGGGATTGGCCTTTTCCACACAACATAACTCCATGGAAATTCATCCAGGTTGTTGCATGTATCCATACATTTCATTTTATTTTTAAATTGCTGAGTAGTGGGTAGTCTATGGTATGGATGTGTCAGTTTGCTTAACCATTCACCTGTTTGAGACCATCTGGGCTGATTTCAGTTTTTGTTACCGGTAGAGGGTCTCGACTGCAAGTTGTCCAGGTTTTTGGCATTTTGAACAAAAAATTGGACAAAACACACAGCAAAACAAGGAAAGAATGAAGCAATGAAAGCAGAGATTTATTGAAAATGAAAGTACACTCCACAGGGCCGGACACCGTGGCTCACGCCTATAATCCCACCCAGCACTTTGGGAGGCGGAGGCGGGTGGATCACCTGAGGTCAGGAGTTCGAGACCAGCCTGGCCAACATGGTAAAACCCAATCTCTACTAAAAATAAAAAACAAAAAACAAAACAAAAAACACGAAAATTGGCTGGGCATGGTGGCAGGTGCCTGTAATCGCTGCTACTTGGGAGGCTGAGGCAGGAGAATCGCTTGAACCTGGGAGGCAGAGGTTGCAGTGAGCCGAGATCATGCCATTGCACTCCAGCCTGGGTGACAAGAGCAAAACTCTGTCTCAAAAAAAAAAAAAAAAAAAAAAAAGAACGAAAGAAAGAAAGTACACTCCAGTGTGGGAGCTGTGGAGCAGCGGTTCAAGGGCCCCAGATATAGAATCTTCTCAGGGCCAAATACCCTCTAGAGGTTTCTCATTGGCCACTTGGTGTTTACCTCATGTAAATGAAGTGGTGGCCCACAATCAGTCTGATTGGTTGCAGAAAGCTTTCCCCAACCAATCAGAGGCTGAAGTGAAGTTACGAAGGTCACACTCTTATGCAAACATCTCATTGGTTGTGGAAAGCAACCAATCAGAGGCTAAAGAGAAGTTACAAAGTTGCACTTCTATGCAAACAAAGACTTGGCCGCAAAAAGCAAACAATCAGAGGTACTTTCAATTTCCCATCTGCCGGTGGGGGTTTGCAAAAGGAGTAGCCTCTGGTCCTTTTTTACTTAGGTATGGAAAGTTAGGGCTTTCCTTTCAATTTTGTTATAGGAATTCAGGGTGAAACGGCCTTAGGTTGCCTGCCTCCAGACCTTTTTCTCTTGTCTCATTCTGAGCTATTATGAATAAAGCTGCTATGAACATTAGTGTGCAGGCTTGTATGTGAACATAAGTTTTCATTTTTCTGGGAGAGATGTCCAAGAAGTGTAATTGCTGGATCATATAGTAGTTGTATGATTTAGGAAGAATGTTGAACTTTTTAAAGAAATGGCCTACGTGGAGCTGCCCAGAGCACTTTGGGGAGGATGGTGGCCCTCGAGGCTCATGGCTGACAACAAGATGGCTATATCCTTGAGCCAGGAGAGCAGGAGCCCCAGCAGCAGAGGCGGAGACTCTGGTGCGGCTCTCTCCTCCCACTCAGCTTGAGACAGGGGCGGTCAGGCAGTCCAGGGGGATTGGAGGGGGGTTTGCTGCCCGAGAGTGGGAATTCACCAAACATGGAGACTGTTCAGTCACCAGGAGCACAAAGTTATTATCGTGGGACTGGATAACGCAGGGAAAACTATCATTCTTTTCAAATTTTCTGTGAGTGAAGTTGTACATAACTCCCGTACAACAGGAAGTAATGTAAAGGAGACAGTGATTAATAATACACGTTTCTTACTGTGGAATATTGGTGGTCAAGAGTCTCTTCTTTCTTTCTGGAATGTTTACTATACTAACACGGAGTTTGTAATAGTTGTGTGGACGGTACAGACAGGATTTCTGTAACTAGAGAAGAACACTGTAAAATGTTAGCACATGAGGACTTAAGAAAAACTGGATTGCTGATTTTTGCTAATTAACAAGATGTTAAAGAATGCATGACTGTAGCGGAAATCTCCCAGTTTTTTGAAGCTAACTTCTATTAAAGGTAGGATTTGAACGGATGATGTCACCGTTTAAGATCAAATGATTTTTGCTGACGTCTTCTCATAGACTTGGTATATACGAAGTGCTGACCTTTATGAAAGCTGCAAAAATTAATAGTTTAAATATATTTAATAATAAACCTATTTAAGCTTTTTCTATAAGAAGAAAAATTAAGACTACTTACTTGAAAGCAGATAAGTCTCACCTTCCAATTTGCTTTCTCATTAGTTCCCTCAAAAGTAAGTTATTAAAGCTGTGATTGACATTTTTCTCATAATGAATCCTCTCAGGACATTGTGTAGCCTGTGGTAAATACAAAGGGAGAGGAAGACATTTTGAATTTTAAGAGCTTTATTATCAGTATAGCCTTCTTTAGTTGAATGTTGTTCTCTTCTTGTTCTATTAAGTCAAAATGCAAATCAGTACAGATAGCATTTCCAATATTTTAAAATGTAATGCTACTTATGAAAAGTATTTTGCTCATTATCACTGGTCATTAGAGAAATGCAAATCAAAACTACAATGAGATACCATCTCACGCCAGTTAGAATGGTTATCATTAAAAAGTCAGGGAACAACAGATGCTGGAGAGGATGTGGAGAAATAGGAACAGTTTTACACTGTTGGTGGGACTGTAAATTAGTTCAACCATTGTGGAAGACAGTGTGGCGATTCCTCAAGGATCTAGAACTAGAAATACCATCTGATCAAGCCATCCCATTACTGGGTATATACCCAAAGGATTATAAATCATGCTACTGTAAAGACATATGCACACGTATGTTTATTGTGGCACTATTCACAATAGCAAAGACTTGGAACCAACCGAAATGTCCATCAGTGATAGATTGGATAAAGAAAACGTGGCACATACACACCATGGAATGCTATGCAGCCATAAAAATGATGAGTTCATGTCCTTTGTAGGGACGTGGATGAAGCTGGAAACCATCATTCTCAGCAGAGTAACACAGGAACAGAAAACCAAACACCACATGTTCTCACTCATAAGTGGGAGTTGAACATTGAGAACACATGGACACAGGGAGGGGAACATCACACACCAGGGCCTCTTGGGGGTTGGGGGGCTAGGGGAGGGACAGCGTTAGGAGAAATACCTAATGTAGGTGACGGGTTGATGGGTGCAGCAAACCACCATGGCACATGTATACCTATGTAACAAAACTGCACGTTCTGCACATGTACCCCAGAACTTAAAGTATAATAATTAAAAAAAGAAAAAAAAAGAAAAAAAGTATTTTGCGTACAATTGTGTATGTATTGTGTGTATACCTCAAATTCAAGTTAATGGTTTTGTTTTACGTTTTAAAGAAGAAAACAACATAAAAATGAATAATACCCTTATTTAAAACCATAATGGGACAAGTACTGGCATTGGTGTTATGTGACATTTTGTACTTTTCTGCTATGTTCGTAGATTGTACTAACCAACTCCCTAAATCATTGACCTGCTGTTAAAACAAAAAAAGAAAAAGGAAAAAGCTTAACATTGTGTACCTATTTTTTTTGTTGATCAATATCTCACATAGAAACACGTAATTCAACTGAGTGAAATATCTATCAAATTCTCAGCTCAGTATTAATGGGCAGAATTGCACAATGAGCAATTACTGGATTATTCCTTTTATTGGTGTTTATTGCATCTAAATTACTGAATAAATTAATTCCTTAATCAATCTTAAATTATGATTAAAATTATCAAGTGAATTCCTCTTAACAGTTGAAAACTGTTGTATGAAACACGTCTGTCCAGAGAAGTAATACTCTATGAATATTATTAAATAGCTTAGATACAGTCTTTTTAAGTATTAAATTGTATGTCAAGCAGTTAATGTATGTAAAGCAGTTAATGGTATGTCAAGCAGTTAATTGTATGTCAAGCAGTTGAGAGTAAAACTAAGGCATATTTTCCAACAAATCAGTAATTTCTTAATTTGCAAATTTCTTATCCTGGAAATTGGAAAAGTTTGAGAGTTTTTGATTTTATAAGCTTTACTTGTATCTTCTTCCACTACATAAATGCATTGTTTGACAATTATAAAATACAAATGTTTTCTAAATGCTTTTGAGAATTTGATTTAAAAATTGATTGACACAATGTATTATTTGTATTAAAAAGTAACTTGACCCAACTACTTTTATGTTTGCTTAGGGTATTTTTTTTTCATATCTAAAAGTTGAAGGTATTTTTGTCACAACTGTAAACAAACTTACCCTAAATGTCCTAAAACCCATTCTTGGGTTCTCTATTTGCATATCGATCATGCCCTGAAAATCTGAAGGTTAATCCAAACTGGTTTTAAAATATTCAAAAAAAAAAAAAACTTTTAATACCAGTCTTTTAAATTTCATGACAATTTTGGTGAGGAATAATGATATATACTATAAGTACATACATTAACAAAACTTTGAAAGTTCCTTTCTATAAAATACAAAATACTCAATATCTAAATCCAAGTCAGGCAGGGGAGATCAGTGTTTAACATTGGATGTTTTGTGTTTCAATTTCATATTACAGCGTTCAAAATGCAAGTATAACATTTGATCAGGCATGGTGACTCACACCTGTAATCCCAGCACTTTGGGAGGCCGAGGCAGGAGGATTTCTTGAGGCCACAGGTTTGAAACCATCCTGGGCAACATAGCGAGACCCTATCTCTACAGATATATAGATGTTTATATATATATAAACATCTCTATGTATCTCTATGTATGTAGAGATATGTATATATCTCTACAGATATATAGATGTTTATATATATATAAATGTTGCAAGTATAACATTTAATATTTGTCAGCATGCTTTTACAAAGTAAATCTGAAATTACTAAACTTTCTTCATATGGTCTCATACTTTTTCAAATCACTGTGAGGAACTACTTGTATAATAAAAATTCCCTTAAACTCTCCCCTCCCCCTAGAAAGCACAAATGGCCAAGATGTTTTCCAGAGTGGCTGTATCATTTGTCACCCCCACCAGCAATGTATGAATGATCCAGTTTCTCCAAATCCTCACCAGCATTTGTGTTGTCACTATTTTTTTTTCATTTTAACCTTTCTGATAGGTATCTCATTGTGGTTTTATTTTTTATTTCCCTAATGTCTAGCAATATTGAACTCATTTTCATATACTAGTTTGCCATCTGTATATGTGTATATGTTCGTGTCATTTGGTCATTTTCTAATTGGATTGTTTTTCTACTGTTAAGTTTGAGAATTCTTTATATATTCTAGATACTAGTCCTTTATTGGATATTTTCTCCTAGTCTTTTCATCCTCTTAACAGGGTCTTTCACAGAGAAAAAGGTTTTATTTTGATAAAGTCCAACTTATCAATTTTTCCTTTCATGGATTGTGCTTTTGGTGTCACATCTGAGAACTTTTGCCTACACCTGGATCCTGAAAATTTCCTCCTGTTTTTTTTCTAAAAGCCTTCTAGTTTTACATGTTATATTTAAATCCATCATCCATTTTGCGTTATTTTATCTTTTTTGGCCTATTGATGCCCATTTGTTCCAATGCCATTTGTTGAAAAGGCCATCTTTTCTACATTAAATTTCTTTTGCACCTTTGTCAACAATCGATTGGGCATATTTGTGTGGGTCTAGTTCTGGCTTCTCTATTTTATTCATTAATCAATGTGTCCACCCCCCTGCTAATACCACATTGTATTGATTACTGTAGCTATGTAGCAAGTCCTGAAATCAGATAGAATGATTCCTCCCAGTTTGTTCTTTATCGAAATTGTTTTGTCTATTCATAAGTTCCGCTGGCTCTTCATATACATTTTGAATAAGCTTGATGGGATTCTGCATCAGGAGATTTTTGGTGCTGGCTGCCATTCATTCATCAGATATTACTGTGTACCAGTCATAATTCTGGGAAATCTTTCCCTTTTCAGCAAATAGCACTTAGCACAGGTTTGCTGATTGGGGTGATGTTTCAAGCCTCAGGATCAGGGTTCTGAATGACTGTCTATTCTAGGGATTTTCAACCTGGCCTGTATCTCAGAATCACCTGGAGGAGGAGGGCACTTGTTGAAAATGCAGCTTCTTGGACCTCTCTGGGCTTTCTGTCTCTGTTTTATTTTATTTTATTTCATTATTTTATTTTATTTTATCTGTGTATGGAGACAGAGTCTCCCTTTGTTTCTCAGGCTGGTCTGGAACTCGTGGGCTCAAGGGGTTCTCCTGCCTTGGCCTCCCAAAATGCTAGGATTACAGGTGTGACCCCACATGTCTGGCCCCTGTCTCCACCTTTGAATCTTCTTCTTTTTCTTTCTCTTTTAAAAAGTATATAATGTACGTAATGTATATACAGTCTAGCATTCTTATTTGTACTTAGTGGGAAGAATGGGGAAAAGTAGTACATTTATTCCATCTTCCCAGAAGTAGAAGCCTCCACAGGAAGGCTTCGTTTGGCAAAGGAAGCAGGAGGGAGAGGAAGAGATCTGGAGTGTAGATTTTATAAACCTGTCTAGGTGTGGCACCAGGTACCACCACTGGTCCAGGTTAAAGTTGCCCCACGTGGTTCTGGCTGCCTGAGGTAAGAGGTGTTGGGAGAGATGCATGAAGGGACAGGGGAGAGGCCCCAAAACATGACCCAGACCCTCATTACTCAATGGGATCATGCAGAGGTTCCAGGAGGCTTGGGCAGGCCCCATAGCAACCCTGGCCGGGATTCCTGAGTGAATAGGCCAGGCTCCCAGCAGCCTGTAGGTGGCACCTGGCATCAACAAATTCTGATGTGGGCCTTCCAAGGAACCCAGTTGGCTGTGGCCACAGCTGGTTGATCCCAGTAGTGAGCTCAGCTGATTCAATCAGTTCTTATTCTTGTAAGCCCACAGGGCTCCACAGTGAGGCTGAGCTCCTACCTCAGAATGCAGTGACTACCCTGGACATGGCTGCTCAGAAAGTGGGAGATTCTCACAATGCTTTCTTGGGTAACTAGTGGGCAAGAAGAAACAGATTTTTATTTTTTTATTTTTTATTATACTTTAAGTTCTAGGGTACATGTGCACAACGTGCAGGTTGGTTACATATGTATACACGTGCCGTGTTGGTGTGCTGCACCCATTAACTCGTCATTTACATTAGGCATATCTCCTAATGCTATCCCTCCCCCCTCCCCCCACCCCACAACAGACCCCAGTGGGTGATGTTCCCCATCCTGTGTCCAAGTGTTCTCATTGTTCAATTCCCACCTATGAGTGAGAACATGCGGTGTTTGGTTTTCTGTCCTTGCGATAGTTTGCTCAGAATGATGGTTTCCAGCTTCATCCACGTCCCTACAAAGGACATGAACTCATCCTTTTTTATGGCTGCATAGTATTTCTTGTGTATGTGTGCCACATTTTCTTAATCCAGTCTATAATTGTTGGACATTTGGGTTGGTTCCAAGTCTTTGCTATTGTGAATAGTGCTGCAATAAACATACGTGTGCATGTGTCTTTATAGCAGCATGATTTATAATCCTTTGGGTATATACCCAGTAATGGGATGGCTGGGTCAAATGGTGTTTCTAGCTCTAGATCCTTGAGGAATCGCCACACTGTCTTCCACAATGGTTGAACTAGTTTACAGTCCCACCAACAGTGCAAAACTGTTCCTATTTCTCCACATCCTTTCCAGTACCTGTTGTTTCCTGACTTTTTAATGATCACCATTCTAACTGGTGTGAGATGGTATCTCATTGTGGTTTTGATTTGTATTTATCTGATGGCCAGTGATGATGAGCATTTTTTCATGTGTCTGTTGGCTGCATAAATGTCTTCTTTTGAGAAGTGTCTCTTCATATCCTTTGCCCACTTTTTGATGGGGTTGTTTGATTTTTTCTTGTAAATTTGTTTAAGTTCTTTGTAGATTCTGGATATTGGCCCTTTGTCAGATGGGTAGATTGTAAAAATTTTCTCCCGTTTTGTAGGTTGCCTGTTCACTCCGATGGTAGTTTCTTTTGCTGTGCAGTAACTCTTTAGTTTAGTTACATCCCATTTGTCAATTTTGGCTTTTGAGAAAGTTTTTTTATCTCACTTCTTTTGAAGCTTTGTTTGAGAAAAATTCTGTTTCTTTGAAAATGAGCTCATCGAGCATCAGGAGATTTTTGGTGCTGGCTGCCATTCATTCATCAGATACTACTGTGTACCAGTCACAATTCTGGGAAATCTTTTCCTTTTCGTTAAATAGCACAGCACAGTTTTGCTGATTGGGATGATGTTTCAAGCCTCAGGGTCAGGGTTCTGAATGACTGTCTATTCTAGGGATTTTCAACTGGGCCTCTATCTCAGAATCACCTGGAGGAGGAGGGCAATTGTTCAATATTCAGCTTCTTGGACCTCTGTCGGCTTTCTTTCTGTGTTTTTTATTTTTATTTTTTTATTTACTTTTTTAGAGAGGGTCTCCCTCTGTCACTCTGTTGTCCAGGCTGGAACCCTCCCTGGGCTCAAGCGATCCTCCCACCTCAGTCTACCAAGTAGAAGGGACTAGAAGCATGCTCCGCCATGCCCGGTTAATTTTGCTCATATTTTTTGGAGATGAGTTCTCACTTTGTTGCCCAGGCTGGTGTCAAACTCTTGGGATCAAGTGATCCTTCCGCCTCGGCCTCCCAAAGTGCTAAGATTACAGGTGTGAGTCACTGCACCTGGCCCTGTCTGTCCTTCTGCACTTGAATGGACCAAACACATTTTTATCACAGCAAGATCTCTGCACTTGCTCGTCCTTCTGATATAATGCCTTTTCCATGGCTGGCTCCTTCTATCCATTCAGGCCTCAGCAGAATGTCACCTCCTCAAAGAAGTCTGTCCTGGTCACCCTATCTAAAACCATAACCCCACCCTAGTCTCTCCTTATCACCTCCATGTTTTGTCTACTTCATAGCACTCATAGATGCCTGCTATTACCTTCTTTCTTTCTTGCCTGTTTTTTTCACTAAATTGTAAGCTTCTTGTGGACAGGGACTCTTTCTTCTTCAGTGTTGGATCCCTGGTACCTACCATGGTGCCTGGCATATAGCAGGTATTTTCTGGATATTAGTTGATGTTCCAGTTGAATGACTGAAGGTGAGCTTGAGACTCTTTTTGTTAAGCAAGCACTCCAGATGATTCTGGTGCCCACTCAAATTTGACAACAAATGACCAAGTGCCACAGATAGAGAAATAGAGACTGGGCTGAATGTGATGTGCTCAAAATATTCTCCACTTCAATTTTTTTTCCACTCTCTTGTGATATAAAAAGAGATAGCTCATTTTCCTATAAGGGGTTGAGGCAAGCCAGGAGAAAGTTGCTGGTTATTTGAAGTCACTGGTCAAGAAGTTTCTAGTTCATTGAGGTTCAGGTCTGGCTCCAAGGGAATTAAAATATTTTTGTATTCCAGTCTGAGAGTTTATTACAGCACATCTATGACTTTTCAATCCATTCCTGACTTACATTCATAACAAAAACCGGTGTGATCTCCCTGTGTGCACAGCAGTTAGCAGTAGAGATTTGGCAATCAGAGTGAACCCAATCTAAAATTGTTTTAAAAATTCATCACAGCAGGCTAGGTGCGGTGGCTCACTCCTGTAATCCCAGCATTTTGGGAGGCTGAGGGGGGTGGATTATTTGAGGTCAGGAGTTTAAGACCAGCCTGGCTAACATGGTGAAACCCCATCTCTACTAAAAATACAAAAAATTGGCCGGGCGATAGTGGCACAAGCCTGTAATCCCAGGCTACTCGTTAGGCTGAGGCAGGAGAATCGCTTGAGCCTGGGAGGTGGAGGTTGTGGTGAGCTGAGATCTGCACTCCAGTCTGGGTGACAGAGTGATACCCTGTCTCAAAAGAAAAAAAAGTGTCACAGCACTCAGCAAAGCATATGATTTCCACATGCCTAAGGAAAAGTGGACTTGCTGCATTTCTTCACCAGCTCTGTGCCCTTCCTCATGACTGCCATATTTACAGCTGGATCCAGATTGCATGGAAGAACCAGCTGCTTTGTTAACACATGGGTTCCTGGTTTGGCCCCACAAGCGTGGCTATTGCCTTGGCATCTGGCACCAGGCTGGGGATGGAGAGGCAGTGATATAAAAAGAGATTCAGGCCGGGCGCGGTGGCTCACACCTGTAATCCCAGTTCTTAGGGAGTCCGAGGTGGGCGGATCACGAGGTCAGGAGATCGAGACCATCCTGGCTAACATGGTGAAACCCCGTCTCTACTAAAAATGCAAAAAATTAGCCGGGCGAGGTGGCGGGTGCCTGTAGTCCCAGCTACTCGGGAGGCTGAGGCAGAAGAATGGCGTGAACCCGGGAGGCGGAGCTTGCAGTGAGACTAGATCGTGCCACTGCACTCCAGCCTGGGCGACAGAGCGAGACTCCATCTCAAAAAAAAAAAAAAAAAAAAAAAAGAGGTGGGAATTGAACAATCAGAACACATGGACACAGGAAGGGAAACATCACACACCGGGGCCTGTTGTGCTGGGCGACAGAGCGAGACTCCGTCTCAAAAAAAAAAAAAAAAAAGTGGTGGGAATTGAACAATGAGAACACATGGACACAGGAAGGGGAACATCACACACTGGGGCCTGTTGTGGGGTGGGGGGAGGGGGAAAGGGGGAGGGATAGCATTAGGAGATATACCTAATGTTAAATGACGAGTTAATGGGTGCAGCACACCAACATGGCACATGTATACATATGTAACAAACCTGCACGTTGTGCACATGTACCCTAAAACTTAAAGTATAAAAAAAAAAAAAAAGAGAGATCCGGAGGATCACAGGACTGCACAGTGATAAGTTGGTGACAGAGGGGCTCCTTGGAGAGTTGTTCAAAAGGCAGGGTCCTGCTCTCCTCCTGCAGTGGCCAGATGGCTGGGTGCTGAATGTCCCTGCTCTAATGGCCTCTGTAAGTGTGACCCAGAGTGCATATGCCACCATTTCCCATCTGTGGTTTCTCACAACCTAGTCTTGTCATCAAAGGCAGCTGGAGCCTGCCCTTGAAACCCTGGGTCCTGGGCAGAACAATGGGACCAAGAGAAAAATGGGGCCAGTGTCCTCCAGAAGGGCCATTGTTGGAGAGATATTAACTGGCTCTTTGGGCTCTGGGCCCCACACAATTTGTCATCTGTTGACCCTTGCTCACCAGGCCCCCAAAACCTGTGGCTCTTTGCATATGTAGTCTCCAGGGTCCCAGAGGAATGTGACTGTGACCAATGGCAGTGGAGTCTGTTTTGTGGGGGTAGTTGGACTTGTTCTGAGCATGCTGGTTACTCTCTTCTTATGGTTTTTGTTATATCCACTAAATAAGGATTCACTTTTATTTTTTATTTTAAAAATTTCATCCAAGAGACACTCAAGATTCGATTTAGGTAAAATCAGATGTTCTGTGTTGCTTATTTACCAGGAGTTGTGGAGGTTTCTTTTGGTCTTATTTGTTTGGTGCTACTCAGCTGGCATCCTTATTAAGTACCACTTACAGAATTTCAAAATAAGGATCAGGGTATATTCTGAAGAGCAGATTACAGGGCTCCCCTCACAGTGTTGTAGACTGGCTGGACTTCAGAGAGCATCCTTTAGAGGGTTGGGCTGGTTAAAATGCCTTCATGGCCTTCTGCATAGAAAAATTGTTTAAAGAAATAACCAAAGTTATTGTAAACAAAACTAATTGAAACAAGGGAATAGAGAAGGAGTAGGTTTTGGGAAGGATGGCTACCACTTCTCCATTTGCTGCTAACATGGTGCTAAAGTAGGACTTCCATTTGGAGAATCTGAGAGAGGGAACAATTACCATTTGAATGGTGAAGCACTGATTCAGTGCACTCAATTAGGGGTAACATCATCACACTAGTGGGAGTGGCAAATTGATGGCCAGCCCTGAGTGAAGATTAGAGGCAGGTATCACACTCTGTGGTCATTTCCTTCTGGCCTAGCACACATCCAGATGAAATTTGGGGAAATGCACATCAAGGACAGTCATAAAGGGAAAAAAGAAGGCATGGAGATATCACTAACGCAGATTAAAGAAAAGAAAGAGGATGGGCAACCTACACCAGTGTGTGCGACCGGACAGAGCAGACTTCTAGGTCTTTCTAAGCCCAGCGGAGACTCCACTGTCTTCTTATCTCCACCTCCCTTCTACTTCCTCCTCCCTACCTACTGCCCCCTGGATAGTTTTAGCAGCCTGGTCCTATGTAAGTCCACTAGAGAGGAAGGGGCCAGATGGATGCTATTGGCTATCACTCTGCTATATCTAAGGAATGGCTTGGCTTGTACTGCAGTGAGCCAAAGAAAACAACAACATGAATAAGAATAACTAACATTTATTGAGAGTTTGTGGTGTGCCCAGGCCTCATTCTGAGGTATTCACCCGGAAAATCTCATTTAAACCTCACATCAACCCTCTGAGGCAGGGACCATTGTCATCCCCATTTTATAAAGAAGTTGCAGTGGTAGAGGAACATATGCTATAAAAAAATGGAGATGTGGTTAAGTCAACTCTGCAGATGGCTATAGGTTTATTTACCTCCCAAGCAAGAACCACAGTTTTTTTTTTTTTTTGTATGGGGAGCTTATGGGGGGAAGGTCCCTTCAGCATTTCAGGACAAGAAGGGAGAGGAGGGAGCCTCTTTGCAAATGTTTGCACACAGGTAGGGATGTCACTCTTCACCCTCCACCCCCATATCCTCCTGCATAGAAAACCTGTTTGATTATTATGAGACCTTGCTAAGAAACCTCACAAATTGCTAGCTTTAAGAACTTTGAAATCCACTCAGGAAACATCTTTTTTATTCCAAGCTTTAAACAGCAGGGAATTAGGCCTGTTAATGGGATCTCTGCTATTTTTTTTTTTTTTTTTTTTGCTTCTGGAGAGGGTATTGGTAACTCTCAGTTTCATGTCTCTTCATAAAGTGCTCTGACCTTGGAATGTAAATGATGATTATCATTATTGTGCTATTAGCAGAGTAGTCCTTGTACATGTAGTCCTTCATATACAGCAACTGGTCTTCTCAATTCCCTAATGAGGCCTGCTTGGTGTGGTTCTGCCATCTTAGCAAGATCAAGAGGTTTTGATTAACTGTTATGACTTTAAAGAACAGCAAGCAGGAAATTAAATAGTTCTCTCTTGGCCTTTAGTACATGTGTCCACTGGCAGATTTAGGTGGATCAGATAAGGAGGTTAATTGTTTTTAAAAGCAGTCTTATGAAGATATTAAATAAAATTTATAGGAGCCCATTGATTTGGACTGAGCTCCTGCGCTAGACCCAACAGACCAAACCAAAACAGTCACTCATGCCAAGGTTGCATTTCACCAAGCTGAAACTAAGTTGTTTATCTGATCTTCTGAGAAATCAAAAGAGTGAGAGAGAATAGCCAAATACCACAAGCCAGTTTTAGCCAGCATGATAAGTCCCCTCTGCTTTAACCTTTACAAGGAAAGTAACTTTGGAATTTGCTTTTTGTTCTCTGTTTCTGCTCTCCTCGGCCCTTTTCTGTCTATAAAACCAAACTCCCCTGCTCAGTTCATGTGAACACTTATTCTATTTTATAGAATGAGGTGCTGCTAGATTCTAGAATCACAATTAAAGCCAATTCATATCTTTAAACTGTATTTGTTGCAATTTTGTCTTTTGACAGAGATATAATTCACATTTCACATACCAAGTCACTCACCCTAATTTTTTTATATAACTTTTGATTATGGACATTGCTAAGCACACACAAACAGTAGAGAGACCAGTGGAATGAATTCCCATGTACCCATCTCCCAGCTTCAACAAAGAGCAACTTATGGGCATTCTTGCTGGAGCTATCTTGCTGCTCCCCATGCCTGTCATCCCCTCATAGCTGGGTGTATTTGCAAACAAATCTCAGACAACAGATCACATCATCTGTAATACTCCAGTATGCATCTCTAACATAGAAAGGATTTAAAAACAACATGCCCACTGGACCTAGTCTGTGTTCACATTTCTAGGTCAGAGGCCTCTGTGATGTGGGGTCCTTGAGCTGCAGAGTGGCTCATGAAGGGGCCTCAGAAGATATATATACTCCCTGAAAATATATGCAAAGGGTTATGTGTGTATATTTTCAGTGGAGGCCACCAAAGTAGTGTGGGCCTCTGTGTGTATGTGCCTGTGTGGGAAAGAGGAGAGACCCAGAGCTTTCAACAAATTCCCAAAGAAGTATATGATCCCATAAGGGCTAAGAGTCCCTGTTCTAGATGAAGGGGCTCGGATGTCCTGGTCCTGCTAAAAGATTTTCAGTGACCATTCCCAGGTGGCAGATTTGCTGGGAAAAGTGCTGAGAAATGTCAGGCCTGGCATGGAAGCTTTACCCATTCTTGCCTGTACTGTATGGCAAACGCAGGAGGCCATATAGTGTCACCAGGGCCCTAAAACTTCTGAATGTAGAAGAGCCCCTGGTGCGGTGTTAAACATGTGGATTCCCAGGCCCCACCTTTCAGGATTCTGAGTCAACAGATCTGGGGTGGGGCCTGGGAATCTGCTCATGTTTACCGAAATCCTGCTTTGAGAAACACAGGTGCAGTGATTAAGAGCATGGGCTTTAAGATTCAATAGACCTGAGTTTAAATCTGGGTTCTGCCTCAGATTAGCTGTGTGACCTTAGGCAAGTCATTAAACCTTTCTGTGAAGTGGACCTACTTCTAGCACCTCTGCCCTAGGGCTGTTGTAAGAATTAGTTCAGGTAATGTAGGTAAAGCACTTCTACATACTGCCTTGCATGAAGAATAACGCTCCATTGGATGGAAATTCTTTATTTATGTATTTATTTCTAGAGATGGGGTCTTGCTCTGCTGTCCAGAGCTGGAGTACAGTGATGCAATCATAGCTCACTGCAGCCTTTAACTCCTTGGCTCAAGCGATCCTCCTCCCTCAGCTTCCTGAGTAGCTTGGATTACAGGTGTGAGCCACCAAGCCTAGCTCAGTAGTTCTTATTCTTGTTAAAAATATCCCAGAGTGAAAGACGATGGAATGGCTCCCCTTCCTTCCCCCAGGATTATAAGGGTTTATTGTCCTTTTCATGGAATTGTAGAGATTCAAAAGGTATCAGAAAGTCAGAAAGTTCATATGATTCATGGGCCCTTGGGCCTCCACTGATTTCAGCTAACAAGAATAAAGCCCAGAAAACTGTAGAGCTTAGTGCTTATCAAGCTACATAGGCCAGGGTGAAACTGGAATGTTTCTTTCCTTAGGTGCCTTCAGGGATTGGCGGTCAAGTTATATCAGTTTTTAGGAACATAGTGCATCAGTCAGGAAACCCTTGATAATGAAGTGAGCCTGATTTGGCAAATATATTTCTTTAGCTACACTGCAAACTCCATGAGAGAATGTGGCAAGTCAGGGCCAGTCCATCTCACATGTAGCAAAAACAACTCAAAACCAATGCAGAAGTTTTGACTAGTGACACCTTCCTACACAGAGGAGGGCCTACTATCATGCCAATGACTTTTTCTAGCTTCAACAATTTGGTGGCCTTTGGCGACCCAAGGCTGGGAGGTACTGCAGTTTCTTCTTTAAGTACAGAAAGGCCCTGCTACACTTCAGACTCCCTGAGGGCAAGGTCTTGTTGAGGCCCCACTAGAAAACCTTAGTATCCATCCAGGACCTGGAGCTTTAACTCAGAATAATCTGTTCATGTCCTTGAGACCTATAGTTATGCCTCAATTTCCTACCCCTACTCCCACTTCTGCCATCCCTAATGTAATTGGGCTTTCTCACTTTGCCCACACCCTTGTTTTTCAATCCTGCCTCCACTGTAGTGTCTACCTGGTGCCTGACATTTCAGGTCTTATCTCTTGTTTCTCACTCTGCACTTGCCCTTGGAAATTAACAACCGAACATAACCTTCCTCACACTAACCCTCTGGCGTCCCAGGAAACATCTTGTACGTTTTTGGAGACTTGAGGTAATTGTCTTGCCTGAGTATATTCAACTCCTAGGCATCCTTCTCAGGGGAGCTTGCCTGGTCACCCCTCTACTCCCAGAGGGGTGACCAGAGAAGCTCTGGATGCACACGAGTGTTAATGGACTCTAGAGAGGACTTGCTGGCCACGTCTCTGTGCATGGGATGACTAGTGACAAAAGTGAATGAGTGAGCTCCCTTTCTTCTTCTAACCAGGGTTCCTGCCTATCCAACTGTGCCCAAAGGCCCAGGGACAGGGCAATGGCTTTTTAGTATGAGAAAGAATCTTTGGGGTCAGGCTGGGGCTGATCCTGTGTCTATTTTCTGATGGGTGACAAGGATGTAGGCCACTTTTCTTCCCAGAGGTAGGGTCAGTGGAGTCAGTGGGGACCTAGGCCTGAGGTCTAGATAACTCTGGCCTTCTCAGCCAAGTAGAACCTTAACTGATCAGAATCCTGGGGAAGGGGCTTAGTAGGAATTTCTGAGAAACTGAGGCTCAAACAGAAAGCCTATTTTGTCACCCTCCTTGTCAGAAGAGTTACCACAATATCTGAGGCTACCTTCCTGCCTTAATGAGCTCAGCCTAGTGACTGTAACGAACCTTCGTGAGGTGGTTCATCTTCTTGATTATCTGGAATCATTGCCCAGGCTAGGGATAGAAATCAACAAAGTATAAAACTGTGGCCTCAAGCCGGGCGCCGTGGCTCATGCCTGTAATTCCAGCACTTTGAGAGGCCAAGGTGGGAGGATCACGTGAGCTTAGAAGTTAGAGACACGACTGGGAAACATGGCAAAATCCAGTCTCTACAAAAAAATACAAAAATTAGCCAGGCATGTTGGCACATGCCTGTAGTTCCAGCTACTCAGGAGGCTGAGGCATGAGAATCGCTTGAGCTCTGGGGAGTTTGAGGCTGCAGTGAGCCGCGATTGCGCCCCTGCACCCTACGGTTACAGCGAGACCTTGTCTCAAAAAAAAAAAAAATGACTGTGATCTCAGTGTATGTCCAGGTATTCATGCATTGGTGCGTTCATTTGTTTGTTTTGTTTTGGAATGTTCATTTTTCTTCCCAAAACAGAGTTGAGAAAAATGTCTGAGGGGGTCCAAGTAAATGACCCTTTATCATCCTAAGAAACATAATCTTCCAATGTGGAATAATTTTGGTTAAGGATAACCTTGGCACTTAGAAAATCAGACAGAAAGCAGCATCCGAGGAAGGCTGCCACTGCCAAGGCCAGCTTTTCCTTGGTGCCCTGAGACTAACTTTAAGTTGGGTTTCTTTATTCATTTTAATTTTCTCATGGGGAAGCAGCCCAGGGGTTAGTCAATGAAAAAACCTTTGTAGTTTGGGGCTATGGAGGACACAGATAACTGTGGAGGACACAAATATGAGGCCATGGAGGACACAGAGAACTAAGAAGAAAGAGCCTCTGCCATCAGCCCCTGGTAAGCCAGTTGAGGAGACACAACATAGATCTGGCATGAGATAGTTTAGTACTTTTCAAAAGATGTCCCCCAGATCCTTATTCTGATTTCATAGGTCTAGGGTCTGGCACAGGAATCTGTTTTGATCACATTCCCCAGGAGACTTGGGGTCTATGGCAAGTCACTTCTCTTTCTGAGCCTCAATGTCTCAGACTTGCCCAGGCAATGAACTTTACAGGAATTCAGAGGAGAAGGAATCCCTTCCTGGGCTCGGGTGAGAATGTTTTTTCTTCATGGAAAAGGTCCAAACTAGACCTTGAGGGATGGAGGGAGGATTTGAAAAGGGCAGAGGAATTATGTGACTAGAGGATCAAGACTATGATAGTGCCACTGCCCTGTTTCTCTTTGTGCTTCTTCTCAGGGGAGTGGAGATGGAACAGTTGGGCCCGGAACAAAAAGTCATTCACATTGAGTACCAGCCAAGGCCAGAACTCAAGTCCCTTGAAATTTCTCAGATTCCATCCCTGCCAAAGTCTGGGAGCTCTCATTAGACACTGACCTGTTGTTATAGGGAATAGGGACTTAGTGAGGCCATGAGTTCATTCCACAAACCTTTTCAAATGCCTTCTTTGGTCTCAGTCTTGTGTTGAGTGCTAAAGATAGAGATCAATAAAATATGGTCCCTGCCCAGGAAGGGCCTCAGTTTGAGCAGACAATTACAGTACGAGGAGCGTGTTCAAGGTCTTATATGGAACATTAGCATGCAAAGGAGAGGCTGTAGTGAAGGGAGGACATACAAAGAGGAGGTGAGGTTTGAGTAAAATTTGAAAACTGAGTAAGATTCACCAGGTCAAAGGAGGGGAAGGGGAGCACTTTTTGGATAGAGGTGGCATACAAGAGTAAAATAGCATGGCATGCCAATAATGAATTAGGGCAGCTCATAGACCTATAATCTGTCCCTCCTCTTGTTGATGTAAACTATCTGAGGCCCCCATGAGAAGAAAGAGTGTTGGAGACAATTTAGCTGTGGCCAGGGCTTGTGTCTCTCCAAGTATTTTCACTTCACTGCAAAGGCTCTGGGAAGACAGGGAGGTGTTTTGAAAGCAATAAATTGACCTGGGCAGATTTGACTTTTACAGTGTTCCCTCTGGTGGTTTTGTACATGGCAGGGGGATGAAATTAACTGAGTAATAGCAAAGGAGATATTGAGAAGAATATTGTTCCAGTCCAAGGAGAGTTGATAAATTGGGGCGGAAGACAAGCCATAAGTGCATTAGAGAGCTATTTAGGAATTCAGATCCACACAGCTTGTGGATTAGTTGACAGTCATGTGCTGAGACAGAAGGCAGTGCTGAGGATGACCTTCTATTTCTTAATTTGGCAAATTGGGTGGTAAAGAGAGGCTTAGGAGATTATGAATAAAGAGGAGAGAAGGAGCTCAACTTTGGACAAGTTGAGTTTGAAATGCCCATGGGACATCCAGGTGGAGATGTCCAATAGCAGCTTGATAACAAGAGAGAGGCCCAGCTTTGAGGTGTTTCTGAGGAGGGATTTCTGGATTCTGTGTGAATTCCCTCCTTATGTGTCCTTTTGCGCTTTTATTACACTTCTAAGAATAGAGTTTGCTGATATCCCCAAATCTATATTTTCCCCTCCCTAATTCTCCTATGTCCGCCATTTGTAACAGGCCACATATGTACCCTTGAATTTCCATGTTTCCTAAAGACATTTCCTTAAATTGTGAGGACAAGTAAAAGAGGACCTCGGATCACCACTTCCTGACTCCTTGAAGTCAAGTGTGGATATTCCAAAGGCAACCGAGCATTTATTCAAGATTCTGGAAATCACATCTACTTTTTTAGGAGTAGGGAGGAAGAAACAGTGGGCCAATCCTGTGGACATTCTGCCTTGAGATCGGCCCTCCTGGGATGGGTTCACATCACCATCATGAACATAAAAGAGTTAACATTTCTTGGAGCATTTCTTATATGTCAGGCACTATGCTGCAGACTTTTCATGCAAGATCTCACTGAAACTTGGTAACAGCCCTAAGGTAGGACTATTATTATCCCTGTTTTTATAGATGAGAAAACTAAGGCACGTGGAATGTGAGTGACTTGCTCAAGAACCCAGAGTTAGTACTCAGTAAAGCTGGGTTTTAAGCCTGCAGCTGACTGACTCTAGAATCCCTGTTCTCAACCATACTTGATGCCATTTAACTCTCATTTTTATTGCTTTTCTTTCAAAAATTCTTCTAATTTTCTTTTATCTTTGGTAAGTAACCACCTGATTACTCAGCTAGTCAGTCAGCAGCCTGGATTGCATACTAGTTTTACAAAGAAAACTCCACTACATGTTGAAGATGGGGTGTGAGACAAAAGAACTAGAAAGCATGGTTCCCGTATCCAAAGACCTATCTGGCTTGTGCACCCATGAAATGACTTGAGTGTGATTATGCAGTGTAGGGCCAGATAGAATTTATAAGGTGGCAAGGCTTCCTGGAGGAGATGTTAGCTGTTTACCCACCTAGAAGGAAGAGAGACAGATGGGGTGAGGAATTGGAGGCACCAGAGAGAACATCTGGTTACTAGATTCTGGTCCAAACTTCTCATTTCCTAGATGAAGAAACATAGCAAAAGAAAAGTGGGGACCTGCCCAGGTTAGGGTCCCTGACATCCCAGTTAGTGGGGCAGGAGAGGCTGAAGACCAGCATGAGCAAAGTCCTAGAGGTGCTGACTGAGAGGTCAAGCACAGAGAAGAATCAGGCCAGGCACAGTCACAAAGCCACCTTGTCCAAGGCACACGTCAGCAAAGTTTGGGAAGTTTTGTTTTGATTCCACCTACTCTGTGGGCTTCCTTTGACTCTGGCAACAATGTGCAGCTTGCTCTTGCCATGTGCCTCTGCAGCCCAGGCTGACAGTGTACATTTCATTAGCCTGCCCATGCTGAAGTCATACCGTCAGTGGAACATGCTTCTGGCTTCTATTTACCCAACACAGAATATTTCCAATAAAGAACTAAAGCTGCTTTATTCCAACAACAACTTACATATTTTCAAACAAAGGAACCATAGAGTCTTCATTTATAAACTTCTAGCTGCCCTGGTGTTGGGTCAGGAAATACCAGTTTTTTACATGGTGTCAAAAATTAATTGACTTTGCATTTCCTCCCACAAAAATGTGGCTCTCCAGACATAAGGACGTGGGGGTTGGAATCCCACCTCTCCTGGCTCCCAGACTACCTTGTCATAGAGTCCTCATAAATCAGGAGGCAATCCTTTCTGCTAGTCTGTATTAATCTCTGCAGATGAACAGAAGTGCCAAGTTCTGGAGGAAAAATATCTTCCTGACTCCCATCTGGAATCTGTTGACAGTTCCTTCCTGACTCCAGTTAGACAGGGCTTAGGGGATAGGTGGATAGCAGCAGGTATGTATTCTTTGACTCGACTCCAGAGTGGGTAACTGGGTGCTTCTTTCCCTCCTCCCCAGCCCTGAGGCTTTGCCCGTCACCCTGAGCTTTTTGCATTCCAGGTACCCAGGACTTCGCCATCCATCCCTGGCCTCTAGCCTTGTTAGCCCTTAGTGGGGAGCTCAGAGGAACTGCCATCCTCTTGCTGTAGCTACACTGATTCTGGATCATGCATTATGCCTACTGGGTTAAGGGAGTGGCGAACAGGGCTGGATGGGCATCAGCAGAATGTGCCTCTGATGCATGGAGCTGGTGCACTCAAGAGCTATAAAACTGGCAGGTAAGTTGGGATATGGAGGGAGGGAAATAGATACAGTTCCTATGAACCTGTCCCATTTAATCAGAATATAATCATTTCAAGAGAAGGGGCTTTGAGGAGCTTCAAGACACAGAGAAACACCCCAATACTTTTATTAGGGATTTTTAAGATCAGATATCTCTGTACTTTGGAAACTTGACTGTCTATCAGTTTCATCTTAAAAATTATTTCCTTTTGTTTGCCATTAATTCTTTAATTCATTCAACAAATATTTATTAAGCACTCTACTATGGCCAGGCACTGTGCTGGCCCTACTGATGAACGAAACCACACATGGTCCTGGCCCCCATGGAACGTATAGACTAGTTGGCGAGTAAGACATTAAGTACATTATCAAGAAATGAATGTTAAAATACAATTGTGAAAAATTCTAGAAAGGAGAGGTAAATGCTATGAGAACACATAATAGGGATGTTCTGACTTTTCAGGAGATCAGGGAGGGTTTCCTCGAGGCAGTGAAGATTTTGCTGAGACCTGAGGGATGAGTAGACTTTAACTAGGCAAAGAGTGGAAGGAAGGGTATTTCTGGCAGAGGGAACTGTATGTGCAAAGGCTGCATGGAGGGCCTGCAAGAAGACCAATGTGGTAGAACAGAGGATCAAGGAAAAGCAGGGTGATAGCTGAGGCTGGCAAAGTCAGCAGGCTTCCAAGGCCAGATCATGACAGACCTTTAAGGAGTCCGCTGAGAAGTTTGGTCTTAACCTTAAAAGCTATGGGAAGCTTTTTTTTTTTTTTTTAATCAAAACACAATACTTTATTTCCCATGTAAAATGCGCCAGAACATTGTAACGGAGTAAGTGTTCAGTCATGTTTTTCAAATGACTACTGATCATTTTGTATCAGGTACATGGAGAAATCTGTTTTTTGTCTTTTTTTTGGGGGGGGGCGGTTTTAAAGCATTTTTTCCATTCCAAAAGTAATACATTTCATTATAGGAAAATTTTAAAATAGAATGAAAAATTAAAATATTTGAAACCCATCTTTCAGCAGCCTAAGGACAATCACATAACATTTTTGACATTTTTTCTTCCAATCTTTTTTCCACAGAGAGGATGTTTTAGAAAATTGTAATTATCCTATATGTATTCTTTTTTTTTCTTTTTTTATTTTATTATTATTATACTTTAAGTTTTAGGGTACATGTGCACATTGTGCAGGTTAGTTACACGTGTATACATGTGCCATGCTGGTGTGCTGCACCCATTAACTCGTCATTTAGCATTAGGTATATCTCCTAATGCTATCTCTCCCCACCTCCCCCCACCCCACAACAGTCCCCAGAGTGTGATGTTCCCCTTCCTGTGTCCATGTGTTCTCATTGTTCAATTCCCACCTATGAGTGAGAACATGCGGTGTTTGGTTTTTTGTCCTTGCAATAGTTTACTGAGAATGATGATTTCCAATTTCATCCATGTCCCTACAAAGGACATGAACTCATCATTTTTTATGGCTGCATAGTATTCCATGGTGTATATGTGCCACATTTTCTTAATCCAGTCTATCATTGTTGGACATTTGGGTTGGTTCCAAGTCTTTGCTATTGTGAGTAGTGCCACAATAAACATACGTGTGCATGTGTCTTTATAGCAGCATGATTTATAGTCCTTTGGGTATATACCCAGTAATGGGATGGCTGGGTCAAATGGTATTTCTAGTTCTAGATCCCTGAGGAATCGCCACACTGACTTCCACAATGGTTGAACTGGTTTACAGTCCCACCAACAGTGTAAAAGTGTTCCTATTTCTCCACATCCTCTCCAGCACCTGTTGTTTCCTGACTTTTTAATGATTGCCATTCTAACTGGTGTGAGATGGTATCTCATTGTGGTTTTGATTTGCATTTCTCTGATGGCCAGTGATGGTGAGCATTGTTTCATGTGTTTTTTGGCTGCATAAATGTCTTCTTTTGAGAAGTGTCTGTTCATGTCCTTCGCCCACTTTTTGATGGGGTTGTTTGTTTTTTTCTTGTAAATTTGTTTGAGTTCATTGTAGATTCTGGATATTAGCCCTTTGTCAGATGAGTAGGTTGCGAAAATTTTCTCCCATTTTGTAGGTTGCCTGTTCACTCTGATGGTAGTTTCTTTTGCTGTGTAGAAGCTCTTTAGTTTAATTAGATCCCATTTGTCAATTTTGGCTTTTGTTGCCATTGCTTTTGGTATTTTAGACATGAAGTCCTTGCCCAAGCCTATGTCCTGAATGGTAATGCCTAGGTTTTCTTCTAGGGTTTTTATGGTTTTAGGTCTAACATTTAAGTCTTTAATCCATCTTGAATGAATTTTTGTATAAGGTATAAGGAAGGGATCCAGTTTCAGCTTTCTACATATGGCTAGCCAGTTTTCCCAGCACCATTTATTAAATAGGGAATCCTTTCCCCATTGCTTGTTTTTCTCTGGTTTGTCAAAGATCAGATAGTTGTAGATATGCGGCGTTATGTCTGAGGGCTCTGTTCTGTTCCATTGATCTATATCTCTGTTTTGGTACCAGTACCATGCTCTTTTGGTTACTGTAGCCTTGTAGTATAGTTTGAAGACAGGTAGCATGATGCCTCCAGCTTTGTTTTTTTGGCTTAGGATTGACTTGGCGATGTGGGCTCTTTTTTGGTTCCATATGAACTTTAAAGTAGTTTTTTCCAATTCTGTGAAGAAAGTCATTGGTAGCTTGATGGGGATGGCATTGAATCTATAAATTACCTTGGGCAGTATGGCCATTTTCACGATATTGATTCTTCCTACCCATGAGCATGGAATGTTCTTCCATTTGTTTGTATCCTCTTTTATTTCATTGAGTAGTGGTTTGTAGTTCTCCTTGAGAAGGTCCTCCACGTCCCTTGTAAGTTGGATTCCTAGGTATTTTATTCTCTTTAAAGCAATTGTGAATGGGAGTTCACTCATGATTTGGCTCTCTGTTTGTCTGCTATTGGTGTATAAGAATGCTTGCGATTTTTGTACATTGATTTTGTATCCTGAGACTTTGCTGAAGTTGCTTATCAGCTTAAGGAGATTTTGGGCTGAGACAGTGGGGTTTTCTAGATATACAATCATGTCATCTGCAAACAGGGACAATTTGGCTTCCTCTTTTCCTAATTGAATACCCTTTATTTCCTTCTCCTGCCTAATTACCCTGGCCAGAACTTCCAACACTATGTTGAATAGGAGTGGTGATGTTCTTGATCAAGTTCCTTTTGAAAATGTCATACTGTTTGAGGAGCAATTGCTACTTAGGAAAGAAAAGAGTTGTTTTCCTTCTTTGAACATATGTAGTGTATTAACATATAAGTAAACCTCATTTCCTACTTTCTTGGATTCCAAAGGGAAAAGTCCTTCTGAAATTGAGCAGAAATCATTAGGCTGGAAAGAGCCTAACTAGATAATGGGAACTGTGGCATGCTGGGAAAAGGTCTGGCACTATTCCTCTAGTAGCATTTTCCCAATTCTGATCTTTCTTTTATACCATGTCTCTATATCCTCTCCAGCCACTGTACTAATTTTAAAATTTAAACAAATTTAAGCCTGTGGTAAAATACATATAGTGTTTACCATCTGAACCATTTAAAAGTGTACAATTTAGTGGCATTAACTACATTCACATTATTGAGCTACCATCATTGCCATCCATCTATGGAACTCATTTCATCTCACAAAACTGAAACTGTAACATTAAATGGTAACTCCACATTCCCCCTGACCCCTACAACCCCTAGCAACCACCATTCTACTTGCTGTGTCTATGAATTTGAGCACTCTAGGTACCTCAAACAAGTGGATTCATACAATATTTGTCTTTTTGTGACTGGCTTATTTCACTTAGCATGCTTTCAACGTTCATTGATTTTGTAGTACGTGTCAGAATTTCCTTCCCAAGACTGAATAATATTCTATCATGTGTATATACCACATTTGTTTATCCATTTATCCATTGATGAACATTTCAGTTGCTATTGTGAATAATGCTGTGAACATGGGTGCACAAATATCTCTTCAAGTCCCTGCTTTCCATTCTATTTTTTTTTGTTTTGTTTTCTTTTGTTTTTGTTTTTGTTTTCTTTTTTTTTTTTTGAGACAGAGTCTCTCTGTCGCCCAGGCTGGAGTGCACTGGCACGATCTCGGCTCACTGCAAGTTCCGCCTCCTGGGTTCACTCCATTCTCCTGCGTCAGCCTCCCGAGTAGCTGGGACTACAGGTGCCCACCACCACGCCCAGCTATTTTTTTTTTAATTTTTAGTAGAGATGGGGTTTCACCATGTTAGCCAGGATGGTCTTAATCTCCTGACCTCGTGATCTGCCTGCCTCGGCCTCCCAAAGTGCTGGGACCACAGGCGTGAGCCGCCGCACCTGGCCTCAATTCTTTAGAGTATATGGCCAGAATTAGAATTCTGGATTGTGAAGTAATTCTCTATTTAATTTTGTGAGGAACCACTGTATTGCTCTTGATAGTAGTTGCACCATTTTGCATTCCCACTAACAGTGTACAAGAGTTCCAATTTTTCCACATCCTCACCAATACTTAATATTTTCCATTTTTGAAATGGTATCCAGGGCTCGGCGCAGTGGCTCATGCCTGTAATCCCAGCACTTTGGGAGGCCGAGGCAGGTGGATCACGAGGTCAGGAGATCGAGACCATCCTGGCTAACACGGTGAAGCCCCGTCTCTACTAAAATTACAAAAAATTAGCCGGGCGTGGTGGCGGACGCCTGTAGTCCCAGCTATTCGGGAGGCTGAGGCAGGAGAATGGCGTGAACCTGGGAGGCGGAGCTTGCAGTGAGCCGAGATAACACCACTGCAGTCTGGCCTGGGCGAAAGAGGGAGACTCTGTCTCAAAAAAAAAAAAAAAGTATCCATCTTAATGGGTCTGAGTAATATCTCATTGTGGTTTTCATTTGCATTTCCCTGATGATTAGTGATTGTTATCTTTTCATTTGTCTATTCTTTGGGGAAATGACTATTCAGGTTTTTTGCCTGTTTTTTAACTGAGTTGTTTTGTTGTTGATGTTTTCTTCATATATTCTAATATGAATCCCTTATCTGATGTATGGTTTGCAAATATTAATATTTTCTTGTATTCCTTGAGTGCTCTCAGTTTTATAGAATGACTTTTCTTAAGGCTGGGCACAGTGACTCAAGCCTCTAATCCCAGCACTTTGGGAAGTCGAGGTGGGTGGATCGCCTGAGCCTAAGAGTTCAAGACCAGCCTGGACAACATGGTGAAACCCCGTCTCTACAAAAAATTAGCCTGACATGGTGGCATGTGTCTGTGATCCCAGCTACTTGGGAGGCTGAGGTGGAGGGATTGCTTGAGTCTAGGAGGTCAAGGCTGCAGTGAGCTGTGATTGCACCACTGCACTCCAGCCTGGGCGATAGAGTGACAAAAAAAAAATGACTTTTCTTAGAATAAGGGTCCCAGTTTTGATCCTAGTTCTACAGTTGACTAAAATGGGGATAGCATACCCTGCCCTGCCCGAAAATAACAGTAACTAACCTTTATCAAGCACCTACTAAGTGCCAGGCACTGTTAAGTGTTTACACATATCAGCTCACTTAATCTTCCCAACAATACCGTGAAGTAGGTACTACTTCATTTTCATGTTTATTTTACAAATGGGGAAACTGGGTTACAGAGAGTACGTAATTTGCCTAAGGCCATACAGGCAGCATGTTCTAGAACAGAGATGTCACCAAACAACCCAGCTTTAAAACCTGGCTTCTGTGAGGAGCCAGGATAGGAGGAAGGCCTGTAGACTGTTAAGTGCTGTGTATGAGAGACGCAAGAGAGGGTTTTCATTTCTGAGCATTCTCTGAAAAGAATGAGGGCTCATTGACATGGAAAAGCCACTTCTGGGGCACTCTAGGATCACGAGGAGTCAGGGAGAGTCCTTTGCAAGGGGCAGGGCCCTTGGGGTTGAACTTGGAGCCCAGCTCCAAAACGTGAAGAACCTTCGCCTTCCTCATTTGGCCTCTCTTTGCCAAGACTTCCATTGTAAATATATGTCCCCTAAGAATCGTTACTTGCAACTGTATAACACTTAAAAAAATTAAACATACCTTCACATACATTATTCCATCACATCTTCATAATGATCTAGTCATTCAGGAAGGGTGGAGGTTATTTTACTATTTTACAGATGGGGAAACTGAGACTCAGGAAGATTAAGTGGCTTTCCAAAAGCCCCGATGTGTGGCTAAATAAGAAGAAAACAAAGACTCTTGGACCTTTTCATTCATTCCTCAATAAATCTTTTTGCAAGCCCATCAGAAGGACAGGCATTCTTTTCCCTGGCCGTGGGCCAGAAGAGCAGGAAAAGCCAGGTATGATAACCTCTCAGTGACTTGGGCCAAAGCCTGATCCATACTTCCCACATGAAGGCTTTGAGGATTGTTAAGTTTTCCCTTCTTATCCCACTGCTTAGCAGTGAGCGCTTGGCTAAAACCACTGCTTTGAGGGACCGGGACCCAAACATTTAGATACCTCTCTAGGTCAAGGCTGCCTCCCTCCAAGATGCAGCAACAGTTCTACAAAAGAGATCCAGAGGACATTATTCCCTCCACCTGACAGATGTGGTAATGAGGGTAAGTAACATGCCTGAAGTCATGCAGCTAATAAATGCTGGAGTTTCTGGCTTCAATATTAATATTTTTTATCACTACACCAAGCTACCAAGTTGCCAAAAGGCGGTAGCAACTGTGGGGACAGTACTTAATCATGAAAGTGCTCGATTTCAATGTGGTTGGAACAGTTCAAGTGTGCCAGTGTGGACATTGTGGGCAGCCCTGGCCAGTGGCAGGTAGCAGGCTGGAGCAAGAACCCAGCTATGTGGTAGGACATTGTAGAATAAACAAAGATCACCCAAACAAGAACAAAAGAGGGTATTTATCCGGAGCTTGCTATAGCAAAGGGGTCAGCCACCACAATTTGGGTTGGCAGAGACTCAAAGGCAGGCAGGGGGTGGCAAAGCTTTATAGTGAAAAAAGGGAAGGCTAAACATATGCCCTGATTGGAGGCTGTTGGCAAGGGAAAACTGGACCAGTTTAACTAGAAACAAGGCATCCTACATGATTGGTGTGCGGGACCTATTTCACTTTCTCTGGTTATTCCTGAGTTGGAAGTGGAAGGGACAGTGGCAAAGATAGTAAATCTGGGATGTGAGATTGACCATGTCCTGACTGCTCTGGAGTGATTGCTGAGAGACTGTGGTTTGGTTTCCTGGCTGGTGGATGTAGAGGTTGTGGGTCAGAATCTTACTGTCATAGATGGTCCTGGCCATTGTCCAGTCAAACTGTCCTAACTGAGAAACCTACTGCTGTGGCTGAAATATTCATTATCAGCATTAGAAAAAAATGAAAGAATTTCCTGAGGTCCTTATGTCTTTCCCCACGGGTTGATGGTACTGTGTTTCTGGAGATTTTTCACATTGGCTCCAACAGGGTTTTCATAATCTGACTGATTCTGATTGACCCATATATGCTTTTCATCATCATGCATCAGAAAGCAGTTTCCTGCATGTGGGAGCAGAGTCCAGATAAAACATTGTGTTTGGAGGGGACAGGGGGCACGGTGTCTGAGGTCCTGAAGCTATGTTCAGTCTACTGAGACTAAGCTGGGGGTTGGAGGAGGGCATTAAAGAGTGGGTGCCCCCAAAATTAAATGGGGTGGGGCTACACACGGTGGTCCAAATTGTAGCACTAGCAATTTGGGAAGCTTAGGCGAGAAGATTGCTTGAGGCCAGGAGCTCGAGACCAGCCTGGGCACCATCACAAGACCTTGTCTCTACAAAACATTTCAAAAAAGAAAATTAGCTGGATGTGGTGGCGTGCACCTGTAGGCCTGGCTACTCTGGAGGCTGAGGTGGGAGGATTGCTTCAACCCAGGAGGTTGAGGCTGCAGTGAGTTAAGTTTGCACCACTACACTGTAGCCTGGGAAACAGAGCAAGATCTTGTTTCTAAAATAAATAAATAACTAGATAGATAGATAGATAGATAGATAGATAGATAGATAAACAGATAGACAAATAAATCACATGTTCCCACTTATTTGTGGGATCTAAAAATCAAAACAAAGTCAGGGACATAGAGAGTAGAAGGATGGTTACCAGATGTTAGGAAGAGTAGTGAGGAGCTGGGGGAGAGGTGGGGGTGGTTAATGGGTACCAAAAAAATAGAAAGAATGAATAAGACCTAGTATTTGATAGCACAACAGGGCAACTATAGTCAATAATAATTTAATTGACATTTTAAAATAACAAGAATATAATTGGATTTAGTAACCAAAGGATAAATGCTTGAGGGAATGGATACCCCATTCTCCATGATGTGATGGTATTGCCTGCCTGTATCAAAATATGTCATGTACCCTATGAATATATACACCTACTAAGTACCCCCAAGACTTAAAAATAAAAAATTACATGTAAAATAACCATTTTAAAGACTTGTGAGAAAATGCAAATGCAAAATATCTCATTAAAAAGTTTTATTTTAATCACAAAAAAGTAAAAAGTAAAATAAATAAATAAATAAATAAAAGCAGGAGTGAAGGAATGCCCAAGACATTTTTCAACTGGGACCCTCCATTCAGAACACCTTTGCAGCCAATCAGTTGTTTTCATTCCCCCATGCCACACCCTACCATGACTTTTTAAAATTAGTTGTTTCTATGATGACAAAAGTAGAATATATACTCATTGTGGGAAAAAACGATCTGGTTCATAACTACATTAATTTAAAAAGGAAAGATCCTGCCCACCCTGAATTCTCATTCCAGAGGTAACCACTGCTGAGAGAAACCATATATCTCCCTATAGGCCCTGTAGGAAGTCATTTAGGAGTGACTCCTCCTCCCCCATCTTGCCCAAAAGGTCAGAAAAAAAAATGCAAGAGATTTCAGATTTGGCAGAAGTTCTGCTCCCCCACTCCCCTGGGATTCGGTTGCCATTTCATTTCTTTAGTTGCTTTGAAGTCCAGATTCAAGTTTCTGAATAAGACGCCTGCCTCCCTCCCATACCCCTTTATGAAAGCACCCATTAGCCTCAGTGCCCTGCTGGGCAGAAGCAGGGCCCAGAGCTTTGGGTGAACTGTCAGGTTTTGAGCCTCAGCAGTCTGTGGGCACATAGCTGCTATGTGTGCTCTTGGGCTCTGCTTTCACCTTGGATACCGGGAGGTTTGACATTCTTTTCATGAATTTTCAAGGAAATATATCTCCCATCTGGATGGAGACTGGCTGTAAAGAACTCAGCTGTGCCTCATTGGTGAATGGTTAAGCACACTGTGATACATCCATACCATGGACACTCAATGACAAAATAAGAATGAAGTATTGATACATAGAATGATGTGGATTAATCTCCAGAGAATTATGTTAAGTTAAAAAAAGCCAATCCCAAAACTTTACATATTACATGATTCCATTATATAACATGTCAAATGAAAATGAAGGAAGTATAGAAATGAAGATAAGTGACTTCCAGGGGTTAAAGAAAAGGAATGAGGGAAATAGGTGTGGCTATAAAAGGGCAACATGAGGGATCCCTGTAGTGATGGAACGTTCTGCATCTTGACTGTATTGATGTTAATATTCTGGTTTTAATATTATACTAAGTTTTATATTAATGATATGTTACCATTGGGGGAAACTGGGTAAAGGGTATGTGGGATCTCTCTTACAACTTGTGATAACTTACAATTTACATGTGAACTAACTGCATGTGAACCTACCTCAAAATAAAAAGTTTAATTTAAAAAGAAAAGCCCTTTCTGTTCCTCTGTTTATCCCCTTTTCTTGGGTCCCTTGTGTAGGTGAACATTGAAGTATAAATGCTAAGTCATCTTGAGGATGGCAGTAATTCAGCAGGGCAGTTCAATTCAGTAATTGAGTAGGTGGCATGTAGGGGGTGGCCTGAAAATCTACACCTTTCTTTCCCCCACCCCACTTCAACTCAAATAGCCTCTGCACTGTACTCAGCATGATACTCGAACCTCCTGCCATTAACACCACTTTTGGGTACCCTCTCCGCAGGCCTAGGCTCTTTGTGTTTTGAGACAAATAATGCATCGATTCTTTGGCTTGATTACTATTACCAGCTGTTGTCACCAGGCACACAGCAAGGCTCTGAGATGCTAAGGAAGCAGGACAGAGACTTTGGGGCTGAGTATAAGAGAGAAGCCAATGTATCTGTTCTCAAATTTTCCTTCCCAAGGATCATTCGAGAGGCTGCAGTTATCAAAGTATGAGGAACACCTTGGCCTGTGAGGAAGAGATTGCTAAGATAGCAAAGATATATATATATATATATATATATATATATATATATATATATATATATATAGTGATAACTTATATATGTATATGTATAGTGATAACAAATATATATGTATAGTGATAACTTATATATACACATACACTTAACATATACATACATTTATATGCACACATATGCGTATGTATGTACATACATATGTATATATACATATGTGTGTGTATATATACATACATGTAGGTACACACACACACACACACACACGCACACACACGGCTCTTTTGTTTCCTGGAAGGAAACCAAGAAGTAGGTAGGGACATGGTGGTGGTGAAGGGTAGAGATGGGTTTTCATGTTTCATCATTTTATACCTTGTCTACCATTAGAATTTTCCAGCCATTTTTTTTCTTTGTCTTTTGGGGAAGTTCTTGGAGGCCAGGTACCCTGGCTACATGCCTCTGCTTTTCCCATTGACCAGTCACTCAGCTCAGGATGTCAGCAGCCCAGGAGGAAGTACTGAAAACTCCTTCTCCAGGATATTAAGGAAGGAAGGAAGGAAAGAAAATGACAGCAGGAGGCTGTTTGGGTAAGCCAGTGTGAATCACTGATTCCAGTCCCAGGGGGTTGCTTTCCTCTCAGCTGCCTGGCCAAGGAAGGCAGAAGAATTCTCTGCCTGGCTAGATGGTAAAAATGCCATTTACTATGCCAAGCAAGTGTCCCTCCTCCAATGGGGGTGGCATACCTGGCTGGGCCCTTGCTCCCTTGGCTGATGTTGAGGGGAGGGGATGCGTGCAGGCTTTGGATAAGGCTGCATGTGGGGGCAGTGTCTCACCCCTCCAAGCTCTGGGCTAAGTGAAGTGTGAGTGATAAATGTGTGTGTTTTCTCCCTGCTGGGGATTTTCAGGTTGGAGACTGTGACTTTGGCCATGGCTGGAGGTGAGGGAAAAAAATTGGGTTCCTCCTCCTTCCTGAGCACTGTTCCATTTTCAGGCTCCTGAGGACCAGAGAGCTGGAGGGAGTGGAGCGAATTATTTTAGAGTTTTGTGCAGCCGGGAGAAAGGAGATGAAGGCATCCAGCAAGAAACTGGCAAGGGCCTTCCACATCCTTGCACCTTTACTGATAGCATCATTGACCCCATCTGAGTTCCAGTTTCCACTCCTGAAGGGGACAATCTGAAATACAGGCAAACAAGCGGGCAGGTGGATGGACAGGTGTGTGTTTAGAAACATTGCGCAATGTCTAGTTACAAACTCCACTCATCTCTGCTCAGTCAGGCAGATCCCCTAGGACCACACCTAGAGCCAAGTTTGTGTTGTGTTATTGGATATATAGCCCGAAAGTAATAAAACTGTACTGTAGACATTCTATACTATACAGACTTCCTCTAAATCTCCTCCACTACAAGAACGAGCCAGGAGTGTGGTGAGTCATGGTGACTTTTCTGGTTGTCCTCCCCCACTACTCCAACCCCAGCCAAGAGATGTCCAATGACTCTGAATACTGCCTGATGGGAGAGGAGGAGGAATGGGAAGAGGGGGAGGAAGAAGTAGTCAGGACTGATAACTGCCATTAGCAAATGCCTATATAAGCATCATTATGTAAGCATTCCTCCCTAGAAGGCATCCTCTCCTCCCCCTAACCCACCATAGTATCTTGTTGGCTCTCCTCCACCCTACTTTTTTGCCCATAATGTGAATTTATGTCAGACTTGGCCTGTTTACAAATGTTGGGGGAGGGCTGGGGGAGGTCCCTGCCCTGCCAAGTGTACTTTCCTCCAGCCTAGCTCCCTTAAGGACAACTCTGGATCTGGTGGTCCCACTTGCCCCCAGCCTCCCTAGAGCGTTGTGAGGGCAGATATTCTCAAGGCACTCTGAGAAGCCTGGTGAAATGGCTCCATAGAAGCCATAACTCAGATCTCTAACTCAGCCTCCTGGGCTTCGTGAGATGTCACTCCATCTGAGATGCTCTAATCAGCAGGGTCACATGGATTTAGACACTAAACCGCTTTGTCTCTCTCATTTCTCACCCTTAAACCCACCCACACCTTTGCCAGCCTTTAGTGGGAGCTCATTCAGTGAGCCTCAGGAGGTGGGCTGAGGGGATTGGGAAAGAGAAAGCAGGGAGACATGAGCCAAAGGAAGGGGAGGAGAGACAGAGACTGAGAGCGACCTTCTGGAATGGTTTGCCCCTGTTCAGAAGTAAGGACGTTTCACTATTCTCCGTTTCTGGATCTACTGATTATAGAGATTTTCCTTTTTTCTTTTCTTTTCTTTTCTTTTTTTTTTTTCCAGACGGAGTCTTGCTCTGTCACCCAGGCTGGAGTGCAGGAGTGCAATCTCTGCTCACTGCAACCTCCGCCTCCCAGGTTCAAGAGATTCTCATGCCTCAGCCTCCCAAGCACCTGGGACTACAGGTGCCAGCCACCATGCCTGGCTAATTTTTTGTACTTTTAGTAGAAAGCGGGTTTCACCATGTTGGCCAGTCTGGTCTCGAACTCCTGACCTCAAGTGATCCACCCGCCTCAGCCTCCCAAAGTGCTGGGGTTACAGGCATGAGCTGCTGCACCTGGCCGATTATAGAGATTTTTCCAGAGCCGCATGTTTAAAAAGCCTGGTAGAGTTTCTGAATCAGCCCTGAAGGTTTCAGTTAAATTTATCCTGCATGTTTTAGACTCACTGGAATCATTCTTAGAGCTAGGAAGATCAGATTCCCCCCAAAGCAATGGAGGCATTTATCTAGGAACTGCGGTTTGGGGGGATTCACTCATGGTGTTTGTACTTTATCTTTTGCTGGAAGCAAGTGGCTGAGCTATGCTGCACCTGGAAATCTACGTTATTGGGCCAGCATCTTAAGAATGTGCCCAACTTTCTTAGTAGAGGTTATACGCATCCGGAATGCCAAGTAATGGAATGTATGCCCTCTTGGGATTTACAAAGGATGAACACTTTCCAAAACCCAGAGCTTAAAAAAAAAAAAAACTATTCCCCAAATAGTTGTTTTTGTTTTTGTAGTCCTGTCTTCTTATCCAGCCTTATCCAGCTCCCACCGTGTTATTCTAACATTTTCTTCTACTGGTCTGTCCTAATGACTGGCTTTTGGGCATGTGGTCATTTTCAAGTCAATGCTATGACCACAGATCCCTCAGAACAGTAACCACAAAGTCCCTCAACAAGGTGTTTTATTCACTACCTATGATTCACTCAGCACTGTACCATGGGCAGATATAAGAAAAAAATGTGCACTTTGGGAGGCTAAGGCAGGTGGATCACTTGAGGCCAGGAGTTCGAGACCAGCCTGGCCAACATGGTGAAACTCCGTCCCAACAAAAAATACAAAAATTAGCCGGGTGTGGTGGTGCATGCCTGTAATCCCAGTTACTTGGGAGGCTGAGGCACAAGAATCACTTGAACCCTGGAGGCAGAGGTTGCAGTGAGTGGAGATCACACCACTGCACTCCACCTGGGTGACAGAGTGAAACTCCATCTCAAAAAAAAAAAAGAAAGAAAGAAAAGAAAAGAAAATGTAAGAAATGTGTTTTTTTCCTCTGGAGACTTCTAATCTAAGTTAAGGAGAAAAGTTATGTGCATTTGAAACACCACGAGGACAACAAAAGACAGTATATAATAAGATGTGGAATGGAATGGTATGATAATAGCAATTCCTATCAGTTATTGAGACCTTCCTAAGGGACAGGCACTATGCTAAAGGCATCACACTTATTATCTCATTTTAATCCTCATAACAACCCTTTGAGATGGGTTCTATTAATATCTCTACTTTTGAGCCAAGGGAACTCAGGTTTAAGAGAGTAAATAATTTGCTGTAAGGCAGTTGGTAAAGGCAGGCAGAGCTAACATCTCATTCCCAACTTTTTATTTTGAAAACACTTCAGAATTACAGGTAAGTTGAAGAATACTGTAATGAAGACCCGTATATGCCTCACCTACATTCACCAACTATTAACATTTTACCACATTTGCTTCATCATTCTCTCTCTCTCACTACACACACACACACACAAACTCACTCCTATGCATTTTTTCTGACCTAATTGAGCATAAATTGCAGATATCATTACACTTCCTTTCTAAATACTTCAGCATGTATCTCCTAAGAACAAAGACATTTTCCTACACAATCACAATGCAGTTACCGCACCTCAGAAACTTAACCAGAGTCAGAATTTGAACACAACTCTGACCCCAGAGCCTTGACCACAGGTGATATGAGATTTCAGTAGAAGGAGCCATCAATGCAGTTTGGGGGTTATAAGATGGATTTTCTGTGGACTCTCTACTTCTGATTATTTGAAGTAATGGAAGGAAGGAGTTAGGCAGAGAATCACAAAGCATGCATTATCCAAACACCAAAGCTCATGTTTTTCAAAGTGTGTTCTTTTTGGGTGGGAAGGGAATGATATAGATTTGCCTTTCTAATTAGCTTCTTTTCTGGCCAATATTAAAATTGGTCTTTCTTAACAGCCTGCTGACATTACAACCGGTGTAGGTATTCCAGAAGTTATTCTTTGATTAAAAACACAATTACAGGAAATGTACTAAGTGGGTAAGCAAAGCCACATATGAATAATGGAGAACTAACCACAAATTTGACTTAGAAAGGAATTCTAGCTAGAAATTCTAGCCACAGGTCAGACTTTAGCATCTGCAACATAAATCTAGTTCTTGCTCAGTTATGTTCCTTTTCCCCAAAGTTAATAAGAGAGGGTCACATGTACTGCCCTGTCCAGAGACCCCAGCCTACCCACCCAGTGAAATTCCAGAAGCAGGGTGTTGCCTATTTCAGACTGAAAGGAAAAACAGGCCTCCGCTACCAGACTTGCGAAGACCCCCTGAAGGGACCCCAGCTAAATTTCTTCTTTCTTCTTATTCTTATTTGGACAAACCCAATTTGGAAAGCCTGTCAGATTAGGCCCAGCTAGACAGTGTTTAATGCCCCTCATGAATACATGCACAGGAGAAATCACAATCTTTTGAAACTCTTGATTCCTCAAAAGTCATTTTAAAAAGCCAAAAGCCTGCATCTGCATTTGTTTTGCGTGTCGCACTCCCACTAGGCACTTTTAAAAAATCAAAATATTTCAGATCTGTGCATCTCAGAGGCCAAGGTAGGGACACACACCTCTTTATGGGACTGAGATTGGGAAAGGTGCCCTACTGGGTCTTCCAGGCAGTCAACATTAGGTCACACTTTTGCTCGTTGTCTCTGTCTCCAGTTCTTTTGGTTTTCTGTGGACACAATCTGATCTGCAACATCTCTGAATCCATGTAATGTAAGCCATGTTATAATTGGGGTTCCCCGTGTACACACAACCTTTGGTAGGGACTTTCATCTCGAGGGCAGAAAAGATTTCACAAATTTAAGGAAATTCTTGCTTTTTTGGTTCATGGCCCCAGACTGGCTTAGGGAGTAAATAGTTTTCCTTAAGACTGAACAAGAACAGCTTAGAACACCTCAAAAACAGTGTTCACATCTAGATGGGAATGCTTGCAGCCTTGCTACTTAAATTTTCTTTCTTCCCTGACCTCTCTCTTCTCCCCTCTGCTCCCCTCTCCCTCCATCCCACACCATCTAAAATGCCAGAAAGCGATTTATTTACATCGCCTTCCCAAAGCCCTTGAGTGTCCTTTCCTGCTCGGATAAAAGCCTCTACTCTTTCCTTAGGGTTTCATCTCCAAATTACTTCTCACGCTCAGCTCTGCAGGGATACAGAGAGGCTAAGAAAGAGCATCTGGTATTTTGCTCTAAGGATGCTGTTGTGGCGGGAAGATGGAGACAGAGGGAAAAGGGGAGTTAACAGTTCCTAACCATGTAAGGAACAAGCCCAGCCCTTTTTGGACTGAGATCAGAAGACAGCGAGAGGCCTTGGAGAAGAAACTTTATCTGGCTGGTTATTGCTTCGGCCTGTGGGTCTGGGGCTGCGTGCGGGTGGGCGCTTGAAGTGCCGAGCTGCCCCCACGTGGCAGCCTCTAAGGGCATGCCCACAGCGCGGGCTCCCATGCACCCCAGCAGGCAAGGCACGTAACCGGCCAGCGGCTCCCTCAGCAGCACCATGGCTAGCTTTCATGCTTGCCTCAAGATTTCAGAGTAAGTGGCGGGCGCAGCCGACCTACTCCCCCTAGACACCACAGAGTGGAGGGTGGCAGAACGCCAGCCGGCCTTGCAGGGGCTCCTAACCGCCCAAATGGTGCTCTCGCCGCAAAAACGGGCGGCGAGGAATGACCCGGGGGTGGGCGGGGGACAGCGAGACACCTCTGGGCTCGAACTTGCAACATCATTCCCCTGTGCACCCCGCTGGTTGGGGGCGGTGCCCTCCTGGGAGAGCTCGCGCAGGTGTGCGTGTGCGTGTGAGTGGGAAAGCTCAGCAGCGGGAGAGTCCTCAACCCAGCTTCTGGGACTCGGCAGGTCGGGGGACACAGAGACAGGTCAACTCTACGCGGGGAAATGAGGGCCGGCTGGACGCCTCGAGGCTTCTCTGCCTTTCACGCTTCTCTCCTTCCTGGCCGGCACCCCTACCTGGCTCACCTGGGCCCCAGGGACCGAGGGGCCAGGATTGGAAGTCGAGCGTATTCCCAAGGCTGTTGCAGTTGTCTTTGGTTGACTTACAAAGGCAAGAAGGAGGGAAGCACCAAGGGGGAGCTTGGCCCAGCTGCAGTGACTGACCTGGAAATACCTAGTTATTCCCGGGGCTTCCTGCCCTGCACACCGCGATTCCCTACCACTTGGTGCAGGGGTACTTTGTGGCACTCCTACAGCCTTGACTTTGACAGAGTTTGTAAGAAATGACTCAAGTCTGAGAAGGGAGAGCTGCACAAGGGTGATGTTTATATAACAGACAGACCAGGGAGAGAGACTGGACAAAGCTATAGCTTCTCTATGTGTCAAGAAACCTAGCCAACATCATCTCAAAGTAAAGCACCACACAAACCTGGATTTTACAAGGCTCATTTCATTGATTAGTAACACCATTCAAATAACTGACAGCAATAATTCCGTCAAATAATGTGGTTCAATTATATCAGAACATGATGTTTTGGCACTAGTAAGCAGCCAGCAAGCAGCTAGCATGACTGACAATAAATGATCTTGTAGGGAGATAAGGGAGATGGGGGACTGGGGCCAAGAAGTGGAAGAGAGACGAGAGGAAGGCCGAGAGAGGGATGGAAAGAGAGAGGGAAACATGGATGAGTAGAGAAGAATCACCTTAAATTTTCCGAGTTGTCTTAATTTTCTAAACTTATTCCAAGCTGTACAATATGCAGTCTCCCAGTTACTTGATGGGGTATTATATTCAAGCAGTATATTCTTATTATGTGTCCACAGTGTTGTTTTTGGATGTTGTATGTGCATATGTTTACGTATTGCAAGCAATTCCAAAAGGAAGAAGATATTAACCAAAATAGATTTAGTCATATGGTTAATTAGTGGGTATGTGAGTGTACATGATTATTGCCAATTTTCAATCATGGAGTGAACACTCTTCTTTTCCCTTAACTATTCCAACTTGGAATCACAGCCAGAAACCCACCTCACTCATTGCAAGTCTCCAATCACTGAGCGTTGCATGGGTTCATTTGGCCCTGACAATTCGGCACAAAGCTAGTTTCTCCCTCTGGGAGAAACTTTTCCTTTCCCCTCCTGGAGCCAAGCAAGCACAGTGTCTGGCACAAGTATTTGTTGAAAGAATCTTGTTGACTGAACGAAGATGCACTTAAGGAGCTTGCCTTCTTAGGGGGTGACCAGGCCAGTAAACAGCAGTTTGCAAGAGGTAGAGGATGGGGACATAAGCTCAGTAGGAGAGAATGTAAATGAGAGTAGGAGCACTTGGAAGCGAGCACATGGAGGAACTGTCGGGTCCTCTTCTTTGAGCTTTTTCCTAGGCTCCAGGTGTTGTGGGAGAGGAAGACTGGGAGGGAAATGGTGCTGGCTCAAACACTCACTGCTCCCCCGTAAACCTTGGGCACTCTCGCACCCTCCATCCCCCTAACACCCCCACCTCCCCCCAACACAAGGAGGTTTCATAGGATCACAACTTGGCCAAATCAGCAGGGTTGCACTTTCTCAAGGAAGCCCAATAGGCCTTGAAATTCAAATTTGGGCAGAAACACAGGATTGGTTCACAGTCTCCTCTCCCACATACAATTGCAGTCTAGATTTTATGTATAAATATATACATTTCTCATCGTGGAGATGTTTGAAATGTCTGGCCAGTGGTGGAAATGGGTATGTTCAGAGCAGCCATCCATATTCTTGTGGGCCTTGACTCCATGCCAAGAGCCTCATTGGCACTTTGCTCTAATCAAATGAGTCTCTAGTTTAAAAACCCAGTTTGGGTTTTTAAATTCCAAACTAGTTACTGTAGATATAGATCTTGTTCAAGATAACTAGTTATTAAGTTCTGTTACTATTTTCATAGAGATAGAAGGACAGCAGTTTACAGGAGAATTATCAAGAGATTGGTGAATACACTTTTTGGAAGAAGGGAGAAAATAGCAGTAGGCTTAAATTATGTGATACCATATTGCACAAGTATAGAAGGAGATGAAGGCAAAGCAAAAGAACTTTTAAAATCTGACAAGACCCTGTAATTGTGGGGTGGGTGACAATGTCTTCACTTTAAGAGTAAACAAAGTGGGCCCCAGAGGTTTTTAGCTATTCTCTTTGGGTCATACAGTCAGTGGCAATACAAAGATTAGACTCCTGAGTACCCTGACTCCCAGCACAGAGCTGTCTAGCTCAGATAGAGGAAAGATTGTCATCTGAGTAGTAGACCAAAAGCATACATTGTGGGATACTGTGGCCTCTCTCTGGGACTGCTGCAGAGGTCAATTCAGCCTAAGGCAAAATGGTGAGCTCAGGCAACTTTTTGTTGTTGTTGTTTTTGAACAGGGTCTCTCACTCTGTCACCCAGGCTGGAGTGCAGTGGAACAATCATAGCTCCCTGCAGCCTTGAACTCCTGGGCTCAAGTGATCCTCCTGCCTCAGCCTCCCAAGTAGATGGGACTACAGGTGTCTACCACCATGGCCTGGCTAATTTTAAAAAAATCTTTTTATAGAGACAGGGTCTTGCTATGTTGCCCAGACTGGTCTCAAACTCCTGGGCTCAAGTGATCCTCTCACCTTGGCCTGGGATTACGGGCATGAACCACCGTGCCTAGCCCAGGGCAACTTTGTTTTTAGCAACCCCAGTCTCTCCTGTTACAACCCATTTCCGATTTCAGTACCCCTTCCACCCCAGGCGTTCTGGGCCTGAACTTTGCCCTTCTCTCCAAGCCTGTCTTCTCCAGGCCTCTGGCCTTCTAGGCCGTGGACTTCCTCTTGGCTAACACATTGCCATCTTGTGGCCCAGGGCTAGCTCTTAGCCAACTGACCTGTGATGATAGGTTAGTAGACATTAATGATTAACTCCTGATAATGTGTATTTCAACAGGACCTGGATGCTTTTGTGGCACTGCAGTGATTGCTGGTAATCTTGGGGATCTGGCCAGGATAGTGGGCCCCTCACATCATGCTAGTCAGCTTCTCCTACTCCAAGAACAGGATTCAGGAAAGTGAGGCTGAGAGCTTCTGCAACAGGTACTTGACACCTGACCAGGGAATTACTATTGTAAATTATGTGTCAGCCTGCTCCCCTTGGCTGCAAAACTTCCCTGATGACCCTGGAAGCAGTGTGGGTTACAATTTGAGATTAGAAGCCACAAATATTGACTTGTAATGAGGTCCAGTTGCTGGTATTCTGAGGATCCATGCATTCTTTCTTGGCCCTGAGCAGCCCCCTGGAATCCAGATGCTAGAGGACAGCCAACCCTGAAGTGTCCTCTACCAACCTGGACCCATCTTCCCATAGCATCTGCAACCAGTTCTCCGGAACCCGAGACCTTGCGGCATACCTAGCTGCACGGAGAGAACAATGATGAACATGAAATTTGGCTCTATGTCACCTTCCAGTTAGGGAAGGCAAATTTAGGCCATTTGAAAGCACCAGAAATGTGTAGCTGCAGCTTAGCCTGCCAGATCAGACCCAACTTCCACTCCTCACTGTAATTAGACGTGTTTAATGTGGTCATTAGAGATCCCTGTGGCACTTCACTTCCTTCTCTCCCTCCCTTCTTTCCTGTTTTTTTTTTCTTTCCCCCTAGTTTTAGAAGAAAGATTGTTAACTCTAATTTCCTGGCAAGGGGCTCAGTCTGGGTGTCGCATTTTGCTAACTTGCATTCACTCAGTTGCACTTTTCATTCATGAGAGCGATAGGAGAATTGATGGGTGCCAATGGAGTGGCAGGTACCAGTGTAGGGGTCAGAGGGAGGAGATACTCTCCCAGGCCCCCAGCCTCACCCTCTGTAAGGAGTTAGGGGGAAACTGGCTCTTGGGCAATTTCTTGAATAAATTATTTGCCGTATTTACCAGTTCACCTAAAGTTTTTTCTTTCAGTTATTTACAACATAAAGTATTTAAATCTTTGCAAAAATTCATTTAGGAGAAAATGGTTTTAAAGCTTTTGGAGATGTCTCTAAAGATGTAGTTGACAGGTTTCATTTGGTCTTTAGCAGCATTCTAAGGGATGTTCCACTTGTTGTAGGGAGGTTTGGTTTCCTTGGGAATATATGAACAATCTGGAAAAGTATATTATTTCATCAGGAGCCAAAATTTCAGCATATTATATGGGAATGCTTAAATTTGTTTCTTTAAAGAAATTTATGTATTTTCTTGATTGACAATGGAATATTTGTGTATATTTATGGTGTACAACCTGATGTTTTGATATATGTATACATTGTGGAATGATTAAATCAAGGTAACTAACATACCCATCACCTCATATACTTATTTTTTGTGCACTAGCTTCTTTTGAATCCTTTGAAAGTGCATTTTCAGTTGTGTCAACTTTAGCATTTTTAGAATTCTTTCATCAGTTTCTCATATACCATAATTTTTTGTTGTGTGTTATTTCTGGAAATTAGTAACCAAAATGTAAAATGCGATGTGATTGCCCTTGTCATTTCCTAATGATTTTCTACTTTAGCATTCTTTTAGCTTTTTAAACCAATCTGCTTCTTATGCTTCCTTCACAATTCCATAGTTATAGTCAGTGGATAGCAAATTTGAGGAATGAATCCTACAATGTATTATAGTAATCCCTCTTGGCATCTTTACTCTCCTTCTACTGCTTTAAACGGTTTTACTCTTTCATGAAATCTTCAAGAGCTATTAAAACAGCCCATTCAATTCAAATTGCTATAAACTTTATAATTCACTAGAAGAAATTAGTTTTAGTGAATTGGCTTGCTTTCAGAAGGCCAAGTTAAGTTAGTGAAGGCTTGCCATTTGATTACTTCAAATGCATATATAGTACTGCCTTGACCCAGTACTTCTGAGTCAAGGTAAGTACTTGTTCTCTTAACAGCTGGATGTGCTCACCTCACCTGCCACTCACCTCCTGCTGTGTGGCCCGGTTCCTAACAGGCTACAGACTGGTAGTGGTCTGTGGCTTGGGGGTTGCAGGCCCCTGTTGCATGCTATTACTTCAAATGCATGTATAGTACTTACCTTGACCCTCAACTGGAGGGTGGCAGGGGCATGTGGGGGATAATTTTGCTCCCCAGGGGACATTGGGCAATGTCTGGAGACATTTTTGGTTGTCAAAACCGGGGCCAAGGTATGCTACTGACATCTAGTGGTTAGAGGCCCAGGGACGCGGCTAAACATCCAAGGATGAGCAGGAAGAGCCACTCCCTACCTCCTACCAAAGAATTTTGCAGCCCCAAATGTCAATCATGCCGAGATTATGAGACTCTACCTTAAACTAATAACAGTTTCCCAAAGTAGAAGTCTGAGGAGGACCCACCTTAAGAGCGTTTAGACCAGCACTGTTCACTCGAAGTTTCTGTGATAATGGAAATGACCTCTATCTGTGGTGTCCAATGAGATAGCCACTAGCCACGTGTGGCTACTGAGCCCTTGCAGGGTGGCTAGCATAACTGAAGAACTGAGTATTTAATTTTATTTTATCGCAAGTAATTTAAAATTAAACAACCACATGTGGCTAGTGGCTTTCCTATTGGATTCAGTGTTAGAGGCACTATGGTCTAGTGGAGCATAGTCCTTGGTTCATGTCCACAGTCTACCACTTTCTAGCTTTATGGTCTTGAGTATGTCATCTAGGCCTTCTGAGCCTCAGTTTTCTCATCTGTAAAACAAGAAGTAACAATGGTACCTACTTTTCAGGATGGTGAGTATCAAATTAAATTATGCATGAGAAATAAAACATGTAGCAGTATCTAGCACAGTAAGAATTTGAGAGATGTTAGCAATTATTGCTAGAGATTTGTGATAACTATAGTAATTGTCATCATGTAAGTGGGGCTTGTGCAGGGCTTAAAAAGAAGACCTCCCCTGGAATACTATTTAAAGGCCACTTCAGAGGCAGAGCTCCAACTCTCAGCCCTCACAGGATTCCTCTAGTCATGTCCCCATGCCTCTTTGGCCACATCTGTAAAGTGGGAATAATAAAATGGTAATCATAGTAGTGCTTCTCCCCTAGCTGTCTATGCTACAGCATTGTTGGGTTGTGCTCTGAAGAGTACAAGTCCCTCTGGAAGCATAAGGTTTGTGCCAAAAGTTTGCACATTACACAGCTGTGCTTTCATCCAGATTCAGTACAAAAGTCCTGCCTTGGTAAAACTGTCTTAAATTTGGAATGTAAGTGTCTGAATTGGGAAGGTTGTACCAGAGAGCAGCAGGAAACCGGGAGTTCCTCACGATGTTAGGCCCTGCTCTGTTGGTCACCTGACCAGTGTATGGCAGGACAGCCCAGGCACCATTTTAAGGATGCATTGAAGCTTGGCATTTGGGGCTGGGAAGCCAGAGCACTATATGGGCAAACCTGCCTCCCAGGCTCCTAATGAAGGAGCAAGTCATGTGGTCCAAGTGGAAAGAAGAGCAGCTTATAGTGTGCCATCAAAGGCCATACTTCCCAACGGTTCAGCCACTTAGGCAGAGTGTCTGGACTGACAGATACATATGTACACACGTGGAAAATATTTTGGTACCATATAGTAGAAAGTGCATGGGGCTTTGGAGTCAAATATGGGTTTGAATCCTCACAATGCTACTTACTAGCCATGTGGCCATGGGTGAATGCCTTAACCTTTCTGAGCCTTAATTTTCTCATTTGTAAAATGGAGATGATTCCTACCTCATGGTGTTGTCACAAAGATTAAATTAGGTAACTGGCAGGCACACATAGGTTGCCCTCAGTAAATATGAGTTCCCTTGTCACCTTATGTTGACAAACAAAGAGTGACCATTAACCAATTAGGTAGTCATGATCCCATTTCTGTTCTTCTGGGACAGCCAAAGGAAATGAAAGTTTCTGCTGTTGGTATAGGAAAGCCATTTAGTCCTTTCTGGAGAAGAGGAAAGGGGGAGGATTTTCCTTGCTGTGCCACTACAGTGTCCAAAAGAGCAGTCTGAACTGTTTAAGAATAGCCTCGGGTGAAATATAAAAAGCACAGGGCCTGGGTGGTCACAAATACAGTTAAGGAGGAGCCTGAGCAGCCTCACCTGGGCTTGATACTTGCCTCAAAGAAGTCACTCCATTCTGTGAACCCAGAGAGAGGCTTTCTGGGGACAGCTGGTTTCCCAGGAGTCTGGGATTGAAACTCAAGCCGTATCTGTGGCCTATTGATCCAATGGTGGCTAATGGGCCAAGGGCACAGGTTGGATCCAGTTGGCTTTGCCCTCACACACCCATGGGCCCCAGCCCCCAATGCAGGTAACCATTGGACAAACCTGCTGGTTACTGGGAGGCTGATGGAGAGAGTATGGGTAACTGCAGAAAGTCTCATCCCCCACTTTTGGGAAACTGATGAAGAGCAGGGAACACAGGTCATTAGCACCATGGGGAGGAAAACCTTCTGGTGGAGAAGACAGAGTAATACCAATAATAGTGAACATGTATTGAGTGCTTACTGTGTGTTATGCCTCATGCCAAGAGCTTTATATGAGTGATATAGTTTAGATACTTGTCCCCTCCAAGTCCCATGTCGAAACCTGATCCCCAGTGTTGAAGGTGAAGCCTAGTGGGAGGTGTGTGGGTCATGGGAATGGATCCCGCATGAATGGCTTGGTGCCCTACCAGTGGTAATGAGTGAGTTCTCACTCTATTATTTCACATGAGATCTGTTTGTTAAAAAGAGCCTGGCACCTCCTCCCCTCTCTTTCCTCTTTTTTTTTTTTTTTTTTTTTTTGAGATGGAGTCTCACTTTGCTGCCCAGGCTGGAGTGCAGTGGCATGATCTCGGCTCACTGCAACCTCTGCCTCCTGGGTTCAAGTGATTCTCCTGCCTCAGCCTCCTGTAGCTGGGATTACAGGCATGCACCACCACGCCCAGTTAATTTTGTATTTTTAGTAGAGATGGGGTTTCACCATGTTGGCCAGGCTGGTCTTGAACTCCTGACCTCAGGTGATTCACCCACCTCGGCCTCCCAAGGTGCTGGGATTACAGGTGTGAGGCACTGTGCCCACCTCCTTCCTTTCTTTCACCATGTAATCTCCACAAACCAGCTCCACTTCTGCCATGATTAGAAGCTTCCTGAGGTCCTCACCAGAAGCAGATGCTGGTAGTCTTGTACAGGCTGCAGAATGATAAGCCGAATCAAAGTCTTTTCTTTTTAAATTACCCAGCCTCAATTCCCTTGTAGCAATTCAAAATGGACAAACACAGTGAGTTAGTTCACCAAGCTGTCTGTGAGAGCAGGGCCCTTCTCTTTATTGAGCACTGCTCTGGGCTCTTCTTAGCACATATCAGGAGCTCAATGAACAATTATTAAATGAATGAATCTTCACAGTTAGCCTATGATGAAAGTACTAAGCCCCACTTATCAGCTAAGGAAATTTAGGTTTTCAGCAGTTCAGTGTCTTGCCCAAGATCACACACCTAGTAATTGACAAGAGCTAGGATTCAAACCTAGATTTGTCCAGCGTCATAGCCTAACCCTTTCACAATTATGTTATGCTTCCTACTCAGAAGGTCAATGTGCCAGATTTCTCTTTCTGTGACAAAAGCATATCTGCTTAGAAACTACTGGATCAGAGAGTCAAGAGCACTACACAAAGATGACTTATGATGTTCATACTTCTTTCATTCCACCTACTTCCTTCATCTCCTAACTTCTGTCCCCAGACCCTTCTATTATCATGTTCATTTTATAAATCAGGAAACTGAGGCATGAAGGGATTATATGACTTACCTTAGGCCACTCAGCTTGTCAAGATCTGCATTAGTCTGAGGTTCTGGTCCTCAAAAATTCCCCAGCCTGATAGGAAGAGGGAGAGTTTCATCTAATGAGGCCAAGGCCCCAGGGGAAAAAATTAACAAAGGGCCCCATATTGTTAAATCAACTTGCTTGAACTTCTAAAAGTAGAAACAAAATATTTTACCCATCTAATTTGAACATTTTGAACCATATTTCTTGCTACAAACACAAAAACTTAGAACAATGTAATTCAGTTATCTACTATAACATATAAGGGAGATGTTCAAAATGAGAAATAGAAACAAGAGAACAGGAAAAGAAGAGATATGGACCTGGGAAAGTCCAGATATGAGTAAGAAAAGAGCAACAGCACAGGAGGCAGTGTATTTCAGAAAAATATTGCTACAGAAGGTCGATAAAGTCATGTTGCATTTTTACATTAACAAGGTCTTTATTTCTTATTTCCTGGCCTGTGAACTTCATGAGCTAAGTACTAACTAGCCCATCCTATGAACTAAGGATCATGGTACTTCTTCCTTACTGCATTTAGATCTTCCCTTTCCATAAGCCCAACTGTCCTGGGAAAATGGAGAGTGAAGTAAGTCAAAGGGAGAGTCTTCTGAGCCCATGGGAGAAAGGAAAGGGTCCTGGGAGCACGGGCGCGTCTGCCTCCTCAGATTTGCACTAGAACCCAGTAGATCAGGGAAAGCTTCCTCTCTAGAGTTTGCCATCAAGCATATTAACAAAGGTTTCTGCATTAGTTCACTGTTCATTTGTGATAGTTGGAGGGGTATCCAGAAACCTGTTAACGGAAAGAGGAGGGGGAATATCCCCACTAAACCTCCAAAACCCTTTTTAAAAATGGGGTCTTGCTGTGTTGTCCAGGCTGGCCTTGAACTCCTGGGCTCAGGTGATCCTCTTGCCTTAGCATCTCCAGTAGCTGGGACTACAGGCATGTGCCACCATGCCCAGCCATGCCCTATTTTTGAAGGACATAATTTTAACTTCACACGTGAAGAATGTTTGTTTCTTTTGTCCTTGTGGCCCCAGAAGCCAAACATCAATGATCCTGAGACTTATTTTATACAGAAATGGCTTCTGTTTGCTTCTTCAGAGTTAGAGGAAGGAGGAAACTCTTTGGGATGAGGTAGTTCTCTTTAGAAGTGGAGGAAATAATGAGTAGGGAATTTTTAGTTAAATCTGCAACCTGTGCTTTTTTTTTTTTTTTTTTTTTTAAGAAAGAGTCTTGTTCTGTCGTCGCTCAGGCTGGAGTGCAGTGGCGCAATCTCAGCTCACTGCAATCTCTACCTCCCGGGTTCAAGCAATTCTCCTGCCTCAGCCTCCTGAATAGCTGGGATTACAGCCGCATGCCACCACACCCGGCTAAGTTTTGTATTTTTAGTAGAGATGGGGTTTCACCATGTCGGCCAGGCTGATCTCGAACTCCTGACCTCAGTTAATCCACCTGCCTCGGCCTCCCAGGGTGCTGGGATTACAGGTGTGAGCCACCACACCCGGCCTGTGCATTTTTTAAATGGGAAATATAGCTTTGGTTTCTAAACAATCTGAAAGTAAGACAGTTTTCTGCAATATTGACAGGCTTCTGAAAGTCTTGCTGTGAAGGCTGGGCCACCATTGGCCCACTCAGGGAGGGCTTATAGTGAGCCTCTGCAAAATCTGGCTACTCTAGGATGAACTGGGAACTTTGAAAGATCATCTCAGGAAATAATAGAATCCAAGAATGCCTGAGCTAAAAATAACCCTAGACTTCAAGTCTAGTTCAACCCCTTACTCCTTAGGGGAGTAAACGGAGGCTCCAAGAAAGGACTCCATGTGCCCCAGGCCTCACAGCTAGTTAATTGCAGAGCTGGGGTTTGAACTGTCCAAAAATTGCTAGAGGCCTCATTGGAGACTCACATCTTAGAGGTGTTTATTAGAAGAAAAATACCTTCATCTGTGGTCACGATTCTCTCTAGATATCATTCAAATTGCTTTTTCTTCACCACACTTGCCCTGTCCTACCATCCATTTCTTTTTATTATTTATTATTTTTATAGATGTAGGAGGTACAAGTGCAGTTGTGTTACATGGATATATTGTGGGTAACTGCAGAACATCTCATCCCCTACTTTAGGGAAACTGATGAAGAGCAGGGAACACAGGTCATTACCACCACGGGGAGGACAGCCTTCTTGTGCAGAAGGGAGAGTAATACCAATAACAGTGAACATGTATCGAGTGCTTACTGTGTGTTATGCCTCTTGCCAAGAGCTTTATATGAGTGATATAGTGTGGATACTTGGTGAAGTTTAGGCTTCTAGTGCACCCAACACCCGAATAGTATACATTGTACCCAATAGGTAATTTCTCACCATCCACTCCCCTCCCACCTTCCCACTTTCCTGAGGCTCCAATGTCTATTAATCCACTCTCTAGCTGCCATCCATTTCTTATGGCTTCCCAATTCAGGTTTTCTGTTTCAGCCATGCCCTGTACCCAAGGTGATTTACAGCAGGGTTTCCTTAAAGCTAGGTATTTGGAGCCCTCACCTCCCAGGAGTCACCTGGAAGGTTCTGGACTTGCAGGTCCCTGGGCCCCACTCCCTCTGAAGAAGCAGCATCCCTGTGAGTGAGTGCCAAGGAATCAGTGATCGTTACCCATGCTCTTGACTTACAGCCTTCCTCCTTAAACCCTGTGCTCACAGTTTGCCTTTATCTGTCATGGGAGTTTTGTAAACCTCACTATTTATTGAGCACTTTCTTTGTGCCAGGCACTGTGCTACTTTCTATGCATCTCATTTATTCCTCACATGCTGGGGTATGCTTTTCTCTCATGCTCAAGTGGACAACGGGGCAGTGTCCAGCTGGGTCAGGGGCCAACCACCTGCCACCCCCATTTAGGAGCTTCTCCCGGGCACTGTGAGGACAGATGCTACTCCAGTGTGGCTTTTTCTTTTTCCTAGGTCATTCTGACTAGGGATTCTTGTGCCTGAAGTTTAGAGAAGCCCAACAGATTTCTGCTCTCCTGGGGTTCACTGCCACTTTTCTTTTCCTTCCAGGTAGTACACTCTAGGAAGAAGAGCCTGGGCACATCATTTACTCCTTCCTGCTCACTAGGGTTTGTGGATGTCACCTGCCCTCTCTGTCCTCATCTGTAACTCATCTGTGCTGACTCTCAGTGCCTCAGTGCTCAAGCTGTCAGCAAACTTTTCTGCCTAGCACCTGGCGTATCTTAAGTTCCGCCTTCTCGGCCTGGCGCAGTGGCTCATGCCTGTAATCCTAGCACTTTTGGAGGCCAAGGCGGACAGATCACCTGAGGTCAGGAGTTCGAGACCAGCCTGGCCAACATGGGGAAACCCCGTCTCTACTAAAAATACAAAAATTAGCCGGGCATGGTGGTGGTCACCTGTAATCCCAGCTACTCGGGAAGCTGAGGCATGAGAATTGCTTGAACCCGGGAGGCGGAGTTTGCAGTGAGCCAAGATTGCACCATTGCACTCCAGCCTGGGTGACAGAGCGAGACACCATCTCAAAAAAAAAAAAAAAAAAAAAAAAACAACCAAACCAAACCAAACTTCTGCCTTCTCTATTGAGTCTTTCATGGTGACTTCAGCCTGCATGGAAATGTCCCTTTTAGTCCTTTCTGCTGTAGATGGAGCCACCCATAAAAGCACCTTCTGGTCCCTTCTGTAGCTTGACGGCCTCCTATGTTGTTCCCCTTCAGTTTCACCTTCCCTTGTTCTTTGACCTCATTTACATCTAAATCTCAGCATACTAGCCTTGCTTTGCTGTTCCTTGCCATTCTCAGCTTTGCCATGTGTTATGGACACCCTTTTCTGACTTGATCTTACCCCTCTGCCTCATTTCTGGCATCTAGCCCCCTGTACCACACATGTAAGCAAAGTACACTCCAGCTTTTTGTTCCACAACTCTTGGGGCCTGCAGACTCCTTCCACATGTAGCCAGTGCCCTAGAGCAGGGGTGGCCCATGTTTTGGCTTCCCTGGGCCACATTGGAAGAAGAATTGTCTTGGGTCACACATAAAATACACTAACTACAGCTGATGAGCTTAAAAAAATTGTAAAAAAAATCTCATAATGTTTTAAGAAAGTTGATGAATTTGTGTTGGGCCACATTCAAAGCCATCCTGGGCCGCATGCGGCACAGGAGCCATGGGTTGGACAAGCTTGCCCTAGAGTTTAACCCTGAGAATCCTTGTCCTAACACATGATAATTTTGCCTCATCTTATTTTACAAATGTGAGAACTGAGGTCCAAAGAGGGGCTATGACTCGGGCAAGGCTGCAAGGACAACTTTTTGGAACAGCAGATTTCAGGACGCGGGCTTTGTAATTCCTAATGTAGTTCTATTCTCAATTGTTTCATGTGTATTCTTTCTCTTTGTCATCAGGGAATTGGTCATTTTCTGTAGCACTTATTGGCTCTGGAGTCAGATTGCCTAGATTCAAATCCTACCTTCAGAATTCGAACTTGTCATGTGCCCCTGGGCAGTTACTTAGCCTTTCTGTTTCCTCATCTACAAAATGGGAGAGAAGTGAAAATAACTAGTACCTACCTCATAGGATTGTTCTGAGGATTAAATGAGATGATGTATCCGAAGCACTTCAAACAGCATTTGCACATATTCATTGTCAAGTAAATGTTAACGATTTTATTTTGTCATTGCCTACATAGCACCTGAAACAGGTCTAAGCACATAGTAGCTGTGCATAAAGACCTTGGGGTTACTAATGAGACAGGCTCTGGGAAATAATGTTCTGACTTTGCTGTCTGGTTCAAGGGGAAGGATTCTGATGGTGGATATTTTAGGCCAGGTAGAAAGAGAGGGTGATGCCATGGCTGGGGTAAAAGGAAAGATTTGGGGCTAGAGAACCTTCGGATAACTCTTCCCACAACTCCAGGTAGGGAGCTGCCTCTGCTGAGCTGCAGGGCTGTACATGGGATCAGGGTTAAAGAAATCTGAGGTCCTAAATTCTCAGATGTCACCTTGACTGAGAATGTCCAGTGATCTCAGATTCTTGGAGGCGTTATTTCTTTTCTAAAATATTTTTAGAAATTTTCTAAAGTTTCAGAAATTTTTTTTTGTAGAGATGGGGTCTTGCCATGTTGCCCAGGCTGCTCTTGAACTCCTGGGCTCAAGTGATCCTCTGGCCTCAGCCTCCCAAAGTGCTGGGATTGCAGGCATGAGCCACTGCACCTGGCCATGGCATTGTTATTTCTGTGGGTATGTGCCCTCTGGGGACAAAGACATCAGCATCACCCCTCCTTATGCCCATTCCCTTCCTGCTAAGATGAAATTCACTCAGAGACTTCTATATCCCTCCAGAACTGGGAGACCAAAAGGCTATTTCTCATAACCATGGGGTGATGCTGAGATTGCTTTCCCCAACCTCCACCCTGTGGGCCAAAAGGCTGCAAGATGAAACCAGAAAGTTACAATGTGCCTGCACAAAGGACACAGATAGTTCAGCTTGGGCTGGGGACACATTGCAGAGGACTGGTTGTTCTTTCTCCCTTATCTCCCCTACCTCCCCTGGCCAGAAAATGACTCCTGGTGTCTCCACTCCTTGACGGCTTTTGAATTCTAAGAGCAGGAGATATCTATATCAAATCCCACAGAATCCAATGAGCTATGTAAAATTCACATCCTCCACTAGCAACCCCCTTTCTTCTACTTTTTTTTTGTTTGTTTGTTTTAGATGGAATCTTGCTCTGTCACCAGGTTGGAGTGCAGTGGCGCAATCTCGGCTCATTGCAACCTCTGCCTCCCAGGTTCAAGCTATTCTCTGCCTCAGCCTCCCGAGTAGCTGGGATTACAGTCACCCGCCACCATAACCAGCTAATTTTTGTATTTTTAGTAGAGACGGGGTTTCAACATGTTGGCCAGGATGGTTTCAATCTCTTGACCTCAGGTGATCCGCCCGCCTCGGCCTCCCAAAGTGCTGGGATTACAGGCGTGAGCCACTGCACCTGGCCTTCTTCTACTTTTACTTTTTTTTCCTCTTTGGAGATTTTTACCTCCTCCCTCAACTGGTGTTATTATTGACCACTGGAAGCAGTAATAACAGCTACTGCAGTAACTCAACAACAAGATCAAAAGCCTTAGACACATTCTGCTGGGATGGGCTTGAGAACTAGCAGAGCATTTGGGGGCAGAGCTCTTGGCACCCAACACACACTCAAAGCTGTGAAGTCCATCCTTAGGGCCCCTCAATTCTGACTTTTCTCTTGAGTCTCCCAGTGTTCTCATGCTTTCCTGCCCCTCCTCCCCAATGCTGGAACAGCACTTCAGTCTGACCACCCAAGGGTCCCCATGCTGCAGACCTATCTCCCTTAAGATCCCTCATCACAATATATGTATCTAGTGGGTCATTTTTGGCAGGACTCTGTGCATTGTTAAAATGTCAGCAAATATCTGCAAAGGTGTTGGGGGCTGCTAATGGCCTGGTGAACTATTCTATTTTCGGGTCATGTAATAGACCAGTAAGGAAGATTCTCTAGGGCAGCAGTGAGTGGGCATTTCAAATTGACCAGATTTTGCCAAGTGAGGAAGGAGAAGAGTGTAGTGGTCGAATCATGGGCTTTAAAATCCAGAACTGGGTTTGAGTCCTAACTCTATTACTCACAACGTGTATGACCTTGCACAGACTGCCTAATTTCAGCAAGACTCAGTTTCCTCATCTGGGAAGTGGGTGTGAAAAGAATAAAAACAAAATAACAATGCCTACTACATAGAACTCTTGTGAGGACTCAATTAGATAATGCACATAAAATAATTTTTCACAGTGCCTGCCTGGCACAGACTGAGGACTCAGCAATTTCATTAGTTGGATTAATTGCATAATATTAATTGCCCCTCACTGCACAAGAACAGAGCCTTTGATCACAGGATTTGTGGATTGTAAGATGGAATAGGACTCCCTGTCTGCTAGGCTTCTAGGCCACTAGAGAGATCTCAGAAAGGACCTTTTAGGCCAAGTTCTTTGCATGTTCACTGGATGACAATCAGGGTGCTCAGAGGTATTTCTGAAATGGGCTTCCTCGTGATGGCGAGGTGGAGAGGGTGGATTCCATTATTCTTTGGCCTTCTAGTGTGTAAGAAAGGCCTCAGTGACAATTGTCCTGCAGCAAGTATCTGAGGCAGGCATCCCCTAGAGCCTATTTGGGCATCTGTTTGATGATCCAGATGTTCAAATACCCACAGGTGAGGGTGTGGAATGTAGAAAGATGATCTTCTCTCCCTGGTATGTCTTGCTGCTGACATCCATGGACATTTGGAGGGTTGACTTTGCCGAATTTGCTGAAGATGTCATTTTAAGTAGTGTGCCATCGCAGTAGTGAAGATGTGAAATTAATCTAACTGTCCATCAATAGATGAATGGATAAAGGAAATGCAGTATATATACACAATGGAGTACTACTTGGCTATGTAAAAGAATTAAATCCTGTCATTCACAGCAATGTGAATGAGCCTGGAGGATGTTATGTTAAGTGAAATAAGGCAGGCACAGAAAGGCAAATAATACATGTTCTCATTCATATGTGGAAGATGAAAAAGTTGATCTCATGGCGGTAGAGAGTAGAATGATAGTTACCAGAGACTGGGAAGGGTGTATGGGTGGCAGGGGTGAATGAAGAGAGGTTGGTTAATACAAACATACAGTTAGATAGAAAGAATCAGTTCTAATGTTCCATAGCAGAGTAGAATGACTATAATTAATAATATATTGTATATTTCAAAATAGCCACAAAAGAGGTCTTGAAATGTTCCCAACACAAATATTTGAGGTGATGAATATCTACTAAATACCGACTTGATGATTATATGTTCTATGCATGTAACAAAGTATGACATGTACCCCATAAATATGTACAAACATAATGTATCAATACAAAATTTCCAAATTAAAAAATATAATAATGTGCCACCAAAGCCATGCATCAGTTTCTGCTTTGGGTAGATACCCACCCAGGGCTCTCAGAGCCAGCATAAATGGCCATCAAGATTGTTCTCCTCCACCACTGCACTCCAGCCTGGCGACAGAGCGAGACACAGTATTTAAAAAAAAAAAAAAAGAAAGAAAAGAAAAAGAAAAAAAGATTGTTCTCCTCCTCTACCCAGGTTCCCGTGAGGGTGCTCACACCTGCTCCTAGGAGCACAAACAAACAGAAGTTCAAGGCTAGCTAGCTGGCCCTGGGCTTGCTGAGAAATGCTGCTGCTCTTGGCCCCTGCTGGGCAAATGCCAATCATTCCGTCTATATCCCACAGCCCTGATTTGTGCATGGACGTAGTTGTATCCTGGGTGGAACCTGGTATCAAACCCCTACCCCACCAAATGAACTCTGCCAATCAGTGGGGTGACTTTCCACAATGGAATCATACTGACTACTGGTGGACTCGTGGAGTAGGACTTCTGGAGCTCATTGTGTGATCTGAAGGGCAGCCATCTTCATTACGGAGTGTCCAAGGGCTGCATTTCAGGAGCTGGCTGGACCTCTGATGCCCTCCTGCCAACCTCCTGCAAGAAAAGAGGAAGCTGTGGGGTGATTATAGCCTCCTTTCCCCTGGAGGATACTTTATTTTGCAATTAAGGGGTATAGGGGCCCTTTCTGATACTTTCATTTTGGGTGGTTCCTCGTTCCTCAATGAGTTGGCGTCCTGGCATCAGACGCTCCCTCTAGAAGAATCCAATCACCACCACTCTCTCCCCTTACCACACCTCAGAATGTTCAACTCCAGGGCTCTTTAGCCACTGCTTGGTGGATGCACATACTCTTGGTTGAGGGCACAAAGTACAGCAATAGTTTGAAAGGCTGGGTGCAGTGGCTCATGCCTGTAATCCCAGCACTTTGGGAGGCAGAGGCAGGAGGGTTGCTTGAGCCCAGTAGTTTGAGACCAGCCTGGGCAACATAGCAAGACCCCCCCAACAAGAAAAGTTTTTTAAAAAATTAGCTGGGTATGGTGGCACATGCCTGTAAGTCCTAGCTACTCAAGAGGCTCAGGCAGGAGGCTTGCTTGAGCTCAGGAGTTCAAGGTTACAGTGAACTATGATTATGCCATTCCACTCTAGCCTGGGCAACAGAGTGAAACCCTGTCTCAAATAAAATAGTTTGAAAGGGGTTAAAGACATTGTCCTGAGGGTAGGGAAAGCCATCTCAAACAAGCTGAGCCTTTAAGGGGATTTTGCATGTTCTAACATTTTGGCAGGGTCTAATCAGTCCAGCTGACAATTTGCTTGAGAGAGTAGCAACTTAAGTTCTTCGTAAAGAAGTGCTTGCAGTGGGGTGTGCTGGGGGAAGGGAGCATATAATCCCCTCGTGTGCTTCTATACCAGGTCTGTGTTGCAGCTTACATGGCTCCAAACCTACCCCAGTTTTGGCTTCATCTGCAATTAGAGCTAGAGCCTCTAGGACTCTATTAGTCTTCTATTGCTATGTTACAAATGACAAAAAAAATACTGTCTTATGACAACACAAATATACCATCTCTCAGTTTCTATGAGTCAAGAGTCCAGACTGGGCTTAGCTGAGTCCTCTGCTCAGGGTCTCACAAGGCTCAATCGCCGTCAGGGCTGAGGTCTCCTCTGAGGTACAGGGTTATCTTTTAAACTGAATGGTTGTTGGCAGAATTCAGTTTTTTGAGGCTATAGGGCTGAGGTTCCTGATTTCCTTTTGTTCCCCCTCTGAGGCAGGGTCTCACTCTGTCACCCAGGCTAGAGTGGAGCAATCACAGCTCACTGCAGCCTCAACCTCATGGGCGCAATCAATCCTCCCACCTCAGCCTTAACTGGGACTACAGGTGTGCACCACCATGCCTGGCTACGTTTTGTATTTTTAGTAGAGACGGGTCTTCCTGTGTTGCCCAGGCTGGTATCAAACTCCTGAGCTCAAGTGATCCTTTGCCTCGGCCTCCCAAAGTGCTGGGATTATAGGCGTGAGCCACTGTGCCCTGCCTGAGGTCCCTGGTTTCTTGATGGCTGTTAGCTAAGGGGTTCTCTCAGCTACTAGAGGCCACATGTCATGTCCTGCCATGCCCTGCCATGTGGCCCTCGACAACATGGCAGTTGGTTACTCCAAGGCCAACAGGACAGCATCTGCTGCAGCTTTGATCTCTCTGGCTTCTATTATCTGATCTCTAAATCCTCCTTTTATTTACTCATGTTCAAATGTGTGTTTTGTTTATTTTTTCAACTTTTATTTTAGGTTCGGGGGTACATGGGTAGGTTTGTTACATGGGTAAATTGCATGTTACTGAGGTTTTGGGTATGATTGATCCCATCACCCAGGAAGTGAGCATAGTACCCTATAGGTAGTTTTTCAACGCTGCTCCCTCCCATCCTCTCCCCTCTAGTAGTCCCCAGTGCCCAGTGTCTGTCGTTCCCATCTTTATGTCCATGCGCACGCAATGTTTAGCTCCCACGTATAAGTGAGAGCATGTAAACCCTCCTTTTCAGAGGCCCACCTGATTAGGTTAGGTCCACCCACACTGAAGGAGAGGGGATTTACAGGACATGCATACCAGGGGGTGGGAATCTTGTGGGTCATCTTAGAATTCTGTTTACCGCAGACTCTGTGAAATACATTTCATCCTATTACATTGTTTAAAGAAAACCAACAACATGAGGCCAGCTGCTTTCCATTAGCATTCTCCATTCCGGGAGGGCAACAGAGCTGTCAGGAAAAGTCTTCTGAATCCCTGAAGCCAAATCAGGCTGTGGTTTAAAAAAATTCAACAACCTTGGAAGAAGGGCCTTTTCCCCTTTTTTCCCCTCTTTTTCCCCCAAAACCCTTGTTCAACCCTCAAATGAGCCAGTTTCAGAAGGAAAAGGCAGCTCTGGGGCCTAAGCATCTGGGGTTGGCCTAGAGAAGCAAACAAAGCACTTTAATAATGACTTGATAACGAGACTCGATACCTCTGCTCTGCCAGGTTTCCTGATAACCATTATTACATGACTATGTTTGGTCCTTGGAAGTGGTTCCGAAAGCCTCTCATAATTTACTGGATAAAAACATATAGTTCCTCTTCCCTCATTCGGTTTGCCAGCTTTTTCATGGGACTTCATGCAGAAGGGTCTTTTACTGAAAGTGTGTCTCAATGTGTCCCCATATGTTTAAAAAAGACCACTTTTCCCACTGATTTCTGTTTGCCACTGCAAGACCCTCTCCACCCCCTGCATTCATCCATCCACAAAAATATATAGTGAGCACGTCCTGCGTGCCTGGTATTGTGCTAGGTGCTGGTAATACTCAGATAATCAAAACATGGTCACTGTTCTCAAGGTGATATCAACTATGACAACAGGTATGCGCAAAGGTCTGAGAGCATGGGGCATGGGTGGCCGGTACCTTTGAGCTGGGTCTTGAAGCATATGTGTAATTTCAAGGATGTGGGAATTAGAGAGACGATGTTCCAAGCCAAGTGCACAACCTGTGTGGAACACAGAGAAAACAAAAGAACATGGTGATTCTGGGAGGTCAGAGCATGGGGCTGTGAGTCAGGGGTGGGCTGCTGGGAGACTGGACCCCCTCCAGTGGGCAGAGAACACCAGATTGCAGAGGGCCTTGAGTGTTAAGAACTTGGCTTTTATCTTGCAGGCAGCAGGAAGCTGGTGGACAAGTTTAAGCGGGGAGGCTCATGGTTATATTTCAGAGAGAACACTGTGCCTTTTTTGAGATTGTGAGGTGACTGTAGCTTTTTCTAAATATCATAAATAAACGTATAGCTCAGAGGAGGCAGCCCCAAGGTCACTACCAATGAATCATGGTATGATTAAGGGACAAATTTATTTTAAATTTTTATTAGCCATAATGAGGCACGTGAAAGAAATATACAGTGATGCCTCTAAAAGGAGACACTTGGGAAGGAAATTATTTAATAAGATCAGCTTGTGGGGGAAAAAGGACAGAAAAGGTGGTGGCTGGAAAGTAGGAAGAGGCAGCGTTTCTTTTATTGAAACATCTTTCTCCATGAGGGTCCAGACCTAGCCCAGCTGAATGGGGCTCCACACTCACGGTTCACGTGGCTAGGATATCTAGGAATGGGATCTGTGTATCAAGGGAAAGAGGGGTCCAAGAGTGCTTGATTCTGTACAGGTGAATAACCCAGGGCTGGGAGGGAAGACAGGTCTTGCTAAACTGGAAAACAAGGGGGTTCTTCTGCTAGGACAAGTCTTCCTCTGCCCCGTATAGCATGCCTCTGTGTCTGAAGAAATTTCTGACCACAAAGGTGGTTCTTTGATAGGAACCACTTTTTATTTTAATAATATATTTTACTTAACCCAATATAACCACCATATTATGACTATTTCAACATATAATCACTATAAAAATAATATTAATGATATATTTTACATTATTTTTGTTCACACTAAGCTGCCACATCAGCTGCATCAGCCCCCTGCTCCAAACCCCCCAGTGACTTGCCATCAAGCTCAGAGTGAAATCCACAAAGGTGGATTTTATTGAATTTTTCAATAAAAAATTGAAGAATTTTTTTTCTTTTATTGAATTTATGCATTCATTCAACAAACGTTTATTGAGTGCCTGCTATTCCCCTGACACACCACATCTGATCCAACAGTAAATCTTTTGCCTCTTTCATTCTAGGCACTATTCTGGGTCCTGGGAGATTCAATGATGATCAAAATAGACAAGGCCCCTGACCTTATGGAATTTACATTCTAGTTGAGGAGATAGACAAAAAACTAGTAATTAACATAGAATATAATTTTAGGCAGCAGTGAGGGCTATGAAGATGTTAATAAAGAATAATTGGCCTGGCACAGTGGCTCACGCCAGTAATCCCAGCACTTTGGGGGGCCGAGGTGGGCAGATCACCTGAGGTCGGGAGTTTGAGACCAGCCTGACCAACATGGAGAAACCCCGTCTCTACTAAAAATACACAATTAGCAGGGAGTGGTGTGTCACGTCTGTAATCCCAGCTACTTGGGAGGCTGAGGCAGGAGAGTTACTTGAACCCGGGTGGCGGAGGTTGCAGTGAGCCAAGATTGCGCCATTGCACTCCAGCCTGGGCATAAAGAGTGAAACTCCATCTCAAAAAATAAATGAAAAATAAAAAATAAATAAAAAAAGAATAATGGGATGGAGAGAGAGTGGGAGCATTTTAACTAGGATGATCATGGACGTGCTCTCTGGGGGAAGTAACATTGGATGCTTGAATGATGCAAGAAAGCCAGCCATGCAACTATGTGGGGAAAGAGTCCTCCAGGCAGAGAAAGCAGCAAATGCAAAGATCCTGAGATTGAAAGGGGGCATTACCAGGAGGGCCAGTGAGGCTAGGTGAAGGGATGAAGTAGGGGGGTAGCGGGTTTGGTGATCAGTGGAGCATGGGGGTGGGCTTGCATCACATAAGGCCCATGGTAAGGGGCTGGGATTTTACTCTCAGCTTGATGGGAAGCCACTGGGGATTTGGAGCAGGAGGCTGATGCAGCTGATGTGGCAGCTTACTGTGAACAAAAATAATGTAAAATATACTATTAATATTATTTTTGTAGTGACTATATGTTGAAATAATCATAATATGGTGGTTATATTGGGTTAAATAAAATATATTATTAAAAGCAGTCTCACCTGTTTCTTTTTTCTTGTTAAAAATGTAGCTACTAGAAAATTGAAAATACGTGGCTTGCAATTCTGCTCAGGTTAACTTTTCTATTTAATGGTGAGGTTCTAGGAAGTGATTGTAGACAAAGAAGAGAGCCAAGGACAGAGCCCTGCAGTGCTACATTTCAAAATCAGGGAGAGGAGAGAGATCCAGCAAAGGCGACCCAGAAGGAACAGCCAATAAGGTAGGAGGAAAATTAAGGGAGTGTGGTGTTCCAGAAGACAAGTGATAAAATTATTCAAAAAGAAGGGCGTGGCCAATCACGTCAGATGCTGCTGAAAGTTAAAGGAACTGGTGGATTCAGCAAGCGCAGTGTTGGTGGACTGGCTTGGAAGCAGTTCAGTTTGGAAGCCTGATTGGAGAGCTCACGAGAATAGAAAGTGAGGACATAAAGGCAGTAAGTATAGATAACTCTTTAAAGAATTTTACTTTAAAGAGATGCAGAGGAATGGGATGGTAACAGGAAGAGAATTTGAACTCAAGGGGAGATTTGTGTTTTGCTGTAGTTGCTGGGTTGTTTAGGAGAGGAGACAGTTCCACATGTCCAGCTGGATTGGTTGATGGTGGTGTTGTCAACAGAGTGCCTGCTAAAAGCCTCAGGGCTTTTAGGATTTGGTTAGGGAAATAAGGCAAGTATGCTACAAAGAATTTCAGACAGGACAGTCTAAGCTCAAGGGTTAAATGCAATGATTCTATTAGTGCTCTAAAAGTTCAGATGTAGCCAAGATGCCCTCTTTCTTTGTTCTCCCTCATCTTTCATATTTTTCTCTTTAGTGTTTTTTTTTTCCCTTTCTATCTTCTACACTTGACAGTGGTAGGTCAATGACAATGTTAGCCTACCATGGCCCCACATTGTGGTTAACGGGCTTTTTTTCCCACAGGCTTCTCTAAGATAGTTTATTTCCCCAATGTCTAAAAAGGCTTCTAAAGTGGCAGGGGTGGGGGTGCTGCTGTGTTTATTAAGATGGCCAGGAACTTACCAATGACACAAACTCCTCCTGTTCTCCCTCTGAATTTCCTAAGAGCTTTTGAATATTTTTTTTTTTTTTTGAGACAGGTTCTCACCCTGTCACCCTGGCTGGAGTGCAGTGGCATGATCTTGGCTCACTGTACCCTCGACCTCCCAGGCTCAAGTGATCCTCTCACCTCAGCTTCCTGAGTAGCTGGGACTACAGGCATGCACCACCACATTCAGCTAATTTGTTTTGTATTTTTTCTAGAGATGGGGTTTTGCCATGTTGCCCAGGCTGGTCTCAAAGCCCTGGGCTCAAGCAATCCACCCACCTTGGCCTTCCAAATTGTTGGGATTACAGGTGTGAGCCACTGTGTCCAGTCAGATGTTGAATTTTCCTTCCTCTTTGCTCCTGCCAGATCTCCAGATCTTGGAAAACTAGCAGAGACAGGAATGCCAAGGGTAAAGCCATTCATTCTGGGACAATGCATTGGTGTGTAAATCCATTGATGTGGGCTCTCCTGATGGTCTGCATATGATAAGAAAGGCGGTATGGTTATTGGAGTGGAGAGGGTGTGTGTGTGCATGTGTCTCCATGTGTGTGTGAGCGGGGTAATTATTGATCACTGTGTGGGCCTGGGACTCAAGTCATCTTTAGGCAGAATTGTAATATTAACTCATAAAAGTTGAGTGACTTAAAATATCAATACCTTTCAGCCAGGAACATACCTGTCGTTGAACAAATTGGGTTTATTACCTGTGGCAGTGAGGGGGAATTGTGGGGAACCACAGGGCATCTCAGTAAGTGGGTCTGAAGCAATCTTGACACCACAGCCCTGTCAGTTCTCATGGTGATTTGGAACCTTTTGCACTCCAAGGCTTCAGTCACTCTGGCTATGTGAACTCTCAAGTTCTCCTTAGCCTTAGAGCCTGTGGTCACCAGCCCCGCCCCCCGGCCCCCCACCTCTGGAGATACATCAGGGGTTTACAGCTAGAAAGCAGGACAGGATGGGCCTGAAGCCCACCCATGAAACAGCAATGGCAGCATAGCTATGTCTGGGAAAAGAGCAGATCTGGAGTGGCAAGGGGATTCCAGAATCTACTTAACCCCACTTTACAATAGTTCATTCAGTTACATCAAGACCTCAAGGAGAGTTATCATAGGCACAAAGTCTCTGCTTGCCTTTCTATGGCCTTCTGGCACAGATGACTATAGCACCCTTTCTCTGGGTTGTGGTGCTCCTCAGATCTCCCTCCCACCCCACCCCCACCCCCCACACAAACTTTCATCAAGAATGAAAGCATTGGGACAGGCACAGTGGCTCATGCCTGTAATCCCAGCACTTTGGGAGGCCAAGGCAGGGGAATCACTTGAGTTCAAGACTAGCCTGGGCACAGAGTGAGACCCCATCTCTCCAAAAAAAAAAAAAAAAAAATATATATATATATATATATATGTATTAGCTGGGCATGGTGGAGCACGCCTGTACTCCCAGCTGCTATGAAGGCTGAGGTGGGAGGATCTCTTCAGCCAAGGAGGTTGAGGCTGCAGTGAACTATGATTGCACCACTGCACTCCAGCCTGGGCAACAGAGCAAGGCGCTGTCTCTAAAAATAATGTCAGCATTGATTTCTAAAAGTTTGATTATCAACCGACATGCTTCCTTAGAAGCATGACATGGAGTGAGTCATGGGAGAACTATCCTTTTCATGATCACTTTGGTTGTTTCCCGTTTTTAACTATTGGAAACAATGCTGTGATACACATTCTTGTATGTATATTATTGTGTGCAAGTGTGACTATTTATCTATAAGGTAATGTTCGAGAAGTGATGTTCCTGGATCAAAAGGTATGTGCATTTTAAATTTTGATAGGTATTGCCAAATTGCTCTTTAGAGAGTTAGAACTACTCACTCCAGAGTGCATGAGAGTCCCTATTTTTTCCCACCTTCGTCAGCAATGTAATATCATCCAAATTAAGGATTTTGACAATCTGATAGATGACAATACTTATTTGATATGTTTATTTCTATCTCTTTAATTGTCAGTGGGATGGAGCCTCTTCATATGTGATTATTTGTATTTCTTTTTCTGCTAACTGCTTTGTAGTCTTTGTCCCTTTTAGACCAAGTTGTTTGTCTTTTATTGATTTATATGAGCTCTTTATAAATTAAGAAATTTGGCCCCTGTATCTGTTATATTTGTTGCTAGTATTGTTTTCTAGTTTGTCATTCTTTTATTGACTTATTTCTTCTCCATAAGTTTCACTTTTTTTTTTTTTTGAGACAGGGTCCTGCTCTGTCACTCAGGCTACAGTGCAGTGGCATGATCATGGCTGACTACGGCCTCAATCTCCTGGGTTCAAGTGATCCTCCCGCCTCAGCCTCCCTAGTAGCTGGGACTACAGGCACATGCCACAATGCCCAGCTATTAAAAAAAATTTTTGTAGAGATGAGGTTTTGCCATATTGCCCAGCCTCAACTCAAAACTCCTGGGCTCAAGTGATCCTCCTGCCTTTGCCTCCCAAAGTGCTGGGATTACAGGCTTGAGCCACTGTACCCGGCCTGAAATTTTCATGTAGTCAGATGTTTCAGTCTTTTCTTTATGGCTCTGTGTGTTTATCAAAACAATTTTGTCTCCCTGGGCACACCCGTGAATAGTAATAGGCATCCAGAGTTAATGGGCCCCAACCCACAAAACAATAGATCAGGTTTTTTGCATTTGTCTTTTTTTGGTAACAGCTTTATTGAGCTATAATTCACATACTATACAAGTCACCTATTTAAAGTATACAATTCAATGGTTTTAAATACAGTCACAGATTTGTGCAACCATCACCACGATCAATTTTAGAACATTTTCATCATCTCAAAAAGAAACCTTATCTGGGCACAGTGGCTCATGCCTGTAATCCCAGGACTTTGGGACGCCAAGGCAGGAGAATTGCTTGAGCTCAGGAGTTCTAGTTCAACATAGCAAGACCCTGTCCGTACTAAAAATTCAAAAATTAGTTGGGTGTTGTGGCATGCGCCTGTAGTCCCAACTACTTGGGAGACTGAGGTGAGAGTTTTGCCTGAGCCTGGGAGGTTGAGGCTGCAGTAAGCTGCGATCACACCACTGCACTCCAGCCTGAGTAACAGAGCAAGATCCTGTAAAAAAACAAAAAACAAAAAACAAGCAAACAAAAAAACAAAACAAAAAAGAAATCTTGTACACTTTACCAACGCCCCCCCCACCAAAACAAAACAAAACAAAAAACATCCTCCCAGCCCTGAGCAAGACATTCTCTGTGTCTACGTATTTGCCTATTCTGGACATTTTATGTAAATGGAATCATTTGGAATCATTGTCTTTTTTAAAGGAAGGATAATTCTCTGTAATGGCAATTCCATTTGTATATTTTTTCTAGGCTATTTTAAGAATATAACTGAAGGATAAGGGGTAGGGTGAAAGGATTGCATTACGCCCTGAATATCAAATGATGATATTTTGCTTTTTTGCTTTGTATTTTATTTTAGTCATCCTACAATGGCTGAATCACTAAGTGAAATTTCTGACAGTCTGGATGTTCTGGAGGCCGGTGATGAGGGTAAGTAACCCAATAAAACTTTGATAACCAGAATTAGATTTGTTTACTGTGTTTATTTAGCTCCTAGGACAAAGAAGCAAGGCACAAGAAAACAAGTTCAGATCATTAGACTCAGTCACGTTTACTTTTCAGTTTTCTAATTTCTTCTTTGGCACCTCCAACTCTGATAGTCAAAGATTTGCCTGAGGTCCTGCAATCTTCTTTGAAAATGGTTACCAGGTTTTACTTACTAAGGCTTTTTCTGCTTCATCAGAAAAAACCAATCAGAACAGACCATGATCTGACAAATTCAGCTGAGGTTTTGCTGTAGATAGTAATTCAGATCTAAGAAAGAGATTAATTTGTTGAGGAGTAAAAGGAGGTAGAAACAAAAGATGCCTCCACAGGCTTCTGTTAAATAGGATTAAATTTACAAAAATTCTCTTTGGCAAAACTTACTCGTGTATCCATTGCCTAAATTGTGGCACAATCTATGAGTGATAGGTGATCATGCATGGAATAATTAGAAAGGGAGGCAAATGTCACTAAACAATGATAAGCTTTACACACACACACACAATAAAAAGGAAATCATAAGATGCAATGTGAGACATTGAGTGTAAAGACAGAATTGAATTGAACAGTTCTTTGGGTTGTTCTTCCATTCTTTTGCTGAGTTTTCTTTAGTGGTGTATGGTACAGAAAACTTTGTCTGGAAGAACAGAGGGAAACCTCCTTGTGGCTTCCTGGGGGCCTGGCTTCACACATGATGTGGGGCAGGGGATGCTGAGAGCCTGATCACAGATTCTTAATGGCAGTGCTTGGGTCTTCTTCATCTCTGTGTTATCACTGTTTAGTATTGTGTCTCAGAGAGAGAGAGAGACAGAGAGAAAAAGAGAGAAAGAGATTAGGCACTCCAAAATATTTAATGAATGAATGAATGAATAAATGAGTGAAAGGCCTTCTCACCAAAGCAAACCCAACTACCAAACCAATTGACTTTTTGGATATGAACTAAACAGATGCCTATAAAAGAAGGTGGCAGCACAGGATATCTTGATGAAGAGTGGTAGCAACGAAATGCCTTTTCTCTGTTCTCAAGTTTGTTTTTTGTAAGACCAAATATTTGAGTACAGTTTTAGAAGTTTTAGAACTAGTCAGGGCTGGCCAGAGAATAAGGTGGCTGTTGGGAGGTTAAAGGGAAGAAAGTTTAGTTAGAAATGTTTTCTTTCCAGCTGGGCGTGGTGGCTCACGCCTGTAATCTCAGCACTTTGGGAGGCCGAGGTGGCTGGATCACTTGAGGTCAGGAGTTCAAGACCAGCCTGGTCAACACGGTGAAACCCTGTCTCTACTAAAAATATTTTTAAAAATTAGCCAGGTGTGGTTGCAGGCGTCTGTAGTTCCAGCTACTCGGGAGGCTGAGGCAAAAGAATCACTTGAAACTGGGAGGTGGAAGTTGCAGCAAGCTGAGATCGCGCCACTGTACTCCAGCCTGGGCTACAGAGCAAGACTCCATCTCAAAAAAAAAAAAAAAAAAAAAATGCCGGGCGCGCTGGCTCACGCCTGTAATCCCAGCACGTTGGGAGGCCTAGGCGGGCAGATCACGAGGTCAGGAGACCATCCTGTCTAACACGGTGAAACCCTGTCTCTATTAAAAATACAAAAAATTAGCTGGGCGTGGTGGCGGATGCCTGTAGTCCCAGCTTCTTGGGAGGCTGAGGCAGAAGAATGGCGTGAACCCGGGAGGTGGAGGTTGCAGTGAGCCGAGATTGCATCACTGCACTCTAGCCTGGGTGACAGTGCGAGACTCCGTCTCAAAAAAAAAAAATAATAAATAAAAACTAAAAAAATAAATTTCTTTCCAAGCAGCAATGCAAAAGAACAAAGTCATCATTATGCGATGTATTTTAAAAGCTCATTCATTTCAATTCAGATGGGCTGCCTGTATGCATTGTGGATAAGCAAATATACAACTTAGAGGCAACCATTTCTCATTAGATTTAGCTGTGTTTTCTTCCCTGGAGAAAAAACAGCCTTCAATGAGCTGTTTTCTGGCATGTGACACACTGCAGACCATGACTGGATGAGTATGTTGAAAGTTACTTGCTGCTTGGGAATGCATAGTCTTTGGGCTGAGACAGGGAAATCAGTGGCTTTGTTATAGAAGTCCAGACAGCTGTCAGCTCTCAGCTGTCAGCTCACTGACTGCAACTGCTGTACCCTGTGATGGCATAAGTTATCCAGTGTATAGGTGACCCATATAAACATTGCTGGGTACAAATGTGAGTTTTTACCCATACCTGCTGTCTAGATCTCTCTACTCTTTGTGCTTTTCCTAGATTTTGAAAAACAGCCTGTGGAGGGCTTAGCTGCTGGTGATTGAAAGGTGCCCCCACCACACTTTAAAAAAGAAAGCTTCAAAGGCCAAATTTATAGACTTGAATATATGGCAACCATCTCAGATTCCATTAGGGTTTCAAAAGCAACATAGCACATGGACAGTACCCAGCTTTGTATCTCACTCCCAGGGCTGAGACCAGGGCTCGTCTTCATTCATGGGATAGTGGGGGTGGGGGGTGTTGGATACAGTTAGGGATAGGGCGGTCTCCTAATGGAAAGCAGGCTGAAGACATAGACCCTTGCTACTGACATTGTATGTCTGGCAATGGGTTGTCACAAAGGCCGTATCCAGCTTTCAAGCCACTGACCTAGAGCAACAGCAGCCAACCTACCATATTTGGCAGTTACCATCTCTCCGTGTCTCCCCAGCTCCCTGCTAACAAAGCTATACCACCACCACACTCAGAGCCACACTACAGGATGGAATGGAAACATTCTTTTTCTTCTAGGGTCCATGGTTAAAAGAGACACCCATTGCTTTAGCTATTTTTGAATCTTTGCGGGAAAATAAGTTGTTTCTGCCCAGAAAAGAATGGAAAATTGGGGGGAAATTGGACTATATGCATACTTAACTTTCAGCACCTGTTACAGTTCCAAAGTCACTAGTCATTTTGTTAATTTAGGAACATAAAAATGTGTTAATGTACAATTTTTCTGCTCATACAATGATTGTTTGTTGAATTCATTATTACAGCCTAAATAGTTTATTAGACATGTTTTTATCCAGTTAGTCAGTGTTTATAGATTGTGTCACAAATGGCTATTAGCTGCTGACTCTCTTCTCCCTGTCTTTGCTGGATTATTAGAAGCAGGTTTGCAACTCAGGAATTGCTAGGGAATCCTAGCTTTGCTTTCCTCTCTTCCACTATGGGATTTTGAAGCAAGAGGGGCAACAATTGCTGTGTTTCTAAATCTTCTGAGCATAAAGTTGTTCCCCTTTCAGAAGGCCAGAATGAGATCCACCTGTCAAGAATCAATAAATCGTCTGGGCACAGTAGCTCATACCTGTAATCCTGGCACCTTGGGAGGCAGAGGTAGAAGGATCTCACTTCCTTGCCCAGGGGAGAGTACAGTGGCATTGTCATAGCTCACTGCAGCTTCAACCTCCTGGGCTCAAGCAATCCCCCTGTTTCAGCCTCCTGAGTAGCTGGGAGTGCAGGCACTAACCACCACCCCCAGCTAATTTTTCTTTTCTTTTCTTTCTTTCTTTTTTTTTTTTTTTTTTTTGAGATGGAGTCTCACTCTGTCACCCAGGCTGGAGTGTAATGGCTGGATCTGGGCTCACTGCAAGCTCTGCCTCCCGGGTTCGTGCCATTCTCCTGCCTCAGCCTCCCGAGTAGCTGGGACTACAGGCACCTGCCACCGCGCCCAGCTAATTTTTTGTATTTTTAGTAGAGACGGGGTTTCACCGTGTTAGCCAGAATGGTCTCCACCTCCTGACCTCGTGATCCGCCCGCCTCGGCCTCCCAAAGTGCTGGGATTACAGGCGTGAGCCACCGCGCCCGGCCTTTTTTATTTTCAATACAGATGAGGTCTGGCTATGTTGATCAGGCTGGTCTCGAACTCCTGAGCTCAAGCAATCCTCCTGCCTTGGCTTCCCAAAGTGCTGGGATTACAGGTGTGAGCCACCATGCCCAGCCTTAAATATTTTATTATTGTAGAAATTATTTTTTTCTGAAAACACTTTTAAAAGGGATCTTGCAGAAAATATACGTTTCCTATTTCATTTTCATTTTTTATTCTTTCTCTCTTTAGGTAGAATTGCCAAGTTTTCCCAACCATGCCCCTATATAGGCAAATTCTAGTAGATAAGAAATTGCCCAAGTCATCCAAAACAGAAATTACTTAAGCAGCAATTATCAAGCAAACAGTTCTATAATCTTTCGTTGCTCTACTCCATGCTGGCTTCTGCCTCCAATTATGCATATTGTACAGTTCACTATTCAGTTATAGATATGGGGCTGCTTCTAATGAGATAGAATTGAATCCAGCCCTGATAAACAAGTAATTACTGAGTCCCTAACACTAGCTCACATTTATTGAACACTTACTACATGCCAGATCATATGCTAAGCTCTTTACCTATGTCATCTATAATTTGCATCAACTCCTTATAAGGGCCAGTGTTTAAATTATCGTATGCTGAAGGATGACTCTGTTCAGTGGTCTCAAGTCAAAGGAAGTGACAAGCTGTGTTGGTATTCTGCGCTCCCCAGTGGACACAGCTGTTACTGCATGCCTTGCACTGTGCTAGTTGCTAAGGGGGATGCTAAGGAGGGCTTGCCTACAGCCTTGATGTAGGGGCGGTAGCTAAGACATAGGGAGCTATAACTTCTTTCTTTCTCACGGATACCCAGAACATGGTAAGTACTTGACCTTAATAAATATTTGTTGAATAGATGAATGAACGAATGAATGAGTGAGGAGGCTAAGAACATTCAGATGCAAAACTTTTGATGCTAACAGCCAAGTTTTAGGTGTTCAGAAGATAGAGAGAAGCATGAGTTTCACTGATTGGTGGGAAACTGGACTTAAGGCAGGCCTTGAAGTTTAGGAACCTTTACCCTGGCAGGCTCAGGAGTAATCGGTGCACAAATAAGTCATAGCATTTCAAAGCTAAAGGAACTCTAGTTCAGCATTTCTCAAAGTGTTTTTTGCCAGACATTCCGCTTACATACATTGGGAGATAATATTGTTGCCTGGTTTCTTGGAACTTCACCATATACATAACCATTTTGAAGTTTCAGAAAAGTTTTGTTGAAAAGCAGGCTACTGAACTTTGTCTAATCCAGAATTTTCCAGATTGACTGGACTACGGATCCCTTTCTCATACAACAAATCTTATGAGCATCCCTCTGAACACACTTTGGGAGATGCTGATCAGGTGCAATTCTTTAATTTTCCTGCTGAGTCCCAGAGAGGTTGAGTGACCTACTCCAGGTCACAGAGCTAATTGATAGTGAATTCAAGCCTAGGATTCCAGAATTTTCTGACTCTTGGATGGTGCTTTCCATTACACCATTAAGCCTTTCATGATGGCTGCTGCATTGGCAACTCCCTTGTCTGGACCCTTCATTGCCAGCACAGAATTGCTGTGCTGATGAGACCTTCTGGAGACCAGACAGTTGAGACTTGGAATGAGACAACTTAGTTGGCACTTGTTGCATGTGAAATCAATAAGAGCTAATTCCTTCCCTTTGAAGAATGCAGCACGAGCCCTCTCCCCCTTCTCCCCTTTAGTTTCTTAATAAGCACAATAAAGACATATGTGCTTATTAAGAAACTAAAGAGGCCCGGCGTGGTGGCTCATGCCTGTAATTGTAGCACTTTGGGAGGCCAAGGCGGGTGGATCACTTGAGCCCAAGAGTTCGCGTTTGAGACTAGAACTCAACTCTAGTTCTAGAACTCAACTCTAGTTTCTAGAGCGTCGTCTCTACAAAAAATCCAAAAATTAGCCACGTGTGGTGGTGCGTGCTTATAGTCCCAGCTACTGGGGTGGGACTGAGGTGCAAGGTGCAAGGTGCGAGGATGGCTTGAGCCCAGGAGGTGGAAGTTGCAGTGGGCCGTGATCATGCCATCACACTCCAGCCTGGGTGATAGAGTGAGGCTCTGTCTCAAAAAAAAAAAAAAAAAGTAAAGCCCAAACAGACAGCACCTTAAGGGCATTTAAAACTCACACTCCTCACTGCTGCCCTGGTAATTATTATAGATAGAGCAAACTCTCATTTATCTGCATGTGCAAAGGGCAGCAGCCCTGTAGATAATCCAAACCAATTGGCAAGACTTGAAGAACACACACAATGATCATCATCACACACACACACACACACACACTCCTTGAAAAACTCTTTGGTATCTGATTTTGACATGCCTTTTACACAGGCAGCTTCTTTGCCTGGGCAGCCCTTTCTTCTTTCTGATTCCCGGCCATCTCCCTTGCTCATAAATTCCTTCCTCAAGGAAGTGTTCCTGGACTGCACTAACCAACCGCACTCACTCTTTGGGTCTGCATCCTTTGAGCACGCAGGCTAGGAAGTATCAACTGCCACTTAGACTTGGATTTCTAAGGGTTCTGAAGTGTTTTTCACATGTGGGAGCTTGGCTCTCCTATTGGATTGCAATGACTCCAGCCACTGGGGTAGAGTCAGGGGAGTACTAAGTGCTTTCATTGCCTCAATCATTGCTTCACATGAATGAACTTCTTAGGACAAAGAAAGAGGTGTATATGTTAATAGCTGAAATTGAGAGGCAAGTGAATTCCTAGTGAGTTTGGCCTGAATAGCAGCTGCCCAGAGATGACAAGCTGTGGCCTGGGCTTCTGCTTTTACCAGTAACTCAGACACTTTGTTACTGAGTTATTAAGGGGACGACTAATCAAATGAATGTTGAAGGGTGCTGTCAGCATTGGGGTTGAGTCCAAGCTCTGCAGGACACCTGGGTGGGATCATGGTCCTCTTTCCTCTCATGAAGGCTCTTTTTCCTCTCCTGTCTTCCCTTCTACCATCACACTCTGCCTCATTTTCATTTTTCACTTCCAGGAAAGAAGAAATGCAAATTTAAAGCCCTTAAGAGCTTTTTTGTTAAGAAGAAGGAAAAAGAAGCCGAAGATACCCAGGAAGAAGAAATGCTAGAACTGAGCTTGTCCAGCAGCAACATTAACATCTCTTCTCTGCAGCCCGTTCGGGAAAATCAACCAACTAAGGCCAGGTGAGCTCAGATGCGGTGGAGAGTGATGGGGACAGGGGAAGAGGCAGGCAGTTGGATCTAGGTCACCTTTCGGCAGCCAAATCACCAGGGACACCAAGAGTCCCCACCTGTGGGGGCCAGGCTTGCAGCCATTGCCAATGCAGTCATGTCCGGGGGAGGGGGGTGGTGCTTTTCTCTGTGTGCATATGCATGTTTGTTGTCTGAGCTGCACATCTCAGTGGGTTGGAGCATGGCAAATGCATACCCCACTTCCCGAGAGCACTGAATAAGAGGGTGCAGATATTCAGGGAAGCCCTGCCTGTCGCAACTAAAATAACTTGAGATGTGGGGCCTGCAGCCAATGAGGAGCTGAAGGCCTGTTTGATCTGGTAAGAAGGGCCTACGTCATTCAGGAGGCTTGGTCTGGTTTGCTTGCCTGGCTCTCAGACTACCGATCTAGCCAAGATCTCATAACAAGTGATGAAAGCCTCCTATAGTAAAGCTATCTAGCTGGGAGTGGGGTGGGTCATGAGCATGAGATCACTGTGTTGCTGTAAAAACACACATGCAAGCAAACAGCCCAGATCCCTTTCTCCCTCCATTTCAGGAGACTAGGGGAAATGCTATAGTCACAGGGGGCATGGGGAAGACTGTTTCCAGCTACCACTGCCACCGCTGTTCAGATATTCATCTGCAGTGCCCAAATTTCCACATCCTATTGTGCTATCTGGACACCTAGGATTCCCAGCTGTCTCTGGATCAATCAGATCCCCCTCTATGAAGTTCTGCTTAGGCCTGTTCTTCTGGCCTTAAATGCCAGACTTATCTGGACTCCCCACAGAGCTCACCAGTCCTGCTGCCCGCTCCAACCAGGCAAAGCCTTGAGGGAATGAGGCAGTTAGCTGACATGTTATACTGTCCCCAATATCTCCCCCAATACATTCTATAACATAATGGCCTGATAGTTATCATATATGGCTCCTTAAGAACAACCTTCATGAGTGCATCCAGTGTAAGGAATTTCAAGTAGTCTTGCTGGGAGTAGGGCAGACGGTTTTGAAAGAGGGGCTTATGTAGTACCTCACAAGTAATACTATTATAGCCCATTGCCTTGCAGTGTTCAGTAAGACTAAGACTAGCCCTGCTAAAACCCAGGGGGAGGTCAGGGAGGGGCATTCAGGTTTACTATCTCTGCTAAAGTTCTACATTTCTCCCTTTTACTTGTTCCTTCCTTTCCAGAAGTGTGTGCACATGTGAACCTGAGAGAGAGAGAGAGAGAGAAGGGGGGGATTTTTTTGTGTGCAAGGAAATTCAAATAATATAACTTAGGGGGCCTGAAGATCACCCCTGGTCTCAGTCTTCTGCTTAATGTGCTAGGGGAAGAAACCCTGGAAAATGTCACTCCGGAGAAGGGAGATCAGCTTTTTTCATTCACTGAAGCAATTAGTCATAACGAAACTTATGACCAGCCTTCCCCTGGCCTGTACCATAGGACCAGCATCTATTTCCAAGACTGTATTAAGCCGTATCTGATGGAATGGACAAATCCCGTTCCTTCATTTGATTTCTTAATGAGTGCTGTTGTAATAATATACTTCACTGCCCTTAATTAAGGCTGAGATTTTGTTTGGGAGTTTTTATTTTTATTTTTATTTTCGCCTCCAGGGAACAGATCAATGAGCACAAGATATGTTAAGTGGACAAGAGTTTTCATTTCTGACAGACTTGGCCACAACTGGTGCTAATTTAATCTTTTGATCAGGGAGGGCTTGGCACTATAGAGCCAATTCAACCATTTCACTTTGGTTAATGCACAGCATGGAAATGAGAGACATTTCTAAGCCCACTCATAGCCCAAGATTTCCTCTCACTTTTTCTGCAAAAAGCAGAGGAGGCAAGGTAGTCACAGATGCTACACTGGTTCTGAACCTGATTTGAGCCAGTAGATCATAGAGCAGCAGTGAATGAAAGCGTGTTATATGTGCATACTGAGCGTATGCGTGTATATAGAGATGTCTGGAAACATTACATTCTCAATGCTGGATCAATCATATATATATCCATTAAGTGTTTATCTAGAGAGTCACAGTAATTTTCTGCTGGACTGCTGTTTTATAAAGCAGACTACGTTGCTTCCAACACCAGGGCCACCTGGATAGCAGAGTTTTATAGGGAAAAGGTAAGTAGGAGTTTAGTAAAAAGCAGCAGACATCTCTCTCCTCTCCTCTCCTGTTGGCCCACAAGCCATCTTAGAGCGGGTTCTGTTTTAATCCCCATAACATGAGATTGTCCTTATAGTGTGTCATTATCAAATATATCCATATGAAGTCCCCACAGGCTCATAATGACAGGGCAGGTGCTAGCCCCACAATGCCCAAGCTGCTACTCTAGTTACCATTTGAAGATTTTTTTTAAGTGCTAACATAAATGTATTGTTTTGTAATAAAGATAATAAGTACAAAAAGGGCATTTAAACATTTTAAAGTTTATTTTATCTGTTTTTAAACATTGCTACCCCTCCCTAAAAGAAACCCTGTACCAATTAACAGGTTCCCCCCTAAATAACCACTAATCTACTTTCTGCCTCTATAAATTTTCTTATTCTGGATATTTCATGTAAGTGGAATCATACAAAGGTTGTTTCACTTAGTATGTTTTCACTTAGCATGTTTTCAAGAGTCATTCATGTTGTAGCATGTATCAGCTTACTTGCTTTTTTCTTCTTTTCTTCCTTTATTTTTTCGTGTCTAATCTCATCTTTTATATAAACATACACATTTTCTCCTACCTAACAGGAATAACTTTTATCATTTAAAATTTTTATGTTTCTATATAACAGCTTTCTTGAAATATAATTCACATACTACAAAGTTCTACCTTTTAGCATGTGCAGCTATCACTATTACCCAATTTTAGGACATTTTGTCACCCTAAAAAGAAACCCTGCGCCCAGTAGCAGTCATTCTCCATTCCCCTATCCTCTTTCAAACCACTGATCTGCTTTCTGCCTCTATGGATTTGCCTATTGGGAACATTTCCCATGAATGAATTATACAATATGTGGCTATTTTTGACTGGCTTCCTTTCACTTACTATGTTTTCAAGGGTCATTTATTTAAAATCATGCATCAAGAACTTGATTTCTTTTTTGGTAGCAGTTTTATTGAGATATAATTCATATATTATACAATTAAACCACTTAAACGGTAAAATTCAACGTTTTTTGTAAATCCACAGAGTTGTACAATCATCATCATAATAAATTTTGGAACTTTTTCATCACCTCAAAAATAAACTCCTGTACCCATTGACCAGTCCTCCCTATTCAACCTTCCCCCAACGCCCGCCAGGCCCTAGAAATCATTAATCTGCTTTCTGTCTCTGTGGATTTACCTATTCTGGACATTTCACATGAGTGGAAGCTGGTCTTTTCTTATTGACTTCTTGTACTCATTATAATGTTTTCAAGGTTCATTCATGTTGTAGCATGTATCAGAATTTCATCCTTTTTGCTACTGACTGTCCATTGCATGACTATACCACATTTTATCCATTCATCAGTTAATGGATATTTGGGTTGTTTCCACCTTTTGGCTATTGTGAATAATACTGCTGTGAACATTTGTGTATAAGTTTTGGGGCAGATATATGTTTTTATTTCTCTGGGATATATACCTAGGAGTGGAATTGTTGGGTCAAATGGCCGTTATATATTTAACCTTTTGAGGCACTGCTAGACTGTTTTCCAAAGTGGCTGGACCACTTTAACACCAGCAATGTATGGGGGCACCACCAGCAGTGTATGGGTGTTCCAATTTCTCCACAACCTTGCCAATGCGTGTTATTATCTGAATTGAATTTTTCATTCTAGCCATTCTAGTGGGTGTGAAATGGCATCTCATTATGGTTTTGAGTTGTATTTCCCTGCCAACTGGTGATGTTGAGCATCTTTTCATGTACTTGTTGGCCATTTATATATCTTTGGAAAATATATTTGTATATCTTTCTTGTTTGGAGAAATGTCTATTCACATCTTTTTTTATTTTCTAATTGGGTTATTTAAATTTTTATTATTGAATTCCTTAAGAATTCAATAAAAAGAATTCCTATTAGTAAGAAAGAGTTCTTTATATGTTTCAGATCCAAGACTTATCAGATATATAATTTGCAAATATATTCTTCCATTACGTAGGTCATCTTTTCATTTTCTTCCTAGTAACCTTTGATGCACGAACATTTTTAATTTTTATGAAATCCATTTGTATTAGTCCATTCTCACTGCTATAAAGAACTACCTGAGACTGGGTAATTTATAAAGAAAAGAGGTTTAATTGACTCACAGTTCAATCATGGCAGAGGATAAAGGGGAAGCAAGGCACGTCTTACATGGTGGCAGTAGAGAGAGAGTGCAAGCGGGGATGCCACACACTTTTAAGCCATCGGCTCTCATGAGAACACACTCACTATCACGAGAACAGCATGGGGGAAACTGCCCCCATGACCCAATCACCTTCCACCAAGTTCCTCCCTCGACATGTGGGGATTACAATTTGACATGAAATTTGGGTGGGGACACAGAGCCAAACCATATCACTATTTATCTATTTATTTTTTCTTTTGTTACTTGAGCTTCTGGTGTCATATCTAAAAATCCATTGCCAAATCCAAGATCACAAAGATTTACTCCTATGTTTTTTCTAAGAATTTTATAGTTTTAGCTCTCATATTTAGGCCTTTAATCCATTTTGAGTTAATTTTTAAAATTACACTTTAAGTTCTGGGATACATGTGCAGAAAGTGCAGGTTTGTTACATAGGTATACATGTGCCATGGTGGTTTGCTGTACACATCAACCCATCATCTACATTAGGTATTTCTCCTAATGCTATCCCTCCCCTAGCCCCCCACCCCACAACAGGCCCCAGTGTGTGATGTACCACCCCCCATGTCGATGTGTTCTCATTGTTCAGCTCCCACTTATGAGTGACAACATGCGGTGTTTGGTTTTCTATTCCTGTGTTAGTTTGCTGAGAATGATGGTTTCCAGCTTCATCCATGTCCCTGCAAAGGGCATGAGCTCATCATTTTTTATGGCTGCATAGTATTCCATGGTGTATATGTGCCACATTTTCTTTATCCAGTCTATCACTGATAGGCACTTGGGTTGGTTCCAAGTCTTTGCTATTGTGAATAGTGCTGCAATAAACATACATGTGCATGTGTCTTTATAGTATTTTTATATATGTTGTGAGATAAAGGTCCAACTTAATTCTTTTGCATGTGGATACCCAGTTGCTCCAGCACCATATGTTGAAGAGACTATTCTTTTTTCATTGAATAGTCTTGGCACCCTTGCTGAAAATCAACCATAGATGTATAGGTTCATTTCTGAACTCTCAACTCTATTTCATTGATCTATATGTCTATCTTTATGCTAGTGCTACACTGTCTTGATTACTGTAGTTTTATAGTAAGCTTTGAAATTGAAGTATAAGTTATCCAACTTTGTTCTTCTTGTTCAAGATTATTTTGGCTATTTGTGGTCCCTTGCATTTCACTATGAATTTTAAGATCAATTTTCTGGAAAAAAAAAAAAAGCCAGCATGAAATTCAATAGCTATTGCATTGAATCTGTAGATCATTTTGTGAAGTACTGCCATCTTAACAAGTTTAAGTCTTCCAATGAATGAACATGGGATTTCCTTTCATTTATTCAGGACTTTGGCATTTTTTCTCATCAGTGTCTTATAGTTTTCAGATTATGAGTTTTGCGCATCTTTTGTTAAATTGACTTTTAAGTTTTTATTCTTTTGTTGCTATTGTAAAGGGAAGTGTTTTCTTAATTTCATTTTCAGATTGTTCATTGCAAGTGTATAGAAATACACTTGCATCCTTCAACTTTGATGAATTCATATATTCTAGTCATTTTTAGCGTATTCATTAAGAGTTTTATACACAAAATTATGTCATCTGTGAATAGAGATAATTTCACTTCTTCCTTTCCATTCTGGATGGCATTAATTTCATTTTCTTACCTAATTTCCCGGTCTATAATCTCCCATACAGTGTCGAATAGAAATGATAAAAGCAGTCATCCTTGTCTTGTTCCTGATCTTAGGGGGAATATATCCAGCCTTCACCATGATGTTAGCCGTGGTTTGTCACAGATATCTTCTATCAAGATTGAGTGCATTTATCATGGAAGGGTGTTGAATTTTACAAATGTTTTTTCTGCATCTATTGAAATGGTCATATAGTTTTTGTTTTTATTCTATTGATACAGTGTTTGGCATTCACTGATTTTCATACATTAAGCCAATCATTCCTTGTAAATCCTACTTTGTCATGGTATACAATTCTTTTTATATGCTGTTGGATTCAGTTCGTGAGTGTGTTATTGAGGATTTTTGTGTCTATATTCATAAGAGATATTGGTCTGTAGTTTGCTCTTCCTGTGATGTCTTTGGTTGAAATTTTTTAAAGGTAAAATACATTACCACACTCCAAAAAGGAGTCTTTCATGTCTTTAGCCTTTCATTTGTTTTTATCTTTCTTCTGATTTTTCTTAACATGTAATTATCATCAACCTGGCACCATTCCCAATCAGAAGGTATTTTCATCTGGATTTAGCAAGCTTGGGGAAGGGAGGTGCAGGTGGTACATAGGATGACTTTGAAAATAGGATAGATATATTGTAGAGCTCTTGTGTGAAAGAGGAAAGGATCTGATGAATTAAAGCCTTGTGTATCTGTGAAGATCTTTGATTTTTTTTAAATCAAAACAAAAACACGAGAGAAATTTGGATGTGAAAGATCTTTTATAATTCTCACTGTAATAATAACAAAACTCATGGCCTTTCCTCCCATTCCCCGGAATTGCCACTATTGAATTATATACTTTAAATGGGCAAAATGTATGGCATGTAAACTATATCTCAGTAAGACTGTTATGTAAAAAGGATATATGCTCATAATGTAAAAATTAAAATTATACAGAAGGACATGAAGTAGAAAATGAAAATTTCATTCCTGTCCCTAGTGCGCCATTCCTCAGAGGGAACCACCTCTAACAATTTGTGGATATCCTTCTAGACTTTTTTCTTTGAATATGAACTATATATGTGTGTATATATTAAATGGGACCATACTATTATCTTTTTCACTTACTATCTCATGAACCACTTTCTATGTCAGCACATATGCATCCCTGCTCTCCTTCTGAGGTATCTATGGTAGGCCATATTATGAATATACATTTGTCTTCAGTTCCCATGGCCCTTGGGTTGCTTTTACAAGACCTTTCCTTTCTGTCCAGGGCCAAGAGCAGCATGGGGAGCAAAGCCCTATCCCATGATAGCATCTTCATGTTGGGTCCTGAGCCTGAAAGATCAGCAAGTAAAATGTTTCCTTCTATGGATCCCCAGAGAGGCAGACCTCAGCAGGTAATAGTGGACTCGAGCATCAGTGTCTAATTGGACTACTTCTCTTCTGTTCCCTACTCTAACCCTGCCAAAATTAAAAGGAGTGGGAACTTGGTTCTGCTTCTCAGCTGATCCTACCCCCACAGGGCTGTTGTAAGCCTTGAGTGACAGAATGTATAAATATATAATGTGCCTATTACCTGGCACACAGTGTTGATTAGTATTGCCATATTCACTTCTTTTTTTTTTTTTTTGAGACAGGTCTCACTCTGTCACCTAGGCTGGAGTGCAGTGGCATGATCATGGCTCACTGCAGACTCAACTTCCCAGGCTCAGCTTCCCGAGTAGCTGGCACTACAGGCCTGTAACGCCTGGATGATTTTTTGGTACTTTTTGTGGAGACAGGGTTTCACCATGTTGCCCAGGCTGGTCTCAAACTCCTGGGCCCAAGCAACCCTCCCGCCTTGGCCTCTCAAAGTGCTGGGATTACATGCGCGAGCCACCGTGCCTGGCCTATATTCACTTCTCTTAACACACCATAAGAATAATTATTTTGGCAGCAACATTCCACTGTTTATGTGCTGGCATACCAATCCTCAAGTTTTTTTCTCTCTCTCTTACACAGAGATCCCATATTTCCAGAACTCTGCCTAAACCTAGGAGTAAGGTTCCTGGAGTTGTGTCTGGAGCCATGTCAGGAGCTGTGCTTCAAAATGTGCCTACAAGTGCAGTCTGGGTTGCTGGCCCCAAGATCACTGAGGTAACAAAGTGGAATTGTTCAGCGCATGGGCAGCTGAGTCAGAAAGACAGATCTATGCTTGAATTCCTACTCTGCTACTTACTGGCTGTGTGACCCCTGGGCTAGTTGATTAACTTCTCTGGGCCTTCTTTTCCTCATCTACAGTGGGTATAATATTAACATCTACCTCAAAGGGTTGCTTGTGAGGATTGAATGAAGACTCAGAGAAGTTAAAGATATTGCTCAAGCCCACCCTGGTAGTAAATTGTAGACTTGGAAATCTGACCCAGGTGTATTAAACTCAAACCCCATGATCTTTCCATTACCCCAAGATGCTCAACTTCTTTATACCTGCCTGGACAGAAAGAAGGGTACACCTTAGCACCTACATAATGTAGCATGTATGTAGCATCTTGCCTCCAGCTAATCCTAAACTTATGGTAGGGATCCATTGCTCAGTCAGAGTATAGCTCTGATCCAGAAATGCTTCAGGGGGAGCTGAAGATATTGTCAAGGAGACAACCCTTAACAGCTGCCTTCCCCGTCTCAGCCTGTGGGTGGAATTATGCCCAAAGGTCCCTGTGTAAGTGGGAAGAGAACAAGGAGGAGACCCTTCTCCATTGGAGAGATGATTATTTTCCATTTGGCAAAAGGTAAGTGGGGCTTATTTCTGACATGTCTGTTAAGACCCCACATCTCTCACTCTGGTTTCCTTTCTTCTGGATCCTTTAGCTATAGAGGAGAAAACACTGAGATAGACACTAATGGTGTTGACCCTAAAGTTGTTAAGCAGCCCCTAGGGTCAGAAGACTATTTCCCTCTTGTACTACAGCAGGAAAAGTCACTTCCATGAAGTATTCAATCTTCAGTTTTAAACATCAACACTAGCTTTCACTCACCTCCATAGTTACACTCCCTGCAGCCTCATGACCATGACCAAGTGGCAACAGGGTTCTCACATTCAGAAAGAGGAAACTGGTTTCTTGGACTCCTCCTTCTTTCCCCTCCTCTCTAAGTCCCAGCAACAGAGAGACTCATATAGCAGAGATATTCCATTTTTTTAAAAAAATTATTTTTTGTGAAAATTAAAGGAAAATATTCTAGGGGCATTACTTCTCACAAGGAAGTGGTTGGGGAAGGCCACAATAGCCTAAAGGCAAGCTTTCTTAAATGTTTGGCTTGGGCCTATACCTCACACTTTTGGCCTGATCCCTTAGTTGATACCCTGGAAAACAAGGCTGAAGACAACATAGGGTATTAATAGGACCTAAGTTATCAACAACCAACCTGACCTTTGCATGGGAAATTTCCCTTAAGTACCAAAATGACAACCCCAATGGAAGGATGGTTGATAGCATTAAGTCAAGGGTCCTGACACCCAGTGCTACATAAAAGCTGGGGCAAGCATGAAATTGGCCAGTGGGGTCAATTCCCTTGAAGGGGCAGGATTCTAATGGATTAAGTGACATTCAGAACAACGAGGAGATTGTTAAAGAAGAAATCCAGGTATACAGTTATGTCAGAAATACTGACACTGAGCCAATTTTATTTCCTGCCAGATTTTCACCTAATGTCCTATCTGAAGTGTTAGGAATGTGGATGCCTACATTACTCTCCAAGACATTTTCTGTTCCCTTTATTTGAGCACAAATAGTTAAAAAGATACAATGGCAGATTATTAGCATCTTGCTGTTGTTGAATCAAATTGAATTTAGTCATTTAAGAAACTGAGACTTCAAAACAGTTTTTCTTACTGCTCACGGGCTTGACTGTCCCTCAGCCCTTCTTAAGGAAGCAGGCACACCATATGTTCTGGTTGTTGCCTTTAAACGTCTTGAACTTGGGCTTCAGTATGGGCTCTCCCTTTTCTGGCTCTTATAATTAGGAGACACGAGTTCACAGTGATCAAGAACAAGGGCTATCAAGCTGGACAGACCTTTCAAATGCTTGCTCTGCCACTGAAAGAATTAGGGCAGGTTACATCATCTCTCAAATTTTGTTTTCCCCGTCCGTAAAATGGAGCCCACAATAGCAAATGCTTCAAAGAATTGTTGTGAGGCTTCAGTGAGATGTATCTATGGAGAGCACTCTCTGCTTAGCACATTGTAAGCTCTTAGTAAAAGTTAGTTGTCATTATTGTAATTATTATTATTAAAGCTGGGCTTGGAATTGGTTGATATGGCCTCTCCCCAAGAGCTCCCAATGGGGCCTGGTAGTAATAAGGAAGCACTGGAGACACTGGCCAGGAGCACCCCAGGAGCACAACCTTTGTAAGCTTCACTGTGGTTCCTTCTTTGGCTACAGTGTCTGAAGGCTATCTGCCCTGAGCTGAGCAGAGTCTACAACAGAAGCAAGTATGTCAGCTTCATGACCACAAGAATTTGTTTTGTTTATTGTTGTAGGCCCATTTCCTGGAATGGGGTGTAATGCATTGCAGATTCTTGGCCAGTATTTGTTAAAGATAAAAAGCAGGGATTCTGACCCACATCAAGAGGACCATGGCAGGGACCAGTGTCTCAAAGTCAAGTGTACCATTTTCTTCAAAATGGAATCAACTAAATTGTCTGCTGAATCCCAAGGAAAGCCCAAATGATAAATTTTTGTCCCTTTAGGAAACCATTCCATAGATTTTCTTTAAAATCTATAGATTTTTAAATTCTGTAGATTTTCTTTAAAATCCCAGAAAATCATTATTGACATGATTAAGATAAGCAACTAACACAGTCAAGATTCAATCCAAATAATTCCTTGAATAATAGGAGCAAAGAGTGCAGTTTGGATGCCAATTCCAGGTCATAACTCAAAAGACTCGCCTCTATGAGAACTGGACTTCCAAAGTCAAATTCAGACATTAAAACAAAGATCAGAACTAAATGAGATTTGTATTTAACATCAGTAAGGAGATAACATCAGGATTCTGATCTTGCACGAACAAGCAATTTGAAGTTTCTGTCTTTGTTTGGGGATTGGCAAAAGTGTGCAGCACCCCAGAGGGGAAATCAAGGCTAGTAGTCTTTGGTTTGAGTAGGTACTAGGAATGAAGACGGGGAGGTAGGAAATTCTTCCCTGGGCTTATTTTTTTCACTTTGGATTCTTAGTCCTTCAACCAACTTTGGATTCCTTACTCTTATTAAAGAATAAGAGAAAACCACTAATTTGAGGAAGAGAGCACAGGTTTTAAATTGTTCCTTCTATTCTCCCTCTTGACAGAACCCACCATCGCGCCGACGCCGACTCAGCATCATCCCACCTGTTATCCAACCTGAAATAATTTCTAAGAACTTGGTAGAAATCTCTCTCGATGATGAGTCACCTAAGAATCCACAAAAGAAGGCTTTACCACATAAGAGTTTGACAGCGACTCAGGTGAGTATATATTAAGGGACAGGTTGAGGGGCCTCACAGATCAGAGGCATAACTTCTTCTTGTATCATCTATTCTCCCGCTGGAGCTCAACACTAGGGGGATGATTGGGGAAGGACCTGACATTCTTGGCTTTTGATTTGCATGGTGGTTTTCCATCCAATTCTACAAACCAAATAATCACCATTTTAATGTATAAGCAAGGGAAGATAGTATTTTCGAAAAAATAATAGTTTGCAGATGTTTTGAGTTATTTCATGAAGATAAAAATACAGACTTTTACTGAAGCATAGACTCTACACTTAGAAATCCAAAAAAATCAGAGGTTAGGACATATAGTATTATTTGATAGACACATATCCATGTGAAAAATCAGTTGACACGTGAGAGGGCGATGTGTCTATTTCATATGTCTAGGTTTGTCAACCAGATAATATCAATCAGCGTATAATAGTGTGTGCTCATATCAACACTTCCATTCTCAAACTAATGTGTGTTTAATTGAATTGGTTGTTGGTGAACTTGAAAAGGCTCTGAGAGTGAGGTAGAGTTTAGAATGATTAACCTTTGGAAATAAAAAGTAAACAGAAACCTAATTTATAGGGAAGAGAATTGGCCAGTCAGAACAAAACTCTATTTTGATGTTAAAAGATCCTATGAAGTGAAGCAGCCCTCAGTTAGATATGTCAACAAAGAAATTAGGTTAAAACCAAAGTTAAAGCACAGACTGGTAGTAGGTGGATGGATGCTTATTGTTTTATGGATCTGGGCTATGACTACAAGTATTTTCTGCAGAATGCCACTAAATCAGATGAATTGGGATGTATAATCTGAACTAGTGGAAGGATTGAATTAGATAACATTTTTTATTGTAGTAAAATACAGATCACATAAAATTTACCATTTTAACCATTTTAAAGTATACAATTCAGTGACAGTACATACATTCACAATGTTGTACAATCATCACCACTATCAAGGTCCAGAACCTGTTTGGTTCTCCAAAATGGAAACCCCGTTCCTATTAAGCAGTCATTCACCATTCGTATCTCCCATCAGCCCCTGACAACAACTATTCTGCTTTCTATCTCTGTACTTGCCTACTCTGGATATTTCACGTAAATGGAATCATACAATATGTGGCTTTTGTGCTGGCTTCTTTCACTTAGCATAATGTGTTTGAGGTTCATCCATGTCGTGACATTTATCAGTACTTCATTTCTATTTATGACTAAATAATACTTCATTATATGGATGTACCACATTTTGTTTAGCCATTCATCCATTGATAGACACTTGTGTCCTATCTACCTTTTGGTTATTGTGTATAGTGCTATTATGAACATTCTTGTACAAATTTTTGTTTGAACACCTGTTTTCAATTCTTTTGGGTATATACCTAGGAGTGGAATTGCTGGGTCATATGGTAACTCTATGTTTAAGTTTTTGAGGAACTACCAAACTGTTTTCCCCAACAGCAATACCACTTTACATTACATCCCCACTAGCAATGTATGAGGGTTCCAATCTCTCCACATCCTGGCTAACACTTGTTAGGTTCCTGTTTTAAAAAAATTATAGTCATGCTAGTGGGTGTGAAATAGTATCTCATTGTGGTTTTGATTTGCATTTCTCTAGTAAATAATGATGTTAAGTATCTTTTCATGTGCTTGTTAGCCATTTGTGTATCTTCTTTGGAGAAATATCTATTTCTCCTTTGCCCATTTGTTAATTGGGTTATTTATCTTTTTGTTGTTGAGTTTGTAAACCAGAAAAGTACCTAAGACAGGTCAGAAACAATTTCGAAATTTTATTTTGCCATGGTTAAGGATGTGCACCTGGGAGGCAGGTCTGTGCCTTTCTCCAAAGATAATTTTGAGGGCTTCAATGTCTAAAGGGGGAAAAGGCGGATATTGGGGAAAGATGACCACATTTTTAAAAGGTGTGGGAAGATAAGAGACAAATGGTTGCATTTTTTTGAGTCTTTGATCAGCCTTTCACTGAATACACAATTTACATGTGAGAGGGGGTAGAGGAATAGTCACTTATGCCTTCATCTTCCTCAGTGAATCTGCATTTTTACATCAGAAGAAGCAATCAAATATGCATTTGTCTCAGGTGAGCAGACGGATGAGTTTGAGTTTTGTCCTTTGTCCCACACCTGTGAAGATAAGCTATCAATATACATTGTCAGGGTAAAATTCTTAAAGCTTAAAGTTTGGGCTGATTAAATTCCCTGGCCTCAGTCACATTGCAGGATAAATGCTGGCATTTAACATTTGGGGGTTAAGTTATTCCACTGAATTGGCTAATAAAGAGTTAATTTTGAGTGCTACAAGTATGCCTCTTTTTATAATATCTCATGCTTTACCTGGATGGCTTACACCATAATTCCCCAGCATTGTATACAAATAAGTCTCCGAAGCCCAGAGCCATCTTTTTTTTTTTTAAAGCAATCTTCTGCTGCATATGCCTGTAGTCCCAGATACTCGGGAGGCTGAGGCAGGAGGATCACTTGAGGTTAGGAACTCCAGGCTGTAGTGCACTATGATCATGCCTGTGTGTAGCCACTGTACTTCCACCTGGGCAATGTAGTGAGACTCTGTCTCTAAAATGAAATAAAATTTTAGTTTTAAAATCCGCTAATACATCAAAGGAGAACATAATGCTCCCTCCCATGATTGTATACAAATTTACAACTTTCAAAGTGATTTTCCTTATATAGTTACATTTGATTCTCTCAATAACTCTGTAAAGCAGATAGGAAAGATTCTCATTAAAGATCAAAAAAAATTGAGGTTCAGAGAGGTGAAGTGACTTGGCCAAGGCCACAGAGCCAATCAAAGATAGAGCTGGGGCTTGATCCCAGGACTCCTGACCAAATCCATAGCACTTTTCACTGAACTATGTGGCTTCTAGCAGTCCTCTTTTTATAACCAATGCCCAGCAATAGCAACGACAGCTAACATTTATCAAGACTTTCTTATGTAACGGGCACTGTGTTAAACACTTTCCTTGTATAATTTTATTTAATCTTTACAACAACAAACCAAAGTATGTATTATGATTATTCCCATTTTACAGACATGAAAACTGAGGCTCAAAAGGGCTAGGGAACTTGCTCAAGGTCAGACAGCCAATAAGTGGTATAGCTAGGATGTCATATTCAGGCCTATTTGGTTTCAAAGTCCATGTTCTTATTCTCTATACTAGTTAAGAAATTGAAGAGATTGTGATAGAAGGGGGCTGCAGGGAATACCAGAAATTCCATCTCTAAGAACTTTCAAGTTGGCAAAAATATTGACCACAACAGCTTTTAAGTAACATAGATTTTGAATGAAGCAGCAGCTGTGCAGGAACTCTCAGGAATGGGCACAGAAGCCACTTTGCCACACCCAGAGAATTAAAATCCCTACAGCCATTATTGGGTCTCACACTCTGTGCCAGTACCTCTTGGTGCAGAAGTCTCCCACCAAGAACCACATTTCCCACCAAGAGTCGCTTCTTCTTGTGGAGATAGACACATGCTTTTAGCTTTTGACTCACATAGAACCCAACTCTCCAACATCCCAGTGTCAGTTTCAGAATGTATTTTTTCTCAAGAGTGACAGCTTTATGGGCCAAATGCTTGATGAAATCTGGGCCTAGACAGCCACCTGGTAATCCCCTTATTTAAGACATTACAATCAGAGCTTTCCTTTGTTCCAGGAAGACAGTCAACCTTCTCTCTATCCCTGCTCAAAAGGGGAAAACCCTAGCATCATACAACAGAAAAAGAAATCATTAAAAAGGACTACCAAAATGTGCATTATTGACTAAACTCCTTTGCACTGGGTCTAGAAACTTGACAGAAGGGAAAAAAGAAGTGAAAATGTGTTATTATTTTCCAAAGAGCAGCCCTTATCCCAGCTAACAGCAAAAGAGTGTCCAGCTCTCTACTAACCAGTGCTGAAGAATCCTTTCCCCTGGCCCAAGGTCCAACCCAGGTTCCTTCTCTAAGAAGATTCTGGATTAGTAGGTACCAGGCCGGGCACATCTCCCAGATGTTGAGGCACAAGGAGCCCATTTAATTCCAGATATTAATCTGAAGATATCTGTGCTAAACTCTCTCTAAAACACAGGAGAAGAAATGAAAACATCTCAGCTGTACTTAATAATATACATAATGGACCAAATGTTCTCCTTTATAAGTGGGAGCTAAATAATGTGTACACGGTGGACATAGAGTGTGGGAAATAAACATTGGAGATTTGGAAGAGTGGGAGTGAGGGAGGAGGGTGAGGGATGACAAATTACTTAATGGGTACAAGGTATATTATTTGGGTGATGGTTACAGTAAAAATAAAAGCTCAGACTTCACCTCTATGTGATATATCCAATATATCCATGTAATAAGCTACGCTTCTACCCCTTAGATTTATACGAACGAAAAAATAATATGCAGATTGGGTTCAGACAGGGTATGTTGGCTGTCAGAGTGCGTGGAAGGAGAAGTAGGGTTGGAGGGGAGTGAGGATGGAAAAGTAGAGAAAGGTGTCCCACTTTCTCCACTCGTTTTTCTTTCAGAATTCTGCCAGGAAGGGATTCTATTTGCTTTTCTTGGGCAACTCATAAAATCCTGTGGTTGGCTTCTGTGGTAGCTTTTTTTTTTTTTTTTTTTTTTTTTAAAGACAGTCTTGCTCTGTTGCCCAGGCTGGAGTGCGGTGGCACAATTTCGGCTCACTGCAACCTCCACCTCCCGGGTTCAAGCAACTCTCCTGCCTCAGTCCCCCGAGTAGCTGGGACTACAGGTGTGCACCACCATGCCCGGCTATTTTTTTTTGTGTGTGTGTTTTTAGTAGAGACGGGGTTTCACCATGTTAGCCATGATGGTCTCGATCTCCTGACCTCGCGATCTGCTAGGATTACAGGTGTGAGCCGCCATGCCTGGCCTGTGGTAACTCTTCTAAGTTGCTGCTAACCAATAGGACTGAGGGAAAGAGGACCTAAGAAGGCCTAAGAAGGAGCCACACTTCCCAAAAGGAATCCATATATTTCTGACTCCTGTTCTAAGGCAACTGATGGGATTATTCCTGAACTTGCTGTACTCATATTTGAAAATGGGAGCCGTTCTCTTCATGCTAGAGGACTAGGCATTGGTTCTCAACTTTGGCTCCTGGAAGACTCATTTGGAAACCCTGTTAAAGCTATTCTAAAGCCTTTCCCCTGATCTTCTTACTCATTAGGTCTTGATATGTCCCCGAAATGTGCTTTTTCAACACTCATTCCAGGTGATTTTGGTGCTGGGGGATTCCAGACCATACATTGAGAAATACTGTGTAGAGTTCCAGAGAGTGTATAGTTTATTTAATTCACTGGTGAGTTAAGGGAAGTCATAACATATACATATAATCTATACCCACATAACATACTCTAAACCTAACAACAGAGATCCTGTTAAGACTGTTTTAAATCACATGTCTGAGCTTGAGCTCCATAGTCAGATGAGGAGAATGCTTGATCGTTTTGCTCTTTAATTTTTAGCCCCGGTTTGAGAATGGATGTGGGTCTGTGTTTAGACTGATGTCTATAGATTCCTTAGTGAGAGTCAAGCTAACACAGGGAGATCAGTGGCTGTTATTAAGTTTGATGGACTCTTGGCTTCGGCTGTGATTGGAAACAGATAAACTCTGTCCTGCACATACCCAATCTAGAAATTGCCAGATTTTTGCTGAGCCTGATTTTTCTGTTATGCTATAGAATGAGTTTCACTAAAGTAAATTAAGTATCTTTAGTGTTTATACCACAAGGTTTGGGATGCCAACTGAATTGAAAGTTCTTTATATTTATTAAATATGTACTTACTTGCCATGTGGGCATCATAAGTTGGCTTTCATGCAAAGCAAGTTGTACGGTGTTCTTTTAGGGTTTCCAGATTCATAGACCTCCTTGTTTTTCTCCTTTTACCTTTGGCTGGAGCTAGTGAGGCCTCAGAAAGAATAACTAAAATAATACAGAGAACAGAGGAGCTTGCTCTGATGACATCTCAGAAAGGCAACTTCTGGTGGAAGCCTTTAACGTAATCAAGTCACCAGTTCAAAAAACATGTTTTGAGCAACTACCATGTAGTGCTTGTGCAACTACTACAAGCACAGTTGGAGGTACTGTATCCCCAATACAGTAGTACATAGAACAGATAAAAACCCTTCTTCATGGAGTTTATATTGTAATGGGGGACATGGACAATAAGCAAGCTAAATAAGGAAAACATATTGTATGTCAGACAGTGAGAACAGTGACAGGGAGAAAAACAATGTAAGGAAGGGGATATGAAGTGGCTCAAACATTTTAAATAGATTGGCCAGGGAAGACATCACTGAAAAGGTGCCTTTTTTTTTTTTTTTTTTTTTTGACGGAGTCTCTCGCTTTGTCGCCCAGGCTGGAGTGCAGTGGGGTGATCTCAGCTCACTGAAACCTCCGCCTCCCAGGTTGAAGTGATTCTCCTGCCTCAGCCTCCCAAGTAGCTGGGATTACAGGCATCTGCCACCACACCCGGCTAAGTTTTGTATTTTTTGTAGAGACAGAGTTTCATCATGTTGGCCAAGCTGGCCTCAAACTCCTGACCTCAGTTGATCTGCGTACCTCAGCCTCCCAAAGTGCTGAGATTACAGGCGTGAGCCCACCACACCAGGCCATGAAAAGGTGGCTTTTGAATCAAAACCTGAAAAAAGTAGGGGAGCTAGCCACATGGACATGGGGGAAGAGCATGCCTAGCAGAGGGAACAGCAGGCACAATGGCCCCAAGGGGAGAGCATGCCTGAAGTGCTTGAAGAACAGCAGACCAGCAGTGTGTCTGGAGCAGGAAATGGCTGGTAATGTGGTCAGGGATAAAAGGAAGACAGATCATGTGAGGTTAGTGGGAGCATAGATGTTATCCTCCAGCCCCAAAAGACCAGAACTATGACACCACTCTGAGGTATGAAAGATGTTCAGAACAATAAAAGAAGAGCTTTTAGTCTATACACTGATATCAAATTTATATTTCCAGTAGATAACATAATCTAACTAGATGATATCAGGAAGAGGCAGTATATAAATTCATAGATGAAAGTTGCACAAAGAAGTAAAGGAAATCTTGGGATCAATCCTACTTTTGTGTGATTGATCCCACAAAAGTCAACTGTACTATTTCTCTGTCTTCTCCCTGAATCCAAAACTGAATGGTCTGCAGGATTTGTCATCAGCCTGACTCATTAGCACTGCGTTAAGTCCCCATGCACTGGAATGACAGTGCCATCTTCATAACCAAGATAGTAGCTAAGGTTATCACTGCATCAACATACAATGGTGGTGGGAACCATGAAGGCATGTGAAAGCTGCAAGTACCAAGGGGATACCTGGCACTTTGCAAAACTAGCCTGAAGAGAACTTAGTGGGTAAACACAATGGGAGATTCTGTCTACTTGCTAAATTATAATATATGGTTTGCTACTAGTATCTAGCAGAGACAGTTTATCAGCTGATCTTCAAAGGGCCTTCTGCTAACAGAAATCGAAATCTTCTTAGAAATGGAAAGAGCTCTGGGGAGGCTCTTTGAGATATGGAAAATGCTATGTCCAGAAGCCCAGAGGAGACTATTTTGAAGATCCTACAGAGGAATTCAACTAGGTGTCCCAGAACCAAATAGTATGGAGATATGGAGGCCAGCCATAATGAGGACAGGGTTACAGGCTCCATCACTATCCCACTGGAGGTTAGAGCATTCAGTTCCTGAGGGTCCTCCCATCAGTCTTGCACCCATGAACTGTCAATATAAATAAAAGGTAGTGTGCTGTCTATGAAAATGCACCTTGCAGACAGGCCCTCTTCCAACCTGATTTTCCTCCCTCCACCCAACCCTCCAATATAGAAATCCCAGAGCTCTGCTGGGTTTCACTGATACCAATTGTTCCTCTCACCCCAGCCAGATGTCCTGTTGATAAGAAGGGGATCTAGGACAAGAGAACATGCAATCTCTCTGACTTTGCAAACTCAATTAAGTGGTTGTGTTCCCATCCCAAGGACAATGGGGTGCCCCTGAAAGCTTTCTAAGCAGAGGAGTAACCCAAACTTCTTCCTGTTTCTTGTTTTCATCTGCAAGAAAACCAGTAAAATTATGGAGCTTACCTCTAATGAATAAGCCCATTGACAGGAAATGTAGGAAAGGGGACAATAGTTCATGAAGGATTTCTTCTTTGGGAATTCTTCAGCCGGAAGAATATCCAACTTTTGAGACCAGTAACAGCATACGGGTTGACTCGTCTATTTTCTCCCACCTTCCCCAGAGCTTCTCTGAGTTATCATCTGGACCTGATTGCTCACAGTCCTTGACTGCATTTGCCACACTTGCCTCTACCAGTAGCACCCAGCTGCCCATTGGTTTCAGCACCCCAGCCACCACCCAGGGCTGTTTGGATTCTTCAGCTGCTCGCCACAAAATGACTTTAAATCCCCGCAAACAAAAGAAGAACCTTCAAGTGATTGTAAGTCCTTCAAGAGACAGGGCACTAAACTCCTGTATAAGAAAAGATGAGTTCCAACCTTTGCAAACTACTACTAGGGAAATAGTATGGTGTAGGAGACTCATGCCCTAAGTAAGCTTGGCAAGGTCAAGGGTGCTGTCCTAAGCTTGACACCCCCAGAGGGGTGAGCAAGCTTGCATCTGCTGGGTGTGGTTTCCTATCCATGTGGAACTTATATTAGAAGGGACTAAAAGGAAGCAGAAACAGTAAATGATTTAAACCCCCATAAACTGCTTATTGGGCTAACATCTGGGAGTTCACTCAGCCCTATTTGTAGAGAATATTCAACCCTAGCCCAGATCAGGATTCTTTCAGTTATTAATCAGATGAGACCCATGAGTCACAAATTGCAGCACTATTCCACTTATTTGGAGATCAAGCTTTCAGCAACCCTAAACATCCAGAACTTAGTTGTTAACCCATCCAAAGATCTCCAAATAGATGCCACATGACTTTCCAGGAAGCAGACCTACTGTGTTAAAAACATGGCCACAGATTAGACTCAGACCTGACAGCAAAGAGAAGTGACAGCTGGTAGCAGACAGAATGACAGAAACAATCTGGGGCCATTTAATATAGGGGCTCAAGAACCTTGCCCACCTCAATATGTCCTTCAGGGCCACACTATATCATAGTCCAATGTAATAGATAATTTTATTATTTGTCCAAGTCATCTAGAAAAAGTAGATTATTTTCCGTGATCCCTGTTTAAAAAGATAGAGAAATAATGCTTTTGGAAAAGGCTTTTAGTAAAAGTTAAGGATTAGGGCTGGGTGCAATGGTTCATGCCTGTAATCCCAGCACTTTGGGAGGCCAAGGCGGGCGGATCACCTGAGGTCAGGAGTGTGAGACCAGCCTGACCAACATGCAGAAACCCCGTCTCTACTAAAAATACAAAATTAACCAGGTGTGGTAGCACATCCCTGTAATCCCAGCTACTCTGGAGGCTGAGGCAGGAGAATTGCTTGAACCCGGGAGGTGGAGGTTGTGGTGAGCCGAGATTGTGTCATTGCACTATAGCCTGGACAAGAGCAAAACTCCGTTTAAAAAAAAAAAGTTAAAAAATGTTAGTGTTTAGTGTTTAAAACGATGTGTCAGTTGTCTATAAAACTCACTTTGATCAAAAACTGAATTCGCCAGTGATTCTGGGCTGAAAGGAAGAGACTGTAAATCAGAGGTGAAGTGACTAAAAGATTGTATAGTACAAACATTTTACAGAGAAGGGCATTAAAGCACAAATAATTTCAGATACTTACCCAAAGTCAAACACCCAGGTGATAGCAGAGCTAGGGCCAGAATCCAGTCTTCTGACTTCCAGCTCAACACTTTTTTCATCCCACCATCTTGCCTCTAGCTTAGGCATCTCAATTTCACTTTAGGTTTTAGACAAAATACGAGTTGAAAGAACAGGTGGAGGAGCAGGGCGGCAGAGGGAAGCCCTCTGGTGGCCTTGAGAGTACCTTGTTAGTTTGGTGTCAAAGAAGGGGTGACCAATTACTAGGTGCCAAACCCTATACATGCATTATCCCCTGAATACCTCACCACAAACCTGGGAGATGGAGAAGGTTGGCTGAGGGAAGCAGTATGACCCTTCTAACTTTCTTCTTTCTGTATAGCCTAGTTGAGAAAAAGCCCGGGCATTACCCTCTGAGAAGGCCAGAGCATCCACTTCTTCCCTGTGACTCTCTCTCTGACATGTGGATGAACATAAAAAAGATCCAGGATCATTTATGACACAGGGACTACTACCACTTTCTCCCTGCTCTGTAATTTCTTAGATCTACAAGTCCCACAGGAGGTTTCTCCTGGTCCCTTATTTATTGATGTAGACACAGTGATTCAGAGAATAACTTGCCCAAGGTCACGCAGCAAGTAAATGATGAAGAGATTTTGAATCCAGGCCAATCTGACCACGTTTACTCAAAAATAAATTATTATGAGCTGTGTCTGTTTGCACAGGCACTTTGAGTGGGAGTGTAAAGAGTTACATGTTTGTCTTTACATGCATGCCATAAAGGCTTACACTAAGCAAATTCCGGACACTGTTCAGTGCAGTGCTATGCTGACATTTCCAGAGCTGTATTGTAATTATCAGAAAACCTTATTTATACTAAACCAACTTCAGCCCATCCAGTGTAAGGGCTGAACCTTTCAGCTTTTTCTCCTTTCCCTCCCAACAAAACCCCAATTCTTTTTCTTCTTTTGATCTGGAAAGAGATAATTCATGCTTTCATTACATTCCCTGAAAAGAAGCCAAAAAGGATTTGAATTTGACTCACAGGTCTGGTGAAGCAAATCGGAGAATCCCAATATGGCCGAGGGCATGATTGTTGTCAGGCCCAATGACCCCGTTTTCAGATTCGTGGCCTTCCAGTGTGGTTCAGTCATTTCCAGGGTATTTTAGAGGGATCCCTGCAGTGTGTCACTCAGACATTAGAAACTCCAAACCTGGATGAACCACTTCCAGTAGGTAAAATGATCCCCAAGGATCTCTTGGTGGAAACAATTCCATTAAGAAATCCCTGGAAATATCTCCATTGAAATAACGTCCATCTTTAAAGGTACTGTTACGTGCCCAGCATCAAGAACTTTTTTCCTGATGCTTTTTCTTTGGCAACCATGCAGGCGTGGTTGGAAAGCACTTCAGTAGGATTCAAGCTCTTTCTTTTCCTGTTTCAGGTGGAACCAAAGGAGGAGGAGCCAAACCTTCCATTGGTTTCTGAAGAAGAAAAGAGCATAACCAAACCAAAAGAAATCAACGAAAAGAAGCTGGGAATGGACAGTGCAGGTTAGCATATCTTCACCCTCACCCAGAAACATGTATGACAGACTTCATTGCACAGTGCTATGTTGATAGGAGCTATACCCAAGAACTACCCAAGACTGCTGCCCTTGGTCTTCAGAGAGCTTTCAATTTTATATGCAGAAAATGTTGTCCAGGCTTCTCCATCTAAACTGCCAAAGTAATACAATTGCCACTTGTGTGGGGTTCAGGTAAAGGATCATACCTGGATTCTTATTTTATGTAAATGAATTTCCAACAAGAGAGGTGTTTTGTTTGTGAATTTGTTTCATCCTCTCCGAGGCTAACGTACATGCTGAGTTCCTCAGTGAGCCCAGATATGAGAGGACAACCACTGATTTCCCCTTCAGCATTCTTCCTCAGCAGCAGAACCAGAAAGGAATAATAGAATTGGCCAAAAAATCATTTTTTTAAAGTTGCCTTTCTCTTCCTGTAGAGAGAAAATGTCTGTGTTAATAATGATACTATTGCCCACATCCTTGGACAAAGAGGGTTTATGCAGCTGCAGACAGATGTCCTTGGCAGCCAACACCTATCAAATCCCCAAACAACAAATATCACCAGAGTGAAAATCTCTCTGTGTGTTTATGTGGGTGCATATGTGGATGTTGGCTCCAGTTGATGGCAAGCTGATTTCTAGCAGTATTTGATAAAAAAATTCCAGTTCCTCAAATTAAGTTGAATAGTTATGTTACGTTTTTGCCACAAAGGATTTCACATGTGGGTCCAAAGACAGGACATTCCTAAACACGTTTTCCCATGAATACTAAGAAAACCACAAAACCCTCCAGAAAAAAAAAGAAAAAGGAAGATTAAATGAGTACTCTTTTGTCTTTTTGAGCTTTATTTTTATTTATTTATTTATTTATTTATTTATTTATTTATTTATTTAAGACGGAGTCTCACTCTGTCACCCAGGCTGGAGTGCAGTGGCATGATCTCGGCTCACTGCAACCTCCACCTCCCTAGTTCAAGCAATTCTCCTGCCTCAGCCTCCCTAGTAGCTGGGACTACAGGCGCCCGCCGCCACGCTTGGCTAATTTTTTGTATTTTTAGTAGAGAGGGAGTTTCACCGTGTTAGCCAGGATGATCTCAATCTCCTGACCTTGTGATCTGCCCACCTTGGCCTCCCAAAGTGCTGGGATTGCAGGCGTGAGCCACTGCACCCAGCCTTTGAGCTTTATTTTTTAATAGTTGTCTCTTTTACACACAGAGGATAGAACTGAGTCAGTATCCATGGTGGCAGATACTTTAGTTGATTTTCCATATCATGGAAGTGGTTTGGAGCATAGTCAGCTATTATCAGCGCTGTATGCTGGATATGAAACTACTGGATGGAGCTAAGGATGCAGCAGATAGTGAGGGAAGAAAGGCACAAGGGGCCCTTCCATCTGGGGATCAAAGTGAGTTCCTTAGAACTAGAAGAAAGGAGAGGAGTAATCTGTACAACTACTACCTTGTGCTTGACCTGAAGCCTGTGGACCAATGCAATTCTTAAGGCATTCCAAGAATTTCTTTGCATGTGTATTACATATGATCGGTTTAAAAAAATGTTTTTATTTCAATAGCTTTAGGGGTACAAGTGGTTTTTGGTTACACAGATGGATTGTATAGTGGTGAAGTCTAGGATTTTAGTGCACCTGTCATTAGAGTAATGTACATTGTACCCATTATGTAGTTTTTCATTCCTCACCCCCTCCTACCCTTCCCACTTTCTGAGTCTTCAGTGTCTAATATACCACTCTGTATGCCTTTGCATACCCATAGCTTAGCTCCCATTTATAAGGGAGAACATGTGGTATTTGGTTTTCGATTCCTGGGTTACTTCACTTAGAATATTGGCCTCCAGTTTCATCCAGGTTGCTACAAAAGACATTATTTCATTCTTTGTTATGCCTGAGTAGTATCACATTTTCTTTAGTTGATTTTCCATATCATGAAAGTGGTTTGGAGCACAGTCAGCTATTCTCAGCGCCGTATGCTGGGTATGAAACCCCTAGATGGAGCTAGGGATGCAGCAGATAGTGAGGGAAGAAAGGCAGCGAGGGACCCTTCCATCTGGGGATCAAAGTGAGTTCCTTAGAAAAGTACTAGAAGAAAGGAGAGGAGTAATCTGTACAACTACTAGCATGTGCTTGACATTTTCTTTATCTACTCATAGGTTGATGGGCACTTAGGTTGATTCCATATCCTTGCAATTGTGAATTGTGCTTCAATAAACATATGTGTGCAGGTGTCTTTTTGATATAATGACTTCTTTTCCTTTGGGTAGATACTCAGTAGTGGGATTGCTGGATTGAATCATAGATCTATTTTTAGTTCTTTGGGAAATTTCCATACTGTTTTCCACAGAGGTTGCACTAATTTACATTCCCAGCAGCGGTGTATAAGTATGCTCTTTTTATCACATTCATCCCAACATCTATTGTTTTTTGACTTTGTAATAATGGCCATTCTGGCTGAGGTAAGATGATATCGCGTTGTGTTTCAATTTGCATTTCCCTCGTGATTAGTGACATTGAGCATTTTTCATATGTTTGTTGTCCATTTGTATATCTTCTTTTGAGAATTGTTTATTCATATCCTTTGCCCACTTTTTAATGGATTATTATAGTTTATTGTCACCTGGCTTCAGCTCTGGGTGCTTTCAGTTTTGAAGACTCTGTATGAGTTCCTTGGTTGCAGAGTATCTTTGTGTGATGGCTTTCTCAGATGCTGACTGTAGTAGTGATGTGCTGGGTGTGTGCGCAGGTTCACTGTCTCCTATGGGGAGTTTTCCATCTGGTTCACAGTGTAGGCTGCTGCCCATCACTTCTTTCAAAGGGTCTGTGGTTTCTTTCACTCTTTCTGTTAAGTTCCTGTGTTGCTTCTTGGAAAAAGCTCACAGCATGAATATCTACATGCTATTTGTCTTTCCAAGTGGGAGAGACATGCTAACAATGCCTCCAATCTGCATCTTGGAAATAAAAACAACTAGGATTGTTTTAATGTAAGAGGGTAGAAAAAAAGAAGAAAAGGGGGCCATAATCTTGCCTCCCAGATAACTCCTATTGACCCCTTCTTAAAAAAAAAAAAGCAACATGGCCAAGCACGGTGGCTCATGCCTGTAATCCCAGCACTTTGGGAGGCCGAGGCAGGTGGATCACAAGGTCAGGAGTTCCAGACCAGCCTGACCAACATGGGGAAACCCCGTCTCTACTAAAAATACAAAAGTTATCTGGACGTGGTGGCATGTGTCTGTAATCCCAGCTACTCAGGAGGCTGAGGCAGGAGAATTGCTTGAACCCAGGAGTCAGAGGTTGCAGTGAGCCGAGATCGCGCCACTGCAGCCTGGTATGATGTATGAATTCAAAGTGTGAAATTTGTCTTTGGGTAGAGTGTAAAATAGAACCATAATTAATTTTCAATTTAATTTTCAATTTCACTCCAGCCTGGGCGACAGAACGAGATTCTGTCTCAAAAAAAAAAAAAAAGCAATACATGCACATGATATGAAATTTCAGGTAGTTCAGATAAATATTATGTAGAAAATAGAAATGCTAATTAGAAAGTAAAAAATTCAATTCCTCCTTCCCCAGTCAGTTTCCCCACAGGTAGTCATTGTTACAGGTTCAAAATTTGCCTTCTGATGTGTCTCACACTGAATGGTGGACCAGACTATTGGTAAAAAGGTGATAAGCCAACCCTGGAGTCAGTTTCTAGAACTAGGATTTCTCTTTGGCTTAAAAATATCCAACTGCAGAAACCTAATAGTGACCATGTTGCCCTCTGTCTTCCAAATAGCTGCTTCCTCATACTAGGAAATTTAGTAGCAAATAGGTACCACTGGGCCAGGGCACAGTATTCTTATTTTAGGAAGTGAAAGTCACACATATTTCTCCTTTCCTTATTTCTGTTTGGTGCAGATTCCTCAAGCCAGAAACAGAACAACAAAACTGAGATGTATGATAAGAAGACAACAGACCAGGCTCCAAACACTGATGCTTCTCGGAGTCAGGGCTATCCAATGTCAGCAGCATATGGAAGAAGATGGAGAAGAAAAGGAGCAAGTGTTTCAGGATTGAGTGGGTGTGAATTCAAAGGAAGAAGCCTTAAACAATCCAGTGAAGGGTATGGCCTGGGCGATAGAGCTGGGTCTTCACCTACCAATAAGACTGCCAGGAATGTCCCTTTCTCGCACTTGTCCTTAGAGAAGGACAACATGGAGCAGCCTACAACTTCACAACCAGAAACCACTACCCCTCAGGGGTTGCTTTCAGATAAAGATGACATGGGAAGGAGAAATGCTGGCATAGATTTCGGATCCAGAAAAGCATCAGCAGCACAGCCCATACCTGAAAACATGGACAATTCCATGGTTAGTGATCCACAACCATACCATGAAGATGCAGCTTCTGGAGCTGAGAAGACAGAAGCCAGAGCTTCTCTCTCACTGATGGTGGAAAGCCTTTCTACAACCCAAGAGGAGGCCATTCTCTCAGTAGCAGCAGAGGCTCAGGTGTTTATGAATCCTTCTCATATCCAGTTAGAAGATCAAGAAGCTTTCAGCTTTGATTTACAAAAGGCCCAATCCAAAATGGAGTCAGCCCAGGATGTTCAAACTATCTGCAAAGAAAAGCCTTCTGGAAATGTTCACCAGACCTTTACAGCAAGTGTTTTGGGTATGACAAGTACTACAGCCAAAGGAGATGTTTATGCCAAGACTCTGCCTCCCAGAAGCCTTTTTCAGTCCTCAAGGAAGCCTGATGCTGAAGAAGTCTCCTCAGATTCAGAGAATATTCCTGAGGAGGGGGATGGTTCTGAAGAACTGGCTCATGGTCACTCTTCCCAGTCCTTGGGGAAGTTTGAAGATGAACAAGAAGTCTTCTCAGAATCAAAAAGTTTTGTTGAGGACTTGAGCAGCTCTGAGGAGGAGCTGGACCTCAGATGCCTCTCCCAGGCTTTAGAGGAGCCTGAAGATGCAGAAGTCTTCACAGAATCAAGCAGTTATGTTGAAAAGTACAACACTTCTGATGATTGCAGCAGCTCAGAGGAAGACCTGCCTCTCAGACACCCTGCTCAGGCCTTGGGAAAGCCCAAAAACCAACAAGAAGTCTCCTCTGCTTCAAATAATACTCCTGAAGAGCAGAATGATTTTATGCAGCAGCTGCCTTCCAGATGCCCTTCTCAGCCCATTATGAATCCTACTGTTCAGCAACAAGTCCCCACCAGTTCAGTGGGCACTTCTATAAAACAGAGCGATTCCGTGGAGCCAATCCCTCCAAGACACCCTTTCCAGCCATGGGTGAACCCTAAAGTGGAGCAAGAAGTTTCCTCATCTCCAAAGAGCATGGCTGTTGAAGAGAGCATTTCTATGAAGCCTCTGCCTCCTAAACTTCTTTGCCAGCCCTTGATGAATCCTAAAGTTCAACAAAACATGTTCTCAGGTTCAGAGGACATTGCTGTTGAGAGAGTCATTTCTGTGGAGCCACTACTCCCCAGATATTCTCCTCAGTCCTTGACAGATCCTCAAATCCGGCAAATCTCAGAAAGCACAGCTGTTGAGGAAGGCACTTATGTGGAACCGCTGCCTCCCAGATGCCTTTCCCAGCCCTCGGAGAGGCCTAAGTTCCTGGACTCAATGAGTACTTCTGCAGAATGGAGCAGTCCTGTGGCACCAACACCTTCCAAATACACTTCCCCGCCATGGGTGACCCCTAAATTTGAGGAACTGTATCAACTCTCTGCACATCCAGAAAGCACTACTGTTGAAGAGGACATTTCTAAGGAGCAGCTGCTTCCCAGACATCTTTCCCAGTTGACTGTGGGAAATAAAGTCCAGCAACTGTCCTCAAATTTCGAGCGGGCTGCTATTGAGGCAGACATTTCTGGGAGTCCATTGCCTCCCCAATATGCTACCCAGTTCTTAAAGAGGTCTAAAGTTCAGGAAATGACCTCACGACTAGAGAAAATGGCTGTTGAAGGCACTTCTAACAAATCACCGATTCCCAGGCGTCCGACCCAGTCATTCGTGAAATTTATGGCACAGCAAATCTTTTCAGAGAGCTCTGCTCTTAAGAGGGGCAGTGATGTGGCACCTCTGCCTCCCAATCTTCCTTCCAAATCTTTATCAAAGCCTGAAGTCAAGCACCAAGTTTTCTCAGATTCAGGGAGTGCTAATCCTAAGGGAGGCATTTCTTCAAAGATGCTACCTATGAAGCACCCTTTACAGTCCTTGGGGAGGCCTGAAGACCCACAGAAAGTTTTCTCTTATTCAGAGAGAGCTCCTGGGAAGTGCAGCAGTTTTAAAGAGCAGCTGTCTCCCAGGCAGCTTTCCCAGGCCTTGAGGAAACCTGAGTATGAGCAAAAAGTCTCCCCTGTTTCTGCCAGTTCTCCTAAAGAGTGGAGGAATTCTAAAAAGCAGCTGCCTCCCAAACATTCTTCCCAAGCCTCAGATAGGTCTAAATTCCAGCCACAGATGTCATCAAAGGGCCCAGTGAATGTACCTGTAAAGCAGAGCAGCGGTGAGAAGCACCTGCCTTCAAGTAGTCCTTTCCAGCAACAGGTTCATTCAAGTTCTGTGAATGCTGCTGCTAGGCGATCTGTTTTTGAGAGCAATTCTGACAATTGGTTCCTAGGAAGAGATGAAGCTTTTGCAATCAAAACCAAGAAATTCAGCCAAGGTTCCAAAAACCCCATAAAGAGCATTCCAGCCCCTGCTACCAAACCTGGGAAGTTCACCATTGCTCCTGTCAGGCAAACATCCACTTCTGGGGGCATTTACTCTAAGAAAGAAGATCTTGAGAGTGGTGATGGTAATAATAACCAGCATGCAAACCTATCCAATCAGGATGATGTTGAAAAGCTTTTTGGAGTTCGACTGAAAAGAGCCCCTCCCTCGCAGAAGTATAAGAGTGAGAAACAAGATAACTTCACCCAGCTTGCTTCAGTGCCCTCGGGCCCAATTTCATCCTCTGTAGGCAGGGGACATAAAATCAGAAGCACTTCCCAGGGGCTCCTGGATGCTGCAGGGAACCTCACCAAAATATCTTACGTTGCAGATAAGCAACAGAGCAGGCCCAAATCTGAAAGCATGGCCAAGAAGCAACCTGCTTGCAAGACCCCAGGTAAGGCTTTTATCTCTCCAGATGGCAAGCAGATATCAAGTGGAAACAACTGGAAAGCAAAGCCTTGAATGGGCATTAAAGTCTATTCTAGTCTTTTACTGAATTGTGGCTTTGATAGGGCTGGTTTATGAGTTTGGGAGCAAAATAGTGCCCCATTCTAGATTTAATAGATTTGGAGGTAGTTAATTTTGAGCCTTCCCTTTCCTAATGGGATCCCCCTCTGGACATCCATCTACATTCCATAGTAGACACATGACCATTTCCCCATTCCCTCTTCCTCACCCTCTGCACACCTTACATTTGGATGGAATTTTATGCTTTTCTCAAAATACTTTTACATGTATTAAGCCCCTCCCTAACACCATGTGGATTTTTAAAGCCAACTCATTCGTAGAGCACTATGTTCAGTCTCTCAGCCTGAAATCTTAATTTGCCATAAATGTCTCTTCGCTCATCTGAAATATCTAAGAATTTAGAGCTAGGCGATCTTTTGGGCACGAATGTCTCCCAAAACCTTTGGACCTTCACACTCCATCCTTGGAAAAATCTTTTATATTCCTGTAACCACACTTATGTAACCACACACTTGTGTGAGGGACTATGAAGTAACAAATACTTTTCTAGGATTTTTCAAAGATTTTTCAAAGATTTTTCTAGGAGTTAGAGGAATGGCATCAATGGCCTGAGCCTCTGGCATCCTTGGGATTTTCCCAGCCCACCTGGCAAGCGTTGTCCTACTCTGATTTGCAGATGGCACCAGGGATGGACAAGGGAAGGGCCCACTTTTAAGTACAGCTTCTTTACTACCCAAGGAACTCCTGCCTTGCCAAGCTATAGGGAGGGCCCAAAAAAGGGGGGCCTTCTCTGTTTGATATCTGTTTATTTTCCTTTGGCAATTAACAAGGGTCCCATTTGGGATATTATTGTGGGTAAGCCCCAACCAGGCTCAAGACCCTGCCTGCCTTGCTTCAGTTCTAACTCCTTTCATTTCTTTCTCAGGAAAGCCTGCTGGTCAACAGTCAGATTATGCTGTCTCAGAGCCGGTTTGGATAACTATGGCAAAGCAGAAGCAGAAGAGTTTCAAGGCCCACATTTCTGTGAAAGAGCTGAAAACTAAGAGCAATGCTGGAGCCGATGCTGAGACTAAGGAGCCTAAATATGAGGTAGGACCTGGGGTAGCCAATAAAACACTCCAAAAAGGTTGCTGGAATCACTGATTAGGTTTCTATTGGGAACTTTGCCAACATGCAGCTCCCCCTCTCTTTGGGAACATTAATCAAGGCAGGAGGACTCTTCAGGGAAAAAGACTTGCTTTGTATTTATACAAACGTGCCCTGCTTTTATGCTCTTAAAGGGTTTGTGCAGGCCAGGTGCGGTGGCTCTTGTTTATAATCCCAGCACTCTAGGAGGCCAAGGCAGGTGGATTGCTTGAGCTCAGGAGTTCAAGACCAACTTAGGCAACATGCTGAAACTCCATCTTTACTAAAAATACAAAAACACAGCTGGGTGTGGTGTCATGTGCTGACATCCCAGCTACTCAGGAAGCTGAGGTGGGAGGATCACTTGGAGCCCAGGCATGGAGGCTGTAGTGAGTCAAGATCACGCCACTACACTCTAGCCTGGGTGACAGAGTGAGACCCTGTCTCAAAAGTGTGTGTGCGGGGGTGTTGTGCAAAGTCATGAACATAGAGAGAATCTGCAAAACAAATCCTGCCCTCAATATTCTAAAGCAAGGCTCCACGAAATTGGTTGAGAAATAAGGAGTAAGTCATTTTATTTTATTTTTAATTTTTTATTTCCATAGGTTTGGGGGGAACAGGTGGTATTTGTTTACATGAGTAAGTTATCTGGTGGTGATTTGTGAGATTTTGGTGCACTGTAACCCAGTTCATAGTATTTTATCCCTCATCCCCTTCCCACCCTTTCCCTCAGAGTCCCCAAAGTCCATTGTATCATTCTTATGCCTTTGCATCCTCATAGCTTAAAAAAATACCTAAAGGTAATCACTGGGGTAAGAGTTGAGTGACTATCTTTACAGATATTTTATACCTATCAATATGTATATATATTTTTATAAATGGAATCAAACTTAAATACTGTTTTTTTCATTTAACATTTTATTTCTGGGCACTTTTCTGTATCAGTACACAACAAGTTCCCTTTCTGTGTTTGATGTTTGGATTTCTACATATTGATTTGGTTTGGTGTGGCACCTACCTGTAAGTTATAAAATGTGATGTGGTAAACTAGGCTAACTACCACATGTGGATAAGAGATGATGGGATGATGCCTTTCTCCCCTCTTATCAAACCTGCAGAAAACTGACTCAAGGAAACATACCAAATTCATATATCAAGAGATATGTCTAAGCTCCTATACTTTTAAGTGCTTACTAAATTTGTTGAAGGACTGTGCGAGGAGGTGTTTAACTCTTTGCTTTAAAGGTCTTTTCTTTTTCATCATTAGTATTTACATGGGGACAGGAACATAGAGGGGTAAAGCCCACCTTTATTAAAGCTTTTTTTTTTTTTTTTTTTTTTTTTTTTTGAGACAGGTTCTCACTCTGTCTTCCTGGCTGGAGTGCAGTGGTGCAATCACAGCTCACTGTAGTGTCAACCTCCCAGGCTCAAACGATCCTTCCCCTTCATCCCCGCCATAGTAGCTGCGACTATAGGCACTATAGGTGTGCGCCACCATGCCCAGGTAATTTTTAAAATTTTTTGTAGAGATGGGTCTCACTGTGTTGCCCAGGCTGGTCTTGAACTCCTGGGCTCAAGTGATCCTCCTGCCTGAGCCTCACAAAGTGTTGGGATTATAGGCCACTGCTCTCAGCCTGGTTAAAGCTTTTGTCAGGAGGGATACATTAGTGTATATAAACTCATTAATTTAGACCAATTATGAAGAGGTTAATTTGAAAAGAATAAACTGCAGAATTTTGGAAAGACCTACAGTTATATTACTTTCTAATGTGAGAAATGCTTCAAGTCATATGTCAGCTAGTTTTGAAAAGTAGAAATCTTATGGAACTCACTTCAGTGAATTGATCAGATTTGTTTGCAACTACCATGTTCTGTTAGCTTGCTGTTAAGTGCTGGTAAAGTGCTAAGGAAAAGGTTGTTCTCAAGTTAAATAATTATCTTGTTAACCTGCTTTCACTATTTGTAAAATTAGACAGCTCTTTCTTTCTGGTCTGAAAGGTGGTAAACTTGAGCCAGCTTAGGTTTTGTGAACCTAAATTTTAAGCCAAAAGGCTCAATGCTATTTCTCTCCTTATCTATCTCTATATTTCTAATCTCTTTCCTTTTGGATACTGTTAAACTCATAGTACCCAGGACAGGGCTTGCACTCTATGGTCCTCTGAATAAGCAATCTGCCATTTTAATGTCAGAACTTACAAGCTTTCTGTTTTCATTTTTGTATTAAAGGGAGCTGGCTCTGCAAATGAAAACCAACCTAAAAAGATGTTCACTTCCAGTGTCCATAAACAGGAGAAGACAGCACAGATGAAGCCACCTAAGCCTACAAAATCAGGTAAAAGCATACATTCTGACCTCTCAAAAAACAGCCCCGACAGAATGTTGTAAAACTTTTGCAATTTCAAGCTCAGATAATACTTGTCTCTTACCTTAAGTCAGCTTAATGATTTCTCGCGTGGCTCTTTAATTAGATACAAATATTAGCTTATTTTAGGAAAATCTAATTATTTTGACTAATACAAGTCCAGTGTATAACTTTCAGAGGGTCTTCCAGTCTTTTGCCTCATCAAAGAAGCTGTCTAGGCACAAAACTGTGGTCACTCACTGAAACATTCTTCTGGCTGGGTATGCAAGAGGAAAGTACCAAGTCACTTTCCAGTTCATAGCAAAGCGGTATTTTCTCACTTTCTACATCTCCAATGAAACTGTTGAAAATAATTCACTCTAAAGGCCCAATGGTATTCAATTGTTTTTAATTATTTAGAAGGCTTGTTTAAGCTTCTCTGTATTCTGAGCAGGGATGTGTAAGTGGTGAGGAAATGTTGACAGCTGAGAGGAATACTCTGCTGGGATATAATAGAATGTGATCTCACCAGAAAGAATTGTGTGCTAGAGAGAATTTTTTCAGCAGGAGCAGGGGAGTGGATGATGGATTTTTATTGAACCATCTTTGTCCTCTCCCTTAATCCCGCTCATGAAGAAATTAGACCAGGAATTCAGGAACCCATTTTCTGGCCATGAAATAGCAGCAGTTGACTTGCTCACAGCTTTTAATGGCCTCATGGGCACTATACTCCTATCAAGTGAATCACAACTGTCACTGTGCATCAGAATCACCTGGTGAGCTTTTTAAAAAATTACAGATGGTCCTGGCTCCATCCTTAGAGATTCTAATTCATTTGCTTCAGGAAACGGCATGGGCTTTGGTGTTTTTAAAAGAGCCCTAGGTGATTCTAATGTGTAGCCAGGATTGAGAACCACTGGTTGATTCTAAGTCACTAAGTCAATTGACCATAAGCAGGATGAGGGAGGGAGTGGAATTAGGAATAGGGAGGTAGTCTCCTTGGCTGGGGTAGTTGGGTTGGTACAATATTATTTATCATCAACTTTTACTGGGTGCATCTATTAAGTCATCAATCAATTCATTTCACATGAAATCGTGGATTGGCAAACACAAATAACATTACCTTATCTGAAATTTTAGAAACTAAGTAGATACAATATGTTTCCCTCTGGTCTCAGTTCAAAGATGTAAGACAATCCAGTAATAACCACCTGAAGATTGGCAGTTACAGCCATAGGTATTACCTCCCAGGCCTTCCCATGCCCAGGGCCCTGTGGCCATAGCCAAGTTGATTTTACCCCTTTGACATACTACCCATGGCATCACACAGGTCCTAACTTTTAGAAGTCTGGCACCAAAGGGAGAAGAGTTTAGAAAGCACTAGAGCAGGGGGATCAGAGGAAACCTGAAAGGAGGAAACATTATATGGCATTCCATAAACAACATACCCCAATATCGCTGGGGTTCCTTATTGCTTGTGTGTTATTTGCTGTGGTTCCAGTTGGATTTGAAGCTCAGAAGATACTGCAAGTTCCTGCCATGGAAAAAGAAACCAAACGATCTTCAACTCTCCCAGCCAAGTTCCAGAACCCAGTTGAGCCAATTGAGCCTGTCTGGTTCTCACTGGCCAGGAAGAAAGCCAAAGCATGGAGCCACATGGCAGAAATCACGCAATAAAGAGCTCTTGTGTGGAGCATCAGCATTTATTTTATTTAGTTTTTTTTTTTTTTTTTTTTTTTGAGACAGAGTCTCGCTCTGTTACCCAGATTGGAGTGCAGTGGCGCGATCTCCGCTCACTGCAAGCTCCGCCTCCCGGGTTCACGCCACTCTCCCGCCTCAGTCTCCCGACTAGCTGGGACTACAGGCGCCCGCCATCACGCCCGGCTAATTTTGTTTTCGTATTTTTAGTAGAGACGGGGTTTCACCATGTTGGCCAGGATGGTCTTGATCTCCTGACCTCGTGATCCGCCCGCCTCAGCCTCCCAAAAGCTGGGATTACAGGCGTGAGCCACCGCGCCCGGCCAAGCATCAGCGTTTTAAATGATAATTGCTAATAGCTGTATTAATTCTATGTAGTGATCTTTTTACTGTGACCACTTGTATTAAGCAAAATAAGTATTAAGCAAACTAAGAATTTATTAAGCAAAATAAGAATTTATTAAGCAAAATAGCCTTAGAAATGCAAATTAAAACATAATTATTTGAATGAAATAAATGCCATGAATGCTTAACCTTCCACGTAGTCACTGCCAGCACCCAGAAACCCAGCATTTCCTCTATTAAAACTATCGAAAACATTTGCACTGCTGTAAAATTGCAAAATCTTTAACTTTGGACAATGTGCTTTAGAAGGGAGAAAGCAAAAACATTTTGTTGGAGCAACTAGAAAATTGTCATTTCCCTCAACCAAATAAAGTAATTCTAATGGAAACATTCAGATGATTTGACCTAAAGATTGGCCTTTAGGTTTTATGAGCCTAGATAGATGCCGCAATTATTTGGTTGTTGCTCTAAGCTTTGCAAGGGATCCTAAAAGAGGCGGTGGAAGTGAAAATTCTGGGTCTCCAAGAAAATTTCTGCACAGCCAGTTCTCCAATCAGCCTATCACCCCTTGAAACATCTTCCCTGTGTCCCTGGGGGCCCCTGATGCTTTCTCCTTGGGTGATAGTAACATGCAGAGCACTTACACAAAGCTCCCTCTTTGGACATACCCCACGTCGACCTGTCACAGGCCTGGCTGTAGCGAGCACCTCCCTATGACGCAGAATGCTTCTTGGGAATTATCTTACTCCTCTGGAGGGTTAGTCCATCAATGTTTTGCTTCTTGTCCCAATACTACTGTGACCCTCTCTGATCGCACAGAAATCACTGCCTATCACATATATCCTGTTAAGCACTGAAGACCCTATTGAAATTAGAGTTCTACAGATGCCAAAAGCTGTACTTTCCATCAGGCAGATGGCAAGCTTACTGCCTTGATGCACATCTGGAGCCACTGGAGCTCCTTCCTCTCTGGTTCCAGCATTAAGGTGGAGAACTCCATGTAGCTTCTTGTCCTTTCCCCTCAGCTGTCTTTGCTTCACAAGGTTTTAGCCCAAAGCAAGAGTGCAATCCCAAAGCCACAGAGAAATGAACTTTCCGCTACCTGGAAGCTTTAAGTGAGTAAATCAGCTTTTCCCCTCTCATTCCTAGAGGCACACACCTCAAAAGTTACTAGGCTGGAGAGACCCTACCTTCCAGTGACCCACTCATCCCCCAGCCACGGAGAAGAGGGAAGACCAAAAAGGGAGAGTGAGAAAGAGGATGAGAGGGATGGTCAGCTGTGAGGGGAGGGGGCAAGTGGCCCAGCAAATGTTGATGCCTCCCTTCCCATCTTGCCACACGGTCTTTTTCTTTTGTAGCACAGCCTCCATTAATAACTCCTCGGCTGAGGATGAAGATGTAGGCACCTTTACCCCCAGAGCCAGTTCCTTAATTGGCTGGCTTTCTGAGATGCAGACCACCCTAGAATCTCATCTAGGTTCACTAGAAGTTAGTTAAATCTTCCTTTCTCTGTCTTTCTCTTCATTCCATCCCCCAAACCCACCAAACACTAAGGGAGAGCTCCCTTTGGATGTCTGGGCAGTAAACCTAGCTCATTTTTCTAGGAGACCCAGAAGTGACTTCTGAGTAGTTATCACTGTGTCTGCCTCTGTTACACTGTGCTGCTTTGCTTAAACAGAAATGCAGGCCTGGACATCTGACTGTGCCTTTATATTCTGAGTGGGGTGCTGCCCCATGCAAAAAAATCCAGAGAGGTAGTGAGGTGTCAGAGCTAAACACTTGGTGCTGGGTTTTGTTGATGCTGGTATAATGTGACACAGTACAATTACATGCTAAATTTTGCATTTTCTCTATATAACATCTATTTTTCCTGATACTGTGCCTTTGCCATTTTGATAATGCTATTTTGATTGAGTGAATTTTATTTCCTTTGTATTCCCATAGTGAACAATATATTAAGGTAGATGCCCTTTATCTGGGTACTCCTGGTAGATTAGCTGTTACACCTCCCTTCCCTTTTTTACAGTGAACCTGTATTCAGTTATTGTCACTCTGAGAACTCTCCAATAACAATTTCTTTTCCACAGTTAACAACACAGCTGTTACACCTCCCTTCCTTTTTTTCACAGTGAACCTGTATTCAGCTATTCTCACTCTGAGAACTCTCCAATAACAATTTCTTTTCCACAGTTAACAACAAAGTTCTGTTTTTAAATGAAGAGATTAAGTTCTTTTTAAATGCCTAAAGGCATATTCTGACAACTTTTCTACTTCTTTAACTTTTTTGATTTAAGATATATGCAAAGCAAATAAATTCAATAAAGCCTATTCTGTAGTCCATCTCTGTCTGTGACATGGGGCGGGAAATCAAATAGGATATTGACAACTCAGAGCTGAAGGTTGTCAGAGAAGTAAAACGTTCTTTTTTTTTGAGACGGAGTCTCACTCTGTCGCCCAGGCTGGAGTGCAGTGGCGCGATCTCGGCTTACTGCAAGCTCCAACTCGCAGGTTCACGCCTTTCTCCTGCCTCAGCCTCCCGAGTAGCTGGGACTACAGGCGCCCGCCACCAAGCCCGGTTAATTTTTTTTGTAGTTTTAGTAGAGATGGGGTTTCACCGTGTTAGCCAGGATGGTCTCAATCTCCTGACCTTGTGATCTGCTCGTCTAACGGCCTCCCAAAGTGCTGGGATTACAGGCGTGAGCCACTGCGCCCGGCCAAAGTAAAATGTTCTTAAAAGGTGGTGCTGAGAATAAGGGGCGTCCACGCAGGTGTGCCTGACCAAGCTGATGGCTTTCAGGTGAGCATTGATATTTGGTATGGGGGAGAAGGGCCACTGAAGAGGTTTTACGTTTGGACACCTGGAGAATAAAGAGGGGGTGTGGTTGGGGGACGAGCAGAAGAGACAAGGTGATTGGTGGTTGCACTGTAGCCTGGGTCAGGGACAAAGTCCAAGTCCGATAGCAAGATGGGCTACTGCAACAAGCGCTTTTCAGAAGCAAGGGGCCCTACTGTGCTCAGGTAACAAAGTGGCATGGAGGGAGGAAGGGAAAGGGGTTATAGGCCAGATAATGAGCCTGGCTCACCTGTAACATTTTCAGGGTTTAGAACAAGAGTTCAACTTGGGATCCACATACCATATGTCTAAATATTTGAAATGTTTAAATAAACGAATACAGCATGTTTTATTTAATGGTTTATCTCCTTCCATGACAAATGTACCTTCATAATGACCTCAAAGGCCAGGTTGGGTTCTAGAATTCTCAGACTCCTGTAAGTCCTGCCCCAGTGGTGTGGGAAGAACTGCTCCCCTTCCTCCTCCTGCTTTAGAAATATTTCAGACCTACACAAAATTGTAGAAAATGTTACTATAAACATCAATATATCTACTATTCAGCTTAAGAAATGTAACATTACAAATATAGTTGATGCCTGCTGTGGAGCCTTCTCTGCTAGAATGCCCCTCCCTTTCTTTCCCTGAGAGGTAACCACCATCTCAAATGTGCTTCTTTCGAATGCACACCTTTCTGTATGCTACACTTGTATGCATCTCTTACAAGCACATCTTTTAGTCTCTCTATATGTACCCATAATCAATTTATGGTGATCATTTGTATGTTTTCTTAGAAGTCATATGCATGGTATCATGTTTGTATCCTTTTGGACCCGACTTTTTCCTTTATGCATTTTTCCTCTCTAGGCCTCAGCCCCTGTGAATTCTAGTCTCCTCCCCAGCCCATCCCTTGCTGTCCCTTTCAGTTTACCTGAAACAGCCCCGAGCCAGTGAATTAACCCTGGCTCGACAGGAGGTGCTCGGCTTCTTCCTCTGTTGCTTGAAACCACTGGTTCTCAAACCTTAGTGTTCATCAGAAGCCCCTGGGGGGCCTGTTAAAACACAGATTGCTGACCCCACCCCAGATTTTCGGATTCCGTAGGTCTTGGGTGGAGTCTGAGAATTCCCAGGTAATGCTGATGATGCTGTTTGGGGACCAAACTTTGAGAACCACTGCTCCAAATCAAAGTCTGGGCCCAAGCTCAGCAATACCATGTGGCTTCCAGGCAACCTGGGCCATCCATGAAGTTTTCTTCAAAACCATGCTCTAGAGCAGTATTGTCCAATAGACATGTAATGTGATCTACATGGGTAATTCTAAATGTTCTAGTAGCCACATTTGAAAATAAAAAGAAACCAACAAAAACTTTAACATTTCATTTTAATTCAAGTATTATCATCTCAACATGTAATCAGTATGAAAATCATTAGTAAGATATGCAATATTATTTTCACACTTACAGCACATATCAAACAGACTAGCCATATTACAAGTGCTCAGCAGCCACAACGTTACTAGTGACTAAGGTAGTAGACAGTACAGCTCTAAAGACTTGAGCCCCATCTCTCTCTTTGCAAAAATGGTTTTAAACTTGACATTTTAATTGACTTTTGGCTGCAGTAAAAGAATTTAAAACAGTCTTACTAAATGGTGGAAAGTAATACCTTTCAATGAAGGTATGGTGGGCCAAAACAAAGAGGTAAAAGAGAGATTTGAGTCAGAATTATTTATTGAAAAATCTCCCCATGTTTCAATTTATTCATTTAAAACAAACTTTTATTTCTAACTTGAACAAACACTGTCAAATACATTTGTGAAAGATAAAAGTTAGATGTCACTAGATATCACTTTTAAGGTAATGAACTTTGGAATGATATGTGTTAAAATTCTCACAGGCATCTGAATAAAATAAAATAAAAACAATGAACAACAGAGTCTTCTTTCTTCATCTTCTTTCTATTCTTCCCAACTACAGAATGAAATGAGAAAAAAATAAACAATGGTACGTTAGCCAGCACCAGTGACTTTCTAAATAGAAGAAAATGGCCAGCTCTGTGTATATCTGCAACATTTGTGTGCTATATCTTAAACAAGTAGAGAAGAACACCTTTTCCTTTTGTAACTCGCAAGCTTGGATATCAGGGTGCTTGTGAAACTGATGGTTACAGCCAAATGATCACACCAACCTTGTCTCCCTAGCACCAGAAAAGCTTCTTGTTGTTGTTTTTACATGAGAGGCAATTCTGGGATTTAAATAAATCTCTCAAGCTTTAACAGCCTGTGCTAGTTCCACAAATGATACTCCCTTACTCTCCCAGACCCTTGGTTTCCATATCTACCATATGGGAAAGAAGCTGTTATGAAATAATACAGCTGTGAAAATGCAAAAAAAAAAAAAAAGAAAAAAGAAAAAATGTTAACCATTTAAATATACTCAAAGACAGATATGCCTTAAGACTTAATTACACACATTCTTTTCATTTGTCACATAAAATACAAAGATATATAGCTAAACAAATATTTAGGTATTAGTCATTAAATGTGGTCCTACTTGAAATTCTTAGCTTTTTGCTATTTGTTAGTAGTCACTTTGTAAAAGGCATTGAGTTGTCTCCTAGTTACTATGGGAGCCTGCATTTCTGTGGCTAAGTAATGAAGTCCCAACCAATGTGTGGCCCAAGCAAGTTAGATGCTGCGTCTGGCAACTGTTTTCTACACAAATATTGATCTTAGGTAGTAGGTCTGATACATTTGCCACTTGTTAGTAGTCCTGCAGCTAGAGGACAAAAGACCTCAACATGAACAAATGAGTAGCCATGAAGTGTATTTCAGAACACACTGCAGTTCATATTACTACGTACATGAATATTCTAGTAACATTTTAAGTAAGCTAAATTGAATTTTTAAACTAAAACCTTTTCTTAATTAATTTACTGGGAATTTTATTTTAAAATAAAACTGTCAGCAACAGGTAAATGCCAGGAATAGTTGAGTGATTCTCAAAGCTATACACCGATACCTGGATTTTCTCAGCTTCCCCTCTGCTGCGTCTAGGTCCCTTTGGAGTTCTTCACCTTGTTTTCAGCATCCTTCTCTTTCTCTTCTTTCTCTTCCTTGCCTGCAGCATCTTGGGCCTCTTCATCCCACTTTTCATGCTGATATTTAGTGACTTCTTTAGCGAAGAATAATACAGATGTTGGGACCAGACATTCACAGAAAATATAGCCCAATTTATAACCAGCAGCGGCACCCAGTACTCCACCCTCAGGAGAAGCAGGAGGATAGACTTAACTAAGAAAGGAATAGCTGGGCACCTTCCTACTGGTTTTCACAACAGTGCCATGGCCCTCACGTTGCTGCTGCTTGATCATTTCCACAGTGACACTATTTCCCTTTTTTCCAGTAAATCTCCCACCCAAAGCTGCCGATTATTTCTAGTTCTTTGGAGAAGAGATCAGAATCATGGTGTCTGATCTCATTCTAAGTGTTTTGATCAGAACTTTGCTGGGAAAATATTTGTTGCCTCAAAAGACAAATTCTATGGTGAAGCTCATTGGTTCCTCACCCCCCTGAATGTTTCATTTTTACCAAGGGCCCCTGTATCACTTCATCATTTGGGGATCAACTTTCTAAGAATCTTTACACTTTGAAAAGCCATGAACAAAAAAGGATGCCTGCCATTTGCCTGTTCTTTTCTTTCCGTTGTCCCTTGTTTCCTGCCGAGCTCCCTCCTGAACCCCTATCTACCTGGCCATTCATCTGTGGGCCCCCCAAATGGCATTGATGATCTCAGATCTTCTATCAAACACAGGTTGGTAGAGGGCGGCATGTTTTCTCAAAAATCATAGATGTCGTTAGAGAATTGGGCTTCGACTCATTGGTACACATTTGGCCTTAAGTTTCAGGAGGGCCCTGACCCCCACTTCACCACCCGAGGCCCGACCCCCACTTCACCACCTGCTTCACCAGCTGTGCGCACACCGCGGCCCTGCCTGGAACCCTTGGGTGCACGGGTCCCTGTCTCCCCGCCACTGCAGATAGCCTGTTCCTCACCCTCAGGGGCAGCAGCCTCCTCTGTGGCCGGTTCCTCTGCGGACTCCTCCTCTGCAGCCGGTTCCTCTTTGGCCGGTTCCTCTGCGGCCTCCTCTGCGAGCTCCTCCTCTGCGGCCTCCTCTGTGGGCTTCTCTGAGGCCTCCTCTGCGGGCTCTTCTGCGGCCTCCTCTGTGGGCTTCTCTGAGGCCTCCTCTGCGGGCTCTTCTGCAGGCTCCCTGGCCATCTCGGCCAGGTCTGCTGGCACCTCAGGCTCTGGGACCAACGCGGCCTCCTGGAGCAGGCCCAGGCCCTCGCCCTCAGGACCCGCGGCCCCCACGCCCAGCCTCTCATGCACCAGCAACAGCCGGGGCTCTTCTGAGCCACTGGGCGCCGCAGTGCGGCGCCTCCGCATCAGGCGGCCGCCACGCATCCTGATCAGGATGTGGTCGTTGTGATAGATGCGGAGGAGAAGGGAGTGGACCATGTCCAGAAACTCCATGCGAAAGCCTCTTATGGGGTAGCGACGGGCGGCCGCGACCAAGTCGAAGTTGTCCGCCTCGTTCCTCTCTTCCTCCTCCTCCTCCTCTTCCTCCTCCTCATCCTCCTCCTCCTCCACCATCTCCACTACTATCCTGATCTCTGAGTCTTCCTCGGCGTTCCCACCCCCGGGGGCTGCGGCCAAGCCTGCCGCCTGCTCACCCTCCTCCTCCCCGAGGCCTCTCATGGGCCCTGCGACTCCGGCCACAGTGTTGCCACTGTCGGGGCCAGAGTCACCGCCCTCCCGGTCACCTACGGCCTCGGCCTGCGCTCCCTCCTGGTTCACTGGAGCCTCCTGGTCCTCTTGGATCAGGTCTTGATCCCCTGTGGCAGACATGACGCCAGTCAGTGCCTCAACTGGAGTGGCGACTAGGCTGAGGTGACAACGGTGAAGACGGTGGCCACTGATGTGGCTGTGGCTGAGGGGAGGTGAGGGGCTGGGCTGCTGAGAGAATAAGAGTCTGTCTCCTTACTGAGGGAATAAAAGTCTGTCTCTGAGGACACCCTAAGGTGGGAAGGGCAGGGAGCCGATCCCAGGAGCCTCCCGCTGAGGTTGGCCTGAGAGGACTTAGACAAGGCGGGAAAGATTCGGGTTGGTAAGTGACAGGGGGCGGGACAGGAAGGGTCAAGGAGGGGCTCTCAGTGAGCTCTAAGCTCATTTGCTGAAAACATCAGATTGACATGCTCTGCATCCAATGAATATCAAGGCCCTTAAGCTCTAGGACAACTCAGAATCCAGAACTCTATCTTTTCTTTGAGGCCTTAGTGTCCAGGGCTAGCCTTTAGGTCCACACAAGTCCTGTCCTTTTAATTTTACGATTATTAGCAGCACTATAGTGATCCAATGTGGAGGCACCCTGGATTGGGGAAACTTCTTCTGTAAAGGGCAGAGACGAAACATTTTAGGTTCTGCAAGGTCCAGAAGCAATATCAAGACTATTATGTAATTACTATCACTAAGTAGGTTTCCTGCCTTCCATAGGACACATACTCCTCTTTGTACCACCATTTTGTTTTTTTTGAGACAGAGTCTCACTTTGTCGCCCAGGCTGGAGTGCAGTGGCATGATCTCGGCTCATTGCAAGCTCCACCTCCCGGGTTCACACCATTCTCCTGCCTCAGCCTCTTGAGTAGCTGGGACTACAGGCGCCCGCCACCATGCCCGGCTAATTTTTTTGTATTTTTAGTAGAGATGGGGTTTCACTGTGTTAGCCAGGTTGGTCTCAATCTCCTGACCTCGTGATCCGCCCGCCTCGGCCTCCCAAAGTGCTGGGATTACAGGCGTGAGCCACTGCGCCCAGCCTGTACCACCATTATTTTCTGTATTTGCCTGGTCAGTGCCCTCTGATCTTCTTCACCTCCTACCTAAAATGATCAACCTTATTCATTAAACCATTTATTTATTCATTTACCAAATTTATTGAGTGCGTTACATGTACCAATGCCATGCCTCCTTACAACTGTCATTTGTACCTCTTGCTTGTTTGACTGATGAAATCCAAAGATGACAGACTGCTCATGGTTTACATCCTAGTGCCTCTTCCCCCATCGTTCCTGTGCCCCTCTTTGGGGTGGAGGTTAGCTAAGACCTCTGGAAGCTGAGCTTTCCCAGCTGCATAGAGTGTCAACGTTCCTATATTTGCAGAGACTCCAGTTTATACTAAATCATTTCCTCTTTAGTTGCCTTGTCCACTTATCAGTGAGTGTGAAACACAATGTGATGACTGCTGTCAATCTTGTAGTCTCTAGGGCAAAAAGTACACAGCAGTAGCTGCTTCTTTCTGCAGGGAGATAGAACTGGGCACTGGGCTTGTTATGGAGCAAGTTGTTGTCAAGGAGTGAGGCAGATCCTGGAGGAGATGGTTCTGTTGCAGTGGCAGTAAGCTATCTTACCAGTTGTTTTCAAGTCCCTGGGAGGGGAAACTAGTTAGCACCAGCAAACAGAAGAGAAAGGAAAAAGCTGAGCAGATGTGCTTTCAATAAGTGAAGTGAAACTACCTGAAGTGAAACTGAGGGAGAGTGTCCTCCTAGCTCCCGCATTGGGGCTCTCTTCATGGCAAGTATGTGAGCCAGAAGTCCGTGGAACAATCTCCATAGCCTTGGTTATCTGCCTGAGCCTGTTGTCTGCAGATGTAGACCCATCCAGGATGTCACATTCCCTTATCTCTGGTGTGTAGTTGCTACCTTTCCTTTATCTCCAGCTATCCCACCCATGACATCTGATCTTTGCCAAGCCAGGTAGTTGGCACAACCCAGGATTTCAGATTTTCTTAGGGAAAGGTGCTCTCTTTCCCCACCCCACCTCCCTCTGTCAGTCAACAGAAGTGGCCAAGTCCTTTCCATTTGCAGACCCACCATCAAGGTCAAGGTGGGCCAGTGGGAGAGACCTAAAGCCACAACAACCCTCAGAGGTTTCCACTTAATGTTGGGATGACAGGGAACACCCCTGGAAGACCAGCCCAAAGATCTCCTTTACAGCCTGGCTCAAAACTCACCGCCTCCAGGCAGCCTACTTTTCTATATCTGTACCCCACCACCCTCACCAGACACTATCCTTAATGACAGTGGTATGTGTGGACATGGTTTAGCTCCTCCAAGAAAGCACAGGCCCTTTAGGGTGAATGTCCAGGCCTGTCTCAAGTTTGTTAACACCCACGGTGCCTGCCACAGGGCTCTGCACCAGGTCGGTGTTTGATAAATGTTTGCTAAATGAATCAAACGGCTTTGGAATCACTATCACCATGAATGGTGTTTTTCTCTTCTATCTGCCTAGGGCTTGACTGTCTGCAAAGGGCCTTGCTATCCCCTCTTCCTTTCTCTCTTGGGATCGTCTCCCTGGCCTCTTGTGAGATTTCTGCTCTTGCAACCTAGTGTGATTCTGCTGTGAGGCTGGGGACAATGAGGGATCTCACCCCTCATGGGAGACCCTTCCCCCACCCTTGACATACAGGGAGTGACTTGGTCCCTTGCTTGCCTCCTAGTCTACTGTGTCACAGCCAGAGTAGGCTGCGGGTGCCTACTTTGTGCCTACTCTGGCACAGGAGTGCCATCTCCTTCCAGGCCAGGTAGAGCCCACGGTCCTCAAGCCCAGCACTTCCTGCTTCTCATGGAAGCCACGGGAGGGGCGAGGGACAGTCTGGAATGCTGGTCTCTCTTGGGATTTGACTTTGACTTCCACATCCCAAGGGGGTCATTGCACAGACTCTGTAACTTTGAGCTCAGCCCCTGGGAGTGGAGTTGCATGTCAGGGCTCCATCCTTCTGATTCTGGGCAAGTCTGCACCACCACAGGCTCCTTTTCACTTACAGGCTTATCTAGCTTGTGGGGTTTATGCCTTTCTTGCATCATCAGTCTTCTTTCCTACACTGAAGTTTGTTCATCATTCTTCGTGACTTTAACATCCACAGGGATGACTTATCCCATGACCTGGAATTCCACTTCCGTGACCTCCTCATCTGATCTTTTCTACAAACTTACATCAGATACTTACCCCCATGGTCCTACACTAGCCTTTTCCATTACCAGAAATGGCACCATTTAGAAAATTTCTTCTCTACTGCTACAATGTTTCAATCCCATCAGATTATTTCCCCAATCTGCTGACCTAGCCACTTTTTCACTCTACCTTCCTACCATCTTCTTCATTTGCCTACTTACCCAGTTTAAATTCCATCCATTATGTGTTGCTATTATCACAGGCAGAATGCTGGCCTCCCCAAAGATGCCCATGTCCTAATCCCCAGAACCCTGTGGGTCTGTTAGGTTACCTGGCAGAGGGGAATTAAGGTTGCAGATGGAGTTAGTGTTGCTAATCAGTTGACTTTAGGATAGGGAGATTATTCTGGATTAGTCAGATAGGCCCAATGCAGTCACAAGCATCCTTAAAAGTGGGAGAGGGAATTAGAAGAGAGAACCAAAGAGATGGCAGCATGAGAAAGACTTGGCCTGATGTTGCTGGCTTTAAAGATGGAGGAAGGAAACTATAAGCCAGTGAAAGTGGGCAGGCTGTAGAAGCTGGAAAAGTCAAAGAAACAGATTCTCCTCTAGAGTCTCCAGAAGGAATACAGCTCTGCCCACACCTTGATTTCAGCTCAATGACACTTCTGACCTCTGCAACTCTAATATTTTAAGTCTGTATTTTAAGCCACAAAGTTTGTGGTGATTTGTTACAGCAGCAATAGGAAACTGATACCTACTCACTCACTCCATTCCCTTTCTCCTCTTAGCTGTCTATCATATCTACTAGGCAAAACCCCAAACTCTAGTTGAATTGCACTATATTACTTTTTCCTTGCCACTAAATGAAGCAGATAAAAATATTGAAAGTTGGTTGACTAAATTCACTAAAAATTTGTGGTCATGAGCACGCTCAAGACTGCTTGGCAACCACAGTTTCACTACACTTTCCCTCCACCCTAAATCTTTGACAATTTTGCCATTGAACACACAAACGTTTCTGTTTCTCAGCTTCTACATTTCCAATAATTTGCCATCTACCCTACCTCATCCACTTACTCTCAGGACCATGCCAAGGATCCTAGACCTTTCTTAATGAAAATATACATCACTCCCAAAATCTCAAGATTAAAAAATCTTAAGAATTCCACACTCTGACCACCACTTCTTATTTTTCCAGTTTGGTGCCCTTGCTCCGACTATGGTCTGCAATGACCACCATGTGGTCAAAGCCATCAGTCTCTTTCTATTCTCAGTTTTCTTGATCCTTCAGCAGCAGCTACCCACATTACTCTTCCTTAAACAGCCCCTTTCAGGATTTCTGTGGCATTACAGTTTTCTGAGTTTTCTCCTCTTTGGCCACTCTTTACCTCATTCCCCCAAACTAGAGTTTCTCTGGGCTCTGTTCTGGGACTTTGCCTTTCTATACTCCCTTCCCTCAGTGATCTAATCTTTGTTTCAAGGCCTTGAAGATAACCCAATGATTATAATTTCCAAATTGATATCTGTGTCTCAAACCCCTCTTCCAAGTTTATAACAAATTTGACTTGGCATCTCCACTTGAGTATCTCACAGATCTCTCCAACTTGAAGTAGCTAAAATGTCATTCTGGATTTGCTCCTCCTCTCTGCTTGTTCTTTCCTCTTAGGAAATGGCACTTCTACCCACCAAGATGCTTTCATCGGAAACCTGGTTGCCCTCTTTAATTCTTTTCTACATCCATTCCATCTGTCGGCTTACCTCCTAAACGTCTCTCAAATCTGTCCACTTCTCATCTCTTCAACTATTAATACTCTCATTCTAATGCAAACCTTTAGCATTTCTGATTTGACTACTCAATAGCCTCCTAACTGGTTTTTCCCCTTCCAGTGGATTCTCTGCACAACTAGAGAGTTTTTTAAAGAATATAATTCATATCTTTCAGTCATCCTGTTTAAAAACCTTCACTGGCTTCTTGTGAATTAAATAAGATACAAACTCCTTATCTTACCCCATAAGACCCTTTGTGATCTAGTCTTTTCCTGGCACTGTTCTCATAATTTCTAGAATACATGTTCTTGCCTACACATGAAATTCCATCTGCTGGAACAATCCCCTTACCCCCTACTCTCATGTAAGATCGTGCAGATTGTTCTCTACACAAAGGTATCCAGCTGAGGTGTAGGGTGGGCCGAAATCTAGCCTGCAGTCCTCTTGCCAAGCTGTGCTCCTTGGTGTGCAAGACCTTGCTTCTACTCTTCCCATGGCTGGCTTCTTCTCAACCTTCAAGTCTTGGCTTCAATGTCAACTCCTCAAAGAGGCCTTCTCTGACCTCAGTTATTTTCTGTCTCACTGCCATATCTGTCTACTACCTTCATAGAACCTATCACCATCTGTAAGTATAGATTTGCTGTCTTTCTCCCTGTAAGCTCCATGAGAACAGACATCTTGTTTGTCTTGTGCCATGCTATATCACCACAGCACCTAATACATAATCATGCACTGAGAAGTGATAGTTGATGAGAAAGAAGGAAACTCCTGAGAAGAGAATGCAAAGAGCAAAGAGAGGGTCTAGGTTCTGCTTTGCCCAGGTGCCTCCTGCCACACTGATTGGCATCAGAAAAAGCCTTCATGTCATAGAGAAACCACAAGTGTGGCCAGAAATTCTCAAATGTGGCAGCACATCAGAATCTCATGGGGATTAAATTAAAAAGTCTTCATATCATAGAGAAAGCACAAGTTTGGCCTGAAATTCTCAAATGTGGCATCACATCAAAACCTCGTGGGGATTAAATAAAATAACATAACCGCCTCTCCTCTGTCTTTCAAGGTTCTGATTCATTGGGTCCGGGTGGCTGCTGCAGACACTCTCGGTGCACTACCGAGAGACTGCCACTGAGTGGTGCTGTATGACTCTGTTTCAGAGTAGAGGTCGCACTTCGCTCCAAGAGAAGGCATAATTTATAGAAGGATTTTTTTTTTTTTTTTTTTTTAGCTACTCTGACCTCAGATCTTCTCATTCCAGGAGGGTGGCCCAGGCAGTGCCTCCAGAAATGTTTAAGTTTTGGTTTCTTTTCTGTGCCCTTCCAGATTCACAATAAGGACATCTGTCCTTACCTAAAAGCTTCCCCTCACCTCTCCTAACCCACCCCCACAAAGCTCTACCAATATCCTCTTACCTTCTGCCCAAAACTTCCCGTACTTTTCTTCTCTTATCTTTTACCTCTTTATCTTGTCTTCCTCTTCTTTTTCTGGGAATCACTCTTCCTCAGTTTCCTTACTTGTAACCGGAGGATAAGGGTGGCATTGTGAGGATCTAAGGAGATACCACCTACCAAACTGCATTGATCTAACTTGGCATGTATTATCTTCATAGATTTTTACACCAATGCCATTCTAATCCACACAGTGATGGTAGCTTCTCTATTCAAGCAAACACAATTTTATTAATGCATATTTTCAAGAACACGTATTATAAGTGAAATACATCTGAAGAGGATTTAGAGAGAAGATTCGTATGCGCTACTACCCTGCTTTTTGCAACTGGTCATGAACCAGCCTCTGAGTGAACTGGAGGGGAAGGCACGGAAGAGGTAACAGAAGGGGCTAGGAAAAAGATTCTTCCAGGGCCTTAATCAGCCTGAAATGCTTTGGAACCAGCTGACCTAATAATTCTTCAGAGACTGTCAGTGCACTGGTGCCCAATGAATGCCTCCATACAAAGCTGCAAGCCCACTATCTATGGCAGTCTAGGACTGGGAAAGAACAAAGCAAGGTTATAACGGAGTGGACCTCAGTTCAAAGAAATGAGAACAAAAATCAGGCCACTCTTGGCCAGATAGATAGATAGATAGATAGATAGATAGATAGATAGATAGATAGATAATGATTTCCCCTTCCTCTATATTCCAAATGGCTTGCAGAAGGGGTTCTTGTTTCTCATGGCAGGGCTATCGATGGGGCAATTGAAGGAGCTACTGTAAAGGACTGTAACTAAAGAACATTTCAAGATAGCTCCATGGGCTCTTTGACAGGTCTAGTTCAGGAAGCCCCATGCCAACAACCAAACAACTCCCTTTGCAGTACAGCCCACAGCTCATCCTCTGGGCTGGTTTAGCTTCAAATGACCATTTGGCACTGTTTGGCAACAGGTTGCCTCACCAGCCCACTGACCTCCAGAGTCTTCTGGAAGTTAAAAGGACACACATTCACTACCATAAGTTCTAAAAACCTATAGCAGTTCCCACTCAAGCCACTCCACTGACAGTTGGAGCGGGTGGGGAGAGATGCGGGAGGGCTGAAAAGGGAAATGTTGCATACAGAGAGCTTATTTGAAATGCATTAGGGTGCTTTCTCTTTGAAGGAATTTGCAGGCAAGGGTTTTGTAAAGGAAAAAGTGCTTTGGTATGCGGGTAATATGCAGTCATTTATCTGTGTAGTAAGCTTAGATCTTATCCATCACATTTTTTTTTTTTTACCCTTGAGCTCATCTCTATTAGGGAGATTCTGATTTCTCCAACTCCTTGAGAGGCACCTCAGGTCCAGGGAAAAAATGAATAAGGATGACTTTCTCCAGAGGATGGTACGTTTTAATTCCAGATGTCCCTGCTGTGAATATAAAACAAAGAATTTGTCAAACTCGGGGGCTGAACTGCCTGGATTTTAACCCAAGCTCTGCCACTTAGTACCTGCGTGATCTTGGGTAGTTATTTAGCCTCCCTGAACTTCAGTGGGTTTTTTAAAATACGAAAAATGTAGATAATAAGAGCACTTATCACATAGGCTTGTTGTGAGTGTTAAATGAACTAATATATGTAAAATCTTAGAACAAAGCCTGGCACATAAGCAACATATGGGTCCTCAGCATATAATTCCTGCCCTCGAGTAGCTTGGAGTTCAGCTGGGGGGACAAAACCTATGCATTAAAGGTTAAATAGCAGTACATGCTACCGCTTCACTAGACCATATGTAGTGTTAGGCCTTAGGATATGGTAGTGAGCCGGAGAGTCTTGATATAACCAGAAAATGTCAAAGAAACAGATCAAACAGTAAAGGCACCGAGATCAGAGTAGTGAGAAAGTATTTTGGTGTGGAGTGGTCAGAGATGTCTTCGTAGAAGAGGTAGGACTTGGCCCAGAAATAGAGCAGGGGTTGGATAGATGGAAACAGAGCAATGCAGTGGGGTCAGAGAACAGGGCTTTGGAGGTAGAACACCTGTGGGATGGATGGAGGTATTCAGGAGCCTATTTGAAATGCACTTAAGGTAGCTCCCTGCACATGCCCTTCTGGTAAAATACTCATATGAGAAAGAGAAAAGCATCTCCTACCATCCAGGAGTTGGACTAGTACCATCAGCTAGGCCTTGCTGTTGCTAGGAGCTGGCCTAGCACTAGCAGCAACACCAAACTAGGTCTTGTTGTTCTGTTGAACATAAATCCACAGAATGCCAATATCAGACAAGGCAACTCTGTGACTATGATGGATCAAGGCAGAAGCAAGATAACTCTGTAATGGCTGAAACCAGACAAAATGTGAACACTGTCCAAACCACAGAAATGACAAAACATCCCTCTCCCAGCTAAAATGAATGACTGCTACTCTTTACTAACTAGAGCTGTAGCTTCCCTCTACTCTACCCTCCCTCTAGCTAAAACTTATTGAAATACTTGATCACAGAATTGTTCTACTGTCTGACAGCATCCAATATAGGGCAAACCATAGCTTTTTTTGACCTTCCCCCAGTCATCTAGCCAATGCCCAAATCCTATAACAAATCTTTTCTAACATACTGTTCTTGAGATGCCTCACAGTTCTTCACGGTGTACATGCCCCCTCACTTCAACAAGTAATAAACCCAGGTTGATCAACATGTGTGTGCCTAGTGATCTTTGGCCAAAAGACATTGACAATATCACTAAAATGATTGAGGGGTATGGATGCATCCCTCCTACTAGGGTTCATTTAAAAAATTCCATGAAACAAAGAAATGTCTGAAATAAGTGCAGCCCCACCTCATACAACACAGCATGGTAAGTAAAATGACAGAGGCAATCACAGAGCACTGTAGGGATACAAGAGGGACTTCTTTCAGCAACTTTTCCTTAGCAACCATTGTCAGGCACCGGGGATATAACAGGGAACACGATAGACAGATAAAAGAAAGAAAAATGCTGGGAGCAGTGATTCATGCCTGTAATCCCAGAACTTTGGGAGGCCGAAGCAGGTGGATCACCCGAGGTCAGGAGTTCGAGACCAGCCTGGCCAACATGGTAAAACCCTGTCTCTACTGAAAAATACAAAACTAGCCAGGTGTGGTGATGCGCGCCTGTGATACCAGCTACTCGAGAGGCTGGGGCAGGAGAATTGCTTGAACTCGGGAGGTGGAGTTTGCAGTGAGTAGAGATCGCACCATTGCACTCCAGCCTGGGCAACAGAGCAAGACTACATCTCAAAAAAAAAAAGACAGATAGATAGATAGATAGATAGATAGATAGGTAGATAGATAGACAGATAAAAGATAGATAGGACAGATAAGAAGAGAGAGAGAGAGTCCCTGCTCAATGAACGAAGGAAGAGTACTGCAAATGTTTGAAAACCAGAAACAGCAAGTATGTTCATTAACAGGGGACCATCGTCAGAGACAGTGTAACCTAGTGGTTGAGAGCACAGCTTGTGGATCCAACCTGCCTTGGTTTCTATCTCAGCACTACTACTCAGCAGCTGCCAATAGAGCACAATCTCACAATCTACTGTGCATAGAAATTTCCTTTTTTACTGATCACTCCCCAGTGAGGGGTGGTAGGGAGGTAGCTCAGCTCCTGTCTGCTGCTGTTCCTACACCAACACTTGAACAAGGTCTTTCCGCTTCCAAACAAGACATTCACCCAAGGCTGCTTTTTCTCTGTAATCTCTGGCTGAGGGCCCAGGGAAGATAAGTCTAGACTTCAGGCTGGTTAAATACAGAGCCCAACATAATGTACACATGGTTTTAGCATCCAGGAGAAAATTGCAATTGGTGTTTGTGCAAGGAGCTCTTGAAGCCATTTTTTAAGCGCTTTACAGGGACACAGACTTTATGTCATCCCCACGCCCATTCTCAATTGCATGTTTTTGAACACACGTTTGGTTCTAAACTATGCTAACCCACTGAGAGGGCTGGGGGAGGAGTATGACTAAGGTTATCTGACACCAACCTTATTCTCAAGGAGTAGACAGCCTGATTGGGGAGAGAGCCAATCGCTGACAAACGGAGCAAGAACATAGACCCAGAAGAATGTGCTAAATTACATGGCCTCTGAAAGGCCACCTGAACTTGTATCATAAATACAGGAGGAATTCTCACAGGAAGAGCTCACTGTGGGCCAAGTGAGTCTAAGACGGTTTTGTGGAGGAAGAACTGGGGATAAAATACAATTTAGATAGAAGGATTTTCAGGGGGCATTTCCTGCCTTAAATTATCTTTGGTATAAAATGAATTGGGATAATTAATTTTGAGGAAATTGTGCAAAAATGTTCCTTTGAAACCATTGAAGCCAATCTAGGGTGTTCCAAAAACAGTGCCAGAAATGGTCACTTTTTACTGCAATCCCAGCTCTCCTGGGAAATGTTGCCAAGCAGCTGGCTGCACATTTAGCCAAATATAAATTTTCCCACATATGGAAAAATCATAGAATTACATGTGTATAAAGGCCTGCTACCTCTGATTTGAAGAGTCTCCAGGGAAAATTCCTGAACTATCACCATTAGCAAACCCCCACCTTTCACAAGTGCCAAATATTCATCCTCACCAGCATGCATTGTTATCATTATTTCTTATTTTAGCCATTCTGATAGGTACATAGTTATATACTCACTTATTCCTCAGCTTTATTAAGGTATAATTGACAAATAAAATAATTGTATATATTTTCAGTATACAACATGATGTTGTAATATATATATATATATATACATATTGTGAAACGATTAAATCAAGCTAACTAACGTACCCATCAACTCACTTATTATTTTGTGGTGGTAAGAATACTTAAGATTTAGTCTCTTAGCATTTTCAAGTATACAATACTGTAACTGTAGTCACCATGCTGTACAGTAGATTTCCAGAATTTATTCATCCTACATAACTGAAACTTTGTTCCTTTTTACCAACATATTTCCACTGCCCTCACTCCCAGCCCCTGGCCACCATCATTCTACTCTCTGCCTCTATGAGTTCAACTTTTTTGGGTTTCACATATAAGTGAGACCATGCAGTATTGGTCTTTCTGTACCTGTCTGGCTTCTTTCATTTAGCATAATGTCCTCCAGGTTCATCCACATTATCACAAATGACAGGATCTCATTCTTTCTTAAGGCTGAATAGTATTCCATTGTGTATATATACCACATTTGCTTTATCCATTCATTCATCAATGGACACAGGTTAATTTCACATCTTAGCTATTGTGAATAATGCTGTGACGAACACGGGATTGCAGATATCTCTTTGACATACTGATTTCATTTCTTTTGAATATATACCCAAAAGTGAGATTGCTAGATCATATGGTAGTTCTATTTTTAATTTTTTAAGGAAACTCTACACTGTTTTCCCCAATGGCTGTACCAATTTACATTCCCACAAACAATAGACAAGGGTTCCTTTCTCTTCAGATCCTCGCCAGCACTTTTCTTTCATATTTCTGATAATAGCCATTCTAACACGTGTGAAGTGATCTCATTGTAGTGTTAATTTGTATTTCCCTGATGATTAAGCCTGTTGAGCATTTTTTTATATACTTGTTGGCCATATTGGTGTCTTCTTTTCAGAAATGTCTATTAGGTCCCTTGCTCATTTTTTATTGAGTTATTTGTTTTCTTACCATTGAGTGTTTGAGTTCCTTATATATTTTGGATATTAACCCCTTATCAGATGCATGGCTTGCAAATTTTTTTTTCCACTCTGTAGGTTGTCTTTTCACTCTGTTGATTGTTTCCTTGGCTGTGCAGAAGTTTTTTAGTTTGATGCAATCCCAATCATCTATTTTTGCTTTTGTTGCCTATGATTTGGAAGTCATAGTCCAAAAATCATTGCCCTGACTGATGTCAAGAAGTTATTTCCCCTATGTTTTCTTCTAGTAGTTTTAAATTTCAGGTCTTACATTTCAGTCTTTAATCTCTTTTATTTTTGTATATGGTGTGAGAAAACGGTGTAATTTCATTCTTTTTCAAAGGAGACATGTGGATATCCAGTTTTCCAGTGCACTTTATTGAAGAAACTGTCCTTTCCTCATTGTGTGCTCTTGGCACTTTTTCAAAGATCAATTGACTATAAATGTGTTGACTTATCTGGGGGCTATCTATTCTGTTCCGTTTGTCTAAATGTCTATTTTTATGCCAGTACTATGCTGTTTTGATTACTGTAGTTTGTAGTATATTTTGAAATCAAGTAGTGTGATGCTTCCAGCTTTGTTGCTTTTGGTCAAGATTGCTTTGGCTATTTGGGGTATTTTGAGGTTCCATACAAATTTTAGGATTTTTTTTCCATTTCTGTGACCCTTGTCACTTGAATTTTGACAAGGATTGCATTAAAGCTGTAGATTTCTTTGGGTAGTCTGTACTTTTTAATAATATTAATTCTTCCAACCTATGAACACAGGATATCTTTTTATTTATTTATGTCTTCTTCAATTTCATCAATACTTTATAGTTTTCAGTGTGTCATATTCTTATTTTTATGTATAATGTCGCATTTGCTTTTTTCTGTGCATTTTTTCATGGTTTCATTTTTCAATTTATTGTGTGCAGGATTCAATACAGTATAATTTTTCATGTTGTGTTTCCAATTAGAGTATAATTTTCCTTAGTTACACTAATGACACATCTTTAGTGAAACAAAAATGAAATATTTAGTTTCCAGCATGGTTGTTGGGATCATTCTTGATTCATGTTTTTATTTTTAGTTTCTTGGCTTAGATCCTGATGAGAGAGAGAAAAAAGAGATGTGTTTGTCACTTTAATTATATATGTCCAAGTTTTTTTTCAGACTATTTCAACTGCTTTGCGTGTCCACCAATTGTGAAAATAAATTTTTATTTGACCATACGGTTAACAAAATATATTCTTTTTTTTATTGCTGAAAGGCACATTAATTTCTGGTGTTAACATTTTGCTATTTCTGTAGGTATAGGATGCTTAAATTACTTTACATCTGCAGCATGATTATTATTTTATTTTTTAAATGGTTATAAATATATATGCACAGAAAAAACTAAAAGAGAAAAGGCAATAGTGGTCTCTGGGTGGTAAGATTGTGGGTTATGTTAAGTTTCTTCTTTATACCTTTGTAAATTTAATTTTCTACAATAAGTATATATTGCCTTTTTTAATAGAGTTTATTTTTTAGAGAAGTTTTAGGTTCACCGAAAAATTGAGCAGAAAGTACAGAGAGTTCCCATATATATCTTGACTCCATGCATGCACATACATTGCTTTTTTTAAAGACAGGGTCTTGCTCTGTTGCCCAGGCTGGAGTGCAGTGGCACCATCTCAGATCACTGCAACCTCCACCTCCTGGGCTCAAGTGATCCTCCCACTTCAGCCTCATGAGTAGCTAGGACTACAGAGGCACGCCACTACACTTAACTGATTTTTTAATTTTTTGTGGAGATGGGGGTCTCACTATGTTTCCCAGGCTGGTCTTGAACTCCTGGCCTCAGGCAATCCTCCTGCCTCAGCCTCCCAAAGTGCTGGAATTACAGGCACGAGCCACTGTGCCCAGTCTACTTTTTAAAATCAGTAAAAATGTTATCAAGGAAACACAATATAATGTATGTGGAAAAGCATATCATATAGGAAGTATAAATAAGTGTTTATTGAACCTAAAAGATAAAGCTATTTGCATATTTTATAGATTTCATTTCTTTTGTTATAAAAATAATGTTAATTTATTTCTCTTTTTATGCATGTAGATCTTAAGTTTGGCTATTCAATTTATTTTATTTCATGTGATTTGTTTTCAATACAATACCAGTAGTAGTGTTTTCGTTTGGTTTTCAGTTTCTAATATTGTCCCATTTGTTTTTTCTTCATGCTTATCACAGTCACATCTCATCAATGTTACTAGCACCAAAATAATATATGCTGCAGAAAATAAAAAGTAGTTATGAAATGACTGTTGACAAGGTGTTCCTGCATAGAAATATTTTAGTTTTATTTTTTATAACTACTCTACATTGAAGGATAATGCTTACATACTAAATGTCCAAGTCTTTTTCTTAAATATACCTATTAAAATATCCCTTGTAGACCAGGCACAGTAGCTCATCCCTGTAATCCCAACATTTTGGGAGGCTGAGGCTGGAGGATCACTTGAGCCCAGAAGTTTGAGAGCAGCCTGGGCAACATAGTGAGACCCTGTCTCTACAAATACATATATATTTTTAATTAACCAGGCATTGTGGCGCATGCCTGTGTTCCCAGTTATTCAGGAGGCTGAGACAGGAGGGTCATCTGAGCCTGGGAGGTTAAAGCTGCAGTGAGCTGTGATCATGCCACTTTACTCAAGCCTGGGTGACAGAGTGAGACCCTGTCTCCAAACCAAATATGTATATATACATATATATCCCTTGTAAAACAAAAGTTAAACTCTTACCCAATCTTTTAAAAATAATAATTTCAAATATTTGAACCACAGTTTCAGAAATAATTAAACTGTGAAACTGAGGCTGGGTGTGGTGGCTCAAACTTATAATCCTCACAATTTGGGAGGTCAACACGAAAGGATAGCTTGAGGCCAGGAGTTCCAAACCAGCCTGGGTAACATAGCAAGACCTCATCTCTGCCAAAAAAAAAAAAAAAAAAAAAAAGTTAGCTGGGCAGGGTGGTGCATGGCTCTAGTCCCAGCTACTCGGGAGGCTGAGGCAGGAGGATCACCTGAGCCCAGGAGTTCAAGGTTGCAGTGAGCTACGATCGGGCCACTGCACTCCAGCCTGGGCAACAGAGTGAAACCCTGATTCAAATGAAATAAATAAGTAAATAAACAAACAGTAAAACTAAAAGAATAATTCTGTATATGAATTGGCATTTCTGTGTTTAATAAGCAAAAATACTCAATTTGAACTGTATTAGATTTTAAAATTTTAAAGCAAGTTGACTCTGATTACAACTATTAAACATATTTTGTTTCTTTTTTTTTTTTTTTTTTTTTGAGACGGAGTCTTGCTCTGTCACCCAGGCTGGAGTGCAGTGGCATGATCTCAACTCACTGCAACTTCTGCCTCCTGGTTTCAAGCAATTCTCTTGCCTAAGTCTCCCGAGTAGCTGGGATTACAGGCTACTGCCACCACACCCAGCTAATTTTTGTATTTTTAGTAGAGATGGGGTTTCATCATGCTGGCCAGGCTGGTCTCAAACTCCTGACCTCAGGTGATCCACCCACCTCGACCTCCCAAAGTGTTGGGATTACAGGCTTGAGCCACGCCACCCGGCCATATTTTCTTTTAGAAAATGTTTTTAGCTTTTTGATACATTATCTTTTCAATGAAAAACATGCTGGCAACATTTTTTCTAAAATTTAATAAAATATTTCTTTTTTCTTTTTTTAGCCACATTTTACAGATGATCATATTTCTTTAATTATGAATGAATCACAGACCCACAATAACAAACTCAAATTCATACTCCTGTGCCAATTATCTCAGAAACTTTAAATTTAAATTTCTACTTGCTCAGGAGCAACCCACTCACTAACATAGAGAATAACAATATGGAGACTGTCTGTGTGCCATGATTTTAGACGCTTTTGAAATACTTACAGTGTTCTTAGTAAAATGTTCAGTCCCATTATCTTCATCTCGTCGAACGAGTTAATAATGGAAACCAGTACTGAAGGACTCCAGTCTCTGGCTATGGAACTTTTTCAATTACTTAACATTGTTTCCCATGTTTTCTTTTTCTCCCATAATCTTGTCCCTTGATGAGTTGCTCTGGGTGACACAATCTAGATGGGAAACTGTAACTTGGCAACGTGTATCTTTCCTACTCCATCAAATCCATACTTTCTTTCCAAGTGAAGCGCTGAGCAGTAGAGACCTAATAGCCTTAGAAGTACTGAAAAACCTGTTAGGATCATTAACACGGGAAAGTTACACAGCAAGTGCTTCTAGATTTGGTGAGCTAAGATTGACATGATAACAAAGACAATGTTATGTTAAAACTACTTGAAGTTTATGAACGTATAGGTGCTGCAGTTTCATTTGAAGAATTCTCAAGCCTTTTGAAAAATAGAAGCCCTCCAGGATTGTTCTCTTCTTCATAGCGGACATAATGAATTTTTTCCCACCAAGAAATTTAAAACAAGAAGTAATGGCTGAGGGGTAAATTATTACACTTTATCTCTTTTTGGCCACAGCTCAGTCAGCTTCTGTGACAATTTTTTTTTTCCAGAAACAGAAGCAAGCTTGTCATACAACTTGACAAATCCAACCGGCATTTTGCCTCAGTCATTAGGAATATTTTAATCTTTACAATAAACTATTCATGTCATGGAATACAGAGCTGCAGGATTTCCATCTGCCTGCCTCTAACAAAGCTTATTTGAGCAATGGATTTGGAATTTCTCTCCATTGTCCTCCCTGTTTGGCTCCTGTGTCTCATGCTTACCCTTAGAAGCCACTTCTACATGTGAGAGATAAAGCTGCGGCAAACCCCTTATTCATGCCAGGCAAGAGAGTCTTCTGTCACTTTACCTCCATTCCTAACCCTCCACAAAGTCCCTTTGTTAGAGTAGGCAGATAACCAGGAACGAACAGGCAAAGGAGCCCCTGGGAAAAGAAGTCGCAGAGACGCTGCCCACTGACAGCAAAAAAGATGGGCTACACTGGCTACTTCTGGCCTTGTGGTTGGGCTCCTCCAGCCCTGAAGGAGACTTATCAGGCCCTAGTTGGAGATAACCATGATAGGGACTTCCCAGGCAGATGTGCATGCACACTCCTCCAATAGCTTGCCCTAGAGTACCCTTTTGCTCATTATAATAGTAAAAAACAGACCCTTGAGTGGGGATTTTAAATACTAATGATACATGTGTCATGCATGCTAACATGTACCATCATCCAGCATGTGTACCCAAGGGTACCACCTAAAACATGATTGCAAGTGACACCCCGTTATGCCCCTTCATGAATAATCAAGTAAGATTCTCTTAGAGTCCCCCAGCACCAGCTGCTGCTAGCCCATTCTTTTGAGCAGCCTGCTCTGACTCGTGCTTCAGAGTGTACTGTCTGTTTAAATAAACCTTGCTGCTGCTGCTGCTTTCCAGCCAGACCAGCCCAGAGCTGTTTTGCAGCCAAGTTAACTGGCTCCTCTCTTGGGTTGTACTCTTATCTCTTTAATAAACCTTTGGCTTGCATTACTAATTGTCCCTTGGACAAATTCTTTCTCCCAAATTAGACAAGAACCAAGGATTCCTGCACTTCCCAGTAACACCTTCACTTTTTCCATCTTCTCACTTCCACCCTCTTGAAAGGGGCCAGAAATGGGGATGCTATAGAAGAGCAAAATGGAATCATACAGAGCTGGGGTCACTTGTGGGCCTACTTCATAGTTTTCTCAGGCCTGGCCCTGACTCTTCTGAGATGTGCACTTGCTTTTCCTGGCTTGCTCACCAGTTTTTCTCATCTTAATATACCAGGGTCACCTTTAACCAGTGAGCAGGCCATGCTCCTTCTTCCATGAACAGAAAGTAGATGACCTTAGAATAAGATTTATGCCTGAACAGAGGGGTCTTGTACCATTCTTCTGTCACACTCATCTTTTTCTTAGTACGTTAACACAATAGGGATTTCTTGATTGCTCATTTTTAATGACGTAGAGCATAAATTAGACAAGGTAATATTTTATGGACAATAATGCTCAAAGGAAGAGAGATTTTCTTTAATTACACAATCAATCCATGTTCAATGTAGAAAATTTAAAACTGCACATGATTAAATAATACAAAGAAAATTAGTGTATGGCCGGCCACTGTGGCTCATGTCTGTAATCCCAGCATTTTGAGAGGCCGAGGTGGGCAGATCGCTTCAGCCCAGGAGTTTGAGACCAGCCTGGACAACATGGGGAGACCGTATCTCTAAAAAAAATACAAAAATTAGCCAGATGTGGTGGCACGTGCCTGTAACCCCAGCTACTTGGGAGGCTGAGATGGGAGGAACACTTGTGCCTGGGAGGTTGAGATTGCAGTGAGCCGAGATCATGCCACTGCACTCCAACCTGGGTGACAGAGTAAGACCCTGTCTCAAAAAAACAAAAAAACAAAAAACAAAAAAAATTACAAAAATTAAAAAAAAAAAAGAAAAACAGCTTATGATCCCATCATCCAGAAGTTGTTGTTGTTAACCCTTTTGTGTGTTTTTTGTAGGTTTATTTTTATATGTATATAAACATATGAACACATGAAACACTTAACCTATTAATTTGAGAAAGGTATTCACACTCAGAAATTTCTCACATAGATCTGAAAAGTGCATTTGAAGCTTCCACTCCCATTCCCATGGATGTTTTTCCAGTGTCATGCTAAGTATGAGCTAACCACAGAAACAACAATGTGCACTGTTGGACCTTTCTTATTTAAGAGTCCATCACAGGCTGGATATATATATAGAAAAGAGCACCAAGTTCTAAAATCTCCCTCTGTGGAGCTATTAACCAGCCTGTGGGGCACTACTTGAGGAGCCAGATCTTTGGCGTTGGCATCCTGAGGGTAAGAACCTAAGGGGCTTCTAAAACGACATTGAAAACTATCACTTCAGTTTTAAAAATTATCTTATTTTTAAAATATTAATACATGCACAGAAAGACAATCAGTGAAAAGCAAGACTTCCTCCTGCTTCTCCCTTAAACCATCCTCCTGAGACAAACAAGGTTACTGATTTCCTTGTGTGCATTAAGAGACGTTCCACACTTACACAGTCTATAACATGTTTTTCTTAGAAATGTTGCATACTAGACACTGTTGTGTGCTTTGTTTTTCCCTTAACACTACATCTTGGAGATCCTTCAGTATCAAACTACAGAGAGCTGTCTCATTTTTTAAAGGCTGCATAGTATTCTATTGTATGTATGTATCGTATTTTGTAGAATCAGTCTTAATTGAAGGACATAGTTTTCAATTTTTTGCTATTATGAATAATGATGCAATGAGTGAATATTGATGTATGTGTGTGTGTGAGAAGGGTAAGTGCATTTTTGATTTTAATAGACATTGCCAAATCACTCTCCAGCTTGATAGTATTGTCAGTTTACACTCTTGCCAGCAATGCATGAGGGTACTTATTTTCCCACACCTTGGATCACACAAGGTGTAATTAAACTTTGTGTCTTTGCCAACATAACAGGTAAAAATGGTATCTGGGTGTGGTTTTATTTTGCATTTCTTTTGTTACTACTATTGATGGGCATCTTTTCATGAGCTGATGCAGCTCTTATATTTCCTATGAACTTTTTATTTATTCCTTTGCAAACTTGAATTGAATTGATGGCTTTTGTTGTTGTTGTTGTGTCAATTTGTAGGAGTTCTTTATGTATAATAAGAAAATTATCCTTTTGTCTGTGATACATGTAACAAGTATTATTCCCAGTCTGTCATTTTTATTTTTTACATTGTTCTTTGTTTATAGTGTATTTCGAAATGCAGAAGTTGTTTTACTTATATGAGTTCAAATTTATCAATGTTTCCTTTTATGGCTTCTGGATTTCTGTCATACTTAAAAAGGCCTTCTCAACTGCAAAATTAAATATAAAAATTATCCTGTGTTTTCTTCTATTTCTTCATGATTTTGTTGTAAAATCCTTGACCCATTTGGAATTCATTTAGGTGTGAGGGACACTCAGGTTTCTTAAAATAAGTGATATTTCCTGGATTGACACAAGCTTCCAAGTCTTCCAATCACTAGGTCTTAAATTCTTCTTAAAATGTCACCTAATTTTCTCTTGTTATTTCAGCAAGCTGAATATCCAACAAATATAAATAATTTTCTCTTGTTAACAAATATAAATAATTTTCTCTTGTTACTTCAACAAGCTGAATATCCAACAAATATAAATATAAAATAATATAGTATATAAATATCAGTATTTATATTCCAAAAAGATTTTATGGATCACAATGTACTGGCTCGTCACCCAAGAAACCCGCTGAGGCCATCTTGCAATGATTAAGAACTTCAAAATTTTTACCATTCATGTAAAGAAAACAGGAGCACAATGTATAACCAAGACCAGCAATTTCAAAATTAATCCAGTCACTCTACAAAAATTAATTGGGTGTTTTAATAAATGGTGCTGAAACAATTGGGCATCCATATACAAAAAGAGAATCTCAACACACGCTTTGCACCTTACACAAAATTAACCCAAAATGAATCATAGAGCTAAATGGAAAATGCAAAACTACAAAAGGTCCAGAAGAAAACGTAGGAGAAAACTTTATGATTTGGAGTTTGGCAATGTATTTTTAGATATAACACCAAAAGGCTAATCCGTGAAAGAAAAAATTGATATGTTTGACTTCATTACTATTAAAAACTGCTCTTCAAAAGATTCTATTAAGTGAATGAAAAGGCAAGCCACAGGCTGGGAGAATATGAAGAGGCTGATGGGATGTTTTGAAATCAAATCTAGGACTATTTGGACTCAGGAGACAGTAAATCCAATCTCAGGAGCCATTTTTGGTTCCGGATGAAGACGGCCCAGAATGATGACCCTGAGGACCTCCTCTTCTAAGAGCATTAGTGTTAGGACTCAGGCATGAAAGTGGATTCACCCATTTTGGGTAAAAATTTTAAGGGCCAAAAATGTAATAAACTATACATTCTATCAAACCCTCCATTAATCAGAAGACCGATCCCTTTGGCATTTCAGAGGTTGGCTTTCCACCTGGCACAAGGATGGGATGTATGTCTTTTGACTGAGGTTCTTCACTTGAGTTCTTTTCCCAGACACTTATGTTGACACCAAGTAAACCAAAAAAAAAAAAAAAAAAAAAAAAGAAGAAGAAGAAGAATTGCAGGAATATAAGGAAAGCTGTGGTTACTTCAAACTATTTTATTATTTTTTAAAATTTTTATTTATTGTAGCTTTAAGAAAGTAATTAAATGTGACTATTAAAAGTGTTGGATAACTCTTGAATTAGGAAATCAGTGTTTTGGTTCACTTTACTCCTAAGAGCATCTGTGGCCCATATTCACCCATTGGTGAAAGCATTCTTAAGCCTGATTAGATGAAGCCAGTGATAATAAAATGGATATTGTCTATTTCTTTGAGTTATTGATGAAATGTGGTAAAACTTGATTAAATGGCTAGATATCTTTTACATTGAGAAATTACAGGCTTCAACATATTAGTTTTCAAATTTTAGAAAAGGGACAACAAAAATTCTAAAATAGGTCAATAAACAAAATCTGTTTAAGGACAAGTTAATACATAATAAGAAAAAAAAATAAGACACTTGAAAAGCAATATGGTTGAAAATTAAGCAAGCCAATCTGTAAATTAGACATGGCCTCAAATGACACTCGGGCAGTTAAAAAGACTTAGATACTTTGCAGAGTTGAGGTAGGTTGAGGAGAACAGCACTGGCACTCAGTAGTCCCTCACTGCAAGATAGTGCTATTTCCTCTGTGCACTTCTAAATCTAGAAGTTTTATTATGTCTGTATATGCCCACCTTCATTTCCACCTGCAAAGACTATGAACTCTTAACTCTTTATGACTTTTATGTCTTGATATCTTCCCAGTATCTGGCATATAATATATTCTCTCTCTCTCAATATGTATGTGTTTATATTTATCTTTATATATTTATGTATATATGTACCATATGTGCATGTATACATATATTTCATGTCATACATATATCGAATTAAAGAGTAGTGAAGGATAAGAACTCTCAGCATTCCATGACCATATGGCTAACAAAGGGCTAAAAACTCAGCAGGAATTCAGAGATGGCTATAAAAACTGTTGAGGCTAAATAACTAAAAATCATAGTATTTCAAAGTTTTAAAAGAGCTAAAGGAAAATCTTATTGTGGAGCACTCTTAGTTCAAGGTGAATTCATTTCAGTTCCTAATTATTGCTGAACTAGGTTCTGCAGGAATGTAGCAAAACAGACATGAACTGTGACCTCAAGGGATTCCAGCTTAATTATGGGCATAAGACAACAACCAATAACTACAATACAAGTTAGAATATCTGGTCAGTGACAAAGGAATGGAAATGAGTCTTGGAGGATGGATGAGATTTCCACAGGAAGAAATAAGAGGGAATTAGTTGAGGTCAAACAAATGCACAGAGGCAGAAAAGTATGGATGCTAATTGGGGAATGGAATTTACTGAGATATGGCTGAAGGCCACAATATAGGTAGAACAGAGGTGAGAGACAAGGCAAGCAGGAGGAGGTATGAAGGCCTTTTTTATTTTTTGACATCTTTATTGACATATAATTCACATATCATACAAGTCACCTATTGTAAGTGGACAAGTCAATGTTTTATAGTATAGTCACAGAGTTGTACATTCTTCACCACAATCTAATTTTATACTGAAAACTACAAAACATTGTTGAGAGAAATTAAAGACCTCAATACATTTTTAAGAAGCATAAAATCTGGCCGGGCACGGGGGCTCACGCCTGTAATCCCAGCACTTTGGGAGACCGAGGCGGGTGGATCACGAGGTCAGGAGATCGAGACCATCCTGGCTAACACGGTGAAACCCCGTCTCTGCTAAATAATACAAAAAATTAGCCGGGTGTGGTGGCGGGCGCCTGTAGTCCCAACTACTCGGGAGGCTGAGGCAGGAGAATGGCGTGAACCTGGGAGGCGGAGTTTGCAGTGAGCCGAGATCGCGCCACTGCACTCCATCCTGGGTGACAGAGCAAGACTCCATCTCAAAAAAAAAAAAAAGTGCAAAATCTAATTTTTCTTTTTCTTTTTTTTGAGAGGGAGTCTCGCTCTGTCACCCAGGCTGGAGTGTAGTGGCGTGATCTCAGCTCACTACAACCTCTGCCTTTCAGGTTCAAGTGATTTTCCTGCCTCAGCCTCCTGAGTAGCTGGGATTAGAGGTGCACACCACCATATCCAGCTAATTTTTGTATTTTAGTAGAGACAGGGTTTCACCATGTTGGCCAGGCTGGTCTCGAACTCCTGACCTCAAGTGATCCGCCCACCTCGGCCTCCCAAAGTGCTGGGATTACAGGCATGAGCCACTGCGCCCAGCCTAATTTTCATTTTTGTTCCCCTTAAAGAAAATTACAGGCATTAGCCATCAATACCCATTATCCTTTACCTGCCCTACCACCATCTCCCCCTACCCCCAGCCCTAGGAAACTACGAATCTACTTTCTTTCTTTTTTAACATTTGCCATTCCTTTTATTTCATTTATCAAGTTTCATATACGTGTGGTTATTTCTTGGATTCTCTATTGTTTCATTGGACTATTTGTCTATCTTTGCTCTGTTACCACATTGTTTTTTTTTTTCAGCTTTTATTTTAGGTTCAGGGGTTACATGTGCAGGTTTGTTACATGAGCAAATGTCCTGAAGTTTTCTTTTTTCATTATGTCTCTGCCAGGTTTTGGTATCAGTTTTGTTCAGGCAAAAATCCTCTCTAGGGAGGTTGGGAAATTTTTCTTGGACAATATCCTCAAATATGTTTCCCAAGTTGCTTACTCTCTCTCCCTCTCTTTCAGGGATGCCAATGAGCCATAGGTTTGGTCTGTACGTAATCCCACATTTCTCAAAAGTTTTATTCATTCTTTTTCATTCTTTTTGTTTTTGTCTGACTAGTTGATTTGAAGAACCTGTATTCAAGCTCTGAGATTCTTTCTTCAGCTTAGTCTATTCTGCTGCTAATATTTCTGATTGTATTACGAGATTCTTATAGTGAGTTTTTCAACTCTATCAGATTGGTTTAGTTCTTTCTTAAAGAGGTGATTTCACCTTTCAGCTCTTGTATCATTTTACTGAATTCCTTAGTTTCCTTGGACTGGGTTTCAACTTTCTCCTGAATCTCAATGATCTTTAACGCCATACACATTCTGAATTTTATTTCTGTCATTCCAGCCATTTCAATCTGGTTAACAACCATTGCTGGAAAGCTGTTGCATTGTTTGGAGTTAAGAAGACACTCTGGCTTTTTGAGTTGCCAGATTTCTTGCACTGGTTCTTTCTTATCTGTGTGGGATAATGTTCCTTTAATTTTTGAAGTTGCTGTCCTTTGGATGAGGCTTTTTGCTTTTATATTATTTGATGTCTTCTAAGGTTTGACTGTGATATAAGTTGAATTTAGTTGACTGATTTTCTGTGTGTATCTCCTCCTCTCCACCATCACTATCACTGCCTCAGTCAAGGTCCTTGTGATCTTTCTCTTGTAGTTGCATTAACAATGATCATTTAACTGTTATCACCTTGTTACCATTCTTGCCACCACCTCCTGCCCACCCAAACCCTTTCTCCATGCTGTTATTAGAGTGATCTTTTGAACATAGATCTGATATGTTGCAAAATCTAGTGTCCATTTCTCTATGTGTTTCCTTTGCTTTTTAGCAACATTCAAGATGCTTTACCACACTCCCCTTCATGAAACACTTTCCTCTCTAGACTTCTGGGGAACCACTCGATGGATTTTTCTTCCTATTTCACCAATCTCTTCTAAGTTTCCTTTGCTGCATCCTACCCCTCTGCTTAATCTTTAAGTCTTAGAATGACCAAGGCTCTGCCCGGGGACTCTTGCTCTTCATCCCCTCTCTCTCTAGCAATCCTATCCAGTCCCATGGCTTTAAATATTGTCAATGATGTTGACGCCTTTATTTTCATCTCCAGGCCTGACTTTTTCCAAGAACTCCAGACGTATATCCAGCTCTCCACTTCTATGGCATCTTAAATTTAACATATCCCAAACGGTACTCTTGATTCTTTCCCACCTCCAGTGACAGTGTTTCCCACTTCAGTTCTTAGTTGCTCAAGTCAAAAACCTAAAGTTCATGTTTAATTGTTTTTATTCTTTTACCACTCACCTGCAATATCTTAAGACGTAGTATTTGCTGTAGCTCCAAAACATATCCCAAATCCATCCATCTCAATCACCACCACCTTAGGCCAAGCCTAAGGTTATTCTATTATTAAAATGTATTCTATTATTTCTTTGCCAGATGAATACAAACACATACACACACACACACCTTATTCTCTATACAGTGACCAGAGTGATCTTTCTTTCTTTCTTTCTTTCTTTCTTTCTCTTTCTTTCTTTCTTTCTTTCTTTCTTCCTTCCTTCCTTCCTTCCTTCCTTTCTTCCTTCCTTCCTTCCTTTCTTTCTTTCTCTTTCTCTCTTTCTCTCTTTCTTCCTTTCTTTTGGGACAAAGTCTCACTTTGTTGCCCAGGCTGGAGCACAGTGGTGTGATCGCTGCTCACTGCAACCTTCACTTCCTGGGTTCAATTGATTCTACTGCCTCAGCCTCCCAAATAGCTGGAATTATAGGTGTGCACCACCATGCCCAGCTAATTTTTCTATTTTTAGTAGAGACGGGGTTTCACCATATTGGTCAGGCTGGTCTCAAACTACTGACTTCAGGTGACCTGCCCATTTTGGCCTCCCAAAGTGCCGGCATTACAGGCATGAGCCACCACGCCCGGCCTGCCTGCTTGCCTCCCTCCCTCCCTCCCTCCCTCCCTCCCTCCCTCTCTCTCTCTCTCTCTCTCTCTTTTCTTTCTTTCTTTCTTTCTTTCTTTCTTTCTTTCTTTCTTTCTTTCTTTCTTTCTTTCTTTCTCTCTCTCTTTCTTTCTTTCCTTCCTTCCTTCCTTCAGAAAAGGTCTTGCTGTGCTGTCCAGGCCAGTCTTAAACTCAAGTGATCCTCCCACCTCAGCTGCTGAGTAGCTGGGACTACAGGTGAGCACCACCACGCCCAGCTCAAGTGATGTTTTAAAGACATAAATCAGATCATGGTACTCTTTTACCTAAAATTTATCAATGGCTTCTTCTGGCACATAAATCTATCATGCCCTACATGCTTTATATGATATGGTTTCTGCCTATGTCTGTGACATCATGTTGTACTAATTTCTTATTCACTATGCTCTAGCCTATCTCTGTTTCTATTTCTTGAACACACCAAGTTCAACACAACCATAGAGTCTTGCTGCAGCTCTTTTCTCTTTCCCCCCATATCTTCCCATGGTTGGCTCTTTTCTGCCATTCAGTTCTTCCTTTAAAAGTCATCACCTCAGGAAGGCCTGATCACTTAATCTAAATTAGCCTATTTACTCAATTCAATCACTATCACATATCTCTGCTTGATTTTCATCAAATAATTCATCATTGCTGGATATTTTCTTCTGTATTTACTGTTTTGTTTATTTTCTCTTTCTTCTCCATTAGAATGTAAGCTCTATGAGAACAGAGACCTTGTTTATCTTATTTAGCACCTCATCTACAGCACCTAAAACAAACATTCAATAAATATTTATTGCATAAATGAACTCTAAGTTTGGAGCAAAAGTGAGAGGTTAGAGCTAAAGAGCAAGAAAAGAGAGAGGCCGGGCACAGTGGCTCACGCCTGTAATCCCAGCACTTTGGGAGGCCGAGGCGAGTGGATCATGAGGTCAGGAAATTGAGATCATCCTGGCTAACACGGGGAAACCCTGTCTCTACTAAAAATACAAAAAATTAGCCGGGTGTGGTGGTGGGCGCCTGTAGTCCCAGCTACTCGGGAGGCTGAGGCAGGAGAATCGCTTGAACCCGTGAGACGGAGCTTGCAGTGAGCAGAGATGGTGCCACTGCACTCCAGCCTGGGCGACAGAGCAAGACTCCGTCTCAAAAAAAAAAAAAAAAAAAAAAAAGAAGAGAGAGAGAGGAGAGAGAGAGAGAGAGAGAGAAATTATTAGAAATCGGCCCACATGATTATGGAGACAGACACATCCCAAGATCTGCAGGATGAGTTGGCAAGGTGAAGGCCCAGAGAAGATGATAATGTAGTTCCAGTCTGAGTCAGAATGACTGAAACCCAGAAGAACCAACAGTGTAGTTCCAGTCCAAAGGCTGGCAGGCTCGTGACTCAAAGAAGAGCCAGTTTGAAGAATGTCAGGCAGGAGGAGTTCCCAGTTACTAGAAGGAGGGTCAGCCTTTTTTGTTCTATTCAGGCCTTCAACTAATTCATGAGGCCCATCCCCACCCACATTAGAGAGGACAATCTGCTTTACTCAGTATATTGATTATAATGGAGTTTTGGTTTTTTTTGTGTTGCTTTCTTTTTTGAGACAGGTTCTCACTCTGTCGCCCAGGCTGGAGTGAAGTGGCACAATCATGGCTCACTGAAGCCTCTGCTTCCTGGGCTCAAGTGATCCTCTCATTTCAGATTACAGGAACGCACCACCATGCCTGGCTATTTTATTATTATTATTATTTGTAGAGATGGGGGTCTCACTATTTTGCCCAGGCTGGGCTTCAACTCTTGAGCTCAAGCAATCCTCCCACCTCAGCCTCCCAAAGTACTGGGATTACAGGTGTGAGCCGCCACGCAGCTCCTCAAATGTTAATCTCATCCAGAAATACCCTCATAGACACACCCAGAATAATGTTTGACCAAATATCTAGGCCTAGTCTGGTTGACACACAAAATTAGCCATCACAAATGATAATTTGCATTTGTATAACTTGTAACTTTTCAAAGAACATTCACATATTTTCTTATGATGTCTTTATAATCACTGTGTATGTTGAAAAAGTGGGTATTAAACCTTGGGGAAACTGAGTTTCTGAGCGGATGGCTGACACTATAATCCAACTCTCCAAATTACTAACTCTATTAGTTCAAACTCTACTTCCAATGAAGAGTGGAATGTTTGGACAGTGCTATTGTTTGAATGTACCCCCTAAAGTTCGTGTGTTGGAAACTTAATTTCTCTACCTTCATGAATGGATTAATGTCAGCTCTGGCCTCATGAATGAATTAATGTTGTTATCATGGAAGTGGGTTCATTATCTCAGGAGTGGCTTTGTTATAAAAGCAAAGTCTCTCTGACTCTTTTGACCTCTCTCCATGTGATACCCTCCACCATGTTACAATGCAGCAAGAAGGCTCTCACCAGATGCCAGTAAGGCTTTGGCATCTTAGATTTCCCAGCCTTCAGAACTGTGAGCTAAATAAATTTCTTTATAAATTACCCAGTCTATGGCATTCTGTTACAGCAACAGAAAACAGACCAAGACATAGTCTTGTGGAAATCATAGAGACCCAAGTGATTTGAATGGAAACTGAAGAAGACATTTGCTAAATAACCACACAGGTTCTCATAACCTGTACATTCTAGCATAGTTTCTCTTGTGTTTTTCTGTCCATTTGTGGGAATAAATGAGTGGCTTCAAAGTGTTGTTTTATGGTTACCTGAGTGATATAAAGGACACCTGGTGCTCAGTTGCAGAGGAGCAGAGTGGGAAATGCATATGAAGAAATCTTGTGGGGGAAAAAAGAGAATAAAACAGAAGATATCTTTATTACCTCAAGTAGCTTTTATTTAAGTGGCTTTATTCTACCAAAAATCGACAGAAGAAGATTCATGAAGAGTTGGAAATGACAAATGGAATAAATAAATGTATCTTTTCTGAGCAGCTCAGAATACTCAATCTGTTTGATCAATATTTTAATTCTCAGCCAGGTTTGGTGGCTTACACCTGTAATCCTAGTACTCTGGGAGGCCAAGGTGGGAGGATTGCTTGAGGCCAGGAGTTTGAGACCAGCCTGGCCAACATGGTGAAACCCCATCTCTACGAAAAATACAAAAAAGAATTATTCAGACGTGGTGGCACGCTTCTGTAATCCCAGTTACTCAGGATGCTGAGGCATGAGAGTCACTTGAACCTGGGAAGTGGAGGTTGCAGTGAGTCAAGATCATGCCACTGCACTCCGGCCTGGGCGACAGAGTAAGACTGTCTAAAAAAATATGTATATTTCAATTCTCAAATCTCTACCTGCCCACTCTTAATTCCAACTTGTGCACATTTGTAAAGGCTCATCCTGTTCCCAATCCTAAACATAGTGGTGAATGTCAATGAGAGCATTCAGAAGGGGGAAGAATCTCCCAGAAATAGACTTGTGTTAACACAGGAAGTTATCTTTTCAGGATAAAAATTTTTAAAAATGTACGCAGATTTCTGACATTCTGCCTTATAGATTCTGGTCAATGTAAGTATCTTCTCTAGTCTGAGTGGTCTTCTTGGATTGGATTGGTTAGCTTAGTAAGTTAAACATTAAAAGAGTTGTGCAGTGTGATGTGTAATTTTGGTCCAGTTACTTGGCCTCTCTAAACCTCCATCTCTTCATCTATAAAGTGGAGAAAATAAAAGTTCCTACCTCCTAGCATTTGTTTTGTGCTTAGTGCAATTCTGGCAAATAGGGAGTAATCAATAAGTATTAGCTGTTATTATTTAAGGTAAAACAAATGATATTACAGTGGAAAGTTGCATGCTGTCCTGGAAAGGGCACTGAATTGGGTATCAGGGGTCCTGGATTCTAGTCCTGATTCTGCCACTAAATAAACATAATGGCCTTGGGTAAATGACAAAACCTCTCTAGAACTTAGTTTATTCACTTGTTAAAAATGTGGACATACGAGCCCTTCCAAAGTTAAATATCATTCCACGACAATTCCATAACCCCCTTATTGCTGAAAAGTCCACTCTATCTGACTTCTACTACTCCAAACTTCAGGAAACAGAAATGTTTTCCCATAAATTATTGGATTAAATGTCCATGAGGTTATCAGAGGAAAATACAGGCTCCTCACCAGCACTGCAGCACATTTCTCCCCATAGCAGTAGTCTGTTGTGAGGGGTAAAGTACAACAGGAACCCTGGAATAACCTGTTGGAGAAGGTTGGCACAGGCTGTATGTCATTAGTATGCCCAATGAGGCTGTCAAGGCCACACCTTATTGTCAACATTTAAGTGACTCTACTCTTTGCATTTGGAACACATGGGGGTGCTTCAGGGGTGCCCACATGATAGTTCTTTGATGACTGTGTCTAGAACAATTAAAATATCCGCACAGATCTTGCCTTTGGTTTTGTGTGTGTGTGCCATTACTGAAGCTTTGTTTCTGGGGGAAAAAAGTTTCCTCTGGAGGCTGGAAGCCTTTCTATTTCCTATGACTACAATCTGAGATTGAAAAGTTATGTGGTGAATTGGTCTTCACTGATTTGGGGGGGATATTAAAAGCACTCACTGCCCTGAAATTAGATCTCTGTATCTGTCATGGAAAGACTTAGTAACATTTCATAGAAGCTCACTTCCAGAGTTTCCTTTCTTTTGAGGGAAAAACAAAAAAAACAAATTAAACATAAAGAAATTTGTTAGAAAACATCTTGACTAGGCCAGGCACAGTGGCTCACGCCTGTAATCCCAGCACTTTGGGAGGCCGAGGCGGGTGGATCATGAGGTCAGGAGTTCAAGACCAGTCTGATCAATATGGTGAAACCCCATCTCTACTAAAAATACAAAAATTAGCCAGGCATGGTGGTATGCGCTGGTAGTCCCAGCTACTCCAGAGACTGAGGCAGGAGAATCGCTTCAACCTGGGAGGCAGAGGTTGGAGTGAGCCAAGATTGTGCCACTGCACTCCACCCTTGGCGATAGAGCGAGACTCTGTCTAAAAAAAGAATATATTGATTAATGTGCTGTTTCCAGAGAACGAACCTCGCAAAATAGCCTTCAATTTGAGAGCTGGTCAGTTCCATTGAGAGCTGAGTATGATGTTAGGGCATCCAAGGGATGCCTAAAAGGTCAAGTGTGCAGAAGAACCCAGGGAGCACCCAAGTGGTCAAAGGTCAAGTTATACTGACAGTGATGAACAATGACATCATCTTCTATATGGGCTGCACAAATCATTCCGTTAGTATGAACACAGAGAACCCTGGGATAGACCCTAACAGAAGTCTAACAAGGTAGTTAATAGAAGATAGTCACTACATTCATGGTAGAAGGTAGTTAATGCATTTATACACTCCTTACCAAGCATTAGGGAAGCTCAGAGAGAAGCCCATGTGTTGTTTCATGCCTAGCTTTTTGGGATATGTGGCCTTCGATTGGGTCAACATGTGCTGAGGGTTGATCCTCAGCTTTTAGGATGCAGAAATTAGATTAGATCACTGCCTCCTCTTCCAGGGTGATGAGGTTCTGGGGAGATAATTATCACTAATCAAACTCATAATAAATGGATTTTAAACACACATGGCCAATTTAGTGATTTACAGTGGAGATAACCTTCTATTTACCTCTATATAGCAGTGACTCCAAGATTAGATTTCATCAACTAATTTAACTTCCAAAATGATTTGGGGGAGTAATTTAATAATGATTCACACTCTTCGAGCACTTACTGTGTGACAGGGACTTTGAGACATTTTTTACATGATTTATCTTCTTTAAACTTCACGATAATCCTGTGACATATTATAAAGCACCATTTTATCTCCTCATTGTAGATGAGGAAATTAAACCTCAGACAGAGGATGTAATCTACAGGTGGTAAATGACAAATCTGTATGACTCCGAAGCCATCAAATGTCATAATAATAATAGAAGACACAGCTCCTTCCTCAATCAGCTGGGAAGAGTATGGGAGGGGATGAGGAAGAAGGCCTAGAAGCGGAAAACATAGCTTGTCTCCCACTGCCTATGACTCAGCTGCAGCTGTGACTCATAGAGGACTGAAGGTCACTCAGCAAGCTGGAAATGACCCTGGACTTCAGTATTAGAGCCAACGCATGAGTGCTGTAGCTCTGGTTGTTATCCCCAACTGACCTCTCTCACCACTACTCCCCCAGAGTTACACATTCTTCAGTCCTGCACTCCTACCTTCTCTCAGACAAATGTGATCAAAGGTAACGAATAAGCCACCTGGGTGTGCTGTTTGGGGATTGGGGAGGTCAGAGGTGCGTTCTGAGACAGCAATGATGTTGACAAGAAAGCAATTTTCAGGGTCAAGAAGTTGGGCAGCATCCCAGACTGGTCTTTTGGCATTTGCATGATTGGTGAGAATGGGGACCCTGACCCCTATGATAGGACTGATGTGGATCAGGCGACAGGCTTTCCTCCCACAGGATGCTGAGAAAAGAGAATCCATCTCTCTCTCCTTCAATGTGTGACCCAGGCTGGAAACAATTTTTTTCTAAATCAACCCTCGTGCTCTTCAGCAGATGCAAAAGAAAACAGTTGCCTTGTATGATGCTCTGCAATTCCCACATTAAATGAAACTGGGTTGATTAATCTATTTGCATCCGGTTTGCAGAGGTGTTGCTGAGATAAAAGAGCCTAATGGTGGGTATTCATTTCCAGCAGTCTCTGTATTAAGTACCAGTTTTTTATCTGCCACTTGTAGGCATAATGGGAACTTACAGTGGTTGGAATAGGTTGCAGGATAGGGAAGAATGAGGACTGAAAGGAATGTGTCTCTCGGATAGCTCAGCCTTCCTAATGTTGGCAAACCTTCAGGTTCCCAAGCCTAGGTTTTTTGTAACTGCCAGCATGCCCATCCTGGTCTTCCTGTTTTCTTGTCCACATATCGCTTTACTCCCAAGTCCAGCCGGTTATAGGGGAATAACAATAGGCCTCCCCGCCGACCCTTCTCCCCCATCAAAAAGAGGCCTGCCCACTCTTACCAGATTAGCAGGAGCAGCAGGGATCGTCTAGTCTGGGTAGTGCCAGACTTCTAACTCAAACCTTAAGCTTTCTGTTTTCTCAGGTTTTGTGGGTTTTTTTTCCTTCTTTAATGCATTCCCCCACCGCTTCCCATCCTGAAAACATAGGAACAACATGTTTCTGTTAAGCTTTCTGTTTTCTTAGGTTTTGTTTTTTTCATTCTTTAATGCACTTCCCCACCACTTCCCATCCTGAAAACATAGGCACAACATGCACACGCCTTGTCTCTCACCCCAGGTGAAGGCCCTCCTGATAATAGGGAAGAGTGATGCAGCCTCGGGCCTTTATAAAGACCTACTTGCTTCCTCCTGGGTGAGTGGGCTGTGATCTTCACTTATTCCAATTATATACTCATTGGTCAGCCGATTCCCATAAAGCTCTTCTCTGACCTAGTTGCACCTCTCAACTTAATTATTTCATAGGTTACCAGAGGTGCGGCTGCCAGGTTGCTATAGAAACCTTTGCTCTACTGACCTTTTTTCCCCCAATAAAAAGTTAAATTAAAAAAAAGTTAAATCAACTATTCAATGAAGAATTGGGTATATTTTAAGTATAATGTTTTCTTTCACAGTGGGGAATACTTCGAAGCCTTCTACCTTAGACAAATATAATTTGTCTCCTGGGGTATTTTTGTTTTGTTTCTTATTTTCACATTTCCAATCAAATAATCCTGGCCAGGCATGGTGGCTCACACCTGTAATCCCAGCACTTTGGGAGGCCAAAGCAGGTCGATCACCTGAGGTCAGGAGTTCGAGACAAGCCTGGCCAACATGCTGAAACCCCATCTCTACTAAAAATACAAAAATTAGCTGGGCGTGGCGATGGTCACCTGTAATCCCAGCTACTCAGGAGGCAGGAGAATCGCTTGAACCCCGGAGGCAGAGGTTGCAGTGAGCCGAGATCGCACCATTGCACTCCCACTGGACAACAAGGGTAACACTCTGTCTCAAATAATAATAATCCTATTGAGTTCTCAAAAAGGATAGACAATAACCTGGGAGTTGTACATGCTATTGCTAAAGGACCAAATTTATTGTCATGCCCAGGCTGTACAGGCTTGAAGGGAGTGGGGAAGGGCTGATGCACATGAGAGCTCTGATGAAAGAGTTTGGGCAAGGACAGAGTACAGGTGGCATTGATCTTACCCAGAGGACATTTTCTCAGGTCACTTTAATTCCTTTATGAGATGACAAAGGACACCTGCCAATCTGAACTCTGGAAATCTGAACTAAAAGATCAGCCTCCCCTCAAAGACTGATAATTGTGTTTATAATAATGGCAAAGAAGAGTTGGAAGTACCAGAAGCCGGGCAAGCCTGAGGTTGCATTTTTCAAAGGTCAGCTAAGGATTATGCTCTACGCCCAAGGGATGGGGCCACAAAAGCCATGAATCCTGTGCTTGGGGGACTATCGAGTGAAGAGTTAGGTGCCTTGGCAACCAGACGTCAGGCCCCTCCCATCATCTAATACCAGCTACTTTTATCTAATACCATTATCTAATACCAGCTACTTTTTCTTCTCTATCAATCAGTTCTTTGTTAATGTCCTAGCAGCCTTGTGGCTGCACTCACCTAAATTAAAACATCTGGAGTTCTTAAACCTCCTGATCTGATATCCTTCTAGATGGCCTATTAGACTTCAAATTGCTCCACCTAATGGCAGCTAGTTCCTGTATAAGTATCAATTCATGACCCAAAGCCCAGATGGGTGGAGATGCCTAGGGACATTTGACTATCATGTTCCTCAAGATAACCTATGGAGAAAATGATTCAAATGTGGTCCTGCTGCCCTTGAAAAGATCACAGTATATATGCACCACTGTTAATTTAAAAAGGTTAGGTACGGTTGTCATGTTTCATTATCAGAAATGCACTATTTTGTTTTTTCGATATACTTCTAGGTCACTGAGGAGCGTTAACCCAAGAGTTTCTCTATCTAGCTCTCATTTAAAAGTTTTCCATAATCCTGTTTTGTAAATTGATAGTCATTAATTTTCCCCCAATAGATGGCTGTTAGTAGAAGTGACCTAGCTAAAATTCTGCTGTAAAAGAGTGAAACGAGGTTGTTTTGTTTATGAGCCCCTATGTGTACATCTCTGGGCTCAGTCTGATTACCTTTTCTCTTTAGCCAAATAGAATGTTCTATCCTTTAGCCCCACAGCTAAGAGAGGTGGGGATAGGTGTAATGCTACTGCTGGCAAGCGAGGGGTTTTGAATAGTAAAAGCCAATGGAGAATAGAAAAATAGTCAGAACTAGACTTTTAAAAAATATATCAACGTGGCTTCCTGAGTTGTGAGGTTTTTGTCTGTTTGTTTTCTGCAAAGCAGAAATCAATGAGAATCATGATCAAAATGCAGTTGTATCTTGTGAAGCCATATGAAACTCTTCAGGAGAATAAGAAAAAGCCCATCAGTGGGAGATGCTAGGACCATCAGCTGAGCCAGGGAGAGGATGATTAGGCATGTAATGTTCAGAGGCTACTTGAGGGGAAAGGGAGAACAAAAAAACCCCACCGTAATGAAAGGCCTCAAAGAATTAACAATAAAACTATATTTGATCCAGCAATCCCACTGGGAAACTACCCAAAGGAAAAGAAATAATTATAGCCAAAAGACACCTATACTCACGTTTATCACAGCACTATTCATAATAGTAAAGTTACGGAATCAAACTAAGTGTCCATCAATGGATGATTGGATAAAGGAAATGTGATATATATACACAATGGAATATTATTCAGCCATAAAAAGAATGGAATTATGAATTTTGCAGCAAAATGAATGGACCTGGAAGCCATTAAGTGAAACAACTCAGAAACAAAAAGTCAAATACTGCATGTTCTCACTTACAAGTGGGAGCTAAATAATGCATTCACATGGACATAGAATGTGTAATAATCACTGGAGAGGCAGAAGGGTGGGAGGGTGGAAGAGGGGTGAGGGATAAGAAATTACTTAATGGGGGCTGGGCGCAGTGGCTCACGCCTGTAATCCCAGTACTTTGGGAGGGTGAGGTGGGCGGATCACGAGGTCAGGAGATTGAGACCATCCTGGCTAACATGGTGAAACCCCCGTCTCTACTAAAAATACAAAAAATTAGCCGGGTGTGGTGGTGGGTGCCTGTAGTCCCAGCTACTCGGGAGGCTGAGGCAGGAGAATGCCGTGAACCTGGGAGGTGGAGCTTGCCAGTGAGCGCAGATAGTGTCACTGCACTCCAGTCTGGGCGACAGAGCAAGACGCCATCTCAAAAAAAAAAAAAATTACTTAATGGGTAGAATGTACACTATATGTGTAATGGATACACTAAAAGCCTAAACATCAACACTATGCAATGTAGCCACATAATGAAACTGCATTTGTCCTCCTTAAATTTATACGAATATAATTGTAAAAAAAAAGAAAGAAAAGAAGAGCTAAAGGAGTCAGAAAGAAAAAGTGGCTAGAAATATAATTATGAATCCAAGATAGGAGAGCCCAAGTATGGGGAAGCCAGGACAGAAACTACCAGACAAATGTGAAAAAAAAAAGAAAAAAAAAACACCAGGAAGTGAATGTCCAATTGGCTTTGGTCTAGACTCTAGGGTCAGAGAAAAACTATTCCCAGGAAGGGCCCAGATCAGAAGCCAGAAAGCAAATAGATGAGGATGGCCTGGGGGTGTATGTCAGGGGGTCTAAGAGCCACCAAATATATCTGCCCAGGGATATGCCCTACAGTGTTTTCTCAAAGGCAGAAAAACTTAAATATATTTCTGTTTCCACAGAATGGCCCCAGAAAGATTCAGTGAGTATTTACATTTGCTTATTTGCTGAGTCAATTCTAGGCTATAGCTAGATAGCCAGCATGCCTGGGAGACTAAGTCAGAAGGGGTGGAGAGGGCAGTCCCCAAACTTGTCAGACTGGGAAAGTGGGAGTTTGGGATAAGTCCAAATTTAGCGTGTTGTCCTAATATACTTAGCCACCAACAAATATTGAAATATTATGGGGCTCTCATGTTAATGCAACCTTGATAGTCTCAAACAGTTATGGCTTAGAACTTCCTATTAAGGACTGTGGACTTTAGTGTGTAGAAAGCCTTATACCAGAGTACACATTGATTCAGGGGAGGTCTGTAGACTGTATGCAAAGTGCATGCAAAAATTGTGTGTGTGTGTGTGTGCGTGCCTTTTTCTGGAGAGCAGATAGTGTTCCACTATCTGTGTGTGGTGGTAATCACTGAGATACAGCAATACTTTCATGCTTGTGCTGCCCCTCTATGAGCTACAGTGAGAGCTGGCGCTGTGATGCCAAGTGCAGCAGACAGTACTCGTGGCAGGCCTTTTGCTGCAACAAGCCCTGTGTTGGGTGAAATGTGTAGAGGGCAGCTGGAAAAGCCATTTGATCAAGGCCTTACATTCTTTTTTTTTTGTTTGTTTTTTGAGACGGAGTCTCCCTCTGTCGCCCAGGCTGGAGTGCAGTGGTGCAATCTTGGCCCACTGCAACCTCCACCTCCCGGGTTCAAGCCATTCTCCTACTTCAGCCTCCCGAGTAGCTGGGACTACAGGCATGCGCCACCATGCCTGGCTAATTTTGGTATTTTTAGTAGAGACAAGGTTTCACCATATTGGTCAGGCTGGTCTTGAACTCCTTACCTCATGATCTGCCCTACTCAGCCTCCCAAAGTTCTGGGATTACAGGTGTGAACCACCACACCAAGCCGGCCTTACATTCTTGAAGGGCCTCTATGAGGTTATCTCACAAAAAAAAGGCTATCTTTCATACATTCAGAGATTTATGGACAGGACTGAACAGAGACAACATTCATCATACAAATTTAACCTTGTGGCCAGGCGTGGTGGCTCACGCCCATAATTCCAGCACTTTGGGAGGCTGAGGTGGGTGGATCGCTTGAGTTCAGGAGTTTGAGACCAGGCTAGGCAACATGGCAAGACCCTATCTCTATGAAAAATACAGAAATTAGCTGGGTGTGGTGGCACACGCCTGTAGTCTCAGCTACTTGGGAGGCTGAAGCTGGAGGATTGCTTGAGCCCGCACAGAGGAGGTTGCAGTGAGCCGAGATGACACCACTGCACCCCAGCCCAGGTGACAGAGTGAGATCCTGTCTAAAAAAAACAAAACAAACACATTTAAGCTTGTGTTTCCTTTCCAGACCACACTGCATATAATGCAGGACAAATTAATTTTTATATAAATCCTAGATTTATCTTGCAAAGAGCAAAGTTATACTGTATTAAACTGCTCTGTGATTAAATGCGCAAATGTGTTACCACAATATTTGCAGCCTTATCTTTGGCATTTCCTCATTTTTTTTAATACTCACAAAAAGATTTTTTTTAATTATGGTAAAAACCATGTAACATTAAACTTGCCATCTTAGCCATCTTTAAATATACAGTTCAGTTGCATTAACTATATTCACATTGTTGTGCAACAGATCTCTAGAACTTTTTTATCTTGCAAAACCAAAAATATCCCTATTGAACAACTCTCCGTTTATCTTATAAATAGCAAATTTATATTGCATTAAGTTGCTGTGTATTAAATGTGTGAATGTATTTTCACAAATTCTCTTTTGTTATCTTTATTATTATTTGTTTTTGAGGCAAGATCTCACTCTCTCATGCAGACTGTAGTGCAGTGGTGCAATCTCAGCTCATAGCAACCTCCACTTCCTGGGCTCAAGCTATCCTCCCACCTCAGCCTCCCGAGTAGCTGGGACCACAGGCACGTGCCACAATGCCTGGCCAATTTTTTTTTGTTGCTGTATTTTTTACAGAGACAGGGTTTCACCATGTTGCCCAGGCTGGTCTCGAACTCCTGAGCTCAAGTGGTCCACCCACCTCAGCCTCTCAAAGTGCTGGGATTACAGGCATGATATTTCCACATATTTTCTAACTTTTTCTTTGACATTTCCTCATTTTTTGTTTGTTCATTTGTCTGCTTTAATACATTAGAAAGATCGTAAAATGAAAATGGCCTGGGACTTTCTCAGCTTCTGTAATTTTCTCATTTATAACAGTCAAGTTCAGCAACCAATCAAAGTTTCCAGGTGTGCTGGCCCACAATGGACAGGGAGAGGAAATGGGCTGGTCAGAGAGAGCAGCAATGAGTCTGGGCTGAGCTATGGGAATGTTGGGGTGATCAGACCCAACACCAGGTCATGGGGGCAACAAAGTCTGGTGGAGTCAAAGGAATGAGAAAAAGTTTGAGATTGAAAGTGGGACCAGGGGGCCATCGTGAGTATGGAGGCTGCAAAGGCCCCGAGCTCTGGGAGCTCACCCTATTTATTGGTGATCAAAGAAACAGTTGGTGAGGATGTGGGGGTTGAAAGGAAACAGTGTATCAAGTGAATGAGAAATATATGGCTACTTGAGATAATGGGAGTGCTAGAAGCAAGGGGCCAGCAAGTCTACCAGACATGCAAGCCCTGCCTCAGCTTCTCTCCCAACACTCAGCTTTTCTCCCAACATGGGAAGAGCCACGAGGACAACTTTAATGGGAGAAAGTTCTCTAACACGAAGAAGGAGTGCTCTGGAAGCAGCCTGCCCACATTCAGATCCCCCTCCACTGCTCCATTGCTGTGTGTCTTCAAACAAGTTCCTTAACCTCTCTGAGCCTTGGTTTCCTCTTCTATAAAATGGGGATGATAGTAGTACTTGACCTATTGGACTGTTGTGTTAAAAAGTACTTTGCCTGTTATATAGGAAGCTGTAAATACATATTTGCTGCTGCTGCTGCTGCTGCTGCTGCTGCTGCTGCTGTTGTTGTTGTTGTTATTTACCCCTGTGTCGTGGTGGTGCACAGAAACTTCTCTAGCTGGGAGTTCCTGGGCTGGGGACCTCTCAGTCCATCTTGTCATGGCCTTAGTGGGATGAATGATGAGGGATTCAACTGCTTTATTCCACTGAAATCCTAGGCAGGGGAAATAATTTCTATCTTGTGGTTTGAAGGGGGTGAGCTGGAGGGATGGCCGTAAGCAAAAATGTAGGAGAGTGTTGTTTATTACGCACATTTCAATAACATATCTCTCAACCACACCATTATGGATGGTGTCTCTGGCAGATCTCTGTTAAAGTGCAAATAAATTACCTAAAAACCAAGACCAGAAATCTGGACTCTTAGCAATTTACATATCCATGTGAATTAGTTGCGGGGGTTCCTTTTTCCTGAAAACAGCCCTATTGGCATTGGAAGTAAGCATAAAGACAGAGAAAGGAAGCATGCCCAGAGGCAGTGGTGTGCTGGAAAAATGTAACAACCAGTTCTCTGTGAGGCGTGCCTTCATTTCTAGTGTGATGTAAATACTCCCACCTTGCCGATTTCAGCTACCACCCTGACATCACTGAACGTGGAGTTGGGAAGAGCTGCTTAGCGGCACACCATTCTATAGTAGCATTGCCACCACACAGATGCAGTAGACCTAAATACCTTCAAGAGCACAGATAACATTAAAAGTAGTAAAATAATTAGGAAGCAATAGGTTTTGAGTATTTATTACTTTGTTTTTAATGTTACTTAATTGTAAGTTTAGATAATTTTTTTTTAAATAATGGCTGTGTTTAACAGCTGGCTTTCAAAATTTTTGAAGTCTTAATGATCAGCTCTCATGAGCTAGTATGAGCCAGTTCTAGTATGCCAGAGCCCTGGTTTGTCTTTGGTTGATCAAGGTGAAGAGATTCATCTGGGTCCGTTATCCCAAAGCCTCCAGGTCATATAAATCATAATCCTCGATTCTAGTCATGCCAACTGCTTGCTTTCCTCCTCCCTTCCCAGCCAGTCTCCCCACTTCTATGGTTTTTTTTTTTTTTTGACACGGAGTTTTGCTCTTGTTTCCCAGGCTAGAGTGCAATGGCACAATCTCAGCTCACTGCAACCTCTGCCTCCCAGGTTCAAGCAATTCTCCTGCCTCTGCCTCCCAAGTAGTTGGGATCACAGGCGCATGCCACCATGCCCAGCTAATTTTTGTATTTTTAGTAGAGACGGGGTTTCGCCATGTTGGCCAGGCTGGTTTCGAACTCCTGACCTCAAGTGATCTGCCTGCCTCAGCCTCCCAAAGTGCTGGGATTGCAGGTGTGAGCCACTGTGCCTGGCCCCCACTTCTGAACACTCCAATCACTCCTCAAAAATTGTCTGTATCACCAACTACCACTTCTCTTCCTCTTGTGCAAACCCTAAGGGGCTTCCTGAGCCCAGCACCCAGCATCAGGCTGTGCCAAGGGGACTCCCTTGGTGGCTACCCATTAAACCGACTTGGCCAGGAAGCTGGGCTCTCATAGGCCAACCCTCTCCCCCTCACTCAAAAGCCTGCTGCACAGACCTCCTTGGAGACCCCCTTGGAGACCAGATTTTAATTGGAATGAAACAAAACCGTGAGAAACCAGGCCCTGCTCCCCTGTCAGGAACTTGCATACCTTAAGCCCTGTTCGTTACCAGGCTGAACTGCTCATAACATTCCACACGACTGGTCAATTCTCTCTCTATGGATCATCAGATGTTTTTCATGAGTTGTTGCGTCTGCCTGGAGTGCTCTTCAGCCCTTCTCTACTCTCTCATCTGCTTCGACCCTTCTCTACTCTCTTACGTGGAAAGCATCTCATTCTTCTGAGTTCAGCTCCTGCATCACCTCCTCCCAAAGCCCTCCCTGAACACCTCCCCAGGCAACATTAGGTGCCTTTCCTGTGAGGTACCACCACCATGCCCTGTGTAATGAATAAGTCCGTGTTTTCTTCCTTTGGCTGCAAACTTCTCAAGGGCAGGGATAGTGTTGTATTCCTCTCTATAGCCCAATGCCTAGCATATGATATGTGTCCTGCAAATGTTTGTTCCATTAATAAATGAATAAATTAGAGATGTTAATGCCCTTTTAGGGCCTGGACTAAGAATTACCATGATAGCTGAGCCTCTATTTTCCTGGCAGTTTCTGTAAGTGAACATCCTCACATTTGAACCTTGAGGTAGGCGTGAGCACTAGAATTCCCCCTTTCTCCCTTTAAAAATTCCTTCATCTGTGGGTTTAGACCTGTTAGCCAACAAAAAACCCTCCCTTTAAGGCATCTGGTCCCCAGCAGAAAGGACTGGATTGACTTGCTGCTTTTGTGAATCTACTTCACCATGGGGCTTTAAAAACATTCAGGAAAGATAGACCAGGCACTTGGATGGGATTGTTGAACCTGTGACCCCAGTCCTGAAATCTCTTGCTTCTTGTCTTCCTGTTTAAAAAGATAATGTATGTCTATTTTGGGTGGGAAAATTACAGGAAATATTTTGATGACCTGAACTATGAAGTAGACACAATTGTTTTGCAGATGTGGAAACAGGAACAGTTTCTTTATCACATAGATAGTAAGTGGTGGGGGCAAGATTCTAAGGTAAACAGTCTAACTCTAGGGTCTGTGATCTCAACCACTGCACTGTAGTAATATTTGATGGATGGATTAATGAATTAATAAATGCAGTGGAAAGCACTGCAGGCTGAAGGGCTGTCTATGCTGGATCAGGATCCCAAAGTCTGATTTTAGTCGTAACTGTGTCCGGAATTGGTGGGTTCTTGGTCTCACTGACTTCAAGAATGAAGCTGCGGACCCTCACGGTGAGTGTTACAGCTCTTAAGGTGGCACATCTGGAGTTTGTTCCTTCTGATGTTCAGATGTGTTCGGAGTTTCTTCTTTCTGGTGGGTCCATGGTCTCACTGGCTCAGGAGTGAAGCTGCAGACCTTCGCAGTGAGTGTTACAGCTCTTAAGGCAGAGCGTCTGGAGTTGTTCGTTCCTCCCGGTGGGCTCATGGTCTCGCTGGGCTCAGGAGTGAAGCTGCAGATCTTCGTGGTGAGTGTTACAGCTCATAAAAACAGTGTGGACCCAAAGAGTGAGCAGTAGCAAGATTTATTGCAAAGAGTGAAAGAACAAAGCTTCCACAGCGTGGAAGAAGACCCTAGCACGTTGCCACTGTTGGCTCCGCAGCCTGCTTTTATTCTCTTATCTGGCCCCACCCACATCCTGCTGATTGGTAGAGCCCAGTGGCCTGTTTTGACAGGGCGCTGATTGGTGCATTTACAATCCCTGAGCTAGATACAAAGGTTCTCCAGGTCCCCATCAGATTAGTTAGATACAGAGGTTCGACACACAGGTTCTCCAAGGCCCCACCAGAGCAGCTAGATACAGAGTGTCGATTGGTGCACTCACAAACTTTGAGCTAAACACAGGGTGCTGATTGGTGTATCCACAAACCTTGAGCTAGATACAGAGTGCCGATTGGTGTATTTACAATCCCTGAGCTAGACACAAAGGTTCTGCAAGGCCTCACCAGTGCAGCTAGATACAGAGTGTCGATTGGTGCACTCACAAACCTTGAGCTAAACACAGGGTGCTGATTGGTGTGTTTACAATCCCTGAGCTAGACATAAAGACTCTCCATATCCCCACCAGACTCAGGAGCCCAGCTGGCTTCACCTAGTGGATCCTACACCGGGGCTGCAGGTGGAGCTGCCTGCCAGTCCCGCGCCATGCACTTGCACTCCTCAGCCCTTGGGTGGTCGATGGGACTGGGCGCCAGTGGAGCAGGGGGTGGTGCTCATCGGGGAGGCTCAGGCCGCACATGAGCCCATGGAGTGGGTGGAAGGCTCAGGCATGGTGGGCTGCAGTTCCTGAGCCCTGCCCTGCGGGAAAGCAGCTAAGGCTTGGTGAGAAATCAAGCACAGCACCGGTGGGCTGGCACTGCTGGGGGACCTAGTACACCCTCCGCAGCCACTGGCCCAGGTGCTAAGTCCCTCATTGCCTGGGGCCAGCAGGGCTGGCCAGCTGCTCTGAGTGCGGGGCCCCCCAAGCCCACGCCCACCGGGAACTCCAGCTGGCGTGCAAGCTCCGCACGCAGCCCCGGTTCCCGCTGGTGCCTCTCCCTCCACACCTCCCTGCAAGCTGAGGGAGTGGCCTCCAGCCTTGGCCAGCCCAGAAAGGGGCTCCCACAGTGCAGTGGTGGGCTGAAGAGCTCCTCAAATGCCGCCAAAGTGGGAGCCCAGGCAGAGGAGGTGCCAAGAGCAAGCGAGGGCTCTGAGGACTGCCAGCACGCTGTCACCTCTCATAACTGTGATAGCCATTCCAACTCCTTCCATGATCACCTGAATGACTGGGGGCACAGGGTGTGTGAGTTGGCAGGCATGAGGTTCCTCTTTTTCAGCCAAAAGCAGTCTGCCTCACTTTCATGAAACCCAAACTTCTGTGAATGGAGTGGAAGATTTCTCCTAAGTAACAGATTGTGTGAGAGAAAGGTTCCTAGAACAGGGAAGCAATCTAAAGAGAAGTTTGGGTCAGGGAGGGTCAGAGAGAGAACAGTCCCTAAAGGGGACTTTCCAAATAGGCTGTAGCTCTTTAAAAAATTCTTTGTTCTTCCCAATGAAAGTTCCATGTCCAAGAAGCCACACATCAGAACACTCGGGGTGGGGAGGGCCAGCTGTGAGCTTCTTCTAGTGTGTTGAGTGTGCATTACATTTTAGGCTCTTGTCTCATTTGGCCACTAACTCATGGAGTGATCTTGAACACTGTTGTGCAACCATAGTTCTCTTATCTGCAAAATGGGAAAAATAATAGTGGCTGAAAGCAGGAGATTTAGCTGGGCTGAATGATTTCTTAAGGCCTCCCTCAGCACTGGTGAGAGGTGACAAAGTGCTAGCAGCCCTCACTCACTCTCGGGCACCTCCTCGGCCTCAGCGGCGTTTGAGGAGCCCTTCAGCCCTCCACTGCGCTGTGGGGGCCCCTCTCTGGGGCTGGCCGATGCCGGAGCTGGCTCCCTCTGCTTGCGGGGAGGTGTGGAGGGAGAGGCGTAGAGGGGAGCAGGCTACACGCAGCGCTCACGCTCACGGGCCAGCGTGGGTTCCAGGTGGGCGCCGGCACCTGTTGGGCTTGATCGGGGACGAGCTCCCTCTGGGCTGCCGGAGTGCCAGGGCTAGGTGCTGCAAAGTCCCGCGGCGGCGAGGGCCACTGAAAGGTGAAGCTGGCTGGGCTTCTGCCTCTGGTGGGGACTTGGAGAACTTTTCTGTCTAGCTAAAGGATTGTAAATACACCAATCAGCACTCTGTGTCTAGCTAGAGGTTTGTAAACGCACCAATCAGCACTCTGTGTCTAGCTAAAGGTTTATAAACGCACCAGTCAGCACTCTGTGTCTAGCTAATCTGGTGGGGACTTGGAGAACTTTTGTGTCTAGCTAAAGGATTGTAAACGCACCAATCGGAACTCTCTGTCTCGCTAAAGGTTCATAAATGCACCAATCAGCACTTTGTGTCTAGCTCAAGGTTTGTAAATGCACCAGTCAGCACTCTGTGTCTAGCTCAAGGTTTGTAAATGCACCAATCAGTGCTCTGTGTCTAGCTAATCTAGTGGGGACTTGGTGAACTTTTGTGTCTAGCTAAAGGATTGTAAATCCACCAATCAGCACTCTGTGTCTACCTCAAGGTTTGTAAACACACCAGTTAGCACCCTGTCAAAACGGACCAATCAGCTCTCTGTAAAATGGACCAGGATGTGGGTGGGGGTCAGATAAGGGAATAAAAGCAGGCTGCCCTAGCCAGCAGGGACAACCTGCTGGGGTCCCTTTCCAGGATGTGGAAGCTTTGTTCTTTTGCACCTGGCAATAAATCTTGCTGCTGCTCACTCTTTGGGTCCCTGCCACGTTTATGAGCTGTAACACTCACCACGAAGGTCTGCAGCTTCACCCCTGAAGTCAGCGAGACCACGAACCCACCAGAAGGAAGAAACTCCGGACACATCTGAACATCTGAAGGAACAAACTCCGGACACACCATCTTTAAGAACTGTAATACTCACTGCGAGGATCCATGGCTTCATTCTTGAAGTCAGTGAGACCAAACCCACCAATTCCGGACACACTGGGATGTATGACTCTAGAACATACATCTGTATGTATGTAGCTTTCAACGTTTATCTTTTATTTTGCCTTTTGAATCTCCAAATCTATACTCCTATTTTTTCTTTAATGCAAAAATAAATCAAATCGGCCACAGAGGTGAGTAGGGAGAAGAACAAGTTGGGCAAGCTGTGTTGATAATCAAGGGGCCCCAGAGCTTGTAGTCATTAGGGAGAGAGGCCTTCATGGAGGAGGACCCCAAAGACAGAAGAGGAGGCAGGTTTGGAGGGACTAGAGTTAGAATATGATAAGGCACAGGAATCAAGGCCCGAGAAGTGAGGAGAATGGTGGGCTTTATGAGAGGCACCCTAACTCACAGAGTGAGTAAGAACAACAGCTGTGGGGCAGACAGCCTGGATCCCAAGCCCAGCCTCCCTGCTTCCTAACCACATGACCTTGAACAAGTCACTTTATTTTTCTGAGCTGCCGTGTAAAAGCTGGGTAATAATAGCACCGACTTCAGAACTAAATAAGGTAATGCTTAGCACAGTGCACAGCACATTAGTTCACATTCAATAAATGGTTGCTGTTGTTTTGCTGTCAACATTACTGGACGTTCTCCACCAGACATTTTTTTAAAATTTAATTTTAAGTTCTGGGATACATGTGCAGGATGTGCAGGTTTGTTACATAGGTAAACGTGCTGTGGTGGTTTGCTGCACCTGTCAAACCATCACCTAGGAATTAAGCCCCATATGCATTAGCTATTTATCCTGACACCTAGGTATTAAGCCCCACATGCATTAGCTATTTATCCTGATGCTCTCCCTCCCACCACCCCTCTGACAGGCCCCAGTGTGTGGTGTTCCCCACCCTGTGTCTCATTGTTCTCATTGTTCAGCTCCCACTTAAGAGTGAGAAGACGCAATGTTCCTGTGTTAGTTTGCCAAGGATAATGGCTTCCAGCTCCATGCATGTCCCTGCAAAGGACATGATCTTGTTCCTTTTTATGGCTGTATAGTATTCCATGATGTGTATGTACCACATTTTGTTTATCCAGTCTATCATTGATGTCCATTTGGGTTGATTCCGTGTCTTTGCTACTGTGAATAGTGCTGCAGTGAACATATGTGTGCATGTATCTTTGTAATAAAATGATTTATATTGCTTTGGGTATATACCCAGTAATGGGATTGCTGGGCCAAATGGTATTTCTGGTTCTAGATCTTTGAGATATCACCACACTGTTTTCTGCAATAGTTGAACTAACTTACATTCTCACCAACAGTGTATAAGTATTCCTATTTCTCCACAGCCTCACCAGCATCTGTTGTTTCTTGACTTTTTAATAATTACCATTCTGACTGGTGTGAGATGGTATCTCATCGTAGTTTCGATTTGCATTTATGAACTGAGTTGTTCTCTTGGGTCTGTGGCACTACACAATGGGCGGCCCGTAACAGTGGGTAAGATTGTGGGCTTTGGAATCCATGCGGGCTCTGGCCCAGATCTTAATCAGCATGACCATTGGTAAGTAACAAAACCACCCTGTGCCATAGTTTACTTGCCTATAACAAGTATATAACAAGATGTCTACTTCACATATTATAGTGAGCTCTACTTCAGATTATTGTGAAGAGCTCTACTTCACAGATTATTATTTCTTTTTCTTTTTGAGACATAGTCTCGCTCTGTCACCCAGGCTGGAGTGCAGTGGCACAATCTCAGCTCACTGCAACCTCTGCCTCCTGGGTTCCAGCGATTCTCCTGGCTCAGCCTCCTGAGTAGCTGGGATTACAGGTGCGGGCTACTACGCCCGGCAATTTTTATTTTTTTATTTTTATTTTTTTTAGTAGAGAAGGGGTTTCACCGCGTTGACCAAGCTGGTCTCAAACTCCTGACCTCAGGTGATCCACCCGCCTCAGCCTCCCAAAGTGCTGGGATTATAGGCGTGAGTCACCGCGCCTGGCCACAGATTATTATTTCTAAGAAGAATGTTAAAAATTCTAGAAACAAACATGGCACGTAATGAACACTCAATGGACACTGGCTTGGCCTTTGGATCAGTGACCAGCTCAATGAGGAGCTGCTGATACACTGTCTGTCCTTTCTGGGATCAGCCTACAAGGTGCAAGAACATGGCTCATATTTTCTGAAGACATGACTGCAGTCTTAGTTTGGGCATAAGTGACTTCCCAAATCAGGATGGAAGATCAAGTCCACAGTTAATATGGGAAGAGGATACATGATGTTCCGGCCAGGAGATGAAAAGGTAACCACTTCGACTCTCATAATTAGCCATTTAACCCTTCTCTGCCTTCATTCCTCTCTTTTCCTTCTTTTCCTCTCCCCATCCTTTTCTCTGTCCAATGGGAGCTCATCACTGTAGACTGCTTAAGCAGAAGGGCTTAACTCCATTTGTGGACATACTGCTCCCCCTTCCCTAATAACAACTATCTTCTTATGAGAGTGTTCATTTCAGCTCGCAGAAGAAACACACAGTCCTGAGACTGTAGAGTTGCCTTCTACCAGTGGCAACAGACATCCTGATAGGCCAAAGGTGCAATGATCTCCCCTGTTCCCATGACTGTATCGAATATCACCATAATGCCCTTCTAAAATCCAAGAGAAGCAAGATTTCTGTAGCAAAACTGGATTTAGGGCAAGTGGGCTATTTCGGCCCTTTGCAGCATTTGTAGTGTCCAGAAATTGTTGATATTGACTTACTAGAAGGTAGGAAGTATTCTGCAAAGGGGTGCAATTTGGGAGGCCGTACTTCAATAAATGGAGTAGAATTTTTTCAGGTCTTTGTAATGCAACGATGACATTTGATAATATATGTGTGTAAGTGGACAGGAAACGTGTATGACCAGTCAATGTGAGTATAGGTTGAAATGGGAAAATCAGTAACCAAAAACTGTAAAGGGTGGGAGAAGGGGCCTCAGAGATACAGAGGCAGGGCTCCTCAGAACTTACACTTCTCTACCTTGACCAGAACATACCTCTGCATTGAGCTGACCACAGACAAGTCTGGCTAGGAAATCTACATTACCTGAAGAAGTCAATATGGGGAGTACTGACACCAGCCCCTTCCCATCCCACCTCAGGCCCTCCTGGGAATGAAGAAATCATAAAACATAAGAGAACACGGAAAAGTTTAGGCTTCTGGGAGTCTAGGGCATTTTTCCTTCCTTTCTCTTGTTCATATCTCGTTTTTCAACTGGTGTTATCTTCTAGGGAGGCATCTTTGGCCCTGGAGAACTCAAAAGAGCCAGAGTGGGCCAGGCGTGGTGGCTCACACCTGTGATCCCAGCACTTTGGGAGGCCGAGGTGGGTGGATCATGAGGTAAGGAGATCGAGACCATCCTGGCTAACATGGTGAAAACCCGTCTCTACTAAAAATACAAAAAAATTAGCAGGGCATGGTGGCGGGTGCCTGTAGCCCCAGCTACTCGGGAGGCCGAGGCAGAAGAATGGTGTGAACCTGGGAGGCGGAGCTTGCAGTGAGCCGATTGCGCCACTGTACTCCAGCCTGGGCGGCAGAGCAAGACTCCGTCTCAAAAAAAAAAAAAAAAAAAAAAAAAGCCAGAGTGGATCCCAGAAGAGAGGATGCAGTAAGTGTTGGCTTTGGTTCTAACAAAGGCCTGGGGTACAACTGCAAACAGAAGCTTCTTTTAAGATGGCTCAATTCGGTTCTCCAGAGAAAAATTATGCAGGGATTCTGGGCAGGACTGTCTTGGAAGGACTGGCTTGTGCCTTTAAGTGTACTCTATCTCTTAAGAACCAGCGAGTGGCAGACTGGGCACAGAAGGATGAAGTCTAACAGAGCCAAGTCTTTCCTCTGGGGCCTAGATGGACAGGAGTTCTGATTTTTTTCTATATCCCCCAAGGTCCTGTTACACAGAATAAGATCAAGCTCAAGTGGAATTTTCTATCATTTCATTTTTAATTGTCCCATTCTTGTGTCCTTCTTCCCTCAACGGTAAGAACTCATTTAAAAGTTATCAATAGCATAAGACTAAAATCAGTACTGTAGAGAAGATGGGATGTTGCTGAAGCTCTTCTGCTGGGATCAGCTTGGTCAGTATCACTTATTGTCACAAATGTTACCAATTTTCCTGTTAAAAGGTTCATGTTTGGGGCCTTAGCTTTTAGCCTATTGTTAATAAACTGCTTGTTTAAAATAAAAACGTGTTATTTGTTTTCTTGAACATTTTATGATGCCAAAGAAAATAGTAGGCAGTGTGTTGTGCTTTAAGCAAACCCAATATGTGAATGCTTGGATTTACATATAAAGTAGGGGCAGATATTGACAAAATGCTTCAACATAATTCTTTATGTAACAAGCTTTTCTGGTGCATTTTGAAACACTTTATGGCCAGTTTTTCAGAACACATCAGTCACATTAATCAGTTCACACCTGCCTCGCTGTCACATACATGGGAGTTTGCTGTCTGAATGCAAGTATATTTCTTTAAAGGATCTTCTGGTATTACAACCAATAGGAACAAGAACAAATAGATGTTCCTGAAGCATTCCTTTCTATTCAGCTTCCACCGAAGTGATACTGAAGCTAGTTGGATAATTCTTTTCCTAAGGTAGGAATACAGTTTTGTTGGACACAAAGTGAGGCAATAGGAAACATTTTTTAATGAACAAACAACTTTCACACAAACTGTCTGTATCACATTGTTATTACAACACAGATGAGCTGAAACGTTTTTGTACAGATTTGGAGGATGGGAATCCTAAAAAGAAATCAAGCATATAGAGGTAGTTGAATAGCAATATGGGGGGAAAAAAGCATTATCTTATATTTCCCTTCAGTTCATTACAGTGCAAGAGTAAAATGGCTGCTTACCAAACAAATGGAAAACACACACACATTTGCCACTGTTTACGTGGCTTGCTTGATATTTTAATCCTGGCATTACTTACAACTGCATAAGATGATGGAACTAATTTACCTAAAATAAGCCTATGGTGCCACATTGGCCTATTTGCTTTCCTTTTATTCCATTATTAGTGTTGCTTTAACAATAGATAAATGTTAGTCAACTTTTAAAATTATGCATTAGCTACAGTGTTGCTTTGTAAACTTCTGTTAAATCGCGTTTGCTGCAAAAACATTTTAAACAACAGCTACAGTCATGAAGCAAAAGCTTTAAAGTGACACCAGGAACAGAGATTACAGGCACTTCTCTCTGGAGGTTAACTTAGCATGTTTGGAAATACACATTTGTAAGTGAAAATTTCTTTATTTCACCTCTGGATGTGTGTAACCCAGATTATTAAATAGTTGTACAGTGTAATAAGGTGGGAGCTATCATTCTAAGATGAATTGAATGTGTACACTTTATGTGGCTCCTTTTCCTTCCTTCTGTTTGAACTCAGAAGGGCCACAAATTGAAGCCCATGCTGCCAGCTGCTTTTTAGAACTGTCTTCTACCATAAATCAAAACCTCACTTAGCCCCAAGAATGGGCTGAAAATCTTCTCTTTTCCATTGTTTGGGCTGCCCTCCATTTGCATCTTTGTCACACACCACTGCTATGGTTCTGCCTTGGTGAGCAGAAATGGATGCGAAGTCAACATGTTGGGAACTCAAAAATGAGTTCCTGAATAAAATTCCCATCTTGGAAATGGAGTTGGTGTGGGGAACACAGACGGATTGCAGTCTGTCAACAGTATGCAATCTGTTGACTGTAAGAGACCTCTGGGTGCTGTGAACTAGCCTCAGGAGCTCCGCCGCTCCAATGGCCAGTCACAGGGGATTATCTGAGCCCAGGCCAGCTCCACAGGTAGAGCTGGAAGCGCCACATGCGCAATGACTCTGCTTGCCCCTTGCTGCTGAGGCAGCACTGGGCTAAAAGCAACCTTCAGAAAAGGCAAACTTTAAAAATTGTCATTCTCTGCCCCGCTAAGTCAGGGGCAGGCACTCTTTTCTCCAGGTTGTCTACAGAAAATTGGTTTTTCATTTTCTACATTTTGCTGGTTATTTGCTAGCAGCAGTAGTACAGTACAAAGCAGAAAGATATGATGTCTGCTTGCTACCTAGTGTATATATATATATATATATATATATATATATATATATATATACACACACACATACACACACACACATACACACACAAAGACATACATACATACATACATACATACAAAATATAACCTACTAGGCAAAGACTGGGTCAGTCATGATAGACAGAAAAACTAACTAAATAAGTGGCACTATCTACTGTGGGGGAAGTCTTATTTTTCTGGCCTAGATTTAGCCTTATGTCTTTCTTCTGTATACCCTTCATTCCCAAGCTGTGCAGCAAAACCAATTTCCCAGTGTAAAAATGTTCAAGACCAATTGATTACCTCGTTAAGGTACATCCCAAAGAAAGCCAAAGCTTAGCCTTGCATCCTGCCTTGCAACTAGACAAAATATTTAACATAGTGGAGGCTCAGTTTTCTCATTCATAATATGGGGATAATAACTGCTCTCGCAGGGTTGGTATGAGAAATAAATGATGTAATGAGCTCAGGTATGTGAGATCACTTGGCTCAGTACCTGGTACATGGGGATCTCAGTACATTTTTTGTTGAATCTGTTACTTTGGGCAACATAAAGAAATACTATCAACTAAGAACAGAAGTCACAGATTGTAAACTCTCATCATCTGGGATGGGTAAGGTTCTCAATACATTTTGGAGAACAGGGAGTGAAAAGTTGGTTATTCTAATGGAGCTAGAACTTAAGGCTTCCATTCTATCAGAAATCCTAGGCTGGGTGCGGTGGCTCACACCCACGCCCGTAATCCCAGCACTTTGGGAGGCCCAGGCAGATGGATCACCTGAGGTCAGGAGTTCGAGACTAGCTTGACCAACATGGTGAAACCCCATCTCTACTAAAACTACAAAAATTAGCCAGGCGTGGTGGTGCGTGCCTGTAATCCCAGCTACTTGGGGGGCTGAGACAAGGGAATCACTTGAACCTGGGAGGCGGAGGTTGCAGTGAACTGAGATCGAGCCACTGCACTCCAGCCTGGGTGACAGAGTGAGACTCAGACTCGCACACACACACACACACACAAAAGAAAGAAAGGAAAGGAAAGGAAAGGAAAAAGAAAGGAAGGAAGGAAGGGAGGGAAAGAGAGAGAGAGGGAGGGAGGGAGGGAACAAAAGAAAAAGAAAGGAAGGAAGGAAGGAAGAAAGAAATCCTAGACCTACATAGGGCACTACCTTCTAGCCCTTATTGAAGCAGGAAAAAAATTTCTGGTATAGGATTGATCCCTATCTCTGACCCTCATTTGTTCTCCAGTTATTTCACTTTCACACACATTTAATTCCCAAAAGAATTATCTGTAAATCATCAAATTATGGGTCCAAAAATCAGTGGTATGTATTCCCCCAACTAAGTTTAAAGGGGTTTCAAGTGGATATTGTGTGTAAAGGCAGTGTTTTATACAAATGTAGGCCCTTGATGATATTCTATAACTATGACTAATCTAATAGTAGCTATTATTTCTTGAGTGCATTCTAGGTGTGAGACACTGTGCTAATTGATTTACACATTATCTCATTTAATTTTCGTAACAACCCTATATGCAGAACTTATCACTATCATTTCATAGATTAGAAAACTGAGGGTTGGCAAAAGTTAAATCAATTGCCAAAAATAATATATCTAATAAGTAGAGAAGCTTAGGGCCTTTTTCTTTGTTGCATTTACACTAGATAACCAGAAACTATTAGGATTGTGTTATGACCACATGGTCTGGGAACCAGGTGGGAGGGGGAGTCTTTTCTGCTCCCTGAGCTTTGTGGAGTTTGCTTGCGCAGAAATAATGCCTATACTTCCGCCTATTTCTGTTCTTCACCTGCCCAGACTAGCTCCAAACATCAAATCTGATAAACACAACACTCTGGCAACATAATGTCCATTAAGTGAGTGCAGAAAAGACCATCTGGTTTCTGCTTACATGCATCTTTTTTATGTTGTCTGGATCATCTCATTCTCCCTTTCCTGTTTCTAGCTACAGGTGGTGATGGGAGAAGTAAGAATTACACTCTCACCTTAACAGAGTGATGGGCTGTGAATGAATGATGCAAAAATCATTCACTGTCCAAAATCACATGGTATAATTTGCATGAAGGTACTAATGGCACAATTCACTTCCTCCCTGCTCTAATCGTTTCACTCTGCCATTATAACACTCCCATACTTGTGGTACTTTACAGGCTGTCCTGCCACTGAAGGACTCAAACTAGCACTAAGCAAGCTAAATCAGGGCTTACTCTTACTCCTCACCCTATATTCTCCCCATACATTGAAATATTTCACCCATGCAACTAGAAGCAAAGGCAGTACTTAGGTAAAATAATAGATTATCTGGTTCCCTTTTTTTTTTTTTTTTTTTTTTTTTGAGACGCAGGTTTGCTCGTTGCCCAGGCTGGAGTGCAGTGGTGCAATCTCGGCTCACTGCAACCTCCATCTCCCAGGTTCATGTGATTCTCCTGCCTCAGCCTCCCAAGTAGCTGGGATTACAGGCATACACCACCAAGCCTGGCTAATTTTGTATCCATTTTTAGTAGAGACAGGGTTTCATCATGTTAGTTAGGCTGCTCTCGAACTCCTGACCTCAAGTGATCCGCCTGCCTCGGCCTCCCAAAGTGCTGGGATTACAGGCGTGAGCCACCGTGCCCGGCCATCTGGTTCCTTTAAAAAGATTTTTATAGGGTTCTACTCTATTTGTCTTATTTACATTTTAATAATAAAAAGTCCTTATCAAGTGTTTCTGTCCAGGTCTTGATCCTCAGAACCCCGGGGAGAGGTGGGTTATGGAGGCTAGTTGGGCATGACTGTGATGTGCTAAACTGAACACCATTTCCTCTGAAGAGTTAATTATGATCCTGCCCAAAATCCGATTCCTAACTGCACTGGGGAAAAATTAGATACACGTACAATTAGATTGCTGAAGTAAATGCCTATAATAAAAATAATTCTTTCAGCTTTGTTCTGTATTACACACAGAAAATGAATTATTTTACTTTACCTTGGCATATACCATAATCTAGGCCAAATCCCTTAAGTATTTTATATTGTTTAGTTCAAACTGAAAAAAAAAAGTGGACTCTGAAGACAGATGATCTTAGCATCATTCTGAACTTCTTTTAAGCATCCATTTGGATAGATACGGAAATGGTCTAAGAACTAGTGTCATTGTAGTAAAAAAAAGATAAAAGCAAAAACTGCACACTTCTAGTATTGTTATTTCCCCCTAGGTACATGGTAAACCACATCAATAAATAAAGCAATGGACTTTTCAGCAATGTACGCTTAAATAGTTACAAACATACATGTAGAAAAAAGGATACAGTAGTGCAAAAAATAAATTATTAAAACAGAAAGAAGTATGAACATTATTTTACACAATGCTCTATAAAACCTGAACCATTTGGAATGAGACCTCAAGTCAGTGAAATTATACAGCAACATTATTAGTATCTTTGTTTTCACATTTCAACCACACAGTCATTGATCTATGAAAGAAAGAATATTAAAGCAAAACCACTTTAAACTTTTGGAAATTTTAATGTTAAAATCAAATTATGTTTTTCTGGGCTCTTAAACACCTCTGCTGTTTATGTAGTTATGCAGCATGTCAAGAAGCATCTTAAGACAGAAAGTTTCAAATAGGTCACATTCTTTTGGTCTTTCTACTCAATTTCTCTCTGTGATCAACAGCAGGCTGATGCCTCTGTTTGACACCCCCTTCTGTTAAGATATTATTGCAATTAGATATATTTACAAGAAGACTCCCCCCGACGGCAGTGGGGAAGGTGGGAGCTCCTCTTCGGCAATCCACTCACTAGTTTTGGTTTCGGGATATGAAGGCCAGGACTCGTCGAATACCATTCAGTCTGTCCTTTAAGGACCTCATTGCTAGGAAGGGGAGCTGAGCTCGGCTTTCCAAGGGAAGAACTGCTAACATCCACCAGCACCAGGCTGGGCCATTCGGGTTCATCTGCAACAGAGAAACACAATGGAGTCATCCTATTCCCATCCAAGAACATCAGTCTGCAGAGTTCCAAATGCTCAAGGTAAAGACCCCAGGTAGAACAACTCCATGTGGCAGATTGCTAATTGACCCTATATCTATTTTCCCCCTTATTTTAGCAGGGCATATAGCCACCCAGAAAAAAGACTGCATTTCTCAGCTTCCCTTGCAGCTAGGTGAGGCCATGAGACAAAGTTCTGGCTAATGAGATGTAAAGGGAAGTGATATGTGTAACCTCTTGGTCATGCTCTGGGAAAGAAGCATATGCCCTCTGCCTTCCTCTTTCTCTCCCTTTCCCCTAGCTAGAACATGGACGTGGTGAGGATCAGCCTTTCTCAATCAAGAGGATGAGGGAGACATTTTAAGGATGGTAGAGTTTTGTGATGAAGGAGCCTGGGTGCCTGAATGCTCTTGTGGAATAGAGCTGCCCTAACTGTCCAAGACTTAGCCCCTCCATCTTGTTTAAGCTCCAGTCATTTTTGTTTCTTGTTAAAGCAAACCAACCAGTATCCTAACAGATACACCATGCCTCCTAGCCAATGTGATTTTACAAGCTGGTATCTACTATGTAGTCTCTTCCACTTCTAATATTCTGTTGAGGTCCTTTGGACTGATGCATTTAACATTCAGGCCTTCGATTCCCATGACCCCTTGACCTTTGCATGTCTTTTAAGTCCCCTCATTTCCTTGATGTGGCTGAAGGCAATAGTCCATGTATACCATGTCACTATACAGGGCCATAGCTCTCTTCTCCCCTGAAACCAAAGGCTATGATTTACAGTCCCAAAGAATCACAATCTCACTTTGCAAAAATTCCAATTAGAAAACATTCACATTAGAAATATATTCTGCCCCAGGGCCGGGCACAGTGGCTCACGCCTGTAATCCCAGCACTTTGGGAGGCCAGCGGGTGGATCACGAGGTCAGGAGATCGAGACCATCCTGGCTAACACGACGAAACCCCATCTCTACTAAAAATACAAAAAATTAGCCGGGCGCGGTGGCGGGCTTCTGTAGTCCCAGCTACTCCGGAGGCTGAGGCAGGAGAGTGGCGTGAACCTGGGAGGCGGAGCTTGCAGTGAGCTGAGATATGCCACTGCACTCCAGCCTGGGCGACAGAGCAAGACTCCGTCTCAAAAAAAAAAAAAAAAGAAAGAAAGAAAGAAAGAAATATATTCTGCCCCTAGATTTCCTTTTAATAAAGAGCTTTCCCATTCCACATAAATCCTTCCCCAAAGCAGCTTCCCTGGCACATATTTTAGACATTGGGTACTTATTTCCTTCTAAGCCTAAAACGAGCTTTCTGCCCACAACTTTCACAAGTTTGGTTTTAGGACTATAGAGAACCATTCTGGTCAAAGTGCCTACACCTGAAATTATTTGGCTCCAAATTGGTTCCTCTGATCGTCACCAAATCTCACTGCCTTCTTTGCTTCTTTGTGCCTCTAACTTCATTTGCATTCTTTTTTGTCCCTCCCTGAAGCTGGCAATATGCTCTCCCTCCTATGATCAGTTCTGAATATTAGACTGATGTTCTGAACTTTCTTTCCAAGGATCACCAACAAAGATATTTAAGCTGGTATTAACACTTGTGGCAGTTTCTAAGAAACATCCTCCTGACAGAACATGCTTATTTGTGGGACCACTGGGGATGCAGCATTGACTGGAGCAAACTGGGATGGGTATGGGTTTTTCTTTTTTGCTGGTGCTGCTGCTGCCAAAGCAACATAATAACAGAACTAAGAAAAAAGGAAGTGAAACCCAAGATTTCAACTTTCTCTGTCATTAGCCTTTATGAATCACACTGTAGCATCTGTGTTTTCCCGTTACCATTGCTGATCTGTATCTTTTGCCTAAGGGAGAACGCTTCCCGGAAGGTGAAGGGGAACATTAAGCTTGATCGTGAGTTTGCTCAGAGGTATATGCTGCAGTCCTGACTCATCGTGGCCCAGAGCCAGGAGCTGGGTCACAGGAAGCACTAACTGGCCTTTCTCCCTTGAAAACTCATGATGCCTTTGCATGGGGGGGGAAAGAAGCCACCTTTGTGGTCTGAGGAAAGCAAGACATTTCATTTAGGGAACAGACTGGTGTCTTAGAACCTCAGAATGCAAGAGGAAGAGGGGGCTTTAGAACCCTCCTCATGTCAGAGATGGGACAAAAGTTGAGAAAGGGAAAGGAATCTTCCCAAGGTCATACTGCTAGTGAGGTAAGCAGGACCAGACTTTTGGTCAGAATATGCATATTGAGATTTTTTCTTTTGTGACAGAGTTGGGGATGAGCATAAGTAAAGAATCAATGTAGGAGAGCCAGCTTGGAGCATAGGAAGAGATGGTCGTGAGGAAATATGTGGTTAGGATATCTCCAGCCTTATCCTAGAAAGACAGTATTCCCTGATTTATTCCAGGCAAGCAAAGCTTAGTGAAACTTAACCATCTCCACTCTCCTAGGGAGCTTCTGATCTGCAGCTTGATCTTTCAAATAGGCCTATCCCCCAGGAAGAACACTGATCAGTAGAACCTAACAAACTACTGTCTAGTATAACTCAACTAACAGTATTTAATGATGAACAGAGCTGTTCAGCCCTGGTGAGGACAATAGCAAGGGTCTAGACTTGCAGGGCGAAGCATAGATAGACCGAGGCACGAAAAGTTTTTGTGGTCTTGCAGTTGTAATCTTATAAGGGTAGCTGGCCCTATCCCCTAGTTCCCAAAGCAATGAGGGAGAGGGTTATGAAGTTACCTGAAAGCAGCAGCTTTTGGTCTCAGCTCCCAGGATACCCTTCTCTTAAGTCCTGGCCTTTGCATGTAACTTGTCACCCTAACACTACCATGGTGTGAATCTGGACTCCCATGGAAGGTTCTTCTGTTGGTGATATCTATGTTCCCATTCTCTTATCTTACTTAGTTCTCAAAACCTGCCTTGGATCCAAGTTCCTACTGCTTTACTTTAGTTACCCCGATTCTAACTTGGGATCTTTTTGGTCTTACTCATGACGCTCACTGTGCAGCCAAACAACACCAAATTAAATCCATCTTCCTCTCTGCATTCGATGTGCTGAATGGCAGCCACATACCCATCTAATCACAAACACTAGGCACTCTCTTCTAGTGGGACAACCCGTTTAAAAATAGACATTTTTCTATACCTGAGGATCGGCGTCTTTCTCCGGCATGGGACCAAAGTGATTGAGTATCCGATTCTTTAGGGATAATTTGAGCGAATGAAACCACAATGATGCTTGCTGATAGACACAGTTATGTAATCCCATGAGCTCAGCACAATCCTCTCCCTGAACCTGAAAGTATCAAAGTGGAAGTGAAACATTCTGTACCCTCTCCATCATTCCCAGAGTCACTTTTGACACCTGATTCGCTTTGAGCATCCATCCTGCCTTCCTATGGGAAGGCTCACCCATTCAGCTTTCTCCTTTGCTTGATGTGAAATGCCCCTTAGTCAAGTGCTGGACAGTGTGTAGATACTGCTGACCATGGAGGAAGGAGAAAGGTTCAGCTGGGTAGATTAGCTGAAACAGCAAAACATGCAGAAAACCAGAGATTCAAACCGGCCTGAGTGGAGGCATGTGGTTAAACCAGGTTATGCTGGTCCATGCCTTTGCCCTTTTCATTTTTACATCTGTTTTCTCATTACTTGCTGGAAAAGACACAGGAGTATGTCAGTCTCAGCATGTAACTATCTTGGTCAAACACATTTACTCAGTCATCAGATATTTATTAATCTACTATGTAACAAATGTAAATATAAATGAATATAGGATTATTTACCTCTTCTTCCACCCATTACCTCAGAAAACCAAGGATTAACTAGATGTGTCATCTTTCTGCCTTAGGGGATGATGGATTATTGGGAAGGGCTCTTAGCCAGGTTACGTACTTTAAAATACAAATGCATGTGTGGATCTATAATTGTCTCAAAAGAAAAAAGTTTAAAATATACATAAATCGATAGATAAAATATATATGTATAGACCCACCCCAGATCCATTCCTTGCAATCTTTGGCAGAGACTTAACTCCCAAGCTGAATGAGCCCCAGGGTTGATCTAGGATAACATTTCCTATGCATGAATGCAACTCAGCAGCTAAGCAGAGCCAGGACAGTAGGCGCCCTCACTGCCATAGTGCAACTGGACAGCAATCCAGCAGCATTCAATGTTGCTGCAGCAATTTGGTGTGAAATCCCAAGGCCCTCAAGGGTTCTGAGAAATCCTTTCACAACTATCTTTGTGTATCAAGTTACAAGGATAGCCTGGCTTTGGGATTCTTGGCACTGGCCACCCTTACCTTTTGGTCTTCAATGTATTCAATGTCGGCTGTGTTGTAGCCATCCCGCTGGCTCTGATGGAGCACCCTGAAGCGCCTCTTGCCTATGCTGTCAACCACTGAGCGGCCATCAGCAAAGAATTGAACATTTCTGATCTCTAGGATGCAGCCATATTCTGCAAACCTGTTTATTGAGAATGGAGTCGAGAGACTAGATCCTTGATGAGTTCTGTTTCCCTGGGCTGGCACCCAGCCATTTCTGTAGCCCCATGCTGTGGCTCAAGGGACTTCTGCCTATTTTCCTGTCCCTGGGTTACAGCTTCAATTACACAACAGGCAGTGCCTGTGTGAAGAAAAAAAATTCGTAATGTATTCGTGTAACTGCTACCATTTATTGAGCACATACTATGTGCTGTGCCAGTGCTATGGTTTGAATGTTTGCCTCCTCTACAACCCATTTTGAAATTTAATTGCTATTGTAACATTATTAAGAGGTGGGACATTTAAGAGGTGATTAGGCCTCCACCCTCATGAATGCATTAATGCTGATATGGTGAAAGTAGAGTAGGGTTGTTATTAATATAAAAGGGCAAGTTTGACCCCCTTCTTTCTCTCTCTCTCTGTTGCCCTTCTGCTATGCCCTTCCACTATGTTATGATAAAGGAAGAAGGCCCTTGCCAGATGCCAGCACCTTGACCTAGGACTTCCCAGCCTCCAGAACCATGAGAAATAAATTTTGATTGTTCATAAATTATTAGTCTGTGGCATTCTGTTATAGTAGCACAAAATGGACTAAGGAAGCCAGGAACTGTGCTCAGCATTTTATGTACATTATTAACTCACCAATCTTCCAAGCAAACCCAATGAGGTAGGTACTATTATTGTACCCACTTTACAAATAAGGAAACTGGGATACAGAAAGGTTAAATAGCTTGCTCAAACTCAAACTTGCTCCAAGGCTGCAACTAGATAATGAAAGCAGGCAGTTTGACTCCAAGGCCCACATTCTTACAAGTTTTATAACATATACCACCTGTTTAACCAAATATTAATTCTAGGGTTCTTTAAATAGACAGCCTCTCACATGGTAAACTAACCACCAAAGGGACAATGATCCTTACAAATGCTCATATTCTTCAGTTGGCTAAACCTCATGAGCTAGGCCTCCCTGTCTCCTGGGAGTACCCCAAAGTAAAACAGAAATCCCTCATTACACAACCTCCCTTTGCTCGCATGGCTCCTCACTTACCCTTTGACAGGATCTCCAAGGCACATGCCAAACTGTCTCGTGCCTGTCTCAATGCATCTACGAATCATCAGGCGGTAACAAGGCTCAAAGATGTGCAGGGGACAAGGAACGGTGGGATAGGCCATAGTACACACGAAAATAGGCACATTCTTATTAAGGCTGTCAGAAAGAGAAAATGACAGGGATCTCAAAGCAATCGGACAGAACACAAAAATATTGGTCAAATGTTAGCATGTGATACCCCTGGGGGAAGGCAGAGACACCAAGTTTGTTTTTTGACAGTGTCACTTGCCAAAGATACATCAAGTTTTGATGGCTAATAGAAAAATATTGAAATGCAATTGATAGTGTGGGCTGAGTCCCATGATCTGATGCAGAGGTTAGCCTAAGGTCTAAGAAATTAAAATTGGCATTCTACACATTTTAATTTGGCTGAAGAAGTTCTCTAGTATCTTAATATTGTGGATGATAGCTATAATTCATATTTTTTCTTACTTTCATGCTCTCCACTCAAAACAATCTTTTCAGGTGTTTTTCAGGCTGCATGGGGAAGGTTGCTGATGATAGAAGTGGACTCAGCTCTCCAGAAGGGTGGTGGGAAATTCTCTGTAAGGTCCCTAGGGCATCTCAAATTTGCAAGGACCCCAAAGAGTCTGCAAAGGAGGCACAGCTGAAAGGAGGAAGGACCAAGAGATAGGCAAGAATAATCCAGCCCAGTGATGCTCAAATGCTTCTTTGCATCAGAATCAACAGGGGCTCTTCAATCAAGATGACTTGGACACCACATTACCAGAGATACTGATGCATTAGCTCTGGAATTGGGACCCAAGGGTCTTTCTTTTTCTTTTTTTTTTTTTTTTTAAGCGGAGTCTCACTCTGTCACCCAGGCTGGAGTGCAGTGGTGCAATCTTGGCTCACTGCAACCTCCGCCTCCCGGGTTCAAGCAATTCTCTTGCCTCAGCCTCCTGAGTAGCTGGGATTACAGGTGCATGCCACCATGCCTGGCTAATTTTTGTAATTTTATTAGAGATGGGGTTTCACCATGCTGGGCAGGCTGGTCTTGAACTCCTGACCTCAAGCAATCCACCGGCCTCTGCCTCCCAAAATACTAGGATTACACGCATGAGCCACCATGCCCGGCCCTGCCTTTCAATAAGTACCCCCAGAGATTCACACACACAACCCGTTGGGGAACCAAAACAGAGCCAGCTCTTCTGGGATCCTTGTCTTATTTGTCTAGTAAATCCAACACAGGAACATCTGAACCTAAACCTATCAAGAAATATAAGACCAACTGCCCAAATCTCAAAAGGATCAAGTTCAGGATTCATTTACATAGAAAGCCCTAATACATCTCAGTATTTGTTAATAAGACCTTAAATGAGATTTGAGATGAGGGCTCAGAGAGGCTCAATGCTAATTTACAGATCAGAAATAAAGATAAAGATCCCCCGAGTAGTTCCAATGTAAATTAATGAGAAAAAAAAAACGATTTCTAGTTTCTGAGAAAAGCATTAGTCTAAGTGAGGAGTGCATTCAAACAAGCCACTGGCAGAGTTTACGAATGTTCTCTACACAGTGGGCATGAAACCAGAACCATTTTTGCTGTCAGGAACCTTGCCTCTGGAATGCTGTTAGGATTCTACTGCGGATGGAGGGAGGAGAGGGCAGAAGCAAGAGAGGCAGAAATTAGTGATTGCCTCCTGCTTTTTCTGCTAAGGGAGCTGTTCTTACAGCCAGGCAGAGTGCTGAGAGCCTCAATGACGCCTCTGCCCCTCCCCTTCACCTCTCACATTACCTGTGCACGGCAGAGAAAGCGCTTGACAAGTATTAGTATTATTACCATTAATTAAGTGCTTACTATGCACAAACTCATTTGATTTTCATAAGAAGTCCATGAGGTGGCCAGGCATGGTGGCTCACGCCTGTAATCCCAGCACCTTGGGAGGCCCAGGTGGGAGGATCACTTGAGTTCAGGAGTTCAAGACCAGCCTGGCAAACATGGTGAAGCCCTGTCTCTACTAAAAAATACAAAAATTCGCTGGGCATGGTGGTGCATGCCTGTAATCTCAGCTACTCGGGTGGCTGAGGCAGGAGAATCGCTTGAACCCGGAAGGCGGAGGTTGCAGTAAGCCAAGATCGTACCACTGCACTCCAGCTTGGGTGACAGAGTGAGACTCAATCTCAAAAAAAGAAGTCCATGAGGTAAGAACTCAAGTTATTAAATTATTCTCAAGCTACAGATAAGGAAACTAAGGCCCAGAAAGGTTAAATGACCTGCCTAGGGTCGTGAAGTAGACTCACTTTGAGGTAGAACTGGGTCTTAAGCCCGGTTCTGGTTGACACCAAAGTTCTTAACCTCATAGCAACTCCTTATGTATCTGAAAACAATCTTTTGGACATTTCGTTAAGTTCCCCTGTTTATGCTACTCCAATTTACTCTTGCCAACAATACCCTGTTACTGGGGGCAGGGCGTACCCTCATCACTGGTTTCGCTTATGCTTCTTCAGTGGTATGCTGGTATGTTTAACAACTGGCTCTCTGGGTGCAGCGGAAACCCTGGTTTGTAGCACTTGCCAATTTCCATGGTGTAAATACTCTCACCATAGCCAATTTCAAGCAGCTAGCATGACATCACTAAGTCGGAAGCTGGGAAGTAATGTGCACATTCAGCTCTCATTGAGCTGGTATGAGTGAAACAAAACAGAAATATGCATATACATACTTAGAAAGTTCTTCCATTTCCTCTTCATAAAGCTTCCTTCGTTCCTTCAGTTCTTCTGGAAGGAATTTAGCTATGAGCTCCTCCATTATTACATTTTTGCTGTATTTTCTTGATGCCAAGCACTACATGGGGGGAGGCAATTAGACAATATGCAATTAGGTAATACGTAGCAATCAGCAAAACACTTCTGATGTAATCAGTGAACAAGTCAAATGACCCACATATTGGAGTAATCTGGACCCACAAATTAGCAGCTGTTACCATCATAATATATGTATTTTCTGGATGTTAGTTTCATTTAAAAAAACACACATGCAATTGATTATCTTTATAATTAGAAAAAAATTTTTAACAAGGGGGTAAAACCTGCATTGAAGTTTTAAAACTCTCACAGTTTTTCTGAAACACTGAAATCAAGATCATGTTCTTGTCCAAAAAGTAGGGTGGGGGGAATTCTTCCCTTTCCATTTTCTGATGATTGTATTTACAAGCTCACAGAAATTGTCTCCATCTGGGATATGCTCAAAGTTAGTGGCCAAAAGTTTCAGGGAACTAAAAAGCAATTTTCAATCACTGAACCTTTCCTGCCCTGTCCCACTCCCAGCCTAACCCAATGCTTGGCTTCTGGATATTGCCAAATATACCTATTTTTTCTCTTTTAATTTTAGTTTAAAAAAACACAAACAGCTAAATATTGATTTGTCTATTTGCCTTTCTAATATACCATCTAGGTATCACTGAGATTAAAAGTCATGATTTCAAGAACTGGACTCAGGCTCAATTGTCACTGTTACTCTCCTCCCAAACACCCCTGTCCGATGCATACCCAGGGATGTTTAGGTAGTGGGTATTTAACGGTGTGAATCAAACAACTGATGTTAAAACATCTGCAGAGAATTGCTTGCTATGGAAACTACCCCTACAGTCCCAGCAGGGGGAGCGCCTGAGTATAAAACTGTTGGCTTCAAACAATTTTGTTCCTTTCTCAGTATGGGCTGTGTCTCTATTCTGCAGTGAAAATGATTGGAATATTTAATTCTATGTAAAATGGTGCAAGTGTGACCCTATGTGAATAAACAGAGATAGATGAGAATATCTTCTAGACCCCAAGTCCTGAACTCTATAGCATCTGTCTCCAGGATGCCTTATCTGCCACTGTCACTGCCATTGCCTGGCTATGGGAAAATCAACTGCATTTCCCAGTCCCAGTTGTGGGGGATAAGCATTGACTGAGGAGGTAGTCAGTCTAAAAAGTAGGTGACTCCTCTGCTGATACTAAAACAAAAAGCCAGAAAAGGCACATACTAAAATGTTAACTAACAGTGGTTTTCTCTAGGTACTGAGCATATGGGTAGATTTTTCTTCTTTCCACTTAATCTGAATTTTCCAGTGCTACAACAACACAGATGTATTATTTCAGTATAAGGATCAAGGACTTCTCACCTACAATCAGGCCTGCAAATCCTACAACTTTATCCAGGGAAAGGTATGACATTGACCCTCCTCCCAATCCCAACGCATACCCTCAGGGCTACCAGTGATGATGATTTCACTCCATTCCCTTAATTTAAATACTGGGGTGATGGTAAAGCTCAACATGTGACTTCTCTTGACCTGTAGTCACCTAGAGATAGCCTTGCATCTCCAACCTCTCCTCAGGAATGACAGGGGTCAAGGAACATTAACACCGATTGTAAAATGTGGCAGATAAGTCCCTGAGGGAGGGAAAACAAGATAGATTCTCAGGTCTTCTTTATCTGTAGGAAATTCCTTCAGGTTCACTTGAAAAACAAAGGTGGGAGTTTGTGTGATTAGTTTTAGAGAACCTGGAAGTCCTAGAGGGCTGCGGTCTGCAAAAGCTCTAGGGCTTCCAGGTACAGTGGCTCCTGATGGGTTGGACAAGGATCACACTGAAGTTCTGTGAGGTTCTTCTGGGGCCTTTGGAGCTGTTATCTTCAAGCCACAGAATAAACACTGATGATAAGGGAACATCAGGGCTTACCTAGTCCAATCCTAGAGGGGACAAAAGATTTACTCAAGATTACAGTGTATCAGGTGCCACGATGACATTAGAACCAGGATCCAAGTTTATCATCTATTTAATACTTTCGTTTCCAACACAAATTAATTTCCCTACTTACACTGCATAAAAAGCTGCATGTTGCCTCATTTTCCTGAAGGACTTTATGGAGAGGGGGACAGTGGCTATAAGACAGGAGAAATAGGCTGGGCGTGGTGGCTCATGCCTGTAATCCCAGCACTTTGGGAGGCTGAGGTGGGTGGATCACCTGAGGTCAGGAGTTCGAGACCAGCCTGACCAATATGGTGAAACCCCATTTCTACTAAAAATACAAAAATTAGGCCGGGCGTGGTGGCTCACGCCTGTAATCCCAGCACTTTGGGAGGCCGAGGCGGGTGGATCATGAGGTCAGGAGATCCAGATCATCCTGGTTAACACGGTGAAACCCCGTCTCTACTAAAAATACAAAAAATTAGCCAGGCGTGGTGGCGGGCGCCTGTAGTCCCAGCTACTCGGGGAGGCTGAGGCAGGAGAATGGCATGAACCCGGGAGGCGGAGCTTGCAGTGAGTGGAGATCACGTCACTGCCCTCCAGCCTGGGCGACAGAGCGAGACTCCGTCTCAACAAAACAAAACAAAACAAAACAAAACAAAACAAAAATTAGCCGAGCGTGGTGGCATGCGCCTGTAATCCCAGCTACTTGGGAGGCTGAGGCAGGAGAACTGCTGGAACCCAGGAGGCGGAGGTTGCAGTGACCCGCGATCACGCCACTGCACTCCAGCCTGGGTGGGAGAGTGGAGACTCAGTCAAAAAAAAAAAAAAAAAAAAAGAAGACAGGAGAAATAGATGGTTTGAGGGAGTAATGTGCCCTACCACAGTGCCGTGGCTGGGGGTCCAGTTGAACACTGTCTTAGTGCCCAATTCCAAATAAACTAAACAAAACAAGAAAGAAATACTGATTTAAACCAAACAAGAAAGAAATATTGATTTACCTGTGAAAGACCGTCTTTGCACAATGGACACTTTGCGTTGTGATCTAGGCATCTTTCTAGGCATTTTAAGCAAAAAGTATGCCCGCAAGGTGTTGTGACTGGCTCATAGAATAATCTGAAATTTAGGAATCAAAATGGAAGAAAACTGCAATAAGACCAAAAATAAAAGAGTGACTCAAAGCTAAGTTTTTAAAGCATTATTTAGAATATTTTAGGGTGGGGGAGGAGTTCTTTTTAAAAAGTCGCTATTGTTATACTTCAGATAAACATTTGCCTTTCATTTTTGAGCTGGATTAAAATACATTTATTAAAGTTTAGGGCATAGCTAGATCATTTTGTAACATCAATTCTAGTCTATCTCTTCTGGGGAATTCAGATTTTTTGCCCTGTCTGGTCCAAGAAAAATAGAGATTAATGCACAGAGTGTCTGGATAAATTCCATTCCGAAAATATTTAGCCAACCTGTTCACCTGAGTATATGTAAACACACACACACAAACACACACACACGCACACACATTCTCTCTCTTACACATTTACCCATTTAAGCACTTTACATCATATTACCATGGAAAAAAACCGTTTGCTAACCTTGATTCCTCTTTTCGTCTAAGCAATGTTAATGCCTGAAGGATATCAAAATTGTACCTCTAACAAACATAACTGCCTTTTATATAGATAATTTTCATAGGGGCAGGAGAATAGTATTGTTAGTGTGCTTACTGATATAGACTAGATATGGATCTATATTGATGCATATACACACATATATACATACATTTACATGTGTACATACATATATATACATACATATACTTCAATTTGGTACTATTTTAATTGCTTGGGGAGAACAGGATATTTTCAAAGCAATGTGGGAATCCTTTTATAAATTTGTTCTGTACCTTCAGAAATTAATGGATTTGCTTTGCTTAAAAAAAGGCTCACCTGCAGCGAGATCAGTGAGTGAGGGTAGCTGAAGATGACCGTTGAGGAGTGGGGCTTGCACTCACCAAGAGGAGCAGCACAGGAAGAAGGGAAAGACCCCTGCCTGACCAGCCTATTTTCACCTCACAAGAGTGTTCAGTGGAGAGTCAGAGGCTGCCAGCTGCACGGCTCCCTCGTGTGGCCAGGAGGTGCACCAGCAGCCTGGCCAGCACTGCCAGACTGAGTAGAAGAAGCAACATGCCAGCTGAAAAGTACTTGAGAAGAAACTGAACCCACTAACTAGAATGAACCTGAGGTCCACAGGGGTTGAAGTTACTTGTCTAAGTGCGCACAGCCAACTGTTGACAGATGAAAGTCTATCCAACTTCCACTTCAGTCATGTGCCTTTTCTATTACAACAATAATTCTCAACCATTGCTGTGCATCAGAATCACCTGAACAGCTTTATCTTTAAACAGCTTTACTGATGCAAAATTGACATAAAATAAATGGAACAGACGTAAAGTGTACAATTTGATAAGTTCTGACATATGTACACACTTATGAAACCATCGCCACAATCAAGATAGGAAACATACCCATCCCTCCCAAATGTTTCCTCATGCCCCTTTGTAAGCCCTCCTTCCTGCCTCCCCCAGTCACCTGGGGAGCCTATGAAAACTCTAGATGCCCACTACAGCACCTACAGAGATTCAGATCAGTAGGCCCAGTGTACAGGACAGGCATCAGAAATTTTTTTTAAGCCTCCCAGTGGTTTTAATGTACAGCCAAGATTGAGGATCACTGTGTTACACAATCCCATTAATCTCTGCATAGGCAAACTTACTGTATTGGTCTTCAAATATCAGTTACGTGTGGAGCAAAAAAACCCATACATTGTGAAGCTCCACTGGCTAAAGTTCCAGATTCAGCAGGTCAAGGAGACCAGCAGAAATGGGATATTTTTAACAAGCCAATGGAGGTCTGGAGGAGGAGAGAGACTTTTCATGTATTCAACTTTTTGGTACTTTTTGAATTTTATGATTCTGTTTAAAAAGTAGTTAATTTGTTTAACAAATTAATTAAAACTAATAAATTTTAGTTATCAAATTGGCCAAAAAGCAAAGTTATTTAAAAAAGAAAAACTATTTACTATGGAGGTCTCAGTGCACTAAGGCAAGAAAAAAAATGAGAACTGGAGAGGAAAAAAACAAATCTGTCATTATTCACAAATGATATGATGGTGAACTTAGAAAAATCTAAAAGAATCTACAAATGATTATTAGAATAAGAATGGAATTAACAAAGTTACTAGATAAATACACACACACGTGCACACACAATTATAGTTCTATATACCAGCAATAGACATTAGAAATGTCATCATCTTAAAGATAACATTTGCAACTCCTTTTAAAAATCAAGTGTCCAGGAAGAAATCTAACAACAGTTGTAGGAGACCTCTATTGGAAAAAGCTACAAACACCTCATTGAAAGAAATTAAACAACTAAGTCCCAATAAAAAACCTCAATGGGTTATTTCATTTGTTTATTTTTGTAGAACTTGACAAGTTGATTTCTAAACTTTATAAGGAAAAGCAAAGGGCCAAGAGCCAAGATACATCTGAAGAGCAACGATGTGGGAGGACTCACTCTACCAGATTACAGAACATATAAAGCTGCAGTGATTAAAACAGTATATGACTAGCACAAGGACAAATAGACTCGGGGAACAGAACAGAAAGCCCAGAAACAGATCCAGACGTGGATTCTTGATTTATGACAAATGTGCCACTTCAAAGCAGATGGGGGAAAGATTTTCAATACATAAATAGCATTCTCAATAAATGGTATTAGGAGAGTTGGCTATCTATAGGGGGAAATGAAATTGGATCATCTCTCATATCATTCGCAAAAATCAATTCCATGTGGGCTGTAAAAATAAATGTGAAAAGCAGAACAATAAAACGTTCATAAGATGAAATAGCCAGGCACAGTGGCTGGCACCTCTAATCCCAGCTACTTGAGGCGGGGGTGCTGAGGCAAGAGGATTGCTTGAGACCAGGAGTTTGACACCCCATGTCTCAAATAAATTAATTAGTCAAATAAAAGAAAATAAAGATAAAATAGGAGAATATCTTTATGACCTGAAGGTAAAAAAAATGAATTCTGACCCTGTCTATAAATGAAAAGATTGATAATTTTGACTGTATTAAAATGAAGAGCTTTTGGCTGGGTGCAGTGGCTCACACCTGTAACCCCAGCACTCTGAGGCTGAGGCGGGTGGATCATCTGGGGTGAGGAGCTCAAGACCAGCCTGGCCAACATGGCAAAATCCCATAAAAATTAGCAGACTGTGGTGGTGCATGCCTGTAATCCCAGCTACTGGGGAGGCTGAGACAGGAGAATCGCTTGAACCCAGGAGGTGGAGGTTGCAGTGAGCCGAGATTGCACCACTGCACTCCAGCCTGGGCAACAGAGTGAGACTCCATCTCAAAATAAAAAAAAAATAAAAAAACAAGAAGAAGCGCTTTTAAGTTCATCAAAAAATGTCATTAAGAGGGCAAAAAGGCAAGCCAGAGTAGGAGAAGGTATCTGCAACACATACGACTAGCAAAGAACTTGTATCTAGAGCATACATAGACACCCTAGAAGTCAGTAAGAAAAAGAGAAGGAAGCGAACAGAAAATGAACAAACACTTATAAGCACCAGCAGATGTAAACAATGTTTATAGCAATGTTGTCCATGATATCCCCTAACTAGATACAATCCAAACATCCATCCATAAGAGAACTGATAAACAGACTGTGGTGGATTCATATAATGGGATATTATACAATAATGAAAGTGAACAAACTTTACCTATATGCAATAACATGGATAAATCCTAATACTGAGTAAAAGAAGCCAGATTGAAATAATAAATTCTGGATAATTCAGTTTATATAAAGCTTTTACATAGGCAAAACTAGATTGCATCGCCTAGATACACATATTCGGGTAGTAAAGCTAAAAAGAGAAACAAGATAAAAGTCAAGATAGTGGTTGGGGTAGGGAGGATAGTCCTGATTGGGAAGAGGCATATGGGTAGCTTCTTGGGTCCTGGCAATATTTTACTTCTTGAACTGAGAGGGGTTACATAAGTATCTTCTCTACAATATTTTGTTAAGAGAACATATTTATATTTTATGCACTTTTCCACTGTGTGTATTTCACAATTTAAAATGTTTTTCAAAAGTGTGATTTGGAACCACTGCTGTGATCTAATTATCAGAGCAGCCAAACCAAAATATCTCATTTCCTTGGTAACTTAGTCCTGTGAATCTGAATGCCTTATATTATTTGATGGTACTAATGATGAAGATGATTGATGAATCTGTATCTACAACTAATATGCAAAACCATTTTTCCTGAGAATTTTGCAATTGGGCCTATTGTTCATTTAAGAATGTAACCTAATGTAATCTATCTAAAATAACAAAGATATAGCTGGCTAATTAATTGCAATAAATACTGACATTTAGTGAGCAGATGAATAAAACACACACAAAAGGACACAGCAATCTCTTAGCAAAAGCTGTGATTAAAATGCCCCTGACTGAGTGGTAGCAAACACAAATGCGGCCACAGATGCTGCATAATTATTCCTTTGAAATAGTTCAGGGTTCAGATGCTTAGAATACATTACACTTTTCAATACTCAATTCATTTCTATATTTAGGGCTACTCTGCTTCTCTGCACAGCCAAAGTGACTGGAACAGATGGAATATATTTTTCTGGCTGTATTTCTTGGTGTGTCAATACTTAACTTTGTATATTAAGAGGTGGTAATTATGATTAGCTTCATTATACTATTGAGAAAATTTAAACCCAGACAGGTTAAAATAACTTGCCTAAGATCACACAGCTAGCTGGTAAGTAGCAGGGCTTTGGGATGTCAGGTCAGATCTGACTCTCAAGCCCATCTTTCTTCTTCACTCTATGATGCGGCAACAAATGTGTGCATGTATTTCTGCATCCAAATAGACATCATCCATCTACATGTAGATGCACACACTCATATGCACATTTTCCTCCCTCCCTCTCTCCTCTCTCCCTCCTTCTGAAAAAGAGAGAGACAGAGAGAACTTGACTAGAATTTTTTTACCACTTTAGGTAACGATTTCAGAAAACACATCCAAGAGGTATTTATAAATCAGAGCAGGGCCAGATTTTCACACAAAAAACATTTTACATTGTTACAGTGATGGAGTAAACAATAGCAATAATAAATGCTTTCAGTTTGATGTCAGCCCAGATAAAATGTTTGGCTTGTCTGGAAATAGCTATCTTTTCCCACCAGTTACATCCTTGTATTGTTTTCTTTTGCTATCAAATGAGAGCAAAGAGGAAAGGAGGAGGAGAGGAGGGAGGGGAGAAGGAGAGGGAGAAATAGGGAGAGAGAGGGAGGGAGGAAGAGAGAGTGACAGTGAGAGAGAGAGAGAGAGAGAGAGAGAGAGAGAGAGAGAGAGAGAGAGAGAGAGAGAGAGAGAGAATGAGAGTGAACTGACAAGATCCTTAACACCAAGCTACTTGAGTAGCTAAAACTAGGTTAAATATGAAGCTTCTTGTTAGAATTGACAAAGAGGTCACTGGGCCATTAGATAACTGGTTCAAATATCAAACATTCTTACTGCATATCTCAAAATGTCTTTGTCACCCCAAAAGTTCTGCTCCATAGCAGCCCCAGAGGTGGCCCCCAATGGCTAAGGTAACCACACGAGGCAAATATCAAAGGAGAATTTGCAACCACTAAGGATTGAGGAGCAGAGTTCTTAAGGGTTGAAGTTAGGGGGTAACTTCTCTCAACAGAGCTCCCCCAGTTCAGCAAGGGAGACCTGGAGATTGGAATGGTCCTCACTTACACACCTCCGATTATTGTTCCATTCACTCTTTTCACCCTTTTCCCTGTGGAACTTACAACCTGCTTCTCCTAATTTTCTCTCTAGAATCCGTGTATACAAATTCATACTCTAACTTGTTTTTCTACCAATGCAGCACCATGAAACTGGATTTCATACTAAAATCTTGCACAAGTAGTACAAATGTCTAATTTCATGACCTCCACAGATTGTTTCAGACACTTTCTTTACTCTCAGACACTCTCCCCCAAGGACACATGAGGGTAATAAGAGAACCAATCATATTCCTAACAACAAGAAAGAGAAGAAAAACACTGGAGAGGTGGAATCAAAAGCTTTGTCAAGGCTATCATAATTCAAGCTGAAGCATGTGTTTGAAATAGCCTCTGTCAACATCCAATGTCTAACTTATAGACAAACCCTGTTGGAAAGGGAACTACATGCTTCTGACCAATGGCTGCAGTTTTCAGAACCTCAAGATCCAAAGTTCTTTCTAGATTTAGTAGGTTTCTTATCACCATCAAGCAGTGAGAGGCCAGCTATAACTTAGCAGTGTATGCAATGGCTACTCCAGGCACAGAGGGTTTTGTTTTGTTTTGTTTTGAAGTCTCACTTAGAACGGAGGGGCAGGATAAGGGAAATGATGGCTTTTAAATTTCGAGTGAGCCAACTGGAAGGGGGTCTTATCCTCTTGGTGTTTATTTCTTGGACCAAATTTTGAGACCTCCTCCAAAGCCCCCTGTTGAGTTCAAGGACAAACAAGATGAAAGGGAGAAAGCAGAGGAACAAAAGAACTTACACCTCAGGATTCTTAGTTTTCAGAGAAAACACAAACAGGATGAGTCTGTATGTTTGATTTCTTGTCCCCTGGATGTTGGAGGGAGTGTTAAGAAGGATACGCACAACAAAGACCTGGTCTCTGAGCAGGCTAAGTCAAGTCTACTCCACAGCGCACATCATGGGCTTAGAGCCACAACGGTGTTACCTGCAGGAGCCCATTGCTCTGCCTGGAAGCAGGATTTCTCTATCTTCTACCTTGGCTTTGCCAGAACCCACCTGCCATTCTATCATGAGGGGGTGAGGGAAGTAGTGAAAGGAACCTGCTCATTTAGCCCCTCCCACCCTAGCCCACTCCACCCACACCAACTCCTGACAGCATGGGAGGCTTGCTTTGAGTGCTTCAACATTCCACCTGCTGAGCTGTTTGTTATCAGGTCTGCCAAAGCTTATGAGAAAATCTGGCACCTAAAATTTTTTTTAAGAGAAAGAAGGTCCACATTTCAGGTAACGGCTGTGTTACTCGTTTTCAGTCATCCAACAACGATCATTCAGAATACAAATGCACATGATCGATATGAGAAGCATATGTGCTCATAAAGGGCGAGGAAATATCTGAGCAGTTTCTGCTCGCTGGATCCCACCATGTAGTGTATGAAAATACTTTTTTAGGGCCAGGCATAGTGGCTCACGCCTGTAATCCCAGCACCTTGGAAGGCCAAGGCGGGTGGATCACCTGAGGTTAGGAGTTCAAGACCAGCCTGACCAACATGGTGAAGCCTCATCTCTACTAAAAATACAAAAATTTGCCAGGCAGGAGGCTGAATTGCCTGAACTGGGAGGCAGAGGATGCAGTGAGATGAAATCACACCACTGCACTCCAGCCCGGGTGACAAAGTGAGACTCTGTCTCAAAAACAAAATGAATTTAACTTTATTTTTAAAAATGAAATAAATAAAAAGACTTTTGTTATATTTTCTCTTGGGTCAATCTTCTTAATTTCTGTTTTTAATTTATTTTATTTTTCCGTAAGTTATTGGGGTACAGGAGGTATTTGGTTACATGAGTAGGTTCTTTAGTGGTGATTTCTGAGATTTTGGTGCACCATCACCCGAGCATTATACACTGCACCGTATTTGTAGTCTTTTATTCTTCACCCCCTTCCCACTTTTCCCCCCAAGTCCCCAAGTCCATTGTATCATTCTTATGCCTTTGCATCCTTATAGCTTAGCTCCCACATATCAGTGAGAACATACAATGTTTAGTTTTCCATTCCTGAGTTACATCACTTAAAATAGTCTCCAATCTCATCCAGGTCACTGCAAATGCTGTTAACTTATTCCTTTTTATGGCTGCATAGTATTCAATTGTATATATATACCAGAGTTTCTTTATCCACTCGTTGATGGGCATTTGGGTTGGTTCCACGATTTTGCAATTGTGAATGTGTTGCCATAAACATGCATGTGCAAGTATCTTTCTTGAATAATGGCTTCTTTTCCTCTGGGTAGATACCCAGTGGGATTGCTGGATCAAATGGCAGTTCTACTTTTAGTTCTTTAAGCAATCTCCACAGTTTTCCACAGTGGTTGTACTAGTTTACATTCCCACCAGCAGTGTAGAAGTGTTCCCTGTTCACCACATCCATGCCAGCATCTACTGTTTTTTGAGTTTTTTATTATGGCCATTCTTACAGGAGTAAGGTGGTATCTCAATGTGGTTTTGATTTGCATTTTCCTGATCATTAGTGATGCTGAGCATTTCTTTATGTTTGTTGGCCATTTGTGTATCTTCTTTTGAGAATTATCTATTCATGTCCTTAGCCCATATTTTGATGGGATTGTTTTTTTCTTACTGATTTGTTTAAGTTTGTTGTAGATTCTGGATATTAGTCCTTTGTCAGATGTACAGATAGTGAAGATTTTCTCCCACTCTGTGGGCTGTCTGTTTACTCTGCTGACTGTTCCTTTTGCCATGCAAAAGCCCTTTAGTTTAGTTAGGTCCCAGCTGTCCCAGCTATTTATCTTTGTTTTTATTGCATTTGCTTTTCGGTTCTCGGTCATGAAATCCTTGCCTAAGCCAATGTCTAGAAGGGTTTTTCCAATGTTATCTTCTAGAGTTTTTATAGTTTCAGGTCTTAGGCTTAAGTCCTTAATCCATCTTGAGTTGATTTTTGTACAAAGAGATGAGGATTCAGTTTCATTCTCCTACATGTGGCTAGCCAATTATCCCAGCACCATTTGTTGAAAAGGGTGTCCTTTCCCCACTTTGTGTTTTTGTTTGCTTTGTTGAAGATCAGTTGGCTGTAAGTATTTGGGTTTATTTCTGGGTTCTCTATTTTGTTCCATTGGTCTATGTGCCTATTTTTATACGAGTACCATGCTGTTTTGGTGACTATGGCCTTATAGTATAGTTTGAAATCAGATAGTTTGATGCCTCCAGATTTGTTCTTTTTGCTTAGTCTTGCTTTGGCTATGCAGGCTCTTTTTTGGGTCCATATGAATTTTAGAATTGTTTTTTTTCTAATTCTATGAAGAATGATGGGGATTGCACTGAATTTGTAGATTGCTTTTGGCAGTATGGTCGTTTTCACAGTATTGATTCTACCCATCCATGAGCATGGGATGTGCTTCCATTTGTTTGTGTTGTCTCCAATTTCTTTCAGCAGTGTTTTGTAGTTTTCTTTTCTTTGCTTTTTTTTTTTTTTTTTGAGATGGAGTCTAGCTCTGTCGCCCAGGCTGGAGCGCAGTGGTGTGATCTCTGCTCACTGCAAGCTCCGCCTCCTGGGTTCACACCATTCTCCTGCCTCAGCCTCCCGAGTAGCTGGGACTACAGGTGCATGCCACCACGCCCGGCTAATTTTTTGTATTTTTAGTAGAGACAGGATTTCTTTGTGGTAGCCAGGATGGTCTGGATCTCCTGACCTCGTGATCTGCCTGCCTTGGCCTCCCAAAGTGCTGGGATTACAGGCATGAGCCACCGCACCTGGCCTGTGTTTTGTAGTTTTCTTGTAGAGGTCTTTTGACTCCTTGGTTAGATATATTCCTAAATATTTTATTTTTTTGCAGCTATTGTAAAAGGGGATCTTGATTTGACTCTCTGCTTGGTCACTGTTGGTGTATAGAAGAGCTCCTGATTTGTGTACATTAATCTTGTATCCAGAAACCTTACTGAATTCTTTTGTCAGTTCTAGGAGCTTTCTAGAGGAGTCCTTAGGGTTTTCAAGGTAAACGATCATATCATCAGCAAACAGTGACAATCTGAGTTCCTCTTTACTGATTTGGATGCCCTTTATTTCTTTCTCTTGTCTGATTGTTCTGGCTAGGACATCCAGTACTGTGTTGAAAAGGAGTGGTAAGAGTGGGCATCCTTGTCTTGTTCCAGTTCTCAGAGGGAATGCTTTCAACTTTTCCCCGTTCAGTATTATGACAAACCCACAACCAACATAATACTGAAAAGAAATCAAAACAAAAATCACATGATCATCTCAATAGATGCAGAAAAATCATTAAACAAAATCCAGCATCGCTTTATGATTAACACTCTCAGCAAAATCAGCATACAAGGGACATACCTTAATGTGGTTTTCTTTTTTTGGTTGTCCTTTCCTGGTTTTGTTATTAGGGTGATGCTGGCTTCATAGAATGAATTAGGGAGGGTTCCCTCTTTATCTTGTGGAATAGTGTCAAAATGATTGGCACCAATTCTTCTTTGAATGTCTGGTAGAATTCTGCTGTTAATCTGTCTGGTCCTGGACTTCTTTTTGTTGTTGTTAGCAATTTTTAAGTTATCATTTCAATCTTGCTGCTTGTTATTGGTCTGTTCATGGTATCTCATCCTTCCTGATTTAAGCTAGGAGGATTGTATTTTTCTAGGAATATATCCATCTCTTCTAGGTTTTCTAGTTTAAGTGCATAAAGGTGTTCATAGTAGCCTTGACTAATCTTTTGTATTTCAGTGGTGTCAGTTGTGGTATCTCCTGTTTTATTTCTTAGTGAGGTTTTTTGAATTTTCTCTCTTCTTCCCTTGATAAATCTTGCTAATGGTCTATCAATTTTACTTATCTTTTCAAAGAACATTTTTTGTTTCATTTATCTTTTGTATTGTTGTTGTTGTTTCAATTTAATTTAGTTCTGCTCTGATCTTGGTTATTTCCTTTATTCTGCTGGGTTTGAGTTTGGTTTGTTCTTGTTTCTCTAGTTCCTTGAGGTGTGACCTTAGATTGTCTGTTTGTACTCTTTCAGACTTTTTGATGTAGGTGCTCAGGGATATGAACTATCCTCTTAGCACTGCCTTTGCTGTATCCCAGAGGTTTTGATAGGTTGTGTCATTATTGTCATTCAGTTTGAAGAATTTTTTAATTTCCATCTTGATCTTGTTTTTGACACAACGCTCATTCAGGAGCAGGTTGTTCAATTTCCATGTTATTTGCATGGTTTTGAAGGTTCCTTTTACAGTTGATTTCCAGTTTTATTCCACTGTGGTCTCAGAGAGTACTTGATATAATTTCAGTTCTCTTAAATTTAGTGAGGCTCATTTTATGGTCTATCATATGGTCTATCTTGGAGAAAGTTTCATGCACTGTTGAATAGAATGTGTATTCTGCAGTTGTTGGATAAAATGTTCTGTATGTATCTGTTAAGTCCATTTGTTCCAAGGCATAATTTAAATCCATTGTTTCTTTGTTGACTTTCTGTCTTGATGACCTGTCTAGTGCTGTCAGTGGAGTACTGAAGTCCCTCACTATTATTGTGTTGCTGTCTATCTCATTTCTTAGGTCTATTCGTAATTGTTTTATAAATTTGGGACTTCCAGTGTTAGGTGCATATATGTTTAGGATTGTGATATTTTCCTGTTGGACAAGGCCTTTTACCATTATATACTGTCCCTCTTTGTCTCTTTTAACTGCTGTTGCTTTAGAGTTTGTTTTGGGCCGGGTGCAGTGACTCATGCCTGTAATCCCAGCACTTTGGGAGGCCGAGGTGGGTGGATCATGATGTCAGGAGTTCAAGACCAGCCTGACCAACATGGTGAAACCCAGTCTCTACTAAAAATACAAAAATTAGCCGGGCATGGTGGCACGTGCCTGTAATCTCAGCTACTCAGGAGGCTGAGGCAGGAGAATCGCTTGAACCCGGTGGCGAATGTTGCAGTGAGCTGAGATCACACCATTGCGCTCCAGCCTGGGTGACAGAGGGAGACTCTGTCTCAAAAAAAAAAAAATTTGTTTTGTCTGATATAAAAATAGCTACCCCTGCTCATTTTGGGTGTCCATTTGCATGAAACGCCTTTTTTTCACCCCTTTACTTCAAGTTTATGTGAGTCTTTATGTGTTAGGTGAGTGTCCTGAAGGCAGCAGATGGTTGGTGAGTTCTTATCCATTCTGCGGTTCTGTATCTTTTAAGTGGGGCATTTAGGCCATTTACATTGTTAGTATTGAAATGTGGTGTACCGTACCGTAGCATTCATTGTGCTCTTTGTTGCGTGTGTACTTTGGTTTTTGTTTTTGCTTTTTAACTTGTATTTTTGTTTTATAGGTCCTATGTGATTTATGCCTTAAAGAGGTTCTGTTTTGTTGTGTTTCCAGGATTTGTTTCAAGATTTAGAGCTCCTTTTAGCAGTTTTTGTAGTGGTAGCTTGCTAATGGCAAATTCTCTCAGCATTTGTTTGTCTGAAAATGTCTATCTTTCCTTCATAAGTGATGCTTAGTTTCACTGGATACAAAATTCTTGGCTGGTAATTGTTTTGCTTGAGGAGGCTGAAGATAGGTCCCCAGTCCCTTCTAGCTTTTAGGGTTTCTGCTGAGAAATATGCTTTTAATCTGATAGGTTTTCCTTTATAGGTTAGCTGGTGCTCTGTCTCAGTTCTTAAGACTCTTTCCTTCATCTTAACTTTGGATAATCTGATGACAATGTGCCTAGGTGAGGATCTGCTTGTGATGAATTTCCCAGGTGTTCTTTGTGCTTCTTGTGTTTGGCTATCTAGGTCTCTCACAAGGCCGGGGAAGTTTTCCTCGATTATTCCCCCAAATACATTTTCCAGACTTTTAGAATTTTCTTCTTCCACAGGTACACCGATTATTATTAGGTTTGGTGGTTTAACATAATCCCAGACTTCTTGGAGGCTTTGTTCATATTTTCTTATTCTTTTTTTCTTTGTCTTTGTTGGATTGGGTTAATTTGAAGACCTTGTCTTCAAGCTCTGAATTTCTTTCTTCTACTTGTTCAATTCTATTGCTGAGACTTTCCAGGGCATTTTGCATTTTTAAAAGAGTGTCCAAAGTTTCCTGAATTTTTTATTGTTTTTTCTTTAAGCTACCTATTTCCATGAATATTTCTCCCTTCACTTCTTGTGCCAGTTTTTGGATTTCCTTGCATTGGGCTTTGCCTTTCTCTGGTATCCCCCTGATTAGCTTAATAACTAACCTCTTCAATTCTTATTCAGGTAAATCAAGGATTTCTTCTTGGTTTGGATCCATTGCTGGTGAACTAGTGTGGTTTTTGGGGGGGGGTGTTAGAATAACCTTGTTTTGTCATATTACCACGGTTGGTTTTCTGGTTCCTTCTCATTTGGGTAGGCTCTGTCAGAGGGAAGGTCTAGGGCTAAAGGCTGTTGTTCAGATTCTTTTGCCCCACGGGGTGTTCCCTTGATGTAGTACTCTCCCCCTTTTCCTATGGGTGTGGCTTCCTGTGAGCTGAACTGCAGTGATTGTTGTCTCTCTTCTGGGTCTAGCCACCCATACAGTCTACCCGGCTCCAGGCTGGTACTGGGGGTTGTCTGCAGAGTCCTGTGATGTGAGCCATCTATGGGTCTCTCAGTAGATAGATACCAGTGCCTGTTCTGGTGGAGGTGGTGGTGGGTGCAATGGACTCCATGAGGCTTCTTAGCTTTGGTGGTTTAATGCTCTATTTTTGTGCTGGTTGGTCTCCTGCCAGGAGGTGGTGCTTTCCAGAAAACAACAGCTGTGGTAGTGTGGAGAGGGACCAGCGGTGGGCAGGGCCTTAGAACTCCCAAGATTATATGCCCTTTGTCTTCCACTACCAGGGTTGGTAGGGAAGGACCATTGGGTGGGGGCAGGGCTAGGTATGTCTGAGCTCAGACTCTCCTTGGGCAGGTCTTGCTGCAGCTGCTGTGGGGGATGGGGGTGAGATTCCCAGGTCACTGGAGTTGTGTACCTAGGAGGATTATGGCTGCCTTTGCTGAGTCATGCAGGTTACCAGGGAAGTTGGGGAAATACAGCAGTCACAGGCCTCACCCAGCTCCCATGCAAACTGAAGGGCCAGTCTCACTTCCACCGTGCCCTCCCCAACAGCTCCAAGTCTGTTTCCAGGAGGAGAGTGAGAGGGACTTGAGAACTCGACCGAGGCTATTTGCCTCCCAGAGTATTTGGGGTGTCTCCTGGGTCCTGCAGAAGCAACCCGCTTCCTTCAGAGGGACTGTGGGCCCTCTCGGGATTGCTGGTTTGTTCTTTAGTCCATCTGGAGCTCCACAGCCCTCCCCGCAGGACCCGCCAGCACAACGAACAGCAGCCTGCCAACCGTCTTAATTTTTGTGCAAATATCTCAGCCTCCTTTTAATGCTCTTTTGGAAAACAGACACATTTGTGAATCTGCTAAAGGATGTGGACCTTGTCCTGGAAAACCCACATACTTTAACATACAACTTCGAGACATTAATACATCTATTAGAATCCATATATAGAACATCCTCAGAGGTCCATAGACCCAAAGTTTCCTTCTGGACCTCTGGTCTACAAGGAAAAAAAAATAGTTAACATTTACTGAGTATCTATTATATGCCAGGCACTATTCCAGGTGTTAAACAGATTTTTCTCAATTAATCATGACAACCCTATGGAGTAGGTACACTGTTCTCTATTTTACTGACAAGAAAACAGTAGCAGAGAATGTCACTTGCTCCATCCAGGTCAACAGCCAGTAAATGACAGAGCAGGGAGCCTCTCCTCTAAGCCAGTAAGTCACAGCTGTGAAATCAAAGACATGTAAGCAATTTTAAAAAATTGTGTATGGTTACACACACCATAATCATAGCCTCTTTCTTTTGGGGTGGGGGAGCATGTGAATAATTTGCCTCTCCAGAGATCTGAGAAAGTAGAGATGATGTGGCACTGTTTGGTGGGGAGATACTTGGCTAAGTATCTCAGGCCCACCACTAATATTCATGGCACAACACAAAACAAAAGCTAGTCAGGCCCACCACTTGGCTTCCCAAGAATAGTCTGTGGTGGTGACAGTAGTCCTTGAACTTTGAGCTCTTGCCCATGTAACTGAGATTAGTGCTGGGATCCAAAATTTAAATTATCTCTAGGGGCTAAGAATGTAATGCAATTGTGACACACAGGTTGGAATAAGGCAGGTGGGTGGCGGGGGCGTGGTCAAATGGAGAGTACATGTCCTGTCTCAAGACATTCACGTTTAAGAAAAACAAACCCCATGAGGGCCAAACAAAAGACATATTCAGACTGGGTGCAGTGGCCTGTAATCCCAGGACTTTGGGAGGCCCAGGCAGGCAGATCACTTGAGCTCAGGAGTTTGAGACCAGCCTGGGTAACATTGTGAAACCCTGTCTCTACTAAAAATACAAAACTTAGCCAAGCGTGGTGGCACAGGCCTGTAATCCCAGCTACTTAAGAGGCTGAGGCACGTGAATCGCTTGAACTGGGGAGACAGAGGTTGCAGTGAGCTGAAATCGCACCACTGCACTCCAGCCTGGGCAACAGAGCAAGACTCTGTCTCCAAAAAAAAGACATAAAAAAAAAAGACATATTCAGACATATTCAGCCCAGTGGGCCATCAGTTTGTGACCTGTGAATAGACTGTTCCCTTCCCACTCTCCAGGTTTTTCCAAGTCAGGAGCCAGGAATGCAGGGAATGCAGTCTCTGGGAAGGGGACACAAGCTGACCCATGTGACAATCAACGTTGTGATTTCCATTCCGTTAGAGCTATGCTTTTTACATGCTAACCAACCCAGCAGTAGGTCACTAGCAGAAAGGTCCAGACACCAGAGATGAAGAAACATCAGGAAGTAAATGATAGTACACAGGACGTACCTCATACATAGAGCGCATTCAAGGTCAGATGCGTCGAAAGATGCAAGTGGTAAACTGAGAGCAGGTTTGTCCCCCTGATCAGTGGGAGGATCTGCGATTTAGAAAGCAAGAAGTCAGCGCTGGAGCCACCCCGGTTTCATAGATAGTACTTCTGAGGCAAAATAATCCAATGCGTTTTTCAGTTTGCCACTCTCACCACCACCTCCCAGAGAGTTGATTTAGTGGACACCTGAGCCGTTGAGAATGGGACACTCAGAAGTAGGCTCTCAGAGGTTTCCAGCAGGCCCAACAGAAAGAGAAATGCAAGTCAAACAATGTCCAGGAGCCCTGGGGACTTCATTCAAATGCAACATGCACCTCTGTCAACAGCAGAAGCTACAGCAACTCAATGGACTGAGCCAGGCCTTCAAAGCTAAAACTGAATCTTGGCACTGCCAACCTCTCGTGGAAAGATAGCAAGCCACAGCTGCTGCTTCTCACATGCCTACCTATGGGAACACAACTGGGAATGAGCAGGGTGAGGCCTGACCTCACTTTCCTCATCCTGCATTCCTAGAATGGGGATGGGGGTAGCAAGAGGCTGACCTAGAAGGAAGTGGCATCCCCATGGGTATGGGATGTCATTAGTTGATACTGTGCTTGACCTGATGCCTTGGCTTTCCATTATATTAATAATTAGTATTGAACACTTTTTACAGTGTGCTAGGCACTGTACATGATCTCACAGAAGCCTCATAGCAATCTCTGAGGTCACACAGCTAGTAAATGCCAGAGCTGGGCCCCACACCCAGAGCCTAAGGAGCCCCCAGACAGAGGTAAGTAACTTGTATATATTGGTGAGCCCGGGGATCTCCTCCAAGCTACCTTCTCTCTGGGTAGAGCCAGTACCTTGCTTGGAGGCTTTATTAGGCATCCCCGTTTCTTCTTGGGATTCAATCTGGCAATGTTTCCTTTTCTTTTCCTGGCATTTTCCAGTCTTGCTGGAAGCAGCTTTTGGAGAGGTAGCATCCCACTTCTCCTCCTCTTCTTCCTGGTCTTTCATGTGGTGCTGCTGACCATCCCCCTTCACTTTAGCTGGGTCCATCAGACTGCTGCCATCTCCCCTGGCTGCTGCTTCCTCCTGACTAGAACAATGTGGGAGCTCCAGATTGTCCTGGATGAAGAAAGGGCCACATATCAGAATCTTCTTAGGACTAATATTGTCCTCTCATATTCCTACCCAGAGGAACAAAGGGAAACTATAGAGTCCTGATCCCCACCCCGAACTCATAGTGGACACAGAGCTCAACTTGGGGGCCGTCATAAGGCATTATTTCCTACTTCTTTTCTGCACAGTATCTGCAACCAAGGCATTCCCAGCTTGGGTGGAGTTAGGGAACTTCCTTAGGCAAGGACAGGAAGGTATGTAGGAGGAGAGCCTCCTTGGGCAGGTGTAAAAAGGGGAAATGCCAGGGATAGGCACCAGTTCCCCTTCCTATAAAATCCTTCCCCAGTAACCACTTTAGCAAAACCAAGGCAGGCAGTGACGGCAGATCCTGTCACTCAATAGTTCCTCTCGCCCTCACTGCCATTCACGGCCGTCTGCGATCCCCAAACTCCAGCTCCAAAAGGACTTTTGGTAGGGCTTTGGCACAGGTCTGTTCACAGGCCTGCCAAGTTACCTCATGCTCCAGGTCTGTATGTTACACTGGTCAAATGAACAAGGTACAAACTATTCCTTTTACTAGATTTGGGGTGAAAAGCATTAAAAAAAAAAAAAAAGACAAAATCACCTGGCAAAAAAAATCAACAATGTCTCTAGCCTTTTCAAGAATATTTTCCCAGGAGATGGATATTTGAAAAAGGATTTAGAAATAAGTGCAATAACAACATGTTTATGCAGATTTACATGGAGAACCCCTCTCTAATCTAAACCCATAGTCCATAGGTCAAGATACTCATCGTGTTGTTTCCCTCTAACCCTACCAAAAAAAAACTGGCAGACAGGTGAAAAAGGGGAGCATATAGCTGGGAGAAAACAATGAGGTGAGGACAAAAATAATGTGGGTTTTCTCTGTGTCTAACTTGGGAGTTGGGGTTTTCTCCAGCACTACAGCAATACTACAACCTTGACTTTCCATGAACCCAAGGCATTGGCCACTCAGGAGTATACTGCTTTGCAAAGCAAAGTTTGGGTGGAAATCCAATCCTTGTTCCCCAGCTGGTTGACATTGGAAAGCCAAGGTTGCTGTTTTTCTTCTTTTCAGATGGAGCTGCAATTAGAAGTCACTCCAGGCATTTGGGTTCAGTATTAGCATTCTCAATCATTTAATAGTGATCTTAATTATTGAAATCACTGGGGGTTCTGTGATTTCAGGAGATCCTCTAAGTTCTGCCATTTTTTAAGAAAAGTTGGGCGCACCTGCATTTCAGTCCTTTTATGAGAGCCCAGGGCTTACACACAGGAGAAGAACACCGGGCATGAATGGAGGGAAAACTGCCCCCTAAAGATGCCCAGGCATTCAGTGCTAAACTCTGCCTTGGAGTCTGCGCTTCTGATCCTCAACTTCTGACCACTTACCCTCTGCCGGGAAAGCCAGGGCCTGGAACCCATCTCTCTTGTGTTCTGTTTCCTGGTTTTCAAAGAAAGGTACAAATACCTGTCTTCCTCCCAGGTCCTTCAACTCAACTTTCTTTCCAACATCTCTTTCCTCTTCTCTGTTACAAATACGTATTGGAAGCTTACTTATGTATAAGGCATAGTGCAGGAATATGAAATTACATCCATTTGAGGATCAGAGTTGTCTTTGCACAGGATAAGTGCTGGCACTCAAAGGCCAGCAGCTTGAACAAACAAAAGCTCGAAAGGAGGGATTGTTAGGCCCTCTTCCCAGACTCATCCCCAAAGCCTATAAACCCACCCAAATGGTATGGCCCAGGGGCAGTGAGCCAATTCCTTTCTAGCTCTGTAAAATCTCTCTCGGCTGGATCTAACCAAGAACTGGAAAAAAATGTATCCTAGCACTTTGGAAGGCCAAGGTGGGAGGATCACTTGAGGCCAGGAGTTCGAGACCAGCCTAGGCAAAAATGGTGAAACCCCGTCTCTACAAAAAAAAAAAAAAAAAAAAAAAAAAAACTTAGCCAGGCATGGTGGCACGTGCCTATAGTCCCAGCTACTCGGGAGGCTGAGGTGGGAGGATCTCTTGAGACCAGGAGTCTGAGGCTGCAGTGAGCCATGATCATATCACTGCCCTCCAGCCTGGGTGATAGAAAGAGACCCTGTTTCATAATTTTTTTTCAATGTAATGAATAAACTCTGGGACCATGCCTGAAATTCACAGTTGCATCTTTAAGAGGTTCTTTGCAAAGAACAGAACCACTAGTGACTCAATTTCTTCTTTCTCAGGAACCAAAATAGGAGAGGGAGGGCTCACTCCCCACGTTTGCCCACAAAACAGCCAAACGAAGCGTCACGAGCGAGCTGGGTGAGTTGAGTTTTACCTGTAACAACCTTGGTAGATTATGGCTGGTAACTTCAGTAGTCATTGACTCTACGTTTTCCTTTAATCTAGGGTGAGGTGCCAACAGCTTCAGGATATCGGGAGAATGTTCCTGAGAATCCCCCGGGACTGATGGTGAAAAGAAACTAAGGAGAAGCTGTGACATAAAACAGAAGACTTCACTACTTAAGTTTCTACAGGTGCCCAGGTGAAGGGGAGGAGGGTGAAGGGGGGAGGGAGCCAGCTTGCAGGGCAGAACTCCAGGGAGGAAGCCTTGGACCAGTGTCCCTAACACACCACACCAGGGCAGGGGTCCTCGCTTCAGCGGGCATCAGAATCAACTGGGGAACTTATGAAAAATCTAGGTCTCTACTTTGTACTCCCATCTCCCCCAGGTCTGGAGTGTGGCCCAGGAATCTGGATTTTGAGAAGGCACTACAGATGCCTCTGTTGCCTAGCCAAGGTTAAGAGCCACCATGCTAGTGCTAACACTCCGCAGAAATATCTGCAGTGGGATTTTAAAACTCATCTAGGAGGAAAGAGACAGAGAGGTAAAGTCAGGAGAGAAACCTCACTTGGGGAATTTGAAGTTCATAATACCTCAGTGGGTAGAAGTCTACAAATGTCTTCTAGGATCCTCACTGTTTCTTTTCTCCACTACCCATTTTGCTTCCTCCTCTCCCCACCATCACCCCTGGATCTTTAATCCCTTCAAAGCTGGGAACCTGAGCAGTTAACTGTTAGGAAAAACAGAACTCCAGCTTCCTCCCTCTTCTCCCAACCTCGCCTCCCCTATGCTGGCCTTTGCCTCCCAGAGGATGTTAGGTTAAGTTTAAGTACTAGGCGCAAGGAGGTTCCAGTCTCTTGCTGGTTTCCCTTGCAATTGGATAAGCTGGGAGGGTAGACGTGCGTTCTAATGTAGCTTGCACCATTCACTGTCCACATTCTTGCCCCAAGTTTCCCCTGTACTAGCAAGGATTGTGTGTGTGTGTGTGTGTGTGTGTGTGTGTGTGTGTGTGTGTGTGTGTGTTTCCATATACTGAAACATGTAACACAAGGAGAGCAGGTGACTTTGCTTCTAAAACCTGCTCCAGTGCTTACCACCCAGCAGCTCCTGCAGTGTTTGGAGATCCACTAAAGGAAGCTCCAGTCCCGTGCTGAGGGTACATAGTTAGGGTATTAATTGATCAACAAAATTTGACAGAACACCAAACTCCAGTTTGATTTATTCTCTGGCCCCCAGCAATCTCTTCATGATGTTCCTTCAGATGCCAGCACTTGCCATGAAGCCAAACCCCACTCAGCCTTCAAAGCTCAGCTCAAGTGCTACCTTCCCTCACTATTCCAGTCCTGTTCTACACAGTAGTAGAGAGTGCACCATAATATAGCATCTTGAACAACACCACGTTATGTTATCCTAGAAATGTGTCACAGATGTAAGCCTTTCTCTCCTGCCAGACGGCCAGCTTCTAGAGGGCACATAACAGATACCCAATAAATGCTCATCACACTGGATGGAATTGAATTAAGACACTTATCCACCCCAGGGCCCAGGGAGAGGCCTAGCATTCAGGCCCAAAGTCCTCAGATTGATCCTTATGTTTCCTTTCAGCTCTGAGAAACCCACTTTCCAGTTATGAGTTGGCACAGGAGTTAAATGGGGAGGTACTCACAGCACCCGGGGCCATAAATGCCAGCTTTCAGAGGTCCCTCCTCCACAGGAGCCAAGGTTGGTCCTCTGAAGCCCTAATGCGTGACTCAACAGGACCAAGCCAGTTCTGAGGAGGCAGTATCCTTGGAATTCTCCCAAAAAGAGCATAATACTCTTCAGTGGCAGCCACACAGCATCACAAGGTGCAAGGATGAAAGGGCAGAGGGTGGTGGGAAGGAAAAGAAGGCCAAGGGAGAAATCAAAGGAAACAAAGCAGAAATAATAACAGCAGTTCCCTTCTTCATTTTACTACTTGAGATCTCTCTCTAGGCCTTCTCAATGGCATTGGAAAACAAAAGTTGGGGTCAATTCTCAGTGAGAATGATCATTCCACATGAATGAAAGTCAATTCCACTTCAGCCTCAGCCTTAGAAAGGCCCAAATAGGTCAAGAAGAGGGAAAAAGAATCTGCAGTAAAAACAAACATTAAAAAGAAACACAGCCTGTGAGTTCGAAGGCAGCTTATAAATGTCAACTGAACCTGCATCATCTCTGTCAAATCTTTAGCCCTGAAACTGGAATGATCTAGTAAATAAACACAACTGAGGACTCTTGATGTTCTGAATCGCCGCCATGGCCTCATCACACCCAGTGGAAATTCGCCTCTAAATTCTCGCCCTCACTTCAGAACTCTGTAACACTCATCACGGGCATACACTCGCTTGCATCATCTGGCATTTATGTTAACAAATGCAAGATTGTTAAGTTCCTTGAAGACTAAAACTGTGACTTATGCCTCTTTGGGTCTCCAGAGCTTCACACAATGCCTTGCCTCCAACCATTAGGCAGCTGTGGAAATGACAACAGTTTCTCTATAAAAGCAGACTGGAGAGACAGGTCAGCCCAACTGATGACACCAAAAACATCTCAGGCTAGCTGGGAAATGGACAAACAAGAGTCAAGAAACCATTCCTCCTTGGGTCTGAGACCTGCCTCTGCTGGCCTTTGCACGCTCCGTCCCCAAAGATAAGTTTCTTCTAACTGCCTTTGTTCATCCTGGAACTGGAAAGTTCCATTGCTACTATTGATCCAGCTTCACCAGTGAGTGCTAAGGCTGTGGCCATGTCCTCATGGGAAGCAGGATGGCAGAGCAGCTAAGAGGCCAGGCTTTGGAAGCAGATAGACTTGGGTTTGAATACTTTCCCACCAATCACCAGCTGCATGACCTTGGGAAAGTCAGCAAGCCCCAGCTTCATCTGTCTCACCTGTAACCTGAGGATAACTAACCAAACCTAGCCTCAGGAATGTAGTGGGATTTAAATAATATACTCCACATAAAATGCCTAGCACAGTGTATAATGCAGAAGAAATTCTCAACGAATGTTAGCTATTATTATTATCATTACATCATGGACTACACTTAAGATTTGGAGAAGGGTCCACAGCTTGAAGCAATTCTCCCCGAACCGTGCTCCTCTCAAGCACACCTTTTTCACATACTCAAACCAATTCAAAGCAACTTCCCAGAAAGGAGATCTTTTGTGAGACAGAAAATCCAGGGCCAGTTCCCTTATTTCATTGATTTTGCTAACTATTCCTTTCTAGAGCCTTCAGAAACCAGTTCTGTCTCTTGCTCACTTTCTTTATCCACTGCTCTGCCAAACCACACTGGGACAGAAACCGTAAGGCTCCGCGGTGAATAGTGGGTGGGGCACAAGGAGAGCAGAGACAACCGCCAACTGTCAGAATCCAACTTACAGGCCGATTACCCAGACACCAGCAGAGTAAACTGTAGAACAATAAGCAACAAAGTCCATGAATTGAAGATGGCTGAGCCTTCACTAATGCTCTCAGTATTTCACACCATTTTTCTTTTATAACTACCACATTCTGCTGGGACCCAAGAGTTGGAACGACTGCTTGCATTATATTGTAATGGTCTCTGACTAGCATTTGTGAGGCAGTGTGTTTTATTTCTAGCAAAGGAGCTGAAGGTTGGAGTTCTGTGTATGGTGATAGGGGAGGTGGGGACCACCAACGTCCCTTCCCAGGGGCTGGCTGTCATGTGTGGCTGGTGAAAACTGTGATTCAGCCAAAGAAAAGTTATGTAACAGCAGGTAGCCCCATGCCCTGGATCTCTCATCAACAGCCAGAATGTCCTCAGTGAGCCTCAATCCCCATATTAATGTACTTGATTTTGGTTTTTCTCCCACTGACAATCCAGACCCTGAGTCAAAGAAGCAAGAACATTCCTCACAGGCTCCTACAAAAATGTAGAAACTGCCCAAACTGATCGTACACACCAGAAGGACGGTGTTTCTGGGCAATCAATTAACACTCCCATCTCCCTTTTGTCCCCTTAACCCAGGGAACCACCCACTCAGGACCCCAAATGCCAAGGAGGACAGCACCCTCACTCCCCTTCCTAGATAAGACAGAGAGGGGAGGGTCCAGTAGGCAGCTGGACCTGATGTCATTTCAACTCACTCTTTGGGCTTCACATCTTGCTCTCTTGTTCTTTCCATCAAGGGATACACAGTAGAGAAACTCCCTTAGTGCCTCCTCCACCTTGCCTAGGGTGGCTAAGGCTTGGGCTTTTCTGAAATGTGCCTGGAAGGAAACATTAGCATTCAATCCCATTTTATTCAGCCTATTAACACTACTGCTCTAACAATAACTAACCCACAGCACTCACTGTTGTGTGAAACATTTTAAAAGGACTCTCTTATCTACAGCCCTAAAATGCGGGCAACTGTTCTAATGCCATTATAAAGAAGACAAAACTGAAACCCAAAAACGTTAACTTGCCCAGTGTAACACAGCTGGTAAATTGTGGAATCAGGGTTTGAACCTGGGACTGACTGATACCAAAGCCTGTATTCTTAACCACTCTGCCATACTACCTTGTCTCTGCCCCACCATTGTACGGAGTGACCATCAAATGTAGCAAGAACCCCCATTTGACCACATGCTAACCAGCTTTCAGGGCCTGCCCAGGTATGCGTTCGTTTGAACTAGTCTCTCAAGCAGAGAACCAGTCCTCAGTAGTGGCTTGAAAGAGCACCTACACTAACTGATCAGTTTTCAGAAGAGGCCCAGGAGAAGGGATCTGACCTCTCCAAGACCTCAAAGGTCGCTAGTGGCAAAGCTGGAACTAGAACTGCAGTCTCAGGACTCCCAGAATGCTCTTCTCCACAAAGCAGACTGCCCTTCAGAGGGCTAACCAGGGGCTGAGCTTACTCTCCTAGGGGCCTGGATCACTTCTGCTCCCTCACCACATACTTTAGAAAGTATAAAGAAGTTTATGGCTCCTCAGGGCCCAAGCCCAACTGCTCTGGGAAAGACACTCTAGGGAGGGCAGAGGAACATCCTGGGGAAGAAGGAAGAAAAAAGAGTAGCGGGGGAGAGGGCTGCCCTCTGTGTGTGTCTTGAGACAGGTGGACACTAGCAACTTGGCTTGAAGAGCATTTCACTTGAGTCATCTAGGACGTCCCTCCACCCAGTGGCCTGCTCCCTTGCCTCCTCCATTGGCAGTACTAAGCCTAACTTAGTGAATGAAGTGATCCAGGTTGTGGCTGCTGGATACTCCCCTGCCCCCCTTTCTAACATGCCTCTTTGCAGGCCCCAGAGCCCTCAGGCTATGGCCTCGCTGCAGAGGCTGCCCTGAAGCTGCCTTCTTGAGCAGTGGCCCCTGCTCCAAACCTCTTGAAGACCTTTCCGCATTCCCCCAGCTCCTTCTGAAGCCTTGTCTTGGCTGATACATGGATGTTGATGGCCTCCCTTGTTGCTTCTCCCAGCAGTGTTTACCAAGGGTGTTTGGGAAAGGCTTGCATGATATCACAGGGCAGCTAGAGGGGAGAAGTGTTGGGAGACTGGAAAGGCCTCTGTGTGATCCCACTAATCATATTATCAAGTAGCAATCCATATACTCTTTTTTTTTTTTTTTTGAGATAGAATCTTGCTCTGTCACCCAGGCTGGAGTGCAGTGGTGGATCTCGGCTCACTACAACCTCCACCTCCTAGGTTCAAGCGATTCTCCGGCCTCAGCCTCCTGAGTAGCTGGGACTACAGGCATGCGTCACCATGCCTGGCTAAGTTTTGTATTTTTAGTAGAGATGGGGTTTCACCATGTTGGCCAGGCTGGTCTCAAACTCCTAACCTCAAGTTATCCACCTGCCTCAGCCTCCCAAAGTGCTGGGATTACAGGAGTAAGCCACCATGCCCGGCCAACCCATATACTCTACCTGCTCAGGGCAACCAGCTCACACCACTGAGAGCTGTATCACCTGCAGGATGTGCTGAGTACCACACACTCTGGTTGGATGGCTGGAATAGAGAATAGGGCTGCCAGATAAACCCCTACACTTGGGGCATTTTACATAGAAATGTTGGGAAATATGCAAATCAGGGTGGGAGGTGGTTTTGAATTATAGGCATCAGTTCGTCTTCTCTTAACCTCCAAGAAAATAAATTATCTCATCACTGCCCCCACCTCTCACTTCATCACTATGGGGAAATGAAACTCCTATTTAATACTTTCATCAACTCTTCCTTCACTGGAGAAGTCACTTTTCCCATTTCATCCAAAATGCTTCACTGCTTCTCAGCTCTGCTTCTCACCACACTATCAAGTTCCTTAGCCCTAGGATCTAGGCTTAGGGTGGAGGTGGAAAGAGTTGCAAGTCCTCTTACTCCTAGGCAGCTCCCTGACTTGCACTACTGGGAGGCTGAAAGTGCCCCCACTAAAGCTCCTTTGGGTTAAGACACTGGTGACTTGTATTAAACACTAAATGTGTTCTTTGGGGAAAAAAAACCATACTAATCCATCATTACTCAAGAAAACCTTCTCAGAAAAAAAAATGAATCCATCATCACTCATGAAAACCTTCTCAAGAAAGAACATACAAGATTCACCTGACATTCATTGCACAGTACACAGGTCCACATGCTTTATCTGGTTTCCAGATCCAAAAAAGTTCTGATAATCCATTATTTTCATAAGCTTGACATCAAAATTCATTAGATGGCAAAACCTGACCTAAACTGATATAAAGTGTTTAAAAATATTTGTCCCACTGAGTGTGAATTTTCATGGAATCTGCTGAATAGTGTGTTGGATTACAGGAAGCTGTCCAGAGCTCACTGAGACCTAATATATGGTCCTTGCAAAATATAAAACATTCTGGATTCTGAACACCTCTGGTCTTACAAGATTCAGATAAGGGATCATGGACTTGAACTTGGATACATTGGTTTTCTGAGGAAGGCATCCTTGGGTTGTGTAGAGACAGAGCACTACATCCAGGAAGCTTTATAGCTTGCAGAATGTCCTCTTGGCCACGTTCACTTTTGACCCTCATTGCATCATTGCGAGGCAATCAGGGCAGATATCAATAGCTTCATTTTGCAAACAAGGATACTTGGGGTTCAGAGAGTGAAGCCACCTCCCCATGGTTTGCAAGTAGTAGAGCACAGGCTCAAATCTAATCTTCTAAACAAAGTACTGACATGTGGCTGAGGGCCAGTCCTGAAGCCAGGCAAAGATACAGAAAGTGACACTTTGCATCCTGGCATCCTGAGAGGTGTCCAGGCCGTTTTTCTTCTCACCCCCCATGTGACCTAAATCCTTGGGGATACTGGCAGGCTGACTGACTATATTAAGGACTTGAAATGGCACAACCATTGTGTGAGTGTGAGGATCCCTTCAGAGAAAACTGGCCAAGCTGCCAAGGAGCCTATCAGTAGAGGTTCAGGAGCACCAGGGCAGCAACACCACTCTCACCTTCCTCTTTCTAATGTCCCTGGAAAATGATAAAAATGGCGATAGAAAACATTTATATAGGCTGGACACGGTGGCTCACACCTGTAATCCCAGCATTTTGGGAGACTGAGGCAAGTGGATTGCTTGAGGCCAGGAGTTTGAGACCAGCCAACATGGCAAAACCCCGTCACTACTAAAAATACAAAAAATTAGCCGGGCATGGTGGCACACGCCTGTGATCCCAGCTACTCGGGAGGCTAAGGTGGGAGACTCACTTGAACCTGGGAGACGGAGGTTGCAGTGAGCTGAGATCACGCCACTGCACTCCAGTGTGAGTGGCAGAGTGAGACTCCGTCTCAAAAAAAAAAAGCCAGCGCGGTGGCTCACGCCTGTAATCCCAGCACTTTGGGAGGCCAAGGCGGGCGGATCATGAGGTCAGGAGATCGAGACCATCCTGGCTAACACGGTGAAAACCTGTCTCTACAAAAAAAAATACAAAAAATTAGCCAGGTGTGGTGGCGGGCGCCTGTAGTCCCAACTACTCAGGAGGCTGAGGCAGGAGAATGGCGTGAACCCAGGAGGCGGAGGTTGCAGTGAGCCGAGATTGCGCCACTGCACTCCAGCCTGGGTGCGAGAGGGAAACTCTGTCTCAAAAAAAAAAAAAAAAAAAAGAAAGAAAACAGAAAGAGAGAGAGAGAGAAAGGAAGGAAGGAAGGAAGGAAGGGAAGAAAGAGAACGTTTATATAGTGCTACATGCCAGACACTGTTCTAAGTACCTTACATTATTAGCTTATGTAATCCTCACAACAGCCCTCTTTAGTAGCTGCTTTGAATATCCCCCATTTAACAGATGAGGAGATGAAGTACTGGGAAGTTAAGTCATTTGCCCAGGGCCACAAAGGTCATAAAAGTTAGCAGAGTTGGGACATAAACCCAGGCAGTCTGGCTCCCAAGTGCATATTCTAGAGAGTCACTATGCCCAGGCTGCTCTGAAGGTCATGAGTTGAAGACTGAATTGGGGAAGAATCCAGCTCCCTTGCAGACCTGAGTCACTCTTTGCCCAGGGATCTTTACCCTGGCTCCTTTGCAAAGTCTTCTTCCTGTTCTGCTTGAGCTCTAGTGCCCCTATGCTCCAGGGAGGCAGCCCTTCCTGCCAATACCTGTCTACAGTACAACCCCTTCCCACCTCTTCCATCCCACACTCACCTTAAAACCCATCGGGCGGAGCTTACATGCTATTTCTGCATCATGCAGTGCATTCTCATGAGACTCCAAGGTGAAATAAATCTGAGACCGATTGCTATAAAGCAAGTGGTCATTTGGAGCTGTCAAAATAAGAAAGAAAAACCTTTATTAATGGCCCCCAGCGCAAGCAGGTGTTAAGTCCTGTATGAGTATGGATCTTGAGCAAATGATAAGTTTTCTAGGACTTTTCTACTGGAGATCAAAAGGGTTAGGCTCTATTTCTAGTCCTAATATTGTCCTGCCTTCTATACCCCCAGCCACTCTGGGCCTGAGGTTCCCCAACTGCAAAGTCATTTTTGCCCCCGCTCACAAGTGGTTCATTAGAGGCCCCGTGGTGTCAGTGGTGCATTAGACACTTTGACATAGGCGAGATGTGGCTACACACGGCTAGTGTCCGGCAGCCTGGTTTATGAGTGCAGTATTACCAACAAGAAAACAGGCCAGGTAGGAAGGAGAGAGAGGTGGGCAGATGTGACCCCTATCTGAACCACCAAGAAGACAAATCCAAGTTACTTTTCCAGGTGGGAATGACTGATGACATTAGTAACACCTTTGTCTACAAAGCCCAGCACATATGAAGATTTCTTGAAGAAAATGGAAATACATTTACATGGTCCCATCCTCTCATTTCAAATGGCCAAATGTAAATGAACTTGGACAAGGTTTCTGGGAATAAGGTGAGGCCGGCTCTCACCAAAAACTCTGAATTACTAGATGTCAGAGCTGGACAGGCTATTAGAGATTATCTGGCTCAATCAACCCATTCTTCAGATGGGAAAATCAAGCCCAGAGAAGGGAAGGCATTTTCTCAAGGTCACACGGCTAGCTGGGCAGTCACTGATAACTGGTCAGACTTTGAAGCTTTGAAGCTGGGATGTGGGGAGCAGGTTCCTTTTTCTGAAGGTGTGTGCAGTACTTGGAATAATACGGACACAATGGCCATCTTCCAGAACAGAGAGCCTCCTTTCCTCTTAGAAGGGTAAAGCTGGCCTTGACATTTTCACCCTGACTTCTCTGAGGGGATTAACAAAGATGCAAGGAAGAACTTCCAGGGGAATGTGGTGGCAACAGAGGAGAAGGGTGAGGGCAGGAAGGGGCTTTCCTGGCCCCTGGGGGATGGCTAAAAGGTATGGAATCTGCCTTAGAGATCTAGAGTTAAGTGACCTCCACCTGCCTCATTCATATTGCCCTGCTCTTCCCCAAGATCTGGGATCTAGCTTCCTCTGTGGCAACAGGCTTTGATGTTTTTTTTTTCCCCAGGGGTGTGCTCAGGGCTTGCTTGCGTGCCCATTACTTGCTCTTAAGACATTAGCAAATTGTTTAGTCTTTTCTGTCTTTTTTCTTCTGCAGCACACTCCAGCCTGGTGGCAGCTCACAGTCTGCCTTGCTTGTGCACAGACAGGAGCTAGAAGGGTCCCCTTCTCCGGCTGCCAGCCTTGCCCCTTCAGTCCTCATTCCTCCTCCTCCTCCCCCCATTACCTGTTGCAAGCTTGAGTGGAGATTAAACACGTGGAGACTCCGGCCCACACCCCTCCTCCACTCCACAGAGTCAGGTCCAGGACACCCTCGGATCCCAGGGCCCTGCCTGCCCAGCCCTGCTGCCTCCTCCCCGGCATGCTTCGCCAGACACCGCGCCCCACGGCCGAGCTCCTGGCAAACTGCCAGAGCTGGGCAACACCGGCTGGCGGCTCAGCAGCCACTTCCTGGGTCCAGGCGTGGTGGGTCAGAGAGCGGCTCCCTGGGGAAATTCGGGTGCCCTAGTCTAGCTGGAGATGGGGGACTGCCCACGTTACCCTTGAAGCTGCAAAGCCCACCCAACCCTCCCAGGCGGCACTGAAAAGCGGGACAGAGGCGTGACCCATTCGTAGCCAGCCCACGGTCCCCAGGGATCCCCAAGCAGTTGCCGCGCCGGCCTCCCGCCGGGCTGGCCAGGTTAAAGGGGTTGGAGGCGAGGGCACAGGCTACGGGTTGGCGGGGCGGGCAAGGGGGGGCATCTATTTCAGCCGAGGATCGTGTGATAGGAAGCGGTGACAATGAGTCACAGGGCAGCGGGGCGCAAGCGCTCCCCCTCCCCCCGCACATGCTCGTGGGATGGTTTCCGAAGCGAGCGTGGTGGCCCACTTCAGTTACCTCAGCGGTTACACAATCCCGCCCGCTCGCGCGGGGGAGGGGCGCCCGACCCGGGCCGCTCGCGGCCCTTATGCAACCAGTGCTCTCCTGACCTAATTCCATGCCGGACCCACCCCACAGGGAGCCGCGGCCCCGGAAGGGGCAACACCCGGCGGCGCGAGCGGCGGACGCAGGCGCCGACCGGACATCTCCTGCTGGCTACAGCCCAGAGGACCGGGCGCAAGTGCGAGGAGCGCGCGAAGTTCCTCTCCTCGCTGGGAAGGTGCGAGCAGGTGTAAGAGGAGACCAGGAGTGCAGCGGGAGAAGGAGAGTCAGAGGAACAGAGACAGTGACACCGAAAAAGAAAGAAACAGTGACAAAGATACGAAGAGACGGAGAAAAAGAACCAGAAGCAAGGAGACACAGACAGGAACGGGGACTGAGAGACAGGAACACAAAAGCTAACAGAAGTAGCAGGAAAAGACAAAAAGCAACCGAGATCAACACAAACACAGTGAAACACAGATAAGCAGTGAAAACAGAACAAACTCAGAGACCCAGCCCCAGAATCACCCCTCCCCCACCCCGCCACAGTCCATGGGTCCCCCGCCCCCTCTTCTGCCCTGGTCCAAATCCCTTCTCGCTGCGGGGTTTGTTCTCCCGCTCCCTCATGTAGCCACCGAGCCCCAGCCCCGGCCCGGCAGCGCGTTGGACTCACCCAACTTAACTGCCTCGTTGTACTTGAGCAGTGCCGCCTCCACCTGGCGCTCGCGGTACAGTCGGTTGCCCTCGTGCCGGAGTTGCGACGCTCGCGCTGGGCCTGGAAACAACTTGCCGAGGAGGCCGCTGAGCACCACGTTGACTCGCAGCGGCGGCGGCGGCTGCTGCCCAGCCCGCCGGGCTCCACGCGCCCGCCCAGTGGCCACCATCAAGGCGGAGAGCTTGACCCCGCACAGCGCACAGCGCCGGTCGGCGGCCCGCCCACGTTCCAGGCACAGTTTACAAAAGGTGTGGCCACACGACAAGGACACGGGGTCTGATAGAAACCCATGACATTTCCGGCACTTAAAGCCGTCCCACACCTCGGTGGCCGCCGCAGCCGCGGCGGCCCCCGTCTCTTCCGCCGCCACGGTGCCGCTTGCAGTGCTACCCTCGTCCGGGGGCGCCGGCGCCAGCGCCTCGCCTTGCGGGACTTTCTCCGCCAGGCAGCGCACCAGCTGCTCCAGCTGCTCAGCCACCAGCTGCTGCCGCTCGGAGAGCTGTCTATACACCTCGAGGGCTTCACGGATTCGCCCCCGGGACGCCAAGGCGTCTGCCTGCGTGAGCAGGACTTTGCTCTCCGGCGTTGAGGTCCCCGGAGACTGCTCTTGCTCTGGCTCCCGCGTCGGTAGAGGTGCGGGGCCCTCTGCAGCCACCTTTGGGTGGGGGCCCATGTCTACTTGGGCCGCTGATGCCCCTCGCTCCGCCGACTCCAAGTTGTCGCTGCTGACCTCAGCGGGCAAGCTCAGCATCTGTTCGATCCGTACTGACTCCATGGGAAGAGGGACACGGGAGGAGACGAGGCGTCTAGGGACCGGGGACACGAAGCAAGGAGTGGCAGCTGGAGGAAATCGGGGCAGCCACCGCCGCCATGCCACCGAGCTCCTGACCCTGCCGCGCCTCCGGGAGCTCCATGCCGGCCGCCCCGCGCCGCCTAATAACTGTCTTGTCTCAGCAAAGTGTTATATAAAACGGTACCACGTGACGTGCCGCCACGCTGTTCATTGGCCGGCGGCGGGGAAATTGTTACAAAACCAGACAGTTTTGTAACAGTGTTGCTCTTGCTTCTTTGGGCTTCGCTTTTCTTGGCTTCTTTTTGAGGTTGTTTGTGTTTACACTTCGCCTTATTCCTCCTCACCACCTGGTTCTTTTTCGGAAGTGGGGTTGTGGGGTGGGGAGAAACTCAGTGTCTTCTCTTGGGCTTCTCAGTCTCCAAACCCCACTCCATCCCACCTCCAAACGGGCCAGCAAACAGGTCCCCTCTGCCAGCCGCTGACCAGCGGCCCCCCACTCCTCCCAGGAGAGGCTGGTACCTCGAGGTGCACAGTCCGCAGGGTCTTCCGGGACGCCTAAGACTCTCCCTCTTGGGGGAGATGGCTGCTGTCAGGGAAAGGAAGCAGGTTGGGAGGGGTATCCGTGAAGCCCCCCCACACACACACAACCCAGTCCCAGCCCGAGAGCCCTGGGAGCCCCGCCTGGGTTCCTTGCCTTCTCCCAGGAGCCTCCCAAAGGTGGTGAATTCGGTTTCTGAGGGTGCTTGGTGTTCTGTGCCAAGAGTGACTCAGAGCAGCGGGTCCCACCGGCGCAGAAGTTGGGCAGCGCTCGCTGGACAGTGAGGAACTCGCGGAGAAGATGCGCTTGCCGGCTCAGCCCTGGGAGGGAGATGCCCCGCTAACTCCCCTCTTTACCTCTCTACCCCCAACGCCAGAACTAGCGCTGGGGCAGGCGGTAGGCGCCCAGCTGGAGACACACCAGGCCGGCCCCTGGAGCCACTGGCCGGATGGGCGCGGCAGGGATGTACCCGGCCTGCTGGGGTCGGTGGGTACTCTGGGGGCGTGGGAGAGTGGCAGGGGGAAGACGCGAGCTGAGAGCGCTATTCAGGAGAAAGTCCGCGAATCCCGGCACAGCCCAGTGGCAGACCGAATAGCCTCCAGGTTTGTCGCTCCTGAGCGCTGCGCGGGAAGGGTACAACTGGGCACGAGCCTCAGCGCCTGGTTTACAATGGCTAGGGGGCCTCGACGGTGTCCTACACACTTCCTGAAGGCGAGCGGGGTGGCCAACTGCACACTCTTTGTCTGCCTTGAACCCCCACATTTAGGACGGGAACCAAGCTCACAAATGAGCAGACAGAAAACGGTATAGTCGCACTGCTCCAAGCAGGGAGGCAGGGACTAGGCTTGCCGCTGGCTCAGTTGGCCTTCAGAGCCTGCGGGCTCTTGGGCAGTGCCAGGTTGCCGCCCCAGGGGCCTGAAGACCTATTGTTGCCCCCTGCTGCAGCCACCTCTTAGCCAGATGACCTTGGGGAAGTCAAACTTTAGAATCCATCATTTTTGCTTCTGAACAAATGTTAGAGCTGATCTTACTTGGGATTAAGTCATGTTTCAGAGTTGGGTTATGGCAGGCCCCCTCGGGTCTCTGCTTCTCTTTAGGTAGTTAAACCAGTCTTAGATCAACACCAAGGTCCCAGAGAACAGGTACTATGCAGCCAGCTCTAGAGCCTCTTTCTAATAAGACAGGACAGAGGGAGAGGGTCACAGGGCAGAAAGGAAGCATCACATAGGGGAAAAAAGACACACACACGAAAAAAAAAAAAAATGAAGAAGAAGGAGAAGGAGAAGAAGAAATAGAGAAACTCCAGATGTAGTCAGGAAAGCACGAGGGACACATTGGAAAACTTGGCTTGAAGCCTTGGATTTGTCACATATTTGCTATGAAACCTTAGGTAGGTTCTCCAAACCTTAGTTTCTCTTAATCTCCAAGGTTCCCTCCAGCTCTAACCTTGAGTGGCTTTGATCCTAAGACCAAATTTCATGATACTAACTCAGTTACTTAAGTACAAATGACTAGTCCAAATGCTGTGGATGGTGGCTTGAACCGGGGTTGAGGGGATGGGAAATCAATGGAAGATTGTCCATTTAGTCGGGGTCAGACCTGAGCTAGATTTTTTTTTTTTTTTTGAGATGGAGTTTGGCTATTGTTGCCCAGGCTGGAGTGCAATGGAACGATCTCAGCTCACCACAACCTCCGCCTCCCAGGTTCAAGTGATTCTCCTGCCTCAGCCTCCCAAGTAGCTGGGATTACAGGCACGTGCCACCACAGCTGGCTAATTTTTTTGTATTTTTAGTAGAGACGGGGTTTCTCCATGTTGGTCAGGCTGGTCTCGAACTCCTGACCTCAGGTGATCCGCCCGCCTCAGCCTCCCAAAGTGCTGGAATTACAGGTGTGAGCCACCGCGCCTGGCCCCTGAGCTAGATTTTTAAGATGTAGAAGTCGGAGGACTGGCTAAGAGGTGGAGGAGGTGGCCATACCAAGCAGTAGGGGAGAAACTGGAGTTCCTGGTGAGTTGCTATCTAACTGAAGGGAGCTCTTTTCACCTCTCAGTTTCCCCTACTATCAAATGAGGTCCCCAGCACTAATTATCTGCCTGCCCCTTCAGGCATCTGTGAGGAAGGACAGTCGTTGGGGAAGGTAGAGATTCATGAGATAGATAATGATGAAACCATCTTAATTCAAGAGCTTTACCCCTTTGACATATCTAAAATATATATATATATGTCTGTTACCCAAAATTGTTTCCTAGATGCAAATCTGGGATGTGCTTTGCTCCGTGGATGACCTTGACAAGGGAATATCCCCTGGGTTGATTCCCCTCCCTTGCCCTGTTATGGTAGGAAGGCTAAGAGAGGGCCAGGTCAGGTAGAGAGTCACAGTCCTGCAGGCATGGAGAAGAGAAGCTCTCTCCAGGCAGGCCCTCTTGGCTGCCAGTGCAGGAGGTTGACCGTGAACTTGGTCAGGAATGTGAATAGCAGTCTGGATAATGCGAGGTACTCTGGTGTAAATGGCAGTACCAGCTACTCACTGACCAGACTCCACAGGGAGTTTTACATTGTAATCAAGACTGCCTGTAGGACAACACCAAGTGGGTTTCTATTGAATGCTGAAAAACATTATCACAGTGGTTTTCTTTCTTTGTTTGTTTAAGTTAAACAAATATTACCATTACATTGATAGACATTGTTGAACCAATTCAGAAGTCTCCTACTCAGAATTTCCTTCCCTCTGCTCTTACTAATTGGAGCCCCCCTGGAATGAGGGGAAGGGGGAGATTAACACCATCTTTTTCAGGTGCAAATATTCCCTTTGGAGTGTAAGGTTCTTTAAACCTCCATTTATTTTGCTAGGATCACCTTGTGGCTAAGGTTAACCAAGAAGAGAGAGCAAGGATTGAGCTGCCCCTCATTTTCAACTAGTAGTTTTCCAACTGGACTCTCAAGAATCTCTTTGGGGCTCAGAGGAGACAAGCAGACAGGCTTTGACCCTAGCTCCCCTCAAGCAGGGCAGTATTGTATCCATCTGTTTCACATAACTGAGCCTCCAGGTATGATTTCTTTGAAGAAAAGCTGTCCCTTACAATATCAAGTTTGAAAACCATAGCAATTTTCACACATTTTCATATATTTGTTGGGCATCTTCCACATACCAAGGACTGTTCTAGATACTGGAGACACATCAAAGCAGCAGCCGGGTGTGATGGCTCATGCCTGTAATCCCAGCACCTAGGGAGGCTGAGGTGGGTTGATCACGGCGAAACCCCGTCTCTACTAAAAATACAAAAAAAAAAAAAAAATAGCAGGGCATCATGGTGCACGCCTGTAATCCCAGCTACTTGGAAGTCTGAGGCAGGAGAACGGTTTGAAGCCAGGAAGCAGAGGTTGCAGTGAGCCAAGATCACGCCACTGCACTCCAGTCTGGGCGACAGAGTGAGAGACTCTGTCAAAAAAAAAAAAAAAAAAAAGCAGCACATAACTCCCAGGCTCTCCCTCACTTATGATAGTGCATCTTTCCCCACATACACACATCCTTGTACTGGCTTCCCATGTAGGCTAGAAGCTTCAGAGGGCAAGGACTGGTGTCTTATATCTCCTCCAGTGACATAAGCAGGACAGTGCTTGAACAGATCTTACTGAACATGCCAGTGGACATTCTGGCCCTAGGAGTGTGCAGAGGGACAAGAGGAAACAGTTGGAATGCCATGCACTGTGGTCATTCACAAAGCAGAGACTGGGCACACAAACAACAAATGGTTGACAGTCCTGTACTTGGAAAGGCCTGCTGAGCAACTCTGGGACGAAAGAGTCCATTCGAAGCCAGAGACCTGTAGTAAGGTGTAAGCAACCCCGCACACACATACACATGCACACACTCTATGCCTGGAAGCTTGGCCAAAGCACACATTTGTTCTGTATCTGATATTCTCATTTTATAAACTGGGGTGACCCATAAATCTGCAGTCCTTACAGGGGGAAAAAAAGGAACCATGGACATTAATGGTATTGATATGGAAAGCAAGACCGCTCCTTGCTATACAGAGTAGCCAAAACCCACAACTAAAAGAAAGTTTAGCCGGGCATGGTGGCTCACGCCTGTAATCCCAGAACTTTGGGAGGCCGAGGTGGGTGGATCACTTGAGGCCAGGAGTTCAGGACCAACCTGACCAACATGGTGAACCCCCATCTCTACTAAGAATTAAAAAAATAAATTAGCGGGAGTGGTGGCGCGTGCCTGTAATCCCAGCTACTGAGGAGTCTCAGGCAGGAGAATTGCTTGAACCCAGGAAGTGGAGGTTACAGTGAGCCAAGATCGCACCATTGCACTCCAGCCTGGGCGACAAAGCAAGACTCTGTTTCAAAAAAAAAAAAAAAAAAAAAAAAAGGAAAGAAAAGGAAGGAAGGAAGGAAGGAAAGTTAGCTTACACATCAGCTCTGGTTTCACAAATGAGGCCACTGAACACTAGAGAAGGCAAGTGACTTGCCACAGGTCATAATGAATTTGATACAGCCAAATTGGAAGCTAGGGCTCATATCTCTTTGTTTATAAAATTTTTTTTTTCATATGATCAGAAAGCTAAAGAGCACAGAACATCTCCTTCTTTTTTTTTTTTTTTGAGACAGAGTTTCGCTCCTGTTGCTCAGGCTGGAGTGCAATGTCGTGATCTTGGCTCACTGCAAACTGCGCCTACTGGATTCAAGTGATTCTCCTGCCTCAGCCTCCTGAGTAGCTGGGATTACAAGCATGTGCCACCGCGCCCAGCTGATTTTGTATTATTTTAGTAGAGACAAGATTTCTCCATGCTGGTCAGGCTGGTTTCGAACTCCCGTATCTCCTTCTTATTACTTATTGTAAGAAATTATTTCAGATTTCCCACCTACAAGATTTTCATCAGTTCAGCAAATATTTATCGAGCATATACTATGTGCTAATGGAGTTGGCATTTGTAGGGCAATAATAGGATGTGACACAGTCCTTATCCTCTAGTAGCTAACTGAGGAAACAAGAGACAAAGATTTAAAAAATAACAGGCAGTCTGTAAGAAGTGCCAAAATTAAGGGAACAGTGTGTCCACGGAAGCCCTCAAAGGGGACAGACTGCAATGCAGTCTCATGGAAAAGGTGCTTTTAAGCTAGGTTGGAGAGGATTTAAATAGAGAAGTGAGACCATCCTGCGGCTCAATACCAGGGGACTTCCTTTATATTGGGGGATAGGTGGCCCAGGAAAAAGAGAATTCCAAGTAAGCTGGACTGGTCAAGTGCAGTGACAGGATCTCAGCTCACTGCAACCTCTGTGTCCCAGGTTCAAGCGATTCTCCTGCCTCAGCCTCCCGAGTAGCTGGGATTACAGGCATGCACCACCACACCCGGCTAATTTTTGTATTTTTAGTAGAGACGAGGTTTTGCCATGTTGGCCAGGCTGGTCTCAAACTCCTGACCTCAGGTGATCCATCCGCCTCAGCCTCCCAAAGTGCTGGGATTACAGGCGTGAGCCACCGCGCCCAGCCAGGAATTTGTATTCTTAAAGGCTACGCATGTGATTGTGATGCTCAGTTAAATTTGATGTTCACCCATGTAAAGGATGATGCAGAATACACTGGAGGAGTTTACCCCGATTCTTCCCTCCCTACCTCATCCTCAGTTCCCCTGGTAGTGGCATTAATAATTCTTCCCTACATTTTACTGAAGGGTAAACTGAGAGTCCAGAGACTTTCAATGATGTGCACAAGGTCATTCAGCAGTAGTGGAGATACTGGCCTGTCAACCACTAAGAAAAGAAAGATGGCAAGATACTATCCCAAGGAAGATTTCGCTTAATTTCTCTGCAAGACAAGTTAGACGCGCTTGGTTAGCCAGGGAGTCTGTCGCCCAGAGTGCAAAAAGGAGCAAGTCTTGAGCTGCCAGGTGTGTGGGACAGAGCCCAGGGCAAGGTTAGTTGCTGGGAGGTTGGAGTTCTAACTTTGCTATGTGACTCAGCCCAAGCCACTTCCCCTCTCTCTTTATGTCTGTTCTTCACCGATGAATAACAATGCCCAGCGTCACTGTTGGAATTAGTTACCAGTGATGGAAAATGCACAGTGCAGTTAGTCCCGATGTGAGATGTGATTCCTGGGAACAGAAGGGATGCACAGCCATCTGTTAATTGTTATGAGTAAAATTTGCGCTGGCTGCTCTCAGAGTAAGCATTTTCTTCCCAAGAGGAGAGTGGGCAGGAGGCTTGAGCCTGGGCCCTGCCCTCTTCAGAGACACTCACCAATGTGGAGGCTCTAGAGGACCAGACAGAGCAGTCTGGTCATGGGAGGAAAAAGAAACAAAAGGCAGGTTATCTGGAGGGAAAGCAGCAAACATTCATCAGGAGCAAATTATCTGAAGGCTTTGGCAGGACTGAGAAATGGTTAGAATCAGGGCTTGGATCTTTTTATTAAATTGTAGTAAAATATACATAACATAAAATTTATCATTTAACCACTTTTAAGTGCATGATCAGTGGCATTAAATACATTCACATTGTTGTGCAACCATCGTCATCATTCATCCATCTCCAGAACTTTTTTCATCTTGTAAAACCAAAATTCTATACCCGTTCAACATTAATTCCCCATTCTGTTTTCTGCCAATCCCCTGGTAAGTCACCATTCTACTTTCTGTCTCTATCAATTGGACTACTCTAAGCAGCTCAAAGAAGAAGATTCATACAATATGTGTCTTTTTCCAACTGGCTTATTTCACTTAGCATAATGTCCTCAAGGTTCATCCATGTTGTAGCATATGAGAATTTCCTTCCTTTTTATTTTGGAGACGGAGTCTCGCTCTATCGCCCAGTCTGGAGTGCAATGGCGCAACCTCAGTTCACTGCAACTTTCGCTTCCTGGGTTTAAGCCATTCTCCTGCCTTAGCCTCCCGAGTAGCTGGGTTTACAGGTGCACACTGCCATGCCTGGCTTATTTTTTGTATTTTTTAGTAGAGACGGAGTTTCACCGTGTTGCCCAGACTAGTCTCGAACTCCTGAGCTCAGCCAATCTGCCTGCCTTGGCCTCCCAAAGTGCTAGGATTACAGGCATGAACCGTGTCACCCGGCCGCAAGAATTTCCTTCCTTTTTAAGGCTGAATAATATTCCATTGCACGTAAATCTCACATTTGTTTATTAATTCGTCTGTTGATGGACACAGGTTACTTCTGCTTTCTGGTTATTGTGAATACTGCTGCTATGAACATGGGTATACAAATATGTCTTTGAGACCCTGATTTTAATTCTTTTGGGTATATACCCAGCAATGGAATTGCTGGTTCACACTGTCCTTCTATTTTTTTTACTTTTTATTTTTTGAGGAACCAACACACTGCTTTCTACAGAGGCTGCACTATTCTGCATTCCCACCAGCAATGCGTAAGGGTTCCAATTTCTCCATATGCTGGCCAATTCTTTTTGTTTTCTGTTTTGTTTTTTTTTAATAGTAGCCATCATAATGAGTGTGAGTAATATCTCATTGTGGTTTTGATTTGCATCTCCCTAATGATTAGTGATGTTAAACATCTTTTCATGTGCTTTTTTGCCATTTTCATATCATCTTTGGAGAAAGGACTATTCAAGCCTTTTCCCATTTTTTAATCAGTTTGTTTTTTTAAGAAAACAATTGCTGGCCGGGCGCGGTGGCTCACGCCTGTAATCCCAGTGTTTTGGGAGGCCGAGGCAGGCAGATCACGAGGTCAGGAGATCAAGACCATCCTGGCTAACACGGTGAAACCCCGTCTCTACTAAAAATACAAAAAATTAGCCGGGTGTGGTGGTGGGCACCTGTAGTCCCAGCTACTCAAGAGGCTGAGGCAGGAGAATGGCGTGAACCCGGGAGGCAGAGCTTGCAGTGAGCCAAGATCACGTCACTGCACTCCAGCCTGGGCGACAGAGCGAGACTCCGTCTCAAAATAAAAAATAAATAAATAAATAAAAAGAAAACAATTGCTGCTGAGTTTTAGGAGTTCTCTATATATTCTGGATATTGATCCCTTACTGGCTATGTGATTTGCAAATATTTTCTCCCATTCTGTGAGTTGTCTTTTCACTCTGTTGATAGTTCTCTTATATGAAGACTTTGGCAGGGCATGGATCTTGAACTTGAAAAATCTGGATTCAAAATCTGGCTGTGTAACATTGGGCAAGCTGTGTTTTCATCTGAAAAATAGGGATGACGCTCATAATAGAACCTTGCTTATAAGATTGCTATAATGATAAGTAAATGAGATTGTACATGTAAAATCTTACTGCAGAGCCTAGACCAGGTTAAGTGCTCAATAAGTGGTAGCCTTTATTACTATTGGGCTTAAGAAGGAGCCAAAATAATGTGCTTGAAATATTATATTCTTTATTATCAAATGGGTGAGTATGCCAACAATAACTAAGCAAGCAATCTGAACACAATAACGTTACATAATACTTAACACTTGTGTAGCAAGTTGCAGTTTACAAAGCATTTAAACATGCATCATTCATTCAACGAGCTCCACTGGGGACATAATGATGAGTAAGACACAGTCCTGCAGAAGTGAGTGGGAGAAATCAACAAGGAAAAAAAGGCCGTTTAATCAGGCTGAGGAGTGTTAAGAAGACAGAAGCATAGGGTGCTGCGGGGGTGTGACGGGGGAGACACAGAGGAAGAGCAGTTCAGACTGGGGGAGGGTTTCCCAGGTGGGTAATATAGATACAGAATATTACAGGGTTAGAAGAAGAAAAGGGGGAGTGGGAGCTGGAAGGCACTGAGTGTTCTGGGAACAAGAAGAAGCTAGTGCAAAGGCTGGAGGTGAGAGAAGCTGGCTTACTCAGGAACAGCTGTTAATTATGGCTAGAGCCTAGGATTTAAGAGGGAGTAGTAGTGTGGGATGAGTCCAGAGAAACCAGCAGGTGCCAGATCATGAAAGGCCTTGTAGACCAGGGTAAGGAATTGGGATTTTTATTATGATAATAACAGAGACCTATTGAAGGGTTTTGAGCAGATGAGCTACGTAACTGGGTTTGCCTTTTCAAAAGATCTCTTTGGCTACAGTGTAGAGAGCAAAATGAAGAGGACTCAGCTAAGGAGAGAACAGAGGATGGAGAAAAGAGGAATTTAGGGATAAGACAGAGCAGATGTGGAGACTGACTGGATGACCTCAATTGATTCTCTTTGGTAGTAACTTAGATATTAACATCAATGGAAGTTGAGGATCCTAGGCTAAGTGATTTGTACGAGGTCTCACAGCCTAAAGAATTTGGTCAGGACCCTGGCTTTCCACCTTGACATCTTTTGTTCACTTCTTCAGAAGATGCTGTTAGATGGGTTGCTAGATCTTTGTATGTAAAGCCACTTCAAGGAATTCAAGTCCCATTTCCCCATTGACTGCTATGAAGCAAATATTCATTTCAGAGCTATAGTACTTTATCTAAATGTTGAACTGGTCATCAGTGTACTATGTTTTGGAATACTTGAGCTTCAAGTCACTCTTTTATCTTCTATTTTACTTTTAGCATTTAATGGGCAGCCTGTAAGCAAACGCTTCCATTCCAGGGAGGCTCATATAAACAGGCCAAGGCTCAGGAAAGAAAAATGGGCTTGCGTCCTAGCCCAGACCACTAATTAGCTGTGGGATGTAACTAGTCACTTTCTTTTTATAAACTTGTATCAGAAAACCCAGGGGAATAGAATACACAAGTGCATACTCACTCAAATTCAATAACTTTATGAATGTCTTTTAAAATAACTGCACTTTCAAACTGTGAATAGCAACTCTGTCATCAATCTATTTGGTAAATTGGTCTCTGACCTCATAATACACTTATACTTGATAGCGATTTTCCCTGAACTCTACTGTTTGCTCACCAGGGAGTGTGTCCCTGCCCTGTAATTGCTGAGCATGGTGTTATCAGACTCAAAGTGTCAACCAAGATACATGGGTATGTTTGTTTTTTTCTGAGACACTTGTACTGCTAATATACTTTTGGAGGGGGAGGGCCACTCACTGAGTTAGAAAACCAGTAGGAAGGGAAAAAATGACTGAGGAAGGAGATGAAATTACAGTTTATGAAAAACCCAACTGATATGCCTATCCTGAGACATCAATAAGATGATGAAGAAGTGTTGCTGTGAATGGCAAGGCCCTGCACACACAGAGGGTATTAATGATAATAATCTTTCTTCGAATCCCACAAGCTAGGTTAGCCTGTAAGTGAAAAGGAGCCTGTGGTGGTGCAGACTTGCCCAGAATCAGGGCCCAGTGGGGCTGCAGTTCCTGCTCAACAGGAAGGATGGAGCCCTGACAGGCAACTCCACTCCCAGGGGCTGAGCTCAAGGTCACAGAGCCTGTGCAGTGACCCCCATGGGATGTGGGAGTGAAGGTCAAATCCCAAGAGAGACCAGCATTCCACACTGTCCCCCACCCCTCCCGTGGCTTCCAGGAGCAGCAGGAAGCACTGGGCTTGAGGACCAGGGGCCCTACCCCACCTGGAGGGAGATGGCACTCCTGCACTGGTGTTTCTCTTTGGAGAGTGCCCACAGCCTGCTTTGGCTGTGACACAGTAGACTAGGAGGCCAGCAAGGGACCAAGTCACTCCCTGTATGTGGGGGGCGGGCGCAGGGTCTCCCCTGAGGGGTGAGATCCCTCATTGTCCCCAGCCTCACAGCAGAATCACACTAGGCCGGAAGAGCAGAAACCTCAAGTGAGGCCAGGGAAATGATCCTAAGAAAAAGGAAGAGGGGATAGCAAGGCCCTTTGTAGACAGTCAAGCCCTAGGCAGGTAGAAGAGAAACACCATTCATGGTGATAGTGATTCCAAAGCCCTTTGAGTCATTCAGCAAGCATTTACCAAACACTGACCTGGTGCAGAGCCCTGTGGCAGGCTCCGTGGGTGTTACAAACTTGAGGCAGGCCTGGGCGTTCCCCCTAAAGGGCCTTTCTTAGGGGAGCTAAACCATATCCACACATATCACTGTCATTCAGGATGGCCTCTGGTGAGGGTGGTAGGGGGCAGATATAGAAAAGTAGGCTGCCTGGAGGCCCTGAGTTTTGAGACAGGCTGTAAAGTAGATCTTTGGGCTGGTCTTCCAGGGGTGTTGCCTGTTATCCCAACATTAAGTGGAAACCTCTGTGGGTTGTTGTGGCTTTAGGTCTCTCCCTCTGTCCCACCCTGACCCTGATGTTGGTCTGCAAATGGAAAGGACTTGGCCACTTCTGTTGACTGACAGAGGGAGTAGGGTGGGGAAAGAGAGCACCTTTCCCTAAGGAAAATTGTCATCATCATCCAAATGTCTGTCTTCTCATCTAGACTAAACTGGGGCAAGCCACAAGTCTTAGGCAACTGTGAGTCCCCAGCCCCTAACACAACTTCAGGCGTATAGTAGATGCTCAATACATGTTCACTGCATGATTGAATGAGTAGAGTCTAGAGTGTTTGTCCTGCAGCTTCGAGTGGACAGCCCTGCTCTTCATGACCTGGGAAGACACTTTTTGCTTTCAATGAAAACTGTCTACCTAGGAGGATTTGATTTTGCGGTAGGCATAAAGATGCCTTATTCGTCATCCTCCTCACCATAGAACTTCCATTAAATCTTCTAGGACTGTCCTCTAGGTCTGTCCTCTGGACAGGACAATATCCCCTTCCTTCCTCCTTACCACAAGGCTCAAGTTTTTTTTTTTTTTGTTTGTTTGTTTTTTACAGCCAAGAACCCTCTGAGGCCTCGTGCATTTTGACATAAGTCCTGTGGAGACAATGTCCTGCCTTTACTGCCCTACCCAGACAGAGTATGCTGCCTATCTTTTGAAGCCCAAGTCCCTCCTCCTCTGGGAAGCCTTTCTTGAGAAAAGGCCACACACTGTGACCTTTCCTGACTCTCTTGACTGCATAGTTGAGTAAGTCATTATATTATAGGTAAACATGGTTGAGTCATTTGAGTCACAGAGATGTTTCATGTGTAGCTTTTTCTCCCAAATAGATGGTGATCCCCCTGTTGCCAGAGATGCTAGCACTGACTTCTCTATTCCCGGCAGTGTCTCCCAAAAGACATTGTGCATAGGTATGTGGCAAATACTTGCTTGATTGAGGGGAAGGCAGATAACTGATCTGAACCTTCCAGGGATTGTCAAGTCACACATATTTCCTTTTTCTATGCCGGATTAATCGACTTTCTGCTATCAAGTTGTCCTGGAAGTTAGCCAAGAAACAATTCTGTCTCAACTGCAGATTAGAAGTCAGGAAATATTGGTTATAGTCCTGACTGATGTGAACTTTGGCAAGCCAGTTAGCTGACTCAGTTTCTCCAGTTAAGAAATAGGGAGACTTCCACTTCTGGCTAAGATGGAGCAACAGGGTTTGTAGTTACCCTCCTGAATGAAACAACCAAATAAAATCAAATAAAGACAGACAACATGAAGCAAGTTTTCAAGTCACTAGATATTAATAGTAGGTAACTAAGGATGGTGATCCCAGGAAGATGGGAAATAAACAAGGTGAGCCCTATGAATGTCCCAGGTTATTTTTTTTAACAGCTTTATTGTGCTATAACTCACATACCATACAATTCACCCACTTAAAATGTAGAATTCAGTGGTTTTAGTATATTCACAGATACTGCAACCATTACCAATTTTGGAACATTTTCATCACCTCAAAAGGAAATCCCATGCCCTTTGGCTATCGCTGTTTTATTCCCTATTCCCTTCAGCCCTGAGCAACAATCTACTTTCTGTCTGTTTAGATTTCCCTATTCTGGACTTTCAAATTAATGGAATCATACAATATGTGGTTTTTGTATCTGGGTTCTTTTACTCCATGTAATGTTTTCAAGGTTTATCCATGTCGTAGCATGTATCAGTAAGTACTTCATTCTTTTTATGGCCAAATAATATACCACTGTATGGAGATACCACATTGTGTCTATTCATTCATCAGTTGATGGACATTTGTGTTGTTTTCACCTTTTGGTTATTATGAAGGATGCTGCTATAAACACTCCTGTACAATTTCTGTATAAGTTTTTGTGTGGACATATATTTTCCTTACTCTTGGGTATATACCTAGAAGGGGAATTGCTGGTTCATATGACAACTTTCTGTTTAAACTTTTCACGAACTGCCAGACTGTCTTCCAAAGTGGCTGCATCATTTAACCTTCCTGTCAGCAATGTAGGACGATTCTAATTTCTCCACATCCTTGCCCATACTTGTTATCTGACTTTTTAATTATAGTCATCCTCATGGGTATGAAGTGGTGTCTCATTGTAATTTTGCCTTGCATCTCCCTGATGATGTTGAGCAACTTTTCATGTGTTTATTGTCCATTTGTACTTCTTCCCCAAAGAAATGTCTATTCAGATCCTTTGCCCATTTTTAATTGGTTTTTCTTTTTATTATTGGGTTTTTATATAGTCTAGATACCACTCCCTTATTAATGAACTGAAAATATTTCCCCCATTCTGTGGGTTGACTTTTCACTTTCATGATGGTGTCCTTGTTTTACATTTTGAAGAGATCAAATTTATCTATTTTTTATTTTGTTGCTTGTCCTTTTGGTATCATAAATAACAATTCCTTGCCAAAGCTGAGGTCATGAACATTTAATCTTATGGGGTTTTTTTGTTGTTGTTTGTTTGTTTTTTACGGAGTTTTGCTCTTTGTTGCCCAGGCTAGAGTGCAATGAAAACGTCTCGGCTCACTGCAACCTGCACCTCCCGGGTTCAAGCGATTCTCCTGCCTCAGCCTCCTGGGTAGCTGGAATTACAGGCGCCCACCACCATACCCGGCTAATTTTTGTAATTTTAGTAGAGACGGGGTTTCACCATGTTGGCCAGGCTGGTCTCAAACTCTTGACCTCAGGTGATTCACCCTTCTTGGCCTCCCAAAGTGCTGGGATTACAGGCATGAGCCACCGCACCCGGCCATATTTAGGTTTTTGATCCATTTGAGTTCATTTTTATATATAGTGTGGGGCATGATCCAACGTCATTCTTTTCTGTGTGGCTATGCAGTTGTCCCAGCACTATTTGTTGAAAACACTATTCTTTTCTCATTGAATGGTCTTGACACTCTTGTCAAAATCAGTTGACCATAGACACATGGTTTTATTTCTGGACTTTCAATTCTATGCCATATATCCTTATACCACTACTGCACTGTCTTGATTACCGTTTGTTGTAAAATTTGAAATCAGGAAATGTGAGTCCTTCTACTTTGTTCTTCTTTTTCCAGATTGTTTTAAGTATTCTGGGTCACTTGCAATTCCATATGAATTTTGGAATCAGCTTGCCAAATTCATTCTTTCTTTCTTCTTCTTCTTTTTTTTTTTTTTTTGACGGAGTCTCGCTCTGTCACCAGGCTGGAGTGCAGTGGTGCAAACTTGGCTCACTGCAACCTCCGCCTCCCAGGTTCAAGCGATTCTCCTGCCTCAGCCTCCCGAGTAGCTGCGATTACAGGCACACAACGCCACGCCCAGCTAATTTTTGTATTTTTAGTAGAGACGGGCTTTCACCATGTTGGCCAGGATGGTCTCAATCTCTTGACCTTCTGATCTACCCGCCTCAGCCTCCCAAAGTTCTGGGATTACAGGTGTTAGCCACTGCACCCAGCCATCTTGCCAATTTCTAAAGAAAAACTAGCTGGGATCTTATAAAGATTGCATTGAATATGTTGATTACTTTGGGAAGTATTACCATTTTAACAATATTAAGTCTCCTGACCTATGAACATAGAATGTGTTTCCATTTATTTATACCTTCTTTAATTTCTTTCAACATTGCCTTGTAGTTTTCACAGCATAATTTTCGTACTCCTTTTCTTAAATTTATTCCTAAGTATTTTATTCTTTTTGATGATATTGTAAATGGAATTGTTTTCCTTAATCTCATTTTTTATTGTTTATTGCAAGTATATAGATAAACAGTTGATTTTTATATATTGATCTTATATCCTGCAACCTTGATTGACCTTTTTTTTTGTGGATTCCTTGGGATTTTCTACATACAAGATCGTGTTATCTGCAAACACAGATACTTTTACTTTTTTCTTTTCCAGTCTAGGTGGCTTGTATTTCTTTTTCTTGCCTAATTGCCCTGAATAGAACTCCCAATACAATGTTGAGATGCTGACATCCTTGTTTTGTTCCTAATCTTAAGAGTAAGTCATTCATTCTTTCATCATTAAGTATAGTGTCAGCTGTGATTTTTCCTAGTTGCCCTTTATCAAGTTGAGGGAGTTCCCTACTGTTGCTAGTTTGTTGAATATTGTTATCATGAAAGAGAATTGGGTATTGGATTTTGTCAAATGCTATTTTTTTTTTATGGAGTTTCACTCTGTCACCCAGGCTGGAGTGCTGCAGTGGCAGGCTCACTGCAGCCTCCGCCTCCCGGGTTCGAGCAATTCTCCTGCCTCAGCCTCCTGAGTAGCTTGGATTACAGGCGCCCACCACCACGCCTGGCTAATTTTTGTATTTTTTAGTAGAGACAGGGTTTCACTATGTTCATCAGGCTGGTCTCAAACTCCTGACCTCAAGTGATCCACCTGCCTTGGCCTCCCAAAGTGCTGGGATTACACGTGTGAGCCACCGCACCCAGCCTGTCAAATGCTTTTTCTGCATCTATTGAGGTGATCATGTGAATTTTAGTTTTTATTCAATTGCTATGGTATATTGATTTTCAGATGTTAAACCAACTTTATATTCCGAGGATAAATCCCACTTTTCTTTCTTTCTTCTTTTTTTTTTTTTTTGAGACAGAGTCTCACTCTGCTACCTAGACTGGAGGGCAGTGATGTGATCTCAGCTTACTGCAACCTCTGCCTCCCAGGTTCAAGTGCTTCTCCTGCCTCAGCCTCCCAAGTAGCTGGGACTACAGGTGCGCGCCAACACGACCAGCTAATTTTTGTATTTATAGTACATTTTGTATTTTTAGTACATTTCACCATGTTGGACAGGCTGGTCTCGAACTCCTGACCTCAGGTGATCTGCCCGCCTCAGCCGCCCACAGTGCTGAGATTACAGGCGTGAGCCATTGTGCCCAGCCAAATCCCACTTTTCATACTGCATTGTTTTCTTTGCGTTGTTGGTTTCAGCTTTCTAGTATTTTGTTTTGGATTTTTGCATCCATATTCATAAAAGTTACTGATCTTTAGTATTCTTTTCCTGTGATATCTTTATCTGATTTTGGTATCAAGGTAATATTGGTCTCACAGAATGAGTTGGGAAGAGTTCCATCATCGTCTATTTTGGGATACTTTGTGATGAACTGGTGTTAAATTAACTTTTTTTTTTTTGAGAGGGAGTCTAGCACTGTCTCCCGGGCTGCAGTGCAGTGGCAGGATCTCGGCTCACTGCAACCTCTGCCTCCCGGGTTCAAGCGATTCTCCTGCCTCAGCCTCCCGACTAGCTGGGATTACAGGCTTACAGGAGCCTGCCACCATGCCCAGCTAATTTTTATTTTATTTTATTTTATTTTATTTATTTATATTTTTGAGATGGAGTCTCACTGTGTCGCCCAGACTAGAGTGCAGTGGTGCCATCTCGGCTCACTGCAAGCTCCACTTCCCAGGTTGACACCATTCTCTGGCCTCAGCCTCCTGAGTGTCTGTGACTATAGGCGCCCGCTACCACGCCCAGCTAATTTTTTTTTATATTTTTAGTAGAGATGGGGTTTCACCGTGTTAGCCAGGATGATATTGATCTCCTGACTTCATGATCGCCCGCCTCGGCCTCCCGAAGTGCTGGGATTACTGGCGTGAGCCACTGCGCCTGGCCAAGTTTTTGTATTTTTAGTAGAGACGGGGTTTCATCATGTTGGCCTGGCTGGTCTCAAACTCCTGACCTCGTGATTCGCCTGCCTTGGCTTCCCAAAGTGCTGGGATTACAGGTGTGAGCCACTGCGCCAGGCTAAATTAACTCTTCTTTAAATGTTTGTTAGAACTCAGTGTTGAACTATCTGGGCCTAGAGTTTTCTTTGTGGGTAGTTTTTTAAAATTACTAATTCAATCTGTTCACTTGCGATAGGTATATTGATATTAGTTTTTTCTTCTTGAGTCAGTTTCAGTAGTTTTCATCTTTCTAGGAATTTTTTCATTTTATCTAATTATTGATGTCCAGTTGTTAATAGTATTTCTTTATAATCCATTTTATTTCTGTAAAGTCAGTAGTAATGTTCCCTCTTTAATTTCTAATTCTATCAATGAAACCAACCCAATAGTCCCAGAGACAGTTTTTGTGGATAAACATAGAAATTGACCCTTCTGTTCTTAAAGCTTGAAACTTCCATTTGTTTCATTTGCGTTCCTTCCTCAGGAAAAGATCCCCAGGCCTCTCAAAAAGTATCGAAGAACTGAAACTCAACAGATCACCATATCCAGACAATGAAGTGCCAGACCCCTCATTCCTCATGATTGCTTCCTTACCCCTCCCTAGTTCCTGATTTCCCACACAGTTACATTTCTTCCCCACTAAATAAACCCCTAATATTAGTCAGCCAGGAAGATGGAATTGAGACTCATCTCCCAACTCCTCAACTGCAGCACCCCTCACCCCCACTCCATTAAAGCCTTCTTCCTTGGCAATACTCATTGTCTCAGTGACTGGCTTTCTGTGCCAGGAGCAGCAGGATCTAGACCAAACCTCGGGTGTTTTGGTAACAGTAATTTGAGTCTTCTCTCTTTTCTTCTTGGTCAATGTAGCTAAAGGTTTGACAATTTTGTTAATTTTTTTCCAAGAAGCAGCTTTTAGTTTCAGTGATTTTTCTCTATTGTTTTTCTATTATCTAGTCTGTTAATTTTCACTCTAATTTTTCTCTTCTTTTCACTTGCTTTAGGTAAATAACACTGAGTAAAATGTTTCCTTACATTATTTGTTTTTGTTTTGGCCTACCTTCCCTTCTTTGAAAGCTATCACATTCAATCATTGGGTAAGCTTATGTTAAGTTCCTTTATTGCTGAACTATATAAATTAAAATACCAAGTTAAAACAATTTCTGCAAAGACAGAGATGGATGTCTATCTTCTAGAACCTTGCTACTAAATATGTGGTCCACGTATCAGCAGCATCAGCAACACCTGAAAGTGTTTTGGAAATGCAGAGTCTCAGGCCCTCTGCACACCTAGTGAATCACAATCGCACTTTAACAAGATCCACAAGTAATTCCTGTACACTTAAACTTTAACATGCACACTGCTATGGAAAGCAGCATTATCAAAGAAAACCAAAGTGATGATCCAGATAAGCCTAGAAGCCCATGTAATATTAAAGAGCCTAGGCCCAGATTTTGGTTTAGAGAGCAATATGGGAAGAAGCTGAGCTTCGTTTAAGGTATGACCAGGCTTAATTCAATGGCTTGGGACTGTTGCACATAAACTGAATAGAACACCAAAGGCTGGGCTGGGGAGGAGACTAGAAGTCACAGGGGCTGTGAGAGAAAGACCTCTTGGAAGAGCAAAGATTGAGTGGTGGCAGTAGAAAAATGAATAAGGGAAAAGCTAGTTCCAGAGGGATACAAATATTGTAATGGCACTTATATGGATTTTTAAAACATTTAATACAACTTATATATGCTTCTTCCATGGCAGACTGGAATAAAAACATTTAATCAATTTATATATATACACATGCATGGGAATGATCATACAAATATATATATATATATACACACACACACACACGTATGAGAATGATAAACAGCACATTTAGGACAGTGGTTACTTCTTGGAAGGTATATTAGTTCATATTGCATAACAAATTAACAAATTACCCCAAAATTCAGGAGCTCAAAACATAATCCAGACATGGCTTCGCTGAGTCTTTTGTTTCAGGGTTTCTTCCAAGGCTGCAATCAAGGTGTCAGCCAGGGGTTCAGTCTTACCTGAAGACTTAACCAGGAGGATCTGCTTCCAAGTTCACTCACATGGTTGTTGTCAGGATTTGGCTCTTTGTGGGCTGTTGGACGAAGGACTCAGTTCTTCACAAGGTGTTGGCTAGAGGCTTCCCTTGATTCCTTGCCATGTGGGCCACCCCATAGAGCATCTCACAACGTGGCAGCAGGCTTCATCAGAATGAACGAGTGAGAGTGCTGGCAGGATGGAAGTCAAAGTCTTTTGCAACCTAATTACAGAACTGACATCCCACAACTTTTGTCATATTTTATTCATTAGAAGCAAGTCGCTAAGTCCAGCCACAGTCGGGGGAGGGGGATGACACAAGGGCATGAATACCAGAAGACAGGGTTCATTGAGGGTCATCTTTCAAAGCTGCTAGTAAAAGCAGAGGATGGCGGGGCACAGCAGCTCACACCTGTAATCCCAGCACTTTGGGAGGCCGAGACAGGTGGGTCACTTGAGATCAGGAGTTTGAGACCAGCCTGTACAACATGGTGAAACCCCGTCTCTACTAAAAATACAAAAATTAGCTGAGTGTGGTGGCAAGCAGTAATCCCAGCTACTTGGGAGGCTGAGGCAGGAGAATTGCTTGAACCTGGGAGATGGAGGTTGCAGTGAGCCGAGATCGCGCCACTGCACTCCAGCCTGGGTGACAGAGCAAGACTCCGTCTCAAAAAAAAAAAAACTTTTTTTTTAAATAAAAGCAGAGGATGTTAGTAAAATAATTCTAGTTGTGTGGGTACTTCAACTATATCTGTAACATTTTCTTTCTTTTTTTTTATTATTATACTTTAAGTTTTAGGGTACATGTGCACAATGTGCAGGTTAGTTACATATGTATACATGTGACATGCTGGTGCGCTGCACCCACTAACTCATCATCTAGCATTAGGTATATCTCCCAATGCATATTCTCACTCATAGGTGGCAATTGAACAATGAGAACATATCTGTAACATTTTCTTGCTTAAGTTATGGGTATTTATGCACATGGGTATTTATAATGGTTTTTATATACCATTTGCAGGTCTGAAATATTTCATAATAAAGAAAAAAGAGAAAAAATTAAAGTTCAGTGGACCTAATCTCTGAATCTGTTGAAGATAGTTGTTCAGAGAAGGGGAAGGGTCCAGGGATTTGAGGGTTGGTAGCCTTGTTTCTACTTTTAGTTAAAGCTTCCTAGGTGCTCTCTAGTTAGCATCAATGCCTTCTCCCATATTATGCAATAGCATATCTCATAGTCTGTCTTACATTAATATTATTTATATATATATATATATGTGTGTGTACTGTCGTGTATGTGTGTGTGTGTGTGTGTGTGTGTGTGTGTGTGTGTGTGTGTGTCTATCTATACCCCTCCTAGGGATTGTCAGGTTCTGGAAAGTTCAGACCTTATAGAATTTTATTTGTCTTTCTATCCTATATCACCTATCTATCCCCCTCCTAGGGATTGTCAGGTTCTGGAAGGTTCAGACCTTATAGAATTTTATTTGCCTTTCTATCCTATATCACCTAGCACTGTGCTTTATACATAGTAGGTGCTCAGTAAGTGCTTGCTAAAGTTAAGTGGACTTAATGCTTCCCCACCCCATTTTGGCACTTGTGTTAACATTTTAAAATGTATTATATCCTAGTATATGTTAGGACCATAACTACAGGGCGAAATAAAAGACAGATATCCCTTTGTCATCAGTATTAAAGAGACAGAGCAAGAAAAAATAATTAGTTGCCCATACAATGTGGTGAAGTACTCCAAAATCCTCTCCCAAATAATACGTTCCCCACCACTGGAGCCTACTTTTCCTTTATTGTAGAATTCTTTCTTTAGGTTAAGGCATTCTTTCCAGGAGCTCTCTGCTAAACTACAAATAATCTTCAAATGAAACTACATCAACCTCATTGCATTAGACCTTAGTACCATATTTCTTAATTTTTTTGGGGGGGAGGATACTGATCTCTTCGAGAATTGAAAGAATCCTTTGAATACCCCCACTCCGAATGCATAACATTTTACTTTCAAGTGATGATTCATGAACTTTCTAGAGGAACTTCTTTTGCTTAAAAAGATTGAGTTGTGGCCTTGAGGGAACAAATACCCACACTTGGATATTTTACGTCTGAGGGACCATAGAGGAGGAATAGTGATTGGGAAGTGGGAGCATTGCCTAGAGAGAATTAGGTGGGGCATTTCTTTTTTTTTTTTTTTTTTTGAGATGGAGTCTTGCTCTGTCGCTGAGGGTGGAGTGCAGTGGCGCGATTTCAGCTCACTGCAACTTCTGCCTCCCGGGTTCACGGCATTCACCTGCCTCGGCCTCCTGAGTAGCTGGAACTACAGGCAACTGCCACCATGCCCGGCTAATTTTTTTATATATTTTTAGTAGAGACGGGGTTTCACCGTGTTAGCCAGGATGGTCTCGATCTCCTCAACTCGTGATCCACCCGCCTCGGCCTCCCAAAGTGTTGGGATTACAGGCATGAGCCACCGCGTCTGGCCTAAAAGTGGGGCATTTCAACACGAAAAGGACCCAGGCACCCCTAAAGTAGCAATCATGACTGAAAGTGCATGCTTGGATTTTTTTTTAAGTCTTGATATTAGAAGGACAACAGAAATTATAGTAGTTGTAGTTGCTGAAAATTTCATTTTCTGAAACTTTAGGAAGTTCTGGGTGAGGTCAGAAACCCTAGGCATCATTATTCATGTCCAGAAACGGTGTTAATCATGTACATACTCAGAATGCAGAGTTTCCTCACAATATTAATACGCTTTATGATTACACTACTCATGATTCACGTAGCAGAATAAAATCCATCACTTTAGGATAAACTGTTAATAGCTGTTGAGGGGAAATAAAGATGACAGCTGTGTACTTGCTCTGTACAACTTAGAGTGGCATCTTCCAAAATAGTAATTCCAAACTTTAAGCAGAAAATTCAGTTTAACTAAGTAGACCTGGAACAAATGCCAAATATAGTACATGGCCCCAATTACCATTGCCATATTCTGTTTCTCTTTCAGAAGAAAACACATCTGGGGCTCCACTACAGATTTCTTCTTAAGAATTGATATAGTAACTGGCCGGGCAGGGTGGCTCATGCCTGCAATCCCAGCACTTTGGGAGGCCAAGGCGGGCAGATCACCTGAGGTCAGGAGTTCAAGACCAGCATGGCCAACATGGTGAAACCCCATCTCTACTAAAAATACAAAAAAAAAAATTAGCCAGGTGTGGTGGCGGGCACCTGTAATCCCAGCTACTCGGGAGGCTGAGGCAGGAGAATTGCTTGAACCCGGGAGGCGGAGGTTGCAGTGAGCTGAGATCACTCCGTTGCACTCCAGCCTGGGCGACAAAAGTGAAACTCAGTCTCATAAAAAGAAAATAAAGAATTGATATAGTAACCTTACCTTCTTCTCTTGTGAAAGAGAACTCTTTCAACAAACACCCTACCTCCTGCTTGCCCCTTGGGCCCAGAGAACACAGCATGTCATTTTGGAAGGGTTGCTGGCCCACACTATTTCTCTTTGCAATTACTTTAATTCCCCCAAATAATCCCTTGACTTCTTTGAACTTCTCAGAAGAGAAACTGAAAAGTGTGCAGGAACATATATGTAACCACATTGTTTCATACTACACTTAGTACTTCAAGTCCATTTTCTTCACCAAGTGAAGCCTTTGCAGAATTCATAAAGGAGGGCCTGAAATAAGCCCTGAAAGGGTTTTAAAGTTCTTAAAAGTTCACAGTCTGGTGCAGTGGCTCATGCCTGTAATTCCAGTACTTTGGGAGGCTGAAGTGGGAGGATGGCTTAAAGCCAAGAGTTGGAGACCAGCCTGGGCAACATAGCGAGACCCCATCTCTACAAAAAAATTAAAAAATAGCCAGGCATGGTGGTACAAGTCTGTGGTCCAAGCTACTCAGGAGGCTGAGGCAGGAGAATCCCTTGAGCCCAGGAGGTCAAGGCTGTAGTGAACCATGATTGCACTACTGCACTCCAGCCTTGGCAACAGAGTGAGACCCAAGTCTCAAGAAAAAAAAGTCCACAGAAATAAGATTTACCAAATGTTCAAAAATAATTATGATGAATCACAATCGTGAAGAAACAGTTTTCTGTCTTTATTACAAAGTTATTTTTGAAGTGTTTCTTCATGAATCATACAAAATAGCTGATTGCAATATATATTGTCATCTTCATAACTACTTCTGAGAGAGAAAAACTCTAGTTAAAAAAAGGAAACCAATATTTTAATTGAAAAATATTTTCTGGGCCAGGTGCGGTGGCTCACGCCTGTAATCCCAGCACTTTGGGAGGCCGAGGCGAGCAGATCACATCTGCATCTCCATCACATCAGGAGATGGAGACCATCCTGGCTAACATGGTGAAACCCTGTCTCTACTAAAAATACAAAAAATTAGCCTGGCGTGGTGGCAGGCACCTGTAGTCCCAGCTACTCGGGAGGCTGAGGCAGGAGAATGGCGTGAACCCGGGAGGCAGAGCTTGCAGTGAACCGAGATCGCACCACTGCACTCCAGCCTGGGTGACAGAGCGAGACTCCGTCTCAAAAAAAAAAGGAAAAATATTTTCTGCACAGTAAAATAAATGACACAGTAATGAAAGAAACAATATACTTCCCAAATGTAGATTATGTCATTATTAAATAATTCTCTTCTTAAATTTTGATTCAATTTTAATCCACAGTAAAGCTGTAAGTTATTTTGGTAAAGTGGCAAGCCCTTCTAGATTATTCACTTCAAGGATCAGAGCAGCATTATGTCTTTGTTCTTGAAAGTGGAATTGGTTTTTTTTAAAAGATAGAGACATATTAATGATAGAGTCTATGAATTCTCTGTCCAGAATGGATTCTATTCAGAGCGATGCGTGGTACATTAAATACTTTCACAGGCATTAACATCACATATCATTACTTTGTTTAAAAAACAAATGGGGCCAGGCGCGGTGGTTCACACCTGTAATCCCAGCACTTTAGGAGACCAAGGCAGGCAGATCATGAGGTCAAGAGATCGAGACCATCCTGGCCAACATGGTGAAACCCCGTCTCTACTACAAATACAAAAATTAGCTGGGCGTGGTGGCAGGCACCTGTAGTCCCAGCTACTTGGGAGGCTAAAGCAGGAGAATCGCTTGAACCGGGGAAGCACAGGTTGCAGTGAGCCCAGATGATGCCACTGTACTCCAGCCTGGCAACAGAGCGAGACTCCGTCTCAGAAAAAAAAAAAAAAAATTTTAGTCAGGTCTTTCTGCTGCTATCACTATCATGAATGTCAGGTATCTGGCTATACTGACATTCATATTCCTGGGACACACTGTTTTGAATTGAGTGGAGGGCATTCAGTACTTACAGAACTCTACTGAGATGTTACCACTACTAGATCCCTCCCCACAATGACAGTTGACTTTTCTAAGGGCACTCATCAAGTTGTATTATAAGATAAATCACATGTGTATATTTTTCATAAGACTGTGAACTTACTGAGGGAAGGAACTTTTTTTTTTTTTGAGACAGAGTCGCCAGGCTGGAGTGTAGTGGCGTAATCAAGGCTCACTGCAGCCTCTGCCTCTTGGGCTCAAGCGATTCTCCTGCCTCAGCCTCCCAAGTAGTTGGGATTAAAGGTTTGCCACCATGCCTGACTAATTTTTGCATTTTTTGTAGAGACAGGGGTTTTGTTATGTTGCTCAGTCTGGTCTTGAACTCCTGAGCTCAAGCAATCTGCCTGTCTCCACCTGCCAAACTGTTGAGATTAAGGCATGTGTGACTGCACCCAGCCCCTTTTTTAAATCTTTAGTATTACTAACACAGTACCTCAAACATAGTAATAATGATAAATGTAATGATGATAACAATAATAACCTATACTGAACACTTTCTATATACCAGGCCCTATTTCTAAGTATATTACGTGGTTGACTCAATTAATCTCACAACGATCTTAGGAGGGAAGTACTGTTTAATCTACATTTTACAAATGAGGAAACAGAGGTACCCACTGGTTGAGTAACTTGTCCAAGGCTATACAGCTAAATAAATTGCACAGCCAGGACTTGAACCCAAGCAGTCCAGCTCCAGAGTAATGCTCTTAACCTCTAAAGGTATGCTCTGCTGCCTAGAGTATGTATTCAATAATTATCATGGCAAATATTTATTTGACTATTCTCCAGACACATGTTGTAACTTAAACATATAAATGAATGTAGTCCTTCAAAGATGTTGCCCTGGCCGGGTGCGGTGGCTCACTCCTGTAATCCCAGCACTTTGGGAGGCGGAGGCGGGCGGATTATGAGGTCAGGAGATTGAGACCATCCTGGCTAACATGGTGAAGCCCAGTCTCTACTAAAAATACAAAAAATTAGCTACTCGGGAGGCTGAGGGAGGAGAATGGTGTCAACCCGGGAGGCAGAGCTTGCAGTGAGCCGAGATCGCGCCACTGCACTCCAGCCTGGGCGACAGAGCGAGACTCCATCTCAAAAAACAAACAAACAAACAAAACAAAACAAAAACAAAAAACCGAAGATGTTGCCCTGGGAAGCTTCTATTGTTCAGAACCTTTTGTAATTCCTCCTTTGGAGTTGTTCTCAGAGCCAGTCTATGAATCAGAGAAGAAAAGTGGTCAATATATTATGATCATAACTCATTTTTAAATAAGCTAGATGAATACCTTATGTGCCCAACTTGTTTCTGAATAACATTTGTTTTCCAAAAATCATTCTCCATTAAAAGAATGAAAATTTTCTGTTGTTGAAGATGGTCCAAAAATGTGATGCAGAGATATTTTTCAATCAACTAACAAATATTTACTGAGCAACTAGTCCTGTACATGCTTGGCCCCAGGGGTACAAAAACCACAGAAGACATCCTCCCTATCTTCAGGGAGCACTCAGCCAGGTGAAGGAGAAAGATAATCCAGTATGACAAGTGCTTTGACTGACGCAAGCACAGGAGCCCAGAAGAGGGGCATGAAACCCAGCTTTAGGAGTGAGGGCCAGCTTCCTGAAAGAAGGAAGTAATGTCTAATTTTAGTCCCAAAAGACAAGCAGTTGTTGCCACACCAATAGAACAAAGGCATGGACTCTCATGGTGGCTACATTAAAGGGGAGATTATATCTTTGAGTGAGTACACCCTATTATGTTTGTTGTTAAAAGATAATAATCACTTTATTTTGTAGTCATACCTGGTACTCAAGTTGTTTTTGCCTTAAAACTGAAAATATTTGTAGATAGTGGTTTAAAAGCTACATGAGTTTTAAGTATGTTTGAGTGTTGTTTGCTTTTGTTACTGAACCAGTTACATAAGTTTCCCTAAAGAATTTTGCTGAAGGAGTAAACAGAAAACAAAATGATACATTAAGAAGTTAATTATATCAGAATCTACCACAGTGGGTTAATAGGTATAGTATATAGCAGGCACATGATGACCATTTGTTTGAAAAACTAAAGGAGTAACTCCTTAGTACTGATTCTCCATATTTTTTTTTTTTTTTTGAGACGCAGTTTTGCTCTTGTTGCCCAGGCTGGAGTGCAATGGCACGATCTCGGCTCACTGCAACCTCCACCTCCTGGGTTCAAGTGATTCTCCTACCTTAGTCTCCCAAGTAGCTGGGATTACAGGCATGTGCTACCACCCAACTAATTTTTGTATTTTTAGTAGAGACAGGGTTTTACCCCATTGGCCAGTCTGGTCTCAATCTCCTGACGTCACGTGATCCACCTGCCTCGGCTTCCCAAAGTGCTGAGATTACAGGTGTGAGCCACCATGCCCAGCCTGATTCTCCATAATTTAAACAAGCAGCTTGTTTCCTTCACTCCTGTGAGCCAAAGTAGGCCAGGATAACCACACACTGGGAGAGAAATGACTGCTCTGGCAGTGGCTCATGCTTTTTTCAATATATCGATTTGAAGGACAGTAACTTTGAGCCATGAGGAGTGGGAGATATGATAACCCAAGAAAAGGATGCCCTATGTTTTTGTAACTTACCTGCCCTTAAAAATAAATGAGCCTGGGATCACACAAAACTGTCCTTCGAGGAAAAAAGGTCTCGGGAGGTAGGTAAGTGTTGTTCAACATGGGTGGGGTTAAGTGCTTAGATACAATGAGCGATGGTGGGCAGTGTTCTATTCCAGTTGCATGCAGAGACAAGAGTTTGAAGGCTCTCTTCTCTGTAATCTTCATCCTCTAAGTGGCCTGATGCTAACTCTGTAAAATTTTTACAGAGAGCAAGAAGTAGAACTCATAACAAGGAAGCCTAGAGGTCCTAGAGCCTCTCCTAGAGGATTAGGAAAGGTCTGAGGCATGAGATACTATATGGGAAGATAGCCCTTTCTGGGATTTGAGAGTGAAATAACCCTGGGTAAGAGGATACACTGGGCACTCGGAAAAAAGGAATGCCTGCTAAAGCAAAGGGTGCCAAAGATAAACTTGACCTGATTGTCTAGAGCCGAGCCCAGTGAGTTTAAAGAGTAGGGGACAAGAGTTAATAGGAAGGAAAAGAATTTTCCTGCTCTATCTGCCTTCCTACCATTTATTGACTCATTTGCACATGAAATATTTAAAGAATCACGACAGGGAGCTGAAGGAGCTACAGAAAAGAGTTTCTGCCCTCAAGTAATTTGTAATCCTGAGGGACTCTGATGCTGTACTAAGTTATGTCTTGTTGCTAAGACATAAAACAGTCAGCGAAACAATACAATGTCCTTCCCCAGATCCGCCCCACCCGCTCCCCAACACTACCCTTAAGGGCTGTTCATCCTACACACTCTTAATTATTTCAGACTCATGAAAATCCACAGGTATTGATTTTACAAAGAATGCAGCAATATTCTTTCAAATGATTTCCCTATGTGTTCCCAGTGCACAGAGAAATATATCCACATGTTCAATCACTTACCTATTATATAAAGCAGGGCTGTTCAAATATGTTTTTTCTTCTTAGCAGTTGAACTTCTTTTCAAACAAATTTTACAGAGAATAGCCACACGTAAAATATGAAAACAGAGCAATTCTGACTAAGATAGCGTGGGGGTAAAAACTTTGACTTAGCTCTTTTTTCATCCATTTTCTAATGAGACCCATGAAATACCTCTGTCAGTGTGTCAGGGTGGCTGTAACAAAATACTTGCAACTAGGTGGCCTATAAACAACAGAATTTTATATTTCACAGTTCTGGAAGCTGGCAAGTCCACGACCAAGGCAATAGCAGATTGGCGTCTGGTGAGGACTTGCTTCCTGGTTCACAGATGGCAACTTGTCACTGTGTCCTCACATGGTAGAAGGGGTGAGCTAGCTCCCTGAGGCCTCTTTTATGAGGGCACCAATTCCATTCAAGAGGACTCTGCCTGCATGATCTAATCACCTCCCAAAGTTTCACCTCCTAATACCATCATCCTGGGAGTTAGAATGTCAACATATGAATTTTTAGAGGACATGAACATTCAGTCCATTGCAACTGCATTCTGCAAAATGCAGTTCAAAAAGCATCAATGTAAAATATTTTGTGTAAAATCATTGATTTATCAAGTTAGCAGAAAACAAAGTGGAAACCTTAAAAAAAAACAAAACTCTGCTGCTCTGGGTTACATTTAAGTATATTTGTACCACATAGTCAACCTTCAAGTTTCCATCCAAAAAAAGTGGAAGCAATAGCATGTGAAATCCAAAAGTCAATAGTATTGAGCCCTGGAAAGCATGGTATTATGTTCTGGGGCTGCAGAGCAGATTTACATTTCCTTTTGAGCTCAGATTAGGCCAGTGATTCTCAACCTCAGCACTACTGACATTTAAGGCCTGATAACTCTCTGTTGTGTGAAGCTGTCCTATGCCTTATAGTGATGTTTAGCGGTAGCATCCCTGGTCTCCACCCACGACATGCGACAACCCCCTCCCCAAATTGTGACAACTGAAATTGTCTCCAGATATTGCCAAATGTCCTCTAGAAGGCAAAATTGCCTCTAGTTGAGAACCATTGATAAAAATATGTGCCTGACTGTGTACACAGACATATCTGTTGTTGCAGGTGGCATATATGATGCAGGGGGCATTTAAATGATGACGAGGATAATTTATACTCAGATAATAAAAAGTTGGCCATCTCAGGTGTTAGAGCTGATAATGGTCTCATGGCACCAAAAAAAAGTCAGTTTTAACATCCTTCAGCTTGGTTCCATGCAGAAGTCACTGTCAGCTATGCTGGGGCAATCAGAAGTTTGCCTCCACCACTAATATCTCCTTTATTGACCCCACCATGGTACCTAAAATATATTACTTCCTCTGGTTTTCTGGGAAAGGGAACATTCTAAGCCATCATAATTTGTGAACAATGAACTATAATTACTTTTTTCCATTTTTAAAAATTGTAGTAAAATACATATAACAAAATTTACCATCTTAACTATTTTAAGTGTGTAGTTCAGTGGTATTCGCTACATTCATAATGTGCAACCACCACCACCCTCCATCTCTAGAATTCTTTTCATCTTGTAAAACTGGAATTTTATATCCATTATCAAGTTTATTTATTTACTTATTTATTTACTGAGACAGAGTTTCACTCTCGTTGCCCAGGTTGGAGTGCAGTGGCATGATCTCTGCTCACCACAACCTCCGCTTCTGGGGTTCAAGCGGTTCTCCTGCTTCAGCTTCCTGAGTAGCTGGGATTACAAGTGCCCGCCACCATGCCTAGCTAATTTTTGTATTTTTAGTAGAGACGGGGTTTCACCATGCTGGCCAGGCTGGTCTCGAATTCCTGACATCAGGTGATTCACCTGCCTCAGCCTCCCAAAGTGCAGGGATTACAGGCGTGAGCCACCGCATCTGACCACCCATTATCAACCTTAAAGAAAGATACCAGGAGGCCAGGCGTGGTGGCTCACGCCTGTAATCCCAGCAGTTTGGAAGGCCGAGGCAGGCTGATCACGAGGTCAGGAGATTGAGACCATCCTGGCCAATATGATGAAACCCCGTCTCTACTAAAATACAAAAAAAATTAGCTGGGCATGGTGGTGGGCGCCTGTAGTTCCAGCTACTCGGGAGGCTGAGGCAGGAGAATCGCTTGAACCCGGGAGGTGGAGGTTGAAGAGCTGAGATCGTGCCATTGCACTCCAGCCTGGGCAACAAGAGCAAAACTCCGTCTCAAAAAATAAAAATAAATAAAAAATAAAAGAAAGACACCAGGAAAAAAATCTCCTAATTTGAGGCATTTATTTAGTAGTAAGCAGAGAGGATTATAATCTGGGGTGCACAGCTATGGCAAGCCACAGATGCATCTGAAGAAGGGAGGGGAAGGGGGGCCAGGCACGGTGGCTCATGCCTGTAATCCCAGCACTTTGGGAGGCCGAGACAGACGGATCACGAGATCAGGAAATGGAGACCATCCTGACTAACATGGTGAAACTCCGTCTCTACTAAAAATACAAAAAAAAAAAAAATAGCTGGGCACGGTGGCGGGCGCCTGTAGTCCCAGCTACTCGGGAGGCTGAGGCAGGAGAATGGCATGAACCCGGGAGGCGGAGCTTGCAGTGAGCGGAGATCACGTCACTGCATTCCAGCCTGGGCGACAGAGCCAGACTCCATCTCAAAAAAAAAAAAAGGGGCGGGCACAGTGGCTCACGCCTGTAATCCCAGCACTTTGGGAGGCCGAAGCGGGCGGATCATGAGATCAGGAGATTGAGACCACGGTGAAACCCCGTCTCTACTAAAAATACAAAAAAATTAGCCAGGCGCGGTGGCGGGCGCCTGTAGTCCCAGCTGCTCAGGAGGCTGAGGCAGGAAAACGGTGTGAACCCGGGAGGCGGAGCTTGCAGTGAGCCGAGATCGCACCACTGCACTCCAGCCTAGGCGACAGAGCGAGACCCCGTCTCAAAAAAAAAAAAAAAAAAAAAAAAAGGAAGGGGAAGGGGAAGCTTTTATTGGCGAAGATAATTTCACATAAGCTGTTGGAAATGAAGTTCATTGGTTCAGGAGGTTCAAAATCAGAGTTGGCATCAGTTCATTGATGGAGATGCTGTGCTAGCCAAGTGTTCTTTCCAGACCATCTTATCTGAATTGCTGCAGTCCTATAAAAGGAATATCTTGTGGGGTTATTTTAGAAGGTCCTTGAGACACAGTCTTTATCTTATACATGCAGGCATGAACTCTCCTCCTTCCTGCTTTCCTGGCTCCAATTCGTTTGGGTTTGACAAAAGTGAATTTATCCTGGTATCTGCAACATTTAAACCATTAAACATTAACTCCCCATTGCCCCTTTCCTCTGGCCCATGGGAACCACCATTCTACTTTCTCTATCTATTATTTTGACTACTCTATGCATCTTATACAAGTGGAATCATATAGTCTTTTTGTGACCGGTTTATTTCACTTAGCATAATATCCTCAAGGTTAATCCATGTTGTAGCATATATCAGAATTTCCTTCTTTTTAAAGCTTAATAATATTCGATTGTGTGTATATACCACATTTTGCTATCCATTCATCTTGGGTTGCTTCCATATTTTAGCTATTATGAATAATGATGCTATGAACACGGGCATACAAATCTCTTTTTGAGACTTTTAGAGAAAATAATTGAATTGCTTTCTTTTTTCTGTTTTGAGACAAGGTCTGCCTCTGTCACACAGGCTGGAATGCAGTGGCATGATCGCAGCTCACTGCAGCCTCAACTTCCCAGGCTCAAGCGACCCTCCCACCTCAGCCTCCTAAGTAGCTGGGACTACAGGCACGTGCCACCATGCCCCACTAATTTTTGTATTTCTTTTTGTAGAGATGGGGTCCCACTATGTTGCCCAGGCTGGTCTTGAAGCCCGGGGCTCAAGCAATCCACCCTCCTCAGCCTCCCAACATGCTAGGATTACAGGTGTGAGCCACCACACCCAGCCTGCATTGCTTTCAGTTCTTTTGAGTATATACCCAGAAGTGGAAGTGCTGGATCATATAGTATTATTTCTTCTTCTTCTTCGGATCATATAGTATTATGCCTTCTTCTTCTTCTTCCTCTTCCTCTTCTTCTTCTTCCTCTTCTTCTTCTCCTTCTCCTTCTTTCTTCTCCTTCTCCTTCTCCTCCTCCTTCTCCTTTTCCTCCTTCTCCTTCTTCCATTCTCTCCCTTCTCCCCCTCCTCCTTCCTCCTCCTTCCTCCTTCTTCCCTTTTTTTTTTTGAGATGGAGTCTTGCTCTGTTGCCCAGGTTGGAATGCAGTGGCATGATCTCAGCTCACTGCAACCTCCACTTCCCGGGATCAAGCTATTCTCCTGCCTCGGCCTCCTGAGTAGCTGGGACTACATGTGCATGCCACCACGCCCAGCTAACTTTTGTATTTTTAGTAGAGACAGGGTTTCACCATGTTGGCCAGGCTAGTCTCAAATCCCTGACCTCAGGTGATCCACCCACCTCGGCCTCCCAAAGTGTTGTGATTACAGGCGTGAGCCACCATGCCTGGCCTCATATAGTATTTCTATTTTTAATTCTTTGAGGAACCATCATACTGTGTTCCATAGCAGCTGTATCATTTTACATTCCCACCAACAGTGCACAGGGGTTCAAATTTCTCCACATCCTCACAAACACTTGTATTTTCTGTTGTTTTTTTTATAGTAGCCATCCTAATGGATGTGAAGTGGTATCTCATTGTGTTTTTGACTTGTATTTCTCTAATGATTAGTAATGTTGAGCATCTTTCCTTGTGCTTTTTGGCCATTTGTATATCTTTGGAGAAATGTCTATTCAAGTCCTTCGCCCATTTTTGAATTGGCTTGTTCGTTTTGTTGTTGTTGTGCTTGAGTTTTAGGAGTTCTCCACATGTATTCTGGATATGAATATCTTATCAGATATATGATTTGCAAATATTTTCTCCCATTCTGTAGGTTAGCTTTTTACTTTGCTGATACTCGTTCTTCTTCTTCCTCCTTCTCCTCCTCCTTCTTCTTCTTCCTCTTCTTCTCTTCTTTTCTTTTCTTCTCCCTTCTTCTTCTTCCTCCTATTCTTCTTGTTCTTCCTCCTATTCTTCTTCTTCCTCCTCCTCTTCTTCTTCGTCTTCTTCTTCCTCTTCCTCTTCCTCCTCCTCCTCTTCTTCTTCTCTTCTTCTTCTTCTTCTTCTTCTTCCTCCTCTTCTTCTTCTCCTTCTTCTTCTTCCTCCTCTTCTCCTTCTTCTCCTTCTTCTTCTTCCTCTTCTTCTCCTTCTTCTTCTTCCTCTTCTTTTTTTGAGACAGGGTCTCACTTTGTTGCCCAGGTGAGAGTGCAGTGGCATGATCATGGTTCACAGCAGCCTTAGCCTCCCAGGCTCAAGTGATCCTCCCACCTCAGCCTCCCGAGTACCTGGGGCTACATGGGTGAAGCAACACACCCAGTTAATTTTTATTTTTTTTTTGTAGCGATGAGGTCTCACTATGTTGCCCAGGCTGGTTTCAAACTCCTGAGCTCGGTGGGGTACAGTGGCTCATGCCTGTAATGCCAGCACTTTGGGAGGCTGAGGCAGGCGGATCACGAGGTCAGGAGATCGAGACCATCCTGGCTAACATGGTAAAACCCCGTCTCTACTAAAAATACAAAAAATGTAGCTGGGCATGGTGGCAGGTGCCTGTGGTCCCAGCTACTCGGGAGGCTGAGGCAGGAGAATTGCATGAACCCGGGAGGCAGAGCTTGCAGTGAGCTGAGATCACGCCACTGCGCTCCAGCCTGGGCAACAGAGCGAGACTCTGTCTCAAAACAAACAAACAAACAACTCCTGAGCTCAAGTGATCCTTCTGCCTCAGCCTCCCAAAGTGCTAGGATGACAGGCATGAGCCACCACATCCAGCCTGATACTATTTCTTTTATTATTATTACATTTTAGAGACAGGGTTGCCTTATGTTGCCCAGGCTGGCCTCAAACTCCTGGACTGATCCTCTTGCTTCAGTCCAAGTAGGTGGTATCAGAGACACATGCCACTGTACCTAGCTGATACTATCTTTCAATGTACAAAATTTTTAAAATATTCATGAAGTCCAATGTGTTCATTTTTTTTTGTTGCCTGTGCCTTTGGTGTCATATCCAATAAATCACTGCCAAATCCAATGTCATGAAGCTTTTGCTCTGTTTTCTTTTAAGAATTTTATAGTTTTAGGTCTTCTATTTATGTATTTAATTCATATTTAGTTAATCTTTGTATATGGTGTTAGGTAAGGGTCCAACTTCATTCTTTTAATGTGTAGATGGATATACAGTTTTCTTAGCATCATTCGTTGAAAAGACTCTCCTCTCCCCATTGAATAGTTCTTGGCACCCTTGTCAAAAATCATTTGACCATATATGTGACAGTTTCTTTCTGGGCTCTCTATTCTATTCCATTGGTCAATATGTCTGTCTTTTGCAGTACCACAGTTTTTACTGTAGCTATGTAGTAAGTTTTGAAATCAGGAAGTATTAGTCCTCTAGCTTTGTTCTGCCATGATTGCTTTTTTTTAATCAGAAGAAACAGCTTCGTGTTTTCCATTTGCATAATCTTATCATAGACCCATACAAGAAAAAGGTACCATTTGTGCCTAAATTTCTTTTTATGAAAATGCAGCTATCATATCATGAAGTACTCAAAATAAGTCAGTCACATTAGAAAATATATATGTATATACGTACATATATACATATATACACACACATATATATACATATATATACACACATATACGTATATATATACACACATATATATGTATACATACACACATATATACGTATATATATACACACTACGTGTGTGTATATATATGTGTATATATGTATATATATGTGTATATATGTGTGTGTATATATGTGTATATATATGTGTGTGTATATATATGTATATATATGTGTATATATGTGTATATATGTGTGTGTATATATGTGTATATATATGTGTGTATATATATGTGTATATATATGTGTATATATGTGTATATATATGTGTGTATATATATATATTTTTTGAGACGGAGTCTTGCTCTTGTTGCCCAGGCTGGAGTGCAGTGGCACAATCTCGGCTCACTGCAGCCTCTGCCTCTTAGGTTCAAGTGATTCTCCTGCCTCAGCCTCCCGAGTGGCTGGGACTACAGGCCTGCACCACCATGCCTGGCTAATTTTGTATTTTTAGTAGAGACGAGTTTTCACCATGTTAGCCATGGTTGGTCTTGAACTCCTGATCTCAGGTGATCCTCCTGCCTCAGCCTCCCAAAGTGCTGGGATTACATGCATGAGGCACTATGTCCAGCCCTTTCCAATGCCTTGTCTTTCACAGGTGGCCCTGAACCTGGAGGAGGAGGGGCTCAGCGTTTCTTCATCTCTGACTTCACAGACGCCCCTGAGATGCTGCCCAGCAAGAGGGATGGACCCAGTGTAATGGAAGGTCAGTGCATGGATGGAGAGTTGGGTGTTGTTAAACAGCCATTCAAACCCCTTCCCAGGGGCAGCCGGGAGGTGCCCTCATCGCTGTCTGCACCCGACAGCACGAGCTGCTCAGCCTTACTATTGCTTCTTTTATTAACTTTGAAAAATCCCAGAAATTTTTTCTTCTCTTTATCTGTCTCATCATTGCCAAGCGATGATTTTCTAAAGGTTTCTCTTCTGTTGTCTCACGAGTAGAGCTCCTTTATCCCAAGCTCATTCAGGGACTTGGACAGCTCCAGCTCCTCCCTGGCAATGTTGTCCCTGAGGAGAACCATGTGCTCTGGGCTGACCTCACACTTTGCACAAATGGCTGGGAGAATATTCTGGAGAGGAACCTCAGGGCTCACATGCACAACAGCTTTTTGTGTCTGCAAGTAATTCACGACCAAACACACAGATTTCTCAGGCACCTTAGGGGGAACAGGCTTAATTTTTTCTTCAGGAAATTTTTCTTTCAGAAACACAGTATGCACATTCAGGGTCCCAATCAAAGTATTTGGCTTAAAACTCAAAGGTTGTTGGGTTTCTGAAGACCAAATGTCAAGGGCGTGGTGGGATGGATTCAGGTGGTTCTGAAGGCAAAGTTCAACTAGTAGGTCCATCATTGCATGGCTCCCATTGAGCACGCTCCTCTTCTCCAGCTTGCTGGGCAGGACCATGGTGACGTCCATGATGGTGGCCCTCAGCGCCTCCTTCATGAGGACCAGGTTCTGCTGCAACCTGAGGGCCCTGTCTTTGGGGTCTTCTGGTGGCTGTGCACGTGCAGAGTGGCAGCCTTTCCAGGAGGTGGGGGAGCATGGGCCTTCATCTTCCTCCTCTCCTCCCAGGCACACCTGGGGTCTCAAGAGCCCCCATCGGCATACACTCAGCTCTCCATGACGTGAGGTGGGTGCCTGCAGTCACACCAGCTGCTCTTTTAGGCCCAGAGGGAGGATTACATGGGATAAAGTGTGCACATTTCTTTTGGTGGTGCCTGGCTCTGGTAAACAATCGATCCACGTAACTCTTACTATTCAGACTTGTTCACTTGCTTTTGGTGTGTAGTTCCCTGCACAACTATGCAGCTAGAGTCCTGGTCCCTTGAAAAGAACTCAAAGCAGAAACAAGAGCCAAACACCCGTCATTGCGCTCTGGCAGGTATACATGTCACCTGAGCTGGGCCAAGGTGGTGCGGGGCGGCAGGTTGTGGGGCTGTTTTTGGGAGCGGGAGAGTCATGCATCCAAAGTCCTCTACTCCAGCCAGTGTGCTGCAGTACCCATGATTGCTTTTCAAGATAAACCTTTGTGGAAAAACAGTCCCAAGGAAAAGGGACAAAGCACATTGTGGTTTTGACAGGAAGATGGGAAGAAATACTCTTGGAAGCTGTTTCTGAGATGGATAGATCTAAGTGCTCGGAGGATGATGATGAAGAAATTAATAAAAGGAAATACTATATATTGAGCATCTACTATGTGTCAGATATTTTCATATATCCTCACAACAAACTCCGGGAAGCAGGTAATATTATCCTCATTTTTCCTGGTAACATTGTCCTCATTTTTCCTGGTAATATTCTGAGAATTAGCTAGATGAAGTAATTTGCTTGTACCGCTAGTAAGTGACAACTGAACCCATGTCATTAAGATTCTAAGGCCTGTCACCATACTTCCTTGATAATGGAACTACCTGAATAAATGTATCAAGCAGGTTCTAATCAGAAGAAAGAAATCACATGAGCTATTTGGTCAAAGACGATTTAATATAAATAATTATTAACTAGGTTTATAGTTGTTAACTAAGTAGCTTAAAGGGTAAAAAGATAACTTTTTACCCAGCACAGATAAGACTGTGCTGTCCAATACAATAGCTACATGCAGCGTTTGAGTGCTTGAAATACAGCTAGTACAACTGATGAACTGAATTTTAATTTTTATTTAATTTTAATTCATTTAAATTTATATTTAGAAACCATTAGTTGGTACTTCCACTTCTAGCCAGTATGAAATAATAGAGACTGAATTTACCCTCACATTTGAAACTACTGAATATTGGATCAAATATATGAAATGGTTTCCAATACGCTGGACAGCAGACAAGAAGAGCAGTGATTCTCTGAGAGAAAAGAAATAAGTGAGGTGAGCTCTAGGATTGTCCCAGATTACTGACTGAAGAGAGTTTCCTGGCTGTGGCACAGGGAAGGTGAGGTAGAGCCAGGAGGACTCCCTGAGTTGAAGAGACAGGACTGAGAGTTCAGGGAGCTCAAAGCAGCTAGACTGCAGGGAAGAATACCAGAAAGGAGAGAAGTACACAGAAGGAGAACTCTAGAGAGTTTTGGTGGGTCACCTTCAAGTACTGATAGGTGTGTACATGTGAGGGAACTACCAGAAGCCAAGGAAAGGACTATACAAGAGGACTAAAAGGAACAGTACCCCGCCCGGCACCCTGGCTCATGCCTGTAATCTCAGCACTTTGGGAGCCCGAGGCGGGCAGATCACGAGGTCAGGAGATTGAGTCCATCCTGGCTAACATGGTGAAACACCATCTCTTCTAAAAATACAAAAAATTAGCTGGGCATGGTGGCGGGTGCCTGTAGTCCCAGCTACTCAGGAGGCTGAGGCAGGAGAATGGCGTGAACCCGGGAGGCGGAGCTTGCACTGAGGCAACATCACACCACTGCACTCTTGCCTGGGCGACAGAGCAAGACTCCATCTCAAAAAAAAAAAAAAAAAAAAAAGGAACAGTACCCAACATATACACAGAACTTGGAATACTGTCTGTCCCAAATAGGCAGACTGGAAAACCTCATAATTAATGGTAAATTGATAGATTATTCAGAAGGATCTTCCCTTGTAGTGGGAAATAATTAGCCCTAGAAAAAAACACTGCTGTGCTCCAACCTAACGGATCTTAAAAGAAAGACTGAAAAGGATAAAACTATGTTCAAGTAATTTTAAAAATCAATTAATTAAAATGGACCAGGAACTAACATAGATGTTAGAATCAGTAGACCAGGATATTTAAGGATTTATTGTAATTGTATTTTAAGTGGTAAAAAAGTTATGTAGAACCATGTAATATATTAAAAAGATGAAAATGAAACTTAGATATGAAAATTATAGTATCTGAGATAAAACACACTGATAGGATTAACAATAGATCAGACATTTCAGAAGGAAAGATAAATGAACTTGAAAACATGTCAATAGAAACTATCCAGTGAAAGAGAGAATAATAAAATAATTATTAAAAAATGAAAAGAAATTCAGTGAGCTATTGAACAACTTCAAGCAGCTTAATATATGTATAATTGTAATCCCCAGAGGAGAGGAGAAAAGGGAAGGGAAACAAAACAAATATGAAGAAATATTTGCCCATGTTTTCAAAATTTGATGAAAGCTATAAACCTACATATCACAGCAGCTCTATATCATGCCACTACACTCCAGCCTGGGTGACAGAGTGAGACCCTGTCAAAAAAGAAAGAAAAGAAAGAAAGAAAGAAAGAGAGAAAGAAAGAAAGAAAGAAAGAGAGAAAGAAAGAAAGAACAAAAGAAAGAAAGAGAGAGAGAAAGAAAAAAGAAAGAAAGAAAATAGAACGCTAGTTGTCAGGGCTAGGAGTAGAGGATAATGGGGGGCTGCTGTTTAATGGATATAGAATTCTAGTTTTGCAAAATAAGAGTAGTTCTGGAGATAACTGATAATGATGGCTGCACAACAATGTGAATGTGGTTAATGCCACTGAACTATACATTTGAAAATTATTAAGATGATAAATTTTGTGTTATGTGTAGTTTGCCACAATGTAAATTTTTTTAAAGGGTGAAATAAAGACTTTTTTTCTTTCTTTCTTTTTCTTTTTTTTTTTTTTTTTGAGACAGAGTCTCTGTTGCCTAGGCTGGAGTACACTGGCATGATCTAGGCTCACTGCAACCTCCGCCTCCCGGATTCAAGTGATTCTTCTGCTTCAGCCTCGCGAGTAGCTGGGACTACAGGTGCATGTCACCACGCCCGCCTAATTTTGTATTTTTAGTAGAGACAGAGTTTCACCATATTGGCCAGGCTGGTCTCTAACTCCTGACCTCGTGATCCACCCGCCTTGGCCTCACAAAGTGTTGGGATTACAGGCGTGAGCCACTGCGCCCATCCCAAAATAAAGACTTTTTTTTTTTTTTGAGACAGAGTCTTGCTCTGTCACCCAGGCTGGAGTGCAGTGGCACCATCTCGGCTCACTGCAAGCTCCGCCTCCCAGGTTCACGCCATTCTCCTGCCTCAGCCTCCCGAGAAGCTGGGATACAGGCGCCCGCCACCACGCCTGGCTAATTTTTTGTATTTTTGGTAGAGACGGGGTTTCACCACGTTAGCCAGGATGGACTCAATCTCCTGACCTCGTGATCTGCCCCCCTCGGCCTCCCAAAGTGCTGGGATTACAGGCGTGAGCCACTGTGCCTGGCCAAAATAAAGACTTTTTAAGCATACAAAAGGTTTAAAAAGTCATCACCAACAGACCTGAATTGTAGTAAATGCTGAAAGACATCCTTTTTTTTTTTTTTTTTTTGAGATGGAGTTTCACTCTTGTTGCCCAGGCTGGAATGCAATGGTGCAATGTCAGCTTGCTGCAACCTTTGCTTCCTGGGTTCAAGCAATTCTCCTGCCTCAGCCTCCCAAGTAGCTGGGATTACAGGCAACTGCCACCACGCCCAGCTAATTTTTTTATTTTTAGTAGAGACGGGGTTTCACCATGTAGGCCAGGCTGGTCTTGAACTCCTGACCTCAGGTGATCCACCCACGTGGGCCTCCCAAAGTGCTGGGATTACAGGCATGAGCCACCATGCCTGGCCTGAAAGACCAGGAAGAAGAGCAGCAGAAGAAATGACCCCAGATGAAAATATGGATCTATAGTAAAGCAATAAAGAACACTGGAAACAGAAACTTCATGAATAAATATATATGATATTTTTCTTATTTCATAAATATCTTTAAAAGATAATTGACTAAGCAAAAATAGTAACAATGCATTGTGGGCTTTATAATTTATGTGTAAGTAAAATATATGCAAACAACAGCATAAAGGCCAGGAGAGAGGAAATGTAGGTATACTATTGGAAGGCTCTTCTTATATTATTTGTGAAATGATATAATATAACTCAAAGGGAGACTACAATAATATATGTGTGTGTGTGTGTGTGTGTGTGTGTGTGTGTGTGTGTTTGTGTAGCTTGAACCCAGGAGGTTGAGGCTACAGTGAGCCATGATCAGGCCACTGCACTACAACCTGAGGGACAGAACAAGACCCTGTCTCAAAAAAAAGAAAAAGACCATCAGACTGGATAATAAAAAAGCAAAAAAGCAAGACCTAAGTGTATGCTGTTCACAACAAACACACTTTAAATACACAAACCAGTGAAAAATAAAGTGATGGAGAAAGATATACCATGTGTAGTGGACTCAGTGGTGGCCCCAAAGATATGTCTATGTTCTAATCCCCAGAACCTGTAAATATTACCTTACGTGGCAAAATATGTGATTAACTTAAGGCTTTTGCGAGGAGCTTGTCCAGGTAGGCCCTAAATGCAATCACATGTATCCTTATAGGAGAGAAAGAGAGCTAATTTAGCTACACTAACACAGAGGAGAAGGCAATATGAACACGGAGCAGAGAAAGAGATAGAGCTGTAGCCACAAGCCAGCGAATACTGACAGACAGCAGAAACTGGAAGAGGCAAAGAATATATTCTCCCTCAGACTCTATGATGGAAGTGTGGTCTTACCTATACCTTGATTTCAGACTTCTCACCTCCGGAACCGTGGGAGAATAAATGTTTTTTAAGCCATCAACATTTCAGTAATTTGTTATAGTAGCCATGAGAAACTAATAGATCTAGTTAATTAATGCTAACACCAGATGCAGGAAAGACAGATGGCTATATTAGTGACAAACAAGTAGATTTCAAAGCAGCAAATATCACGGTAGGATGATAATAATAAAGGGGTCAATTCATCAATAGTACATAACTGTCCTAAATGTTTGTGTACTTGACAAATCTTCAAAATACACAAAGCAAAACGTGTATTCAAGTCATACAAAGTATGTATTCTGATTTCAATGGAATTAAATAATATTCTAAAAACAGAAAGCTGGAAAATACTCAAATATGTGGAAGTTAAACGGCATACTTATAAGTAAAACATGAATTCAAGAAAAAATCAAAAGTGGAATTGGAAGGCATATTTAACTGAATGAAAATGGAAATACAATATATCAAAATATGAGATACCATAAAGCACTATATAGTGGAAAATTTATAGCACTATATTCATATGTAAGAAAAGAAAAAAGATTTCAGATCATTGACATCATTTCCACATTAATAAATTGAAAAAGTAGATCAAATTAAGCAAAAACTAAGAAGTAGAAATCAATAAAATAGAAAACAGAAAATCATTAGAGAAATTTAATGAAACCAAAAGCTGGTTCTCTTGGATAATAAGCAAAATTGATAAAACTCTGGCTATGTGGATCAGGACAAAGAGAAGACACAAATTACCAATGTCATAAATGAGATAAAAATATTAACACAGGGCTGGGCACGGTGGCTCATGCCTGTAATCCCAGCACTTTGGGAGGCCGAGGTGGGCGGATCACGAGGTCAGGAGATCGAGACCATCCTGGCCAACACGGTGAAACCCCGTCTCTACTAAAAATACAAAAAATTAGCCAGGCGTGCTGGTGGGCGCCTGTAGTCCCAGCTACTCGGGAGGCTGAGGCAGGAGAATGGCGTGAACCCAGGAGGCGGAGCTTGTAGTGAGCCGAGATTGCGCCACTGCACTCCAGCCTGGGCGACAGTGCAAGACTCCATCTCAAAAAAAAAAAAAAAAAAACTATTAACACAGATTCTACAAATACTAAATAGGTTAATAAGGGAATATTATAAACACATTTATAGCAATAAATTTGAGGACTTAGATGGGATGGGCTAATTGCTTGAAAGATATAAACTACTAAAGCTCATTAAAGGAGATTATATCTCTATCTAGCTATCTACCTATCTATCTATCTGTATGTATAGAGATACATACACACACATACAAACACACAAAAATGAATACCCCTAAACCTATCATAGAAATATAATTTGTAGTTAAAAAGCTTCTCACTAGTAAACTCCAGTTTAGTAACTCCAGACCTGGATGTTTACACTAGTTATCGCTACCAAAAACTTAAGGTTTGAAATAACATCAATTTTACCCAAACTCTTCCAGGAAATTGAAAGGAAGGAATATTTCCTAACTCATTCTATGAGGACAGCATTACCATGATACCGAAGCAAGACAGATAAAACTACAAACCAATATCCCCTAGTGAACATAGAAACAAAAAACTCTAAACAAAATATTAGCAAACTGAATCTAGCAATATAAGAATATAAAAAATATAATGGGTCCAAAAAAAAACAGTAGACAGAATAACTAAGACCTACTATTTGATAGCACAACAGGGTGACTATAGTCAATAATAACTGTACATTTTAAAATAACTTAAAGAGTGTAATTGAATTGTTTGCAACTCAATGGATAAATGCTTGAGGGGATGGATACCCCATTCTTCATGGTGTGCTTATTTCACATTGCATGACTATATCAAAACATCTCATGTACCTCATAAATACATACACCTACTATGTACCCACAAAAATTAAAAATTAAAAAAAAAATAATACATCATGTGTAAGTGTGGTTTATATCAGGAATGCAAGGTTGGTTTACATTTGAAAATCAATCAATATAATTGACCATGTTAATAAATTAACAAAGAAAAGCCATGGGCTCATCTCAATAGATGCAGAAAAATCATTTGACAAAACCAATATCTATGGCTGATAACAATTCTCAGCAATATAGGAGTAGAAGTAAAGATCCTCAACCTATTAAAGCACATCTATGAAAATCCTATACCTAACAAACTTAATGGTGAAAGACTGGGTGCCTTCCTTATAAAATCAGTAACAAGTCAGGGATGTTTGTTCTCACCTCTTATATTCAGCATTGCCTTAGTCTGTTTTGTGCCGTTATAACAGAATACCTGAGACTGGGTAATTTACAAAGAACAGAAATTAATTACTGATAATTCTGAAGGCTGTGAAGTCCAAGATCAAGTCACCAGCAGGTTAGAGCCTGACCTCTCTGCTGCCAAGATGATGCCTCAAACACTGCATCCTCTGGAGGAGAGGAACGCTGTGTCCTCATGTGGTAGAAGAGAGCAAACCCACTCCCACAAGTCCTTTTTTTATAATGGCATTAATCCATTTAGAGGGCAGAGCCCTCAAAACCTAAACATCTCCCAAAAGGCCCCACTTCCCAACACTGCTGCAACTAGGGATCAAGTTTCCAACACATGAATTTTGGGGGATGCATCCAGACCATAGCAAACATTGTACTGGAGGGTCTGGACAGAGAAATTAGAAAATAAAATGCAATAAAAGCTCACAAATGATAAAGGAAGAAGTATTCTCTTTACTTGGAGATAATTGCTCATATGCAGAAAACCAGTTACAATCTAAAAAAAGTTCTAGAACTGAAAGTGAGTTTAGCAAGGTTGCAGGCTACATCATTAATGTTTTTTTAAAATTTCATTTATATATATTAGTAATTGACAATTGAAATTGAAATTTTAAAATACCACTTAGTTCGGGCGTGGTGGCTTACACCTGTAATCCCAGCACTTTGGGAGACGGAGGCAAGTGGATTGCTTGAGGTCAGGAGTTCAAGACCAGCCTGACCCACATGGTCAAAACCCATCTCTACTAAAAATACAAACATTAGTCGGGCGTGATGGCACACACCTGTAGTCCCAGCTACTCAGGAGGCTGAGGTGGGAAAATCGCTTGAACCCAGGAGGCGGAGATTGCAGTGAGCTGAGATCACACCACAGCACTCCATCCTGTGGATCGCACCATTGCACTTCAGTTTTATATACAAATGGTCGTAGAAGCTTTATTTGCAATAGTTACAAACTGGAAAGAGCCCAAATGTGCATCAACAGGTAAATGGATAAACAAATTGTGGTATAGCCATACAGCAAAATACTACTTAGCAAAAAAAGAAAAGGACTATTGATATATATAATAACATAGGTGTGGCCGGGCGCAGTGGCTCATGCCTGTAATCCCAGCACTTTGGAAGACCGAGGTGGGCAGATCATGAGGTCAAGAGATCGAGACCATCCTGGCCAACATGGTAAACCCCCGTCTCTACTAAAAATACAAAAATTAGCTGGGTGTGGTGGTGCACGCCTGTAGTCCCAGCTACTCAGGAGGCTGAGGCAGGAGAATCACTTGAGCCCAGAAAGGCAGAGGTTGCAGTGAGCCGAGATGGTACTACTGCATTCCAGCCTGGGCAGTAGCAAGACCTTGTCTCAAAAAAAAAAAAAAAAACCAGCAACAACAAAAAAAACTAACATAGGTGAATCTGAAAATAATTCTTCTGAGTGAAAGAAGTCAGAAAAAAATTGATGTATGATTCAATCAATCAATGAATCAAAACGTATAAATTCTTTTTTGGGGGGGGTTCTTTTTTTTTTTGAGTTAGGGTCTCGCTCTGTTGCCCAGGCTGGAGTGAAATGGTGTGATCTTGGCTCACTGCAACCTCCGTCTCCGGGGTTCAAAGGATTCTTCCACCTCACCAAGGTAGCTGGGACTACAGGTGTGTGCCACCACGTCTGGCTATTTTTTGTGTTTTTAGTAGAGACAGGTTTTCACCACGTTGGCCAGGCTGATCTTGAACTCCTTGAGTCATCCGCCTTGGCCTCCCAAAGTGCTGGGATTACAGGCGTGAGCCACTGTGCCCAGGCAAAACATAAATTCTTAAAAAACACAAACTAGGCCAGGCGAGGTGGCTCACGCCTGTAATCCTAGCACTTTGGGAGGCCAACACGGGAGGATTGCTTGAATTCAGGAGTTTGAGACCAGCCTGGGCAACACAGTAAGATCTCGTCTGTACTAAATTTTTTTTAAAAAATTAGTCAGCCATGGTGTGAATGCCTGTAAGTCCCAGCTACTTGGGAGGCTGAGGTGGGAGGATCATTTAAGCCCAGTAGGTCGAGGCTGCAGTAAGCCATGTTTGTGCCACTGCACACCAGCCTGGGTAACAAAGTGAGACCCTTTGAGGGTCAAAGTGAGATTGTACACTTAAAATATGTGCAGTTTATTGTATGCCAGTCATACTTCAGTAAAGCTGTTAGAAAGAACTGACCCACACAAATATGTCCAACTGACTTTTGACGAAGATGCAAAAGTAATTTGGTGAAGTGTGAGAAAAGGCTAAGGCCTGACAGACTTCGCCAATAAAAAAGACACTATGAGTGCTTTTAAGATTCAGACAGTTTATTACTTACCTGGGGAGTGAAAAGAAGTGTAGCCAAAGGTGCCAGCTCCCTGTGGTCCTTGTTTCACACACCAAAAAGGATGACATCAAAACAAAAGGGACCTCTTATCCTCTTGTATACCGAGAAGATCACAAGGAGTTCTGCCAAGATTCAGATAAACTGCAGGTCAAGTCTTTGTCTGTGTGGTCTCTGTTGTCAGGTTGCCATGACAGAGCTGTTCCTCTACACATAAAAGCCGCAGACCCTGAGGTTTGAACAGATTTCTCTGGGCAGAGTTATTCCTCACATGGTCCTGTAGTTCACTGCAAGAGAGAAAGCACATCCTGTGTGGCTTCAGATGGGGAAGTCTATGCCTGACCTCTCTGGACTCTGTCCAATGCATGCATTTTTCCTGTTGTTTTTGCTCTGTTTCCTTTCCTTAATAAACTTTAGCAGTGAGTAAAACCTGCTATATTGACTCTTGTGACTCCTTCTAGTGAATCACTAAACCTGGGGTGGTCATGGGACCCCAGAAACACGGGAATTTTCTTTTTAACAAATGGTGCTGGAAAATTTGCACATCCATAGGCAGAAATAAACAATAAACCTATACCTAAGCCTCATACTTTATACAAAAATTAACTCAAATTTGATCTTTGATTTAAATGTAAAATTATAAAGCTTTTAGAAGAGAACACAGGAGGCTGGGCATGGTGGCTCACACCTGTAATCCCAGCACTTTGGGAGACTGTGGTGAGCCGATCATTTGAGTTCAGGAGTTTGAGACCAGCCTGGGCAAAATGGTGAAACCCTGTCTCTACTAAAAATATAGAAATTAGCAGAGTGTCATGGTGCATGCCTCTAATCCCAGCTACTCAGGAGGCTGAGACAGGAGAATCACTTGAAACTGGGAGGTAGAGGTTGCAGTAAGCTGAGATAGTGCTGCTGCACTCCAGCCTGGGCGACAGAATGAGACTCTGTCTCAAAAAAAAAAAAAAAAAAAAAAAAAAAAGCCGGGTGCAGTGGCTCATGCTTGTAATCCCAGCACTTTGGGAGGCCAAAGTGGGCAGATCACGAGGTCAAGAGATGGAGACCATCCTGGCCAACATGGTGAAACGCCCCGTCTCTACTAAAAATACAAAAATTAGCTGGGCGTGGTCGTGCACGCCTGTAGTCCCAGCTACTCGGGAGGCTAAGGCAGGAGAATCGCTTGAACCAGGGAGGCGGAGGTTGCAGTGAGCTAAGATTGCACCACTGCACTCCAGCCTGGCAACAAAGCAAGACACTGTCTAAAAAAAAAAAAAAAAAAAAAAAAAAAAAAAAAAAAAAAAGAAGAAGAAGAAGAAGAAGAAGAAGAAGAAGAAAGACAAAGAAAAAAGAAAAGGCCGGGCACGGTGGCTCACGCCTGTAATCTCAGCAATTTGGTTGGGAGGCTAAGGCGGGTGGATCACCTGAGGTCAGGAGTTCGAGACCAGCCTGGCCAACATGGTGAAACCCCGACTCTACTAAAAATACAAAAATTAGCCGGGTGTGGTGGTGCACGCCTGTAATCCCAACTACTGGGGAGGCTGAGGCAGGAAAATCGTTTGAGCCTGGGAGGCAGAGGTTGCAGTGAGCTGAGATCATGCCACTGCACACCAGCCTGGGCAAAAGAGTGAGACTCCGTCTTAAAAAAAGAAGAAGAAGAAGAAAACACAGTAGAAAGAAAATCACCATGATTTGGAGTTAGGTGAAGGGAACATAGACATGACACCAAAAGCACAATGCATAGAAGGAAAAAACCTAAACATATTGATGAAAAGCTCACAGAACTTCTGCTCTATGAAAGACATCTGTTAAGATGATAAAAAGACAAGCTCTGGGGCTAGGCGTGGTGGCTCATGGCTGTATTCCTAGCACTTTGGAAGGCCAAGGCGGGCCGATCGCTTGAGCTCAGGAGTTTGAGACCAGCCTGGGCAACATGGCGAAACCCCGTCTCTACAAAAAATACAAAAATTAGCCAGGCATGGTGGCGTGCACCCGTAGTCCCAGCTACTTGGTGGCTAAGGTGGGAGGATCGCATGAGCCCAGAAGGTCAAGGCTACAGGAAGCCAAGGTTGTGCCACTGCACTCAATCCTGGGTGACAAGATGAGACCTTGTCTCAAAAAAAAAATTATCTGGGCATGCTGGCATGCACCTGTAGTCCCGGCTATTCAGGGGGCTGAGGTGGGAGGATCACTTGAGCCAGGGAGATTGTGGCTACAGTTAGCCATGATCACACCACTGCACTGCAGCCTGGGCAACAGAGTGAGGCCCTGTCTCAAAACAAACAAACAAACAAACAAACAAAAAACAAGCTACAGTCAGGGAGAACATATTTGCAAATCACATCTCTAACAAAGAATATATATCCAGAATATATAAAGAACTCCCAAAACTCATCTGTAATAAACCAACCACCCAGTTTTTAAATGGGTAAAAGAAGACTTGAACAGACATGTCACCAAAGACAATATACTGGTGGCAGATATATACATGAAAAGATGTTCAATATCACTAGCCATTAGGGATATGCCAATCAAAATCACAACGAAATGCTGTTATGCACCTACTCAAATGTCTGAAAAAGAAAACACTGATAACAACAAATGCTGATGAAGATGTCAAGAAATAGGATCTTTCATATGTTTTTGGTAGGGATGTAAAATGGTAGAGGCAGGCTGGGCGCGGTGGTTCACGCCTATAATCCCAGCAGTTTGGGAGGCTGAGGTGGGCAGATCACTTGAGGTCAGGAGTTCGAGACCAGCCTGGCCAACATGGTGAAACCCTGTCTCTATTAAAAGTACAAAAATTAGCCAGGCTTGGTGGCAGGCGCCTGTAATCTCAGCCACTCAGGAGTCTGAGACAGAAGAATCGCTTGAATCTGGGAGCCAGAGGTTGCAGTGAGCCAAGATCATGCCACTGCACTCCAGCCTGGGTAACAGAGCAAGTCTCCATATCAATAAAGATAATAATAATAATAATAAAGGGCAGAGCCACTCTAGAAATCATTCTGTCAGTTTCTTAAAAAGTTAAATGTAGGCTGGGTGTGGTGGCTCACGCCTGTAATCCCAGCACTTTGGGAGGCCGAGGCAGGCGGATCACGAGGTCAGGAGATTGAGACCATCCTGGCTAACATGGTGAAACCCTGTCTCTGCTAAAAATACAAAAAATTATCCGGGCGTGGTGGCACGAGCCTGTAGTCCAACTACTCAGGAGGCTTAGGCAGGAGACTCATTCGAACCTGGGAGGCGGAGGTTGCAGTGAGCCGAAATCACACCACTGCACTCCAACCCGGGCAACAGAGTGAGACTCCATCTCTAAAAAAAAAAAAAAAAGTTAAACATAGAGTTACCATATGGTGCAGCAATCACAGCAATCACATTCCTGGGCATTTATCCCAGAGAAACTAAAACCCATACCTACAGAAAAACCTATACTCAAATGTTCATAGCAGCTTTTTTTGTAATAACCAAAATTTAAAAATAAGTCAAATGTCCTTCAACAGATGAATGATTAAACACACTGTGGTACATCCGTACCATGGAATATTACTCAGCAATAAAAAAGGAACGTATCATTGCTACATCCAACAACCAAGATGGATCTTATGGGCATTGTGCTGAATAAAAAGGACAGTTTCAGCTAGGCACGGTGGCTCATGCCTGTAATCCCAGCATTTTGGGAGGCCGAGGTGGGTGGATCACCTGAGGTCAGGAGTCTGAGACCAGCCTGGCCAATGTGGTAAAACCCCATCTCTACTAAAAATACAAAAATTAGCCAGGTGTGGTGGCCTGTGCCTGTAGTCCCAGCTACTTGGGAGGCTGAGGCACGAGAATCGCTTGAACCCGGATGGCGGAGGTTGCAGTGAGCCGAGATCACGCCACTGTACTCCAACCTGGGCAACAGAGCGAGACTTGGTCTCAAAAATTAAAATTTAAATTTAAAAAAAGCCAGTCTCAAAATGTCACATACTGTATGATTCCATTTATATAACATTCTCAAAATGACAAAATTATATAGATGGAGCATATATAAGTGGCTGCCAGGATTAGTTGTAGGGAAGAGAGGAAGTAAAAATAAAGGGGCAGCATGAGGAACTTCCATGGTAGTAATGGAGCAGTTCTGTCTCTTCATTGTAGTGGCAGTGGTCACACAAATCTATGCACATGAGAGCTACCATATGATCGAGCCATCCCACTACTGGGCATATACCCAAAAGAGAGGAAATCAGTATATCAAAGAGATATCTGCACTCACATGTTTGTTGCAGCACTGTTTACAATAGCCATGATTTGGAAGCAACCTAAGTGTCCATCAACAGATGAATGGATAAAGAAATGTGGTAATTATACACAATGGTATACTATTCAGTCATAAGAAAGAGTGAGATCCTGTCATTTGTAACACGGATGGAACTGGAGGTCATTATGCTAAATGAAGTAAGCCAGGTACAGAAAGACAATCATCACATGTTGTCACTTATTTGTGGGATCTAAAAATCAAAACAATTGAACTTATGGAGATAGAGAGTAGAAGGATGGTGGCCGGGTGTGGTGGCTCACACCTGTAATCTCAGCATTTTGGAAGGCTGAGGCAGGCAAATCACTTGAGGTCAGGCGTTGGAGACCAGCCTAGCCAACATGGCGAAAGCCCATTCTATAGTAAAAATATAAAAATTAGCCAGGCATGGTGGCACATGCCTGTAGTCCCAGCTACTCGGGAGGCTGAGGCAGGAGAATCGCTTGAACCCAGGAGGCGGAGGTTTCAGTGGCCAAGACCGCACCACTGCACTCCAGCCTGGGCGACAGAGTAAGACTCCTTCTCAAAAAAAATAAGAGAGAGAGAGTAGAAGGATGCTTACCAGAGGCTGGGAAATGTAGTAGGGGGAAGGGCAGGAGTTAGGGATGGTTAATGTGTACACAAAATAGAAAGAATGAATAAGACCTAGTGTGTGATAGCACAACAGGGTGACTATAGCCAGTAACAATGTAATTGTACATTTTGAAATAACTATAAGAGTATAACTGAATTGTTTATAATACAAAGGATAAATGGTTGAGGTGATGGATATCCCATTTTACATGATGTGATTATTATGCATTACATGCCAGTATCAAAACATGTCATGAACCTCATACACATATACACCTACTATGTACCCACAAAAATTAAAATTAAACAATTTTTTAAATCTATACACGTGAGGAAATGTTATATAATCACAAAGACATACAAAAAAACAATATGTGCATGCCAAAACTGGTGAAACCTAATTAAGACTTCCAGTCTGGTTAGTTGCATTGTGCCAGTTAATGTTCTCGTTTTGACAATGCACTGTAATTACAGAAAATGTCACCAATGGGAGAAGCTGTGTGATAGGTACATGGAACGTCTCTGTACTATTTATTTCAACTTCTTTTGAGTGTATAATTATCCCAAAGTAAAAAGTTAAAAATTTATAATTCCGCTAATGAAAAATGTTAAGTATGCTTGGAACAACTTGAGTATGTGAATCCATATTTCCTTTCTTCCTTTCTTTCTTTTTTCTTTCCTCCTTCCTTTCTTTCTTTCTCCCTTTTTTTTTTTTTTTTTTTTTGAGACAGAGTCTCACTGTGTCACCCAGGTTGGAGTGCAGTGGTGCAATCTCGGCTCACTGTAACCTCCTCCTCCCAGGTTCAAGTGATTCTCCTGCCTCAGCCTCCTGAGTAGCTGGGGTTACAAGCACGTGCCACCACACCTGGCTAATTTCTGTATTTTTAGTAGAGACAGAGTTTTGCCATGTTGGCCAAGCTGGTCTCGAACTCCTGACCTCAGGTGATTCACCTGCCTCGGCCTCCCAAAGTGCTGGGATTACAGGCGTGAGCCACCGAGCCTGGCTAATCCATATTTTCAACTGTAAATTTTATGAAATCTAAAAACAGATCAAGAAGCCTGGGAAGCCTAGGAGCTTCCTTGGGGGAGGGGCTCCATGGAGCTAAAACCCATACTTCTGAAAAGGGGTCATCTGCTTGCTGGTGCTGAAATCTCTGAGCTTGGAAGAGGATCCCTGTGATGCTGGTGAGAGGTGACAGCGTGCTGGCAGTCCTCACAGCCCTCGCTTGCTCTTGGCACCTCCTCTGCCTGGGCTCCCACTTTGGTGGCATTTGAGGAGCCCTTCAGCCCCCCCACTGCACTGTGGGAGCCCCTTTCTGGGCTGGCCAAGGCCGGAGCCCACTCCCTCAGCTTGCAGGGAGGTGTGGAGGGAGAGGCACGAGCGGGAACCGGGGCTGCGTGCGGCACTTGCGGGCCAGCTGGAGTTCTGGGTGGGCGTGGGCTTGGTGGGCCCCCACACTCGGAGCAGCCAGCCAGCCCTGCTGGCCCCGGGCAATGGGCGACTTAGCACCGGGGCCAGTGGCTGCGGAGGGTGTACTGGGTCCCCCAGCAGTGCGGGCCCACCGGCGCTGTGCTCGATTTCTCGCCGGGCCTTAGCTGCCTTCCCGCGGGGCAGGGCTCAGGACCTGCAGCCCACCATGCCTGAGCCTCCCACCCACTCCATGGGCTCCTGTGCGGCCCGAGCCTCCCCGACGAGCACCACCCCCTGCTCCACAGCGCCCAGTCCCATCGACCACCCAAGGGCTGAGGAATGCGAGCGCACTGCACAGGACTAGCAGGCAGCTCCACCTGCAGTCCCGGTGCGGGATCCACTAGGTGAAGCCAGCTGGACTCCTGAGTCTGGTGGGGACGTGGAGAGTCTTTATATCTAGCTCAGGGATTGTAAATACACCAATCAGCACCCTGTGTTTAGCTCAAGGTTTGTGAGTGCACCAATCGACACTCTGTATCTAGCTGCTCTGGTGGGGCCTTGGAGAACCTGTGTGTCCAAACTCTGTATCTAACTAATCTGATGGGGACATGGAGAACCTTTGTATCTAGCTCAGGGATTGTAAACGCACCAATCAGCACTGTGACAAAACAGGCCACTCAGCTCTACCAATCAGCAGGATATGGGTGGGGCCAAATAAGAGAATAAAAGCAGGCTGCCTGAGCCAGCATTGACAACCTGATTGGGGCCCCTTCCACAGCGTGGAAGGTTTGTTCTTTCGCTCTTTGCAATAAATCTTGCTACTGCTCACTCTTTGGGTCCACGCTGCTTTTATGAGCTGTAACACTCACTGTGAAGGTCTGCAGCTTCACTCCTGAGCCCAGCAAGACCATGAGCCCACCGGGAGGAACGAACAACTCCAGACGCGCTACTTTAGGAGCTGTAACACCCACCGCGAAGGTCTGCAGCTTCACTCCTGAGCCAGCGAGACCAGGAACCCACCAGAAGGAAGAAACTCCGAACACATCTGAACATCAGAAGGGACAGACTCCAGACGTGCCACCTTAAGAGCTGTAACACTCACCGCGAGGGTCCGCGGCTTCATTCTTGAAGTCAGTGAGACCAAGAACCCACCAATTCCGGACACATTGGGACCCAGATTTCTAAGGAGGGGCACAGACTGTTGGTGTTGTCTATGAGCAGGGCATGTCGAGATTAGTTCTTACTCTCTTACTTTTTTTTTTTTTTTTGAGAGGGAGTTTTGCTCTGTCGCCACGCTGGAGTGCAGTGGTGCAATCTCGGCTCACTGCAACCTGCGCCTCCCGGGTGCAAGTGATTCCCCTGCCTCAGCCTCCCGAGTGGCTGGGACTACAGGCACGTGCCACCACACCCAGCTAATTTTTTGTATTTTAGTAGAGACGGGGTTTCACCATGTTGGCCAGGATGGTCTCCATCTCCTGACCCCGTGATCTGCCCACCTCGTCCTCCCGAAGTGTTGGGATTACAGGCCTGAGCCACCTCGCCCGGCAGAGATTGGTTCTTTCAAGTGATGGAAAAACTGTAAACTGGACTCACTCAATTCTACAGGAAGGACTTGCTCTTTTCAGGGTAAAGAGGCAAGGCCGGGGTGGCGCTCATAGGAACTACAAGCAGACAGGCAACCCACCTAGGAGCAAGTCCTTTTCTCCTTCAGCTTTGCAATCCCCCTCTACAGACCCCTATTGGCAGAAGCTAACACAAAGCCAGCAGACAAAACTGACTTGTGGTTTTCAGTGTCCTATTGCTAGCATCACGAAATAAGGTATAGAAGAGTGGGTTTGGGACCCGGCGCAATGGCTCACTCTTGTAATCCCAGAACTTTGGGAGGCAGAAGCGGGAGATCACTTGAGGTCAGGAGTTCGAGACCAGCCTGGCCAACATGGTAAAACCCTATCTCGACTAAAAATACAAAAATTAGCTAGACATGGTGGCAGGCGCCTGTAATCCCAGCTACTCAGGAGGCTGAGGCAGGAGAATTGCTTGAACCTGGGAGGCGGAGGTTGCAGTGAGCCGAGATCCCGCCACTACACTCCAGCCTGGGTGATAGAGCAAGACTCAGTCTCAAAAAAAAAAAAAAAAGACTGGTTTTGGAGCTGAGACAATAACCTAATAACTGCCAAAATACAACTGTGGCAAAGCCATTTAGCTATCCCCCAAATATCAGTACTGCCTTTTCATCATGCTAAATAGTGGCAGCGAGGTGGCTCTGCAGATCGGAACTACCATTTCTTAGTTCCTCTTGCATCTAGGTGATACTTTATGACAGGTATGTGTGACATTCAGGCCAATCTAAGAACCCACTCTTTCTTGTTTCCCATGCGTTGACTAGTTTTGTCAGCATCCAGGGTGACTTTTGATGCCATATGTTGAAAGTGACAGAGCTAGTGTTACCATAACAGATACATAATAATGCTCTAGACACTTTCGCACTCCTCATAGTTACCATGAGATTGCCAAGGAGGTTTTAAAATCCACCAGCAGGGAGCTCACAAATGCTTATCAAAATACTACCCCCAAATACATGCTACCTTCAATATAAGAAGAAATATTCCTTTTACCCTTTGAACTTAGTTTATTTAGCTGAGAAAAAGTGATACTCTTAAGAGTTTTAGAGACTTTATTCATGCATTCTAAATTGGAGAATACTTAGTGTTGATAATGCTTCTGGTGTAATGCTGCAATTATGTTATAATAGCACACTATTAAACTTGTTAAGAATTTCTGTAAAATACACTGGGTGGGGAGTGGACAATGGGGATGAATTCCAGTGCCTCTCTCTTCACCAGAACAAAAATGCTGTGTTTTTTTAAAATGATGCAGTGTGAGATTACTAACAAGTGGCCATCTTCAGACTCTAATTGAAGTCACATGTTAACACACAAATTTGAACTTCCACCAGCTCCTTCATTCAACAAAGGTGTAAAAAAAGTTAGGGTTTTCGTAAGGGAATGACCCTTAGGCACCAATCCTAGAAAAAAAAACTATGTTTAAAATTTTCTCAGATATTGGGGCTAAATACAAAGGAGATAAACAAAGAAAGATTTTTCTGGGTTAGTCAGAGCAGTTGCTTTAAAATTTCCCATCCTTTTGTAAAAAAGGAAGCCTAGAACCTCTGCAACAAAGTCATACGCTTACTTAAATTCCCTTTTAGATTGTTTAAATTTAAATTTGTTTAAAGTTTAACTTGTTTTCTGCCTTTACATTTTGAAATATCATGAAGAAATCTGGTCAAATACGTTTTTAGAAAGGTAACCGGCAACCTCTCATGAAGATCATGTTGGATGTTGGCTCAAGAGGCCAGAAAGTGAAGAGGAGGCAGCCGTAGCAATGTCTCAGTGGATTGGTCGGAAGGTCTTCCTGGACCTCAGAGTTCTGCTTCCCAAGGCGGAGATGTTCTGGAAGACTAGTGAAGATGTCTTAGAGAGGAATTTGATACTTCTTTAGCTTTCTCTTCCTCTCAGTCAAGTTTCCCTGGTAGCAGAGAAGGAGAGTGATTGACAAAGGGACTAGAAAGAGAACTGGAGTGGCTTTGATGAATAAGGACAAGCACCAGGAGGGCTCTGACACACTTACCAGGTGTGGGAGAGCAGCAGGCTTGCATGTAAGCGTGGGTGCACGTGTGTGTGTGTGTGTGTGTGTGCCTGCTCCCTCCTCTCCTCTTGCCCCTTCCTTCTCCTTCTACCTCCTCTCCTCTCTCTCCCTCTCTCCCCTCTCCCCTTTTCTCCCTTCTCTACCTCTCCTTCTTCCTCTCCCTCTACCTAGGCATGTGCTGATATACCTTGATATAAACTTGAACTCCCTGAACCCTGATCCTACCAAGTGCAACTCTTTACCATGCTCACTTTACTTTCACTTGCTTCCTTTCTCCTGAGACTTCCCTAAAAAATGTTTGCTATGTTTGCCTATGATATTACCGCCTTTTTTAGTGTTATGAACTCCCAGTTCTCTCTTCTAAGTTAGGCTCAAAGGAATGATATATAGTTGTAGTTTACATAGAATAGAATAAAAATTTACAAAGTTGTGCCAAATACACAAAATACATTTATTTTTATTAGAATTCTGTACCAGTAGAAGTAAACAGGTTTACCTTCTGAAGTTTAAGGGGCTATCAAGTCACTCAAAGATCAATGTGGATTAAGGCACACCAAGTGATTAAACTATTTGTATCTGAGATTAGCTGCCAACCTCCAAAATACTCTCCTCAGTAGCTTTCCACTTACCCTTGAAATTCTCACCAATTCCCAGCACAATCATAGCTCACTGCAGCCTCAAACTCCTGGGCTCAAGGGATCCTCCCACCATGTCTGGCAGAACCTTCCTGTGGAAGGCAGGGCCTTCCGAAGAGATACAAACAGGTTTCCAGAGTATTGGCACAAAACAGTGAAGTAATTTACATTTATGATAAATGATTTGGCATAGTCCCTGCTTCACAACTGGGTAGTGATTAAAGCTCTCTGAGATTTGGTTTCTTCATTTGTTTTAAAAAAATTCTCTCTCTTCTCTGTACTTGATGCCCATTTCGTGGGGTCCTTGAGCAGCTGCATTAATTATCCAATAAGATGCAAGCTGACAAGACTGAAGGTGGTCTCCCTTCCTGTGATATTTACATTTTAATAATAGTATCTCAATAACTTATATCTGATAGATATTTGTGAGCTCTCGTATAATCTTCCCACCAGTTCTGTATGGTAGCCTGATTATACATCTATCTTATTGCCAAGGAAATGATCTAAGAGAGGTTTAAATGACCTGACCATCATCATAGAACAAGTCAGTGGTAGAATAAAGATCAGAAATCATATTTTCTGCCGGACATGGTGGGAGGATAGCTTGAGCCCAGGAGTTCAATACTGCAGCGAGCTATGATCGTGCCGGTGAATTGCCACTGCACTCCAGCCTGGGAAATATTACAAGACATTGTCTCCAAAAAAAAAGAAAAGAAAAGAAAAAGAAAAGAAAATAAATTATATCTCCCACTCCTAGCAAGTGCTTTTCCCTAGGGGTGAATATTTTCAGCCTCTGTGTTTCTGGACCTTCCATGGTTTGTTTCTGATGATTTGGACAGAAGAGAGGGCAATCCCAGTCTTGCCCTGAGCATAAAACCACTAGCATCAACCCTAGTTTATTATGTGCACACTATGTGCTTTGCCTCACATCCAGATCCTCTTCCTCGACTCTGGAATCCCCTACCAGTCCTTCATGGTCTGGCTAGAGACCTTCTCCAGGCAGCCTCTCCTGATCAAAACCACACTAGAGTCATTCTTTCCTCAAATTAAATCCCCTCAGAACATGTGAATCCATAATCCTCCACTAGTTGGGCTTTTTTGTGCGTGTTGGTGGTGGGTGGGAGGTTCCATATACCAGTTTTCAGGGAAAAGAGAAAAGTGACAACATAACCAACTATCAGAGTTTTAGTTGAACTGCCAGATTTTAGGCAATGACTGGGATTGATACAAATTCAGTTCAATTTCATCCACTTTTTCTGTCTAGCTAAACTTCTGAGAAGTGATCACTGATGATCTGATGATAATGGGGTTAACCTAGAGGCTCTTTAAGGTCCTCAAAGGAAGAGAAAATCAATGGTCGCATTTGGGGACATTTGTTATCACAACACTCTCCAAAGGTGACCTGGGCATGTCTGATAACTGCATTTTTCATCCATTCGACAAATAAAATTCATCGCACAAAGGATCAAAGCCCTGGGATGCTGAGAAGGAAATTTGCATAGGAATTTCAATACTGAAAAGGTCAGCGATCCAATGAGACTAGCTAGCCCTGGGGAGTTCTGAAGCCCTTGTTCTAAGGAAAGGAAACGAAATGGGGTTCTCTTTCATTTTGAATGATGATGAGATGACTTACGATAACAAGTCTGACTTCAAAGTGGTGAGCTATCCCATTTGAGCTTCAGCTGCATTAAAATTGATGGCTTCAAGGACCAGAAAGATATGCTTATTAGTTGCATGACTGGAGAGTTACAGGGCTATCTACTCTTTGGAGTTAAAACTCTTTTGGGTGCCCTAGCAAAGTGAGGTAGCACATTCTGCTTAACTACAGAGAATCATTTCTGAAGTCATATATACTAAGATATGCTTCAGATGTCTATGTCAGCCTAAAGTTTTCCAAAATAGTTCAGTTCAACAAATAGTTCTCAAATGTCTATTGTCCAGGCACCGTGCTGGTTGCTGGAGATGGAGAGATATTAATAACGAGTTATAAGTGTCAGGCATTACTCAGAGTTTCTTACTATGTAAGACCCTCTGCCAGATGCTTTAGATACATCATCTCATTTCATTCTTTCCATTACCCTGTGAGGTATTCTTAGCCCCACTTTATATGGTCTCTAGCCAGATCATGAGGGATCTGTAGGGGGTTCCAGAGTGAGGAAGAGGATCTGGACATGAGTCAAAGCACACAGTGCACAAAATAAACTAGGGTCGATGCTAGTGGTTTTATGCTCAGGACAAGGCTGGAATTGTCCTCTCTTTTTCTGTCCAGATAGTCAGAAATAAACCATGGAGGGTGCAGAAATAGAAAGATTGGAAATGTTTACCCCTGGGGAAAAGCACTGGCTAGGAGTGAGGAGATACCACTTTACAGGTGAAAAAAGCAAGTCATAGAAAGGTTAAATAATTTGGCCAGGCATGGTGGTGCATGTCTGCAATCCCAGCACTTTGGGAGGCCAAGACAGGCAGATCACCTGAGGTCAGGAGTTCGAGACCAGCCTGGTCAACATAGTGAAACCCTATCTCTACTAAAAATACAAAAACTTGCTGGGCATGGTGGTGCACACCTGTAGTCTCAGCTACTCGGGAGGCTGAGGTGGTAGAATCGCTTGAACCTGGGAGGCAGAAGTTGCAGTGAGCCAACATCGTGCCACTGCACTCCAGCCTGGGCAACAGAGCAAGACTCCATCTAAAAAAAAAAAAAAAAAAAGAAAGGTTAAATAATTTGCCTAAGGTTACACACCCAATACATAGCAGAGATGGAACTTAACCCCAGTTCTGTCTAATTCCAAACTCCATGATCTTAACCACTATACCATACTGCCTTAGATATTAATACATTTTAAGAGCCTCATGGTAGACTAGCAGGCACATATGAAATGACGCATTTTCTAATTATTATGCTAAATGCTAAGATAGAAGCATGCCGGAATACAGAGGATGTGCCCTTGGGAAGTAGCACTGCATATGGATTTAGAGCACAGACTCCAAAGCTATAACTGCCTGATGGGTTCTTCTGCCCACAGCACAGACAAAACCAGACCACGGCATTGCAATAGAGAAAGAGTTTAGGCCAGGCACAGTGGCTTACGCCTGTAGTCCCAGCACTTTGGGAGGCCAAGGCAGGTGGATCACTTAAGCCCAAGAGTTGGAGACCAGCCTTGGCAACATGGCGAGACCCTGTCTCTACAAAAAATACAAAAATTAGCAGGGTGTGGTGGCTCACACCTGTGGTCCCAGCTACTCAGGAGGCTAAGGTGGGAGGATCTCTTGAGCCTGGGAGTTTAAGGCTGCAGTGAGCCATGATTGCACCACTGCACTCAGCCTGGATGACAGAGTGAGACCCTCTACCCGCCCCCCCCCCAAAAAAAGAATTTAATAGATATGAGGCTAGCCATGCCATGTGGGAAATGGAGTCATCATTGCAATCAGTCTCCCTGATAATTTGGGGGCTAGGGTTTTTCAAAGACAGTTTAGAAGAAGGGATGGGGGTAGCTAAGTAATGGGTGCTTGCTGCTGATTGGTTGGTGGTACAAACATGGGGGTATGGGAAATGGTCCTCATGCGCACTGAGTCACTTTTGGTTGAGGCCACAGGAGTGGTTGGCAGGTTCAGGTGGAGCCATCAGTCCTTCAGACACGCGAAAACCCTGAAATGATATCTCAAAAAGCCAATCTTAGGTTCTACAATAGTGATGTTATCTGCAGAGTAAATGGGGAAGTTGCGTATCTGGTGACCTCTGGAATAATGGTTACCAATCGTTTATGTCTACACTTTGGCAGAATTCGGCTCCTTTATCCTCCTAACCTGGTGGTCTCTCATTAGCTTTTAAAAGGCAGTTGAGTTTTGGGTAAGGGCTATTAGCATTTAAACTATAGGCCCAGCGTGGTAGCACACATTTGTAATCCCAGAACTTTGGGAGGCTGAGGTGGGCAGATCACTTGAGGCCAGGAGTTCCAGACCAGCCTGGCCAACATGGCGAAACCCTGCCTCTACTAAAAATGCAAAAATTAGCCAGGTGTGGTGGTGCACGCCTGTAGTACCAGCTACTCAGGAGGCTGAGGCACGAGAATCACTTGCACCTAGGAGGCAGAGTTTGCAGTGAGCTGAGATCGCACCACTGCACTCCAGCCTGGGTGACAGAGCAAGACTGTGTCTCAAAATAAAAATAAACTATAAACTAAATATCTCCCAAAGTTAGCTTGGCCCAAGCCCAGGAATAATTAAGGGTAGCTTGAAGGCTAAAGGCAAGATGGGGATTGGCTAGATCAGATCTCCCCCACTGCCATACTTTTCTCACTGTTAAAATTTTTGCAAAGGCAGTTTCAAAGCCAGACAGCCTGGATCTGAAGTGTGGATTTGCCACTTACAAATTATGTGAACATGGGCAACTTAAACCTCTATGTGCCTCAGTTTCCTCATCTGAAAATCAAGATAATAACAAAACTTAATTCATAGAGTTGTGAGGATTAAATGTGCTTAGAATATAATTCCTGACACAGAGTAAGCACTACACTACACCAGTGTTAGATAAAATGAATAAGCTTAACTCCAAATGAGGTTACAGGAAAGCTTTTTGGAAGGACTGATGCCTGGAGCTGAGTCACAGAAGATGAATAAGAGTTAGCCAGGTGAGGGCCGGGTGCAGTGGCTCACACCTGTAATCCCAGCACTTTGGGAGGCCAAAGTGGGCGGATCACGAGGTCAGGAGATTGAGACCATCCTGATCAACATGGTGAAACCCTGTCTCTACTAAAAATACAAAAAAAAAATTAGCCAGGCGTGGTGGCGGACGCCTGTAGTCCCAGCTACTCTGGAGGCTGAGGCAGGAGAATGGCATGAACCCAGAAGGCGGAGCTTGCAGTGAGCCGAGATGGCGCCACTGCACTCCAGCCTGGGCGACAGAGCAAGACTCCGTCTCAAAAAAAAAAAAAAAAAAAAAAAAAATTAGCCGGGTGTGGTGGCATGTGTCTGTAATCCCAGCTACTCTGGAGGCTGAGGCAGGAGAATCGCTTGAACCAGGGAGTTGGAGGTTGTGGTGAGCCGAGATCACACCACTGCACTGCATTCCAGCCTGGGCAATAGAGCGAGACTCTGTTAAAGAAAAAAAAAAAAAAAAAGAGCCAGGTGAAGGTGGGAAAGGTTTACCAGGCAGGGGGAGAGCATGAGCATAAAACACAGGCATACAGCAGTATTGTTGATGGAGGCTAACTACAAGCAGTTTGGCAGTTCTCCATTAGACCATAAAGCACAAGGAAGGAAGAGGTAGGGGCTGTTCTGGGCAGGGGCAGTTCTGTAGGTCACTTGAAGGAATTTGGACTTTATTTTGTAGGTAACATAGAAGAATCATAGAAGAAAAGAGTTTTATGTAGGGGAACAATGTAGACAGATACATATGGGAGAGTAGATTTGTTATATGGTCTACAATTTACTTAAAAATACTCCGCAGAGACAGTGTGAGATACACATAGACTTACACACATGTACATGTAGATATACACATACTCTAGGGGCAGTTAATATCTGAAGTACCCCCAGTGACAAACACTTTCCAGCAGCACTTAGTTTGCATATAAAGACACTAATTGTGAGTCCACCCTCCAGAGGCAGTTACTGAAAAACTGCAACCAATCTACCTAAACCTACACTAGAGGGGTTGCTCATTCACATAAAAGAGTCATTCATTCATGAAATAAATGGTGTTCTAGATACATGGATGGACACTTCTCTCTACCCTCACATAAATGAAGCCTAAAAAACTGGTGATCCCAGAGTGGCATCTTAGTTCTAGGAATCTACTAGTTTCTACATCCTGACACCTAATGGATGATTCTATTGCCTGGTCTGCCCATTGAGCTAAAATGCTACTACTGGAGAACTGCTGCATGTGCTTCAAGTGAATTGCTCCTACATGGGGCTTAATGGAGCTTGTGAAGACAGGTTTCAAGACTACGTCTAAGTGCTAAAAAAAATGCATGATTGACAGAATTGCACCAAATTTGTGTTTTCATTAGAACATACCAACTGGTTGGGAGATTGTGGGGGATGAGGAAGAACTAAACTCCCCAGCTACCTCTAGCCATTAGAAGCTACTGATATCACTGAAAAGTACCTGATGATGTGAGAGGCTAAACTGGTTTAAATAAATTTGCAGGCTGGGGCGGTGGCTCACGCCTGTAATCCCGGCACTTTGGGAGGCCGAGGCGGGCGAATCACAAGGTTAGGAGTTCGAGACGAGCCTGGCCAACATGGCGAAACCCCGTCTCTACTAAAAATACAAAAAATTAGCTGGGCGTAGTGTGGGCGCCTGTAATCCCAGCTACTCGGGAGGCTGAGGCAGGAGAATCGCTTGAACCCAGGAGGCGGAGATTGCAGTGAGCCAACATCATGACACTGCACTCCAGCCTGGGCAACAGAGTGAGACTCTGTGTCAAAAAAATAAATAAATAAAAATAAATAAATAAATTTGCAATAGAATTGAAGAAGGGCAATTATGGAGGCAGGGAAACAAATTAGGCAGAGACTGCTGCAAGTGGTTCAATCAGTAGATGATAAACTACAAAAACAATTACATAACAAAAGATGACAGCAAGAGAGAAATGAAAGAACTGCAAAACAGATAAAAAATAATAAAATAGCAATAGTAAGTCCTTATGTGCCAATAATTATTTTCAATGTTAATGGACTAAATTCTCCAATCTAAAGGCATAGAGTGGCTGAATGAATAAGAAACAAGATGCAGTGATATGCTATTTACAAGACACTGACATTAGATATAAAAACACACATAAGCTGAAAGTGAAGGAATGAGGAAAAAGATATTCCATACAAATCATAACCAAAATTGAACATGGGTGGCTATACTTACATAGACAAAATAGGCTTTAAGTCAAAAACTGTCACTAGAGACAAATAAGGTCATTATGTAATGATAAAAGGATCAACTCTGCAGGAAAATATAATAATTAAAAATATATATGCACCCAGCATCAGAGCACCTAAATATTTAAAACAAATATTGACAGATCTGAAGGGAGGAATTGACAGCACTACAATAACAGTAGGAAACTTCAATACCCCACTTTTAATAATGGATAGAACATCCAGGCAGAAAATCAATTAAAAAACAGCTTACTTGAACAACACTATAGACTAAATGGACCCAACAGACATATACAGAATTCTCTACCCAAGAGCAGCAGAATACATATTCCTCTTTAGTGCACATGGAACATTCTGCAGGATAGATCACATGTTAGGTCACAAAATGAGTCTTAACAAATTTAAGAATATTGAAATCATACCAAGTATCTTCTCAGACAGCAGTGGAATGAAACAGGCAATCAATAAGATAAAATCAACAAACTTACACTAAGAAAAAAAAGAGAAAACACAAATTAATAGAATCAGAAATGTATCTCTAGGTGGACAGTGACAGAAAAAAAAGAGAAAGAAAAAAGAACATCAGAAATGACAGTGGAGACATTACAATGGATGATGCAGAAAATGGATCATAGGGGACTATTATGAACAACATATTGAATAACCTAGAAAAAATGAATACATTGCTAGAAACACACAACTTACCAAGACTGAATCAAGAAGAAATAGAAAGTCTGAAGAGACCAATAAGAAACAAAGAGATAAGGCCGGGAGCAGTGGCTCACGCCTGTAATCCCAACACTTTGGGAGGCCGAGGTGGGCGGATCATGAGGTCAGGAGATCAAGACCATCCTGGCTAACACGGTGAAACCCTGTCCCTACTAAAAATACGAAAAATTAGCCAGGCGTGGTGGCAGGTGCCTGTAGTCCCAGCTACTCCGGAGGCTGAGGCAGGAGAATGGCATGAACCCGGGAGGCGGAGCTTGCAGTGAGCAGAGATCACGCCACTGCACTCCAGCCTGGGTGACAGAGTGAGACTCTGTCTCAAAAAAAAACAAAAAACAAAGAGATAGGATCAGCAATCAAAAAGCTTCCAACAAAGAAAAGTCCAGGACTAGACAAGCTTCTGGAAAATTCTACAAAACACTCAAAGAATAATTAATACCAAAATTTCTTAAACTCTTCCAAAAAATGGAAGAAGGAACACTTCCAAACTCATTTTATAAGGCCAGCATCACCCTGATACCATGAGCCAGACAAGACATCACAAGTAAAAAAAACTATAGGCCAATATCCTCAATGAACGTAGATGCAAAAACCCTAGTGGGACGCAAGGATGGTTCAATATACAAATATATCAAATCAACCAATGTGATACACCACATTAATAAGATGAAAGCAGAACCATATGATCATTTCAATAGACACAAAGAAAGTATTTTACAAAATTCAACATCCCTTCATGATAAAAACCCTCAACAAAATAGGTATAGAAGGAGCTTACCTTAACACAATAAAGCCCAAATATTAAAAACCATCACAAGCATCATAAGCAGTGGAGAAAAACTGAAAGTTTTTCCTCTAAGATATGGAACAAGACAAGAATGCCCACTCTTGTCCTGCTATTCAACACAGTACTGGAAATCTTAGCCAGAACAGTTAGGCAAGAGAAAGAAATAAAAGACATCCAAATAAGAAGAGAAATATAATGATTTATATATCCTGATGACATGATCATATATGCAGAAAACCCTAAAAATGCTACCAAAATAACTGCTAGAACTAATAAATAAACTTGGTAAAGTTACAGTATACAGAACCAATATGCAAAAATTAGTGTCATTTCTCACGTATGTTCGCTGCAACACTACTCACAATAGAAAAGAGGAATCAACCTAAATGCCCATCAATGGTAGAATGGATAAAGAAAATATGGTACATATATACCATGGAAAATGTGGTACATATATACTATGGGGTACAGCCGTAAAAAGAACAAGACTGGTCAGGCGTGGTGGCACATGCCTGTAATCCCAGCACTTTGGGAGGCTGAGGCAGGCGGATCGAGGTCAGGAGATCAAGACTATCCTGGCTAACATGGTGAAACCCCGTCTCTACTAAAAATACAAAAAACTAGCCAGGCAGGCCGGGCACGGTGGCTCACGCCTGTATTCCCAGCACTTTGGGAGGCCGAGGTGGGCAGATCACGAGGTCAGGAGATCAAGACCATCCTGGCTAAAACGGTGAAACCCTGTCTCTACTAAAAATGCAAAAAAATTAGCCGGGCGTGGTGGCAGGCGCCTGTAGTCCTACCTGCTCTGGAGGCTGAGGCAGGAGAATGGCGTGAACCCGGGAGGCGGAGCTTGCAGTGAGCCGAGATTGCACCACTGCACTCCAGCCTGGGTGACAGAGCTAGACTCTGTCTCAAAAAAAAAAAAAAAAAAAAAAAAAAAAAAAACAAAAAAACAAACCTAGCCAGGCATGGTAGCACACGCCTGTAGTCCCAGCTACTCGGGAGGCTGAGACAGGAGAATCACTTGAACCCAGGAGGCGGAGGTTGCAGTGAGCTGAGATCACGCCACTGCACTTTAGCCTGGGCAACAGAGGGAGACTCCATTTAAAAAAAAAAGAGAGAGAGAGAGATTAGCTAGGCGTGGTAGTTCATGCCTCTAATCCCAGCACTTTGGGAGGCCAAGGCGGGCAGATCACCTGAGGTCAGGAGTTCAAGACCAGTCTGGCCAACATGGTGAAACCCTGTCTATACTAAAAATACAAAAATTAGCCAGGTGCGGTGGCGGGCACCTGTAATCCCTGCTACTCGGGAAGCTGAGGTGGGAGAATCGCTTGAACCCGGGAGGTGAAGTTTGCAGTGAGCTGAGATTGCACCATTGCACTCCAGCCTGGGTGACGAGAGTGAAACCCTGTCTCAAAAACAAAACAAAACAAAAACAAAAACAAAAAACCCAAAATCATGTCCTTTGCAGCAACGTGAATGGAGCTGAAGGCCATTATCCTAAGCAAACTAATGCAGGAAGAGAAAACCAAATACCGCATGTCCTCACTTATAAGTGTGAGCTAAACATGGAGTGCACATGGACACAAAGAAGAGAACAACAGACACTAGAGCCTATTTGAAAATGGAGGGTGGACCCATTAACTCGTCATTTACATTAGGTAACATGGCACATGTATACATGTGTAACAAACCTGCACGTTGTGCACATGTACCCTAGAACTTAAAGTATAATTTAAAAAAAAAGAAAAACCAAATAAATGGAGACATATTCCATGTTCATAAAAAAAAAAAGAAAATGGAGGGTGGGAGGAAGGTGAGGATCAAAAACCTACCTATTAGGTACTATGCTTATTACCTAGGCGACAAAATAATCTGTACACCAAATGCCCACCACACACAATTTGCCTAAATAAGAAATCTGCACATATACTCCTGGACCTAAAATAAAAGTTAAAAAATTAATGTTATTTCCATAAACTAACAACAAACTATCTGAAATGCAAATTTAAAAAAATCCCATTTATATTAGCAACAAAAAGAATAAAATCCTTAGGAATTAATTTAGCCAAAGAGGTGAAAAATTTGTATACTAGAAATTATAAAACATTGATGGAGGAAATTTTAAAACACACAAACAAATGGAAAGACATCCCCTGTTCACAGACTGGCAGAATTAATATTGTTAAAATGTCCATACTAGCCAAAGCAATCTACAGATTCAATGCAATCCCTACCAAAATCCCAATTATTTTTTACAGAAATAGGAAAAGGAATCCTAAAATTCGTATAGGACACCAAATAGCCAAAGCAATCATACAAGAAGCTAGAAGCATCATACTCCCTGACTTCAAATTATATTACACAGCTATAGCAATCAAAACAGTATAGTAATGACAGAAAAACAGACATATAGACCAATGGAACAGAATAGAGGGCCCAGAAATAAACCCATTCATTTATGGTTAACGGATCTTCAACAAGGGTGCCAAGAATACACAATGAGGAAAAGACAGTCTCTTCAACAAACGGTGTTGGGGAAACTGGATATTCACATGCAGAAGAATGAAATTGGACCCTGCTATAATTTGAATGTTCCCTCCAAAACTCATGTTGAAATTTAATTGCCATTGTCAGAGTATTAAGAAGTGGGATCTTAAGAGATGATTAGGACATAAGGGCTTCAACTTCATGGATTGATTAATGCTGCTATCAATGGAGTATGTAGTTATTGTGGGAGTTCAGTCCCCTTATTTTCTGTCTTGCCCTTCTGCCATGAGATAATAGAGCACGAGGGCCATTGCCAGATGCAGGTGCCATGCTCTTTGACTTCCCAGCTTCCAGACCATGAGTCAAATAAACTATTGTTTATAAATTATCCAATCTTTGGTATTCTGTTACAGCATCAGAAAAAGACTAAGACCCCTAGCTCACACCATATACCAAATCAACTCAAAATGGATTGCTTAAACATAAGATCTGAAACCACAAAACTCTAGAAGAAAACAGAGAAAAGCCTTTTTGACATTGGTCTTGGCAATGACTTTTTGATATGACAGCAAAAGCACAGGCAACAAAAGAAAAATAGACAAGCGAGTCTTCATCAAACTAAAAATCTTCTGCACAGCAAAGGAAACAATCAACAAAATGCAAAGGCAACATACAGAATGGGAGAAAATATTTGCAAACTATATATCCAATAAGGGATTAATACCCAAAATATATAAGGAACCTGTATAGCTCAATGCCAAAAACACAAATAAGCCAATTAAAAAGTGGGCAAAGGACCTAAATAGACACTTCTCAAGAAAAGAAATTAAAATTGCTAATAGGTATATTAAATGATTCTCAATATCTCTAATCAGGGAAAGGAAAATCAAAACCACAATGAGATGTCACCTCACACCTGTTAGAACGAATGGCTACTATCAAAAAGAGAAAAGTTATGTGTTGGTGAGGATGTGGAAAAAAGAGAACTCTTGTACACTGCTGGCAAAAATGTATATTAGTACAGTCATTATGGAAAATAGTATGAAGGTTCCTCAAAAAATTAAAAACAAAACTACCATATGATCCAGCAATCCTGCTTCTGGGTATACACCCAAAGGAAATGAAATCAGCATCTTGACGAGATAGCTACATTTCCATGTTCACTGCCGCATTATTCACAGTAGCCAAGGTGTAGAAAAAACCTAAATGTCCTTTGATGAATGAATGGATAAAGAAACTGTGGTGCATAGATATATAATGGAATATTATTCAGCCTCAAAAAAGAAGGAAAGGCTGGGTGCAGTGGCAGAATGAATGGATAAAGAAAATGTGGTGTATAGATATATAATGGAATATTATTCAACCTCAAAAAAGAAGGAAAGGCTGGGTGCAGTGGCTCACACCTGCAATCCGGCACTTTGGGAGGCTGAGCTAGGAGTACTGCTTGAGCTCAGGAGTTTGAGATCAGCCTGGGCAACATAATGAGACCTTGTGTCTATAAAAAATCAAAAAATTAGCCAGGTGTGGTGGTACACACCTATAGTCCCAGCTACTCGGGAGGCTGAGGCAGGAGGATCACTTGAGCCCAGGAGACTGAGGCTGCAGAGCGAGACACTGTCGAAGAAGAAGAAGGAGAAGAGGGAGAAGAAGAAGAAGAAGAAGAAGAAGAAGAAGAAGAAGAAGAAGAAGAAGAAGAAGAAGAAGAAGAAGAAGAAGGAGGAGGAGGAGGAGGAGGAGGAGGAGGAGGAGGAGGAGGAGGAGGAGGAGGAGGAGAAGAAGAAGAAGAAGAAGAAGAGGAAGAGGAAGAGGAAGAAGAAGAAGAGGAAGAGGAAGAGGAAGAGGAAGAAGAAGAAGAAGAAGAAGAAGAAGAAGAAGGAGAAGAAGAAGAAGGGGAAGGGGAAGGGGAGGAAGAGGAAAAAGAAGAAGAAGGAAATTCTGCCATTTTCGACAACATGGATGGAGCTGGAAACATTATACTAAGTGAAATAAACAAGACACAGAAGAGAGAAGCTGCATGATCTCACTCCTCTTTGGAATAGAAGATAATCAAATTCATAAATTTATAAAGGCAAAGAATATGATGGAAGTTGCCAGGGGGCAGGAGGGGCTAATTCAGACTTAGTCTTACGTTTGCCAGATAGACCAACCCTGGATGTAGAGCTACTCTAAATAGAAGAAAAGAGGGCCAAGGACAGAACCTAGGAGAAAGCCAGCACTTAACAATGAAAGCTAGAGTCGACTCTGGATCTGATTGTTCAGGATTAATGTTTAATTTGGGCCTACATTTCCCTACCATTTGTATGGCTCTGGATCTATTTTTTTAACACCAAATTGGCTACATGTCCCAGGAATGCCAACTGATAACCTTTACAAATCATAATTAGAAAGGAAAGTGTGTGGCAATAAAGTCATATATCATATTCTGGAAAGAGAACAGGAACAGGAGTCATGAGATTTGCCACCTTCTCTCTCTGGGTTTCTATTTCTCCAAACATAAAAGTGATGAACTGGCTTCTGTTATTTCTATGGCTCTTCCAGCCATAGAAATTGGAGCAGCCTATGATTCTTTGACATTTGGTTTATCTACACTTTTCTTGTAGCTGTATCACTGCTCTCCTACATTAATACAAATGGGTAGAAGCTGACTATATTCTTTTCAAGGTCATGACAATAGAAGAAAACCCCAAAAACCCAGTCACAAAATATGGTAAGTAAAAGGAAGTGAGAGTTATAGGGGAAAATGTGATTGACCTCTTGCTATTAATATCAGTGCTCAGCTGTACAACAGTAAGGGTGTGTCCCCTTGAGAGCAAATCAATGGCTCAAAAGAGGGAAACAAACCACTTTTTTTCCTGATAAAATCAAGGTTTACTCCTCAACCCTGCTAATTTTTGAGGAGATAGTGAATATTGTTCTCTCTTCATTACCTCTCTCACAGTTGTCATAAAATGTTAAGAGATTTTTTTTTTTTGAGACAAGGTCTTGCTCTGCTGCTCAAACTGGAGTACAGTGGCATGATCTCGGCTCACTGCAACCTCCGCATCCCAGGCCCAAGTGATTCTCCTGTCTCAGCCTCTAGGCCCAAGTGATTCTCCTGCTTCAGCCTCCCAAGTAGCTGGGACTACAGATGTGCACCACCACACATGGCTAATTTTTTTTTTTTTTTTTGAGACGGAGTCTTGCTCTGTCGCCCAGGCTGGAGTGCAGTGGTGCAACCTTGGCTCACTGCAACCTTCACCTCCCAGATTCAAATGATTCTGCCTCAACCTCCTGAGTAGATGAGATTACAGGCGCGTGCCACCACACCTGGCTAATTTTTGTATTTTTAGTAGAGATGGGGTTTCATCATTTTGGTCAGGCTGGTCTCAAACTCCTGACCTCGTGATCCGCCCACCTCGGCCTCCCAAAGTGCTGGGATTACAGGCGTGAGCCACCGTGCCCAGCCTAATTTTTGTATTTTTCGTAGAGACAGGGTTTTTCCATGTTGCCCCCCAGACTGGTCTCAAGCTCCTGAGCTCAGGTGATCTGCCCACCTTGGCTTCCCAAAGTACTGGGATTACAGCTCTGAGCCACTGCCACCGTGCCCAGCCTAGAATGTTTTGATATATGTAAAAGAAAGGGTGTATAACTACTGTTCTCAACTCATCAACTATTCTTACCAAACCTTCAAAGCTTTTTGGAGGGAAATTAGTCTAGAGACAGTGTGCCCTGCTCACCTTCTTCCTTACTGCCAGCTTGGAATGATTTTCCAGTGTAACACCTAAGTTCCTTGCTTCTATTCTGAAGTTTAAGAATACTTTTAGAGAGGGGGTGTGAATAAAGATCACGTCGCCTTTCTTTTTTATTGTTTCTTTTTTTGAGATAGAGTCTTGCTTTGCCACCCAGGCTGGAGTGCAAAGGCATGATCTCAGCTCACTGCAACCTCAAACTCCTGGGCGCAACGGATCCTCCTGCTTCAGCCTCCCAAGTAGTTGGGACACAGGTATGCATCACCATATCTGACTTTTTTTTTTTTTTTTTTTTTTTTTTAGATGGAGTCTCACTGTGTCGCTAGGCTGGAGTGCAATGGCGTGATCTCGGCCAACTGCAAACTCCACCTCCCAGGTTCAAGTGATTCTGCTGCCTCAGCCTCCCGAGTAGCTGGGATTATAGGTGTGGACCACCACACCCAGATAATTTTTGTATTTTTAGTAGAGACAGGGTTTCGCCACTTTGGCCAGGCTGGTCTTGAAATCCTGACTTCAGATGATCTGCCCGTCTCAGCCTCCCAAAGTGCTGGGATTACAAGTGTTAGCCACCGTGCCTGGCCATACACCTCGCTATTTTTAATCATTTTTTAATAAATGGCAACTGCTATATTGCCAAGGCTGGTCTTGAACTCCTGGCATCAGGCAATCCTCCTGCCTTAGCCTCCCAGAGTTCTGGGATTATAGCCGTGAACCACTATGCTCAGCCTGTGCTGTCCTTTCTATGAAAAGATGGTACAACTGATCTATGAATAAGCCATGTCCTTTCAGTTCTTTTGCTAGCATTGAGGATGAGATTATTCTGAATCATCCATACTCTCTCACACTCTTGTGACCAAACAGCTATCATGTGTACCCAGGTGGCTACTGATAGAGGTAAAAGCAGTGGCCAAGAAATTAACTAGTTCCTTTACCTCAGACCTTGGATCACAAACCACACGTCTGGTACTCTTCTCAATTACTTTCACCATATTGACCGTGTCATCGGGTCCACCACCTAGGCAATGTGTAGACATAGGCTGAGTCCCAAAACCTCAGTACGGAACCCCACAGGAGGCTCCAGCTTGGAGAACGGGTTAAGTTCTAGGTTTCTGTTCCAATCTGTGAAGCTGATGCAGTCCCTGGAGCAGGGTACAGGGGTCAACACACTGCCTTCTGTTTTTTGTACCAGGGCAGGTAGAGGGAGGCCACAATTTTGGAAGACGGTGATTGCCCAGCTGCCAGCTTTTTCAGCAGATGGTATAACCACCATGAGATAATTAGCGTGCAGTCCCACAGTGGGGCTGGGTACAGAGAAGGAGCAACTGAAATGGAAAATTAGATCAACAAAAATGGAGGAGAGGTTGTTACCTCAGTTGAAAATGTTCACACCTCATTTGTGAAAGGCTCAACATGAAAGGCTCCTGACTGCATCAGCACTAAAGATGCATTTCTTTCCCGTTCTCATTTGGGTCTCAGAATGCCTTACTAGCTTCCTGAGTGTATTTTATTTCTGCTCTTCCTCAAATTGCACTTCCTTTATGACTACTAATGTGAAGAGGTCTGGAATATCCTAATGCTCAGATCTCCCACTTCCTGGGGCACACGTAAACACACCTGCTTGGTGTACAGGTGTCATGGCCAGAACCCATCAGGAATGGGACTGTGCCTGCCTCAATACCTCTGCTGGCAATCTGTCATTTTGCTTGTTTAACCAAAGGCTCGTATCATTATACGGCTTGAATCTGTTAAGAATCGAGGTGACAAATTGTGCTTTTGATTGTTCTTTTGTTGTTTTAAACATCCTTTTGATGCACTAAGAGCCACTTATATATGAATAAAACAAGCAGCCATCTGTTTTATGAAGCACTGGATTGTAAAAGTGTCAACTCAAGCACAGTCTACTAATTTGTCAATTGTTGAGCATTGGCCAATTGACAGAAATTAGCTGTGTTGCTGGACATACACACCCTTACTTCATTAGTTGTATATGTCTGTAGTTGGGAGGGGAGCTATAAAATAACACTGGTGATGGGTGTGGTGGCTCACACCTGTAATCCCAACACTTTGGGAGGCCGAGGCAGGCAGATCACCTGAGGTCAGGAGTTTGAGACCAGCCTGGCCAACATGGTGAAACCCCGTCTCTACTAAAAATACAAAAATTAGCTGGGCATGGTGGCAGGCACCTGTAATCCCAGCTACTCAGGAGGCTGAGGCAGGAAAATTGCTTGGACCCAGGAGGCAGAGGTTGCAGTGAGCCGAGATTGTGCCACTGCACTCCAGCCTGGGCGACAAGAGCAAGACTTGTCTTAAAAAAAAAAAAAAAAAAAAAAAAAGGTGAAAAAGACCATGGCCCTGGTTAACCCCAGGCAGAAGGGAAGCTTACTTTTTTTTTTTAAGACGTATTCTCGCACTGTTGCCCAGGCTGGAGTGCAGTGGCACAATCTCAGCTCACTGCAACCTCTGCCTCCTGGGTTCAAGCGCCTCATTACAGGTGCACACCACCATGCCCGGGTAATTTTTGTATTTTTCCTAGAGACAAGGTTTCGCCATGTTAGCCAGGCTGGTCTCGAACGCCTGACCTCAAGTGATCTGCCCGCCTCGGCCCCCCAAAGTGCTGGGATTACAGGCATGAGCCACCGTGTCGGGCCAGAAGGGATGCTTACTTCTGGATGCAGTGTGCAAAGATTGTCCTATTGCCTTCAGCTCCAGGTTAAATCCTCCTACCTCAGACTGACTCCCTTCCTTATAGAAACTGGCAGTGTTCAATACTTGACAATTGAGTTCCTTAGGACCTCCGTGATGGCTTGCCTTTGAGGAGAAAGGGGAAGCACAAAAGAAGAGGAAACTAAACAAAGAATAAAGCCCTCCTGCAACCAGAAGTCATCCTTATCCCTCATTTTGGCTAAGTACACTGGATTCATAAACTCTTTTTTATTGAATTGAATTTCAAAGCTTTTACTTAGTGTTTTTCTGGTAGGTAGATAAGGCAGAAGCCAACAAGCATCTAGCTACCCAACTCAATAGTGGGGCCCACCAGGGCATGATCCAGGCATATTTATGAAATAGGCAAAGTTTGTACTCAGCATGCCCCCACTCCTCCTTTGGCTCTTTCCTCCCCTTCTGGCCCACCTCTCTGAGTCCCAGCATCTCCTGCTGACACCTGGCTGGGCAGGGTCATTCCCTGTCCCACCTCTTAATGTAAGCTGGAGTTCCTATTTCTTAGCATTGAGCACCATTTCAGACCTCTCACACATCTCAAATCAAAAGGTATCATTCTAATCCCACAGGGCCGAACTTCATCATGGAATATCCTCATAAGTGACGCATCTGCATTTTTAGGGAGGTCTTCTGGAATTCCTCAGTCCAGACAGATGATTCTGATGCTGGAAAGTTCAGACATGATTAAACTTTAGCAAGAGACATTTGGGGGTACTCAGGAGGGCAGTTTAAGAATTCCTTAAAACATGACTTCCTGAGGCAGTTGTACCTATTGTGTGTGTGTGTGTGTGTGTGTGTGTGTGTGTGTGTGTGTAGGACTGGCTCTAGAATCACATGGAGGCTCCTGGGCAAGAACCATATACATGTACAGAAGTCAGCTGGCTTCTTCTGTCCTGTAAGTTTCCCCAATTGGTGAGAGAAGTGATCTAAGAATAGTTCAGGCAGCCCAAGATGCTGATTTCTGGTTTCAAAACTCTATAATGAGGGTGGAATAATACACATTGGAGAAGACTCCAAAAGGTAGGAGGGTGGGAGGTTGGTGAAGGATGAGAAAGTACCTATTGGATACAATGTATACAATTCGGGTGATGGGTACACTAAAAGCCCAGACTTCATCAACTATGCAGTATAACTGATAGAGTTTGTATATTTGTCCTCACCCAAATCTCATGTTGAAATCTAATCCCCAGTGTTAGAGGTGGGGCCTGGTGGGAGGTGTTTGGATCATGGGGACAGATCCCTCGTGAATGGCTTGGGCCACCCCCTTGGTGATAAGTGGGCTCTCACTCTGAGTTCACATGAGATCTGGTCATTTAAAAGTGTGTGGTGGCGCTCTCTTCTCTCTCTCTCTGTCTCTCCACACACATACACACTTCCCTCTCTCTGCCCTGGCCACCCCATTCTCACCATGTGATGTGCCGGCTCCTGCTTTGCCTTCCAACATGATTGGAAGCTTCCTGAGGCCTCCCCAGAAGTAGATGCCACTATGCTTCCTGTACAGCCTGCAGAACCATAAGCCAATTAAATCTCTTTTCTTGTAAATTACCCAGCCTCAGGTATTTCTTTATAGCAATACAAAATTGACCCCGTCCCAAAAAAAAGCCTCTCAAAACTCAAACAATCCGATTAGAAAATGAGCAAAATATATGAATAGATATTTCACCAAAAAGGATATATAGATTGCAAACACACGACAAAGATGCTCAATCAACATCATTAGCCATAAGGGAAATGCAAATTAAAATCACAATGAGATATCACTAAACACCTATCAGAATAGCTAAAATTAAAAAACAGTTAACAACACACATGCTGGCAAATAAGCAGAAAAACTGTATCATTCATACATTGTTGGCATTCTTCAACAGATTAATGATTAAACAAATTATAATTCATCCATGCCATGGAATACTATGCAGCAATAACAAGAAATCAGGGGCCAGACACAGTGGCTCAAGCTTATAATCCAAGCACTTTGGGAGGCTGAGGAAGGAGGATTGCTTGAGCCCAGGGGTTCAAGATCAGCCTGGGCAACATAGTGAGACACTGTCTCTACAAAAAAATTAAAAATTAGCTGGGTGTGGTAGCACATGCTTGTAGTCCCAGCTAATCAGAAGGCTGAGGTAGGAGGATCGCTTGAGTGAGTTCAAAGCTGCAGTGAGCCGTGATCACATCACTGCACTCCAGCTTGGGTGACAGAATGAGACTGTCTCAAAAAAGAAAAAAAAAAGAAATCAGGTATTGGTTCATGCAATAACTTGAATGAACTCCTGGGAATTTTGCTTAGTGAAAAAAAGCCAATCTTAAAAGGTTATAAACTGTATGATTATTTACATAACACTCTTGACAAAAATATAGAGATAGGGAACAGATTAGTGGGTACCAGGCATTAGGGAATGGAGCATATAGGAGGTAGGCATGGCAGCCCAGTGCGGTGGCTCATGCCTGTAATCCCAGCACTTTGGGAGGCCGAGGGAGTGGATCACCTGAGATCAGGAGTTTGAGACCAGCCTGGCCAACATGTGAAACCCTGTCTCTACTAAAAATACAAAAATTAGCTGGTCTTGGTGGCAGGTGCCTGTAATCCCAGCTACTCAGGAGGCTGAGGCAGGAGAATTGCTTGAACCTGGGAGGCAGAGGTTGCAGTTAGCCAAGATTGCACCACTGCACTCAAGCCCGGATGACAAGGTTGAAACTCCATCTCAAAAAAAAAAAAAAAAAAAGAGATAGGCATGGCTACAAAAGATTCCTTGTGGTGAAAGTACGTTTCTGTACTGTGTTGGTGGATACATGAACTACAAGTGCTACAACTGCATAAAACTTCTAGTGAAAAAGATCTGTTATTTTTTTTTAAAATGCATATAATGAAATACATAGAACACATAAACAGAAACAAATGATTACAGGTAAAACTTGGGAAATCTGGACAAGAGTAATAGGTTGTAGCAACGTCCTGGTTGTGATACTATAGTACAGTAAATAAGATGTCACCACTGAGAAAAACTGGATAAAGGGTACATAATATCTCAATGTGCCGTTTCTGACAATTGCATGTGAACCTACAGTCATCTCAAAATAGAAAGTTTAATTTTTTAAAAAAAGATAAAAACAAAAAAATTGGGGCCTTGAACATTTTCTGGCTCATTGTGCAGGCATGAAACTCATTGGCCATCTGGCTACCAGGCTGGATAGTTACAAAGAAGAATGACTTCCCAAACCTGAGTATGTAGCACCTTAGGGCCTCTGGTAATCCAAAGAAGAATTGTTTGCCTTCTGGAAATTCTCAGTAACCAAGTTTAATTGAACATCACTTTAATGAAAAAACCAAGCCTTTGCTATATAAATCTTCATACCAGGAGACAGCACTAGGAAATCAAAATAGGGTGTGTTAATCTATCCCCACCCCAGAGGCAGGGTTTTGCTCTATCTCCCAGGCTGGAGTGTGGTGGTACCTCCTGCCTCGACCTCCTGGGCTCAAGCAATTCTCCTGCCTCAGTCTCCCGAGTAGCTGGGACTACAGGCACGCGCCACCACACCCAGCTAATTTTTATATATTTTTTTTTTGTAGAGAGGTGGTCTTGCCATGTTGCCCAGGCTGGTCGCCAACCCCTGGGTTCCAGTGATCCAACTGCCTTGGCCTCCCAAAGTGCTGGGATTACAGGCGTGAGCCACTATGCCTGGCCCAAAAGTTCTTTATATATCCTAGATACGAGTTCTTTGTTGGGTATGTAGCTTGCAAATATTTTCTCTCAGTCTATAGCTTGTCTTTTCATTCTCTTAATAGGACCTTTCATAGATCAAAGCTTTTAATTTTTTATGAAGCCCAATTTAATGTAGTTTTTCTTACATGGATAACCCCTAGACAGTGTCAAACCTAAGAACACTTTGCTAGGCCCTAAATCATGAAGATTTTCTCCTGTGGTTTTGTTTTTTCTCTAAAATGTTTTATAGTTGTATGCTTTACATTTAAGTCTGTGATCCATTTTGAGTTATTTTTGTATAAGGTGGGATGTTTAGGTAAAAGTTCACTTTTTTGGCCTATGGATGTCAATTCTCCTGAACTGTTTGTTGAAAACGCTATCCTTCCTTAAGTTGCTTTTATACCTTTGTCAAAAATCGTTTGAGCAAGTTTGCATTGCTATATTTCTGGGTTTTTTGTTCCACTGATCTATGTGTCTACTCTCTGTCATTACCATACTCTCTTTTTTTTCTTTTTATTTGTACAATATTGGGGTACATGTGCAATTTTATCATATGCATAGATTGCACAGAGGCCAAGTTAGTTAGGGCTTTGAGTGTATCCATCACATGAATAACATATATTGTACCCATTAGCCAATTTCTCATCATCCTCCTCCCTTCCACCCCTCACTCTTCCAAGTCTGCAATGATCTATCATTTCCACTGTCTATATCCGTGTACCACAGTATCTTGATTACTATAGCCATATATGGTAACCCTTTATATTGGGAAGAGTGATTCCCTCCAATTTATTCTTTATAAAAATCACTTTAGCTACTCTAGGTCCTTTGCCTTTCCATGTAAATTTTAGAAGAAGCTTTTCTATGTCTATAAAGATCCTTGCTGAGATTTTGATAGGAATTTCATTAGCCTATAGATCAATTTGGGGATAATTGATATCTTTACTATGTTGTCTTTTAACCCACACAGTATGTCTCTGCAATTATTAAGGTCTTCTTTGAGTTCTTTCCTCAGTGTTTTATAATTTCCAACATACAGATCCTTTCATGTTTTGTTAAATTTATACTTGCTCTTTGGCACAAGGATGAATGGCATTGTGTTCTTTATTTAGATTTCCACATTGTTAGTATATATATGTGATTGATTTTTGTGTGTTTATCTGGTATCATATGACCTTACTGAATTCAGTGAATAGTTCTACGAGGTTTTTTTGTTTTATTTTTTTTAAAAAAAAAAGATTCCCTGTGATTTTCTATGTAGACAATTAAGTCTTTTGAGAATCAACACAGTTTCACTTGATCCTTTCCAATCCATGTACCTTTTATTTCCTTTTCTTGTTGTGCTAGAGCTATTTTTCCCCCTTTCTTGCCATTGTACTGGATAGAACTTACAATACGATATTGAATAGAAGTAGTGAGAACAGCCAGGCACGGTTGTTCATGACTGTAGCACTCTGGGAGGCCAAGGTGGGTGGATAACCTGAGGTCACAAGTTTGAGACCAGCCTGGCCAACATGGCGAAACCCCGTCTCTACTAAAAATACAAAAATTAGCTGCACGTGGTGGTGGGCCCCTGTAGTCCCAGCTACTTGGGAGGCTGAGGCACAAGAATCACTTGAACCCAGGAGGCAGAGGTTGCAGTGAGCTGAGATCGTGCCACTGCACTCCAGCCTGGGCAACAGAGTGAGACTCCACCTGAAAAAAAAAAAAATAGTGGAAACAAACATGCTTGCCTTGTTCTGACTTGAGAAAGAACTCAGTCTTTCACCATTAAGTATAATGTTAGTTGTAGGTTTTTTGCAGATGTTCTTTATGAGATTAAGGAAGTTTTCCTCTATGCCTAGTGTACTGAGAGTTTTTAATCATGAATAAATGTTGAACTTTAAGCTGGGTGTGGTGGCTCATGCCTGTAATCCCAGCAATTTTGGGAGGCTGAGGTGGGCAGATTGCCTGAGCTCAGGAGTTCGAGACAAACCTGGACAACACAGTGGAACCTTGTCTCTACAAAAAAATACAAAAAATTAGCCAGGCATGATGGCACACACCTACAGTACCAGCTACTGGGGGACTGAGGAGGGAGGATCACTTGGGCCCAGGAGGTTGAGGCTGCAGTGAACCATGTTTGTGCCACTGCACTCCAGCCTGCGTAACAAAGCGAGACCCTGTCTCAAAAAAAAAAAAAAGTTTGAATGTTATCATCAAATGCTTTTTCTGTGCCAGTTGATATGGTTAAATGATTTTAGTCTGCTGATATGGTGGATTACATTGATTAACTTTAAAATATTGAACTATGCATACATGGGAATAAATCCCAGAGTATAATTCTTTTCTACATTGTTGGGTTCATTTGGCTATTATTTTGCGGCAGTTTCTGTGTCTAAGTCCATGAAAGATATTCATTCATCTATAGTTTTCTTGCTTTGTACTGTCTTTGGTTTTGGTATCCTTCTGGGAATCTGATTATATGAATGTTGGATCTTTTGTTATTTCTAACAGGTCCCTGAGGCCCTATCTTTTTTTTCAGTCTATTTTCTCTCTGTTGTTCAGGCTGGGTAAATTCTATTGATCTATAAACAAGTTTACTGATTTTGTCCTCTGCCATCTCTGCTCTATAATTGATCCTATCCAGCAATTTTTAAAAATCTATTTTTCAGTTCTGTAATTTTCATTTGGTTCTTTAGAAAATGTGAACAGGTGTTTTAATCATGTATAAAATGCCTGATTATGTATGAATTTGAAGGAAGAAGAGATCAAAGGATTCCTGGAAGAAGGTGTGTCAGAAGGGGCCTTCAAGTAAAGAGGCACAGACTATCCCTGCCTAGGGCTGCTCTGAGCATCTTCCCATTTCTTCCTCACAACAACCCAACAATGATTATAGCAATACTTATACCCATTTTACAGATGAGGAAACTGAGGCTCAGTCAGGTTAAATTTTTTTTTTTAGGTTAAGTTATTTAACCAAGGTCCCATTGCCAAGAAGCAAAGGAGTCAGGACTTGAATCCAAGTCTTCCTGATGCCAAAGCCCATGCTTTCACTGGTATCTGGAGGCCCAAGTTAAATACCCTGCCAAGGGGAAATCTTCCCAAACACTCCCAGAATGTGGCCACTTGTTCCTTGGGACCCCCATGTTGTTCTATCCCAGGAACTTGCTTGCCCCCACCTGCTGTGAGCTCTAGTCACATGTGTCTATGAAGGGTGTCATCACAGTATCACCTATACCTGTACCCGGCACAGGTCCTTGTAGGCTGGTAGATACCCCAGGTGTCTACTGAGGGAACTTTAACCCAATTAAACCTGAGATCTCAAAAATGCCCTTAGTGGAGGGCTGCTGTGAGGATTCCATGAATGGATGATCACAAAGAGATCTAGTTCAGTGTTTGGCACACAGTAAGTACTCACTGCAAGGAAGGGTTGCCATTGGGCTGTTTATTGTTATTTGTATTTGACCAGCCTCCCTTCCTGGATTTGAAGTAGTTCCTATTCCCAGAAAGAGGCAGATAAGAGATAGTCACACAGCCACATGAAGGTCAAAACCAAGTTTCCCAATTCTGGACTCCCCAGGAAGTGCTCAATGCCCCTCAGAAAACTACTCAGTCAAGGTTCAGGTCTGTGTCCTTTGATAACATAAGAGCCCCTTGTGATGAAATAATTCAGCTGCAGCTCCATCACAGAACCACACATGTATTTCCCATCTTAACTTGTCCTTGCCCTACTCCACGTTCTTAATCAGAGACTGAATGTACCATGTCAGACTGGCCTGGAGTATATTTGATTCTTTTGTATAACTTCTATTGCTATGCTAAGATTTTATATTTTTTCCATTTATTTCAAGAGACTTTGCAATTACTTATTAAAGCATTTTTGTGGTGGCTACATTAAATCCCTTGTCAGATAATTTCAACATCTAATTCATCTTGGTGTTGGTATCAGTTGATTGTTTTAGGGTGATTTTTATCATATTCTGGATATGTTGACTATTATATTAGAAGACTCTAATTCCTACTTAAATATTTGATTTTAGCAGGCAGTCAGTTTGTTTAGGTTTAGCATGCAGGTCCTGGCCTACTTTTGAAGGCTGTGATTCCAATGACAATTTAGTTTCAGAGCCTCTGTAGTGCTATTTTGATCTGCTTGATTCATGTGGTGCTAATGGGTCCACTCTTCCCTGCTGGTGCTGCCTGAGGAAGCAGAGTGTTCCTCAGATAGGGTTGCCTGGTGCCTCTAGGTGGGGGAAGTGATTTTTCTAGTCTGTGGAAACAAAGAATCTTCCTTGTCTCTGCTGGTTCTGGTGGGACTCCCCTGACTTTGCTGCCTGCCTTCCTGGTATCTCTCAGAGGAAGAGAGAAGCCTCAAGACCATGAAAACAAACAGGCTTCCTGGGCTAGGCTACTTGTCATGGTCACGTTTCCCCTTGATGGTGTGCTTGCTTGGAGAGTATCTTTCAGTGGGGTAGGGGAGTCTCTGACCTTGTGGGAAAGGACAGCACTTCTGCTGGCTGCTTATTGTCAGTGAGGCACCTTGCTAAATCCCACTTGCTGGAGTTGCCAGGCTTACCTGTTGGTGTCAGTAGGACTCCCATTCAATGCAGAGGAGAAAGGAACCTACAGGAACCATTTTCTATTGCTACGTTGGGGTTTGGGAAATGCTGGGCCTGGGTCACATTTATGGCTTGAGAGTCATAAGGTACCCTGCTACTATGGTGTTCCTCCAGTCCTGGGATTCCTAATCGTTCTGCCTTCCCCTTTACACCTTTTAGAATTCTCCTGTGGCCACCTCTTGAATTATTTCCAGGATTTCTGGTTGGGCTTACCTGGGAGAAGCAGGGAGAAATGAGTCTATGCTATCTTGTCCAGACTGGAAGTGGAAGACCAATCCTGCATTGGTGTCTGCTGCTTCTTCTCCTAGGAATGATTCAGACTTTCATTTATCATCCTTTTTTGGGGGGCAAAGAGAAGCTCAGAAGGCTTTGCTTTGGTTAATATATCGAGCCCCCAGTTTTTTGTTTATGGGTGCATCCATATCCCTATGTGTGTGTGTGTGTGTGTGTGTGTGTGTGTGTGTGTGTGTGTGTGTTTGAGAAGAAAAGTTGGCAGAGATTAGCCCTGAAATAACTGTATTACAGTAGCCAAACACTCTGATAGGATATTGAGTTAGCTGTGGATTTGTCTTGCTGATAAGATACTCCTATACCACTATACTCACAGAATCATATTTTGAAGGTCAGAACAATCATATTTTGGTATTTCCATATAGGCGAAAGGCAGAAAATGTGAGAAACACATTCACCCGTCCAAACCCAAAGAATAGACTCAGAGACACGAAGAACAGTGGAAGCGAGACTTTTAATGGCGGTCTTACAAAATCGGGTGTCTGGTAGGCAGGCACACCTGGGGCAGTTACAGCAGGTAATTTATCTCTTGCATGCAAGTCCCTCCCCCAGTTCCTCATTGGTCAAGTACTATGGGGTTACAATAGTCCCAGATATCACCTAAGTTTCATTATCTTTTATAAGATTATACCCCAGTCCCCTACCCCACTTACATTTCGATTTCCCAATAACAAAACTTTCTTCCCTTTTATGGGCTGACCCCTGCTCTACATTCTGTTTCCTTATCATGACTTTCTAGGTACATGAGCCATGTGGTTTGTCATGTCCACAGGCTGGTTGCCAGTACATAGATTTATCATGCCTTGAAAATTGACCATGTAAAATGTTTTCTCACAAATTCCCTCCTCTTTTTTATTTACTTCCTTTGGTCTCATTTTCATCTAAACCCTTTTGGTCCTCCAATCACTCTAGAAGTTGTCTACTTTCTTCCTTATAGGAGAGTGAGTTTAATTTGGTTTCTAATAGTAGCAGGTTATTTTGCTGGTAAGTCATTGGCATTTGTTTATTAATAGCTGTTTCAATTAATCTCTGTGCTACTCCCTTCACACAAGGGATAATACAACATCCCACTGCTGTTAAGACTCCTGCCACAATTATGAGAGATGTAAGGATTGAAGCTACCATGTCTTTCCATTTTCCAAACCAACCTTCTAGCCAGTCTGTAAATGGGTCAATTCCAGCATTTTCTGCCAGTTTATTGGCTACAGTTGTCAGTCCTTGTAAAACTTTGGTGATGGTCCCATCTGGGGCAATATTGTTGGGAATGAAAGTACAACATTTCCCATCTAGCATAACACATACACCCCCTTTTTCTGCTAGTATCATGTCTAGCACAAGTCTGTTTCCCAGGCCATTTGGCTGGTGGCATCAAACTCGCTAGCCACCTCTTTGAGGGCGTCCTGAGTACAATTGATGAATCTCTGTTGATTATAACAGATATAGTTAATCCAATCCACATTCTTATTAATAATTGATCACCAAAAGAGTGCTGACTCAAACCCAGCAGCTATTTGGCTTCAGGCCTTAAATTCATTAGGCACCCCCTTGGGGACTCCTGTCGAGTCAATATATATATTGGGATCAAAAGAATTTGTCAAATCTGTCTGGTTTTGGTGGCCATGTGTATTTTCGGGTATCTTATGGAATGCCAGGGTGAAAGGAATGGCCAATTGGACTAAAGCACAAGTCCTGGTCCAGTTGGACAGTAACTAACAGGTTATGGAGGTCCCCTTTCCCACAATACCACCAGACAACAGCCCAGAGTATATGGAGAGCTGAGTAATTGCCATTGCCTGACTCAGCAGTGACAATTAGGATGTGGGTACAAGTACGAGAGTTCTCCCACGGGCTTATTGAACTCTGCCCCCTGCCTAGAGAGACAAGAGGAGTGGTTCATATTCCCTATAGAGAATGAGGGGATTGCTCTGGGATCTGACCACCACAATGCAGGAAAGAACAATGACAGGCTCTTACAAGTCTCATTTCCCATGCATCTTTGTCCTGGTATAGAGCCAACATGCAATGCATGCCTTCAGGATCGGTATCCCATCCTAGGGGAAATGGAATCACCTGGGCCTGAGGTCGTCCCGCAGCACGCACATAGCAATTACTTTCTTTTTTGAGACGGACTCTCGCTCTGTCACCCAGGCTGGAGTGCGGTGGCATGATCTCGGCTCACTGTAAACTCCGCCTCCCGGGTTCAAGCGATTCTCCTGCCTCAGCCTCAGCCTCATCCTCACGAGTAGCTATGATTACAGGCACGTGCCACCACGCCTGGCTAATTTTTTGTATTTTTAGTAGGGACGGGGTTTCACTGTGTTAGCCAGGATGGTCTCGATCTCCTGACCTCGTGATCTGCCTGCCCCAGCCTCCCAAAGTGTTGGGATTACAGGCGTGAGCCACTGCGCCCAGCCAGCAATTACTCTTGTTGAGGGCTTGTACTGAAAATTTGAACCAGGCATTCACATCCCTGTACCCTGTCTCAATTTCTAAAGTTTGCCTTAAATCCTTTACCTCAATTATTTCTACCCTTTTAGGGTCATTACTTGGTTAACTATTTCCACCAATAACAGCATAACCATTATGTCTCTTGCCATTTGTCACTTGGGAAAACTCATCCACAAACAGCCTTATCCCATCATGTAGTGGAGCTTCCTTAAGGTCTGGTCTAACTTTGATTTGGTATTCTATGATATCTAAGCAGTTATGGTCTGATGTCTCTTTGTTCTTCTCTCCTTTCCATAGGAAACTGGCTGGATTCAGGCAAGTATCTGTTGTTACAGCCAAATTATCTTTTTCTAGTGACATGGCTTCATATTTTTGAATCCAAGAATCCATTAACCACCTCCTGGCTTTTTGATTTAATATATTCCTGACTTGGTGTGGGTGCTTACTATTAGGGCCCCACCAAAGTTAGCTTTTGACTCTACCAGCAGGGCTGTGGCAGCTACTGCTTGCACACATTCAGGCCACCCCCGAGAGACAGGCTCAAGAAGCTTGGAGACAAAAGCAACAGGTTGCCTCTTCCCTCCCCCGGTATGAGTGAGCACTCCAAGGCCAAACTCTGGTCTACTGTTACAAACAGATGGAATGGTTTCTCTAAAGATGGGAGGGCCAGGACCGGGGCAGTAATGAGGGCCTGCTTTAGCTCTTTCACTACCTGAATTTCCTATGGGGATCATTGCATGGGATCGGGTTCCTCTTCTAGTAACTTGAGATACAGAATTTTTGTCTTTTGAGCATATGAGTCAATTCACAACCTGCAGTAGCCAGTTGAACCTAAAAATTTTCGGAGTTCTCTCTGTCTTAGGCAAAGGCAGGCCCACTATTCCAGATATTCTCTCTGGGTTTATTCTCCACTTCCCTTCACTAATCAGGTGTCCTAAATATTTAACTTCTTTTTCTACAAACTGCAATTTGTTCTTAGAGACTTGCAATCCCCTTTCTCCTAGGAAATTAAGCAAGCTTATGGTGGTTTCTGATACCTCGGCCCTCCTCTCCCCAGAAATTAAAAGATTATCTACATATTGTAATGACTGGGTTCCCCTGGAAGGTTGGAATTCCTCCCGGACTTTTTCTATTATTTGACCAAATACATTTGGGGCTGCCATGAAACCTTGTGGCAGCACAGTCTAGCAGTCCTGTTGTTTTCTCCCAGTTATAGGATTTTCTTATTCAAAGACAAAGAGGTCCCTGCTCCTAAGATCTAGGGGACATGCCCAGAATACATCTTTTAGACCCACCACACTGAATCACTTATGTTCATAGAGTATCTTATTAAGGAGGGCGTAGGGGTTAGGTGCCACAGGATGGTGGGTCTGGACAATTTGATTCATAGTCCCTAGATCTTGCACCAATCTATAGAACCCATCAGGCTTTTTGACTGGGAAAATTGGAGTATTGTATAGTGACATGCAGGGTTCTAATAGTCCATCTTTAATCAATCCCTCTATTACCAGTTGGAGATCTTTTCTCCCTTCAGTAGAAATGGGATATTGTTTTCTTTTTCTTTCTTTTTTCTTTCTTTTTTTTTTTTTGAAACGGAGTCTCACTCTGTTGCCAGGCTGAAGTGCAGTGACATGATCTCAGCTCACTGCAACCTCCGCCTCCTAGGTTCAAGTGATTCTCCTGCCTCAGCCTCCTGAGAAGCCGGGGCTACAGGTGTGTGCCACCATGCCGAGATAATTTTTGTATTTTTAGTAGAGACGGGGTTTCACCATGTTGGTCAGGATGGTCTCGATCTCTTGACCTCATGATACGCCCACCTCAGTCTCCCAAAATGCTGGGATTACAGGCGTGAGCCACTGTGCCTGGCCTGTTTTCTGAAAACTACTTCTCCTGGTTGTTTTAGTTTAATCTGTAAGGGTGTGATTTTTAACCCTCCCCTGTTGCCTTCCCTAATCCACACAAGGGGATTAATTTTTCTTTCCTCTTGCTTTGTTAGGAGGCCCATCATTACTTTTATTTGTCCTTCCTCTATTCCTAATCCTAAACCCAATCTCACAATCAGGTCTTGACCAAGGAGGTTAGTTCCTGCTTCAGGAACATATAAGAGTCACACCTCAATTTGTTCAGGTCCCAATCTAATTAACATTTCCTTGAATATCAGAACCTGAAATCCCTCCCCTTTTACCCCGATACTGTCAATTTTTTCTTAGAGACTTCTGTACCCCTTGGTTGGTGAATTAGGGAGGAGCAAGCCACCCCAGTATCAACCAAAACTGTCACTTCTTCTCCCTCGGGTCCCACCTTCACATTTATCAGCGGTTCCTGGAGGGTCCTACTCAGAAGGAACCCCTGGCCCCCCTTGTCTTCATCAACCGTCATGAAGGGGATCATTTTTTCTTCTTTTTTCCATTCAGGACATTCTCTCTTAAAATGCCCTGGTTTTCCGCACTTGTAACATCAACTCATAGTCTTAGGAGCTTTTCCCTTCTTCCTCTGTGTCAAAATCTATTATCCCATTGTTTCCTTCAAGAGGGATCTTGATCTAACCTTCTTCTGACTACCTTTTCCACAGTGGAAACCATGATTCTCGCTTTTTGTTTCTGCTTCTCTTCCTCTCTCCTTACAAAGACCTTCTGAGCTTCCCTCAGTAATTCTTCAACTGGTTTCTCATTCCATTCATTACTCTTTTGTAATTTTTTTGTAATGTCAGGCCAGCTCTTAGTTACAAAGTTAACCTTCAAAAGGCCTTGCCCTACTGGGTCCTCCAGATCTAATCTAGAGTATTTTCTCAGGAACCTCTGCAGGAATGCAGAGGGAGTTTCCTCATTTTCTTGTTGAATCTTGAATGCCTTTGAGACATTTTGTGTCCTAGGAGTGGACTCTTTGATCCCTTTAATTATTAGTTCCCTGAGGTCCTGCATTTGGGTCCAGTCCCTGGGATCATTATTATCCCATTTAGGATCGACATTTGGAAATTTTTGTTTGGTTGGCAAGACTCCTTGCCTGGGAGGGTGTTGCCTCTCCCAGATGGTCATGGCTGCTCTCCTAATCATTCCCCTTTCTTCTCCTGTGAACAGAATATTCATGATAGACATCATTTCAGCCCAGGTGTAAAAGCTGGTTCCTAGGAATTGGTCCAGCTGGTCTGCTAAACCGAGGGGATCTTCTAGGCGTGGTTTCATTTCCTTCTTGAAATTCCTAACTTCAGAACTTGTAAGAGGAGCATTTACAAAGCCAGTCTCTCCCTGTCCCATGGGAACTTCTCTAAGAGGGAGCATGCTAGATGCCTGCTGTGTGGACAGGATAAGGAAGTTCTTAATATCCCTCTTACACTGTTCTTTTTCTTAAATTTGGATGAGGACTTAAAGGAGCAATTGGTTTGGTTCCCCCATGGTCTCCAGGTCTTTCTTCCTCTAACCCTCCTGTTGCCCCCTTGATCTTCCTGTCCCCTATTTTGTGAGCTGTATGGAGGGGCAAGCATGATAGGGGGTCCCAGGGCTTTTCACTGGGCAAGAGCTTTTTACTAGGCTCTTTTTCTTCTTCTTTGATGGGGAACGTGGGGGTTAATTCTTTGATCCAGCAGAGAGCATAACCTATCTCTTCTTGTGAGGATGGTTTTTGTTTTTTGTTTTGTTTTATTTTGTTTTGTTTTGTTTTAGTGGAGTCTTGCTCTGTCGCCCAGGCTGGAGTGCAGTGGTGCGATCTCAGCTCACTGCAAGCTCCGCCTCCCGGGTTCACGCCATTCTCCTGCCTCAGCCTCCCAAGTAGCTGGGACTACAGGCGCCCACCACCACACCTGGCTAATTTTTTGTATTTTTAGTAGAGATGGGGTTTCATTGTGTTAGCCAGGATGGTCTCGATCTCCTGACATCGTGATCCACCCACCTCGGCCTCCCAAAGTGCTGGGACCACAGGCGTAAGCCACCGTGCCCGGCCTAGAATGGGGTTTTATCATTCACATAGAGAATTAAAGCTTGGCACACCCAGTTCTCATCTGAGCCAAACTTAAATCAAAAGACTGAAGGCTTGCGAATGGGGTCTTTGGGACAGGTAAAACAGCAATACTTTATCATCTTTTCCTTTTCCTTGTCCCTGGTTCAAGGGTTGTCCCTCCAAACCTGCAGCATTCTCCTTAAAGGACTATCCGGGGGAATGTCAGAGGGAGTCTCTTTGGCTCCCTCTTTCCTTTGTCCCCTAGGCCTAGAATTTCTGTTTCCCATTTTCGTCAATCTGTGTCTGAGTTTTTCCCTGTGTACTCAAGCCCCCCACTAGAGGTTTCTTGCACACACCGAGAATCATTTCATCCGTCTCTGGCTGTTCCCCTCGCGAGAGAACAGAACCGCAAATTGGGTCTCCACACTTGCTTCATACCTAGGATACGTCTCAGTCACACACACTCGACCTCCAAAAATGCCCAACCACCAAGACAATACTCACAGTCCAATTTTCCTACCTTGGCTCGTACATGAGGTTGCCTGGTTGCCACGGTGCCTGCTTTTCTCCCTGTGTCACCTCCACTGCCTCCTGAATAACAGTCTCAGGTTTGTCTATGGCCTCTGCAGGGAGCCGGGATTCCCAGACAGAGCAGGCCACTTAAATCAGGTGGGACGCCTCTCCCCTCTTGGCTGGAGTCCAACTCCACGCAGGCACAGAGATCCCAGATGGGCCCCCAAGTTTGTGAGAAACACATTCATCTGTCCAAACCCAAAGAATGGACTCAGAGACACAAAAGAACAATGGAAGAGAGAATTTTAATGGTGATCGTGCAAGAATGGGTGTCTGGTAGGCAGGCACAGCTGGGGCAGCTACAGCAGGTAATTTATCTCCTAGCACGCAAGTCCCTCCCCCAGTTCCTCATTGGTCAAATACTGTGGGGTTACAATCTTTCTGGACGTCACCTAAGTTTCATTATCCCTTATAAGGTTATAACCCAGTCCCCTTCCCTGCTTAAGTTTCGATTTTCCAATAACTCTGTAAACTTTTTCTTCCCTTTTATAGGCTGACTCCTCCTCTACATTCTGTTTGCTTATTGCGACTTTCTAGGTGCATGAGCTGTGCGGTTTGTCACGTCCGCAGGCTGGCTGCCAGTACTTAGATTTATCATACCTTGAAAATGGACCATTTAAAATGTTTTCTCACAGAAAATAAGATTTTAAAACATTATCCTCCCTTTATATAAAACCTTGGGATATCAGCATACTCTGTGCTGGACCAGCATACTCTGGTCCTGGAAAATAAGGACCACTGGATCACTGTCCATCACAGGAAAACAAAATGCCACTGTAGAAAACTGTCTGTGGCAGGCTGAATAGTGGTCCTCACAACATACCGGTATAACATAATGGTAAAATGCTGAAAGGGACTTTGCAGGTGTGATTAAGTTAATATTCTTGAAATGAGATGATTGCTCTGGATTAGCCAAGGCGACCTAATCTTTATTACGGACTCTTCATAAAAGAGGCAGGAAGGTCAGAGTCAGAGAAGGTCACGTGACTATGGAGGCGGAGGTCAGAGAGTCACAGAGAGACTTGAAGATGCTACGCTGCAGGCTTTGAAGACGGAGGAAGGAGCTATGAACTAAGGAATGTAGGCAGCATCTAGAAGCTGGAAAATGGCTGATTTTGAACTTCAATCTCCAAAACTGTATTGCCTTAGTTGGTTTTGTGTGGCTATAAAGGAACACCTGAGACTGGGTAATTTATAAATAAAAGAGGTTGATTTGCCTCACAGTTCTGCAGGCTGTATAAGCAGCAAGCAGCATGATGCCAGCATCTGCTTCTGGTGAGAACCTCAGGAAGCTTCTAATCATGGCAGATGGCAAAGGGTGAGCAGGCATGTCACATGGTGAGGGGGGAGTGATAGAGAGAGGGGAGGCATGCTATGTACTTGTAAACAACTAGATCTCCTGTAAACTAATAGAGTGAGAACTCATTCATTATCATGGGGACAGCACCAAGCTATTCAAGAGGGATCAACCCCCATAACCTAAACACCTCCCAGTGGGCTCCACCTCCAACATTAGGGGTCACATTTCAACATGAGATTTGAAGGGGACAAATATCAAAACTATGTCATATGTGATAATAAATTTATGTTGTTTTAAGCCACTAAACTTGTGATGATTTGTTATAGTAGCCATAGGAAATTAATACTAATAGAGAGCAAATGACAATGATCAGGGGTTGGAAATCAGAGAGTGTTGGAGAATAGTATGAGCATGGTTGCTTGTACAAGGATGCACTTAAACCATGAGACTCTAGTTTGGAAACAAGAAGCCTGAGAAGAGACTGGCTCAATGTCTAAACCATTGCTGCTCTATAGAACTTTATTTGATGATGAAAGTGTTCTACATCTGCACTTTCCAATAGGGTAGCCAGTAGCCACATGTGACTACTAAGCACTTGAAATGTGGCTAGTACAATAAGGGAATTTTTTCTTTCTTTTTTTTTTTTTGAGATGGAGTCTTGCTCTGTCACCCAGGTTGAAGTGCAGTGGCGGATTTCGGCTACTGCAAACCTCTGCCTCCTGGGTTCAAGGAATTCTCCTGCCTCAGCCTCCCGAGTAGCTGGGATTACAGGTGTGTACCACCACGCCCAGCTAATTTTTGTATTTTTAGTGGAAACGGGGTTTCACCATGTTGGCCAGGCTGGTCTTGAACTCCTGACCTCAAATGATCCACCCACTTTGGCCTTCTGAAGTGCTGGGATTACAGGCATGAACCACCATGCCCAGCCTACTCTTAATTAATGTATATTTAAATTTAAAAATCTACATGTAGCTAATGGCTACTGTATTAGACAGACAGTTTTCTACCATTAAAAAGAATGTGGATAGGGTGACTATGAACTTATTCATTAAAGTGTTCAATGCTAGAAAACTAGCTTGCCAAAAATAGTCTATGCCAAATTAAAGAAGTACCAGCACTTCTCTAGAGATCAGATTTCTTATAATCTCTGCCATAATATAACTAAAAACCTAGATGAGAAAAAAGCATCTAAGCAGCATGTAAAATTGCTGTCATAAAACCCATGAACTTCACTTCATAGGAGATGCATGGAGTCAGTCCTTAGTCAAACAGCTACACATTAGAAGAACCAAGAATACGTTGATCTCAGAACTTCTTCAAAAGCACAAAAATCCGGAACACACTTAGGGAAAAGACATAAGGAAAGACATATTGCTACATGCCTCAGAGGTCCAGGTCAAAAGCAGATGATCATAATGGCCACCCTGAGTCACAAGACAAGGTTATATTATGTTCTGAATCATCTGTTTAAGAAGGCAAAGCAGGCCAGGTGCAGTGGCTTACGCCTGTAATCCCAGCACTTTGGGAGGCTGAGGTGGGTGGGTTACTTGAGGTCAGGAGTTCGAGATCAGCCTGGTCAACATGGTGAAACCCCATCTCTAATAAAAACACAAAAATTAGCTGGGCATGGTAGTGGGCATCTGTAATCCCAGCTACTCAGAAGGTTGAGGAACAAGAATCACTGGAACCCAGGAGGTAGAGACTGCAGTGAGCCGAGATTGCCACTGTACTCTAGCCTGAGCAACAGAATGAGACTCTGTCTCAAAAAAAAAGAAGACAAAGTAGTGAATAACTCAGTATTAAAAAAAAAAAACTCAACAGAGGGAATGGGTAAATGCAAAACCAAACAGTTACCTTTCCACTTTCATGTAAAATCCCTTGTTTTAGGGTTCTAGCCACTATGCTATGCCATCCACTCCAGCTCCTTGTTAGTCACTTATGCACCAGGATTGATCTGAACCAGGTTTGATAAATTATTTCAAATCCTTTCTCACCATTACCATCCAAATCCTTCTCACTTGCCACGCAACTTCCAAATCTGGATCAATTGAATTGATCCACCACCATTGTTTCTATTTCCAGACTGCTGCGCCCTGGTGGAAGAAATAACACAATGATATAGGCAGGAATATCTTGAAAAGCATGGTTTCTGTGGAATATTATGCAGCAGTTAAATATGTAAGATATCAGCTGGGCGTGGTGGCTCACGTCTGCAATCCCAGCACTTTGGGAGGCCCAGGTGGGCAGATCACCTGAGGTCAGGAGTTTGAGACCAGCCTGGCCAACATGGCAAAACCCCGTCTCTACTAAAAATACAAAAATCAGCCAGGCGTGGTGGCAGGAGCCTGTAATCCCAGCTACTCAGGAGGCTGAGGCACGAGAATCGCTTGAACCTGGGAGGCGGAGGTTGCAGTGAGCTGAGATCGTGCCACTGCATTTCAGCCTGGGCTACAGAGTGAGACTGTCACACACACACACACATACACACACACACACAAGCTATCTATATATACTGATACAGAAAAAAATCCATACACATTAAATAAAAAAGCAAGTGAAATCACAGTCCCTAGTATGGCTATAATCAAAAGGACAGATACTAACAAGTGTTGGCAAAGATGTGGAGAAACTGGAAGCCTCATATACTGCTGGTGGGAATGTAAAATGGATCAGCCACTTTGAAAAACAATCCAGTAGTTCCTCAAAATGTTAAACACGGAGTTACCATATGACCCAGCAATCCCACTCCTAGATACACACCCAAAAGACATGAAAATATATGTCCACACAAAAACTGGAACATGAATACTCATAGCCATGTTATTTATAATAGCCAAAAAGTAGAAACTGGCTGGGTGCAGTGGCTCATGCCTGTAATCCCAAAACTTTGGGAGGCTGAGGCAGGTGGATTATGAGGTCAGGAGATGGATACCATCCTGGCCAACATGGTGAAACCCTGTCTCTACTAAAAAAAAAAAAAAAAAAAAAAAAAAAAAAAAAAACTTAGCTGGGTGTGGTGGCACGTGTCTCTAATGCCAGCTACTTGGGAGGCTGAGGAAGGAGAATCACTTGAACCAGGGAGTCGGAGGTTGCAGTGAGCCGAGATCACGCCACTGCACTCCAGCCTGGCAACAAAGTGAGAGTCCATCAAAAAATAAAATAAAAAGTAGAAACTACCCAAATGTCCAAATGACAAATAGATAAACAAAATGTAGTATATCCACACAATGGATATGCCAAGAGCAAGTTGCAAGTTTTTTGTTTTGTTTTGTTTTGTTTTATTTTGTTTGAGACAGGGTCTCACTCTGTTGTCCAGGCAGGAGTGCCATAGCACAATCATGGCTCACTGCAGCCTTGGCCTCCCAGGCTCAAGCAGTCCTCCCACCTCAGCCTCCTGGGTAGCTGTGACTATAGGAACACAATGCTACATCCAGCTAATTTTTTGTATTTTGTAGAGACAGGGTTTTGCCATGTTGCCCAGGCTGGTCTTGAACTCCTGAGCTCAAGTGATCCACCTGCCTCACCCTCCCAAAGTGTTGAAATTACAGGTGTGCACCACCATGCCTGGCCTCCAAGAGCAATTTTATTCAGCAATAAAAAGAATGAAGTTCTGATTCATGCTACAACATAAATGAACCTTGAAAACACTGTGCTAAGTAAAATAAGCCAGTCACAAAAGATCACATATTCTTCCATTAATATCAAAGTCCAGAATAGGGAAATCTATAGAGACTGAAAGTGGATTAGTGGTTGGTAAGGGTTGAAGGATAAAGAGGCGATAGCTAAAGGATACAGGGTTTCCTTCTGAGGTGATGAAAATGTTCTAAAAATTGACTATGGCAGTGGTTGCACACATCCATGAATATATTAAAAATAATTGAACTGCACACTTTAAATGTGTGAATTGTGTAGTGTGTGAATTATAGCTCAATAAAGCTGTTATTTCTTTTTTAAAAAAAAGCAAATGATAGAATAATACATGTACTATGAGCTCATTTATATAAAAACCAAAACTACATATGCATGTAATATAAACATTTGTGAATGTATGTAAATATATAGAACATGATTTGGAAGGATACCCACCCATCTGTTAGCATTGGTTGCTTTTGGGGAGAGAAGTAGGATTGCCTTCTGTAACATCACACTTTCCTGTCTCTCCTCCTACCTCCCTGGTTGTTCCTCCAAATTGCTTTGTAGGCATTCTTTCCTCTGCTCATTCCTTTATAATCCACATTTAACTCTTCAGGCTCTCCTTGAAGTGATCATATGATCACATATTTCCCATGGTTTCAACAATGCCAGTCCATATCCTGACTCATTTATTCAACAAATAATCCACTGAGCACCTGCTAAGTACTGTGCTAGTTGCTAGACATTCAGCAGGACTGAGGCAAATAAGATTGCCATGCTCATGAAATTTACATTCTAGTGGCGGTGAAGATATATAATAATAAGCAAGCCAATAAATGAACAGACAATTTCAGATAATGTTAAGTGGTAGGGAGAAAATAAAACAGGGTGAGGGGCAGGCACCATGGTCATGTTGAGCACCGCGTCTCGCACCATGCCCCAAGCCGCCATCCACTGCACAAGTCGCTCCCTGCCACCCGAGGCCCGCATGCTCGCCATGTCCCTTCCACAACCAACGCAGGCCGCCTTGGGCATCCTGGCCCGGCGCACCATGGTGCTGGGCATCATGGAGATGGGGCGCCACATGGACACATCTGCCAGCGCCACGGCCGTGCACGCTTTCCTGGAGCGTGGCCACACCGAGCTGGACATGGCCTTCATGTACAGCGATGGCCAGTCCAAAATCATCCTGGGCGGCCTGAGGCTGGGGCTGGGCGGCGGCGACTGCTGAGTGAAATTGGCCACCAAGGCCAACCCTTGAGAGGGAAAATCACTAAAGCCTGACAGTGTCTGGTCCCAGCTAGAGACGTCACTGAAGAGGCTGCAGTGTCCCCGATTGGACCTCTTCTACCTACATGCACCTGACCACGGCACCCCAGTGGAAGAGACGCTGTGTGCTTGCCACCAGCGACACCAGGAGGGCAAGTTCGTGGAGCTTGGCCTCTCCAACTATGCCGGCTGGGGGAAGTGGCCGAGATCTGTACCCTCTGCAAGAGCAAAGGCTGGGCCGGGCGCGGTGGCTCAGGCCTGTAATCCCAGCACTTTGGGAGGCCGAGGTGGGCGGATCACGAGTTCAGGAGATCGAGAGCATCCTGGCTAACACGGTGAAACCCCGTCTCGACTGAAAATACAAAAAAAAAAAAAAAAATTAGCCGGGTGTGGTGGCAAGTGCCTGTAGTCCCAGCTACTCAGGAGGCTAAGGCAGGAGAATGGCGTGAACTCGGGAGGCGGAGCTTGCAGTGAGCCGAGATGGCGCCACTGCACTCCCGCCTGGGTGACAGAGCGAGACTCCATCTCCAAAAAAAAAGAAAAGTAATAAATAAATAAATAAGAGCAAAGGCTGGATCCTGCCCACTGTGTACCATGGCATGTACAATGCCACCACCCGGCAGGTGGAAATGGAGCTCTTCCCCTGCCTTGGGCACTTTGGACTGAGGTTCTATGCCTACAACCCTCTGGCTGGGGGTCTGCTGACCGGCAAGTACAAGTATGAGGACAAGGGCAGGAAACAGTCTGGGGGCCACTTCTTTGGGAATAGCTGGGCTGAGACCCACAGGAATCGCTTCTGGAAGGAGCACCACTTTGAGGCCATTTCCCTGATGCAGAAGGCCACACAGGCCGTGTATGGTGTCAGTGCCCCCAGCATGACCTTGGCCACCCACCCTCTGGTGGATGTACCACCACTCACAGCTGCAGGGTGCCCACAGAGACGTGGTCATCCTGGGCATGTCCAGCCTGGAGAAGCTGGAGCAGAACTTGGCAGTGATGGAGGAAGGGCCCATGGACCCGGCTGTCATGGACACTTTTAATCAAACCTGGCATTTTGTTGCCCACGAATGTCCCAACTACTTCCGCTAGGCCCATCATGGCCCAGGCTGCCCAAGGCTTTTCCGTCACCTCTTTTATTCTCTCACGCTGACCAGTCTTGGCCTTGAGCTGACTTAACAGGGTCTTTCTGGATCGTCTAGATCCATGTGTTATTTTTCTAGCTTCCTGCCTTGCTCCCTGCTCATTTACACTGTGAAAGGTGGGGGTGAGTCCCACTTGGGCATTTCCTGTTGAATAAAGCAGGCACTTGACCCAGCCATAGCCCAGGTCAACCCCACTCCCGCCCCGCCAAAAAGAGAGAGAGAGAAAAAAAAAACCAGGGTGATATGATGAGATACTGATCAGAGTAGGTGGCTCCTTAGTTGGGATGACCAGGGAAAGCCTCTATGAGGAGCTGACCCTAGAGCTGAGATGTGGATGATGAGAAAGATGGTAAGAGAACATTTTATGCAGGGTGCATAGGCCCTGAAGAGAGAACAAATTATAGCTGGAAGCATCATAAACAAATAACATAGTATGGGATGAGATCAGATATTTTGGTAAGGGCTACTATATCTTATTAGGTCAAAGTAAAGAGCTTGAACGTTATACAAAATGTAACTGGAAGCCCCTGGAGGGTTTTGAAACAGGCAGAGTGTCCTAGTCTGTTTTACATTGCTATAACAGAGTATCACAGACTACGTAATTTATAATAAACAGAAATTTATTTGGCTCATGGTACTGGAGGCTGGGAAGTCCAAGAGCATGGAGCCAGCATCTGATGAGGGCCTTCACGCTGCGTCATGCCATAATGAAAGGCAGAAGTACAAGAGAGGGTAAGAGCGAGGGAACAGGAAGAGTCAAACTTGCTTTTATAATGCAGCCACTCTTACAATAACTAACCCACTCCTGAGATAATGACATTAATCTATTAATAAGGGTAGAGCCCTCATGACCTAATCACTTCTTATTATGTCCCACCTCCCAACACTGTTCTATTGGGAATTAAGTTTCCAACACATGAACTTTAGGGGACACATTCAAACCATGGCATTCTATTCTGGTCCCCAAAATTCATGTCCTCACAATGCGAAATACATTCATTCCATTGCAGTAGCCAGAAAATTCTTGTTTCAGTGTCAACTCAAAGATCCAAAGTCCAGTCTCATCAAAAGCAGATATGGGTGGGACTCAAGGCATAATTCACCTTGAGGCAAATTTTCCTCCAGCTGTGAGGAAACAGATTAAAAATTAAACAAAATTATTTATTTACAAAATACAATGCTGGGTGATGTGGTTTGGATATGTGTCCCTGCCCAAATTTCATGTTGAATCGTAAACTCCAGTGTTAGAGGTGGGGCCTGGTAGGAGGTGATTGGACCATGGGGGTGGATCCTTTATGAATGGTTTAGCACCATCCCCTCTGTGCTTTTCTCGTGATGGTGAGTTCTCATGAAATCTGGTTGTTTAAGTGTGTAGCACCTCCCCTCTCTCTTCCTCTTGCTCCAGCCATGTAAGACATGCCTGCCTCCCCTTCACCTTCTGCCACGATTGAAAGTTTCCTGAGGCCTCCACAGAAGCTGAGCAGATGCCAGCACCATGTTTCCTGCAGAACCTACAGAATCTACATACAGCCTGCAGAACCATGAGCCAATTAACCTCTTTTGTTTATAAATTACCCAGTCTCTGGTATTTCTTTCTTTCTTTTTTTTTTTTTTTTTGAGACGGAATCTCACTCTGTTGCCAGGCTGGAGTGCCGTGGTGTGATCTCTGCTCACGGCAGTCTCTGTCTCCCAGGTTCAAGCGATTCCTCTGCCTCAGCCTCCCGAGTAGCTGGGACTACAGGCACGCACCACCACACCTGGCTAATTGTATTTTAGTAGAGATGGGGTTTCACCATGTTGGCCAGGATGGTCTTGATCTCCTGACCTCATGATCTGCACCCCTTGGCCTCCCAAAGTGCTGGGATTACAGGCATGAGCCACCGTGCCCAGCCTGGTATTTCTTTATAGCAGTGTAAGAATGGACTAATACAGTGGGACAGACATAAGATAGACATTCCCATTCCAAGGGGGAGAAATAGGCAAGAAGAAAGGGGTCCCAAGTAAGTCCAAAACCCAACAAAGAAAACCACATTAAGTCTTAAAGGTATAGAATAATCTCCTTTGATTCCATGTCCTGCATCTTGGGCACACCAAGACACGGGCTGAGCCCCCAAGGCCTCAGGCAGCCCTGCCCCTATCTATGGCTTTGTTGGGCTCAGCACATGTTTCAGCTGTCTCAGGTTGGAGTCTCATGCCTGCAGCTTTCCCAGGTTGGCACTGTATGCTGGTAGCTCTACGGCTCTGGGGTCCCAGTGGTGGTCCCACTCCCACGGTTCCACTAGGCACTGCCCTAGTGGAGACTCTGCAGGATCCTGCTTTCCACAGCTCCACTAGGCATTGCCCTAGTGGGGGCTCTCTGCAGTGGCTCTGCCTCTGCAACAAGTCTCTGCCTGGGCCCCCAGACTGTCCGATACATCCTTTGAAATCTAGGTAGATGCCACAATGGCCCCATAACTCATGCGCTCAGCACTTCTGCAGAGTCAGCACCCTGTGCATGCTGCCAAGGTTTACACTTGTACCCTCCAGAGCAGTGGCATGAACTGCACATGGGCTCACTTGAGCCATGGCTGGAGCAGCCAAGGAGCTCTTCACCAAAACATGGGAAGCAGAGTCCTGAGGTGGCCCTGGGCAGTGAATGCTGAGGTCTGGTGGGCACCTTTCTGGAAACCCTGCCCTCAAGGCCCTGCTCTGAATTTGTAATGGGAGGGACAACCTACTCAATGATCTCTGAAATGTCTTTGGGATCTTTGTCCCATTGTTTTGGTGACTAGCAATATTACCCTTTCTATCTCCCTACTGTTCTCCTCACTTCTGCTGCTGCTTGCGATTCATCCTCATTCCCCATCCCAGTTGCCCCCTCCCCTCTCCAGTTCTGTGAATGCAGAGGTCCTGTTGTCATTCATCCACATCCTACCTCCAACCCAGATGATTGGGTGGGGGACACATGCTTTACAACCACAAGTATGAATGGCTACTCCAGAAGTAGAGATTCCTGGCTGTTGCCTGCAGCCATGTCCTATCTTACCACCTGCTACCTGCCCAGCTCTTCAGAGGAAGGGTTCACTCTAACCCTGGCCCAGCTGGCCTGAGATAAGCTAGTTGCTGAAGTGCAGCCTCTTGTGGCCACTATGACTACAATATGATTTTTTTTCTTTATATATATTTTATATTTGTATTATCTTTTTAATTGAGATGGGGTCTTGCTATGTAGTCCAGGCAGGTCTCAAACTCCTAGCCTCAAGTCATCCTCTCACCTTGGCCTCCTAAAGTGCTGGCATTACAGTTGTGAACCACTGTGCCCAGCTGGTACAACAACTTTGGAAAACAATTTAGCAATATTTTGTAAAGTTGAAAGTAAGCATACTATAGGACCCAACAATTCTAATTCTAGGTATTCATTGGTGTAGGGAAACTTTTTGCACATATGCACTGGGAGACACATAAAAGGATGTACATTGCAGCACAGCTTGCAAAATACAAAAATTGGAAAGAAGCTGATGTCCATCAAAAGGATAATATATAAATAATCAGGGTACGTTTACATGATGGAATGATACGAAGTGGTTGAAATGACTTATCATGAATTAGGCTTAGTCTTTCAGTCTGTGTTTTGCTACATATATACCTATCCTCAAACAAAATATACTCTTGTTTGTGTATTAATTTCTATCCAAGTTGATAAAAACAGTATCATCCAGTATATATCTGTCTACAACTTGCTTTAAAAAAAAAAAAAAAACCTCATTGCTTCCTAATGTATATTGATTTTATTTATTTATTTATTTATTTTGAGACGGGGCCTCACTCTGTCACTCAGGCTGGAGCACACTGGCACAATCTCAGCTCACTGCAACCTCCCTTTCCCAGGCTCAAGTGATCCTCCCACCTTACACTCCCAGGTAGCTGGGACTACAGGTGTGTGCCACCATGGCCGGCTATTTTTTTGTATTTTTTGTAGAGACGAGTTTTTCCATGTTGCCCAGACTTCGAATATGACTTTGGAGCTGGTGAAAAGGACTTGGAACCTTTTTAAAAGCCCATGTTAGCACTTCCAGTTTGTTGAGCCAGGGTCTTGCTTTGTTGTCCATGCTGTTGTGCAGTGACATGATCACAGCTCACTGCAGTCTCAATCTCCCAGGCTCACTGCAGTCTCAATCTCCCAGGCTCAAGCAGTCCTCCCGCCTGAGCTTCCCAAGTAGCTGGGACTACAGGCATGTGCCATCATGCCTGGCTATTTTAATTTTTTTTTTTTTTTGGTAGAGATGAGGTCTCGCTATGCTGCCCGGGCTGGTCTCTAACTCCTGGGCTCAAGTGATCCTCCTACCTCGGCCTTCCAAAATGCTGGGATTACAGGGGTGAGCTACCACACCTGGCCAGCACATTCGATATAAATGAAATTTGACAGGATTCTAGAAGGCAAGCTGGTTATAATCTGTTGTACACACAAGGACAAGTGAGGAAGAAAGGAGACACAGTGCCCAGGGATAGGGGAGCAAAATAAGATATACTCAGTTATCCATGGTCATGAAGAACAGACATGCCAGGTTATTAAAAACCGGTAGATAATCCAAAAGGCACTCTGGAATACATTATATGTCCTATCAACACCTTGCCTCTGAACCCCAGTAGATTTATTCCTCTAGTTAACTTTTCTCAGACTGACATTAAAATGAGCATATATTTCCAAGTTGCTTCCAGATGATGGCTGGAGGGAGTGGGCAATAGCATGAAGACTGTGAAGGGTAAGGACAGCCTAAAATAATCCATTAGCCACAGAGAATCTCAGTGTGGGTATTTGAGAGTCACCTGTACACGCTCAGTAAAGAGGTTCTGCTTGTCAAGGCAACCGAATTGAGCCACCTGACTCTTCTTAGAGGCCCACTCCAAAGGTATATAGTAAGTTAAGTCAGGAGTCTCAAGCTGAATGCCTCTCAGTCCATAATGCTACCAGTCGCATAGCATGTGTGGCCAAAACCAGAGATACTCTGTTGATTCCCAACATTCTTGTGCAGAAGCAACTTTAGTCCACATTATGCTATTTAGCAATGAATTGTAGTAGGGAAAGGAAAGGTAGGGAGGGCTCTGCCCCCATCCCTGTGATATGTGGGCCATAGTTGCTCTGAAAACCCAGCTACAGAATGGGGACAGTAAACAACAAACAGAGTTCTAGTTCAGTCATGAACCATTTTCTTATGGTTATAGCAGAGTGATAATGGAGCAGGGAAAGGACAAGAGGCCAAAACACAGAGTCAGTGCTCCTGAAAGCAAGATTACTCACTGGAGACATTTATTGGTTTCTGTTTTTCCTGTGAAGGGGAGAAAGTAGGTCAGCACACTCAAAGAACTGTGACCAGGAACAGTGGCTCTGAGAGGGAGTCATTTGCTGCACCCTGTGCCAAGATGAACGAGTAATAGACACGCCTCTCAATTGAGGGCATTTGACTGAGGTCACTTGGCTTCGGGAAAAACTCAGGCTATTGATCCCTTGGTGTGTATTCTTTGCAGGCCTTAGGAGGTAGGTACAAGGGAAGGCTCGCAGTTTTAAAACCAACATCTAAATGGTTGGCTAGCATGAGCTGGCAAGCACAGGAATGTTTATGAGCAAACTGTGTGCCTACTTTGGCTTTCAGACAAGATGGACAAGGCTCAGGGCAGCTTGGCTAAAAATAGATGGCACAGAGGGGCCTAGGAAGCAGGAGAGCTAGGTTTCACTCCCAGGTCTCTGAGTTAACCTTCAGGCAAACTTCCTGAGTGTCTTTATTTCATATACTGATTAGCTCTTAGTAAGGAGGAGTATTGAATAAGTTTTCCTAGGTCTAGAGAAGGGTTCACATGGAGTCTGCTACATTTTCTTGTCTCATCTTTCCTCAAAAGATCCAAGTTTGGGAAAAGACTGGTTGTGATCAGGTGGAAGGTGGAGTAGCTGACATACGATGGAACAGTACCAAGCTATGATGACCCTCTGGGAGCCACGAGTCCTTCTGGACTAACCAAGGTGGCTGCCCAGCCAGAGCCAAAAGGAGGCTCCCTGACCCTGGGTCTGGAGGCAGAGGTGGCAGAGAAGTAAACAAGAGGCACCAAATCAGAACTCCTGATGCATAACCCACAGCTATGAGGGGGATAGTGTGAAATGCAGGGCTTTAAGTAGGAAATTTAGTAGGAAATTCAGAAAGCAGGTAGTTCCTGCCCTTTGTCACTGCCCCACATGCCATTCCCTTCTTCAGCAAGATTCTACTTGCTCAGAAGCAAGGGTCCAAACCGAGGCAGCCAAGTTTCTAGTCTGTAGTTGGGAGGTAATGTTCTTAGGAAAAAACTGGACTATTCACAGAGAAGGGGAAGCTGAGCACAAGAAAACTATTTTGTGTCAGGCACAGTGGCTCACGCCTATAATCCCAGCACTTCGGGAGGCGGAGGCGGACGGATCGCCTGAGGTCAGGAGTTCAAGACCATCCTGGCCAACATGGCGAAATCCCGTCTCTACTAAAACTACAAAAATTAGCTGGGTGTGATGGCGCATGCCTGTAATCCCAGCTACTCAGGAGGCTGAGGTGGGAGGATCGCTTGAACCAGGAGGTACAAGTTGCAGTGAGCCGAGATCGTGTCACTGCACTCCAGCCTGGGCGACAGAGTGAGACTCTGTCTCAAAAAAATAAAAAATAAAAAATAAACAGGCTGGCCGTGGTGGCTCACTCCTGTAATCCCAGCACTTTGCGAGGCCGAGGCCAGGTGGATCACGAGGTCAGGAAATTGAGACCATCCTGGCTAACACGGTGAAACCCAGTCTCTACAAAAAATACAAAAAATTAGCCTGGTGTGGTGGCATACGTCTGTAATCCCAGCTACTTGGAAGGCTGAGGCAGGAGAATTGCTTGAACCTGGGAGGCAGAGGTTGCAGTGAGCTGAGATCGCACCACTGCACTCTAGCCTGGGTGACAGAACTATTTTGTATTATTTCCTGCCTCAAGACCCTTGGCCCTAACCTCATCCCAGGACACTTTCCCCAGAAGTCAGTGCATCTCTGTGTGGCAAGAATATCTGGGAAGAGCTATTTTTTTTTTTCTGATTACAAAAGTAATAAGTGGTTATTTTATAAAATTAAGATTTTTCAAAATAACTAGAAGAGAGGATTCTAAATCCTCTCTCAACCCCCAAAAATGATACATGTTTGAGGTGATGAGTATGCTAATTACCATGATTTGATCATTTCACAATATATTCATGCATCAAACAAAACATCACACTGTACCCCATAAATATATAGAATTATCATTTATCAATTAAAAAAATAAAAAATTATAAGCATAAAGAGAAATATAAAGTAGAGGCCAGGCACCATGGCTCACACCTGTAATCCCAACACTTTGGGAGGCTGAGGTGGATGGGTCACTTGAGTTCAGGAGTTCAAGACCAGCCTGGTCAACATGGGGAAACCCCATCTCTAGTAAAAACACAAAAATTAGCCAGGTGTGGTGGCGCACACCTGTAGTACCAGCTACTCAGGAGGTTGAGGTGGGAGGGTTGCTTGAACCTGGAAGGTGGGGGTTGCAGTGAGCCAAGATCATGCCACTGCACTCCAGCCTGGGCGACAGAGCAACACTGTCTCAAAATAAATAAATAAATAAATAAAATATAAAGCAGACAACAAAAATAACTATAATCCCATCACTTAAAGATTACTAGGGTTAACAGCCTTTATGTAAATTTGGAGTATTTAACCTTGACTCTATTGCTTACTTACCTTGGGCAAGTTACTTAAACTTTCTGAGTCTCAGTTTTGTTATTTACAAAATGAGAATAATCATAGTACTCACCTCACAGTATTATCTCAAGGATGAGATAATTCATGTAAAGAGGTTTCATAGTCCCTGGCAAATATTGAGTGATCAATAAATGTTGGCCATCACTATCATTATTATCTTCTATGTGTATACATTCAAAACTACTCATATTGATGGCTGTATAATATTTTGTTTTGTGACTGTACCATTTCCCTAGGGTTAAACATTTATGTTGTTTCCAAAATTTTACTATTACAAAACTACTGCAAGAAACATCCCTGTACATATATTTTCTTGTACACCTCTGACTATTTCCTTAATATAAATTTCCTAGGATTGAGTTTACTGGGTTAAAGTTTCCTAAAAATGAGCATTTTGGGCCCAGGTGTGGTGGCTCACGCTTGTAATCCCAGCACTTTGGGAAGCTGAGGTGGGCAGATCACGAGGTCAAGAAATCGAGACCATCCTGGCCAACATGGTGAAACCCTGTCTCTACTAAAAATACAAAAATTAGCTGGGCTTGGTGGTGCAAGCCTGTAGTCCCAGCTAGTTGGGAGGCTGAGGCTGGAGAATCACTTGAACCCAGGAGGCAGAGGTTGCAGTGAGCCGAGATTGTGCCCCAACACTCCAGTCTGGTGACAGAGCAAGACTCCGTCTCAAAAGAAAAAAAAAATGAGCATTTTTAGGCCCTTGTTACAGACTTCAAAATGGCTTTACAAAAAGGTTGTAGTCGGTCAGGTGCAGCGGCTCACACCTGTAATCCCAGCACTCTGGGAGGCTGAGGCGGGTGGATCACCTGAGGTCAGGAGTTCAAGACCAGTCTGGCCAACATGGTGAAACCCCATCTCTACTGAAAAAAAATACAAAAATTAGCTGGGAATGGTGGCAGGCGTCTGTAATCCCAGCTGCTTGGGAGGCTGAGGCAAGAGAATCGTTTGAACCCGGGAGACGGAGATTGCAGTGATCCAAGATTGCACCACTGCACTCCAGCCTGGGTGACAGGCCAAGCCTCTGTCAAAAGAAAAAAAAAAAAAAAGATTATAGTCATTTACATTTCTGCCATCAGGGCATATATAAGTATCCATTTCTCCATACTTTCACCAACACTGAGTAATAACACTTTTTAAAACATCTTTGACAGTTCCATGGGGAATAATGGTGTCTTGTTTTCATTTGCATAACTTTGATTATAAGGGATAATTAATTTTTTTTTTTGAGACGGAGTCTCACTCTGTTGCCCAGGCTGGAGTGCAGTGATGTGATCTCAGCTCACTGCAACCTCTGCCACCTGGGTTTGAGCAATTCTCTTGCCTCAGCCTCCCGAGTAGCTGGGATTACAGGCGTGCGCCACCACACCTGGCTAATTTTTGTATTTTTAGTAGAGACAGGGTTTCAGCATGTTGGCCAGGCTTGTCTCCAACTCCTGTCCTCAGATGATTGGCCTGCCTCTGCCTCCCAAAGTGCTGGGATGACAGGCATGAGCCACCGCGCCCAGTCATAAGGGACAATAAACATTTTAAGTTAACTCTCCTGCTAAGCTCATACGGTAATTCACAAGTTCCCACAGACAAAAATCCGTAAGAAAGTCCTCAGGGATCCTGAAATGAAAACATACAGGGGACATTTCCATAAAAATAATTCACATTTGAGTAGTTGATATACATATTTTTAACCATTTTAACTGCAAGATATAATAATAGAAAAATGCATATCTTAATAGAGTATTATAAAGTAAATACACTTTTAGATATTTACTTCTAGGTCAAGAAATAGAACTTTGCTAGCTACCTTAGAAGCCTGGCACATGTCCCATCCCAATCCTAAAATTAACCACTACGCTGACTTTTATGGAAATCTCTTCCTCTCTTCCTTGATTTCATTATAGTTTTATCGCTCAGGTTGCAACCTTAAACGTAATAGTTTAGTTTTGCCTTTTAAAAATATTTTAAGTGTTTTTCATTTAGTTGCTGATATACTTGTAATAAAAATTACACCAGATTATAATAGCAATCAACTTAAAGAAGTAAATGCTTAAAAATGCTCATTTTTGACAATAGTGCTTTATAGACACATGAAAACATATACAATTTTTCCCATGGATGTGACTAAATAAATTGCTTTGTCTCAAACTTAGCATGTCATTTTGATATGGCTATATGTTTTGGTTCAGTTTTGAAGTAATGCCTCCAACATCAGTATAATTTTAACACTTTCTATCAAAGTTAGATGTCAGTTACAAGTCACCATTCTGAAGTTCAACCTTGTTTTTCAACCTATTAGATAGGTCTGAGTTCTTAACTGCAAACTGCAAAATCCACTCTGACTAGTTTAAGCAGAAAGGAAATTTATTAAACAATATTAGACCACCCACAGGATCTCTGGCGACCCATAAAGCGAGGCCCTGAAGAGGCCAGAAACAAGGTGCAGCCATACTGTGGGTGCTTCGCTGGCAAAAACTCCACTGCCACTACCCTAAAGAAGACATCAACTCTCCACGATCCTTGCTTTCCACATGGAATTTCCAAGCTTCTTGTATCTCTCTTCAAACAGACCCCAGAAACCCCTGCCAGAGAGAATGCTGAGCTGGATAGATTCCAGCTGTTTGATGTGGTCCCTCTGTTGCTTGTTGGTTTCTGCTGTCCAGAATGCTGATATGTCCTATGTTGGATCCCGGACAACACAGAAAAGTTTTCCATCTATTTTGAGTTTCTTTCCTACTCAACTCTTCAGTAGAACATAAACCTTTTAAGGGCAGAGGCCAGTTCATCACTTTTAAGTAATCAAATATATTTATTAATAACCTATTATATTCATTAACAAATATTTATTGGAAGCCTACTCTAAATTTGGCATAGTGCTAGGCGCTGAAGATATCATTATGAATGAGAGACAAAGGTCTTCTCTCATGAGTTTATAGTCTAATCAGTGTAGAGTGACAACAAATACATAAACAAATAAACAATTATGATTTCAGGTGAGCAGAGGAGCAGGGCTACCTTAGATAGGGTGATCAGAAAAAGTCTCCATGAGGGGCTGATAGTGAAGGTCACACTTAAAGGAAAAGCATCCAGGCATTTAAAGCGTTAGAGGAAGAACAGTCCTGGAAAAAGGAATGTCATGTGAGAAGGAAACATACTCATTCACGGGGTCTCAGGCTAGAGCACAATAAGTGAGCAAGAGAGTAAAATGTTTCAGTTTTATTCCAAGCATATTAACGAACAATTGGAGGTTGTGAGTAGCCAGAAGTGACATAGTCTGATGTACATTTTGAAGGATCACTCTTGGTGGTGAGTGGAGAACAGGCTATAGAGGAAACAAATTGAAACATTTAGGAGGCAAGTGGTCCAGATGAAAGATGATGATGGTTTACACTAGGGTGGCTGAGAGGATGAGAGATCACATTTGGGATATACTTCAAAGTTAGAGTCAAAAGAAAATTCCTGATTGGTTGTGGGAAGTGACGGGGAGAGGAGAATCAAAAGGAAAACAAAGATTTGGGGGCCTGAGCAACAGAGTGAATGATGTTGACAGTTACTGAGATGGAGAAAGTGGGGTAAGGGGGGAAATCTAGTTCATATTTGTACATGTTGAGGTGCTGATGTCTGTGGGAATGAACATAAGAGATAGTGAAATATATGAGTCTTGGGCTTAGAGAAGAGGACCTGTCTGTGCTAAACACTCTGAGGGGATGTATGAAATGTGTAAGACACAGCGTTGAAGAAAGGGTTAACACAGAAGCTCTAATTGATCAGTCCTTGCACATCTTCAGGGGAGCCTAGAATTATGATTGCCCCTAGGCCTACCTCTGGGAATACAGCCCTCAGATGTTCTTTATGTCACCAATTGATGATGTCTTGATGTCATTTTATACATCCAGAGCAATGAGGTATACTGTATCTACTTGTCAGGACTTCTCTGGATTGTTTTTGCAAGATTCATGATGTACCTGGTTTTGATGTTGGGATCCTGAGTGTCATTTCGCAAAAGCCTCAGAGACTCTGAGACTTGGGTGGGCTTTCCTAGACAGAGACATTTCACAGGTGTCCCTGTAGTTTGCTGTTAATTTGTTAGATGCTCCTGTGCAGCCATGGATAAGAAAGGACTTGAAAACCTGTGCCTACTCAATGTATATTTTTCCTGCAGCTTTTGTTCTGTATCCTTTGGCGTAATAAACCTTAGCTGTAAGTAAAACCTGCTATTGGGTCTTATGAGTCTTTCTAGTAAATCACCCAACTTGGGGTGATTGCGGGACCCCTCAAAACACAATTTGCCCTCCAAGAGCTTACAGTTTAGCTGCAGAGGGAAAAGAAACACACATGAAACAACAGTGACCCAAGCAGGACAATATATTACTGTCATCCCAAGGCCAGGCACTAAGTTTTTATTCATCTTTGTATCCTTAAAGGAGGGCTGGGTCATTGGGTGGTCCTCAATAAAGGTCTGCTGAACTTAAATAGAAGAGGTGGAGTTTGCTGGATGGGTAGGACTTTGAATAAGCTACGAGGAAAAGGAGGGCATGCCAATTGGAGAAAACTTGATATAGGCCCAAAAGCAAGAACAGGCAGGGTTTGTTTGTAGAAAGTTGTCCTTAGTCTCCCTGCTCCACAATGCCTGGCTCATTTGCCAAACAGTGGACATTTCATAAAGTCTGCCACTTGTCTGGTATCCTTGTCCAAGTTTGCTACCACACCCTTTTCAGTCTCTCCTCTGCTTTTTCTGGGCAGTGCTAATGATGGGAGGTGATGGGATAGCATATTCCTTCTGCTCCCACCCCAGTCACTTGCAGGAGAGAACTGAGGCTGAGATGTCTAGTTCCAAATCTAACTGCATCATGGATGGTTGGCTTGGCTGCTCTCCCTGTGATTCAGTGATTAAAATTCCAGATGGGACTACAATAACTCTATTAATCTTGAATTCCATACATCGGTTTCAAAATAAAAACTCCTAGAACCTAGGCACCTCTATACAATCTTTCCATATTCCCAGGGAAGCTTTAAAATGAAATAGATGAGTAATTGCTTCACCAAAAGACAGGTTCTGGTGAAAGGAGACGTGGATACAGAGAAAAAGAGAAGACATTCTAGGAAATGAACCAAAACATTTCTTTCTGCATGAACAGGAAAGAAAATGGAAGATTTAATGCTTAGATCTCAGAGATTGACTAGTATAACCATTGTCCCCTTGCCCCTCCAGCAGATGAGGAAGAGATTTGTCCAAGATCACACAGCAATCCACAGCTGACCCAGGACCAGAATATGATTAGAATCAGGACCAGGCTTCCTGATTCTAAGTCCAGTGCTCCACCACATCTTAGTGTCCTATTTTGCAGTTCTATAGCCATAACAATCATCCTCAAAGAAGGATGCACTAAATTTCCCAATTAGCAACTACCCCTCGGTGAAGCATGTTAAGGACCAGAACAGGGAAGGGTGGCAAAAGGCCAAGCCAAGACATCACAATTACAAGAGCTAAGTGAGACATGTTTCTGACTGCTTTATGGGCTCTGCAGCCTTGCTGCTTCTTTGCTTTGAGCCAAGTCAATCATACTCTCTGTCATGGACTGGGGGTGGGGGGAGGGTCAGTGAGAGGAGTGAATAAAACAGACCTTCCTGCTGGCAAAGATGTGTGGCCAAACTATGAATCTGCAAGCAAAAGAAGGGAGGTAATTGTAGAAGCATATGACAGCACCAGAAAGCTCTGGCACAACCAGCATCACCTCCCACCCAGCACCTGCCAGTTCACAGCAGCTGTTCAGAAAGCTTATGGCCTTGCGAGCAGGACAGTTCACAAGGTAGAATCTGTACACCAGCCTCTGTGCCCTGCCCAGGCTTGACTCAGAAGCAGTGACAAATGCACTGGGCTAGTTAGTTCATCGGTACACTGAACGTGAATCCAGGTGACAACCAGGCAGTGACTTTCCTGAAGATTGAAGTCACTTCCTGTTTGGGACCTCCAGTCCTGAGATGCAGTCTTCCACAGCTCAGGCTTCCATGGAGGATCAAAAGCAACTCCTGGGCCAATGAAAGAAATGTGAGGAAAAGTCTAAGGGCGGTTGAGAGAGCCTTGTATGAAGGCTGAAATGTGACACTTTTTTTTGTTTGTTTTTTGGACTCAGAGTTTTGCTGTGCCACCCAGGCTGGAGTGCAGTGGCGCAATCTCGGCTCACTGCAACCTCTCTGCCTCTCAGGGTCAAGCAATTCTCGTGCCTCAGCCTCCTGAGTAGCTGGGACTACAGGCGAGCGCCACCACACCCAGCTAATTTTTTGTATTTTAGTAAAGACGGAGTTTCACCATGTTGCCCAGGCTGGTCTCGAACTCCTGAGCACAGGCAATCTGCCCACCTCAGCCTTCCAAAGTGCTAGGATTACAGGCGTGAGCCACCGCACCTGGCTAACACTTCTATATGCGTACCAAATCAGGGAATGAATGAATTCAGCATTCCAATCACATTCTCACACGATGCCTGAATCACACTCACAAAAACAGGGCTTCAAATCCTTACTATAAAAAAGCATTATATTGTCACTATAGGAAATACTCATAATTCTGGTTTAGGTGAGTTATGGCAGACTTAGAAATAACTGGATTTGTATAGATAAGGGAACCTTATCCCTTAAATGCCAAAAATTTTAAACAGTATTTTCATGACATGTGAAATATACATGTTTATATAACATGTTTTCCAGATTCCCCAGCCCACTTGAACCTTTTTCCAGCTTACTCAGGGTAATCACAATCACATCCTTCATTACGTTATGCTATTTTGTTTTCCTGCCTCCTCCCAGGGTTTCAGGCCTTCAGCAGGCACTTCCTCCATCAGTTTGTCTGAGCTTCTTCCCTCCCTCCCCCACTGCAATATATCTGCCTGTTGCTTCTAATCTGTGCAGCTAGGTAACCAGATTACAGGACTCTTTAGAGCTACGTTATAAACAAGGGACTAGAAAATGTCTGAAGAATAACAGACCTTTAATGCTGTAAGGCTACCTCTGTGTGTTTGAGGGAGTTTGCGACTGTTTCTTCCATCCAGATTTGGAGCAGATTTTCAGAGAGCAGAGGATGCCAGAGGCCCGACCTGGGGATAAATGCTGTACTATGGAATATAAGCCTGGGATCAGGCCATGCCTCAAGCTCCCCTGTCCTCCACTCAACTCCCTAGAGCTCAGAAGGCTTTGAATGACAGAAAATTGGGAAGAACAATTAGGAATAAAGATGAAGCCACGCCAGATTCTTCTTTCAGAAAATGAAGTAAGTGCTGACAAAGCAGGGGTAACACTAGCCTGGGGAATTTGCTCTAACTTCCACAGAGGAGAATCTCTGCATTGTGCCTAGGGGAACTGTAAGTGTTACTTCTATTAAAAATACAAAAATTAGCTAGATGTGGTGGCGGGCACCTGTAATCCCAGCTACTCAGGAGGCTGAGCTCATGACTGTAGCAATATTTGAGATCTCTGTGGTCTTCTTACAAACCTTGGGGGAAAAACAACACAGGCAATTTATAATGTCACAGCAATAACCATCGTGTGTTCCATATTTTTACTACTTAGAAACCACTTTCATAGTCACTAACTCATTTGGTAAGCTATAGAGAAGGCCATTCTCCCTCCCATCCTAAGCTGTCACTTGCTACTCTAGGAAGGAACACTTGAAACTTCTCTATTTCTATTGTCTATAACATTCTTGGCAGCTAAATGCTCACTGCATCCCCATACTCTGTAGGCAAGGATTACCACAGGGTTCTGCTGGGAGCGCTGGGCCAGATGCCAAAGGCCCAGCCAGACACAGGATATCAAAGGAGGATTGTTTAGATGCTGGGGTCCCTGCCTTTTAGGGATGCCTAACTATAGAGTTCTGCCTCTGCCAGATTATTCACTCCCATACAATGCACAGCAGTCTCCCTCAGCCTGTCCCAGTGTCATTTTTAATCAAGGAAGGAGGTAATAATGTAGAATTCACAGGTCATCATTTCATTACTTTGGTCTGGACATCAAAGAACCAGCAGGATAATGATGATGGAAAAGTTATTTATCATCTCGAAATCTCGATTTGTCCATTCTTAAAATAGGAAGGGTAAAAGTCGCCCCTACCTAGTCTCCAGATATCTGGAGATGATAAATGAAGTACTACAGTGGAATAGTTTAATTTTTAAGGTGAATTACTTTGAACTCCTTGGAAGGATCACATAAGTCTAAGGGATTCTAACTGGCTCAGAGTTATATATCTTCAGTTACTTAAAAGTTGTGCTAGAAATCGCACAAAATAACTGAAATTAAATATACAGAAAAGGGAATAAAACTTAGGATTTGATGTTGGGAAAGGAAAGGAAACTTAGCAAAGAAAGTGGCAACCAACAGCAGAGATCAAAATAGGAAGAGGAAGACGGGAAAATGTGAAATTGAAGAATTAAAATTTTGTTACTGGGAAAGAAAGGGGAAATACAGGCATACCTTGAAGGTATTGTGGGTTGGGTTCCAGACCACTGTAATAAAGTGAATATCGTAATAAAGTGAGTCACACAATTTTTTTGGTTTCCCAGTGCATATAAAAGTCATGTTTACACTATACTATAGTGTACTAATTGTGCAATAGCATTGTGCCTATAAAAACAATAAACATGCCTTAATTTAAGATACTTTATTGCTAAAAAATACTAATGATCATCTGAGCCTTCAGCAAGTCATAATCTTTTTGCTGGTGGGAGGTCTTGACTTGAGGTTGATGGCTCCTGCCTGATCAGGGTGGTGGTTGCTGAAGGTTAGGGTGGCTGGGGCAATTTCTTAAAATAAGACAACAGTGAGGTTTGCCACATCAATTGACTCTTCCTTTCCAAAAGATAGATTTCTTTCTTTCTTTCTTTCTTTCTTTCTTTCTTTCTTTCTTTCTTTCTTTCTTTCTTTCTTTCCTTCTTTCCTTCTTTCTTTCCTTCTTTCTTTCTTTCTTTCTTTCTTTCTTTCTTTCTTTCTTTCTTTCTTCTTTCCTTCTTTCTTTCTTTTCTTTTTTTTTAGACAGAGTTTCACAGGCTGGAGTACAGTGGCAAGATCTCAGCTCTCTGCAACTTCCGCCTCCAGGGTTCATGCAATTCTCATGCCTCAGCCTCCTGAATAGCTGGGATTACAGGCGCCCGCCACCACGCCCAGCCGATTTTTGTATTTTAGTAGAGATGGGGTTTCGCTGTGTTGCCCAGGCTGGTCTGGAACTCCTGAGCTCAGGCAATCTGCCCGTCTCAGCCTCCCAAAGTGCTAGGATTACAGGCGTGAGCCACCACGACTGGCCTAAAAGATTATTTATTTATTTATTTATTTTTAGACAGAGTCTTGCTCTGTCACTAAGTTAGAGTGCAATGGCACAATCTTGGCTCACTGTAGCCTCCATCTCCGGGGTTCAAGTGATTCTCCTGCCTCAGCTGGGACTACAGGCATGTGCCACCATGCCCAGCTAATTTTTTTGTATTTTTAATAGAGATGGGGTTTCACCATGTTAGCCGGGATGGTCTCAATCTCTTGACCTCGTGATCCACCCACCTCGGCCTCCCAAAATGTTGGGATTACAGGCATGAGCCACTGCACCTGGCCCAAAAGATTTCTTTATAGCATGCCATGCTATTTGATAGCATTTTACCCACAGTGAAACTTCTTTCAAAATTGGAGTCAGTCCTCTCAAACCCTGCCACTGCTTTATCAACTAAGTTTATGTCATATTCTAAATCCTTTGTTGTCATTTCAACAATGTTCACAGCATCTTCACCAGGAGTAAATTCCATCTCAAAAATCCACTTTCTTTGCTCATCCATAAGAAGCAATACCTCATCTGTTCAAGTTTTATCATGAGATTGCAGCAATTCAATCATATCTTCGGGCTTCACTTCTAATTTTAGTTCTCTTGCTATTTCCACCTCATCTGCAGTGACTTCCTCCACTGAAGTCTTGAACCCCTCAAAGTCATCCATGAAGGTTGGAATGAACTTTGTATTAGTCCATTCTTGCATTGCTATAAAGAAATGCCTGAGACTGGGTAATATATAAAGAAAAGAGGTTTATTTGGCTCACAGTACTGCAGGCTGTACAGGAAGCACGGCAGCATCAGCCTCCGGGGAGGTCTCAGGAAGCTTCCAATCATGGCAGAAGGCGAAGGAAGAGCAAGTAATTTCACATGGCCAGAGTAGGAGAAAGAGAGCGGGGAGGAGGTGATACACATTTTTAAGCAACCAGATCTCACAAGTATGTGATGACGGCAACTAAGGGGGATGGTGTTAAGCCATGAGAAACCACCCCCGTTATCCAACCACCTTCCTCCAGGCCCCAGCTCCAACACTGGGAATTACAATTCGACATGAGATTTGGGTGGGGACACAGATCTGAACCATATCAAATTTCTTCCCAACTCCTGTTAATGTTGGGTTTTTTTTTGTCTTTTGTTTGTTTATTTGTTTTGTTTTGTTTTGTTTTGTTTTTTGAGATGGAGTCTCACTCCGTTGCCCAGGCTGGAGTGCAGTGGCACAATCTCGGCTCACTGCAACCTCCACCTTCTGGGTTCAAGAGATTCTCCTGCCTCAGCCTCCCAAGTAACTGGGATTACAAGCGCCCACCACCACACCCGGCTAATGTTTTATATTTTTAGTAGAGACAGGATTTCAGCATGTTGGCCAGGCTGGTCTTGAACTCCTGACCTCAAGTGATCCACCCGCCTTGGCCTCCCAAAATGCTGGGATTACAGTCCACGTTGGTATTTTGACCTCCTCCTATTAACCATGAGTGTTCTTAATGTCATTTAGAATGGTGAATCCTTTCCAGAAGGTTTTCAATTTCCTTTGCCCAGATCTATCAAAGGAATAGCTCCATTGCAGCCTTATAAAATGTATTTTTTAAAAAAATAGGACTTGAAGGTCTAAATTACTCCTTAATCCATCTGCTACAGAATGTATGTTGTGTTAGCAGACATGAAAACAACATTAATCTCCTTGTACATAGCCATCAGAGCTCTTGGGTGACTAAGTGCATTGTTAATGAGCAGTAATATTTTGAAAGGAACCTTTTTTTCTGAGCAGTAGGTCTCAACAGTGGGCTTAACATGTTCAGAAAACCATGCTGTAAACAGATGTGCTGTCATTCAGGCTTTGTTGTTCCATTTAGAGAACACAAGCAGAATTTGGCATAATTCTTAAGGACCCTAGAATTTTCAGAATGATAAATGAATATTGGCTTCAATTTAAAGTCACCAGCTGCATTAGCTCCTAACAAGAGAGTCAACCTGTCCTTTGAACCTTTGAAGCCAAGCACTGACTTCTCCTCTGCAGCTATTAAAATCCTAGATGCTGGCCGGGCACGGTGGCTCATGCCTGTAATCCCAGCACTTTGGGATGCCGAGGCAGGCAGATCACTTAAGGTCAGGAGTTCAAGACCAGCCTGACCAACATGGCGAAACCCCATCTCTACTAAAAAATACAAAAATTAGCTGGGCATGGTGGCGGGCGCCTGTAATCCCAGCTACTTGGGAGGCTGGCGCAGGGAGAATTACCTGAACCCAGGAGGCGGAGGTTGCAGTGAGCTGAGGCCGCCCCACTGTACTCCAGCCTGGGCAACAGAGTGAGACTCTATCTCAAAAAAAAAAAAATTCCTAGATGCCATCTTCTTCTAATATAAGGCTGTTTTGTCTACATGGAAAATCTGTTGTTTAGTGCAGCTACTCTTATCAATGATCTTAGTTAATCTTCTGGATAACTTGCTGCAGCTTCTCCATCAGCACTTGCTGCTCTTTGCACTTTTGTGTTGTGGAGACAGCTTCTTTCCTTAAACCTCATGAACCAACCTCTGCTAGCTTCACACTTTTCTTCTGCAGCTTCCTCATCTCTCTCAGCCTTCATAGAATTGAAGAGAGTTAGGGTCCAGTTCTGGATTAGGCAGGCTTTGGTTTAAGGGAATATCGTGGCTTAAGAAAACATTTGATCTTCTATCCAGATCACTAAAACTTTCTCCATATCGGCAATAAGGCTGTTTGCTTTCTTATTCACATGCTCATTGGAATGGCACTTTAATTTCCTTCAAGAACTTTTCCTTTGCATTCACAACTTGGCTAACTGGCTGGCACAAGAGGCCTCGCTGGGCTTTTGACGTGCCTTCCTCACTTAGCTTAGCTTAGTCATTTCTAGCTTTTTTTTTTTTTTTTTTTTTTTTTGAGATGGAGTCTCGCTCTGTCACCCAGGCTGGAATGCAGTGGCGCGATCTCGGCTCACTGCAAGCTCCGCCTCCCAGGTTCACGCCATTCTCCTGCCTCAGCCTCCCATGTAGCTGGGACTACAGGCGCCTGCCACTACGCCCGGCTAATTTTTTGTATTTTTTAGTAGAGACAGGGTTTCACCGTGTTAGCCAGGATGGTCTCGATCTCCTGACCTTGTGATCCGCCCGCCTTGGCCTCCCAAAGTGCTGGGATTACAGGCGTGAGCCTCCACGCCTGGCCATTTCTAGCTTTTGATTTAAGGTGAAACATACATGTCTTTCCTTTCACTTAAACACTTGGAAATCATTGTAGGGTTATTAATTGGCTTAATATCAATATTGTTGTATTTCAGGGAATAGGGAGGCCCAAGGAGAGTGAGAGAGTTTGAAGAAGGGCTAGTCAGTGGAACAGTCTGAACACATAAAACATTTACCAATTAAGTTCACTGTCTTATCTGGGCACAGTTGTGGCACCCCAAAACAATTACAATGTTAACATCAAAGATCACTGATCACAGCTCCACATAACAGATGTAATCATAATGAAAAAGTTTGAAACATTGAGAGAATTACCAAAATGTGAGACAGAGACAAAGTTAGCACATGCTGTCGAGAAAATGGTGCCAACAGACTTGCTTAACGCAGGGTTGCCACAAACCTTCCATTTGTGAAAAACACAGTATCTGCAAAGTACAATAAAGCCAGGCACAATAAAACGAGGCATGCCTGTATAAACAGCAACTGTCAAGTGATGTTTTCCAACTAGAATTAAAAGATTACATAAGGAATTTTTTAAAGGAATTCAATCTGGAAGAACTGAGCAACAATTAAGAATGCATTATAAAGGATATGATACTTACATATGTGAAATAAATTTAAATGGCCAATTCTAACCAGAGTGAATGCTGCAGCTGGGTGTTAAAAATCTTTTAACCATACTGAGTTTGGCAGTGATTCTGTACAAGGAAATGATTTATATTCAGGGACTGACTATTTGGGTATCTCATCCAGTTTCAAGATATCAAGACCCACATGGAATACAGCAATGAAGCCAAAGGAAGGAAAGAGAGAGCTAATCATCATGGCCCTATTTCAGATGAAGCCCTTCTTTACCCATCTTACATTTCTGCCCCTTTCATGCTTCTAAGCCAAGTCAGACAGTTATGCACAGAGTGGATAACTTACTTATGTCTGGCTTAAGGGCCTACCCTTCAGAAAGGTACACATGCTGGAGGTAAGGAAGCTGAGCTGCAATTCTGGCAGATTTGTACTGCTTGGGTTGATCTACACTGACTCCAGCCACTCCTTTTCTATGGAATATACTAAAAGCAGTAAGATGATAGTATTTCTTTAGTTTGCTCACCCCTGAGATTCAAAGGGAAAAGAATGACAGCAGGAAATTGTTGCAAGAGCTGGGCATCCAAAGTCACCAAATACCATAGGATTGTGTGTGAATGTGTGTGTGCATGTGTGTATGCATGTACATACACACACACTAGTATACACTAGTGGTATGGTTCAGTTAAACACTATGAGTCAGGTCAGGAGCAGCCAACCACTTTTTATCTCTCAGGTTCCTTCTGGAAATTTGGTCTTTACTTCTAGTGAGAAATCCAGAAAAGGCTCCACTGGTTATCCTCCTCCTGGGAGAAAGAACACATTAACTTTCCTTCTCTCAGGACACTGGGGAATTCTGTTCACTTAGCCTTGTTAGAGGGTTAATCATTAATTAATTTATGCTGACACAACCATGAGACATTAGGGTCCCTACATAATTAGGCATAGCCTGCCTCAGCCTTGTAAGGTCAACCTTATAAAGAAGAAATATCTCACTTTCTATTCAAGCACTCTTGTTTGATCTGGGGGCACTTCTTATGTTCTTATGAGTGTGACGCTTGGGACAGAAGTAGAAGGGACAATGTGTGTTTCATGGTGAGTAATGAGAGAGGGAGAGGAAAAGGACTGTAACTGACAAACAAGTGAGTACTGCCTGTGCTGTCTCCTCACCTTAGGTAAAACAAGCACTGTCTGTTAGACTGAAGAGGTGGTCTGATATTCACAATCCAGTCTCTTACCGAATTCGAAAATCATCAGCAGCTATACATTCCTGGTGAGTGGGGTGGGAAGTTAGTGGTCAGTTGGTACTGAGGGGGTATAGCAGAGACTGTTAATAGACGTGAAATCTACTAGCTATGCCTCTACATATCCCAGTCTTCCTTGTGGTTAAATTGGGGTTAGGTGATTAGTTCCTGCCAATGAAATGTATGCAGAAGTTCTGTGTTACCTCTAGGATGAAGCGATTAAGGCACATGGGCTTCCAGTTCTCTTTTTCTTTGCTACGGTGTCCTTGGAAGTCATCTGTTCCAGATGGTATAGCTACAAGACAGAAGAGGACCAACCAGTCTATATCAAACATTATGTGAGCAACAAATAAACCTCTGCTATTTGTCACTGTATCGGTCTAGCCTATCGTGATTAATATAGGCACCAAAGCAGTGTTTCATTTAGGGTGCCAGAGACTTTAGTGCAAGAAATTAAGCTACTCACACCCACAATGTATAGTTCCTTTTAGAGACACAAACTCTACCAGGATGATCAGATTTCATGTTTCCCAAGACTCTCTTCAGCAAAACTTTGTCTTTGAAGGAGAATGGTTTGCCATGAATTAGTAACTTCAAGTGTAGAGGCCATCTCTCCTAAGGACACACATCTTCCAAATATCAAAAAGCATCCAAAATTTATTGAATAGCTCATGAAATCTCTTCCTAGGTACCTATCATCTCCTTCTGCTACTTCCCATTTTACTGATGGCACTGGACACAAATGCTAGTTTATAGCCTTTATACACAGAACTCCCTCATATATTAGGTTCCCATTAAAAAACAAAAAAGGAGACACAACTAAGTTTCTGTTTATCAAAGCCATCTGATAGTGGCAAGCACCTGTAGTCCCAGCTACTTGGGAGGCTGAAGCAGGAGGATTGTTTGAAATTCAAGTCCAGCTTTGGCAACATAGCAAGATTCCATCTCAAAAAAAAAAAAAAAATCTCAATTTCTTGTAGGCCCTGGCTCAGTGTACTTTTAAAGTTTAGAATAGGAGGGAGAGGAACATCCTTCATTCACTGTCTCCAAAATGTCTAATATTTGCCTCTCTATCTCTCAGTGAGCCAGCAGGTCCAGCATAAGATAGGAAGCACAACATTTCATTTATTTTTTTATTTTTATTTTTTGAGACAGAGTCTCACTCTGTCACCCAGACTGGAGTGCAGTGGCACGATTTCCATTCACTGCAACCTCCGTCCCCCGGGTTCAAGAGATTCTCCTGCCTTAGCCTCCCCAGTAGCTGGGATTACAGGCGTGCACCACCACGCCTGGCTAATTTTTTTTTTGTATTTTTGGTGGAGACAGGGTTTTGCCATGTTGTCCAGGCTGGTCTCGAACTCCTGACCTCAAGTGATCCACCTGCCTCATTCTCCCAAAGCTCTGGGATTACAGGTGTGAGCCACTGCACCTGGTCAGGAAGCACAACACTTTAAACCTTGAAAACAAAAGGGCTGGGACAACATCCACTTGGCACTCTTCACCAATGAGGGAAGACCTCTCTTAGCTGTTTTTCACTATAACCAGTTGAAGGCTCTACCTTTCAGAGCATCTACTTACTGAGCTGACAGGGACCCCATATACAACTGTTTATTGCAAAAGACCAAACTATGTCCTTAAAAATGTTTCTTTAAAAAGCAGGTCACATCACCAATGAAAGTTTGAGAAATTACATACACAGAGAAATATTTTTCTTGGGTTACTGACTTGATAGAAATTTTGATATATTCTCCCCCTAAAGGAACCAGTGAAAAGGCCTGTCTGGTGGTAAGGGGCTATACAAAAGCCATGGCTTTGGTCCTGTGTACAAGCTTGCCTCTTGCTCCGCAGCTGGAATCTGGTTCTGTTGGGAGAAGACAGTCAGAGAAGTCCTTACATCTCTGACCCCAAAAACCTCTTCTGAGCATTGCCCAACACTCCTGTTATACAACATGCAAAACAAATAATCAACCTTAAAAGTCAGGCAGCCAAAGCTCTACTCGAATAATAAGCCCTTTTACAAACTGCTTGTCATTTGCCAAAATCAGCTCCAAAGAACACCAGGAACTCAAAATTCTATTGTTCTCATTAACTACTTGGGGGAACTAGACAAGCTTCGATGGCTCTATTGGTTTTCTGAGAGACAAAAGACATTAAGATTTTCATCTATCTGCACCCTGTCTTTGATCTCAAAAATTTAATTGTAGCTCCAGTCCCACCATCTCTAAGAGGCCTCTATTAAAAGGGTGAGCTAGAAAGGGGCACCAGCCTTTTCTTAGAACATATGCTATTCTCTACTTCCTTCCTGCCTGATTGTTAGGGTGGGAAAAGAAGAATCCAAATGCCAACTTTTTCAGAAAATTTATTGAGAGGGAGGGAGAGGGCAAGACAGAAGCATCTGAAATTTAGTCTTCTGCCTGTGAGGGCCCTCTGGCTGAAGTTCAAAAGGAAAGAGGAGCTTTGCCCAAGGAAAACTATTCAAAACTATGTTTGGTGCACTTGGGAAAGCCTGGTGGTGCATTGTTGGCCCAGAACAGGTTCTCTGGGATTCAAAAGGCAGGGTGAAGCTTTTTTTTTTTTGAGACGGAGTCTCACTCTGTCACCCAGGCTGGAGTGCAATGGCGTGATCTCAGCTCACTGCAACCTCCGCCTCCCGGGTTCAAGCAGTTCTCTGCCTCAGCCTCCTGAGTAGCTGGGATTACAAGTGCTCACCACCACTCCTGGCTAATTTTTTTTTTTTTTTTGTATTTTTAGTAGAGACGGGGTTTCACCATCTTGGCCAGGCTGGTCTTGAACTCCTGACCTCGTGATCCACCCACCTCAGCCTCCCAAAGTGCTGGGAATACAGGCGTGAGCCACCACACCCAGCCAGGGTGAGGCTTTTTCTTTAGGCATTGGACAAGATTTATTGACATGACAATTCCATATTTTCTGAGAAGGATTAAAATTTTTCTTAGGCCCCCAAACTAGAAGGCAATATCAATACTGGTCTTGGTTATATGCATTTATCATAAAATTCATTCAAATAGCAGATTGAGGGTTCCATAAAACAATTAGCCCTGTTTCTGTTTCCAAGCAAACAGGACAGACAGAAGCCATTCAAACATTCTTTTTCAAACCAGATGTGAACAAAGAATTCTCAAGTCTAGATGCAATGTTGAATCCAGTAACAGTGCTCCTAAAACCAGCCAGATCTCTCAAAAGGCAAGGTGAGACGGAGGAGCTGCATGGCAGTGCAGTCACCATGCTGCCAAGTGAGGACAGAGATCATCACCGTCTGGAGGCCTCTTGTTAAGTGGCCTTATTAAGAAAATCTTCCAGGTAAATGCTTTCAGTGAAACAAAAACAAACAAACAAAAAAGAAAATCTGATGGGAGAAATCTGTTATAAAACTCATCTCTGATAAACCACAAAAGGGATTTCAATATGTACTTGACATTAATATCCCAGGACTGTCAACCCACAGATGCAAAGCTCAGGAATTCCCTCCTCTATAAAGTCTTACTACCCTGCCTTTTCCTGTTACTGTTCCCTCCTGTTAAATTGATCCCATCTTCTGCTAGGCTCCATACATACTGATTTGATCACACTTGTTTCCTTCACTAGCTTATAGGATTTCTGAGAGCAGGGACCAAGCCTTATTCATCTCTGCATCCCCACTGTTAGCACAATTCCTGGAACATTGTAGGTGTTCATTAAGTCGCTTAATTGCTGATAAGATTAATAATACTTATAGTTAACTTTTGAGTGTTCAGAAACTCTATGTTTAACGTCCTATATTTCTCCTCATTTTCCAGGTGAGAGAGCTGAGGCACTGAGATGTTAAATATCATGCCTAATCTCATCCAGCCAATAACTGGCAAAACAACAATACAAACTGGGTGATCAGGCTCCAGAACCTTCATTCTTAACTACTACACAGAGTGGTACACAGGAATGAATGAGTGATCTCATAAAAGGGCTATATACCTATGAAACTATTAAAGAAGAACTGAAGTTGATTTAGAAATCTGGTTTATTCACACAAAAATTGATTAAGTAGATACCCAGTACTCTCTGCCAAGCCCAGTGCTAAGCATCAGTGGTACAAAGATAAAAATATGGTATTTGGTTCTGTTTATATTGAACAATGAGAACACTTAGACACAGGAAAGGGAACATCACACACCGGGGCCTTTTGTGGGGTGTGGGGAGGGGGAGGGATAGCTTTAGGAGATGTACCTAATGTAAATGACGAGTTAATGGGTGCAGCACACCAACATGGCACATGTATACATATGTAACAAACCTGCACATTGTGCACATGTACTCTAGAACTTAAAGTATAATAAATATATATATATATATAAAAGATAAAAATATGGTCTTATTTGGCGGGGCGCGGTGGCTCACGCCTGTAATCCCAGCACTTTGGGAGGCCGAGGCGGGTGGATCACGAGGTCAGGAGATCGAGACCATCCTGGCTAACACAGTGAAACCCCGTCTCTACTAAAAATACAAAAAAAAAATTAGCTGGGAGTGGTGGCGGGCGCCTGTAGTCCCAGCTGCTCGGGAGGCTGAGGCAGAAGAATGGTGTGAACCCGGGAGATGGAGCTTGCAGTGAGCCCAGATCGCGCCACTGCACTCCAGCCTGGGCAAGCAGTGAGACTCCATATAAAAAAAAATATATATATATGGTCTTATTCCTCAGCAAGAAGAGAAACAAATAACGAAAGGTCACTAAGCACTTACTATGTGCTGGGCACTGTTCTAAGTACTTCACATTGTTAATCTCTTTAATCTTTACAAAATCCCTATTATGAGATCCCAGTCATATTGTTATTATTAAACTGAGATGAGACAGATAAGAAACTGAGGCTCAGGGAGGTTAAGCAACTTGCAAGAGCCACCATTTGAATACAAGCAGCCTAGCTCCAGAACCCATGCTCTCATCATTACACTCTACTGCCTCATCAGTTTACAACCACACAACCATAACGCAATGTGATATGTGCTAAGAGAAAGAAAGAGAAAAAATACTATAGATGCAGAGAGGAAATGATTATTTTTGCCAGAGAGGGAGCTCAAAGAAGGCTCTGTAGAGCAGGTAACATATGAGCTGGGCCTTGAAGGTATGAGAATAGGAAAGAAATTCAGGCCAGGCACAGTGGCTCACACCTGTAATCCCAGCACTTTGGGAGGCTGAGGCAGGCAGGTTGCTTGAGGTCAGGAGTTTGAGACCAGCCTGGCCAACATGGTAAAATCCCATCTCTACTAAAAATACAAAACTCAGCCAGGCGTGGTAGCAGGTGCCTGTAGTCCCAGCTACTCGGGAAGCTGAGGCAGGAGAACTGCTTGAATTCGGGAGGTGGAGGTTGCAGCGAGCCAAGATCACACCACTGCACTCCAGCCTGGGTGACAGAGTGAGACTGTGTCTCAAAAACATAAAAGTAATTTAAAAAAATTCAAACCAAAATGCTACATGGAGACCAGTAAAACTTGTATGTGTTTTCAAAGCCATCACTACTAAAGTACAAAGCTAAGAAACAAGCCCAGTGCTATACTGTCTTCTACTGCTGAGGCCACTTCTCACCAAGGAACCGGGAAATGACCAGTGAATCTTTATGTCAAGTTTCCCACTTAGTTGAAACACTCCCTGGGGTTTTAGTCAGCTTCACAGCACCTGTAAGAACTTCCTTTCCTCTCCCTTCCATACAATAGATAATGTTTCTGGAAGGAGACCCTCAGACTCTCTTTAGTGTAACTTGAGGCCAGATCTTTCAAGGTTGGCAAAGGAGGCTGGAATCACCATGTGGGTGAGAGGGATAGCTAGACCTCACAGCCCTGATTTTTTCCATACATTAAGATACTCTCTGCTCTGCTAACTGCAGAGGTTCTGAATTCAGTTTTATTAAAGGGCATCCATGGGTTCCCTTAGAGTTCATTCCACTCAAACCTATTGGCAACATCCCCTCCTGTGATAGCTACCTTCCCTGAGGATTACTGGGTACTACCCCCAAGAAATGCAGGTGAATAAGTACAAGTGAACTCAACTGTCGCTAAGTACTCCTAGAGCAAACTTGCAATTATTTCTCCCACTCAAAACACCCTCTCTTGACCCCACAAACCATTTGAGTTACTGCCTCATTTCTCTGCTCACCTTTAAAACAAAAATCTTCAAAAGATTTGTCTATACTCCCTGTCTACAATTTTTCTCTTCTCTTTCCCTTTTGAACCATTCTAATCAAGCTTTTGTCCACTGAAACAGCTTTTATCAAGGCTACTAGTGACCTCTAAGTTGTTAAATTCTACCAAAACTTCCCAGACCTCAGCTTACTTGGCCAACCATAAGTATTTTTCACAGTTGATCATTCTCTCTTCTTTGAAGCACCTTCTTCACTTGGCTTCCAGGATACCATTCTCTTCTGGTTTGCCTTCTACCTTCTGGCCAGTCTTTCTTAGCCTCCATTATTTGTTCCTCTTTACGTTCCTAAACTCTAAATGTTGAGATGTCTCAGGGCTTGGTCCTTGGTCTCCTTCTCTTTAACCCTTCTCACTCCTTGGTGATTTCGTCCATATCATACCTTAAATACTATGTAGATGCCTACGACTCAAAAATGTTTATCTTTGGCCCAGGCCACTCCTCTGAATGCCAGGTTCATACATCCCACAGCTTATTCAACATCCCCACTTAGATGTCTAACTGGCAGCTCAAATTAAACATATCCAAAATTGAGCTTCCAACACACTCCCAACCCTGTTCATCTGACAGTCTTCACCATTGCAGTTAGTGGCAACTCTATCTTTCCGACCATTCAGGCCAAAAGACTTGGCATCATCTTGGACAGAGATGCTGTGTTACAGAACTCCAGGGGGCACCAGTCACATTTTTGTCAATGCTATTAGTGTTATGCCATATGGTGACCCTGCTTTCCTTGATTCCTCTTACATCCTACATCTGATCTGTTAGCAAATCCAGTTGGCTCTACCTTCAAAATGTATCCAAAATCCAACAACTTCTCCCCAAGTCCACTGTTCCTCCCCTGACCCAAGCTTGCCCCCTTAAAATTTACTTTCCACAGGCTGGGCGCGGTGGCTCACGCCTGCAATCCCAGCACTTTGGGAGGCCGAGGCAGGCAGATCACGAGGTCAGGAGATGGAGACCATCCTGGCTAACACGGTGAAACCCCGTCTCTACTAAAAATACAAAAAATTAGCCGGGCGTAGTGGTGGGTGCCTGTAGTCCCAGCTACTCGGGAGGCTGAGGCAGGAGAATGGCGTGAACCCGGGAGGTGGAGCTTGCAGTGAGCCAAGATCGCACCACTGCACTCCAGCCTGGGCAACAGAGCGAAACTCCGTCTCAAAAAAAAAAAAAATTACTTTCCACAAAACAACCACAGCAATCCTTATAAAATGTAAGTCAGATCACATCACTCCCCTACTCAAAATTCCCCAATGCTTCCCATCACATTCAAAATTCTCACAATAGCCTACAAGATGCTGCATTGCTTTTTTCTTTTATATTTATCTACTAGATAAATATCTATCTACTAGACTATCTACTAGACTGTATATTTTCTTTATTCATCTCACTTATTGTCCGCTGCCCATATGTGAATATAAGCTCCATAAAGTCAGGGACTTGGTCTGTTTTATTCACAGATGAAGCCCCAGCATCTACAGCAATACCTGACACAAAGTATGTACTCAATATGTATTTGTAAATGGAATGAATGAAGTAGATTGGGTAGGGGGAAATCTTGACACATGGGCCAGAATTATACCAAATTGCAATATGACAAGTGAAATGGCATTTGAGGAGCCAGCTAGTGCTGAGACCTAGTCAAGCCCCAGGAGATGTTTTTAGTTGCTACTTCCTACCATTGTTTTGACATTTTGTCTGAGGAAGTCTCCCTTCTTTTGTCTCCTAAAGAGAAGGAAATTGACTATATAGCAAAGTAAGGAGCTCCCCCTAGTGGAAGTAACTCCATCAAAGCAATGGAATAGAAAATCATAGCCTGGTGCTTGAAATTACAAGGATCACTACGGACAAAGGAAGTGACTCCAGCATTTCACAGGAAAAATCCTCAGTGGAAACATTGGAGAACTAAAGATTAGATCTGAAGTATATGGGGGAACTTACCAATTTATTTTATTGTTGAACCTCTTTTGCATCTGATGATGGGGAAAAAATAATTTATTTAAAGTTGAACAAAAGGCCGGGCGCAGTGGCTCACACCTGTAATCCCAGCATCTTGGGAGGCCAAGGCGGGCAGATCACTTGAGGTCAGGAGTTTGAGACCAGCCTGGCCAACATGAAGAAACTGTTAAAAAAAAATTAGCCAGGCGTGGTGACATGCACCCATAATCCCAGCTACTCGGGGGGCTGAGGCACGAGAATTGTTTGAACCCGGGGAGTGGAGGTTGCAGTGAGCTGAGATCGTGCACTGCACTCCAGCCTGGGCAACAGAGCGAGAATCTGTCTCAAAAAAAAAAAAAAAAAGTTGAACAACATATGTACCTACCCTCAAGGAATTTAAAATCTGGTAGAGAATGTAACTCACAAATACAAATAAGCACAAAGCAATGAGTATGGATGTAAATCAGTGAACGTGAGCCTAACAAGAGAAATAAACTAAAAGATATAACTCACCCAGGAAAAAGAGGGATTACTTTAGGCTGAGGAAATCCAGGAAAACATCTTGGAGGGAGTGGTTCTTGAGTGGCACCTTGAAAGGCAAATAAAATTTAAATAAGCAAGTACTACATGTAAAGACCTAAATCTAGAGAAGGGCACATCATGTGAAATTCCAAGCAGACCAGCGGGGCTTTGTAAAGGTCACAATTTGGGTGATAACACAGAACCTGAAACCCTCCTTGAAAAGAGCAGAGAGGGATTCATGAGAGAAAGGTCCTTGGCAAAGGTGAACACAGGCAGGGACCAAAGAAAGTCCCTTTCTTCATTTTCCGTTGGATGAAAGGAACACTACTTAAATGTATAGGGAAAAAAAAGAAAATAATATAAGTGGTTATTCTCTCCCACAGGCATGCGTACTGAGGCAGTTTTCTGGTGAATCTAGAAGAAGGGTCCACAAACTTTTTATTTAAAGGGCCATATAGGCTGGGCATGGTGGCTCACACCTGTAATCCCAGCACTTTGGGAGGCTGAGGCGGGTGGATCGCTTGAGCCCAGGAGTTTGAGACCAGCCTGGGAAATACAGTAAGACCCCATCTCTACAAAATATTTTAAAATTAGCTGAGCATGGTGGGGCGCACCTGTAGTCCCAGCTACTTGGGAGGATGAGGTGGGTAGATTGCTTGAGCCCAGGAGTTCAAGGCTGCAGTGAGCCGTGATCACTCCACTGCACTCCAGCCTGGGTGACAGAGCGAGACCTTGTCTCATGAATGAATGAATGAATAAATAAATAAATAAATGGACAGATAGTAAATATTTGTGGCTTTGTAGGTCATATACAGTATCTGTTGCCAACTACTCAACTCTGCCATCACAGGGTAAAAGCAGTAATAGACAATACATAAACAAATAAACAATAAAACTTTATTTACAAAAATAGATGGCAGACCAGATTTGGTCCACATGCTGAAGTTTGCTGACTCCTGGCCTACAATAAGAGAAGCAGTTACACGATTCAAATGCTTAATCACATCGGGCTTTGGTAGCCTGATGCGTTCATGGATGCAACAGAGATACACCTACCTCCAGTATCAGATTGGGCAAGTTCTTGGGCTGAGTTCCTTCTTTTCCGACCAGCGCTTAGATGTATACTGCCGATATTTGCCTCTCTAGTACTTCTTTTTAATTGCTGGTAACCCTAAAAAAAAAAAATCTCATTTGAAAGCCTCCAATATCAGAAAGCTATTGGTAGGACTATTGATAGGGCTCACAAGGTAGTATTTATCTTGATACATTTTCTGCTTTTTCATGGTCTGGACTTCACCTTGGCTTTGCAAGATAAGAAATCCAATCTAGACCAGGTGCAGTGGCTCATGCCTGTAATCCCAACACTTTGGGAGGCCAAGGCGGGCAGATCACCTGAGGTCAGGAGTTCAAGACCAGCCTGGCCAACATGGTGAAACCTCATCTCTACTAAAAATACAAAAATTATCCAGGCACGATGGTGGGTGCCTATAATCCTAGCTACTCGGGAGGCTGAGGCAGGAGAATCGTTTGAACCTGGGAGGCAGAGGTTGTAGTGAGCCGAGATCGTGCCACTGCACTCCAGCCTGGGCGACAGAGCGAGACTCGGTCAAAAAAAAAAAAAGAAAGAGAGAGAGAGGAAGGAAGGAAGGAAGGAAGGAAGGAAGGAAGGAAGGAAGGAAGGAAGGAAGGAAAGAAAAAGAAATTCAATCTCGAGTCATCTGAAATTGGGAAGACTATGAAAGCTCTACTTATCAGTAAAAGTCCCAGAGGAATGCCAGTAGCATCAGTTTACATTCAGTAGCTATTTCACAGAGATCACCCCGATACTTTGTTACCTGCAAGGGAAGGGGGGAGCCTCCTTTCTTAGATGTTTTCCTGCCCTGAAAAAAAAAAAAGTGACAAATTGGCAATATGAATACTTACAAGAGGCATTAGCTATAAGCTTTGTGAAAAGAGAGATTATTTTTTAAATTAGAAACAATCTTTTATTTTTACAAAAGCAGTGTATATTCATTGTGAAAAATTTGAAAGCAAAAATAACTAAATAGAACATTGTGTTCCCATCACACAGAAATCACCATTAACAGCTTAGTATATATCTTTTCAGATATTTTTTCTAAGTATATGTAATACATATACGCATTTTCTTCCAAAAATGAAATACTGTACAAAATGTTTTACAACTGCCCTTTTCAGTTAATGACCTCCACCATTTCATCTTAAAAAGTTTTCACATCATCTAATAACCATCCATATACAAATTTCCCTAATTTTCCCAAAAATGTCCCATTAAGCAAGTTTGTTTAAATCATGATCCAATCTCAGACCACACACTGCATCTTAAGTCTCTTTTCATTGAGAACAGTGTCTTCTTTCAGGACAAAAATTTTGTTTCATGCTGTATTCCCAATGCATTTAACAGTTCTTGGTACATAACAGTAACTCAATAAATACTTGTATAATTAATTAATCAAAAACTGGGGGATTCATGGTAGAGTTTATCTCATCAACCCATTACCCTTTAGCTCCATTTTATAGATAATAAAAATAAAGACCAGAGACATAAAGTGACTTCCCAAGGTCACACAGCAAGTACATGTCAATTGCTTTCCATACCTTTTTTTTTTTTTTTTTTTTTTTGAGATGGAGTCTCGTTCTGTTGCCAGGCTGGGGTAGAGTGGTACAATCTCAGCTCACTGCGAGTGGTACAATCTCAGCTCACTGCAACCTCTGCCTCCCGGGTTCAAGCAATTCTCCTGCCTCAGTCTCCTAAGTAGCTGGGACTACAGGTGCACGCCACCATGCCCAGCTAATTTTTGTATTTTTAGCAGAGACGGGGTTTCACCATGTTGGCCAGGATGGTCTCGATCTTTTGATCACCATGTTGGCCAGGATGGTCTCAATCTCTTGACCTCGTGATCCGCCCACCTCAGCCTCCCAAAGTGCTAGGATTACAGGCGTGAGTCACCGCGCCCAGCCCTTTTTATTCTATTAAACCAGGAGTTAGCAAGCTTTTCTGTGAAGGTCAGAGAATTAATAATTTAGAATTTATGAACCAAGAAGCAAGATCGAGGATATTATATAAGTATTTACATAATGAGAGAAAACAAAATTGTACAAATTTTTAATTAATGAAATTTAAAAAGTAATAACAATTGACTATAAGGTTTTATAATACAGTTCTACTAATGAAAAGGTTAGAATAGAAAAATAATATTTTGCTTCATTAGGGTTGAAAATTAGTGTTCCCTATCATCAAATTTGTTGTCACTATTCATCTGAAAACACATTCTTAGCTCACAGGTCATAGATTGCTAATTCCTATACTACATCATGCAGCTTGTTTGTGGTTTGCTTTTCTTTTAAAGTTTAAGTGAAAATAACATTCCTCATAATTGACAGTTACATTTGGGTGCTGGCTTATTGGAGCTATATGATAGTAAAGCACCAATGAGAAAAACAATTCCTCAGCCACTTTTTTTTTTTTTTTTTTGTCGCCCAGGCTGGAGTGCAGTGGTGTGATCTCAGCTCACTGCAACCTCCACCTCCCAGGTTCAAGCGATTCTCCTGCCTCAGCCTCCCAAGTAGCTGGGACTACAGGCACACGCCTGGCTACTTTTTGTATTTTTAGTAGAGATGGTGTTTCGCCTATGTTGGCCAGGCTGGTCTCCAACTCCTGACCTCAGGTGATCCACACACCTCGGCCTCCCAAAGTGCTGGGATTACAGGCGTGAACCACCGCGCCCAGCCCACATTTTTTAAAAGTATGTATTGTGTTACTTCAGTTATTCTAGTAGCTAACTGTTGAGCATGCCTGTCTTCTTTCATTTAGATGGACAGAAGGTAGGCTGCATTGTGACCGTCACTTTCATAACTAACTATGTGTTAATATTTAATAGGGCTGACCAATTTAAAAATCAGTGCAAGTGAGGATATTAATTGGCCTATGTTGGGGCTTCTTTTTCTCAAATATAAATATGCTCTTTAAAGATATACAGGTAAATATTCAAAGACTTAAAAGAATAGAAAGTGGTTGCTTTTGGGGGCAACATGGAATGGGAAGGAAAGCAAATGATTCATTTTTTAAAAAAAGCAAATCTTGTAGAACTATTTGATTTTTAAAAACTACAGTATGATACCTGTAATCCTAGCACTTTGGGAGGCTGAGATGGGAGGATCGCTTGAGCCTAGGAGTTCAAGATCAGCCTGGGCAACATGGCAAAACCCTGTCTTTTTTTTGTCTTTTTCTTTTTTTTTTTTTTTTTTTGAGATGGAGTCTTGCTCTGTCACCCAGGCTGGAATGCAGTGATGCGATCTCAGCTCATTGCAACCTCCACCTCCTGGGTTCAAACGATTCTCCTGCCTCAGCCTCCTGAGTAGCTGGGATTACAGGTGCATGCCACCACGCCCAGCTAATTTTTGTATTTTTAGTAGAGATGAGGTTTCGCCATGTTTGCCAGGCTGGTCTCTAGCTCCTGACCTCAGGTGATCTGTCCACCTCAGCCTCCCAAAGTGCTGGGATTACAGGCGTGAGCCACTGCGCCTGGCTGTGAAACCCTGTCTCTACACAACATTTAAAAATTAGCCAGCCATGGTGGTGTGCACCTGTAGTCCCAGGTATTTGGGAGGCTGAGGTGAGAAGATTGCTTGAAGGTTGAGGCTGCAGTGAGCTGTGATTGCACGCGCCACTGTACTCCAACCTGGGTGACAGAGCGAGATGCTGTTTCAAAACAAATAAAAAACCTACAGTATGTACTTGTATAATTTTGATTAAAATAAACAAAAGAAAACGAGAGGCACATTAAGTCCTCTTCTGGAAAAGGTTTCCTTAATACTTTCCTCCACCCGCCTTCAAGCAGGGTTAAGTGTTCCTCTTCTGTAAAAGGTTTCCTTAATACTTTCCTCCACCCGCCTTCAAGCAGGGTTAAGTGTTCCTCTTCTCTGCTCCCCAGAGCATCTTGTCCTCAACTCCCTTCAGAGCACTTAACAAGCTATACTGTCATTGTTTTGTTGTCTGTCTTCCTGAAGGAACTATGAGCTCCTTGCAAGGAAGGACTATGTATTATTCATTTCAGCTCCTAATTTTTATAACACTAAAAAAGGCATTCATTAAATGAAGTGAAACTAGCTAAACCAAATACAACCAAAAGTCACTCAATCTAGGCAAATTAACATCACAATGAGACACTAATCAAAAAGACAGACAAGAAAGTATTGGTAAGGATGTGGAGAAATAGAAATCCTCATACATTTACCAGTGGGGATAGAAAACAGTGCAGCCACTTTGGAAAGCAATCCAGAAGTTCCTAAAAAGTTAAACATACAGTTACTTTATAAAACCCAGCAATTCCACTCCTAGGTATATACCCAAGAGAACCCAAAACATGTCCACACAAAAACTTGTATACGAATATTCACAGAATTATTCATAACAACCAAAAAGTGGAAACAACTCAAATGTTTATCAACTGATGAGTGGAAAAACAAAATATGGTATATCCATCAATGTAATATTATTTAGCCAGAAAAAGGAAGGGAGTATTGATAATGTTACAAAATGGATGAACCTTGAAAACATCATGTTAAGTGAAAGAACCCAGACACAAAAGGCCACATATTGTATGAGTCCATTCATGTGAAATGTCCAGAAAAAGCAACTATATACAGACAGAAAGCAGACAAATGGTTGCCTAGGGCTAAACATGAGAGAGGAGATTAACTGCAAACTGCTTCTGGGAATTCGTGGGGGATAGGGAAAATGTCCTAAAACTGTATTGTGGTGATGGTTGCACAACTCCATAAATTTATTTTTATTTATTTGTTTAGTTTTGAGACAGGGTCTTGCTCTGTCACCCAGACTGGAGTGCAGTGGCACAATCACAGCTCACTGCAGCCTCAACCTCCCTGGCTCAAGTGATCCTCCCACCTCAGCCCCCAAGTAGCTGGGACTACAGGTGTGCACTACCGCTCCTGGCTAAATTTATTTTTTAAACTGTACACTTAAAGTCAGTGGATTTGATGGTATAAAAAGTACAAGGCTGGGAAAAAATTCCTCAATTTATTACATTATTCAGTTTCTTTATAAATTAACTGTTTTTCCTCAAATAGACTACTTCTATTAAGAACTGTGGTGAGGCTGCTGGTAGTGGTTCACGCCTGTAATCCCAGCACTTTGGGAGGCCAAGGCGGGTAGATCACCTGTGGTCAGGAGTTCGAGACCAGCCTAGCCAACATGGTGAAACCCCGTCTCTACTAAAAATACAAAAATTAGCTGGGCATGGTGGTGGCATGCCTGTAATTCCAGCTACTCGGGAGTTGGAGACAGGAGAACTGATTGAACCCAGGAGGCAGAGGTTGCAGTGAGCCGAGATCGTGCCACTGCACTCCAGCCTGGGCGACAGAGTGAGACCGTCTCAAGAAAAAACAAAAACAAAAACAAAAAAAAACAAAAACAAAAATAAAACCGTGGTGAGGCCAGGCATGTGGCTCACGCCTGTAATCCCAGCACTTTGAGAGGCCAAGATGGGCGGATTACTTGAGGTCAGGAGTTCAAGACTAGCCTGGCGAACATGGTGAAACCCCATATCTACTAAAAAATACAAAAACTAGCCGGGTGTCGTGGCGGGCGCCTGTAATCCCAGCTACTCAGGAGGCTGAGGCGGGAGAATTGCTTGAACCCAGGAGACAGAGGTTGCAGTGAGCCGAGATCGCGCCATTGCACTCCAGCCTGGGCGACAGAGCAAGACTCTGTCTCAAAAAAAAAAAAAAAAAGACCGTGGTGAATTAAGTTTCTGAGACATTTCTGTCAGTTGGGACTTGGGGCTGTGCTGCATAGACATCACAGCCAGCATCTCAGTCTGAGAAATTGTACGATGTCTTGAGGTGTACAACGTGTTTCCAGTTGAGTGACCCCAGTGTGTAGTCTAGATACTCCCTGGCCTTTCTGCTGGTTTAAGTGTGAGAGTGCCTAAGGCCTCTACACCAAGCAAGAAACTAGTCAGTTAACAAACTCACGTCTTGAAACTCCCCAGCCCAGTTCACAACCAGGTGAATTGTTCTATTACAGCATATCTATGAAAATGATCGATCAAATTACTGATTTGATTTTCTCCTTTTTTTGGAGGGTGGGCAACTGGGTAAGTGCTTATTGGGCAAGGATGTCCGGCCAGATCAGCCAAAAGATACAAAGTCCATCCCGTCGGCCCGTCCCCTGGGGTACTACAGGGGAAATCTCATCTCTCCAAGGCCGGTGGGGAGGCACAAAGGGATTTAACAGCACCTCTCCTGGCTAGGGGAAAGGCTGGGACAAAGTCCCTCCTTTGTTGCATTGCGGGAAGGGCCAAACCTGCCACAATGTCAGGGTGAGGTGTCTGTTCCCGGGGCCTCCTGGTGACCGGGAAGCTCATGCGACTGCTCCCGGACTTCAGTCGCTTTCGCCGCTGCAGCCCCACCGTCCGGCCCGGGCATGGCGAAACAAGCAGGCGGTGGAGGGAGGAAACCAGCCCGAGCCAACCGCTCATTCCTCGCAGCCGTCCGGGGATCCCCAGGCGGTCCCCTACGACCCTGCGCGTGACCCCCCTGTCACGTGGCCGCCGTCCCTTTCGGGATGCACCATTGCTTCTGGCGCCCCCTGGTGACCAGAAGAGAGCAGAGCTGGCACCGCGAGGGCGAGCCTGCCGGTCCGCTGGACCCTACGCGAGCCGGCGGCGCTGTCTGGGCCCCCGCGGCGGAAATGGCCCCGCCGGTGGCACCAGGGCGTGCTCCGCGAAGCCCAGGGAGCTGACCCAAGCCCGAACTGGAGTGGGTGGAAGCCGCTTCCACCCTTTCCTCCCTTCCCCCGAAAGGGAAAAGGACCTCTAAGAAGACAGAATGGCCAGATAATTATCTTGAACCTGGATTCCAGCTCCTTGTGCAAAAACAGAAGAATAAGGCAGGGTTTTGGAGTTTATGTTTGTTTGTTTGATTAAGAGGGTTTTGCTGATGCTCCTGAAAACATGTATTTGTAGCCCCGAGATTGTGAGCTAATTATTACTTCTGAGTCTCATTCTCCTCTTCTATAAAATAGGGACAATAATGGTGAAGTGTTTGTGAGGATTCACAGGTGTTTGTGAGGAGCAAATGAAATAATCCACCTGAAGGTTTTAGCAGACAGGTTTAAGCTACTTGTTTAGCTTTAAACCAGCTAGTTTAGCAACTAACTCAGGTCTCAGTAAACACCTTCGAGAAATGAAAGGATTTTGACACCATAAAATAAACACGTGCCTAAGGTGAATTGTCCATTAAAAATGTATGTATATGGGAATTAAAACCATCTATCCCCAAACTCGGCCTGGACACTGAGAATCAAAAACCCCACTGTAGCATCTACATAAAAAGGACTTTGCTAATCCACTGTCTTCATTCGCATTACTTTTCCAGGACGTTCTCTGCAGGCGAATAGTTTCTGCATTACAGGATCTTCTGCAAAGGCCCATCAACTCGTCAATGGACAGCACCAACAGTTTGCACTCTAAAATTTTTTGAATGCCTCTCATTAAAATCCTCCTCTTGCTGCTTACACCAATCCTAGAATGTTGGTATCTCGTGGTTCTTACCCAATCCCAATCAAATCCCAGCATTGAAAGACTCACCGCCTTAAGCCCATTTTTCATTTCTCAATAAATTCTGATCTTTCTTTTCCTGTCTGAAGCACCGCTAAAGCTTCACGAAGTGGTGTTCTCCCGTAGTGAGGGAAGCAATAAATGCACTTCGTCATATCATCAGGTGCATTGGTGATATATGGGGAGCGAGCATTTGATTTTTTATTGTTTTAAAGATGGGGTCTTGCTATGTTGCCCAGGTTGCTCTCCAACTACTGGCCTCAAGTGATCCTCCCACTTATTCAATTAATGGTGTTGGAATAATTAGCCAAGCATTTGCACGATTTTTCTTTTTTTTGAAATGGAGTCTCGCTGTCACCCAGGCTGGAGTGCAGCGGCATGATCTTGGCTAACTGCAACCTCCGCCTCCCATGTTCAAGTGATTCTCCTGCCTCAGCCTCCTGAGTACCTGGGATTACAGACACGTGCCACACCCGGCTACTTTTTGTATTTTTTAGTAGAGACGAGGTCTCACCATGTTGTCCAGGCTGGTCTTGAACTCGTGACCTCAAGTGATCCACCCGCCTCGGCCTCCCAAAGTGCTGGGATTACAGGCTTGAGCCACCAAGCCGGGCCTCACACTTGTTTCATTCCCAGTGAACTACTTCACATACTGGCAAGCCTATTGGAGCAGGGGGTCCCTGCATTGTAATGGTGAGGTTGGCCTATGATGTGGCTGGGGCCTGGATGATTTTATGGTGATATCTTCCTCTTTACCCCAGCCACCAGGCCTACCACCCTCCAGCTAAGCTTGAGTTTTCTCCATTCATTCAAATCTTCTAACAGGTGCACTCAAAAGAGTAGTATCATTTTCTTCTCCTAAGTCATTCAGTTTTATGTTATTGTCCCTCATTGTTTTATTTTCAGCTGTGTTTCCATCAATTCTCTTGCTTTTTCTAGGAAAAGAGTCATATTTATTACAATTTATGATGGATATTTGTCAGCCAGTAACAACACAGTGTTTATTATAGTTTTTTTATTAGTATGTTTTTATATTTGCTCAGGCTTTACCCCTTTACTCCTCTTTTTTGACAAATAATCTTTAATTTTGCTCTCAAAATTATCACATTTGTCATTAGAAAAAGAACAAAAACAATTTTATAAATACTTCATATGTAAAACTCCCTTTTTAGAGAGTACAATCCCAATAAAGTAAATTATACATGTATCTACATTCACAGGGTTAGAAAAAAGATTTAAAAGAAATATGCCAGGTTGGGCATGGTGGCTCACACCTCTAATCTCAGCACCTTGGGAGGCCAAGGTGGGAGGATCTCTTGAGTCCAGGAGTTTAAGATCAGCCTGGGCAACATGGTAAGACCCCATCTCTACTAAAAATGCAAAAATTAACCAGGTGTGGTGGCACACGCCTAAAGTCCCAGCTACTTGGGAGGCTGAGTTGTGAGGATGGCTTGAGCTCAGGAGGCAGAGGTTGCAGTGAGCTGAGACGGTGCCACTACACTCCAGCCTGGGTGACAGAGCCAGACCCTGTCTTCAAAAAATAAAAAAGAAATAAAAGAAATATCCCAAAATATTCAGTGTTTACCTATGATTTATTTTTTCTTTTACTGTATACTTTTATGATTATTTAAGTATTAACTGTATTTTACATAATTTTGTGACACTCTAAATATTCAACTTTTGTAACAAACCTAAAATAATTTAATAAATGAAATAGTTTTACAAACATTCTGGCACACAGAGAAGGAAAAAATTTACATTTCTTTTCTGTTTTTTGTTTTTTTGTTTTGTTTTGTTTTGTTTTTAGAGACAGTCTCATTGCCCAGGCTCAGACACCATCACAATTCACTGCAACCTCGAACTCCTGGCCTCATGTAATTCTCCTGCCTGGACCTCCCAAAGTGTTGAGATTACAATCATAAGCCACTGCACTTGGCCAAGAATCTTTTTTTTTTTTTTTGAGACAGGGTCCCACTCTGTTGCCCAAACCAAAGTGCAGTGGCATGATCACGGCTCACTGTAGCCTTGACCTCCTGGGCTCAAGCTATTCTCCCGCTTCAGCCCTTACAAGTAGCTGAGATCACAGGCATACATCGCCATGCCGGGCTAATTTTTAAGTTTTTTGTAGAGATGTGTCTCACTATATTTCACAGGCTGGCCTTGAACTCCTGGGCTCAAGCAATCCTTCTGCCTCAGCCTCCCAAAGTGCTGGGATTATAGGCATGAACCACCATAACCAGCCCCAAGATTCTACCTTAAATTATATTTTCCTGAGCCAAAATTAGATCTTGGTCCATCCAGGATATTTAAAACCAACCTCTGGTCAGACGCGGTGGCTCACGCCTGTAATCCCAGCACTTCGGGAGGCCAAGGAGGGCGGATCACAAGGTCAGGAGATCGAGACCATCCCGGCTAACACGGTGAAACCCCGTCCCTACTAAAGATACAAAAAATTAGCCAGGCGTCGTGGTAGGTGCCTGTAGTCCCAGCTACTCTGGAGGCTAAGGCAGGAGAATGGCGTGAACCCGGAAGGCAGAGCTTGCAGTGAGCCCAGATCGCTCCACTGCACTCCAGCCTGGGTGACAGAGCAAGACTCCATCTCAAAAAAAAAGAAAAAAAAAAAAAACCTCTATCATGTTCCAACTAGTAAAATTTAAGTTCCTTTACTTATAGTTTTTCAAACAGCTTTGTCTTGATGAATAGGAAATTGGTCAAATATTCATATCTGCTTATTTCTCCTGCCCCAAGAACTAATCTTCCATTATGATACAGTTTTTCTAAGCAATGTCAATATTTTTACTTAAAATATGTGATGGAAAGTTCACAGGCTTTGGAGCCGCCCAACTTACCATTCACTTACTGACTGTATGACCTTAGTCCTGTTACTATCTTTTGCTGAGACTCATTGATATTCTCTTAAATGGGATTAAGAATTCTTACTATATTATTGACATGTTCAATACATAGTGATTGAAAATCATTTATTATTATCTTTTTTTTATTGAGACGGGGTCTTAGGCTGTCACTCAGGCTGGAGTGCAGTGGCACGATCTCAGCTCACTGCAACCTCTGCCTCCCAGGTTCAAATGATTCTCCTGCCTCAGCCTCCCAAGTAGCTAGGATTACAGTCGTACTAATTTTTTTTTTTTTTTTTTTTTTTTTTTAGTAGAGACAGGGTTTCACCATGTTGGCCAGACTGGTCTCAAACTCCTGACCTCAAGTGATCTGTGTGCCTTGGCCTCCCAAACTGCTGGGATTACAGGCCTGAGCAAGCATGCCCGGTCCTATTATCACTCTTGTTTGTTCCTTAATAGAAGGAAAATAGCAAAGAGTACCCAATATACCCATATTTTTCAAGACAGTTATTTTCTTTTTTAAATTTTTCATTTAATTTTTACAACACTATGTGATCGAGACTATTATTTCCATTTGACCAATGTTCGATTGAAGAAGGTGGTAGTCCCACTATATGGATCTGATGACATCTGGAATACTCTGTATAGTACTGCTTTTTGAAAGAGAATAGTAAACTGCAGGGAAATTGCAACAGATGGTGAAAATGTTCATGAAAAGGAATTGAAGTTAGGCACATGCAAGGAGACTTCAACAAATTCTACTCCCCCAATTAAGCATAGTCTCTCGGAGATGTCTTGTGTTAAAATTTATAGAGGAAGTTGGGACTACTAGCTATGGTTTTCCTTAACTTCCCTTCTTAACCTCTTCATACTTTCCCAAAGCCCCAGTCAAATGATAAAATGGGCCGGGTGCAGTGGCTCACACTTTTAATCCCAGCACTTTGGGAGGCCGAGGTGGACAGGTCGCTTGAGTCCAGGAGTTTGAGACCAGCCAGGGCAACATGGTAAAACCCTGTCTCTACCCCAAAAATACAAAGATTAGTTGGGTGTGGTGGCACATGCCCGTGGTCCCAGCTACTCAGGAGGCAAAGGTGGGAGAATCACCTGAGCCTGGGAAGTCGAGGCTGCAGTGAGCCATGATTGCGTGCCACTGCACTCCATCCTGGGCTCCAGAGCGAGACACTGTCTCAAAAAAAAAAAAAAGCCCTCCTGGTCAGTTACTATCCCCAAACCTGGGTAGTTTCATATTTTTAAGGAATTTAGCCAATTCCTTGTCTTTCTCTCTTTAGTGGTTTTCCTTACTCTAAGCATGTGAACATATTCTAAAAATAAAGCACTAACAAAGAAATCCTTTTATAAAGACAAATAAGACACAGCCCCAGCACTCAAAGAGCCTGGATTCTAGGATAGAGAAAAGACATGTAAAACACGAATGTTGTGGATATTAAACACATGAGTAAATAACAAAACAAACATGTTTGTGACAGGTTTTTGTTTTTTGTTTTTTTTTTTTTTGAGACGGAGTTTCGCTCTTGTTGCCCAGGCTGAAGCTCAATGGCACGATCTCAGCTCACTGCAACCTCCACCTCCTGGGTTCAAGCAATTCTCCTGCCTCAGCCTCCCAAGTAGCTGGAGTTACAGGCACCCACCACCACGCCCAGCTAATTTTTTGTATTTTTAGTAGAGACAGGTTTCACCATGTTGGCCAGGCTGGTCTTGAAGTCCTGACCTCAGGTGATCCACCCACCTCAGCCTCCCAAAGTGCTGGGATTACAGGCGTGAGCCACTGCACCCGGCCTTTGTGACAGTTTTATATGTATTATGGTAAAAGTCTACATAGGAGCAGAAAAGGAAGGACTGGGCAACTTTCCAGGAAATGGGGGTTGATAAAGGAAGTGTAATGCTTGAATTGACCCCGCGGTTCTCTTTAGCTATATTAACCTGTCTCTGATCTCCCCATATTTCATGAGTTGGGTAAAGAAAAATATAAATTTAATGTCTCCACTTCCCTCTTTTTCATTCCTCAAACTCGTGCCTATAGGCATTCATATTTGTTAAATACTAATGGCTTATGATAGTTAACATTTATAGAGCTCTTGCCTGTTTCCAGACATTGTAATATGTGTTTCACATATAGTAACTTGCTTATTTCTTACAACTACTCTCTAAGATAGGTACTGTTATTGTCCCCATTTTAGAGAGAGGCAACTGAAGCACAGAGAGGGTAAATACCTTGACTGGGATCACAACTAGTAAATGCTGAGACTGGGCTTCAGATCTGGGCAGTTTAGCTTCAGGACCTATGAGTTATTATCAGGCTTATATCCCCTATGACTAGCACAATGTTGTTGGGGCATCTTGCAAATGCCCATGGGATTACAAAACAAATGCACTTGGGATGATTAGGGATTTGAAACTCTTTTTTTTTTTTTTTTTTTTTTTTTTTAATGAGACGGAGTCTCACTCTGTCGCCCAGGCTGGAGTACAGTGGCGCAATTTCGTCTCACTGCAAGCTCTGCCTCCCAGGTTCATGCCATTCTCCTGCCTTGGCCTCCTGCGTAGCTAGGACTACAGTTGCCCGCCACCATGCCTGGCTGATTTTTTGTATTTTTAGTGGAGACGGGGTTTCACTGTGTTAGCCAGGATGGTCTCGATCTCCTGACCTCGTGATCCACCTGCCTGGGCCTCCCAAAGTGCTGGGATTACAGGCGTGAACCACCATGCCCGGCCTGGGGATTTGAAACTCTTAAACCCAAAGTTTGATAATGTGACATAGATGAAGCTACAAAGAAACCCATTTCCCACTTTCTGCCATGCTAGGAGTGAATGGTCCATCTAATAAGTGATACCCTGGGGAAGTGAAAACCAAGCAATGGATATAGAATGTCTTCCAGGTTTGTGATTTCATCGGCTAGGTGGGTGGTGGCTCAGCAATGTGCACTATTCTCTCATTGACTGTCTCCTTTCTGGCAGCACTTGTTCCAGGTAGGAGGCAGTAACAAAAGCTGGCATTCACTGAGGGCCTACTGTGTGCCAGGCACTTTGTTCATTCCAGCCACAAATATTTACTGAGAATGAGCTCTGTTCCAGGGAGTGTTCCAGGAGCTGGTGATGCTGCAGTTAACTAGAATGCCTGCTGTCGTTGAGTCTGGTGGGGAGAGACATCAATGTACAATATAACTCAGTAAATTATGTAGTATACTAGAAGAAAGGCATGTGATGGAAAAATAGAGCAGGCAAGAGAGAATCGGAGTGCTGATGATCAGATGTGCTGTTTTAAATGGGATGTTCAGGGTCAGCTTCAATGAGAAGATGGCATTTGAGCAAATACAGGAACATGGGGAATGATTAAGGCACAGGGCTATTTGGAGGAACAATGAGAACAACCAGTGCAAACTGGTGAGGTGGGAACGTGCCTGAAGTCTGTGTCAAGATGCCCCAACAACATTGTACTAGGCTTGGGAGGATAAAAGCCTAGTGGGGAAGACAGCTAGTTATACAAGCAATTACAACACAATGATAAATGCTACCTAAGATTCGGGGAATGAGCTTTAGCAGGGTCAGGGCAAGCTGGCCCGAGGGAGTGCCAGATGAGAGGATACTTGAAGTTTGACAAGGGTTTTGCCAGGTGAAAAGAGTTCCAGACTGATGGAGCAGCACACTGGGGGTCAGAGAGAACACAGATGGCCTGGGGTTTTAAGCCCGTTTTTAGAGCGGCCACATTTAATTTTTCCAATTAGACTCAATGATCTGAAGGCACACCGAGAGCTTGAAATGCAGAGCGTTGTCTTGCAAGTATGAAGCCTAATTTATTCACCCAAGTTTTACTTATGGTCTTTTAACTTGTTTCCAGTTTTCCACTATTACACAAAATAAACTAGGGTAAACATCTTTGTTCATAAAAATTTTTTACACTTGTCCAGCTATGTTCTCAGCATCAATTTCAGCAGCTGTTGGATCCAGGGATTTTTATATTTCAACCTTTGATGCATTTCCTGGTCAGCCTTCCAGCAAGAATGCCTCAATCCTCAGTCCTACCAGCAGTGTGGGAGAGAGACTGCTTGTCCACATCCTCATCAACAGTTTGTTATTTTTAGTATCTTATCCCAGAAATTGTATATAAAAATAAATATGAAGAGAAGATAGTTACAGGCTCTAAGAAGGAGCTTTCCTAAACTGATCTTTTTTTTTCCGTCTTGTTTAATAAAAGAAATGAGACCAAGGCTATGTTACTGTGCAGGCTTTTGGTCGTGAGTATGGCAATTAGAAATTGGTTCCCAGGATGCAACCGATAGAATGATCAGATATATTGTACCCATTAGGAAGGACTTTATAGTATAACTGTAAAGACTTCTGGCTCTGGGGAGAGGCAGATCTGAAGTTCAATTCCAGCCCCAACCCTTACTATCTGTGTAATCTTAGGCAAGTGACAATAACTATGTGTGCCTCAATGTCCTAGTCTGTAAAATGGAGATGATGAACATGTTACATATCTGGAAGAAGAATGTGTGTGAGGCCAACCTAAGTTGTCAGCTCTGGTCTGCAATGAGCTGCTGCAGCTAAGGATCCATACATATTTCCTGCCAGGATGATAACTCAAGACCCAGAGCTAGTCTCGCTGCCTCCTTTTATCCTGCCCCTGAGAACTCTGGCAGTGGCAGGATTTCAGGGTCACCTGAATTGTAAAGGACTCCTGTCAGGGGCCAAGCTCAGTGTAGCTCCTGAAACCAGACTGTCATATCATCAGATTAACACTGAATAAGCACTGTATGCATGGCATGGACAGCATTTAACTTTTCCTGCCCTTCCTTCAGTAGCAGAGTAATGCATTTCAGCAGATGTCCAGTAGCTGCCATTTCTTGAGAGTCTGTGGGAGTCTACAATGGACCAACCCTATGTTAATCACTCATATAAAGGGCACACCTGGAAAGGCAGGCCTTATTATCCTGAATTTTTACAAACCTCAATTTTGTTTCGTGTCACATGCAGATAATAACACCTACATGATAGGGTGCTGTGAACATGGGAGACATGTAAGAAGCATAGGCTTTGGGCCAGGTGCGGTGGCTCACGCCTGTAATCCCAGCACTTTGGGAGGCTGAGGCGAACGGATCACGAGGTCAGGAGATCGAGACCATCCTGGCTAACATGGTGAAAACTCGTCTCTACTAAAAATACAAAAAATAAAATAAATAAAATAAAATTAGCCAGGCATGGTGGCGGGTGCCTGTAGTCCCAGCTGCTCGGGAGGCTGAGGCAGGAGAATGGTGTGAACCCAGGAGTCGGAGCTTGCAGTGAGCCGAGATTGCACCATTGCACTCCAGCCTGAGCGACAGAGTGAGACCCCATCTCAAAAAAAAAAAAAAAAAGAAAGAAAGAAAAAGAAAAAGAAAAGAAAAAAAAAGAATTATATGCTTTGGAGCCAGTCCCCAGGAATGTGACCTTTGGCTCTACCACTAACTAGCTGCCCGACCCTAGGTGAGCTGCTTAATGTTCCAGTTTATTTCCTCATCTAAAATATGTAAAAATGGCAATACCATATGGGGTTAAGATGAGGATTCAAGGAACCAACGCCTTCAAAGAGCCTGATACAGGATGTTTGGCACACAATAAGCTCTTAAAAATAGCAATTTTCTAGCTTGGGAAACATGGCAAAACCCTGTCTCTACTGAAAATTAAAAAATTAGCCGGGCATGGTAGCATGCACCTGTGGTCCCAGTTATTTGGGAGATGGGAGAATTGCTTGAGCCGGGAAGGTCAAGGCTGCAGTGAGCTGTGATTGCACCACTGCACTCCAGCGTGGGCAACAGAGCGAGACTGTGTCTCAAAAAAAATAAAAATTTTAATGATGTTTATTGTATCATTATTATGGAAGGATCAGGAAGAAGAAGAAGAAGATTCAGCAAAGGAGACCGAGAAGTGGGCATCAAAAGGTCAGGAAGCGGGAACTGTGAGGGGGGATGTCATGGAAACGGAGGGACAAGATGCCAGGAAGCGGGGAGATTGTGTAAAAGGGCACTCAGAGACTGGTTTCTTCTGACAAGATGAAATAGCAATTTCTCATCTCTTAGCGACCAATGAGAATGAAGGCAGAAAGGAAGAAAATAAGCCCATATCTTTAAATGAAGGCTATCCGACACAAAATTCTCTAAAAGCCTTTTAGGTAACTCTATTCATCTGATCTGAATGCCCAGGTATCCAATTAGGAAGAATGCATATTTCTTGAATAAACTAAAAGCCAGTGTCAGAGTTTAAAAAAAAAGGGGAGGGGGCGAGGATGAAAGGGAATGAGTCACAAAATAGGTTTTCAAAGCAGTGAAAGCAGTGGTCTATACTGAACATCCAAGCTCACTCCAGTGAAAGGGAAGTAGTGGTATGGATAGGATTTATTCATTTTTCTACTCCCCCTGGTAATAGAAAGAAATAGCAGCATAATCTGTGTCTTTGGACAAATCACTCAACAAGTGTTTATAGAGTAAAACCAAAAAACGTGAACAGGAAATGGAACAATATTCGAATCTGTACTAGATGAGAAGGGTAGATATCACCCAGGAGTAGATTTAGGGAGGAATTAAGGGTTAAACTCTATGCAAGCTGGAGAATGTTGGGGGCCTCTTTGGCTTTGGGGGCCTGAGTGGAGCTGCCACCTGTCTGGGGGTGCACAAGTGGTCCCTCTTGGCTCTGGAGAGACTGAGATTGCTGCCAGGGGCCCAGAGATGCCCCAGAAGGATGCAAGGAGTGGCCCTCTTGAGTCTTTGCTCCTGACCCAGTTTTTCTTAAGCTAAAAGGTCAGAAGCTGAGGCCTGGCACGGTGGCTCACACCTGTAATCCCAACTCTTTGGGAGGCTGAGGCGGGTGGATCACCTGAGGTTAGGAGTTCAAGACCAGCCTGGCCAACACGGTGAAACCCCGTCTCTACTAAAACTACAAAAATTAGCCAGGCACAATGGCGTTTGCCTATAATACCAGCTAGTTGGGAGGCTGAGGCAGAAGAATCGCTTGAACCTGGGAGGTGGAGGTTGTGATGAGCCGATATCGTGCCACAGCACTCCAGCCTGGGAGACAGAGCAAGACTCTGTCTCAAATAAAAAGAGTTAGAGGCAGAAGGGCCCTCCCAGTCTCCTTTTGGCCAGGAGGGTAAAGGAGGCTGAGGCTTAAGGTAAATGTTGAATGCTGTGGGGAGGAGGGAAGGGAGACTGGGCAGAGCCCAGGAGACTGAGCTCCACACCCTCCACCAGCAGCTGTACGTGGCTCCAGGAGGGCAGTGGGCTGGTGGTTATAAGGTCAAATGGTGGGGTCATGAGTGGAGCAGGGGCAATAAGCCAGGGAGTAGCTGAGAGCCTGTTTCTAGAAAGAGAAGCACTTCACGCCAGATTCTTGGCATGGCAGCCCAGGGAACACTTCTTGTAGTGCCTGGCTACCACTCCTTCCTTGGGGCCTCAGACTGAACCCCCTTTGTCCCCACGGAGTGGACCATCAACTGCCAACATAATCAGAACCCCAATACCCCTCCATGGGACCTTCAACCGGAGCCATTTCTGGTACAACACAGCCCAGAGACGAGTTTGAAACCCTAGGGTCTATGATATCTCCGAGGCTCCCTGTCCCAGTCAATGAAGTTGTGAATTGACTGGTCACAGCACTCTCTCCTCTCTCCCGCCCATCGAGCCCTGTGCTTCTCCTCGACACACCAGCACTCACTGCTTCATACTCTATCCTCTCAGCTCCGTGGAGCCCCTATTTCCGGCAGGGCAGACTCCCTGAGGGTCCCAAATCTGCATATTCATTTCACACTCGACCTCTGCCTTAAGTGCAACCACCTCCACCCCATTCCCCAGCCTTGTCCTGCTCGCAAAAATAGGGACCTAGGCACCTACAAGAAACATAGGGACCTTTGGGGCCTGAGGTCACACGCGAGTCCTCTTCTATCGCCCTCCAGGATGAGATGAGGAGGTGGTCCCTCTTTTCTCTCCCTCTCCTATGGATGCCCTTGGCTCTGCTCACATAGAGTGCAGGGCTTCCTGGCTTTCCGATTCCCATGTTCCTTCACGTGCTCCAGCAAATATATTGCTTTTCGTGTCTCCCAAGCTAACTTGGAGTCCGTGGGCTGCCGGTGGCCTCCAGCGCATAGCTTCAGAGTTTATAGGGGAGGCTCTGGCGCCGTCAGGAGTTGAGCCTGCTAATGCTGAGCTCCCATGAGTGGCTGCTCTCTCTTTTCCTTAACTGGGGAGGGGGCAGAAGGTGGTGTCAGCCCACAGGAGAGATTCCTTGTTGTGACCAGGACGTTGTCCAGAGGCAGCAACAGCAACAACAATCTAAGGAATCTGCCCAGATGAAGAACTGCCCATCCCCAAAGTGAACAGAAATGGAGCCCCTGGAATCCCCATATTGGGCTATTACCTCAGCACCGGACTCCCCCATCCCCCATCAGTCTCCTGGGTATATCAGAGAAGAAAGCACTGGTGTTTTGTCAACAAGTGGGTGTCACAATTTGGCTCTCTGAGCGAAGGGACAGGTTAGTTGTGGTAAGGGGGCTCTGTCCTTTTACCTTTGGGAAGTATCTCAGCCCATTTATTTTTTTTCATTTGCAAAATGCGGTTAAAAATCCCACCTCAGAGTACAACCCCCCTTTACAGTTTTTTACTATATTTTCTTTTTTAAAAATTCTTCCTAACAGCACAGACACATTAAGGCAGATGCTGATATATATATTTATTGACATAGAAGCTCACAACATATATTGTTTGGTGAAAAAATACAGATAGAACAGCACTTATATTTCATCACTTTTATCTATGCATATATCTATCTGGGTACATAGGTATAGGGAAATATCACTCATCAAAGGGTTGACAATGATTATATAAGGGTGGAGAGATTTGGGTAATTTGTACTTCACTTTTTGTACCTTTTTTATTGTTCAAATATTTAACAATAAATTATACCACTTTCACAAAGAATAAAGCTGTCAAGGAAATGGGCACACACAGAAAACAGACCCGTAGGCTGCAGGGAGAAGGAGCAAGGACAGAGGTCAGGCTATCTCCCTCCAATGTGCTGGTATCCAAGACCCTTTCTACTCCACCCCAAAAGATAGCCGCTTTGTGGATTAATTCATGCAGTTAGAAGTCCCACCCCCACCCCCACCCCAGTTTTCCCACTACTGGATGCTGAATATAGGTAAGGGTTCACTGAAACCTGGGGGTGGTCCCTTACAGTGGCTCAGAGAAGTCATTGTATTCGCCAGGGGCCACTCTTGACCTCTCCATCTCAGTATGGGTCAGCTCCTGGAGAGTGATGATCAAATTCTCAAAAACCTGGGCCTTGTCACTCTCGTTGTCACAGGTTTCTTTTGAGTGGCCTTCCTCACCACAATACGAACAGCGGATTGTGTGTTTTCGCTTCCTGGCTCTACGCATCTCCCCAGGACCGTTATTCTTATAGCCAGAACCACCACTGGTGGAAGGAAACTGAGCCCTGGAATTGTGGGGGGAATCAATGACCAGCACTTCATCCTGAGGTCTGGCCCTGTCTCTGAGGGGAGGGGCACCCCAGGATGGAAGTGGAGGGTCCTGAGACTCCACCAGGATCACATCCTCATCGGAGTCGTCGAGGGTATCATCTATCTCTATCACATTGCAGTCAGCACTGCCGATCACTATCGGTGGGGAGCCCTGAAATGCCACAGGGCTGACTGCCCTCTCCACCATTGACTCAGACCTTTTTGGACGCTTCCGTTTAATAAAAGCATCATCCCAATCCTCTTCCTCCCTTACCATTCTGATTAACTCCAGAAAGTTGGGAAGCCGCTCCTGCTCATTTGCATACATCCTGAGAAAATCCTTAAGTCTGAGTCGGAGGTCCCTACTCAGCTCACCGCCTAAAAGGAGCTGCTGCAAGCGAGTCCGGTTTGCATCTTTCTCAGCTATAATGCCTGCCTGAATAGCGTTCTGGAGCTGCACCTCTAAACGGATCACATAAAGGGAGGCTTTCTCCCCTTGAGCTTGTAGGGTGTTAAAAAATTTACCATGGGCAGTCACACTGCTTTCAGACTCCCCAAACACCAATTTCATGGCTCGCAAGAAATCTGCCACACTTAGGTTAGGGTTGGTCGCCTGAAGCACACGCATGACCTCGCGGGCAGGGCCCCTAAGGGTTTTCATCAAGCGCTTGAGCTTTTCCTCCTCAGACATATTCCAATCTGGCAGGACGCCATTGACTTGGGTCAGCCAGTTTTCAAAGGTTTCTTCCCCTTGGGCTGGCACCACCCTCCCCGAGAACAACTTCATGTTTCTGTCTGCCATGCTGGCCATTATAGGACCGAGACTTCTCCCCAGGGACCTCAGCATGGAATGGGCCCAAGGCGGCAAGGGTGCATTCAGCCGCCGGCTGTTACCGACACGTGCAATGATGCTAGCCATGACTGACGACGATAGGGTATCTGAATATAAGAAGATGCCTAGGCTTTTTAGAAAAGCTTAATCTGCAGGTGGGAGAGGAGAGGAGGTGGCTCTGCCTTCCTATCTCAGCAGGGGCTGTAAAAAAGAAAGGGGGGCTGGTTAATAAGGGAGCGGGCTGCAGCTGCATTCTCTTCCTACCTGAATATCCTGCAGTACATTTTATATTTGCCCACTACCCTAAAAATAATCCTGTAGGAGATTGACACTTACAACCTCCCAGAGCTACCCGATGCCTGCGTGCTAGCAAGGTGCTTTTTGCAGCCACATCCATCCCTCCCACCAGTCCTCCAAGAGGGACGGTAACTGTTGCTTCAAATTCTAGGTGTAGCAGTGTCTGGAGCTGATATTGGGCTCTCCAAATAGAGTACAATGATCGCAGATTTGTGGAAATAAAATAAGATCTCATTAACCTCATGGTCTCTGGTCTCAACCACACCCCCTTCTCAAAGTGCCCCCCACGCCCGTCCCCCTTGTTATTTCTCAGATTCTTACACGAACTCTGAAACAAGAGCGCGTCTTTATTTCACTTCCAGCCTCTGCAACCAGTGCCCTCCGTGAGAAAGCTCCTCTCCGGGGTACGGTCAACCTCTGTCCACAGGGGGTCGCAGATCCGGGTCCTTGAGGTTTCAAGATTGCGCCACAGCGGAGAAGGCCAGAGAAGGGAAGGGTTAGAAGCAGCTTCACCCGTCATCCTGCTACCCACCACCTCCGCTGTTGCCAGGCGAAAAATTCTCTCTGCCCCCTCCTGACTATAAGCCAGAGACCAGCCCCCCACCCTCCAGCATTACATTTCCCCCGGGAAGCCGTCGGCCTACCAGCTCTGCAATCAGCTGCACAGAATTCAAGTTCAGATGCGGCTTTGATGGCCTGCCACGGAGAAAGGGAATAGGAGTTGGACACACCCACCCACATATTCCTCCCAGAAAGAGATGAGGAGATGCAAAGGATGTTCGAAGCAAACAGCTCGAGATTCCTCCCCCCGCTACTCCTCGCCTCTCCTCCCACCCCCAAATCCAGGCAAATCCTACCTAGCCCGCAGTATCCAGGTGAACCCCACCTCCTCCCTCAGCGCAGCCGGGCCACGAGAGTACTCCTACCCCTGCCTCACAGTCACCGATTCTCCAAGCTGGGAGCCGCCCAGTACTGGTGGGTCTTCCCCCACCCCTCTCCCCGCCGGGCAATCACACCCCCATTCTTTACCTGTGCTCCGCTGGTGGACAGCAGATGCTCCCGCGTCGCCAGCTGTGGATTCCGCCTTCTGGTCTCCGCCTTGCAGGCGGCAAAGAACTGAAGCCTCCTTGGCCGCTAAGCGACCCGGGGCTGCCCGAAGGAGCTGCTTCGCAGGGCCGCCCAACCAGGGGTAGCAGAGACGAGGCAGCGCCGTTCCTAAGGCAGCCGCGGCGGCTTTTATCCTCTGCCAGCTGAGACAAAAGAGCGTGACGAGCGGGCTAGTGCGGCCAATCAGCGAAGTGCGGGGGCGGACGCCCCGCACAGCCTTGGGCAGAGGCGAGTTTTCGCCTGAGGGGGCGGGGGCGCAGCAGGCCCGCGGAGCGTCAAGTGCAGCTTGATTAGACCGATGGAGCCAATCTGCCTGGGAATTTGCGACTCTTTCTTCCTCCCCCAACCCGTCCCTTCTCCCTGGGCTCAACTCTGCATCTTAGGCCAGGTGCATTAAACACGAAGTGGGTCCAAAATCAAGTGAATAATAAAAGTTCTTCACCTTGGTATAGGGAAAAGACGGGGAAGAGGGGAAGGGGCGGGAAGAGCATTAGCACGTGCATTGCGGAAACAGGCTTTCACACACATCTCCTCTTTTACTGTGAAAGAAGTAGCAGTATGTCCATTTAACAGAGAGGAGAGCTGGAGAACAAGGCTCTCAACCAATACCCATTCAAGTATGGGGGCAAGACATCAGAGTCATTTGGGGGAGCTTGTTAGAAATGCAGTCTTCTGGCCGGGAATGGTGGCTCACGCCTGAAATCCCAGCACTTTGGGAGGCCGAGGCGGGCGGCTCACGAGGTCAAGAGATCGAGACCATCCTGGCCAACATGTTGAAACCCCGTCTCTACTAAAAAGACAAAAAAAAAAAAAAAAATCAGCTGGGCATGATGGCGCGTGCCTGTAATCCCAGCTACTTGGGAGGCTGAGGCTAGAGAATCTCTCCAACCTGGGAGGCGGAGGTTGCAGTGAACCAAGATCGCACCGCTGCACTTCAGCCTGGCAAGGGAACAAGACTCCCTCTCAAAAAAAAAAAAAAAAAAAAAAAAAAAAAAAAAAAAAGGAAAAGAAAAGAAATGTAGGCTCTGGGCCCCAACTCTGGTGGATTCAGATTTACTAGGACTAGCGGTTGTGATGTGGTTTTGTATTTAGTATTTTTAACCGGCGCTGCGGTTGGTTCTGAGTTGTAGCAAGGTTTGTGAATAAGTAAATGAGCCTGTCTCCAATATCTGTCCACAGGTATCTGTGGTGAAATGCAACTCCAGAGCAGATGTGCCTACCTGGAATCCATGATCTTCCTGAAATTGTATGCAAAGATTTCGGACTCTGTATGAAGCTAAATAATGGCCACCCAAATGTATCAAGTCCTAATCCCTGAAACCTGTAAATGTTACCTTATAAAGTAAAATGGTCTTTGCAGGTGTGATTAAGTTAAGGCTTTTTGACTTAATTTTCCAGGCAGGCTGAAATCTAAACCACAAGTGCCCTTATAAAAGAGGGAGAGTTGGTGCACCAAGAAGAGAAGGCAATGACCAGAGATTAGTGATGTGGCCATAAGCAGAGGAATGCTAGCAGCCACCAGAAACTGGAAGAGGCAAGGAATAAAGCACAGTCCTACTGACACCTTGAATTCAGCCCAGAGAAACAGATGTTAAGCTTCTGGCTTCTAGAACTGTGAGAAATTAAACTTCTCTTGTTTTAAGCCAAGTTTGTGATAATTTGTTACAGTGCTGTTTTAGTCTGTTTGGGGTGCTATGGCAAAATACCATAGACTGGGTGGTTTATAAACAACAGAAATGTATTGCTCATAGTTCTGAAGGTTGGGAAGTCCAACTTCAAGGTGCCAGCAAGGTTGGTTTCTCCTGAGGCTTCTCTCCTTGGCTTGCACATGGCTGCCCTCTTGCTTGGCCATCCTCTCTGTGCATATGTGCCTCTGGGTTCTCTCAGTGTGTCCAAATTTCCTCTTCTTATAAGGACACAAGTCAGATTGGGGCCCACCCTAAGGGCCTCATTTTTACCTTAATAACCTCTTTAAAGGCCCTATCTTTAAATACAGTCACACTCTAAGGTACTGAGGGTTAGGATTACAATGAATTTGGGGGAACATAATTCAGCCTGCAGCACTCCATTTTCCCTTACTTCTGGTTCTGGGAAAGCAAGCCTTCCTTCTCTCATGTAAAGTGTGGTTAAGAGACTCCTGTGGGAACTTTGGGGGGTCAAGACCAAGTGCACTTGGACTGCCCAAGTGCAAAGGAGTTGCTTGTTCTTGACTCCTGATGTTTGGAAGTGAGTGAACAGTCTGATGCTTTTCAGCTGCTGTTAATTTCAGCTTCAGCCTGCCAAGGTACTTTACCTGCTTCTTTCTGCCTTCTTATTTCCAACTCCAATACCTAGAATTCCTTGGAGTAAACAATCTACATTTAAAGACAAAGCACCTTCATCTCAGGGGCATGACCTTTCTCTTGTGGATGGAACACTGGAATGGTGGTGGTGGTGGGTGGAGGATTTTGGAGGTGCAGAGAAGGCAGGTTGCTTACTTCACACAGTCGGGGGTGATGCTGGCAATAGCTTAGGGGTTTTCTTCAGACTCTTGCTTCTGCTCCCCAATACTATGACATCTGACCCTGGCCTCTAAGCAGAATCGTGTTCTACATTTAAATTGGCTTCATCGCCAAATCAGGTGTTCTGCAGTTGGACCTGGTGGCATCAGAAAGGACAAAGACTGTGTCTCAGAGCTGTGCAAAAAATTTTGATTGTGTAAAGTTGCCTGGGTTGCATCATCAGAACCAAGCGGAGGTCTCTTCATATAGGGCTTGGAGGAGCATTTGCTAAACTGGCTCCAGTTGGATACAGAGCATACCTTATCTCTGGCCTCATATTATAGGAGAGGGGTTGGGGGTAAGGGGGCTTCCAATTACAAGAATTCTAGCTCTGGTGGTTCTAAGGAGGCCACATTTCATTTTCCAATTGCAAAACAAAACAAAACAAAAACACACACACAAAAAACCCTTAAAATCCTTAAGATTCAGAGCCAATGCCTTCAGTTGAAAGAATAACTCCCTTTAGTTGCCTTCAACCTCTGTGCCAGGAATTTTCCATCCTTATCTCATGTAAGTGTCTCATCAAACCTATTCAGATAGGCATTGTTATTTCACCAAGGTTTCTGAGAGCATATGGTCACTTCAAACTCGGGCTTCGGCTCAGGGATATCAAAGACTGGATGGGGGTGCTTATGGGAGATGCTGCACATATTAACCTGGCATTCTAAGGGCAGCATCACTCAAAAAAGTTTTCAAAAAGAGGATAAAATAGTTATTTTTAGACAAACAAAACAGAGAGTTTGTAACCAGCAAACCAAGCTAATGGAAATTCTGAAGTATGTACTTCAGGAGGAACATGACCTTAAAAGAAATAAATACAGGAAGGAATGAAGAGCAAAGGAAGTGGTAGTACGTGGGCAATGTAAGAGAACATTGGCAGAAGAAGAAATCAGAAAAACATCTATTCTTCTTTTTAAAAAATAAACTTAATGTATCATACAATCAGAAAAAACGTCAGGAGGGGCTTAAATGGATTTCAACTTTTCTAAGGGCCTGGTATCGTATTGGAAGTTATTTAGGTATTTATTAAATTTATATTCTGATAAGGTAATTATATATCTAGTAATTAATAGTATGTGACTATTAAAATAATAGTAACAGGATGTAAATTTCCAAGCTATCAATAGTAGGGAGGGGAAAAAGTTGAATAATCAACACAAAATTTTCAATTTTTTTTAAATCAAGAAAGAAATATAAATGGGACAAATAAAAGCACAAAATAAAATTAAGCTTTAAACCCAAATATATGAATAATTTTATTAAATGTTTATGATCCACAACATCAAAAACCCCAAGTAATCCCATTTAAAAGTGGGCAAAGGATCTGAATAGACATTTCTCAAAGACATACAAATGGCCAAGAAATATATGAAAAAAATGCTCAACTAATCATCAGGGAAATGCAAATCTAAACCACAGTGACCCCAGTTAGCATGGCTATTATCAAAAGATAAAAATTAAAAATTCTGGCCAGGATGCAGAGAAAAGAAAACTCTTATACACTGTTGCTGAGAATGTAAATTAGTACAGCCACTATGGAGAGCAGTTTGGAGGTTCCTCAGAAAACAAAAAATAGAGCTATCATACCATCCAGAAATCATATGATATATAGCCAAAGGAAATGAAATTAGTGTATTGAATGAATACCTGCACCCCCAGGTTTATTATAGCACTATTCACAATAGCCAAGATATGGAATCAACCTAAATGTCCATCAATGGATGAATGGATAAAGAAAATGGAGTATATATACACAATGGAATACTATTCAGCCATAAAAAAGAATAAAATCCTATCATTTGCAGCAACATGTATGGAACTGGAAGTCATTACGTTAACTGAAATAAGCCAGGCACAGAAAGATAAAAATTGCACGTTCTCACTCATCTGTGGGGGCTAAAAAAGTGTATCTCACGGAGTTAGAGAGTAGAATGATTGTTACCAGAGGCTGGGAAGGGTGTGTGTTGTGGGGAGGGTTGAAGAGAGATTAGTTAATGACTTACATTAAAATAATATGTTATAGTGTTCAATAGCACAATAGGGTGGCCATAGTTAAAAACAATATGTTGTATATTTCAAAATAGCTAGAGGAGAAGATTTGAAATGTTCCCAACACAAAGAAATGACAAATGTTCAAGGTGATAGGTATCCTAATTACCCTGGATCATTAAATATTGTATTCATGTATCAAAAGGTCACATGTATCCCATAAATATGTATAAATAGTATGTATCAATAAAAGGATTTTTAAAATTACAAAACATAAAAGATTTTAAAAGCTAAAGGCTCAAGTTAAAAAATAATGTCAAATGGGATTAATAAACACAACTACATGCTGTTTAAAAGAGACAAATCCAAAATATAAGGGTACACATAGGTTGATAGTAAAAACATGGAGACAGAAAAATCATGCAAATAATATATAACAGATAGAAAACTTGTATAGCTATATTCATAGCAGGCAAAATATACTTAAAAGCAAAAAGCATTACGAGAGATATAGAAGGTTATTTTATTATGATAAAAGTTCCAACTCACCGGGAAGTTTAGCAAATTTGAATGATTATGCTGATAACAAAGCCTTGAAATATATAAAGGAAAATTAATTTACTAAAGGAGAAATAAGCAAATATAAAATTAGAATGGAAAGTGTTACCACACCTCTCTCAGTAGTTGATCAAGGAGACAAAAAATGCCTCTAAGGATATAGAATTTTTGAACAATGTTATTAATAATGAACTAATAGCCAATATATAGAACACCACACCACAGCCAACAACTACAGAATACACATACAACACCCTTATAAAATTTGACCCACTTTGGGAGGCCGAGGCGGGCGGATCATGAGGTCAGGAGATCAAGACCATCCTAGCTAACACGGTGAAACCCCATCTCTACTAAAAATACAAAAATTTAGCCAGGCGTGGTGGCGGTCACCTGTAGTCCCAGCTACTCGGAAGGCTGAGGCAGGAGAATGGCGTGAACCTGGGAGGTGGAGCTTGCAGTGAGCCGAGATCATGCCACTGCACTCCAGCCTGGGCGACAGAGCAAGACTCTGTCTCAAAAAAAAAAAAAAAATTTGACCATATGTTAGGCCAGAAAGCAGGCCTCAACAAATTTCAAAGAATTAAAATCTGATTGCAATGCAAGTAAGTTACAAACCAATAATAAAAAGATAACTGGAAAATGTCAGTATGTTTGGAAACCAAGACACATACTCTAAAATAACTGATGAGTCAAAGAACAATGATAGTGAAATTAAAAATATTTTTTGCTGAACAATAATGGAAATACTCATATCAAAAATTGTGGGAGCTCGGTACAGTGCTGCATACCTGTAGTCCCTGCTACTCAGGAGGCTGAGACAGGAAGATCACATGAACCTGGGCAACATAGCCAGACCCTGTCTCTAAAACAAAACAAAACAAAACAAAAAAACCCACCCTTGTATCTGTAAGCAATGATGAAAATCCACGAGTTAATGAGTTAATGAATTGTCCATCTCAAGATGTAAGAAAACAAACAAAATAAGCCCAATAAAATTTAAAAACGATAATATGATAAATAGAAATTAGTGAAATAGAAAGCAATGTTATAACATGTCAAGAATGTCCTCTCTTGCCACTTCCATTTAACATTGTATTAGGGGTTCTAGCCTGGGAAATTAGACAAGATAAAAAAGAAATAAACGACATCCAGATTGGAAAGGAAGAAATAAAACCATCTGTATTCATAGATGACATCATTTTTTATTATACTTTAAGTTCTAGGGTACATGTGCACAACATGCAGGTTTGTTACATATGTATACATGTGCCATGTTGCTGTGCTGCACCCATTAACTCGTCATTTACATGAAGCTGGAAACCATCATTCTCAGCAAACTATCGCAAGGACAAAAAACCAGACACCGCATGTTCTCACTCATAGGTGGGAATTGAACGATGACATCATTTTGTACATGGAAAATTCTAAGGACACCATTGAAAAACTATGAGAACTAATAGATGAGTTCAACAAGATTGTAAAATACAAGATTGTTATACAAAATTTAATTGTATTTCTATACACTAGCAATGAACAATCTGGAAATGAAATTAAGGAAACAATTCCATTTACAATAACATCAAAAATACTTATGAATAAATTTAACAAATGAAGTGTAAAGCTTACACTAAAAATTGCAAAACATTGTGGAGGGAAATTAAAGATATAAATAAATGAAAGACATTTGATCATCCTGGTTTAGAGGGCCAAATATTGATAAAATGGCAATCTACAGATTGATCTGTAGATTCAATGTTATGTCTAGCATAATTTCAGCTGGCTTCTTTGTAGAAACTGAGAAACTGATCCTAAAATTCACACAGAAATACAGGGAGCCGGGTGTGGTGACTCATACCTCTAATCCCAGCACTTTGGGAAGCCGAGGTGGGCGGATCACTTGAGCCCAGGAATTTGAGACCAGCCTGGGTAACATGGTGAAACCCTGTCTCTATTAAAAATACAAAAACTAGCCAGGCATGGTGGTGCAAGCCTGAGCCTGTAGTCCCAGCTACACAGGAGGCTGAGATGGGAGGATGGCTTGAACCCGAGAGGCAGAGGTTGTAGTGAGCAAAGATCACACCACTGCACTCCAACCTGGGTGACAGAGTGAGACCCCGTCTCAAAAAAAAAAAAAAAAGAAAGAAAGAAAGAAATGCAGGAAACCCAGAATAGTCAAAACAATCTTGAAAAAGAAAAACAGAGTTGGAGAACTGACACTTCCCAATTTCAAAACCTACTACAAAGCTGCAGTAATCAAAATCGTGTGGTCCTGGAATAAGGATAGTATATAGATCAGTGGAATAGAATTGAGAGTCCAAAAATAAACTCATACATTTATGGTCAGTTAATTTTTGACAAGGATGACAAGACCATTCAATGGGGAAACAAAAGTCTGTTCAACAAATGGTGCAGGGACAAATGGATGTCACAAGCAAAGAATGAATTTGGACTACCACCTCACACCATGTACAAAAATTAACTCAAAATGAATCATAGACCTAAGTATAAAAGCTAAAATTATAAAAACTCTAAGAAGTCATAGAAGTAAATGTTTGTGTCTTTGAGTTAGGCAAAGCATTCTTAGATATGACACCAAAGTATAAGCAACAACAACAACAACAACAAACAGAAAAACTAGACTTCATCAAAATTTAATTTTTTTTTTTTTTTTGAGACAGAGTCTCACTCTGTTGCCCAGGCTGGAGTGCAGTGGCACGATCTCGGCTCACAAAATTTAAAATTTTTGTGCATCAAAAGACACTGTCAGGGCCGGGCATGGTGGCTCACACTTGTAATCCCAGCAATTTGGGAGGCCAAGGGTGTGGATTGCTTGAGCTCACGAGTTCAAGACCAGCCTGGCCAACATGGTGAAACCCGTCTCTACAAAAAATACAAAAATTAGCCAGCACGGTGGCATGTGCTTGTAATCCCAGCTACTCGGGAGGCTGAGGTAGGAGGATGGCTTGAGCCTGAGAGGCAGAGGTTGCAGTGAGCCAAGATCACGCCACTGCACTCCAGCTTGGGCAACAAAGCCAGACCTAGTTTAAAAAAAAAAAAAAAAAGACACTGTCAGGAAGGGGAAAAGACAATCCACAGAATGAAAGAAAGTATAGGGAAATTATATATCTGATGAAGGATCTTTATCTAGTATATATAGTTTTACAACTCAACAATAAAAAGACAACTTAATTTTAAAATGGACAAAGGATCTGAGTAAACATTTCTCCAGGGAATATATATGATATACAAATGGCCAATGAAAAGATGCTCAACATTATTTGGTCATCAGGGAAATGCAAACGAAAACCACAATTGGATACCATTTTATACCTACTAGGATGGCTATAATTAAAAAGACAGATAATAACAAGTGTTAGCAAGGATATGGAGAAATTGGAATCCTGAAATATTGCTCACAGGAATGTAAAATGGTGCAGTCACTTTGGAAAATAGTTTGGAAATTTCCTCAAAAGGTTAAATATAGAATTACTATATGACCCAGCAATTCTATTCCCAGGTGAATACCCAAAAGAAATGAAAACCTATGTCCATACAAAAACTTTTTTTTTTTTTGAGATTGCGTCTCGCTCTGTCGCCCAGGCTGGAGTACAGTGGCGTGATCTCGGCTCACTGCAAGCTCCGCCTCCCGGATTCACGCCATTCTCCTGCCTCAGCCTCCTGAGTAGCTGGGACTACAGGTGCCTGCCACCACGCCCAGCTAATTTTTTGTATTTTTTAGTAGAGACAGGGTTTCACCGTGTTAGCCAGGATGGTCTCAATCTCCTGACCTCGTGATCTGCCCGCCTTGGCCTCCCAAAGTGCTGGGATTACAGGCGTGAGCCACTGTGCCCGGCCACAAAAACTTGTATACTAATGTGCATAGTGTCATTATTAATAACCGAAAAGGGGAAACCACTCAAATGTCCATCAATTAATGAATGGATAAAAGGAAAGAAGTGCTTTTACATGCTACATCATGGGTGAACCCTGGAAACACTATGCTAAGTGAAAGATGGCCACACAAAAGGCCACATATTGTATGATTCTGTTTATATGAAATATTCAGAAGAGACAAATCCACATAGATAGAAAGTAGATTAGAGGTTGCCAGGGGTTGGGGGTAGGAAGGAAAAGGGAGTGACTGCTAATAGGTACAGGGTTTCTTTCTGTGGTGATGATAATGTTCTAAAATTGATTGTGATGATGGTCATGTAACTGAATATATTTAAAAACCATTGAATTGTACACTTTCAAAGGATGAATTTTAAAGATGTACACTATATCACAATAAAGATTTTTTTAGAAAAAGAATATTTACGGTGTGGATCCATTTATATAAAGTTCAAACAAAGGTGAGCCTAAACTATATTGCTTAGACTTGCATACAGAGATGATCAAAAACTAAAAGAAAGCATGGAACTATTCCTATAAAAGTCAGGCTAGTGGTTCCGCCTGGGGGTGAGAGAAGAGCTTTGATTAAAAAGAGAACCACAGAGGGCTTCTGTGGCATCCTAGTGTTTGATTTCTGATCTTTCTTGGTGGTTACATGGGTATTTCTTTTCTAACGATTTGTTAAAAATCTACATACATGTTTTATGCACATTTCTGTATATCTGTTCTATTTTCAATAAACTGTTAACATTAAACTCATTCACCTGAGTGTATGTGGACTACACTGAATTGTTAAAATATTGGACTGAGCCAGGCTATTGATTCCAGATATTTCAAGAAAAGGGTTCCTAAATTAAGTGTCCGTAAGATTAAAAGAGGGAATAGGAGTGGAGAGAGTGTTGGATAGAGTAAAAAGATTTGACTTTCCTAAAAGACGTGCTTCTTTGGTTCCTGTGCAAAGCACTAAAGATAGGGAAATAGTGGTAAAGCATGCAGGCTCTACAGCAAAACCAAATAGGTTCTGCATCTACCACTTAAGTTTTAGTTTCACAATCCTTCTGGGCCTCAGTTTCCATATCTGTAAGTGGAGATTATAATATCATCTAGCTAAAATGTTACTGTGCATATTAAAGAAGATTATCCTTGTAATACCTTGTGAATATTTTTTTTAGATAAGGGAACTCACTGTTGCCCAGGCTGAAGTGCAGTGGCCATTCACTGTACTCATCATAGCTCACTGTGGCCTCCAACTCCTGGCTTCAAGCAATCCTCCCACCTCAGCTTCCCGAGTAGCTGGGACTATAGGTGCCTACCACCACACCCAGCTGAGTATGTTTTTTGACATGTAAGTGCTTTATAATTGGCATCTGTTATTATTTCTTTCTAAAGCTCGTTATGAGATACATTAATTCTGAGTCCCTGTTGTATGTCTGTTATTGTCCTATTTTCCATTTATTCTAGATACCATACATGAAAATAATACAATTGCATTTTTTTTGAGACAAGGTCTCACTCTGTTGCCCAGACAGGAGTGCAGTGGCGTGATCTCAGCTCACTACAACCTCCGTCTGCCAGGCTCAACTAATTATCCTGCCTCAGTCTCCCGACTACCTGGGATAACAGGCGTGCACCACTACCGCCTGGCTAATTTTTGTATTTTTAGTAGAGTTGGGGTTTCACCATGTTGGCCAGGCTGGTCTTAAACTCCTGACCTCAAATGATCCACCCCGCTTGGCCTCCCAAAGTGCTGGGATTACAGGCATGGTATGTGTAATTGAAACTGACACTCGGAGAGGTTAAGTAAGAAGCCTGGAGTCACACAGCTTTAAGAGGTGGCGTAATGTTTTGAAAACAGATCCGTCTAATTCCAAAGCCTTTGCACTTTCCACGTTTTCTTGGAGTTGAATATAACCATCATTCAGTGGGAAATTCAAATGATGTTTAACCAAATACTGTTTTATTAAGCTATTTATATGACTTAATAGGAGAAAACATGTCCAAAAGCCTGAGAGCTTTGTGTACTGGGAAAGTTTATATAGTGCCAATGTAACATTTCAGAGCAGACGTAAATCTCTTGCGTTCTCTAAATAACACCTGGTAAAGAGATGTTCTTAGAAGTTGCTTAAGTTGCAATGATCTGGCGGGTTTTAAAGTCTGGCCAAACCTAAGGAATATAGCAGTAGGATTTCCAGGTCACAGGAAGTGTATTACCAGCAGGAGAGCACACGCCACCAAATCTGAGGGAGTGCAGAGTCAAACTCCTAATGGGGAACCTGGCATCCAAAACTGTTATTTTGTTAATTCCTCTAATTCTGCCCCAGTTATCTGAACACAGGAGAGTGCCCTCCCAAAGCACCACCATAGAGGGGCCCAGCAAAAAGTCCAACCAATTCTGCATAGCTGCAACACCTCAGAAAATGTAGGCCAGCCTGCTGGTCTGGATTGACTGAAATGACTGAGACCCAAGTAGCCCTTTGGGAAATCATGGTAAAATCATGGTGCTGGGTGCTTCAGAAATCCTTGCTGACTGATCAGCTGGACTGCTGTGGCAGAGACAAGATCTAGAGCAAGTGGGGGAGGAGGGTGGGGTCCAGAGGCAGAAGTCAGGCTGGAAAGCCCTGGGGGCCCACTGGCAAGAGGGAGACTGGCAAGAGGTAGATCAGGATGGTGGCCGTTCCGAATGTGTGTGTGGTGAAGGGAGCATTAAACTACAACCTGGGGCCTGGGTTCTATCGCTCTTGAGTTAATTAATTAATCTCTGGATATATCAGTTCCCCCACCCATAAAATGAAAATAATAATAGGACCTATCTCATTGTATTGTCATGAGGAACAGATGAAATCATGGACATGAAAGCACTGTGAAAACTCTCATGGTATATAGAAATATGAAGCTAAGTGTTCACTTGTTTTGTTTCCTTGTGTAGCCCCAGCACCTGGACAGTGTCTGTCATATAGCAAGTACTCAATAAACATTCATTGAATGAATAATATTGCACTAGAGTTCGAGTACTGACTGTTTAGAATACTAGGTGATCATCACAAGCAAAACTATGAGATGGGTGAAAGTAAGTTCTCGGCTGGGTGCGGTGGCTCATGCCTGTAATCCCAACACTTTGGGAGGCCAAGGTGCCAGGATTGTTTGAGTCCAGGAGATCAAGACCAGCCTGGGAAACATATGGAGATCCCATTTCTACAAATAATAAAAAATTAGCCAGGCATGGTGATGTGGACCTGTGGTCCCAGCTACTCGAGAGGCTGAGGTGGGAGGATCATTTGAGCCCAGGAAGTGGAGGCTGCAGTGAGCCGAGATCATATCACTGCATTCCAGCCTCGGCGACAGAGCAAGACCCCATCTCAAAAAAAAAAAGAAAAAAAAGCAAGTTCTTGCATCCTTCCATTTGGAGCCCTGTCCCCTGTCCCTTGACAGTGCCCTGGAGGTATTAAATATCCAGCATCCTCAGCCACCTCATTTTTCTTCACTCAGCCCACCTTGGTATCAGTGATGAAAAGAATGATAGCTGCCATTTGTTGGAGGCATATTATGTTCTAAGTGCTAAGCTTCACATGCACATTCTCAGCTTGATCTTCAAATCCACCCCCACATTTAATGGCTATTTTTCTTGGGAAAAAAAATACATGCTGATGACTCTAAAGCTCAGTTTTCTCATCTAGGTTGCAAGGCAAATCCTGTTACAGAAACTGACATGATTCCTGTTGGAGTTTCTGTTCCCAGGACTCATCTGGGCTCAACTCAGGCCCAGGCTTGAAATTGTGTGGCAAGGGACCCAACTGCCATAGCCATGCCATCAGACATAGCTATGATTGATGGGGGACAAGGGTCTCAATCTGCGTGAAGGCACCAAGGCTCTGCTATCCTCTTTCACAACTACATGGCTAGGAAACAGCAGCTGTCATTCAAGCCCAGGCAATCTCTCTTCAATACTTTGTGACACTTAAGGAAGCAGATGGAACAACTTGACAAATGGAACAGCTTGTCCAAAGCTGCTCACCTGGGCTCACAAATCCTTCCCCTCAGCCAAGAGATTTTTCATAAAGGAATGCTAATCTCTTTGGCACACTGCCCTTTGCACCCCTACAACCTTAAATGCTGGGTCCACTTAGCAGGTTCAGAACGTTCTGGCAGGCTCTCTCATACCATCCCACCCTCCCTGATTCTTATGTCATAGCCCTATCAGAGTTAGAAATAATACAATTACTTGTAGAATAATTTGATTACCTTTGGACTCCACCAAGTGCCCCTGAATTCCATGAGAGCCAGGTAGAATTGACTTTCTTCTCCACCACTTCCACAGTGCCCAGCTCTGGGCATAGTACAAAGCAAGTGCTCAATCAATATTTATCAAAGAATAAATGAATGAGTGAAGAGTAAGCAAATAAGTGAGATGGAAATGTAGAACAGAATAAATGTGGTAATTGCTCTCAAACCTTTGAAGAGCTTTGCTATGGAAGAGAGAGGATTTTTACTATCTTTTTTTTTTTTTTTGGTGAGAAAGAGTCTCGCTCAGTCGCCCAGGCTGGAGTGCAGTGGTGCCACCTTGGCTCACTGCAACCTCCACCTACAGGGTTCAAGCGATTCTCCTGCCTCAGCCTCCCGAGTAGCTGGGACTATGGGTGTGCACCACCAGACCGAGCTAATTTTTGTATTTTTAGTAGAGATGGGGTTTAGCTATGTTGGCCAGGCTGGTCTCAAACTCCTGGCCTCAAGTGATCCACCCACCCCAGCCTCCCAAAGTACTGGGATTACAGGCGTGAGCCACCATGCCCAGCCCAGGATTTTTATTAACTTTTTATTTAGAAATAATTTAAAAATTACAGAAGAGTTGTAAAAGTAGAACAAATAATTCCCATACACCATCTATGCAGATCCCACCAATTTTAAATATTTTGGCAATTTGTTTTTATCACTCTCTCTCATTACTTACATATTAATGTTCTTTTTTTTTAGGAACTATTTGCAGGCAGGTCACATGCATCATGCCATTTTACTCCCTAATGCTTCAATGCATATTTCCCAGGGACACAGCCATTCTTATAGAAGACCATTACCAAAATTAGGACACTTGATAGTTGATGCAATATTGTAATCTATGTCCTTACTCAATTTTGCCAATTTTGAGTGAGGACTTTTTTTGTTCTGTTTGGTTCTCCAGGGCATAAGGAAGATTAATGGGAAGATACATGATAAAAATGACTTTTTACTCTGGAATTTGAAGATAGATCCAGAAAATTAGAACTATCAATAAATAAAATGGCCTTTCTCCATAAATAGGGCACTCCCTGTTGCTGCAGGGATTTAGGCAGAGACTAGACGATTACCTGTTAGGAACGAGGGAGGGGATATCTCTTATGAATATGAACTACAGAATAAGCTTTTGTGTGTACTTCTGCAGGCCAGGTGAATTATATGCTATGTACTGGGCTTGATTCTCTTTTTTTCACTTATCATTTCTCATGTCGGGGCTGGTCCTTGCGTAGCTGAAGTAACCAACCATGGCATGGGGTTGAAGCAACCTCAACGTTCCATCAACCTGGAAATATTTTCCCCTGACACCTTCTACAAACAGGTCAGCCCTGGAATAATAATATTAACATGTATTATGCACTTACAATGAGCAGGGCAATGGTGTGCTTTGTAAGTGTCAACTCATTAAGTCTCCAAAAGCCGTAAGATGTAGCTATTACTATACTATAATCCCTATTTTACCAATGAGGCATCTGAAGCTCAGGTGGGTTTTGGTATCTTGATTTGGTTCAGGTCTGATGTGTTAAAAGATTTCAGAAATTATGATCAAGTTGTTCAAATAAGTGTATATGGAGATTTTTAAAAAGCAGTTCGGCTGGGCACAGCAGCTCACGCCTGTAATCCTAGCAATTTTGGAGGCTGAGGCAGGCAGATCACTTGACCCCAGGAGTTCAAGACCAGTCTGGACAACATGGCAAAATCCTGTATCTACTAAAAATACAAAAAAAAAAATTAGTTGGTGTGGTGGTGTACACCTGTAGTCCCAGCTCCTCAGGAGGTTGAGGTGTGAGGATTGCTTGAGCCCAGGAATTGAAGGCTGCAGTGAGGTGTGATCACATTACTGCACCACAGCCTGAGCAACAGAGCAAGACCCTGTCTCAAAAAATAAAAAATCGGTTCAATTATTTAAATGAAAAATAAAAATGAAAAGAAATAAACCAAAAGATAGTATTTCAAGACTTCAAGAACATTAGTATTTCTTTGTCTGTTTATACCTATTCCTATTTTCATTAGGGCAGTCTAATTTGGAGGAGTTTTAGGGGGGGTTCTTTATTTCTACATTTCCTGATTTTCTAGTTGTTGTAATTGTTATTTTTTAGACATGTTTTCACTGTAGTTGACATGCTAATTCAGAATGAAAGATCTTCCTAGAGACTGTCCTATGTAAAGCAATTGAATCTCCCTGCTGTATTACCACTGTAGAAGACAGAGGAACAAGGAGGATGGCCCCTTCTTTCCCAGTCTTATAGGTTTCATAGTTTTCAGAACAGTTAATTTCTGGCTAATTCCTACCAATCCTTAAAATTTCAGCTTAAATGTCACATCCTCAGAAAAGTTTTTGCTACCCTGCAAGACTAGGTCAGAATCCCCTGTTACCTGTTCTCACAGCCTCATCGACCTTTTCTTCATCTCACCTCACTACATCTCACTGCATCATTGACCTTTCCTTCATAGCAATTATCACATTTAAAATGATTGTTTTGTCTTTACAGTTAGACTGTAATACAGGTTTCTGAGGGGACCCATCTATTTTTGCTCCCAAATGTATCCTAGTACCTGACACACTGTGGCCACTCAATAAATGTTTGTTGAATGAAAAATGAGTAAATGAAAATCCAGTTCCACTTAGGAAAAAGATGCTAGCAAAAGAAAACATAGAAGAGTAAATTGTGCCCCTGGAGGCAAAAATTCAGTATTCTAGTATCAAAGGTCAGAACCAGGCAGTGATGAAGTCAAAATGAGGGGATTTGGGAGATCCGGCAGAGGGTGGTTCAGGCAAGAACTTTGGTCAGTTGCTAGAGCACAGTAGCAGCAGCAGCATGGAGTATCTCAATCCAGTGCTAGGATGCTGTAGCTGACTGAAAGTATTCTGCTTTCAGGGGTTCAGTCCTTCTGGAAATATGCTACAGAACATGTGCACCCATGGTTTCCTTCATTGGGGACAGAGAAGTAGAACTAGGCAGAAAAGAATTTAAGGAAGAACTATAAAAGGCTTTTGAGAGGAAGGGTCTTGCTGGTTCCAAAATAATGTCCTCTCTCATTAAGTGGCTTTCACAAAGCTGCCATTACAATTTCTACATGCAGCCCCCAGATGGCAGCAGTGTGTTACTCTTGGGCTGCCAAGTTCGTGATGAAGTCTCTGCTTTGACATCTAACCTACCATGCCATGACTGCCCCCAGAGCTAGCTTAGATTTGGGTTGTCCTCACACTGTGCTGAGAGGGCTTGCAATGTGTCTTATTTTGGGAATGACCTCATTGGTCTTTCCCTGGCAGCTGGCTCCCATAACCCTGACTCTTGAAGCTGCCCTCCTCTCATTGCCATCCGTGAGTGTCCCCAACCCTGTAGGAAATCATAACCTAATGGTTCCTCTAGCATACTACAGTGAACATGTCCAAAATGAAATTCGTATTTCTCATCTACTCCCCATTCCCCACCCAAGCCTGTGCTTCTCTATAACATTTTGAGCATCTCCCTCCCATTCATGGAGTCCTGGTGAGTCAACCTCTAAACTACTTCAGATCTGTGTCCTCCTCTCCTGTTTGCCAGGCATGGAGCGGATCCTCTCCACCTCTTGCCTAATCCCTAGGTCATCTGCTTATCTCTGTCATCTTTCTCTCACAATCCATCCTTCCACTCTACTCAAACTCCTTCTGAGGACAGGGATGCCCCCTTTTGTTAATCTCTTCAGATTCTACTCTTGCTTTAATGTGCAGACCAACTAGCACTGCCCTCAAAAAACTTTTCTGGGTATCCTCCCAGCCCCGACACCCCCATCATTTTTTCCACTGCCTGTATACAGCACTTTACTTGGACCTCCTTTCATAACTCTAATTGCTAATATTCTGTCTTGTTGATAATCCATTATTTATATACATAAATATGTCACTCTAGCCCTTAGCCAAGGTGGCAACCATGTGGCACAAGTACATCAACACCCCCCCACCAGTACCCAACAAGAGACATCACTGATAGATCTTAGCCATCTTCCCACTGAGCCCAAACCCAATCTCAAAATCCTTCGGGAAACAGTATTCCAGAAGAACTGATCCACAAAATGAAACAAATTTGCCATTCCTGCACTGGACTATCAGCAATAATAGGACAGAAAGTATGCACTGCACCTGTAGTCCCAGCTACTTGGCAGGCAAGAGGATCACCTGAGCCCAGGAGTTTGAGACTAGCCTGGGCAAAATAGTGAGACACCATCTCAATTTTTTAAAAAAGAAAAGAAAGCATGCTCTATTCTTTGAATCTACTACAGCATCTCGTACACGATCTATATTCGTCAAAAGCCTTCTTGAATGAATTAATAAAAGCACAAAGTGGAATAGCATAGACACTGATCATAGGAATGCTGCTCCCAGACTCCATGTTTCAATACTGCTGCTATGAATATGGGTGTGCAAATATCCCAAGACCCTGCTTTTAATGCTTTTGCATAAATACCCAGAAGTGGGATTGCTGAGTCATATGGTAGATCTATTTCTTTTTCTTTTTTCTTTTTTTTTTCTTTTTTTCTTTTTTTTTTTTGAGACGGAGTTTCACTCTTGTTGCCCAGGCTGGAGTGCAATGGCACGATCTCAGCTCACCGCAACCTCTGCCTCCCAGGTTCAAGCAATTCTCCTGCCTCAGCCTCCCGAGTAGCTGGGATTACAGGTGCCCACCACTACGCCCGGCTAATTTTTGTATTTTTAGTAGAGACGGGGTTTCTCCATGTTGGTCAGGCTGGTCTGGAACTCCCAACCTCAGTTGATCTGCCCACCTCGGCCTCCCAACGTGCTGGGACTACAGGCGTAAGCCACCGCACCCAGCCTAGGTAGATCTATTTCTAACTTTTTGAAGAACTACCATTCTGTTTTCCATGGCTGTTGCACCATTTCACAATCCCACAAATAGCACACAAGGATTCTCATTTCCCCACATCCACACCAACACTTTCTATTTTATGGGTTTTTTTTTATAGTGGCCATTCTAATGAGCGTGAGGTGATATTCATTCACTTTTATTGCTAAGTAGTATTCCATGATGTGACTGTACCAAAAATTGTTCAACCATTCACCCACCCATTGAAGGATATCTGAGTTTTTCTAGTTTTTGTAAATTATGAATAAAACCATTATAAACATTTATGTAAAGTTTGTTGTGTGAACATATGTTTTTATTTTTCTGGGATAGAGGCCCAACAGTACAATTGCTGGACCATGTGATAGTTGCATGTTTCGTTTTTAAACAAACTGCCACTCTTTCTCAGAGTAGCTGTACCATTTTATGTACCCACAAGAAATATATGAGTGATATGATTTCTTTGCATCCTTACTATTATTGAGGTGTTGTCATTATTTTTATTTTAGCCATTCTGAGAGGTCTGTAGTAATGTTACCAAAACAGCAGGAGTTCCATCTAGGTCCTGTTTTCTCACTGCACAGAAAGGCAAACACTGAGACAATGAGTATTGCCAAGGAAGAAGGCTTTAATCAGGTGCAGCAGCCAAGGAGACAAGAGATCAGTCTCAATTCCATCTCCCTGACCAACTAAAATTAGGTGTTTGTATAGCAGGGAAGAAGTGAAACCATGTGTGGGAAAACAGGAATTAGGGAGGGATAAGGAAGAGGAGTTGGTCAACAGGAAGCAGTTGGTTTGTCAGCCAATCAAGAAGGGTGAGGGATCTGGCTTCTCACTGTCCGGATGTGGTGATTTGGTGATTTTCAGATCCCGGATACTTTCTGGGAGGCCTGATGGTTTGTTTCCTGAGAAAGGAATTCAGATAAGACAAATGTAACTTTCTCAAGTTTTAAGACTGGAAGGATCAATTTCTATGTTTATTCAAAGAGATCAGAAACATCAGCTCTGTGGGACAATTGGGTTGGTTTCATAGTCACATGGTCTGTATATTTCCCAGTGGTATTCAAGCCAGCAACTTATAGAAAACTGCATGATCAAGTGTAAACTCAGCAGATTTACAAAGCACACACTTGACCACAGATAATTTTTCTCAACCTAACATTCAGACCCATAAGCCTATTTTTCCACCTTGCTTTAAAATTTTCAGTGCATTGTAAAATATCAGAAAAGGATTGCCCCATATTGGTCTTAATTAATCCATGCTGAAGTACTCTCTTTTAGTATCACATTTCCAATTTGTTTATATTGGTCCTTATCATGTGGGAAAAAATTACACAACACAGATATGCTCTGTACTACCATTTGCAAAAACATTCCGTAGACATATTAGAAGTTGGCATTTGTGTGTGTGTGTGTGTGTGTGTGTGTGTGTGTGTGTGTGTATGCATGGCTGTGTTTTTTTTCTGTTTTAAGGAAGACTATGTCTTGGTTGTGTGAGAACTTCTAAGCTTCAAGGCCAAACTTCAGTTTTCACTTCCTTCACAGATGTCTGACTACGCTTATAAAGAATTTCCAGAATTTGTTGGGCACTGTGGCTGACGCCTGTAATCCCAGCACTTTGGGAGGCTGATGCAAGTGGATCACTTGAGGTCAGGAGTTCGAGACCAGCCTGGCTAACGCGGTGAAACCCCGTCTCTACTAAAAATACAAAAATTAGCCAGGCGTGGTGGCGGGCGCCTGTAATCCCAGCTACTTGAGAGGTTGAGGCAGGAGAATCACTTGAACCCAGGAGGCAGAGGTTGCAGCGAGCCGAGATCGCACCATTGCACTCCAGCCTGGGCAACAAGAGCAAAACTCTGTCAAAAAAAAAAAAAGAAAGAAAGAAAGAAAGAAAAAAGAAAAAAAAGAGAGAGAGGAAGGAAGGAAGGAAGGAAGGAAGGAAGGAAGGAAGGAAGGAAGGAAGGAAGGAAGGAAGGAAGGAAAAGAGAAAACAAGAAGAATTTCCAGAATCCAATGGGATGCTAAACAAATTTTTAGTCAAAGCAATCTGGAAGGGAAAAAGAGCTACTTTGTGGCAGCAGGGCTGTATTCATTCCTAAATGCCAATGTAGTACGATTTTAAAGGCCAAACAATCATTTGTTCCCAAATTCTCACCCCTGTATATTACAAAGCATCATTATTTAAAAAATCACCGTGAGCCTTATTGGATCCTGATTCAAGCAAATTGTAGGAAAAAAAGACTTATGAGACAATTGGGGAAATGTAAACACTGACTAGATAATTGAGAATATTAAGCAATTATTGTTTAGTTTTAAAGTGTGATAATGGTATTGCAGTTTTTTAAAACAAAAAGGGTCCTTAGTTTGTAGAGATATATACTAAAGTATTTACAGATGAAATGATGTGATGTCTGGGACTTGCTTAAAAATAATTCGTCATGTAGGAAGTAGGAAATGGGTGGCAGTATAAATGAAATAAGATTGACCATTTTGATAATTGTTGAAGCTAGTTGATGGGTATATGACCATTCACTGTAACAGTCTCCTTACTTCTATATATGTTTGAACTTTCCCATAATATTTTTTTAATCCACCATAAAAGTGGTAGCATGGTTTGGGGAGGCTCCTTGTAATATGAATTTTATCCAGAAATGGTAACCCACAAACTTCTTAGCCCTCCTTGGCTACATTAGCAAAGATGAATTGATCAAACATCTTATGAGGCAGAGGCCACAAGGAACAGGAAATGAGGCAGGACAAGTCTGAAAAGAGGAAGTTAAGAAAGGCTTGGAACATGGACTCTTGCCAGAGTGGACAAGCTATTGCCAACCACTGAACGAAAGGGTTTGAAGTGTAGCAGCTGGAGAGAGGATGCTAAAAGAAAGTAGTAGCCTCCTTAGGGGGAAGGTGTCTTGTATATGCATGTTGGTGGGGGATAGTGGGGTGGAGCTTGAATGTTCAAGGCTGTAAAACAAACTCACCCTTTGATTAGAGCTATCTTTGTCTCCCTTTGGAAACATCATGAAAATAAGACATGTAGAACTGATTCTTAATCCAAATCTCAAGTCAAACAATAACTCAGAATAATTTTCTGTTTTTTCCCCCATTTTCAAATCTACAAGTCTTAGGTCAGCTGCTTGTTTTCTATAGCTGTTTCCATTATTTTCCCAAAACAATCAAAAGTTACTATTTTATTGATTGCGAATGTTAGACCTAAAGGAGCCCTTGTAGATCACTTACTCCTTTTTTTTCACAAGTGAGCAAACTGAAGCTCAGAGAAAGAAAGAAACTTGCCCTGCATCATACAGTACCTAGCTAGCACAGTGCTGGCACATGGTAGACACTCAATAAATATCTGTTGAATCCAGGGTTGATACATAACCTACCAAGTAATTATAGCCAGCATCTGACCTGACTGGTTGGTGCCCATGTCACATAGCTTTAACATCGCCCCCCAACTGAACAGATGAAGGAATGAAAATAAAGTAGTAAAGCCAGATTGTTCTTGACTTGCAGACATTCTTTTTCTGTAATTCTAGTTCTAGTCTTCATGGGGCCCTAAGTGGGCAGGCAGGGCCACCTTTGGCTGCAAAGCTTACAGAGAATCCAGGCCTCCTCTGGACTCGATGTTTGTTAATTGTCCATTAGCCTCCTCAGTGCTCCTAGGTACTGGCCAGCCTTATTTGGGGCTGCATAGCAGGCAGAGTGTACGGCAACCCTCACATGTTAAAGGTTTGATCTGCACTCTCATCCTAACAAAGTAATTAATTGGGGCTCCAAACTACCTATTTCACTGTCAGGGAGTGGATACCCAGCATTATTTTTCCAGTTCTCATCTACCCCAGGGATGAGGGGAGAGTGGAAAAAAGAAAAGAAAAAAGAAAAAAAATACTTTTAAGTGTTTGTAGAAGCATAAATAAGAATTAATGTTGCTAACTGGATTTATACCATAGAATTTTTTTCTAAAAACAGTATAATTGGAAAATGCCATGTCATTACAAATTCACTACAATGAAGGCAAATATTATAGTATGATATTGTAAACCAAGATTGTCATTTTCACATGAGGAGGGACAAGAAATTGGTTCCAGAATAACAGTATGTGCAACCACAACTACCATTTATTAAAGTTCACTGTGCTAAGCATTTTACATTTTATTTCACTGACACCTCACAGCAACGCTAGGTGGTAGGTCCTTTTATCAGCATTTTACAGATGAGGACTGAGCCTCAGGTAGATCAAGTTAAGAAAATCTCCCAAAAAGCAGAACCAAAAGACAAATAAAGGGAACATGGGAGAAAAAAGATACGAAAATTACAGAATCAGTCCAGGATGTCCAATGTACAACTAATAGGAATCCTAGAGATAAAGAAAACACAAGGGAAGCTATTGTGTGAGAAATAATAGAAAGCAATGTCTTAAAAATGAAGCATGAGATTTTAGATTGAAAGGGCTCACAAAGTCCAGCCCAGTAAATGGAAGAAGATCCACAATAAGGCATATCATTAAAATTTAAAACACCAAGAGAAAAGAGGCCAAGAGAAAACCTTGCAGATAAAAGTTACATGTAGAAAATTAGAAATCAGACATTTCTAAAGCAACACTAGAAGCAACAACACATCGGAATAATGCTTTCAACATTCTCAGAGGAAATTGTTTCCAATTAGTAATTCTTCACCTAGTAAAAATTTTAATCATGTGTGAAGATTATATTTAGACAAAAAATGATTTTACAAAAATCATCTTGGCTGGGAGCAATGGCTCATGCCTGTAATCTCAGCACTTTGGGAGGCCATAGTGGGAGGATTGTTTGAGCCCAGGAGTTCAACATCAGCTTGGGCAACACAGGGAGACCCCCATCTCTACAAAAAAATAAAAATTAACAGCTGAGCATGGTGGCAAGTGCCTGTAGTCCCAGCTACTCGGAAGGCTGAGGTAGGAGAACCGCTTGAACCTGGGAGGTGGAGATTGCAGTGAGCCGAGCTCGCATTACTGCACTCCAGCCTGCATGATAAAAGTGAGACCCTGTCTCAAAAAAAATAAATAAAATAAAATGAATGAAACTTAGCTGGGCATGGTGGTATGTGCCCATAGTCCGAGCTAATTGGGAGGCTGAGGTGGGATGATCACTTCAGCCCGGAAGGTCGAGGCTGCAGTGAGCCGTGATCATGCCACTGTCCCGAATTGGTGGGTTCTTGGTCTCCCTGACTTCAAGAATGAAGCCGCGGACCCACGCCGTGACTGTTACAGCTCTTAAGGTGGCGCGTCTGGAGTCTGTCCCTTCTGATGTTCAGATGTGTTCCGAGTTTCTTCCTTCTGGTGGGTTCGTGGTCTCACTGGCTAATGAGTGAAGCTGCAGACCTTGGCGGTGTGTGTTACAGCTCTTAAGGTAGCGCGTCTGGAGTTCTTCGTTCCTCCCGGTGGGCTCGTGGTCTCGCTGGGCTCAGGAGTGAAGCCGCAGGTCTTCGCAGTGAGTGTTACAGCTCATAAAAGCAGCGTGGACCCAAAGAGTGAGCAGTAGCAAGATATTGCAAAGAGTGAAAGAAGTGGAAGGGGACCCGCGCGGGTCGCCACTGCTGGCTCAGGCAGCCTGCTTTTATTCTCTTATCTGGCCCCACCCACATCCTGCTGATTGGTAGAGCCCAGTGGCCTGTTTTGTCAGGGCACTTATTGGTACGTTTACAATCCCTGAGCTAGATACAAAGGTTCTCTACCTCCCCATTAGATTAGTTAGATACAGACTTTGGATACACAGGTTCTCCAAGGCCCCACCAGAGCAGCTAGATACAGAGTGTCAATTGGTGCACTCACAAACCTTGAGCTAAACACAGGGTGCTGATTGGTGTGTTTACAAACCTTCAGCTAGATACAGAGTGCCGATTGGTGTATTTACAATCCCTGAGCTAGACATAAAGGTTCTCCAAGGCCCCACCAGAGCAGCTAGATACAGAGTGTCGATTGGTGCACTCACAAACCTTGAGCTAAACACAAGGTGCTGATTGGTGTGTTTACAATCCCTGAGCTAGACATAAAGGTTCTCCAAGGCCCCACCAGAGCAGCTAGATACAGAGTGTCGATTGGTGCACTCACAAACCTTGAGCTAAACACAAGGTGCTGATTGGTGTGTTTACAATCCCTGAGCTAGACATAAAGGTTCTCCAAGGCCCCACCAGAGCAGCTAGATACAGAGTGTCGATTGGTGCACTCACAAACCTTGAGCTACACACAGGGTGATGATTGGTGTGTTTACAATCCCTGAGCTAGACATAAAGGTTCTCCACATCCTCACCAGAGCAGCTAGATACAGAGTGTCGATTGGTGCACTCACAAACCTTGAGCTAAACACAGGGTGCTGATTGGTGTATTTACAATCCCTGAGCTACATACAAAGACTCTCCACGTCCCCACCAGACTCAGGAGCTCAGCTGGCTTCACCTCGTGGATCCCGCACAGGGGCTGCAGGTGGAGCTGCCTGCCAGTCCTGCACTGTGCGCTCGCATTCCTCAGCCCTTGGGTGGTCAATGGGACTGGGCGCCGTGGAGCAGGGGGTAGTGCTCGTCCGGGAGGCTCGGGCCGCACAGGAGCCCATGGAGTGGGTGGGAGGCTCAGGCATGGAGGGCTGCAGGTCCCGAGCCCTGCCCCGCGGGAAGGCAGCTAAGGCTCGGTGAGAAATCGAGCACAGCGCCGGTGGGCCGGCACTGCTGGGGGACTCAGTACACCCTCCGCAGCCATTGGCCCGGGTGCTAAGTCCCCCATTGCCCGGGGCCAGCAGGGCTGGCTGGCTGCTCCGAGTGCGGGCCCCGCCAAGCCCATGCCCACCCGGAACTCCAGCTGGCCCACAAGCGCCTCACGCAGCCCCGGTTCCCGCTCGTGCCTCTCCCTCCACACCTCCCTGCAAGCTGAGGGAGTGGGCTCCAGCCTTGGCCAGCCCAGAAAGGGGCTCCCACAGTGCAGCGGCGGGCCGAAGGGCTCCTCAAGTGCCGCCAAAGTGGGAGCCCAGGCAGAGGAGGCGCCGAGAGCGAGCGAGGGCTGTGAGGACTGCCAGCACGCTGTCCCCTCTCACCACTGTACTCTAGCCTGGGCAATAGAATGAGACCCTGTCTGAAAAAAATAAAAATCACCTCCCATGCAACCTTTCTAAGGAACTTAGTAAACGGTGTGGTCCAGCAAAACCAGGGCATAATCCAAGAAGGGGGACAACTGGGAATGCAGGAAACAGAAGCTGGAAGTGGAGGGAATTCCCAGGATGGCAGCTAGGTGCTCGGCCTAGAGAACAACCATTTCAGGATGGATCAGGAGGGCAGCAAACTCTAAAGAGGGCTGTCTCCCCCCAAAAATTCATGAAACTCATGGATTACCTAACATGTTTGATCATATTGAGTGAAGTGTTATGGTTCTTCAGAAAAGTTTGGGATTGAACTCATGACAGGTACATACAAAAATAAATCAAAGAAAGGGAGACAATATGGGGAAAAGTTTGGGATTGAACTCATGACAGGTACATAAAAAAATAAAGGGGAGACAATATGGGGAAAAAAACAAAAAAATATAATTAATGGTACAGTGCATAAGTTAACCACAAGCAATATTTATATAAGTATAATGCAAATATTGACTATTTTAACGAAAATATTTATATTTTTGGAAGAGAAGTGTGAGTATGTGTGCACAAGTGCGTGTTGAGAGGCATAAAAGCAAGCTAATTCCTCATCTTCTACAGAAGAAAGATCATTTCTAAATCTAAAGAAATTGCAATATTAGGGTATTATTCAAAAGTAAAGGGTTATATACCAAAAGAAACAGGTAAAACATGTTAAATGTAGTTTAAAATAACACAAACATATTATATCACACTTCTGTAGGTCAGAAGTCCAGCACAGTGTGGCTGCACTCTCTGCTCAGGGTCTCACAAGGCCCAGATTATGGTGTCTGCCAGCTTGTGCTCCTATATGGAGGCTCTGGGAGAAAATCTGCATCCAGGCCCACTCAAGTTACTGGTAGTATCCAGTTCCTTCTCACACTTCCTACATGGCCCCTTACATCCTCAAGCCAGCAACAGCACTTTGAGCCCTTTTTGTGCTTTGGCTCTTTCTCCCTCTTCTGCTTTCAGCCAAAGCAGCCAATTTCTCGGCTTCTAAGGGCTTGATATTGGGCTCACCCAGATAATCCAGGAAAATCTATCTTAAGGCCTGAACCACAATTACATCTGCAAAGTTCCTTTTTCCATGTAAAGTTACATAGCCACAGGTCCCAGAATTAGGGTGTTGACATCTTTTCTAGGAGCAGGAATCAGGGGTAAGGAGGAGTGGGACAGGAGGCTGCTTTTTTTAAATGATAAGCCCTATAATACTCTTTGGCTTTTAAAGTATCATACATGCATATTAAGAAATATTTGTTAGATGCAATCATGGCTGGGCCCTTGTGAAAATCCTGATTTGGGTAGACCACAGGTTTCATCTAATGTATTAATTCCTTTGTTCTTCCCACTGCATTAAAGGGCCTGCTCCTCTGGTTATTTTTGGCAGTTTCGCTACATCCTGTAGTGAATAAGAGGTATTTTCTTGATTTGTAAAACAAAAATCATCTTAACCTTTATTGGATGTCAAAATTAATAGAGCTAATCTAGTCCAACCTCCTCATTTTACAGATGAGAACGCTGATGCCTAGAGCTAGTGTTTATAGCAAAGATTCTCACTTCCAAATGAACTCCACAACCTATGGTCACCATTAGGAGTCATGGATGGGATTATACATCACTGTCTAACACCTTCATTTTACAGATAGGGAAACAGACCCAGACAGAGAAAGTTATCTGCCCACATTCATTTGGAACTCCTAAATGATAATCCAGGTTTCTTTCCCCTATACAAAGTAGCCTTCCCTTAACTAACCACCTGATACTAAGCCAAATCTTATTGACTTCTAAATTCCTATTACATAACACATTGTCTAGCTCGTAGATAAATGAATGCACAAATGAATCTCTTAAAAGACACTATAGGCCAGGCACGGTGGCTCACGCCTGTAATCCCAGCACTTTGGGAGGCCGAGGCGGGCGGATCACCTGAGGCCGGGAGTTCGAGACCAGCCTGACCAACATGGAGAAACCCCATCTCTACTAAAAATACAAACATTAGCCGGGCGTGGTGGCGGTCACCTAGTCTCAGCTACTTGGGGGGCTGAGGCAGGAGAATCCCTTGAACCCGGGAGGCAGAGGTTGTGGTGAACTGAGATTGTGCCATTGCACTCCAGCCTGGGCAACACGAGCAAAATCCCGTCTCAAAAAAACAAAACAAAACAAAAAAGATGCTATAAAATGCTCACTTTGCAATTAATGATTTAAAATCAGAAATCTTCCAGTTGATAAGCAATTTGGCAAAATGCGAAATAAGATGTTTTTTTCTTTAGGTAACTGCCTTTTGGGGACAAGTAAATATACCACTGACTATATTATACAGGCTTTAAAGTCAGGCTGACTTGCTTCCCAATTTTGTCTTAGTCTCTTACTAGCTATGTGATCTTGCATACACAGCTCAATCGCTCTATGTCTCAGTTTCTTCATCTGTAAAATGACGTTAACAACACAACCTAACTCATGGGACCAGCATACAGATTATGTGAAATCACACATGTAACTCGGCACATAGGAGCCACTCAGAAACTATTAATTTTCTTTTTATAATGGTCTACCCAATAAATGCTGAAAACCAGCAGTTAAATATTTTCCTGTTGCTAATGGTAAACTAAAAATGTGACCGTTAGGAAAGATAGTAAAAAGCCAGAGAACCTTCAAGAAGAAATCATCTTGGGGATTGATGTCAAAAATATCTAGCACATCCAAATGTCAGTAAAACTCCTCCCTTGCTTAAAGTAAAAGCATGCCAAGATTTAGCTACAGTATTTACAAAAAAGACTTTGTTTGACTCAACCGTTAGGGTTTAAAAGAAAACAGAGTCTCTGAAATAAATGTTCTTGTCCTCTTGCTTTCTTTTAAAACTACTAATAAGTTAGTAGCATAATGTGCTATTCATGTGAGCATAAGTTACACCTTCAAAAGAGCAAGAGTTCATGGAAACAAGGAAATGATAAATTCCTCTGGAAATCAAATGTGCTTAGATCACTCTGGCTCCTCTACCCCTGAGACAAAGTGATCATGTTTGTGGCTACAGGAATTTGTTTTCCATAGATCTCACACAAATTTACGACCTCAAGGGGGTTCTCAATTTTAAATGTTTTCTGTTGTAATACTCACTGTTGATGTGTTAAGAATCAGAAAAGAGGTTTCTTATTTTAAAATAACAAGAACAACAAAACAGCTACACTTACCTAGAAACGGATTTTCAGAATCTTCCTGGATAATTCCAGATAAATAACTTGACCAAGATCAGCACCCTCACTCTTTCCCTAGGGTTTGGATTCTATAAAGATTCAGGGTAATTAGCAAATGTGATCTGGCTGAAGACACACTCCTTGAGCTTAACACAAATGAGGGGAAGAAAACCTCCATGACATTAAAACCATTTTGCTGTAGTTATAGAAAATATGAAACTGTATCACCAGCTTTTAAAAGGACAGCTATTGAAAACTGATTTTTTTTTCTTTTTCTTTTTTTTTTTTTTTTTTTGAGACGGAGTCTCGCTCTGTTGCCCAGGCTGGAGTGCAGTGGCATGCTGCAAGCTCCACCTCCCGGGTTCACGCCATTCTCCTGCCTCAGCCTCCTGAGTAGCTGGGACCACAGTCGCCCGCCACTACACCCAGCTAATTTTTTTGTATTTTTAGTACAGCTGGGGTTTCACCGTGTTAGCCAGGATGGTCTGGATCTCCTGACCTCATGATCAGCCCGCTTCAGCCTTCCAAAGTGCTGGGATTACAGGCGTGAGCCACTGCGTCCAGTCAAAAACTGACTTTCTTGGTCTCTAATCTAACCTGCTAATATATTCCCTTGTGACTAGACATTGCACATCATGTATATCATTAATCATATTGCATTCCACTTTAGCTTAATATTAGAAAGGACCAACCCTCCATTTCCATTAATTATCATAACTACAATTTATTGAATACTTAAGTCCCTTCAAGTGCTGCTTACAAAGGCTAAATTAATATTAAACTAAGTGTATTTATGCCCTTATCAGAAAACATAGGCACACCGGAACAGCCAGAACATCAAAGAAACTCATGATGAATGATTATAAGATAAAATAGCTGGCTTGGAATTTTTTCATAATGTTTCTTCTTTTAACTCCAATTTTCTCTACCTCCCACCATTTCCCCAAAATAAGACCAAAGGAAAACATTTGGGTGACATACAAAAAGACAATATTTATTTTACTCAAGCTTTCCTATAAGAAGTTAAACAGAAACAATCCCTGGTTGAAGACTACCAAAAATGTTAACATTGTTTCACATATCCCTTCAGTGCCCAGATGAAGGGAAAAACTTAACTGAACGAAAGAATAAGAATTACCATCCTGACACTGGGTTTGCTTAGGTATGTTAGGAAAAAATCCACATAGGCTAGACCTAAAACAGTAAATGAGCCTACTAATTTCCCACAGGGGATGGGAAATCCACTGATACAGACACCTCCAAGAGCTCCCAAGACCTAGGGATCACAACCACCACAGGTATTCCCATAACTTCCTTTTCCCTCCCTTTTCCCTCAGCTATTTTACTGCTAAAAGAAGAGGATGGGAACAAAAGATCACTTCCCCACTCCCAGACTGCATGACTGTCAGCATCAATGTTTGTTGGGAATTTCACAGCATCCTCTTCATGGCCATCTAAATAGGATAACAGTAAAAATGGCTAGGGGGAGGCATGGGTTTTGCTTCCCAGAATTATAAAATACCTGGAAAGGAATTAATCTCATTCCTATACAGGAAAACCAAATATTCTTTCTAGAGAACAGCAGAACAAAGTAGAACATCTACTACGGCTGTCTCCCAGCCTCAATCTGACTTCAAGAATAACTTTACATCTGCCATTGTCATGAACCCCAGCTTCCTCAGAGAAGCCAGGGCACCATGCTTCTACACGGCCATGGAAGCAGGTTGCCACTTGTACCCAAACCTGTAGAGAGTGAGGGTTTCTTATCTCCCCTCCCCTAGGAGCAGGAATTGCAAATAGCATCATTGTATTAATATGATTGGTAAATGTTTGAACAACTTGGAAATAAAGTTCTCAAGTTCCTACCAGTAATATGAGTCTGTGTGTGAGGAGAGAAATGGGGTGGGGGAAATGCCTCTCATTTCCCATACTTCTTTAAATTTGGGGGAAGTAAGAGTAGAGGGGATATATACGGATATGTTGTGTGGATAGGTGAGAATGGAACCCAATATATGCCCCCCAAAAGCATAAACAGAGCCTTGGCTGGCTGGCTACCAATGTAAGACACAAAAGCTATTTAATTAATCATTTATGGCAGAGAAAAGAGGAATCCTGGACCCATCTTGTAAAGAAAGAGAAATAGGTTCAACTATTCTTTTTTTCTCAAGCGAATACCAATGTTCTACGTGAAGATACCACCTCATCTCTGTTTAGAAAATGCACAAATATCAATGCTGAAAACCCTCACATGGAAGTTACAAAATATGCAAGAATTAGTCATTGTTTCTCAGATTACTCACACTTAACCTGAGATGCTAATTATCCTCTGCTCCTCCAGGTCTCCTGAGCAGATTTACATCCTAATTTCCAATGAAAGTCAAAAGGCTACAAGGAAGGGAAGGAGGGAGAATGCAAAAGGGGAAATCAGTGTTGGAATTGAGGAGTTAAAAGGTCTGAAAAATGACTGGTGGAGATTAAAAAAAAAAGTGGCAAGAACTGAGGAGTCTCAAATAGACTGTAAACCCCTGGAAGGGGTCTGTGCTTCACACCCGGGGGCCTAGCACAAACCAAAGACACAGTAAATGCTACTTGAGTAGCAGAGGTGAAGAAAATACATTGTTAGAGACTTCATGGTTGAAACTCTAATACCCAAGGAGTCATTCTACCTCCACTGCCCCTAACAGCCTAAAATGGCTTTGAAAGGTCTTGGCAAAGAAGCTGCCTCTGGTTTTTCTGTAGTTGTCATCATGGCCAACACTGATTTCTGGGGCTTTCAAAGCAGAGGAAAATGCTGTCGAAGGGAATGATGACTCCAGAATATTAAGAGGTTTTTTTGTTTTGTTTTGTTTTGTTTTGTTTTTTAGACAGAGTCTTGCTCTGTCACCCAGGCTAGAGTGCAGTGGTGTGATCTCTGCTCACTGCAACCTCCACCTCCCAGGTTCAAACAATTCACCTGCCTCAGCTTCCCGAGTAGCTGGGATTACAGGCACGCGCCACCACACCCAGTTAATTTTTGTAGTTTTAGTAGAGAGGAGGTTTCACCATTTTGGTCAGGCTGGTCTGGAACTCCTGACCTCGAGTGATCCGCCCGCCTCGGACTCCCAAATTGCTGGGATTACAGGCGTGAGCCACCGGACCCAGCCCAGACTGTTAAAAGAGTTTTAATAGCCACAAACATGGTTCAATAGGATCCCAAACAATACATATCAGATTTTATCCATTTTGTTTTCTACATGTTCTTTGTGACTCAAGTTTGACATTAGCATTTGCACCCCAAATGAGTTCCCCTACAAATAAAATTTGTTCATGTTGACACAAAGAACACAAAGCAAGTATAGATCCCTCAGGAAGTTGTCACAACTCTTGATAAGATTAACTCCACCACTATCATCACTTTTTGCTTTGTCCCCTAGTTTGAAGCCTGCTGGCTTTTATAATTCAATGAGAATGACTCCACACTCTTCTCCAAAGCGCCCATTATTTTTAGTTTTTCGGTGCGCGACTCAACATAAAGACCTGTGGCTCTTATGAGCTGCCTGTTTTTAAATGGTGCAGTAGTTTCAGTTTCCATTTAATAAGTTCCCAGATAACAAATGGAGAATGGGAAGAATCTTCTCAAGGTCACAGTGAAGGTAAAAATAAATTATCTCCATCACTGAGAGGCTTTCTTCAGGTTTTCTATCAGCACTACAGAGTCGGTTTCCTCCTTGGTTTGCTTCTCATAGATGTCGTACTTCTTCCAGTGCTAGAAGGGAGGAAAAAAACACATACACAATGACATATCTAAACAGTGTTCTTTCCCTGAGTACTTAGTGCCAATGCTTATTTTTAGGTTTGTGTGGATGGAACCGTAGGGGTATGATTTCCTGTTTTTTTTTTTTTTTTGACCTAAGAATCTTTATCTATCTGAATGATTAATGAAACAGAACAATCAGGAATTAATATTAAATGGAGGTGGGAATCATGAGATAGTTACATGATGTACAATGACTATCTCCAGAAATAAACAAATTTGGACATTTCCACCACTGGAAATAAAATCTATTAAGAAGAATAAAAGGATGTCATGCCGTTCTTACTCCAACTGTTTTGCTGAGACCTTTATTACCTTTATTTTCTTAATGCTCATTGCTCCAGAGACATAATAGGTTCAAAAAGTCAAGTAGCATTGAGATGAATGGTAAAACATAAGATGTTCCTAAAGTCTTACTGCAATCGAAATTGCCGAAAGACCCTATATTAAGAGCTTCATCTAACATCATTTGCTAGAACAGGAAATTACACATAAAGCACACTTATCTTGAACCCAATTCAAGCATGTCTCTTATGGTAAAAGCCAATATCCTGGTCCTTGCCTTTTTTTTACTTTTACTTGTAAATCAGAGGAAAGGGTGAAACATGAGCTCGGTCCTCTCATCTGTAAAATAAAGTTGTTATACTAAACCAGGGGTCAGCAAACTATGGTCCACAGGTCAAATCCGGCTGAATGCTGGTCTTTGTTTCATATTGCCTTCACCTGCATTCATGTTATAATGGCAGAGTTGAGTTGTGACAGAGACTGAATGGCTTGCAAAAACAAAATCATTTATTATCTGGCCCTTTACAGAAAAAAGTCTACCAAACCCTGCATTAGGTTATGTCTAAGCTCGTTTTCTGCACAGATGTTCTTAGAAAAGAAATGGAAAGAAGAAAAACAGAAACAAGAGCTGCCTCAGGTTGTGCAACTGAAGATGGACTGGGCAAGTTAAGAGATGAGGGGATGAGTTGGGAAACACTGCTCAAAATATGCAAATTATTCTAAACAAATTATATAACCCTGACACACCTACTAGAATGGCTAAAATTAAAAATACCGACAATTCCAAGCGCTCATAAGAACGCAGAGAAACTAGATCTCTATGTATTGTTGGTAAAAATAAGATAGTGCAATCATTATGGAAAACAGTCTGACACTTGGTTATAAAATAACACATACACTTACCACATGACCCAGAAATCCCACTCCCAGGTATTTACCCAAGAGAAATGAAAACATGTCACACAAAGACTTCTACATGAATGTTTATAGCATTTTCACTAATAATAGATTAAAAACTAGATACAACTCTGATGTCCTTGAACAAGTGAATGGTTAAATAAACTGTGGTTACAACCATATTATAGAATACTGCTCAGCAATAAAAGGAAATGAACTACTGACACACACCACAGTGTGGATGTCTCTTAAACACATTATGCTGAGTAAAAGAAGCCAAACTCAAAAAGCTATGTACTGTGTGATTTCATTTATAGGACATCTTGTAAGACTTTAGGGACAGAAAACTGATCAGTGTTTGCAAGGCGATTAACAGAGGGGGTTGACTGCAAAGGACTACAAGATAACTTTTAGGAGATGATGGAAATATTCTATATTTTTAATGGAGCAGTGGTTACAAAATTGCATATATTTGCTAACATTCTTCTAACTGAACACTCAAAAAAGAGTAAATTTTATTGTAAATTACACCTCAAACTTGATTTTAAAACATGTGAAATGTATAGATTTCTAATAAAAACAATTTGAAAAAATTATATAACCTTGAAAAAATGGCTTATTTAATAAATGACACTAAGACAAGTGGGTAATATAAGCATTTGAAAACAATGCTAAACCCTACCTCATAGCCTACATGAATAAATCCCTGATGGATTAAAGATCTCAATGTTAAAAAAAATCAAATAAGTACTAGAAAAATATGTAGAGGAACAACTATATAAATCTAAGGTGGAAAGGGCTCTTTACACCTAAAAATACAGGAAGATTTGACTGCATAAAAAAGGAAAAACCTTTTGTACATCATTAATCACCCTAAATACAATACAAAGGAAAACATGGATAAGAAGCCAGAGGGTTAATATCTAATACGTAAAGAGCTTTACAAACCACCAAAAGATGAATACAACAAGGAAAAATGGACGTGGAACAAGAATTTCACAAAAGAATTAATTCAAGCCAATAAACTTGGGAAAAAGTACAAAACCTGACTGTAAAATTAAGACGCTCTTTTCTCATCTATTAACTTGGCAAGAATTTTAAAATTAGGTAATATCATATTGGCAAAAGTATGGTCAAACAACCAGTCGAACATACTGCTGGTAGGTATATGAACTGGCACAACTTAGTTGTAATCTATGCTTCTTATGAAAAAATTTGTTTGTGCATTTTAATGCCCCAGTTTCCTTAACACAAAGGAATCATACTCTCCATATGTAACCTGGGTGTTTCACCTAACAGTGTATGTTATATTTTTATACATCAGTAAAAGTGATCTACCTCATTTTAACCTCTACATAATATTTCATTGCATGAATGCACCATAACTTATTTAGCCAGTTTCCTTAATGGGAATTTAATTTGTACAACCTTTCTGGATGACAATTTGTCAATACAGGTAGAATATCCCTTATGCAAAATGCTTGGGACCAGAAGTGTTTCAGCTTTTGGAATATTTGCACTATATACTTACCAGCTGAGCATCACTAACGCAAAAATCTGAAATTCCAAATGTTGCAATGAACATTTCCTTTGAACGTCATGTTAGAAAGTTTCAGATTTGGGAGCATTTCGGATTTTAGATTTTCAGATTAGGAATACTCAGCCTGTATCAGTCAAAGAGTTTAAAATACATATACCCTCCCCCTTGATCATGCAATTTGGCTTGTAACAATTTATCCTAAGACAGTAATAAAATATTAATACATATGCTTATACTTAGCTGTGAAATGATGCCTATACAATGAAATTTAGGATTCATCCAAATGCCAATAGGAATTTTGTTAAGTACATTATAATATGTGCACACAATGGAATATTATTTAGCCACTAAAAACTATATTATAGGGGACCAGGGTTGACTAACTTTTCCTGAAAATGGCTAGATAAGAAGTATTTTCAGCTTCGGGGGCCATATAGTCTCTGTGCCTATAAAACAACTCTGCTGTTGTAGCATGAAAGCAGCCACAGACAATATATAAATGAATGGGCCTGGCCAACGAAACTGTATGACACTGAAATCTTAATTTCATGTGCCATGAAATAGTATTCTTACATTTTTTTCCCAACTATTTAGAAGCACAAAAACCATTCTTAGGTTAAAGACTGTACAAAAACAAGTGGCAGGCAGAATTTGCCCCTTGGTCTATAGTTTGCAGAAAAATTCTGCGAAGAAGATGGTGGTAGCAGCATCGTTTTTGAATATTCCCAAATATCACCATAAAAAAACACAAGTTGGAAATATAAATAGGAAAGTGTTGCGTGAAGTCAGGGACCCCGAACGGAGGGACCTGCTGAAGTCATGACAGAAGAATATAAATTGTGAAGATTTCATGGACATTTATTAGTTCTCCAAATTAATACTTTTATAATTTCTTACGCCTCTCTTTACTGCAATCTCTGAACATAAATTGTGAAGATTTCATAGACATTTATCACTTCCCCAATCAATACTCTTATAACTTCCTATGCCTATCTTTACTTTAATCTCTTAATCCCGTCATCTTCATAAACTGAGGATGTATGTCGCCTCAGGCCCCTGTGATGATTGCATTAACTGCACAAATTGTTCATAAAGCATGTGTGTTTGAACAATATGAAATCTGGGCACCTTGAAAAAAGAAAAGGATAACAGCAATGTTCAGGGAACAAGGGAGATAACCATTAGGTCTGACTGCCTGGAGCCGGGCAGGACAGTCATATTTCTCTTATTGCCAAAAACAGGTACGAGAAATATCACTGAATTATTTCCCCAGTAAGGAATATTAGCAATTAACAGCCCTGGGAAAAGAATGCATTCCCAGGAGGAGGCCTCTAAAATGGCTGCTCTAGGAGTGTCTGCCTTATGCAGTCATAGATAGAGATGAAACACGCCCTAGTCTCCTGCAGCACCCTCAGGCTTATTAGGATTAGGAAATTTCTGCCTAGTAAATTTTAGTCAGAATGGTTGTCTGCTCTCAAACCCTGTTTCCTGATGTTTATCAATGACAATGCATGCACAGCAGGACCAGGAACCAGGCGAAATTCTAGTTTCGCCCTGGCCTTGTGACCTTGCCCTGCCCATTTGCCTTGTGATATTTTGTTGCCCTTGAAGCATGTGATCTCTGTGACCCACACCCTATTCGTACACTCCCTCCCCTTTGAAAATTGCTAATAAAAACTTGCTGGTTTTACGGCTTAGGGGGCATCATGGAACCTGCTGACATGTGATGTCTCCCCCAGACATCCAGCTTTAAAATTTCTCTCTTTTGTACTCTTTCCCTTTATTTATCAGACCGGCTGACACTTAGGGAAAATAGAAAAGAACTTACGTTGAAATATTGGGGGCTGGTTCCCCCAATAGGAAAGTAAATCCAAAATCTACCAACACAAGATGAAATCTACAACAAAACAAGATGAAAACATTTCCCCCATGAACCTCAAAGTAAGAGTGAATGTGGACAAATTAGAGATAGTTACAGGACCAAAATGGTATAAGCTGTGGAAGAGTATATAAACGGACTCAACATGGCATCCTATAGATCTGAGAACTGTAAAATAACTCAACTTCAGCAAGCAAATTTATGAACAACTGATAAAGGGAAGGGTTTGCATTTTCAAACAGTGATTGAGTGCAAGGAGTCCGTGGTCTAGACTGAAAGCAGCCTGGGCCTCCAGAAACTCAAAACTAATCCTTAATCCCTTCCAGGGCAAAGCTGCACTCTGAGGAGAAACTGGTGAAACTGGATTACAAATTAGTCAGGACAGGGACAAGAGCGACAAAAAAGAAAGCCTAGATCAAAGCAGAAAGGTAGACAGAAAGGGCCAGGAGATTTCAGAATGTAATTCATTAGAGGATGGAGCTCTACAGCCATAAAATTAGGGAAAGAAACAACTTGTCTCAATCAAGCCTCCTTCTAAAAGTTCAGGAAACTGATTTCATACAAAAATGAACAACAGAAGCCAAGTGTGGTTGTTCACGCCTATAATCCCAGCACTTTGGGAGGCCAAGGCAGGAGGATTGCTTGAGCCCAGGAATTTGAGACCAGCCTGGGCAATATGGTGAAACCCCACCTCTACAAAAATAATAATTTTTTTTTTTTTTGAGATGGAGTCTCACACTGTTGCCCGGGCTGGAGTGCAGAGGCGTGATCTTGGCTCACTGCAACTTCTGCCTCCAGGTTCAAGCGATTCTCCTTGCCTCAGCCACCCAAGTAGCTGGGATTACAGGCACCCGCCACCAAGCCTGGCTAATTTTTTTGTATTTTTAGTAGAGACGGGGTTTTGCTATGTTGGCCAAGCTGGTCTTGAACTCCTGACCTTGTGATCTGTCTGCCTCAGCCTCCCAAAGTGACAATTATTTTTAAAATAAAAAATGTTTAAAATTAAAGAATAAAATAAAAATGAGCCACAGAATAATACTCTTACAGAATTAAAACATAACAGAACGATATATCCACAAAATAGATGAAAACTACAACCTAATATTTCAAAACTAGCTGAAGTATATTTAAAAAGTTACATGATATAAAAAAAGTAATCAATGTAGAAGAATATATTAAAAGTCAATATAAACAACTCAGAAATTGGATGACAAAACTCACAGAAGAATTAAAAGTAAAAGAAGGCTGGGCGCAGTGGCTCATGCTTGTAATCCCAGCACTTTGGGAGGTCAAGGTGGGTGGATCACTTGAGGTCAGGGGTTCGAGACCAGCCTGGCCAACATGGTGCAACCCCATCTCTAATAACAATACAAAATTAGCCAGGCATGGTGGCATGTGCCTGTAATCCCAGCTACTTGGGAGGCTGAGGCAGGAGAATCACTTGAACCTGGGAGGCGGAGTTTGCAGTGAGCCAAGATCGCACCACTGCACTCCAGCCTGGGCGATGGAGTGAGACTCCATCTCAAAAAATAAAACAAAATAAAAGTAAAGGAAAATAATCATTTCAAAATTGAAGACTAAGCTAGAAGAAACACAGGGCAAATAAACACAACATATCATCAGATAAGATCTTAAATAGATTAAAAAGTAGGATTTTTTAACAAAAATGAAATGAAGGTGGATGAAAATTATTCAAGAGGATGTGAAAGGGCTGGAAGGGCTGGGTGCAGCGGCTCACACCTATAATTCCTGAACTCTGGAAGTTCCAGGTGGGGGAATAACTTGAAGCCAGTAGTTCAAGACCAGACTGGGCAACACAGCAAGACTGCATCTCTAAAAAAAATTTAAAAATTAGCCAGGCATGGTGGCACATGCCTGTCCCAGCTATTCAGGAGGCTGAGTTGGGAGGATCACTTGAGCCCAGATGTTGGAGTCTGCAATAAGCTATCATGGTGCCACCATACTCCAGCCCAGCCAACAGAGCAAGACCCTGTGCCAAAACAAAAAAGATGTGAAAGGTCAAAGAAAACATGGGAAGAGAATAACTAAAATCTGTAAGTGAAGAAACTTTTACTAAAATTAAAAAAAAAAAGATCTAAAATTACATACTGAGAAAGCACACCATACACTGCAAAAAATCACAACGCCAACACATATTCTGGTAAAATTATTGGACTTTGAAGAAAAAAATCATTTGACAACCAGCCAAAAAGACCAAGTGTTTTAATACAGGAGGAAAATTATATTGTCTGCTGACTCTGACAAAACATATTATGCCAGAAGAAAATGGATGACACATTTAAGATACGCAACGCAGGACCTATGAGCCATGGATTTTATATTTTGCCAAAATGACTTTCAATGATAAATGTAGCAAATTCCATCAATTTGTAAATAATTCAGGAAATGCCGGTCCCATGAATACTTCCTGAGAAAACTTTCCAGCTTCAAACAACCCAAATGACTGGAGCAATGTTGACATAAAAAATGGTAGTGAGCATCAAGTGTATCTCCACACACTGAAGTAAGACTAAATGAGGGCTCTATATGAGGACACAATGGAGATGTTCAACAACTATAAAAATGGGGAGCAAATGGGGAGAGCATATGGAAAAATATCTTTTCAATCATCATTAAAATTTATTTTATATCAAAAGTTCAGAAATTCTTTTAATTCTCATTTGTTACATTCAAATACAATTCAATATGACAGTGTTATTAAGACACATAGTAAAGGTTCCATAAGTATGAACTATTATTATTGTGGTTGCTATTACTCCATTTATCACTAAAGGTATTTCAGTTTCCCTATGTTGTTCACATACCATTAAAGATAGTTATATCTGGGTGACAGGATTAAGAGTGATTTTGTCTTTCTCTCTTGACTATCTGTAGTTCTAATTTGTCTATACTAAATGTATATTGCTTTTAAAAGAATATATATACGTATATATGTGTATATACGTATATATATATATATATACATATATATACATATATACGTATATATATATATATATATTTTTTTTTTTTTTGGCGACAGAGTCTCATTTTTGTTGCCCAGGCTGGAGTGCAGTGGCTCAATCTCGGCTCATTACAACCTCCGCCTCCCAGGCTTAAGCGATTCTCCTGCCTCAGCCTCCCAAGTAGCTGGGATTACAGGCATGCATCACCATGCCTGGTCAATTTTGTATTTTTAGTAGACGGGGTTTCACCATGTTGGCCAGGTTGGTCTCGAACTCCTGACCTCAGGTGATCCGCTTGCCTCATCCTCCCAAGTGATCAGAAAAAAAAAAAAAGTTTTAATTTAAAAAATGCATGAATGTATAGTGGTGAAGTGTGTGTGTGTGTGTGTGTAATATGGATTTTTCACAAATAAAAACTGTATAACTATTAAAAATGCACCCTGAAAATTACTTTTGTTTCCGGTCATTAGACCAACACTTGGCTGTGCTGGACAAGAAAAAAGCAATTTGTTTTAATGAGGTGAACACTACAACAGAAAGGGCTTCTCAGAATACATTAATCTTTCTGATTGCCTTTTTTCATCCCCAAAATTTGAATTACTCTCATTTCCACCCTTTATCAACACAGTGGCCTTTTCCTGAGTACTGCTTCTATGAATATGTCCATGTAAGGTAAAAGAAATAAATGCAATGGCTCTTTCCTATTATTCAATTCTGTGAATTATATGCCTGTCTAATTTTAAAACCACTTGTAGAAAAAAATAAACAAATCCACACAATTACCAGCCCAAAATTCAATCCTTACTGCCAATTTTAAAAACAAAGTAATCAACAACAGAGTAATGGCCAAAGATGAAAAACATCATAGATGAAGAAAATCAGTGATTAGGGGGCTTACACAACTGGCTTTTAGTTGGTAATTATGTGAGCCTAGAAAAACGGCATGTTATATAGGTTTTTATAATTTAAAGGCATAAATTTGGTAGTACAATGAAATATCAAGTCTCAACTTAAGATTACTTTCAAGATTTGGTTAAGATATTTTCCAGAGTGGATTGTCTACAGAAGTGAAGTGAGCTTCATGTACCTTAGCCCCATGCAAAAACACTGGCCTTTGGTATACAAGTCTACCTATTTCATGCCCCAGTCTCTCTTCAGATTATCATTCAAAACAGAAAGTTATACAAAATGAATTGTAGATCTCCACACCTTAAAATCATTGCAACTTGAAAAAGAACAAGTTGAGGCTCAGCACGGTAGCTCATGCCTGTAATCCCAGCACTTTGGGAGGCCAAGGCAGGCAGATCATTTGAGCCCAGGAGTTTGAGACTAGCCTGGGCAACATGGCAAAAGCCCATTCATACAAAAAAAAAAAAAAATTATTAGCTGGGCGTGGTAGTGCACACCTGTATTCCCAGCTACTTGGGAGGCTGAGATCAGAAGATTGCCTCAGCCCAGGAGGTTGAGGCTGCAGTGAACCATGTTTGCACCACTATATTCCAGCCTGGGCAACACAGTGAGACGCTGTCTCAAAAAAAAAAAGCAAAAACAAAAAAACACCAAGTTGAATGTGGTGGTATGGAGAGGAATAACTTGGTACTATGAGGTGTCTATTAATCCAACTCCTCACCTTAATGGATAAATAAAGGGAAATGATTAAATATGCATCTTGCCTTTTTAGTAGGAACTGAATTTCAGAACAACTAAAGAGCTCAGTTGATGACTGAAAGCAGCGCTTTATAGATACCTGTCAGCTAATAAGTGTAGAAATGGGCCAGGCACGGTGACTCATGCCTGTAGTCCCAGCACTTTGGGAGGCTGAGGCAAGAGGATCGCTTGAGCCTAGAAATTCAAGACCAGCCTGGGCAACATAGTGAGACCTTGTCTCTACAAAAGAAATTTAAAAATTAGCTGAGTGTGGTGGCACGTGACTATAGTCCCAGCTATTCAGGAGGCTGAGGCAGGAAAACTGCTTGAGCTCAGGAGGTCGAGGCTACAGTGAGCAGAGGTTGCATCACTGCCCTCCAGCCTCGGTGACAGAGCAAGATCCTGTCTCAAAAGAAAAAAAAAAGAAAAGTAAATGTAGAAATGATAGAAAGAGAAAAACTGTAATATTCAACCCAACCCCTAAGGAAATTACTGATTCAAGCAAGGATATCAACTGATGTAAAAAGCATTAGCTGAAGACTTGACAAGGTGCTAGCATAACACTACACAGATTATCTGTGTTGAAGCAATGGGGAAATAAGTGCAGATGGCAGGAGGGGACATGCTGTTGTATCACCTTAAATATAGTGGTCAATCTCAACCACTGTCTTAGTGGTCAGTGGTGAGATGACTGGATAATATCTGTCTCCTGACAATTTGGGCAGTTGGAAATACTTGAATATGGACTGAGTATTAGATGAAATTAAGGAATTAATAATTTTTAAAGTACAGTAATGCTATTTTGGCTATGTAGGAAAGCATTCTTAGCTTTTAAAGATAAATATTGAGGCTGGGCGTGGTGGCTCACGCCTGTAATCCCAGCACTTTGGGAGGCCAAGGCGGGCGGACCACCTGAGGTCAGGAGTTCGAGACCAGCCTGGCCAACATGGCAAAACCCCATTTCTACTAAAATTACAAAAATTAGCCAGGCATGGTGGCACCATCTGTAGTCCCAGCTACTCGGGAGGCTGAGGCAGGAGAATCACTTGAACCTGGGAGGCAAAGTTTGCAGTGAGCCAAGATCGTGCCACTGCACTCCAGCCTGAGTGATAGAATGAGACTCCATCTCAAAAAGGAAAAAAAAAAGATACACACTGAAGTAAAAAATAACAATCAGCAGTATTTGGATGTTATCCCCATGTTTAAAAAGCTCCTTTCTGAACAAGAATATAAAAATGGCACAATGCTGAAAATAAGAATTGGTTTCCAAGAAGCAGGGGGAGGACAGATTTTTTTTTTATGGATAAGAGAAATGCAGATAGAGAGGAGAAGCAATTCCCTCTGCAACTCCCCTTACCTCCCCTCAATATGGCCAGAAGCCCAATTAGTCACAAGGAAAAGGCAAATAGCAAAGCAACAGAAAGAAATGCTGTTGGCCAAAACATTACTATAGTAATGAACAAAACATCATCAAAACACGAGTAACTTTAAGGAAAACTATACTGAAGATTTAACTTATTCATGGCCATAACTAAATAAGTTTTTATAAGAACAACTATTAATGGTGCAGTGTGGAAGAAGACAGTGTTTAAAAAAGGACAAGATTATTTATTTGGATTGGAAGTTGGTAACTTTGGGCTATATGGGTTCTAGTCCAGGTTTTGCAGTTGCCTCTCTATGTGACTGACAGTTTGGATATATGTCCCTGCCAAATTTCATACTGAATTGTAATCCCCAACGTTGGAAGTGTGGCCTGGTGGGAAGTGTTTGGGTCATAGGGGTGGATCCCTCATGGCTTAATGCTGTCATCACAACAGTGAGTTCTCATAAGAGCTGTTTAAAAGTGTATGGCACCTCCTACCCCCTCTTGTTCCCACTCTCACCACGTAAGATGCCTGCTCCCCCTTCACTTTCCACCATGACTGTAAGCTTCCTGAGATACTCACCAGAAGCAGATGCTGGCACCACAGTTCCTGTGAAGCCTGCAGAACCATGAGCTAATTAAACCTCTTTTATTTATAAATTACCCAGTTTCAGGTATGTCTTTATAGCAATACAAGATTGGCTTAACACAGTGACAGTCCTTGAGAAACTTCTCTGTGGCTCCTCATGTCCCCATCTCTAAAGAGAGGGAGATGAGTGAGAATCTCGAGTTTTGAACATTTATAATTAAAGGGAAATAATTAAACATGTCAACATCCACCTCATTAGATGACCTCTAGGGCTATGTTCATTCAATAATTCAATGATGCTAGAAGTAAAAGAGTATGCAGCATATGCAGTTCAATTTGTGAGAATTGATGCCATGTGAAGAAAGCAGATTTTTTTCATTTGGTTAAAAGCCGACATAAAAATTTGTTCTCTTACCCTTCCCCATATCTGGAATTTTTATTATACTTTTAGTTTTAAAGAACTGATTTTGTTTAATGGTCTGCAATGGACAAAACAAAAATACCTTGTGCTTTTAATGGTCCATATTGTCAGTATATTTGCGTCACCAAATTACAGAATTATCTGACTCATCGGGACAAAAACAACATATTATCCTCTAGACAGCAAATTGAAAAAAGCAATTTTCCCATCTCTGAGAAAGATAATTGATCTGATTTTGCTGTCAATGTTACCATCATTCACTCTATTACTCAGACTTGAAAACTTGAAATTATTTTTTACTCTCCCTACCTCTCATCACCCACACAGACTCACCAAGTCATAATGAGTTGATTTCCTTTAATAATGTCTCTTACGTCAATCTCCTCTGCTACCACCTAAGTTCAAGTTCCTATTATCTCTCAGACCTGGATGACTACAGTATTTTCTTTTTCCCTTAATGACTTGTACAGGGTTTCTTTTATTATAAAAGTAGTACATGCTCACTATAGGCAATCTGGAAATTTTAGAAAGGTAGAGAGAGAGTAATATCAGTTACCCACAATCCCTTTGCCTAGAAATGATCATTCATTCGGACCCATTTCCTTCCCCTCGTTCTATGTATATATTAATGCATTTTTGATAAAAATTATGATTGTAATATACTACATGTTTATGGTAAGTTTCTTACTCCTGTATTTTGAGTATTTTGTTATAACATTAAATGCTTTGAAAACCTAACATATTTTTTTAAACTAATTCTCAATTGTTATGTTTCATTGGCTTCTAATTTTTCATGTTAAAAGCAAATGCCGCATTGACCACTCTTGTGCCATTGTTGGATCATTTCCTCAAAATTGGTTCCTAAAAGTATAATCATAGGCTCAAAGATTCCTGTTACATTTTACCAGTTTGCCCTCCAGAAAGGATATCTATCATTTTACAGGCCCACCAGCAGTGCATGAAAAGTGCCATTAATATATACAAGACATGCCAATATCTTCCCATTTAAAGCTATTCATAATACAACCCTAAATCTTTTTCTCAGAAATCCCCTATGCCAACCCTCTACTTCTGTCATACAGATGTCTTAGAAGATGGTGAGGTTCTTCAGAACAAGCATTCTATCTTACAAGAGGCAATGCAGCCTAGTAGAAAGACCAAGAGAAGTCTAGCATTAAGACAGCCCTGGGTCAAATTCTACCTTACCACCAACTAGCTGTGTGACTGCAGCTAAATTGCTTAACCTCATTGGGGCTCCATTTCCTCATCTGTAAAATAATACCAACAGCATCTTCTCCATAGGGTGGTTATGAAGATTCAATAAGGTAATATAGGCAAAGCACTTAATACATTGTCTGACACATAGTAGACTTTCAATAGCTGGTGAAAGTTGTTAGGGTACTTGTACAATTCCCAACCTCCAGCATCTATCACAGCTGGTGAAATGAAGTAAGAGACAGGGGTAAATATCTTTATCACTGATTTTCAAAGTGTGGTCCACAGACTCTCTTAGCAGGACAGGGATCATCTGTGGGCTCCTATTAAATATGCAGAGTCCTAGAACTCGTCCCTGACCTGCCAAATCAGGTCAGGTCAGGGAATTGGAAGTAGGGTCCAGAAATCTGTATTTCTTGTAAGCACTCCAGTTGACTGTGACTCAACTAAAGTTGGAGAACCATAGCTATCATACTCGCTCCAGATACGGCATACAATTTCCTCATCAGGTACCTAACTTCTGGGTCTACATGCCCTGACTCCCAGGGTCTGGCAGAGTTATCTACTGTCTGTGAAGATGACCTGGTTAAAAAGTGATCCAAATGAATCCTCTTCTGATAGCATATTTGCCTCTCTGCCTTCCTTCCCTAACCAAATATCATCACTACCATTGAGAATCACCCATTATTACAATAATTATTTGGGAATTAAAGATAAAAATAAATTATTATCAATAGTAATACTAATCACTAACACTTATTAAGCACTTACAAGGTACCAGGTAGGCTAAGCAGTTTCCATTCAATTAACTGTTGGGTATTAAGTTAATCCACATAACAACACTATGAGGCAGGTGCTATTGTTACCTCCATTTTACTAATGAAAAAATTGAGTCACAGAGAAGCTAAGAAAATTATCCAAGGTCAAAAAGATGGTAAATGACACAGCAGGGATATGAATCCAGACAATCTGACTCCAGAAATCAGGCTATTATCTACTATGCAGTACTACTTCCCTAAATTAACTGCCCTATGCTTGTTATTATTCCTTTAAGATATACACAATGATAATAATATTTATTTCATTTAGTGTCTTTATTATTTCAGTAGGGTGGATGATAAATCCAACTAAAGTTAGAAGCCTCAAACCCTTTTGTTCCCATAATGTCTTAGGTTTTCTGGCCACAAATTCTAGCATGAGAATCTGCAGGAAACCAACTATAACAGTTGGGGTAGGGCTGCTCCATTTCTATATCTTTGGAGTCTAGCCTTCCAAGAAACAACATGAACACAATGCATTTCAATTGCTTACCCTATGTTTATATTTCCCCACATCAAGTTTTTTAAATTATCCAAGAGTCAGAAGGCCTGCTCATTAGGCTAGCTTCATAAAGGAGGCCCTTCTTCCTGCATGTTTTGATAAAATATGTCTCCTAACCAGAGAGAGAATGGAGCCCAGTTATATAAGATGAGCAAAGTATTCTGAAGACTTTTTAACTGGTATGCTTGGCCTCAGATACTATATTTTAAATCAGCTCTCCTTCAAATTTTTAAAAATAAATTGTACTTTAGAAGAACCAATTTCAAAAGGAAATTCTGATACATGCTACAACATGAATGAACCTTTAAAACATTATGGTAAATGAAATAAGCCAGACACAAAAGGACAAATTATTGCATGATTTCACATATAGGAGGTATCTAGAATATTTAATTCATAGAGACAAGAAGTAGAATAGAGGCTACCAGGGGTGGGAGGAATGAGGGGATGGGGAATTATTGTTTAACAGCCACAGTTTCTATTTGGGATGATGAAAAATTTCTGGAAAGAGATAGTGGCGATGGTTGTACAACTTATAAATGTATTTAATGACACTAAACTGTATGTGTGTATATATATATATATATATATATACACACACACATATACACACATATATATTTTATTTTTTAGAGAGTCTCGCTCTGTCATCCAGGCTGGAATGCAGTGGCATGATCATGGCTCACTGCAACCTTGAACTCCTGGGCTCAAGGGATCCTCCCACCTCAATCTCCTGAGTAGCTGGGACCACAGGTGCATGCCGCTGCACCCGGCTAATTTTTATATATTTTGTGGAAATGAGATCTCGCAAAAAAATATAAAAATTAGCTGGGTGCAGTGGCATGCTGTCCAGGCTGGTCTCAAACTGCTGGGCTCAAGTGATCCTCCTGCCTCAGCCTCCCAAAGTGTTGGGATTACAGGCGTCAGCTGCCATACCCAGCCTGAACTGTATACTTAAAAATGCTTAAAATAATAAATTTTATGTTATGGATACCTTACCACACTTTTTTAAAAAATGCCATAGCTTCCAAAAAAAAAAAAAAAAAAAAACATTTCAAGCCCCATGAAATCTGTTCTTACCAGAGTATCATCATTCTGGTCTCCAAACATTTCTTTAAAAATCTTGCCAGGATCAGGAATTGGAGGGAATATAATAATCTTGAGCCTTTAAGAAAACAGAGACATTTGATTCAAACCTTCCAGTCCATAGGAGTGTCCCACATAAATACCACCATATTAAAAGAAGGCATGGACAAAAGACATGGTACACAAGTCATCTTTATTGACAAGGCAGTTGTGAAGAAATTTCTAAAATAGGGTACACAAAAATCAATGTTCTAAGGGCATTAAGTTCTACTCTTGCCCATAGGTGGAGCACAGGGACCATCAGAATAAATGAATTACTTATACCCTATCATCTAAATAATATGCTACTCTACTTTTAACAGACCAGATGGGCGCTTGCTCTGTATAATTTTGAAAAGAATAATCTGAGAACAGGATACATTCCTCTGTTTCTTTTTCCTTCCTACTTCTCTCCATTTTTCAATCTTATAGCTTGCCTCCATCTCCCAGTGAGTGTCCATGGATGTGCCCCAGGATTCAGTTTTTTGTCTTCTTGTCTATCTCATTCACTTTATGAGCACTCCTTTCGGTCTTTAGGCTTTAAATCCATTCACATGCCGAGGATTCCCAAAATTAGATCTTCAGCCCAGACCTCTCCCTTCAACTCCAGATTCATGCACAAAATCGCTTATTTAACATCCTTATTTGGATATCTAATAAGCATCTCAAACTTAACATATGCAAAACTGAAGTCCTTATCTTTCCCTCAAACCCAGCTCTCCTCACAGCCTTCTCTGTCTCAGTACATGGCACCAGCATTCACTCAGTTGCTCAAGCCAAAAATCTAAGAGGTATCTCTGAATCCTTAATTACCTTCACACCTCCACAGACAGGCAACTAACAGCAAGTCTTATCAATTCTACTCTCAAAATATATACTATTTCTGACCACTTCTTGCTATCTCCATTGCTAACCCCCTAGTATAGGTTATCCTCATCTTTCTGCCAAAACACTGCAATGCCTCCGAACTACTCCATCGGCTTCCACTTTTGCCCAAGTCAGTTCTTCACTCAGCAACTACAATAATCCTTTATGACAGTAACTCAGACCATGTGCCTACTCTGCTCAAAACTCTCCAATGCTCCTCATCATGCTTAGAATAAAATCTCAGTTCCTTGCCATGGCCTGCGTGATGTGGTTGGCCAACCTCTGTCCTCCCTCGCTGCCACTCTCTACCCTGCACTCTCCACTCCAGCCAAACAAACCAAGTGCATTTCAGCCTTGGGGACTTTGCATTTGCTGTTCCCATGGCCTGGAGTGCTCTTTCCTCGAATATCTGAATGATTCACTCCTTTACATTACTGGGAGTCTCTCCTCAAATGTCACTTTCTTGGTGACATCCTACATAAAATGCACCTCCTATCACCTCCTAGCCATACCCCACTACTGTCAATTATACTTCTAAGTGAAATTATAGTATTTATTATTTATTTTGTGTGTGTGTGTGTATGTGCATGTGTGTATCTTTCCCTCTAGAATGTAGATGAGGACTTTGTCCTGTTCACTGCTGTAACTTTAGCACTTAGAACAGTACCTGGTTCACAAATAGGCACTCAAAAAATATACATATATAGAGAGAGTATATATATATGTTGAATAAATGTTGAAATAATGATAAAATATTGGTTCTGGATCCAACTTAATAACCTTATTTCAACCTTAGTTATTTACTACAAGAGCAAATAACAGTCCTATAATGAGATAGAGAAAATAAAATATTCTCAAGGAATGGATACCATACATTCATGACAACTTGATGAAGTTCTCTTTCCCACAATATTAAGTAGTAGCCTACTTTGCATTAATACCAGACAAGTCATTTTATTAGTAAAGGTCTCCATTTCTAAAACTTCATTCTAAGAACTACTGACTAACTTGATAGATTAGGCATTTGAAAGAGTATTATGTGAACATAGGACCTATTCAACAATCCTAAACACATGCAAAGGCAGCAGTGCTTGAGCAGGGAGCCCTGGAAAACTAATCCAACATGGTTTTCATTAGAAAGTGGGCATAGCGGCTGGGTGCAGTGGCTCATGCCTATAATCCCAGCACTTTGGGAGGCTGAGGAGGGTGGATCACTTGAGGTCAGGAGTTTGAGACGAGCCTGGCCAACATGGTGAAACCCTGTCTACTAAAAATACAAAAAATTAGCCGGGCGTGGTGGTGGGCACCTGTAATCGCAGCTACTCGGGAGGCTGAGGCAGGAGAATTGCTTGAACCCAGGAGGTGGAGGCTGCAGTGAGCCGAGATCACACCACTGCGCTCCAGCCTGGGCAACAGAGACTCCATCTCAGGAAAAAAAAAAAAAAAAGAAAAGAAAAGAAAGTGGGCGTGGTAATACTTCCTTGTCATGTCATACTCCCGAAAGCCACTTACAGGCAACATGCTTCTAATACACTGGGCAGACATAAAACACAAGCACTAAAAGTAATAACCACAGCAAACAGGCTATCAGAAACTGCAAAACCTGCCTGGGCAGCTACCTTACCTTTTTAGGTAAAGCAGGAGTACTATGATTGCACCTGCGACGATGACTGGAACAATGAGTAACATGGTTATGTAGAGTGTGGAATTGCGCTTCTTACCTGGAGAATGAAAAGCAAACAGAAAGACTTGAGAAATAAAACCCTTTTAGTAATAAACCAAGCAGCAATTCTGTTAGCTAGTAAGATCACAAATATTTCTGCTCCCTCCCCCAACCTATTTTCCCAAGCTCTTCAATTATCTTATCTTCTGTTAAATTAATAGTTTAAAAAAAAAAAGTCCTCCTCTGGTGCCTGAACTTCCCTAGGCGAGCAAATACCTAAAAGATTACCTGAAATTAGGATATTTTTTAAAAGACAAACATAAGCTTTATTCTCTTTCAAAAACTCAGAGACTAGGACCTGGAACCATATTCATTAATTTAATCTGGATCAGAATCCCTTAAATTTGATGGTCTCATTTAAACTTTTGTTTGTTTGTTTGTTTTGAGACAGAGTCTCTCACTCTGTCACCCAGGCTGGAGTGCAATAGCACGATCTTGGCTCACTGCAACCTCCGCCTCCATGTTTCAAGAGATTCTCCTGCCTCAGCCTCCTGAGTAGCTGGGACTACAGGCGCACACCACCACACCGAGTTAATTTTTGTATTTTTAGTAGAGACGGGGTTTCCCTATTTGGGCCAGGCTGGTCTTAAACTCTTGACCTCAAGTGTTCTGTCCGCCTCAGCCTCACAAATTGCTGGGATTACAGGCATGAGCCACTGCGCCCAGCCACATTTAAAATTTTATAGAAATAGACTGACCATTCTAAAAATGACAAAATACATGTTGTTTTCAACTACATAGTAAAAAATGTAGTAAACTCTCTTTTTCAAAATAGAGGAGGGCTGGGCTAGTGAGCTCAAACATTCATAATAAAAATTTCTCTATGTACATAAAATAATGTTTTCATAGCCTAAAATCACCATACAAAAACTGATAATAAAATTGTGTAGTGTTCAGGAGTTGGAAAGCCAACACACTGGAATTACCCAAGTATTTTTTTGGTATCTGTAATAATGAGATAGAATCTCTTAAATCATAGTTGTCCCAGAAGATCTGAGACGGATGTCAGTGACATGCACATTGTCCATTGTTCAGTAACTTTCAGAGAACTAACAGACTAAACTATGTATACTATCCAATACAATCCAATATTTCTTAACTGATAAAAAAAAAACTTCAAGATCTTGTGCTGCTTTAAAGGAAGGAGTATAAACGAATGAGTGGTAACTGGAAAATAGCTATAATAGAAAGCAGGTACTGAAGAATTCTGTCTGACAAATACCAAATAACTGTTTGCTTTTAGCAAATAAACTGGAACATATCACATAGGGTTTTTTTTTAAAGTTCTTTTAAGCTATTTTGCCATGAAAGAAAGGTTTTTTTAAATAAAAATATTGCTTCTTAGAATAACTTTAAACATATTGATTGATGTTAGTCAATCGATAAAATCAATGGAATCATTTTAGCTAAGACTTTTAACATTATCTCCAAGATTCAAATAATGTTAAGATTCTAGTTTACATATAAGACTATATATACCTTAGCATTGTTTCAAATATGATTACTACAAATGTATCTCATTGGAAAACATAAAAAAATTTTTTCCAGATCCAAGAGAAAAGGTATGAATGAAGCCCTTTGTAAGTACGCACGTGTGCGCACGCACACACCCACACACACAGATTAAATGACAAAGAAGACTGAGCCAGGAGACATAGATGTGACTAGGGAAATTACTTTCCCTCAAAGATCCCTTCCAGCTATCTGATTCTACAGTTAAAAAGCATTCCCTCTGAACTGTACAAACTGGCCTCACATTTTCAAATTTCTACACAGTATCTGGTAAAGTTTGCCTGTTTGCTGTTATACTAAAATATCAAATAAATCGACACAAACCCTGGCCTACAAATCTGTACACCAACTAGTTTTCCAGAGATAGTGATTTTTTTTAATTTAATTTTTTTGAGACAGAGTCTCACTCTGTCACCCAGGCTGGAGTGCAGTGGCACGATCTCGACTCAATGCAACCTCCGCCTCCCGGGTTCAAGCGATTCTCCTGCCTCAGCCTCCCGGGAGCTAGAACTACAGGCATCTGCCACCATGCCCAGCTTATTTTTATATTTCAGTAGAGAGAGGGTTTCACCATGTTGGCCAGAGTGGTCTTGTACTCCTGACCTCAAGTGATCCACCCGCCTCAGCCTCCCAAAGTGATGGGATTATAGGCATGAGCCATGGCGCCCAGCCCAGAGATAGTGATTTTTTAAAAATTCATTCCACAAGTCATTAGAGCATACTATATTTAAGGCAGAGTGCCAGACCAAACCTGCAACATTATGGTGTCACTGTCCCTGGGAACAAATTACTATCTGAAAAACTGGACTCAGGTGACTGCTTCAGGCCCAACCAGGTTCAGGGTAGTGATTTCCAAATTTGAGAGAATACAGGAATCTCCAGAGGAGTTTGTTAAAACACAGTTTCAAGCATCTCACCCCAGCATTACTGTGTCAGAATCTCTGGGGTTGGTGCCTCCTCATCTATCTGCATATTTAACAAATATGTTCTCCCACACCCCTCCATGCCTCTGCAGATAATTTGTGGGTCTCACTCTCCATCCCAACCCACCCTCCCCACAAAGAAAAGAAAACCACTGTACTGTAGTGGCAAAAGCTCTAGCCTTAGCGTCAGGAACCACTTGCCAGCTGCCTGATCTTGATTGAGTTATTTGATGTTGCTAGGTCTCTCAATCTCTTCCTCTGGTAGGGGTTGAAAATGAGTCTCTATAAGGATCCCTTCCACTCTTGGACTTGGAGAACCTAACATGGCATCTCAGCATCATGAAGGAGGTGGGGAGAGTTTGCAAGGATGTTTCACTCTGCAGTCAACCCTCCGCCACCAGGCAACAGAGTTTAGCAGCCCCCAAGAGTAAGTGGGTAATTCCCTTCTCTGGCCCCCTCATTCACAAAGGGAGGAAAAGTGAGGAGAGGTTGGAATAGGATGAGAGGCAAAGGGGAGAGACTGAAAAAAGCTTGCAGAATTTTGGTAAGAAGCAGGAAGGGTCGTTGGAAAGCTGGAATCACCCCTCCTCCTCATTGTCATCATCTTTCTGGTAGGTCCTGGTAGCTAATGTAGATGACCAGCATGACAAAGCCAGTAAGGATGCAGAGGGAGCTGACCACCACATAGGCGATGCACAGGAAGGGGTTCCTGCCACCCATCCACAAGATGCTGCTGAAGATGCGGAGCCTGTGGCCGCCAAATGCACGCACCAGGTAGTTGTAGGTGATGTTGACACAGTAGACACACCGCGGCAGCCCAGCTGAGTAGTTGCCCTGGCGGATGTGCCCGTACAGCTTGCGGAACAGCTTGCGGAACGTGGGCAGCGCTGCCATGCGCATCCACACCACGAAGTCCTGGTTGATGAAGCCGTTGTTGTTGGGGATGGGGCTGAGCTTGTCGTAGACCAGCCAGCGCCAGTTGGGCAGGGGTGCTGTGCCATGGAAGGCCAGTGCCAGGCTGCCGTTGACCAGTGGTGGGTTGCAGAACTTGATGGGGTAGTTGGTCTACCGGGTGATGCAGGTGCAGTGCGGTAGCGCGGCACCTCCACGTAGGGCTCGCCGGGCCAGCACTGGTGCCACAGCGAGGAGTCGTTGAAGAGGCTGTTGGTGATGACATTGCAGGGTGCACGATGGGCAGGCGGCGCAGTGGGTGCACTCATTGACTGGATGGTGCAGCGTGCTGGGCAGCCCGCTCAGCTGCGCGTTGTCGCGGACACTCCATACCGCCGGTTGTTTTGGTAGAAGTTGGTCAGCACGTAGTAGGGGTACACAGGGCCCTGGAAGAGCTCAGGCAGTGAGAAGTACCAGGCGCATGAGCAGATGGGCAGTGGCACACAGCCCTGGCCAGCCACAGCACACACCGAGCAGTTGCTGGTGCCCGGGTCGCCGGTGTAGTTGTACTCCAGCTCCTTGATGCTGGTGGAGGAGTAATAGAGGTCCAGGCTGATGAAGGCCAGGCCCACGTAGAAGAAGAGCTGCAGCCTAATGCTGGCCAACAGCAGCGGTTGCCAGGCAGGGAGGTGCTGCCACGTGAATGTGGTGGTGTTGAGCTGGTGGGCGCCCCCGGCTGTGGTGCTCCAGGTCATGGCAGCCACATGGGCTGACTGAGAGGGGCCCAGCCACGGGAGGCCTCCCTCTGTGCACTGGGTGAGCCCAGGGGATGCTCATGGGGTGGGTTTCCCCACCCGCTCAGGTAAATCAGAAGATCTTAACTAGTTTTAAATACTATTAACAAAGATGCTATATTAAATATGTAATCTTATTAACAGTGACTACATATTTTACTGGTTACTTACCACTACTAAAATACCTAAAATAATCCTAACAACTACTATTATTCTTAAATAAGCACCTACTATATGTCTGATACCACACTAGGTGGTTTTGCATGCTTATCTCATATATATGCTATAATGATAGCATTATCTCCCATTTAAGCAGATGAGAAAGATAAGGCTCAGAGAGGTTTAGTAAGTCATCCGGAAGGATTTAGTAAATAATGGCATCAGGCCTCAAATTCCAGTTCCACTGTCCAATTCCAAAGCCTGCCTTGCTACATCTAACATATAGACTGTCATTTGTCTATATACAAATTCATTTTTCCCACTAGGTCATGAACATCTAGAAAGCATCATCAAGGCCTGGCACCATTGTTTTAGGCAGTCACTAAGATTTCTCCACATGATTCCTGCCTCCTGATATTCATTCCCTGGTGTAATCCCCTCTCCTTGAGCATGGGCTAGACTAATTGACTCACTTCTAAAAAACAGAACAGCAGCAGTAATGGGATGTCATTTCTAAGGTTAGGTTATAAAAGACCATGGTTCCCATATTGCGTGTTCTCTCACACTGTTTCTTGCTTGGATTACTCACTTGGGAAAGCCAGTTTCCATGTCAGGAAGTAGCCCTATGGGGAGGTCCAAGTGGCAAGGAACTAAGGGAAGCAAATTACCACAAACTGAATGGCTTACAACAACAGAAATGTATTATCTCACAGTTTTGGAGGCTAGAAATCCAAAATGAAGGTGTCAGCAGGGCTATGCTCCCTCTGAGGGCTCTAGAGAAGAATCCCTCTTTGCCTCTTCCTAGCTTCTGGTAGCTCCTGGGAATCCTTGTTGTTCCTTGGTTGTAGCTGCATCTCTGCAATCTCTGCCTCCATCTTCACATGGCTTTCTTCCCTGTGTGTCTGTGTGTCTCTGTGTGGCTTCTCTTTTTATAAGGATACTAGTCATTAGATTAACTGTCCACTTTAATCCAGCATGACCTCATCCTCACTTGATTATATCTGCAAAAATCCTATTTCCAAATAAGGTTACATTCACAGGTACCGGGGTTGGAACCTACGAACATACCTTTTTGGGAGATACAATTCAACCTGCAACAGCCTCCATCCAGCAACCAGTGAGGTACTGAGGCTTTCCAACAACTATATGAGTGAACTTGGAAATGGATGCTCTGTCCCCAGTCAAGCCTTCAGACATATTTCAGTTCTCATTGCAGCTTGACTGCAACCTCATGAGACCTCCAGCTAAGCCGTGGCTAGACTCCTGACTCACCGAAACTGTGAGATGGTAAATGTATGTTGGTTCAAGCCATTAAACTTTGGAGTAATTTGTTATACAACAATAAATAAACGAATACAACCATGCCTGGCACATAACTTGTTGAGCTTCTCAATTAATAGGGAATTGGCTACCTCGACAACCTGTTTGACCAATATACAGCTGTTTAAAAAGTTCTTAAGTTGGTTCTGTGTTGCCCCTTGGAGACACAAAAAGTAAAGCCTATTCCTTCTTGTACCTGACAATACCTCAAATATTAGAAATCAGCAATCATGACTCCTCAAAGTTACTTTACCAATTGTTCCTTGCCAAGTTTTGAGATTCTTCAACATCCTGATTATCCTTTCAAGGATAGATTCCAGTCTGCCAAGGCAACTCCTTTAATGTGGTGCTCAGAATGGAATACTGCACAATTCTGATGTGACCATAGCTCTGTGCCCCAACCTGCAGCATTCCTTTCTGGGTGCTGCACTTATCACTCCTAAGATTGTATATGCCTTTTTGACACATTTAAGATTACAATGTTGAGTCACATTGCACTTATAAAGCCGTGTATCCCACCCCACCACACACACATCCATAAAGCACAGGTCTTTCCAGTCCTGTACTTGAGCCTAGCTTGCTCAGCCTTTCAATTAATAAATGATTTTTTTCAAACTTAGGTACAGGTTTCTATTAAATGGCTCCACTCTTGTTTCTGCCAACCAGCATGTAGGACAGTCTCTAGTATTGTACAATGTGCAAATTTTATTATGCCTGCCTTTTTTTTTTCTTCTTCCTTGAGACGGTCTCACTCTGTCGCCCAGGCTGGAGGGCAGTGGCACAATCTCAGCTCACTGTAACCTCCGCCTCCCAGGCTCAAGAGATCTTCCCATCTCTGCCTCTTGGGTAGCCAAGACCACAAGCGTGCACCACCATATCTGGTTAATTTTTGTATTTTTTGTAGAGATGGGGTTTCACCATGTTGCTCAGGCTGGTCTCCAACTCCTGGGCTCAAGCGATCCTCCTGCCTCAGCCTCTCAAAGTGCTGGGATCACAGGCGTGAGTCACTGTGTGCAGCCTATGCCTGCTTTCTATATTTTTGTTCAGTTTGTTAATAAAAATGGAAATGAGATAGAAAAGAACATAAAACCATTTGGATTATGGTTTTCTAAATAACTGTATACTGTCAATTAACCCTGGGTGGTTTGAAAGTGATTAAGAAGAAAATAAATTTCAATTGTAAGTACTCTTTTCCTGACATCAAGAGAGCATGACAGTCCCTTTCCCCAGTCTATTTTCTGCTTCAGCTTAGTTTTTATACATCAGTGTTTTAAATTTTAATAAAAATTCTGTTCTCTTACCTATACTCATTTCTTGGCTCCAATTACTCCAGAGTTTGTCATCCTCATAGCATAACTTATTTGTTTTGACTCTTATTCTGACTGTGTTCAAAGTATCAGGAAGAACACCAGGGACCATGAAACAAGATGTATTCTTAGGCATAAAATAAAAATACACAAGGAATATTACCAGTTTATTCTTTTTCACTGTTATTGAATCATAATACAATTATCTGCCAAATTCTGTCTATGATTAAGACTTGGATTGCAATTCAAATTATCTTTGACTTTTCGAAAAAATTGTCAATAACTCACGGAACAACGTAATTTGTTTTTCTCAAAGCAGCTCATATTTAGGCTATGCTCCACCCCCAACTGCTCTAAGTCTAAACCCAAATAGCTAATGTTGAATTTACTGACCTCCACATTTCTCTCAAATTCTGGATTCTCACATTTAGCCTCTTGGACCTTGAAAATAAAAATAAATAAATAAACTAATGAGTCCTAAATGTTTAAAAACCCATTTTCTATCACCTAGTCATTTCTAACAAGCTTTCCTTTTATCCCATTAAAAGATGATCAGGTACAGTGAAAAAAGGTTGGCCTTTTTTAATAAATGGTGCTGGGTCAATTACATATGCATATGAAAAAAAAAAAGATTCTTGACGCCCTACCTCATACTATTCACAAAATCAGTTCCTGATATATTGCAGATTTAAATGTGTAAGATAAAATGAATTAATAAATACATAACTATAGCAAGCTTTTAGATAAAAACAGAGAATATCTTAATGACCTTGAAGAAGGGAAATATTTCTTAAACAAGACCAAAAAAACCTCCCATATTAACCATAAAGAGAATTTTTTAATAAAGTCATCCATATTAAAATTAAAAACATTTGTTGATCAAATGACACCTTATAGGGAAATAAACAGGCAATGCATAGAGTGTGAGAACATATTTGCAATTTCTGACAAAGGACTTGCATATGTATTTTTTCTTACCCTACTAATAAGGCAAAAACAGAAAACCCAATTTTAAAAAAACTGGCAAAAGACTTGAACAGGCACTTCATAAGAGGATAAGCAAGTTGCGAATAAACATCTGAAAAAGTGTTCAACATCACTGGTCATGAGAAAAATGCAAATTAAATCCACAAGATAACAATACACACACTTACCTGACAACAACAAGTGTTGTGAGGATATGAAGCATCTAGAACTCACAATTTCTGCTTAGTAGTGTAAACTGGCACAACCATCCAGGAAAACTGTTATTATCTACTAGAGACAATCATATGTAACCTTATGACCCACATATGCCTATATAAATGCCCCATACAAATGTACGCACATGTGTACCAAGAGACAAGTATGTGAACGTTCATAAGAACTCCATTCATAAAACCAAATGGGAAACTATCCAAACGTCCATCAATGGGAGAATGGATAAAGTATGGTATATTCACACAATGGAATGAATGTAGTGAGAACGTGCCATCTACAGCTATAAGAAACAACATTGGTGAATCTCATAAACATAATGTTGAGTGAAAAAAAGGGCAAACACACAAAAAAGTACATTCTGGGCCAGGCACAGTGGCTCACGCCTGTAATCCCAGCACTTTGGGAGGCTGAGGAGGGTGGATCACATGAGGCCAGGAGTTCGAGAGCCAGGAGCCTGCCTAACATGGCGAAACCTCGTCTCTACTAAAAAATACAAAAAAAAAAAAAAAGCTGGGCTTGATGGCATGTGCCTGTAATCCCAGCTACTCCGCACGCTAAGACAGGAGAATCGCTTGAACCCGGGAGGTGGAGGTTGCAGTGAGCTGAGATTGCGCCACTGCACTGCACTCCAGCCTGGGTGACAGAGCAAGACTCTGTCTCGAAAAAAAAAAGTACGTTCTATATAATTCCATTTATATAAAGTTTTAAAGTAGCAACAAAATCAATCTATGGGATTAGAAGCCAGGAGAGTAGCTGCTCTTTGGGAGGACAGCAACTGAAGGGGGCTTCTGTGGTGCTGGTTACATAGGTGAAAAATCATTTGTGAAAAATCATTGAGCTATAGGTTATGATTTGTGTAATTTTGTTCATGTATTATAACTCAGTAAAAACTTTTTAAAAAGAGACAGGGAGCGAGAAACCAGTGTCCCTTGTTGAGAGTATAAGATATAAAACTTGACTGGGTTGGAGAAAAGAAAGTGTAATGCAAAATTCTCCTCCACACAATAAAAGTCACTTGCTGTCTAATGTAAAGAGAATACTAATTTCCTTAAATGCAAGTATTTCCAAAATGGAGTAAAAAACACATGAAAATCTGTTGCTTAAATAGTCAACTTCTATCAAAGAGACGTTTAAACTTGGAACCAAGACCAGAACACATAGATATTATTTTTGACATTCAATGTCATTCACTAAATAGTTCCTACCAGCCTGTGTAAAGAGCTGAGAGGCCAAGCAAATGATGAAGGGACATCCTTTCAATATTTCATACAGAGGTTGAGAAAAAAAAAACCCCACTCAGGGGGCTAGTATACCCTATTACTGGCCATTTAGAATCGTAGACCTGTTGGGGAATCACAAGCGTCAACTACCAGTGAGGGATCAAGTTGCAAATTGATGTCCCTCCTCCCCTGGACCATCTCCCATATATAGAAATTCCAAACTTGCCGAATCAACCTGTAGATTTACGTCTCTAGGCTCTTGTTCAAATGTAAATCCCCCTGCATAGTTTACTGGCTCTTCAGAGACCACTAAGAGAAGGAAAGCCAGGGCACCAAGAAGATAGTCTGCTGGGAAGGTGGGGGTGGGGGGTGGGGGGTGGTCACAGACAAGTTGTTCCTTACTTCATAATTCTGTCATGAGCTACCTCTGACCACAGCCCCCATGTGTTGGTACCAGTTCATGTTCCCGCTTACTTCCCCCTCTTAAGTGTAACACCAGGCAAAATAATTCCTCAAAAAGGAAAAAAAAAGAAAAATCTAAGCAGCAGAGTTCAAAATCTGTGAGCACACAAAAAACTGATGACATTCTACATCTGCTAGGAGGAAGAATATTAAACTCAAGTGTACAAACAGAGTTAATTCCAAATAGAAAATAGTTCTGATTTAGGTAGATAACTTCCATAGTGTATGTGTTCTCTTCAGTTCAGAAGTTTGTAAAAAAAAAAAAAGTAACTCAATTCAATAATAATTTATTAAATGATGATTGTGCACATGACATTATGCTAAGTATTCTTGGTCAAAGTTAAATACATGGAGACCAACCAACCTTTGAAGTGTTACTGACTTATTAGCTGTGTGGCTTGTAGCAAGTTACTTAACCTCTCTGAGCCTTAGTTTTTTCAATAAAATGTAGGTTAAAATAGTTTCTATTTCATGGGTTGCTATGAGCTACTGTATTAAGAAGCACATAGAAGAGCATCTTTGTAGCATGCCATAAACACTTAATGAATGATAGCTATTGCTATTAAGAGGAAGTATTGAGGTGTTCTCTAGCGGTTAAGAATCCAAGTCTTAGCGTTACAACTTTGGTTAAATGTTGATTCTACCACTTACTAAAAATGTGACCTTAGGAGTAACTAAGTTTTCTTATCTTGTAAAATGGAGACAAAATAACAGGACCTAGATCCTTAGGGTTATTGTGAAGATTAAATGAAACAATTCAGATATAGTGCTTATTAAGATACCTAGCACATAGTAATCACTCAATACAGGTTAGCTGCTATTTAGTAGCAGGAACTGCACAAAGTAGACAGCACCAAACTCCTTCCTACAGAAGTCTATATTTTCTTTTTTTAAAAAATATCAACTTTTAAATTCTGAGGTACATGTGCAGGGTGTGTAGGTTTGTGACATAGGTAAAAGTGTGCCATAGTGGTTTGCTGCACAGATCAACCCATCACCCAGGTATTAAGGCCAGTATCCATTAGTTGTTCTTCCTGATGCTCTCCCTCCTCCCACCACAGCCCCCACAGGCCCCAGTATGTGTTGTTCACCTCCATGTGTCCATGTGTTCTCATTGTCCAGCTCCCACTTATAAGTGAGAACATGTGGCATTTGGTTTTCTGTAGGAGTCTATATTTTCAGTGGAGAGAAAATGCATACATGTGATAGGTTAAACAGCAGAAAATAATTGAGTGGCAAAATGAATACTATCTCAGGATTTCAGACATGCATCTCAGGATTTCAGACAGGAGAGAACAGTAAAGACTGGAGTAAACAAGTGTATTTCAGCTTTCTGATAACTCCTTTTGTTGTAAATTCAAGTACCAGCCCCCTTCCACATGAAAGCCCTTAGATTTTTCCCTTTGCTGCATTTCATGGGGCACTTAATTTCTGGTACTAGTAATGATTATTATATTTCAGCAGAAGGATTCATAATGCAAATGCCCAGAAGAGCATTTGCTGTTCTGTTCTGCTGTGGACTTGGTCACTCCCTCTGGAGTTGGAATTATAGCCTGTCAACACTGGCTTATTTTAGCAAGCATTTTGGAAGTTCCATGATGAGCTAAAACAACTGGACCAAGGAATTTACCCACGTGCGAGATGCTAGGCTCCTTTAAAAGCCAATATAAAACACTTCACTTCTAATCTCTAAAACTCAAACACACAAAGGGTCCAGGCAGGTAGCAGACAAGTGAGTGGTGCAGTCTTCATGGTCTTAAGGCGCCATCTTATGGACACACACTCTTAAAGTACTATGATTTAAAATCTGGGCAAAAAATTCAAATCTAGTAAACAAACAAACAAACAAAACACGACTTTGTGTTCCACACAAAAAAGTGTGAGGCCCTAGTTTGTGACCTTTACCCTAAAGCAGAACAACTGGACTGATGTCCTGAGATTATAGTACACTCTGGTCAGTGTCCTACAGGGCCTCTAATTAGCATGTTCTGCATTTGATTCTGAATAGCATACAGGCACATAATCCAACAAATATTGACTACTCAAATCTGATTACTTTAGTTGCCACAAACTCCAAGAAAACAGAATGGTATTATCAGAGCCTCCAAAGTGTCCGCAAGATCTGATGTCTGCCTACTGCTTAGACATCTTTTCCTGCTACATTTTGTTCACACCACCCTCCTTTCTGTTCTCTCACACATGCTAAGCTCATTTTTGCCTCAGAGTCTGTATCTGCTGACCCCCTACACCCAGATCTTCACATGGCTAGCGTCTGCTCATCATTCTGGTCTCATCTCAAATGTTATTACCTCAGATGATTTCCCTACCTAATATTCCCTCTCGTTCTCCCAGTCACTCTACTACATCAGCCCATTTTATTTTCTTCACAGCACTCATCCTCTGAAATTAGCTTGCTTATTTACTTACGTTTTCTATTATGTAGGTTTCATGAAGAAAAAAACTTGTCAGGTGTCATGTTCACTGCCTTATCCCTAGCACACAAAAGAGTGCTTGGCATGTGGTGGATATTTAATAAGAACGTGTTGAGCAAATGAATTATCGTTTAATAGGCCTTTCTAAGAAGCTTACAGATGAATAAATGGCTTGAAACTTGCAGCTGATACTATCATACCATAAATCTTCAAATCTTCCACCATGCCTTATTTTAGACAAGAAGTTTCATTACCATCATCATCATAAGGTGACAAATGTAAGAGCTATGTTTCATTGATATTTCAATGTAAGAAATTCAAGTAAAAGAAAAATAGCCAAATAAAAACAATAATTTTAAAACCTTACGTAGAAAACATTATGTGTCTCAGTTTGGCTGTTATTGACTTCTACTTCATAAAATAGGCATCTGCTAATAAAATTCTGTGGATTCTCCCATTGCACATATAGGTCATCATTGTGGAAGGAGAGGTTTTTAATATGTGGAGGATCAGGTTTCACTGAAAAACAAAAATAGAACACAAGTAAGCTTCCAAAGCTTGATTATACACACAAACACACAGTCGGCCCTCCATATCCATGGATTCCACATTCATGAATTCAACCAACCATGAACTGAAAATATTTTTTAAAAAATAGCATCTGTGCTGAACATGTACAGAGTTTTTTCTTCTCATTTATTCCCTAGATAATATAACAACTATTTACATAGCATTTACATTGTATTAGGTATTATAAGTAATGTAGACATGATTTAAAGTATGTGAGAAAATATGCATAGGTTATATGCAAGTACTATGCTACTTTTTATCAGGGACTTGAGCATCCATGGATTTTGGTATCCTTGGAAGTTCCTGGAAGCAATCCCTCACAAATACTGAGAGACAACTGCAGATATATGCAGGGTTCATAAAGTTAAATCAAAACAGAGCTGATGCATTTAGTGGCCTTTCATGATCAGATACATAGTTTTAGAATTTCTATTTAGCCACAATTATAGAAGAAGTTTATTTAAAACTGCCTAGTAAAATGAATTTAAGGAACATATTTGGGGTATCTAGCAGATGATATGAACTCTGACCTGCATCTGGTTAGAAAATGGCCAGGGTATAATCAGGACATCTAGACGCAACATAGAGAATAAAGAAAGGCTTGGATCCAGATGTACTTCCACCTGATGAGTAATAAGGCACCAGATACAAGGGGCTTCCCTAGTTGTCACTTATTAATGCCAATCAAAGACCACCATTAAAACATTGGCTTAGTCTCTGACACACACTGCAACATAAATGCACTTCAAGGAAATTATGCTAGGTAAAATAAGCCAGTCACAAAAGACAAATATTGTATGAATCCACTCCTATGAGGTATCTTAAGTAGTCAAATTCATAGAAACAGAAAGTAGAAAGGTGGTTGCTAAGGGCGGAGGGGAGGGGAAATTAATGTTTAATGAACAGAGTTCGGTTTTGCAAGATGAAAAAGTTCTAAAGAGCTGCTGCATAACAATGTGAATATACTTAACACTACCGAACTGTACACTTAAAATGTTTATGATGGTAATTTTAATGTTGTGTGTTTATAACCACAATTAAGAGTAAAATACTTTGGGAGCCAAGGTGGGTAGATCGCTTGAGCTCAGGAGATTGAGACCAGCCTGCGAAACATGGCAAAACCCCGTCTCTACAAAAAATACAAAAATTAGCCTGGCGTGGTGGCACATGCCTGTGGTCCCAGGTACTAGGGAGGCTGAGATGGGAGGATAGCTTGAGCCCGGGAGGTCAAGGCTGCAGTGAGCTGTGATCACGCCACTGCATTCCAGCCTGGGCAACAGAGACCCTGTCTCAGAAAAAGAAAAAAATAATTTATTTTTAAAAATGCATTAGCCTGGTCAATTTACTTTTTCAGGAGTCAGCTATACTTAAGACCAAGCAATAGAAGATAATGGGTAATTAACAGAAAACAACTTGAAGATATCATCTTCTATCTGAGAAGGATCTTCCTTCTTCCTTTATGTCACCATTAATATCCAGAGAGGAAAACAGCAAAATAAGACTTAAAAGATCATCTAAGATAATCTGCCAAACAAAGAGAAGGGCTCTGCTTCAGCTTACCCCACTAGGCAAAATACTCCAACCTCACTCCCTTGGCCTACAAAGTAAGCTGACTTTGGTACCCTATTAGAATTCACTTCTATGACTATCTAAGCCAGAATCTGAGCTCCCAGTTGGGATATTTCAACAAATAAACCATTACGCTAATGGAATTTGCTTTAGTAATTTACACAATGTGTTAATACGCTTTATGTCATTTGGACCTTATGACAATTTTTTTAGATAGAGGGAGATTATATATTCCATTTCACAGATAAGGAAATATTTGAAGGGGGTTTATATGCCTTGCCCAAAGTGAAGGAGTTAGAACCTAATCAGATAATCTGTGTTCAAGCTGAGGGTGCTTTCTAACAGGCTGACATGCAGCTGGCACCCACAGTTAAGGCTATACTGGTTTTTCTAACTGATCAGTGCCCATGCCATACAGAATGTTAAATATTTTGAATATCACCCGATTACACTACCTTAAGTCTATGCCTTTTCTAAGAGACAGATTATTTAGGAACTACATATGATCATTATGAGTATCATCCTCTTTAAGTATCAAGAGACTAGACCTTAGAGTCAGATGGCCTGGGTTCCTGCTATGATTTGAATGTTTATCTTCTCCCAAACTCATGTTGAAACTTCATCCCCAATGTGGCAGTATGGAGAGGTTGGACCTTTAAAGAGATAATTGGGTCATGAGGGTTCTGCCTTCATGAATTGATTGATCTATTGACCGATTAATGGATTATCATGGGAGTGGGACTCGTGGATGTATACAAAGAGGAAGAGAGACCTGAGCTAGCATGCTCAACTCCCTAACCATGTGATGCCCTGTGCTGTCTTGGGACTTTGCAGAAAGTCCCCACAAACAAGAAGGCACTCATCAGACTTGGCCCCTTGACCTTCCACTTCCCTGCCTCCAGAACTCTAAGAAATAAATTCCTTTTCTTTATAAATTACCCAGTCTCTGGTATTCTGTTATAAGCAACAGAATACCAGAAAATACCAAACAAAAAATGAACTAAGACAATTCCAATGTTGGTTCTACAACTAACTGTTCTAACTCTCAGTGTACTCTAAACAAGGATAAAGCATCTGGCACATGTGTTCAATAAAAAGAATTTCCAAGTTTACTTCTTTAAAAAGGATCTATCAAAGAAAGTTATACATCAATATAGTCCCTTCTTTCAGAAGATCTTAAACCCAGAATGATCATTTTTTATTATTTGTATTGATTGTGCAAAAGATATAACACACTTTTTATCCATACTGTTTTAGAGGACTTCTAAAACTTACCACGGGAAGTTAAAGGCACTATATTGAAGGATGGTTTAATTTTTCCTGCATTATCCTTGACCATTATTTGGACACTGTGTTGTTCAAAACTGGAATCCTTCACTTTGGTCAGATCAAAGGAACAACCAAAGTATTGGCCTTCTCTAAAGATGTTTTCACATTGATGAATTTTTTCCAGGCTTCTGTGCCTACAAGATAAAATGAGACAATCTTCTGCATTATATTCAACAGAGTATTCAAGAAATAAGAGCAGGCTGGGCGCGGTGGCTCACACCTGTAATCCCAGCACTTTTGGAGGCTGAGGCAGGCGGATCACTTGAGGTCAGGAGTTGGAAACCAGCCTTGCCAACATGGTGAAACCCTGTCTCTACCAAAAATACAAAAATTAGCCGGGTGTGGTGGCAGGTGCTTGTAATCCCACCTACTCAGGAGGCTGAGGAAGGAGAATCTCTTGAACCTGGGAGGCAGAGGTTGCAGTGAACTGAGATTGCACCACTGCACTCCAGCCTGGGTGACCGAGTAAGACCCTTCCACAAAAAAAAAAAAAAAAAAAAAAAAAAAAAAGGCAGAATTCTTTTTAATGACTGAGATGTCCATGAAAAGCAATATTTGCAATGGGCAAGATAACTTTTTTTAAAAAAACCCTATTGTACAATGTGACTCATTTCATATGCTAGGAAGAAAAGACTGTTTTCTGCTTTTTTTTTTTTTTTTTTTTGAGACAGAGTCTCACTCTGTCTGCCCAGGCTGGAGTACAGTGGCACGATCTCAGCTGACTGCAGCCTCCGCCTCCCGAGTTCCAGTGAATCTCATGCCTCCTGAGTAGCTGGGATTACAGGCACACACTACTACGCCCGGCTAATTTTTGTATTTTTAGTGGAGACGGGTTCAGCATGTTGGCCAGGCTGGTCTCGAACTCCTGACCACAAGTGATCCACCCGCCTCGGCCTCCCAAACTGCTGGGATTACAGGCGTGAGCCCCTGCACCCAGCCTAGATTGTTCCTTTTTGATGAACACTGGTACTGTCAGCAGCTATAGAGACTACAGGAGGCCTATTTCTTCTGTATAAGAGAAGACATTCTAAGGCTGGGATTAGAAGTTTCATGCTTCTTGAAAATGCCTATCTGCTGAAGTCTACGATTCCTCCTCTGGTCCCTCTGCCCTGCTCCTTCCTTGTTTCTTGGCTTGTTCTGTTCCCTCCTCTCTCTTCCAGCAGAGGGGGAGTAGGAGGACTACTCACATTCTTCCCTCTTTCTGACTCCCTCATCCACTCACATCCAGTTTATCACTCCCTCATCCTTCAACTACAGTTTCTATGCTGGTAATTCCTAATCCTGACATCTCACCTCAGAACAAATCCCAGATCTCCAACTGCTCCATTTGAGTGTTCTACCATTGCCTCAAATCCAGTGTCCAAAACACATCATGCACCCTCTTCTCCACCAAACTGTTTTTTCTTCCAACCTTCCCATTATCAGCCAGAGCTCATTTTCTTTGGGCTCCTAGATTAGGTAATTTAAATTAAAATCACCTTTTCCCCCACCTCTGTTCCCTGTATTCTATCACCAAATTCTGTTCTTTCTTCCTTTGCAAAGCTTCATGGATCCTCGTCTTTTATGATACATCCATTGCCCACACCCTGAGATTCATACCCTAATGACTACAGGCTCCATTGCTTCTTCAGATTGACCTCCCTGACCTTCATTATTAGTGCCCTCCAATCACTGCCAGGTCAATGTTCTAAAACACAATGGCTTTCTAAGTGTCTCACTCCACTGTGTGGCTTTAACTGTCTTCCATAAGCAGTATTACAGGTACCTTATTTCCCATTTCTCCTCGACACATACCTTTCCCCAAAGATCATCAGCACCTAGCCCAGCGCAGGCAGACAATGTGTTTATTACACTTTTTTTTTTAGTCTAGGCTATCAGAGAACTGTTTTGTAGTAACTGGCAGAAGACAGAGTCAAGTCTTACATCATCAGCCACAAAGGGAGTTGCACAAAGGTTTTGCAGAAAAGGAAGACAATTTTAAGAAAAATGAACTAAGAGTAAAGAGTCCCAAATCCTTAACCTGTTACCTCAGAATCCTCTGTACTACTTTAAAATGCAGGTTTCTCAAACCCTCTCCCAGAAAATCTGATTTAGAAGGTTTTGCCAGGACCTAGGAACCAGCATTTGAACAGCAATTCTCCAGGAGATTCTGCTGCAAGTCAGTTTAAAAAAAAAAAAACTCAGAGCTAATGTATTTATTCCTTCAAAGGCTGCACAAAGGAATGCTTCGATATAGAAAATGCTTTTTTCCTTCAATAGGTAGTACATAAGCTTTTCCCCCTAGTTGCAGCGCCCTGTGGTTTATGAAGAAAACAGTGTTGTAAAAATGAAGTTATTGTCATGACTAGTTTTTGGATCAGACTGTCCTGGAATGTTTTCCGCCCATGGCCAAAAACAGAAACTGAAGAAATTTAATGACATTTTTCTTACATAACTAAAGAAAGCCATGTGTAAAATTGTTTTTAATGATGAAAGGAACTCCTCGAATGCACAATCTTCTTGATCCCTTTTTCATTTCTGTACCCTGAGTATTCTGCATATGCTCATGGATCTCAGATAATGAAATTTTAAAACAATTTTGTTGTAATTTAGAAATAATTATAGAAGGGAAAATACTGGTTCTGAATAGATAACATTTCTTGAATTCTTGTGAAACATTAACCTAAAACAGCAGGTGATTCCTGTTAAAATTTATATACTGAATTCATCTGCAGAGTCACACTGCAGATATGAGAAGGAAATTGACAAATTAAAGACTATTCTCCCAACTCAGAAGATGATTAATGTGGTAAAAAAAAAAAAAATCCCTAAAATTCGCTGGCATGACTAGTCTGAAGCTCTTCAGGCCGGGGTCTGTTCAATGCCAGACTGTCCCTACAGGGACACAAGTCATTGCCCTAGGGCTTCAATGAATTATTTTGATTTCAAAAAATGACTCCAGGCCAGGCGCCATGGGTCACGCCTGTAATCCCAGCACTTTAGGAGGCTGAGGTGGGTGAATCACTTGAGGTCAGGAGTTCCAGACCGGCCTGGCCAACATGGTAAAACCCTGTCTCTACTGAAAATACAAAAATTAGCCAGGTGTGGTGGCACGTGCCTGTAATCCCAGCTACTCAGGAGGTTGAGGCTGGAGAATCACTGGAACTCGGGAGGCAGAGGCTGCAGTGAGCCGAGATCGCACCACTGCACTCCAGCCTGGCGACAGAATGAGACTCTGTCTCCAAAAAAAAAAAAAAGAAAAAAAAAAAAAAGAAAGACTCCGTATTTTATGGTTGGGGGTTAGGGAAAACAGTCTCTGGCAGTTTGTTTGATGTGATTTATACTGGTACCTAAACCATTTCTGGTGCTTGCTAATGAGCACTGTGTCTTGACTCCCTTTCTTTTGTGGTTTTGATTAGAAAGGATCTATCTAGAGGAGAGCAAGAAAGAAGGAGATATGGGTTAGGTACTAATTCTGTGAGACGGGAAGAGGCCAGCGCTGTGTACTGACTGCATCTGCAAAGGAGTGGGGATAATAACAATAATAATAATAATAAATAGTATTTTTTTTTTGAGATGGAGTCTTGCTCTGTTGCCCAGACTGGAGTGCAGTGGTGGGATCTCGGCTCACTGCAAGCTCCGCCTCCCGGGTTCACACCATTCTCCTGCCTCAGCCTCCTGAGTAGCTGGGACTACAGGTGCCCGCCACCACGCCTGGCTATTTTTTTGTATTTTTAGTAGAGACGGGGTTTCACTGTGTTAGCCAGGATGGTCTGGATCTCCTGACCTCATGATCCACCTGCCTCAGCCTCCCAAAGTGCTGGGATTACAGGCGTGAGCCACCACGCCTGGCCAATAGTAATAATAGCTATTATGGATTGAGCACTTACTCTACATATGCTAGCAGCTAGTCATGGCTCTAAACACTAGCCCTCACAACAACCTTAAGAAGTAGGCACTATTATTACTATCTCCATTTCACAGATTATGAAACTAAGGCTGAGAGAGAAGGGACTTACCCAAAATCACACTAAAGTAAGGAAGAGAGCCAGGATTTCAACCCAAGCAGTGTGGCTCCAGAAAGAATAAGCTGTGGGGTGGTAAGGGGATAAGATACAGAATCTATACCAGCACCATCCAACAGAACTTTCTGGGATTATGGAAATGGTCGCTATCTGTGCTGTCCAATACAAGAGCCACTCATCACTTGTGAAAGTGGTTGGCGAGACTATGCAACTGAAGTTTTAATTTGATTCAATTTTAATTGATTTAAATTAAAATGTAACTAGCCACATGTAGCCAGTGGCTCCTATACTGGATGGCACAGAACTACACTACAGAAAGATCCCCTGCTGATGACCAGCTCTGGGACTGTATATGACAAGAAGTAGGCCAGGTGCGGTGGCTCATGCCTATAATCCCAGCACTTTGGGAGGCCGAGACGGGCTTGAGCCCAGGAGTTCGAGAGCAACCTGGGCAACATAGCAAAACCCCATCTCTACAAAAAACACAAAAATTAGCTGGGCATGGTGGTACACACCTGTGATCCCAGCAACTCAGGAGGCTGACATGGGGGGATGGCTTGGGCCTGGGTGGTTGAAGCCGCAGTGGGCAATGATCACACCAACTGTACTTCAGCTTGGGCAACAGAGCAAGACCCTATCGCAAAAAAAAGTAGGATCCTTGATATCTGCCCCCTTGGATGCTAGTGACCCACCACTATCTTGGAATTGCATCTTGAGCGACCTCCAGTGGCTGTGCAGATTGTTCCCTGCAAAAAGACATCAACTGAGGGCTGAAAGCCAGCCCAAGTACCATCTGCTCTCAGCTTTGGTGAGAGCCTGCTTCAGCCCAGAGGAAGAGGAATGCTTTTTCAAATTGGTCAGTCCAGGTTTTTTTGTAATTCATTCACCCAGAGGAAACATTCTTTTAACAATTTGCATTGAGACTTTGTTTTTGCTAGTATATCCCCAAGGCACTTCCCTATTTTTGTCTTAGAAGAACCCCAAGGACTAGGCTACCATCTGCCTCCAGTGCCACCCTGATTCTAATAGCTGGGATAATTTTCTACCCAGTCTGCCATGGAATGAGATACAGTTTTAAGACTTCTTCCCTTCTTTTCCAGTCCCTTATATAGACATAGATTCTTTAAAGGTTTTCCCTGCGGTTTTACCAATAATGATTCCAGGGAAAACAAGAGGGGTTAATAGCATAATAAACACATGGATGCTGCCAACTCACAAGACATCTTAAAAGCCTGTGTAACAGCTCTCCCTAAACTTTACTACAACATCAACAGCCAGGCTACTCCTTCTTAGTAAGGCTTAGTTCTTTGGCCCCTTCTTAGCAATTCTTTAGGGAGCTGGATCTACTCAATCCTTCTCTCTTTTTATTCATGAACCATAATATTCCTCAGTTGCTTATACCTCATAAGTCATCACCGCAACCCTGAATATTCTCTAGCTTTGGATCCTACCAAACATTCACAACTTATTTATGGAATACCTACTATATATCAGGCACCAGGAGAAACAAGACACAGCTCCCGCTCTCAAGAGAAACTGAAGCCTGTAGCAGGCTACCACCAAGTAACAGGAAATGACAACACAATGTGCTGGGTAGTATGACACAAGAAATTGCAAGGTGCCGTGAGACAAGAGGAAGGGACACATGTCTAGACTTGAGAGGTCAAGGAAGGCTTTCTGGAGAGGAAATGGTGTCTGGGCTGAAATAAGGATAAAGACAAATAAGAGGCATCCAAATGAAAAGGAAAGGCCTAGGCTACAAGAGGATGCAGAATGTTTCCACTATTCTGTTTGAATATTCTGTTTGAAATCTAGTGTTGTGTTTGAGTATTTGAAGAAAGCAGTCTGAGGAACTGAAAGAAGTTTGCTGCGGGCGAATGGTAGGCTGCAAGAGGGGCGGGGGTGCATGGAGGCAGATGCAACCGAGTCTGGAGAGGTTGACAGGGGCCAGGTCTGTCATAAAGCGATTTGTCTGTCATGCTGGAGAGTTTGGACTTTAACCTAAAGCCACCAGGGAGCCACTGAAGGGTTTTAAGTAAAGGAGAAACAACAGGTACCAAGAGTGAGCAGGTGAAACTACAAAACCTCAAATGAGATTTACATCAGGGGGGGAAAAAGAAACAGACCTCAGACATAACCACACAGAACTTCTGGCTCCACCTGCAGGATTTCCCAACTTTGCCAGGAGGATCCTTCCACCAGGGAGGAGTGCGGATGTGAATCCTGGGGCAACTTTGGAGGTTTTCATCCAAAAATGTGTGTTACTTTTTTTTTTTTTTTTTTTGCATTCTATTCCATGATATAGCCATGAGTGTTTTAATGTATCAAAAATGCTTTCCATCATGTCATCAGGCAAAATAGACACTCTAGCATGAAAGGCCATGTTTATCCAGTAGCTTCACAAGTCTTGGACATGGCTCTCCACATCCCATTCTCTCAGAAGAAGTCTTAACAAATGACAGTCAGGGAACAAGGCCATGTAGAGGCAGACTGCCTATGCTAGGTCTCCCCTTCTCCACCCTGACATCACAACGATTAAATACCTCCATTTCTCAAAATGCTCTTCCCCAGAGGCCAGCATCAGAGAAACTCCCCCATCTAGGCAGTCTTCCTCCTTCATCAAAGCCTCTCAGTCCCCTCTCCATCCACCCATCCACCTCCCCTCGACCACCACCCCAAGCTCCAACCTAACTTCCCACAGGAATCTATCTATCCCTCTGCAACAGCCTTCAGCATACACTGTCTTACTTAATTTAATGCAGGTCACTGTATCAGGCACTATCTTCTCCTCTATATTTTGAGCTTTAGGAGAGAAGAGATATGTTTTTTGTCTCTGCTGTGCATTCAGTGGTTTATCCACAAAGTGTTCTAAATAAAGGTTTACTGAATTAAACTGGATTAATCTGGTCTTTCTTCCTTGTTCTGTTGCTAATAATTCTAGGCTCTAAAGGGAATGATGGAAGACTAACTTAGAAATTTAACAAACTTTGTAGTAGATATAGTCACAAATACCAAATACTAAAGTATCAAATATCAAAATATCAAAGTTGTTTTGCAGGAAGCTAAACTACTTTTTGAGGCTGGGTGTGGTGGCTCACACCTGTAATCCCAGCACTTTGGGAGGCCGAGATGGGCAGATCACTTGAGGCCAGGAGTTCGAGACCAGCCTGGCCAACACGTTGAAACCCTGTTTCTACCAAAAATACAAAAATTAGCCAGGCATGGTGGTGCATGCATGTAATTCCAGCTGCTTGGGAAGCTGAGGCAGGAGAATCACTTGAACCCAGGAGGCAGAGGTTGCAGTGAGCCTAGATCTCACCACTGCACTCTAGCCTGGGTGACAGAGCAAGACTCTATCTCAAAAACATAAATAAACAAACAAACAACTTTTTGACCCCGGACATATCATTTTCCTTTTTAAAAGTAGACATCAATAACTCATGCATTGCTAGTGGAAATGTAAGGTGAACTAACTTCTTTAGAAAACAGTTTGGCATTAAAAAAAAAAACTAAATAAGCCATTACTATATGACCCAGCAATTGCACTCTTGGGCATTTATTCCAGAGAAATGAAAAGTTATGTTCATATAAAAATCTGTATGTGAATATTTACAGTAGCTTTATTCATAATAGCAAAAAACTGGAAAAAACTGAGATATCCTTTAATGAATGAATGGTTTAAAAAACTGGTACATCCATATCATGGAATACTACTGAGCTATAAAAAGGAGTGGCCTCGTGATATACAACTACTTGTATAGATCTCCAGGGTATTACGCTGAGTTTTTTTTTTTTAAGCCAGTCTTAAGTGGTTATATACTATAGGATTCCATTTCAGTAACATTCTTGAAATAATAAAATTAAAGAGCTGGAGAACAGATTAGTGGTTGCCAGAGGTTAGAGGATTGGGGGAGAGGGGTGTACAAGGAGAGATGGTTTAAGACGGAGGTGAGTGTGGCTATAAAAGAGCAACTCCTTATGGTGATGCAACCATTGTATATCTTCACATGTGATAAAATTGCATACAACTACATATACACACACACGAGTGCATGTAAAACTGTTGAAATAGGACTGAGGTTTTTGGATTGTACCAATGCCAATTTTCTGGTTTTGATAATGCACTATAGTTACACAAGATGTTACCACTGGGAGAAACTGAGTGGAGTATATGGGATCTCTCTGTACATTTTTTCTGGTAATATACAGGATCTATATTTAAAAATAGAAAGTTTATTTAAAAAGTAGACACCAAAGACAGATGCATTTTTCATTGAAGCAAACTGTCCATCTTGTTGAGTTTGCAGAAAAAATTAAACAGTTCTTTTTTTTTTGACTAGGTTGGATCCAAAGGCTCCCAACACAATTACAATCAGTCTTCCAGTAATTGTACTGTACATACTCACCAATAGTAGAGAGTATAGTTAGTGTCGGGACTGGTATTCCTTCCAGGGAGCCAAGAACACTTCATGTAGCTCAGGTTGTGCCAAATGCATTGAAGCTCAGTCACAGCAGACTCAGGATCACCTAGAATATCCAGGCCAAGAGTTTAAGACCCTTCTTTCCTTGTAATGCAAAGTAGCAAATCACTCTTTGGCATGGGGATGATGAGAGTGCTTCATGCTGCTTTGTCAGAAAGCAAATGCTTCATCTCTCACCCCATTTTACCCAGAAGTCACCCAGGATGGAGGAAACTCAAATCTAATTTGTTCACAACCTTCTCTCTTACCTCCTGATACAAAGAAAACATCTTCCCTATCACTGAGGGACCCTAACTAATATTCCTAACTGGAGGGAGAGATAAAAGATCAAAAACTATTTCAATCATAGACAATATCTACACAATTCCTAAATGAATGTGGATATACAAACAACCCTTATATATATCTGTCTTAAAAAATTATTGAGGTACAATTTAACTTTCTGTCTTTTGATCAATACTGACACATTTTTTAAAAAATAAACATTCAGCCAGGCAGGGTGGCTCACGCCTGTATTCCCAGCACTTTGGAAGGCCAACAAGGGTGGATCATTTGAGGTCAGGAGTTCAAGAACAGCCTGGCCAACTCGGCAAAACCCTGTCTCTACTAAAAATACAAAAAATAGCCAGGTGTGGTGGCACATATCTTTAGTCCCAGCTACTCGGGAGGCTGAGGCACAAGAATTGCTTAAACCAGGGGGGTGGAGGTTGCAGTGAGCCAAGATCTTGCCACTGCACTCCAGCCTGGACAACAGAACAAGACTCTGTCTCTAAATAAACAAACAAACAAACATTCCTCCTGAAGCAATTCTGGGGAAAGGTAAGCCTAATTTAACTCTTAGTAGTTGCCTCTTAAGTGTCATGACTTTAAGAGCCCTAGTATCTTTCTGACCTAAAATCTCTATCTTTATAAAGCCATTTTAGTTAAGGTATAATGTCTTTAAATTAAACACCTCTGTTTAAAATGTAAATCTGTTATCCCTCATGATCCTTGAAGGGGTACTACACTGAGCCATCATCAACCATTTTATGTCATAGTATAGTAATTATTATTTTTTTGAGACAGAGTCTTGCTCTGTCACCCAGACTGGAGTGCAGTCATGTGATCTTGGCTCACTGCAACCTCTGCTTCCCAGGTTCAAGCGATTCTCCTGCCTCAGCCTCCTGAGTAGCTGGGACTACAAGCATGCACCACACCTGGCTAATTATTATTATTTTTCTCCATGTTGACCAGGCTGGTCTCAAACTCCTGACCTTAGGTGATTCGCCCACCTTGGCCTCCCAAAGTGCTGGGATTACAGGTGTGAGCCACTGCATCTAGCCGTTTTTTTTTTTTTTTTTTTCGTTAACTCCTAAGGAAAGGAGAATAGGGCAGGTAAGTTGTTTCAAATCTCCTGGCAGTCCTGAATTTTATAATTTTACAAACAGCACTTCATGTGTTTGTGATCAGTACAAAGCAGGTAAATGGAATGGCTTAGAGCAAAGGGCACATAGAGCTAAGGACTGGAGGTTAAGAGATGGGGCCCAGCCCTACCCAACCAAGGGACAACATAATATTATATATAATTATATATTATATAATATTATATATATTACATATAATGTATATAATATATATTATATATAGTATATATATGTGTTATATATATATGTTTTTTGTGTGTGTACACACACACACACACACACACACACACACACAACATTCACTCTTTGCCAGGCACTATTCTAAGTACCTCACATATACTGACTTACGTAATCATCCCAATAATTCTAGGAGATAGATACTATCATCATGCCCAGTTTACAGATGAGGAAACTAAGGTGCAGAGGGGCTAAGAAATTTGCCCAAGGTTACACAGCTAGTAGCTGGCAGAGCTGGGATTTAAAGTTAGACAGTTGGTTTCTGGTAGCCCTGCTCTTAATCAGTATATGCTACTCCCTGTATGTAACATAAGAGCCAGAAGGACATTGGGAGAGGTGGGATTGGGGAACAATGATCATCCTCACTACTTGACAGCTTTTCCTAAGGTTGTCTTGTACTATCTTGTCTAGACTTGTATTGGAGCCAGGCCAGCATAATATTTTTCTCTTTAAACAACATCTTTTCCCAAATATATCCTGCATATCAAACTAAGTATCACACATAATGGGTAAGAGAGTATTTTGTGTTTTATTTTTAAAGCACTGGGCCTGAAATGTGAAGACATACAGCAAGTCACGCAGTTCCTTTCTTCCTCATAAAATGGATCAGGGTAATAATACATGCCTTACTCACTTCACAAGATAAGCTTGTGACTCTCGATCTAAAGGAGGGGTGTGCGTGTGTGTGTGTGTGAGTGTGTGTGTGCGCGCGCGTGCATGTGTATATCATTTTTTAAATTATTAAATTTTATATAACTATTAGGCATTGTTATTCAAGTTGTTTGTAAGCTTCTTCAAGGCAGAGACATACTCATATTTTCATTGAGCTGCTAGCACCTAGTACAATGCCTGGCACTTATTAGACTCAGAAAATGTTTGAGAATTGAATTAATTAATGAACAATGCACAAAAGCATTGGAGCATTCAGATTTATTCTCTAAACACCAAGAGATAGCGCTTTCAGTTGTTACCTTCTGGGGGTGAGATGCATTTTTCAACCAAAATGCTAGGCTTCTCACTCTCATTGGTGCTACACTGGGACCCCACTTGCAGACAAATCCTCTCATTCAGGGGTACTTCTATTGAACGACGAGTTTCCGGAGCTATTTTCTAAGGTTAGAAAATTGAAAAAGGCATTGCTTCAGCTAACACACACTTATATAATGAAACATTAGCATGTCTAAATGTGGTGCTTTTTTTATCAAAAAAGTTATCAAATGGTATAGATCAGTGATTCTCAATTGGGGCTGATTTTGTTCTCCCTACCGCTCTCAGAGACATTTGGTAATATCGAACACTTTTTATTGTCCTAACTTGGGAGGGGGAGGTTACCAGCATCTAGTAAGTAGAGGTCAAGGACGCTGCTAAACATCCTACAATGCACACAACAGCCCCCCTCCTCCTACAACAAACCCTTCAGCAAATGTCACTAGTGTCACCATTGAGAAACCCTGGTGTAGATACAACAATTTCCCACATTTTAAAGGTATAAACATGAAATTTACCTATAAACCTACAATGCTAACATATCAACTCTCTAAAAGCAATTTTAAAGGAAACAATATGATTATCAAAATTCACTTAGAAGTAGATGCACTGTACCAGGAAAATTAAGGTTAAAAAGGGATGCTTTAAGAATCCAGGAATCATGCCAGGCTCAGTGGCTCATGCCTATAATCCCAGCACTTTGGGAGGCTGAGGCAGGCAGATCACTTAAGCCCAGGAGTTCGAGACCAGCCTGGGCAAAATGGCAAAACCCCATCTGTACAAAAAAAAATTGGCCAGGTATGGTGGCTCATGCCTATAGTCCCAGCTACTCATGAGGCTGAGGTGGGAGGATCACTTGAGCCTGGGAGCGGGAGGCTGCAGTGAGCCAAGATTGCACTCTAGCCTGGACAATGCAGTGAGACCCTGTCTCAAAAAAAAAATCCAGTAATCATGGTTACTTCTGGGTAAGGAAGTAAAGGAGGAGGGCCTGAGGGCTGAAGAGAGACTTTTCATTAAACCTCTTTCTCTACTGTTTGACTATTTTGACTACCTCATATATATGTATAAATTTCAAACATTGCTATATGTGCTGAGTATATACACTCTCATTCTGAAAAGTAGATAAGCTTTGTGGAACCATAGGAAGCCAATTTATAGACATCATAGAGACATAAATCACCAGTCTGGTTACTATGACTGAGAATAATAAGATTAATGGGCTCTCCGGGAAATTAACATTTCCCAAACTGACAGAGTTGGAATAATTAAGAATGGAGCTGCTTTTAATCAGAGCTCCAAGGAGAGCACCTCCTGTTTTGCAATAGCTTCTGACTCAAGTCAGAGATAGTATTTCCTTTCATCTACATGTTGACGGCCATGAAGAGGAAAATTTGCCACAGTTAGTTCTATCTGCTACCCTAAAGAGCTATTCTGCCATGTCACATGCCTGCTGCCAGCTGAGCATGAGGGCAACTGTGAGATACCCCCAAAACCAGGACATATGGATGGCCTCTGAGAAGTAACTACCAAGTCAACAATGAATAAATCATAGCAAGGACACAAAAACAAAATCACTTTATAGAACCAGAATAGCTCTTAGGTCCAGTCAAGACAGTACTCTGAAAAGGGAGTTGGTCAGCCCTGGAAGAACAGAAAAAGAAATGTCTGTGAGCAAAATCCTGACAGGCAGGAAAAAGAGGGTGATACAGGAATGTGGGCATTGAATTTTTCTGTCCCACTGGCAAAGCTGTTTACTCTCAGTAGGGCCTCCAGCTATTCTTAGACAAGTATATTTTTACAACTAATTTCTGATTCCTCACCAAGAAACCTACTTAACATTTGGCTTCCCATATAGGCTCTGCCGACAGGGATGAAATGCACCAGTTATGCTAACAGAAATCTTCCTAGAATGCTTCACCATTACCATTCCATTTTCACAACAAAGTAAAAAATCAGCCCCTGAGAGATGCATGTGTGCTGAGGAAATGAAGTTTCTGAGTATGTGAAGCTGAAGACCTGCCTCCAGGATCATGGTAGTGGTGGCAGGAAGGCTTCGAATACAAATTTTACCAACCTCACAATTTTACTAAGCACAAGTCCCATATATCTTTGAAGAAGCCACCCTTATCCAAGGATCCATGGCAATTCTTGTTTGGAAGCTATATTTGCCCTTTGAAGACATCAGGGGAAAATGTACAGTCAAATGTCAAATTAGACTGTACAGTCAAATACAGTCAAATTAGAATCATCATGAAGATAATCCCAGTTTTCATATTATAATGGACATTGTTCCAGTTAGAGGGTTACGGAGTTTTAGTACACAAAAATTATCACAATGGAATTTTTAATTTAAAAAATGCCTTAGTGGCCAGGCGTGGTGGGTCACACCTGTAATCCCAGCACTTTGGGAGGCCAAGGTCACCTGAGGTCAGGATCACCTAAGGTCAGGAGTTGGAAACCAGCCTGGCCAACATGGCAAAACACTGTCTCCACTAAAAATACAAAAAAAATTAGCTGGTCGTGGTGGCATGCACCTGTAGTTCCAGCTATTTGGCAGGCTAAGGCACAAGAATTGCTTGAACTTAGGAGGCAGAGGTTTCAGTGAGCTGAGATCGTACCACTACACTCCAGCCTGGGTGACAGAGCAGACTCCATTTCAAAATAAAATAACATAAAAAATTAAAAAATGCCTTAGTATCTAAATCCGAACCTTATGCTTCAGGCATATGAATAATAACATAGAAAAGGGACAGTAGAGGGAAAATTTTTTCAAATAATTTTTTTTTAATTTCTTTCAAAGTTCAAGGTAAACAATATTAAACTGGCACTAATAAAGTAGGAACCCAGATTATCAACAACTGCCAAGTCAAGTACACCTCTCTGTATCACACAAGAAACTAAATTCCTAAATTCCTTCCATCAGATTTTTTTTTTAAACAGTCTTGCTCTGTTGCCCAGGCTGGAGTGCAGTGGCATGATCTCGGCTCACTGCAACCACTGCCTCCTGGGTTCAAGCGATTCTCCTGCCTCAGCCTCCCAAGTAGTTGGGATTACAGGTGCACACCACCACGCCTGGCTAACTTTTGTATTTTTAGTAGAGACAGGGTTTCACCATGTTGGCAAGGCTGGTCTTGAACTCCTGACCTCAGGTGATCAGCCCGCCTCGGCCTCCCAAAGTGCTGGGATTACAGGCATGAGTCACCACGTTCAACCCTCCCATCAGATCTTGATGAGGTATGTGTGATGGCTCCCATGTGACTTTTGGCTTTGGTGAATCATTCCCACTGGTAGCTGCTGTATGATGTTATGCTCCACCCTGCAGGGAATCTGATTCCCTTTGAAAATTTATCAAAAACCAAGGCAAGAGTCCTGAACTGATCTCCCCAGACCAATGTTCACTTGGCTGGACTGCACCTTTCTCAACTCCAGAATTCCTTTCTCAAAAAGAAAGGGAGTTAGCTTCAGCATCTTCCTATTTGGATGCCTGGCCTTTTGATTAGTTTGCCTAATGGGACTTGCCCATCTCTTAGTGATGAAAGATATCTAAAATCTGATGCTAGATCCTCCTTCTACTTGCCAGCTGAGGAACTATTAGACACTGCCTAAAAAATGGTGGAGGGCTGCCATTTACACTAATCTTTTCTTTTCCAAAAATCCTCTGCAAATCCCTGTCTCTCAACTTGATGAGCCTCCAATCTTAAGATTGAAAATGACCTCAAGGGTTTATCTCATTTAGCAACTTGGGACCTTTGAACATTTTCCTAAGCCCCCTAATGTACAAACTATCATAATGCCATTGCTTCAATATGCTTCAGGGATACCTCAGTTTGGCCCAATGATGCTAATGCTGTACCCAAAGGACAGAAAGAGGAGAGGAAAATTACTTCTGCCATTCATTTTCAGCCTCCTGATGATAAACTTGAAAAAGGTCCAGACAGGATATCTCCTATCACTGACTGGAAGGAATAATCCGTGTTCATCACAAATGTAGGACTGATGGCCATCAATGCTGTCAAATGGCTACAATGAATGAGCTGGCCTTAGGCAGAGGTCACCCTTTTTGGTCTCTATCTGGTTTCTTCAGGGGTAAAATGGAGGAAACAAGATTAAATGATAATATTAGGCTGACAAATAATACTGACAACATTCAACCATTTTGACCCATAAAAGTGGTAATTTCACATGGCTCAACCTAACAACAGTAACAATAATAAAAGCTAACAATTACCTAGCACTAACTCTGTGTCAGGTGCATTACAAACCTCATCTCCTTTAATGCACACACCATCCATATTCAGTTGGTACTATTATTACCCGCCCCCCGCCAAAACAACCCCATATTTTATAAACAAGAAAATGGGAGCTCAGAGAGGTTAAGTGATTTGCCCAAAATCAAACAGCTTGAAACGGGAAGAGATAAAATTTCAAGCACAATTCTATCTGATTCTACTGTCTCCTAAAGTTACATTTAACTCTAGATTTCTGCACATACTCTGAGGAAATAGCCCCATTTCTAGGCTAGAACACCAGCCTGGCTACCTGATTGATCCTTGACAACTTAAGGAAAAGGGACCTGAAAAGCAACCTCTGCTCAGGGTTTCAGTTAGACACTTGGGTGATTACAGGGCTTACAGCCAGAGGCACTTAGGGTCTTTCTGTGAATTTCTCAAGGCTCAATTACCAAAAATCACCACTAAGACTCCAAATGCCTAAGGCCCTTCCTTAGGAGGAACAAGAGGAAGCCGACAGTATGTAAAGGCAAACTCCAGTCTCACTGCTAGTAGTATCATTGGCTTCCACATTTAGAAGACCTCTTTTAAAATGCAAATACTTCTGATAAGCCTCAATTCTTTATCAATTAACGCCTAAACCATAAGTAACACCTCAGCAGGACAAGGGAGAGGAAGGCAGATTAGCAAATTTCCCTCCAGAGGAAGAGCATGTTCCATCCTGACTATTAAACTTTTGTATATATACATTATTTTCTGTGTCCCAGCAAGCCAGCGAAGTGAGTAAAGCCATACTTTATACATAAGGAAACAAACGCTCAGAGAGGTTAAGCAATTTATTCCAGGCCATAGAGTCAGCTAAGAGTGACAGTGCCAATCAGAAGCTAGTTCTCCTGACTTCCTGCCACCAAAGCTGCCTGAACTTGGTGCTTCTACAATTCACTGATGCAAAGCACTGTTGCTAATAACTTCTCATTCTGCCTACTCAAAATCCTGGACAAATTCAACCCCAAACACCCAACCCACTCACCGCCGCCACCCTGCAACAAACACATACACACCGAAAGAAGGTATAAAAAGATTTTGAAAAAAAAGTTGAATAAGATTATCATAAAGGACCTGAAATTATCCAAACCTATTAACAAAAATTCACTTATATCAGTTGACTAGAAATCTTGAAAGTCTTCCTCCTTTTTCCGCGGGCATTACAGAACCCTCTACTCAAACACACCTGCCACTGACAACTTACTTTTTCACTTTCCATATGGCCGTTTACTTTTACACCACATAGTGCCTGTACATCTATTTGTCCATGTGATTAGCAAGATGGTAAATGTAAAAATTCCCCAAAATTAAGTGTTATATAGATACAAGGCAATACAGCTACAGGCAGGAACATAGGAACAAATTTTAACAATAACATAATTATTTATTGAGTACCTTAGAGAAAAAGATATCTAGTATTTCCTGTCAGAGCAATCTCAATTGCATTTAATTGTCAAATAATTAGCAAATATTTTTAAGTGTTCACTTGTGTCAATAGTTGCTTCTATAATTTCCCCAACTGAAATTTAAACACACCCTAAAATACAATTTCCACTTTGACGTAAGACTAGAATTTGGCTTATTCTTGGCTCCAATTCATAGTGTTCACTTTACCTCATCAATGTAACATGTTGCAGAAAACTTACCTTATCTTGTTTGTCGCCAAAATGACTAAAATACCATAGACTACAATTTGAGCTGGCTCCCTCGGGTGGATTCCATGTCCATATTACTGTGCAGAGGTTTTCAACAGAGACACTCAAATTTGTCACAGGTGGCTGAGTTTCTGTTCAAATCAAGGACAAAAAAAAATGAATTTATCAACAGTATTTTTAATGGTTTGCTTAATTCTCCCAAGTCCTAGAGGACAAGACAGTAATAACTGAGTTAACAACATCTAACATTTACTGGGCCAGGGACTATTCTAAATATTCCACACATATTAATCCATTTAATCCTCACAACAATCTTGGAGATAGGGACTAGTATTAGCCTCATGTTTTTGTTGTTGTTGTTTTTTGAGATAGAATCTCACTTTGTAACCCAGGCTGGAGTGCAGTGGCACGATCTCAGCTCACTGCAGCCTCTGCCTCCTGGGGTGAAGTGATTCACCTAGCCTGTTACTGGGACTACAGGCACATGCCACCACGCCTGGCTAATTTTTGTAATTTTAGTAGAGATGGGTTTTTGCCACACTGGCCAGGCTGGTCTCGAACTCCTGAGCTCAAGTGATCCGCCCACCTTGGCCTCCCAAAGTTCTGGGATTACAGGTATAAAGCCACCACACCTGGCCTATTGGCCTCATGTTAAAGATGAGGCAACTGAAGCAACAAGCAGGTGAAGTAATTTGTTCCATATCCCATGGCTACAGTAAACGGCAGAGCTGGGAGTGTCACTTGAAAAGTGTGGCTCCAAGGTCACATTCTTAACCACTTCCATAGAGAAGAGTGATATTCTTAAATACTAATATTTCCAAGTTGTTCTCTTCCAGGAATTTGGGGTTCCCTAACCTTGGGATCCACACCTCACTCCATACAGACTCTTCAGACTGGGCACGGCGGCTCACACCTGTAATCCTGGCACTTTGGGAGACCAAGCGGCTTGAGCCCAGGAGTTTGAGACCAGCCCCGGCAACATAGCAAAATCCCATCTATACAAAAAAGTTACAAAAGTTAGCCAAACATGCTGGTACATGCCTATAGTCCCAGGTACTGGGGGGCTGAAGCAAAAGGATGACTTGAGCCCGGGAGTTTGAGGCTGCAGTGAGCCAAGATCATGCCGCTGCAGTGAGCCAAGATCATGCCACTGCACTCTAGCCTGGGTGACGGAGCAAGACCCTGTCTCAAAAACAATGACAACAACAAAAAATCAGATTGTTCAAAATCTCAGCAGTTCTATAAGTAAGTTTAAGAAGCTCATCTTTAATTCTGCTTGCTAACATGACCTGGTAATTGTTTTTTTATAGCTTTTCCAAAGAAGTACTGAGAAAGAGACTTAGCAGCCCTTGTTCCCCTGAGGTCTGACACTAAACAGCTGGAGCTAGAGCTTTGACTAATCTGAAGAGGGAAGAGAAAGAGGAGGAACTGTGAAACATCATTTTAAACTTTCCTGAGAAGTTCTCCTGAGACTATCAAAATCATCCCCCAGAAACTGGGTGATGGGTATACAGGAACCCTCTGTCCCACCTTTGCAACTTTTCTGTAAATCAAAAATTATTTCAACATAGAAGTTTATTAAAATTATTTGAAAATAATTCCCCCAAATTTTCTAAAGTGATGAACGGAACCATTATTAATTACTTAAGGATTATAGTAATAGTAATTTACCAAATGATAGAGTTAAATCTTGTACTCTATGCTAATACTTTGGAGTGCACTGGGCCTGTTACATAATCAGCAATATTTATACTGTTACCTTCCTCCCTAACTGAGCAAAAAATTCCATTTGTCCCAAAACATCAAAACATCAAACTCACAGACACTCTGTAGTTGAGGTTTCTCTAACAGTCAATTTTATACATAGCAGCTACTTGGTCAGCAGTCTACAAAGGCCCTTGACCCTCAACATTCATTCCCTGGTGATTATTTAAAAGTCAGAAAACAGATGTTGATGAGGCTGTGGAAAATAGGGAATGCTTATACCCTGTTGGTGGAAATGCAAACTGGTTCCACCACCGTGGAAAGCACTTTAGAGATTTCTCAAAGAACTTAAAATAGGCCAGGCACAGTGGTTCACGCCTATAATCCCAGCACTTTGGGAGGCTGAGGCGGTTGGATCACTTGAGATCATGAGTTCGGGACCAGCCTGGACAACATAACGAAACACCGTCTCTACTAAAAATACAAAAATTAGCCAGGCATGGTGGTGTACAACTGTAATACCAGAAACTCAGGAGGCTGTGGCATAAGAATCACTTGAACCCAGGAGGTGGAGGTTGCAGTGAGCCAAGATTGCACCACTGCACCCCAGCCTGGGCAACAGAGCAAGACTATGTCTCAAAAAAAAAAAAAAAAAAAAAAAAGGACTTAAAATAGAACTACCATTCAACCCAACAATTCCATTACTTGATATATACCCAAAGGAAAATAACTCATTCTATCATAAAGACACATGCACCTGTATGTTCACTGCAGCACTATTCACAAAAGCAAGGACACGGAACTAACCTAAGTGCCCACCAACAGTGGACTGGATAAAGATAATGTGGCACATATATACCATGGAATACTACGCAGCCATAAAAAGAATGAAACCATGCCCTTTGCAGCAACATGGGTGGAGCTGGAGGCCTTTATCCTAAGTGATCTAATGCAAGAATAGAAAACCAAATACCGCATGTTCTCACTCATAAGTGGGTGTTAAACACTGAATACACATGATCATAAAGATGGAAATGATAGACACTGGGGATCACTAGACAAGGGAGGGAGGGAGGTGGGTTTGGGGGCCGAAGAACCACCTGTTGGGTACCATGGTTACAGCCTGGGTGATCAGATTGTTGGACCCCAAGTCTCAGCGTCATGCAGTTTACCCATGTAGCAAATCTGTGCATATACCCTTTAATCTATAATAAAATTTGAAATAAAAAAAATCATTCCCTCTTCTAACTCTACCTTTTCCCAAGGTCCAACTGTGGGAAGGAGCAGCCCACAGCAGGACAAGGCCTTGTGGAAACAAAGAATTCCTATTGCACTGCATTAAAACTGAGCTAGTACCAGGGAGCACCAATGGCTCAGGCAACAGTGCTAAAGTTAGGATTTTAAGTGATTAAAAGCATGTATGGCTATTCCATTTTGGCCTTTCTAACACCATATCAATGATATTTTTGAAGACAAATCATTTGTCAGGTAGAGAGCCTCCAATAAAAACATTGTTCCTACTGGAGACTACAATTTACTGTAGGATTATCTGCCTTATTCTGCAGTTCCCAGAAACACATCCAAGAAACCTAGTTTAGCACTTCCAGTACTCTCCCTACCCACCTACCTCCCACTCCCACACAAATATTAAAGCCCTGATAATAAAAATATACCTATTTGTGGTTCATTTCAATTGTACTCCAATTTATTTTCAAGGTAATTTAAAACCTACTTTAACCTCAGTTTTGAAATAAAACAATGGCCTGCCCTATATTCAACCTTTCAAATGGGATTAATATTCTCCCATCTGTTTTGAAGTGTCCTTTGGTCAGATCTTCTAACTGGTTTGCATTTTGGGCTTCCTGGGGCTATCTGCTATCCTTTTCTTTTTCTCTTCTGGTTTCCTCCATATCTTTTGATTTTTCTACTTCCTACACTTTAAAAACACACACACATGGATTCTGGGAATAAGGCAAGAGTAGGAAGCACCAGACATCTATCTCCTCACCTAGATAACAATGGTAGTGGCAGAGTCTGTTTGATGTAACAATTTTGGAAGACTGCAGAGTTATATCAGGAAACACTTACATTGAAGGCTTGCAATTTCCCAGGAAAGGCTTGAACAACAAATTGCCATAAATTTCAATCAATGTCAGCTTTTACATAGTAGTAGCTGCCCATCCTTCATCCCCAACCCCATGGCAGGCGGCTGTGCACATGTTCCTGGAGCCCTCTGCCCACAGCTTGTGGGCTATGTGGGCAGAAGTACTCTGTCCTCCAAATATCAGGGATTTGTATTCTGATTACTGATTGCTGCTTCTGATCACAGAGGTACAGACAAAGAGGCTGGCAGCCATTGTGGTTGCACCTATCCCCACTGTTGCAAGCCCTCCCTATCTAGCTAAAGTGATTTCCAGAAGATGTAAAAGAATGGCGCTCTTCCCTTGTCGCCTCATTTTTCTCCTTTTCCACTTTTGGGAGCCAGGCATTAAAGATTAGAAATTCTTAAACAACTACAGAGGCTGGGCATGGTGACTCACACCTATAATCCCAGCACTTCGGTAGGCCGAGGCAGGAGGATTACTTGAGGCCAGCAGTTAAAGATCAGCCCTGGCAACACTGCGAGATCCCATCTCCACCAAAACAATTTTTTTTGTTTGTTTGGTTAAATTAGCTAGGTGTGGTGGCATGAATCTGTAGTTCCAGCTCCTCAGGAGACTGAAGTGGGAGGATCACTTGAGCCCAGGGATTCGAGGTTACAGTGAGCTGTGATCACACCACTGCACTCTAGCCTGGGCAACAGAGCGAGACTAGGTCTCAAAAACAAAACAAAACAAAATGAAACAAAACTATATATACAGAGAAAAACAGAAAGTGACCACACATGCTCAGGGAAAGCCCAGAAAAAAACCTGAGAAGACTAAGTTTACACTTCAGGTTGATGCTCAACACACAGACAGCCTACAATAATCAAAAAAATAAAGACAATAAACAAAACAATAACAAAAAACAGCAAATCCTGGGGGAAGGGGGAATCTGGTTTCCAGAGAAACCAGATTTAAATGTCCAGTTTCTAACAAAGAATCACAAGACAGACAAAACAAAACAAAACAAAAAAACCAGGAAACTATGGCCCAAAGAAAAAAAGTTAAACAACAGCAAACCTGTCCCTGAAAAAGACCTGATGGCAAATATATTAAAGAAAGATTCTGAAACAAATATCTTCAGATGTTCACAGAACTAAAGGAAGATGTGGAGAGAGTCAAGAAAATGATATGTAAGCAAAATGAAAATACCAATAAAGAGATAGAAAACCTAAAAAGAGACCAAAAAGAAACTCTGGAGCAGAAAAAGCACAACTGAAATGAAAAATTCACTAAAAAGAATCAAAGGTAGATTTGAGCAGGCAGAAGAAAGAATCAATAAACTTGAAATTAGGGCAATAAAAATTATTGAGTCCGAGGAACAGAAAGAAAAAAAGATTGAAGAAAAGTGAACAGAGTCTAAGAGACCTGTGGTACACCATCAGCAGACCAGTGTATGCATTATGGGGGTTCCAGGAGAAGAGAGAGAAAGAGGAAGAAAGAATACTTGAAAAAATAATGAGCCGGGTGTGGTGGCTCATCCCAGCACTTTGGGAGGCCAAGGCAGGCAGATTGCCTGGGTCCAGGAGTTCGAAACAAGCCTAGCCAACATGGCAATACCCCAGTTCTACTAAAAATACAAAAATTAGCTGAGTGTGGTGGTGCACATCTGTAATCCCAGCTACTTGGGTGGCTGAGGCAGGAGCATCGCTTGAACCTGGGAGGCAGAGGTTGCAGTGAGCTGAGATCGTGCTACTGCACTCCAGCCTGGGTGACAGAGTGAGACTCTGTCTCAAAAAAAGAAAATAAAGAAATAATGGATGACAACTTCCCAAATTTGATGAAAGGCGTAAATATAAACATCTAAAATGTAGACGATGCAGCGAAAGCAGTACTATTGGAAAAATTTATAGCTATAAACACATATTAAGAAACAAGAAAGATCTCAAATCAGCAACCTTAACTTTACAACTTGCGTAACTAGAAAAAGAACAAACTAATCTTAAGCTATCATAAGGAAGGAAATAATGAAGATTAGACCAGAGATAAAAGAAAAAGGGAATAGAAAAATAGAGAAAATCAATGAAACTAAAAGCTTCTTGAAAAGATCAACAAAACGGACAAACCTTTAGCTAGATGGACTAATAAGAAAGAAGACTGAAATTACTAAAATCAAAAATGAAAATGAGAACTTTACTCATTTTCAAAAATGAAAATGAGTATTTCTCTAGAATCACTACTGATTCTAGAGAAATAAAAAGGGTTATAAGAGAGTACTATGAACAACCGTACACTAACAAATTGGACAGCCTAGATGAAATGGACACATTTCCAGAAACACAAAACCACCAAAACTAAATCACAAAGAAATAGGAAATCTAAACAGACCTATAAGTAGTAAGGAGATTGAATCAGTAATCAAAAATCTCTCAACAAAGAAAAGCCCTAGACCTGATAGCTTCACAGATAAAATTCTACCAAACATCTAAAGAACTAGTACCAAACCTTCTCAAACTTCGTAACTCATTCTACGAGGCCAGCATTACCTGATACCAAAGCCAGACAAAGACGCTACAAGAAAAGAAAACTACAGACCCATATGCCTTATGAACATTGATGTACAAATTCTCAACAAAATAGCAGTAAAGTGAATACACGGGCATATCAAAAGGATTATAGACCATGACCAAGTGGGATTTATTCCTGGAATACAAAGATGTTTTAACATACAAAACTTGATCAATGTAATATACCACATTAACAGAATAAAGGGGAAAAAACTACCTGATCATCTCAATTGATACAGAAAAAGCATTAGACAAAATTTACTTTTCATGATAAAAACACTCAACAAACTAGGAGTGTAAGAAAATTGACTTAAAAGTTATATATGAAAAACCCACAGTAAACATCACCCTTAATGGTGAAAGACTGAAAGCTTTTCCTTTAGGGTCAGGAATGAAACAAAGATGCCCACTTTCACCACTCCTATTCAACATAGTACTTGAAGTTCTACCCAGAGCAATTAGGCAAGAAAAAGAGATAAAAGACATCCAGTTAAAATAAGATGTAAAATTATCTCTGTTTGTAGATGATATGGAAACACATCCCATGTTCACGTATTAGAACACTTAATATTGTTAAGATGTCAATACTATCCAAAGTGATATATAGATTCAATTCAATCCTTATCAAAATCTTAATGGCATAGTTTTGCAGAAATAGAAAAATCCATCCTAAAATTCTTATGAAATCTCAAGGAACCCTGAATAGCCAAACAGTCTTGAAACGGAAAAACAAAGCTGTAGGACTCACACTTCCTGATTTCTGAACTTACTACAAAGCTGCAATAATCAAAACAGTGTGTACTGGCATAAAGACAGACATACTGATCAATGTAATAGAATAGACAGTCCAGAAATAAACCATCACATGTATGGTCAAATGATTTTGACAACAGTGCCAAGACCACTCAATGCAGACAATCTTTTCAACAAATGGTGCTGGGAAAACTGGATATCCATATGAAAAAGAATGAAATTGGACGCTTACCCAATACCAAGTAAAAAAAAAATTCAAAATGGATCAGAGACTGAAATTTTAAGACTAAAACTATAAAATTTTTAGAAGAAAACATAAGACAAAAGCTTCATACCATTGGATTCAGCAACAATTTCTTGGATATGACACCAACAATGTAGGTAACAAAAGAAAAAATTGACGAATTGGATTTCATGGAAAAAATTAAAACGTGTGCATCAAAATATTCACAGAAAAAAGTGACTCACAGAATGGAAAAATATGTGTAAATCATATATCTGATAAGGGATTAATATCCAGAATATACAGAGAATGCCTAAAACTCAACAATAAAAAAAAATTCAATTCAGAAATAGGCAAAGGCTTAAATAGATATTTCACCAACAAAGATAAGGAAATAGCCAATAAGCACATGAAGGTGTTCATCATCACTAATATTTAGGAAAATGCAAACCAAAACCACAATGAGATTTCACCTCACTCCCATTAGAATGGCTACTATCAAAAAACAGAAAATAAATGTTGGCAATGATATGGAAAAATTCAAACCCCGGTGCACAGTTGGTGGAAATTTAAAATTTCACTATGGACAACAGTATGGTGGTTCCTCAAAAAAATTACAAATAGAATTATCATATGATACAATAATTCCATTTCTGGGTATATACCCAAAAGAAGTGAAAACAAGGTCTCAAAGAGATATTCTACACCCAGGTTCATAATAGTATTGTGAAATTGCTAAAACATGGAAGCAACCTAAGTGTCCATTGACAGATAAACAGATAAGCAAAATATGGTATATGCATACAATGGAATATTAGTCAGCTTTTAAAAAGGAAAAATTCTGACATATGATACAACATGAACCATGAGGGCATTATGCTAACAGAAATAAGTCAGTCACAAAAAAGACAAATAGTATAAATCATGCTGCTATAAAGACACATGCACACGTATGTTTATTGCAGCACTACTCACAATAGCAAAGACTTGGAACCAACCCAAATGTCCAACAATGATAGACTGGATTAAGAAAATGTGGCACATATACACCATGGAATACTATGCAGTCATAAAAAAGGATGAGTTCATCTCCTTTGTAGGGACATGGATGAAACTGGAAACCATCATTTTCAGCAAACTATCGCAAGGACAAAAAAACCAAACACTGCATGTTCTCACTCATAGGTGGGAATTGAACATTGAGAACACTTGGACAGAGGAAGGGGAACATCACACACCGGGGCCTGTTGTGGGGTGGGGGGATGGGGGAGGGATAGCATTAGGAGATATACCTAATGTAAATGACGAGTTAATGGGTGCAGCACACCAACATGGCACATGTATACATATGTAACAAACCTGCACGTTGTGCAATGTACCCTAGAACTTAAGGTATAATAAATATATATATATATATAAATTTAAAAAAGGAAAAATTCTGACATATGATACACCATGAACCATAAGGGCACTATGCTAACAGAAATAAGCCAGTCACAAAAAAGACAAATAGTATATCATTACATTCATATGAGATACTTAGAGTAGTCAAAATCATAGAGATAGAAAGTGGAATGGTGTTTGCCAGGGGCTAGGGGCAGGGGAAAATGAGGAGTTATTGTTTAATGGGTACAGAGTTTCAGTTTTACAAGATAAAAAGAGTTATGGGGATGGATGGTGATGATGGTTGCACAGCATTATGAATGTATTTCGTAACACTGAACTGTGTACTTAAAAATGATTAAGATGGTAAATTTTATGTGTATTTTATAATAAAAAATTGAAAAAAACACAGGCACTGAAACTTTAATCTCCAAATGTTTAAATATATACAAATACATGTGAACTGTGTGTGTATACAACATGCCTAGACATATATATGATTAAGTGATGATTATACTACTTGTAAAGGTCTCTAACAGCTCTTCGTGTATAACTTCAACATAGTGTAGTGTTTAAGAGCACAGACTCTGGAGCCTGACTGCCTGAGTTTATATCCCACCTCTACTACTTGCCAGCAGGCAAATTACTTAACCTCTCTATTTCTCAGTTTTCTCATCTCTAATATGAGGATAATAATAGTAACCTCTTGCAAAGGGTTATTATGAGGATTAAATGAGTTAATACAAGCAATGTGCTTAGAATAGTGCCCACAGGCAGCAAGTGCTATGTGTTAGCTATCTGCTTTATTTCTTTAAGACAAAACAATTCTAAAGAGTTGCTTTTTTTTTTTTTTTTTGGAGACGGAGTCTCGCTCTGTTACCCAGGCTGGAGTGCGCTGGTGTGATCTTAGCTCACTGCAAACTCTGCCTCCTGGGTTCAAGCGATTCTCCTGCCTCAGCCTTCCGAGTAGTTGGGATTACAGGTGTGCACTGCCACGCCTGGCTAATTTTTGTATTTTTAGTAGAGACTGGGTTTCGCCATGTTGGCCAGGCTGGTCTCGAACTCCTGACCTCAAGTGATCCACCCACCTCGGCCTCCCAAAGTGCTGGGATTACAGGTGTGAACCACTGTGCCTGGCCAGGGTTGCTTTGGTTTTCTGTTGAATTGATATGTGTCCCTGGCCTTTGAGACAGAACAAGTATCCCTTCTACCTGATAAGCTTCCCTTAGGCACCTAATTTCAACCATGTCTTGGGGATTGCACCACTGACTTCAGAAAAGGGAGTAGGAAGGGACCCAAGTATGTCTGTATCTAAACCTCAAATCCCAAGTCTGTACAGTCATCTAGCACAACATCCTATTTAAATTAAGAGTTAACACAATCTACTATTTCATAAGAAGGCATTTTGCTTAGCTTATAGCTTTTGCTCTCGCCTGTCCAATCACAGCAGCTAGCAGAGGCATGCACATTTTGGGAAAAGTTAAGGAAATCACAAGAGTCATATATGAGTCATCTGTCCCTTCCCTTACATCCACTCAGGCATCAACTCCTGTTCGTTTTTTTCTTCCAACATCTTTCTTAGTTACCCCAATCATGCAAATATGCTCTGTTGTGCCCCACCAGGTGGGAAGATACCAGTAAGTCATGGTCCTGGACAGGAAGGGTTCGCAGCACATTTTTCTAGTGGAGACCTGCAACCATAGATTCTTATGTAGCTTCACACTCCAGGGGCTCCCCTACCCAGTGAAGTCTCCCTGCTTGCTTCCTCCTTCTGTGTTATTTTTCCCATGCTGTGCCGGACTCAGAGCTTTCAAGGGCAAATCAAGCTATTCTGCCTGGATTGACTTTACCAATGCACTCTCCTGCCAAGCCAGGTTCCTTCTTGACCACAAAGGAGCACTCTTGCCCTCATTTCTGGGTCTCTGCTCCTGCTATTGCCCCCACCTGGAATAAATTCTCCACCTACTCAAATCCCAGTCATCCAGAAGATCTAGCTCAAGTTTTACCTCTTCCATAACACTACCAACCGTCAGCTTTTTCTCTTTTGAATGCCTATAGTACTAGTTGTTTGGACCACACAGCCCAGCCACTATAAAGCCAGTCTCCAATGTAGTATCATTCGCTTCTTTTTTTGTTTTGAGACAGTCTTGCTCTGTCGCCCAGGCTGAAGTGCAGTGGCCTGATCTTCCCTCACTGCAACCTCTGCCTCCCAGGATCAAATGAGTCTCATGCCTCAGCTTCCTGAGTAGCTGGGATTACAGGCATGTAATCCCACACTCGGCTAATTTTTGTATTTTTAGTAGACGGGGTTTTGCCATGTTGGCCAGGCTCAAACTCCTGGCCTCAAGTGATCCATCTGCCTCAGTCTCCTAAAGTGCTGGGATTACAGGCATGAGCCACTGCACCCGGCCTAATATAGTATCATTAGCTTCTTAACAAATGGCTTGCACATACTTTCGTGGGTCCCAAGCCGTCCTGCCCTGCTACCCTGGGAGGTGTCCAGCTAAGGACTCTCGTCTTTTCTGCTGGGCAGAAGCAATGAGTACAGTGGTTAAGGGCATGGCCTCTGGAATCAGGCTGCCAGGGTTGGAAACCTAGCTCTTCCACTTTGCCAGGTATGCGAATTTGGGCAAGGGTCTTGGTCGCACTGTGCCTCAACTTTTTCGTGTACAAAATGGGACTAATAACAGCACCTACAAGTTATATTATTGGTAAAGATTAAATGAAATAGTACAAGTAAAGCAGCTAGAAAACTGCTGGGCATAAATGCTATATACATGCTAGTTATAATTAAGACATGCCACAATGTGGGCCATTGAGTGGGACAGGTTAAACTAAGCTAGTAATCTAATCACTTTTATAAACACTCTGAGGATTAGAGCTGGAGGAGCTCTTAGAATTTATGCAGTTCAACCTCCTCATTTCACAGATGAGAAAACTAACTGCAGCACAAAAGAGAGGAAATGACCAGCCCAGAGTCCCACAGGTGGTAAATATCAGAACCACTAAAACTCAAGTCTCACTGGAAACATCTAATTTTTTCCCACCATACCTCAATGCAATTCTATCAATACTTTTAATGGGGAAAGAAGTTTGTTTTCTAAATAAGCAAGCTAACGACAAACCATTGTGACAGGACTGATGAAGTTGGGAGTTGCCAGTATTCTCTAGATGGCCAGCTGTTGTTTCAGGTGTGTGTGGGAGTGAGTCTGTAGGAGGGAGGGTGCTGGAGTGGCACTGTGAAAATCAGGAGACTAATGAGACGGGTAACTTTAGACAAGTTCCTTCCCTTCTCTGGACTGCAATGTCCCCATATGATTACGGAAATCAGGTGTACCCAACTAAACTAGAGGCCCTTTTGGGGCAAGAATTTTGCTATACACTCTCAGGTTCTAAGTCAACCTAGAGGGCCTGACTCAGTACTAAATAAGGCAGACACCTGAATAATTATTGACTGACAAGCTTCAAGTCTCCCTCAGGTCTCTACTCAAATGCCACCTTTCAGCAACATTTGTTTTCTTCTCGATCCACCCTTTTTACAATGGCAAACCCCTTCCCACCTGCTCTGTTTTTCTCTACTTAACACCCTCAGACATATCATATATTTTACCCCCACCCCCCGATATGTCTGAGGGCAGGCACCTCATCTGTTTTGCTCACTGCTGCATCCTCAGCCCCTAAACACTGCCTGGCAGCATGTATTTTATTGACTGAATCCATAGAGGGCATTAAGGTTTCCTAATCAACATTTCAACTTGGATTTCAAAGCACATTGGTAAAAATGCAATAAGCATATATAAGTGTTTGTGTCAATGTGATAATAAAACCTATACAGTTTGGGGCTTTCATTGTCACCAAAAACGTCCAGAAGGCCATTCCTTCCAGGAGCTGCTCCTAAGGAAGTCATTAACTCCCAATTTTTCACAACTGCCAGGTTGATTAACTAGAAGTTACCAAACAGGGTGAGGGATATACACAACTCTCTGAAGTATCTTTGCAACTTTTCCATAAATCTACAATTACCCTAAAATATAAGGTTTATTAAAGAGAGTGGGGTGGGGGGAGCATCTGCCGGGATGCTATTCTGGATTTCCCAAAGGATTTCTTCGACGCCAGAGGAGGTCATGAGCGTCACGTCCTTTTTCAACAAGGACTGAGATGTTTAGAGGTTCCCTTCAACTTCCACTCGCAAGAGCCACCCTTAGACAGTGAGGATTGGCGCGGCCTCGGGCAAAGAGCCCCGGCGCGTTCTCAGCTCGCCTGGACTTCGGTCGTGGTCCCCGCCGGCTCTGGCGCCTCATTTCCTCCCGGGCTCACAGGCGACATTCCGGGCGCTGACCCACGGCCCTCTGACGCCGTGGGCATGTTTCGGGCCCCCCGCCCCCGCACGCCTGGACGCCAGCCTCCTGGGCTCTTCCCACTACAAGTCGCAGCCCTCTTACTTCGCTGCCGCCACCTCCGCCGCACCCGGAGTTCGGGAAAACCCCGCAGCTCCCGGGTCCCACCTCGAACCGGCCCCAGTACCGGGCCCCAGAGATCCCGCGCGGGAAGCCGCAGCCGCCGAGCGCGGGGCCTCGCGAGGGCAGCCCCCAGCACCCACCCCAGCTTCGGCCCTCCGCCCGGCGTTGACCTCCGGGGCCTTTCAGCCGTGACCCTCACCGCCCTCAGCCCTCCGGCCGCCCCTCGGGCCCCGAGGGTCGCACTCACCCGTAGGCGCGGCGCCCCCGCCCCCGCCCCCGCCGCCGGCGCAGAGCAGCAGCGCCCACAGCCCGCAGAGCCGCGCCGGCCACTCCATGCAGCCTCTCGCCTCGGAGCCCGGCCGGGCTGGAGCCTTGGCAGTCCCCGCCTCCTTCGCTCCCTCTTCCACTTCCCGGCTCCGCCGCCCTGGAGGCTGGGGGCCGGCGCAGACGGGAAGGGCCGCCCCGCCCACCGGCCTCAGGTAACCTGAGCCGGCGAGAGCGGCCGGAGGAGGCGGGGCGGGGCGCCGGCGGCTCTGGCGGCTCTGGCGGCTCCTACGGCTCCCAAGGCTGGACACCTGGCCCACCCGCAGCTCCCGCGTCCGGTCTCTGACCGAACAAAACTTCTTCCACCACGTCGCCGCCCACTCCGGGCGCTGCCTGGGCCTCCTCCCTCCGCGTGGCGGAGCCGGCGTCGCCGCTGCCAGCACACTTGCGGGGCCTCGGAGGTGCTAGGGGCTGTGCCCTGCTGGACACCAGGACAGAGTCATCTGCGGAAAAGAGCCTTGGCCTGGGAGTCTGGAGACCTGGCTTCCAGCCCTTGACCTCTGAGCCCTTGTTTGCTAGCGCTGACTCCAGGGTTAGTAATACCAGCCCTACTTCACTGGGTGGAGTTGGGGACACTGGCAGTACTGTGCTTTGTGAAAAGGACAAAGGGCATATTTGAAAGCTGGCAATACATAATGTTGATTTTAAAAGGAACATTCCAAACATGAGGGAGGATACCATACGTGCATTTTTTAAAGCACACGACAAACTTTCTACATATTTTTCAAAGGGATGGGAGGTGAATCGGAAGAATACACATTGATACTTGGGCGCCTATGAGGGTCAGTGAGGCTGGGAGGAAGGAAAACAAGAGTCCTTAGGCGTTTCCTGTTGCTGCTGTCAAAAATGACCACAAATTTAGTGATTTAACAGTTTTATTTTATTACAGTTCTGGAGGTCAGAAGTGACACTGAGCTTAAATCAAGGTGTGGGCAGAGATGTATTCCTTCTGGATATTCTAGGGGAGAATCTGTGTCTTTGACTTTTCCAGCTTCTAGAGGCTACCCACATTCCTTGGCTTGTTGCGGAACTACTCAGACCTCTGCTTCCCTTGTCGTATCTGACTCTGACCCTCTTACTTCCCCTTTTCCCTTATAAATACCCTTGTGATTAGATTAGGTCCACCAGATAATTCATAATAATCTCCCCATCTCAAAATCCTTGATTTAATCATAACTGAAAAGTCATTTTTGCTATGTAAGTTAACATATTCACAGGTGTTGGGGATCACGATATGGAATCATGGGAGGGGGACATTATTCTATCACCTTCTCCCAAAAAAGAATCATGTCTAGGTGGATGATGAGACCCATAATGAGGTGTATTTTGGCCGAATTAAGCCAATGCATATACCTGAAAACAGTTACAAAAAGTATAGCAATAAAAATGCTGATAATATACCTAGTCTAGACCCCACCCAAAGGGCACAGGGTTGTTTAACCTATTCACAACAAAGGTTCCACTCTTGGAATTAAGGCTCTCAAACTCAATAAATATTTATGAAATTGTTCCAGGAACTGTTGAAGACACTCACCAAAAGCAAGCTCTGCTAACAGAAAGCTGCAGTCAGTCTGAGGGGCAATGATAAGGGCAAGAACAAGGAATTATGGGATACAAAAAGGGTACCTTTTGGGAGGGAAGGAGCAAGGGAAGCTTCCAGGAGGAGGGCCTGCCTGTGCTGAATCTCAGGATGTTGATTCTTTTGGCTAACGGTTCAGAATAAATTCCAGAATCCAGGCATGGTGGCATGCACCTGTAATCCCAGCTATTCTGGAGGCTGAGGTGGAAGGATCACCTGAGCCCAGGAGTTCAAAACCAGCCTGGGTCTGTAACAGAGTGAGACCCCGTTCTCAAAAAAAAAAAAAATAAATCCTGGCTTGCATGTGTTATCGAACAAAATAATGTTTATGAAAACAGTTTGTAAAGTATCAAGGCCTGTAGAACTGAGAGATAGTATCATTATTTCTAAATCCCTCCCACAAATAGGTCAGCCACTGTGTATCCCAAGGCCTTTCCTCCACCACCACGGACATATACACTTGTTGACATTTGCTATAAACATTATACAATAAGTTTATAATAACGTTTCCAAAATGGTTATGTCATCTGCCTTTTAAGGAGTCTTTAGTTGGAACAGGAGCCCCTGGGGACTGGCTGAGTGCCATCATGGGCACTGCTTGGCATAGATTGACCAAGCGCTTAATAAAACAGTAATGGTAGCAAATGATTAGAAAAATAGGGATTGCAGCTTGTCATGAGCTTCCAGAAAAGCCCTGAGAATCTGAACATCGTGAGGAAAAAAAACAAACGGCAGTGTGGAGAGGGGAGAGACCTGATTTCTTTTCACCAAGATAGTTCCGGCCTGCTGGCCTTAAGACTATATTGTTACTTTCCTTTCTTCCCGACCCTGAACATCATGCAACGATTTTTCAAATTTTTGGAAGGGGGTGGAAAGAGTCAGGAATGCTGTTTCTTCAACATAAAACTTGTATTTGTAATCTCCGTGTAGTGTGATTCGAAGAGCGTCTTGGATTGAATCAGGCCACTGCCCTGGTCTGCAGGAAGAATGAAGACAGATAGAAGGCTTTCCAGGAACTGCAGTAGACAAGGAGCTTTCAGTTTGGCTTTGTGTAAATCAAAATCATGATGAGTCAACATCAAGTTTAACCCTTAGAGTCCTGATGACTTGGGTGCGAGACTACCAGTGGCCTTTCTTTCACTTTGGCCCGGGGTGGCTGGAGTTCTGCGCTGCCCTGTGTACCTAGGCCACTCCACTCAACTGTTTTGACCTTTGCCCTTCTCACTAAGTCTTCGTCCATTTCTGTAACTGGAGGCTGAAAAGGGCATATGCAAGAAAATGTCTGGCAGGAAAGAATGATGTCCCTCTTTCCAAAGTCAGGTGTCCTTCCATCCATTTAGAGACACCTTCCTGAGTCCAAAAGGGACACAGACACCAGCATATTCCAAGGGCTTAGCTAAAAGTGCTGGTCCCTTAGACAAAAATCTCACAAAGAGTCCTCTAAGCAAAACCTCACACCACTGCAAAACAAAGAAAAAGGAGAAGTTGAAAACAGGGAATTTCCCTCCCGATTCTGGATCAGTGGCCCCCAACCAGGGGCAATTTTACATCCCAGGGGACATTCGGCAATATGGAGAGATATTTTTGGTTGTCATGACTGAAGCGGGGGCATGCTTCTGGAATGCAGTGAGTAGAGGCTGGGGATGCTGCTGTTAATACAATGCACACGACCGCCCCCACAACAAAGACTTACTCTACTCAAGATGACAACAGCGCCAAAGGTGAGAGAGATCCTAAGCTAGAATACTCTTTGTTGTCTTTTGTATTTGGTCCCCACCCACCCACTGTCCCCCATGCCTGGCCAAAATTAGAGATGAATGCTAAAAGTATGTACTCTTGACAACTCCCTTTCCTGTATCTCGTACCCCCAGTTCCCCATCCACTGTCTAGTCCTGCAGTCACTGATTAGATGGTAAAACATCTCTCAGATCTATTCCTCCCCCGACCACCCAGTTTCGCCTCTATGGTTCTATTTCAGGACTTTATTACCATTCCAGAAACAGTCTTCAAACTGGCCATGAGGGTCTACCCTTTACAAGACAGATCTTCCCAATGAGCAATCTGTCCATGTCACTCCTCAGCTTAAGCTTAAGTGACACCCCTCCCTTCATCAAATGCCACAAAAGGCAGTCTCAACTCCTCTGCCTGCAGGCTTGCCTCTTCAGGTTAGATTCCCCACACTCTTCCTAGCTTCACTTCCAGCCAAGCTTCCAGGTTCCAGGTGGCTGACTGGCCACCTTCAGGCTGAATCTCCCTTGTGAGCAATTGTGTTTGGTCCATATCATGTTGGAATTCATGGGGATCTAGATGCCAAAGTGTTTTTTTTAAGTCAGGAGATTTTGCCTAAGGCCCCAGATTTCCAGCTTCTCTTAATAAATCAAAAGTCCTGGTAATATTGGACCTGTTTCAGTGTAGAAACCGTCAGCAGATGTCAGATGGGCTGCCACCTTGTTAACAGGGCATGTACTTCCTGTCTGCACATGCCCTAGGGCTCCCTATTGCTCCCTGGCCTAGTCAGCGTTTCCTCACTTATGACTTGCCCGGTTCTTGTTTGTCACCTGTGATATTTTCTCACTGCAAACCTTTTATCTTGCTGTTCCCTTTATCTAAAATGCTTTTCCATTTCTCAAGTGTCACATTTTTTAGGGGCTTCTCTAACTCCCAAATGCAAAATTCTTTGCTCCCTCCTGTGTGTGTGCTCATAGCACCAGACACGTTCCTCTATCATATCAAATCACACAGAGGTTTGTGTGCATGTCTATTTCTGCCACTGGATTCAAGCTCCTGGAGGTCAGACTGTCCAGGGTGACTCCAGGTTTTCTACCTAGGAGGAGCTTAGTGGTGGTAATCTGATTGGAAGGAACAATCCCCAGGGGCCTTGTCTTGGAGCCATGTATGTACAGCAAGAGCTCTACTCTTACTTAGATTCTGAGTGGATTGAGTCGGGGGAGCTTGGAGAAAGGCATCCTCTGGCACCACAGAGAATATAAAGATGAATGGAACATGGTTAGTGGCTCATAACTCATTCTCAATGTTTGGGTTTAATTGAATTAAAGGTCCTTGCTCTTCAGCAGGTGGTTTTCTTCTACAGTTTTAGTGGAGTTCACTCAAGGGAGTGTTGCTTGCACAAGAGGCCACTGACAGGACCCTTTGGGTTTTGCCTGAGAGTAGGCACGCTTCTAGGTGACTGGGTCAGTGTCCTGAAACCCGTAGACCTGTGGGCCTCCAAACTTTACAGCAGGTTTTTTTTTTTTTTTTTTTTTTTTTTTAAGATGGAGTCTCGCTCTGTTGCCCAGACTGGACTGCAGTGCAATCTCAGCTCGCTGCAACCTCCACCTCCTGGGTTCAAGAGATTCTCCTGCCTCAGCCTCCCAAGTAGCTGGGATTACAGGCACATGCCACCATGCCCAGCTAATCTGTGTATTTTTAGTAGAGATGGGGATTCGCCATGTTGGCTAGGCTAGTCTCAAACTCCTGACCTCAGGTGATCCGCCCGCCTTGGCCTCCCAAAGTGCTGGGATTACAGGCGTGAGCCACTGCACCCAGCCTACAGCAGTTATTAAATTGACTCTTTAATTCAACAAGGCACTCCCTTTACCCAGAAATCTCCAATGCTAAAGTCCTCAAGATGGCTTCCAAGGCCTTACCCTATCTGACCCCATTATCTCTCTAACCTTCTCTCCTACTGCTCTCCTTGGCTCCCTTACTCTCCTCCAGCAACACTGACCACCTGGCTGTTCTTCACACAAGCTAAGTGCACTCCTGCCCGAGGGCCTTTGCCTTGACTTTTTCTTTGGCTATTTGCTCTCTCCCCGTCAAGATATCCTCATGCCTCACTCCCTGGCTTCTGTCAGATCTCTCACTGAGACCTGTCCTGGCCACCCCATTGAAAACTGCAAGCCCCATGGCCACTTCCTTTCTCTCCTTCCGCTTCCTGGGTCATTTGCTGTCTCCACTAGAATGTAAGCTCCATCAGGGCAAGAAGTTTTTTCTGATCGGTTCCCAGCTGGATCCCCAGCACTCAAAACTATATGTGGCACATAATACATGCTCAATAAATATATTTTAATTGAATAAATAAATTGTACATTTTTCTAGGTGCTGTGAGGAATACCAACCAACAAACCAAAGGCCTGCTCTTAGGAAACTCCTGGTCTAAGTTGTGGAAAGGTATAGAGAGCAATTAGAGAAAATGTAAAAAGCAAACAAACAAAAATGGTACAAATGCTCATCTGTGATATGGGTTCAAAGAAAGGTGACACAGGCCTGTGCTTTTGAAGGTTTCGTACAGTAGATGGGAGTTGAACTAGACCTTGAAGGATGACCAGAATGAGAGAGGGAGGTTAGGAGGAGAGAGAGAGAGAGAGAGAGAGAGCAGTCAGTTTATGGCTTGACCTCATAAGCAATAAGAAGTCACAGCAGGCTTTTTACAAACAAGATGCTGACATAATACGTGGTGTTTTGCTTTCTAAGATGAATTACCAAGAGTTTGTTAATTCTTGTCTGGAGGTAAGAAGGCCCAGGAAAGAATATTTGAGGTGTTGGCAGCCAGGGACAGGGCCAGCCTCCAGGCAAACTGCTGGCTCCATCAGTCAGAGCCCAGGTGCCAGGAGGCTGATTCTTCCCTGGGCAAAATGACTTGGGGTGCTGCTCTACACAGGAGCATGTTCCTGGGGCCTGGAGCCCCTACGCTCTCTTGCTCCCCTTGAAAGCATTCATTATTCCTTTCAGAAGCTCCCTGGCCTCACTTCCTCCAGGCTGCCAACCCTTCCTCTCTGGAATTGGCCTTGCTCTGTTTTCCAACACTTCAGTCTCTGAAAGAGGAAGGGCCTCTGTGTCTTAGCATCCAGGTCCCCTCCTTTGGCTTCTGGCTGCGTTGCTATCATCACTGCCACTACCACTACCCTGGCATCTTAGCCAGGATCCCCTACAACCTTTTCACTGCACTTTCCCCACCCTGGATCTAAAACTCTATGTAGGGCCTGTCCCCTGTTCTGGTCCAGGCAGGACAGGTCCAATCCTTGTACACTTTACCAGCCCCGTTAGTGCTTTGCCACTCAGTTCCCTGGCGTTAGGATCTCTCCTCGGCCTTAGGGTTCCTCAGTTTAAACATTCACACTTTGGGAGGCTGGGGCAGACAGATCACTTGAGCACAGGAGTTCCAGACCAGCCTGGGCAACATGGCCAGACTCCATGTCTACAAAAAATACCAAAAAAAATAATAATAATTAGTCAGGAACTGTAACATATGCTGTAGTCCCAGCTACTCTGGAGGCTGAGGCTGGAGGATGGCTTGAGCCCAGGAGGTGATTGTAGTGAGCCGAGATCACGCCACTACACTCCAACCTGGGCGACAGAGCAGGATTGTCTCAAAAAAAAAAGAAAGAAAGAAAGATTCAAATGCTCCATTTGTGTGTTAGTCACCTGCACCTTCTTGCCTTGAAAGGTCTCCATTGTTTGCTTTGAAAGTGTAGGGCAATTAGTATTTTCATTTAAACAAAGAAGCCTCTAGTCCCTCTTGCCCCAATCCACAACACCTCTCCAAGGAGGGGGCTCTTTGCATATCTGTAACTCCACCCCATTAATGCTGTCATTTGCATATCCCAATAGCATCCCCAGAGGTCACTCTGCATATCTAGCTATTGGACAGATCCCTGTGCAAGCACAGAATTGAGGCCTCATTTGTGGATTGGAAAATACCAGGCTTCTGGAGGAGCAGCAAAACCCACCCCAGTTCAGTCCCTGCATAAACCCATCTTTCCCATAGTCGTTGACCTGGACTGCCTTTTCCGACCCTCAGTCATAGAGCAAGTTGACTGCAGTGTGACCTCATTGGCATCCCTGGTGCTATGCTGCACCAGCCTTGCTACTTCTCAGCCACAGAAGCAAGGACCCCTCCTTAACTTCTTATTCCCAGTTTCCAGGATGGTACCAATCTTTGCGAGTGTGATGAGGTTTGCTTTATGTCACAACATATAGTTTGTTTTTGTAAATGTTCCATGAGTGTTTGAGGAAAATGCATATTCTCCAATTACTGGGCCCAGTGTTCTATACGTTCCATTAAGTCAAGTTTGTGGATTGTGTTGGTCAAATCAACATACTTGCTGGTTTTTTGTTCCTTTGGACCTGCTAATTACTGAGGGTGTTAACGATTCTCACTATGATATTATGAGGGTGCATTTGTCAAATTCTTCTTATAATTCTGTTAATTATTGCTTTATATATCTTTTTCGACGCTATTTCATCAAATACACGCAAATCTAGAATTGTTATAGTTTCCTCGTGAACCAAACCACTTATCACTATGAAGTACCTTTCATTAATGAAGTACTATTCTTTGTCTTAAAAGTGTATTTTGACTAATTTATTATAACTTCATTAACTTTCTTTTGTTTAGTATGTACCTGGTACATTTTCTTACATCCTTATTTTCCTTTCAGTGCAATTATGTTTTGGGTCTGATCTTGGGAACAGCATAAAGTGCAAATTCGGTTTTTTCTATCCAATAGGCAATTGTTGTCTTTTAACTGTAGACTTTAGTTCACTTAGATTTACTTCTTTCTTTTTTCTTAATTTAGTAGAGATGGGGGGGTCTCCCTACGTGGCCCAGGCTGGTCTTGAACTCCTGAGCTCAAGTGATCCTCCCACCTTGGTCTGCCAAAGTGCTGAGATTACAGGCATAAGCCACCACACCCAGCCAGACTTCTAATATATTTATACTTATATCTACCATCTGATTCTGTGCTTTCTATTTGTCCCATTTTTCTGTTTCTTTTTATCTTCTTTCTAGAATTGTGTTAAATGTTGTGGGCATTTTTTTTTTTTGGCCTTTTTAAATAACAAGAGCATGTTTTATCTTTTGTAAACCAGGCATAATGCTATAATAGTGCCTACCACAGGGTTTATTGTAACGATTAAATGAGATGAAGAAACTGACATAAAATGCTTATCCAGTGCCTAGCACATAATAAGCACTAATAAATGGGAACTATTATTAGAATTTCTAGTACTCTTTCATCTTTACAGTTCCCTTGTCTCTTGAGGTTCCGCTTCTGTTGTTCTCCTTTCTGCTGACATTGTCCCATTTGTTCTTAGTCCTTTTTCTTTCATTTCTCCTTTATTGCCACTCAATTTCCTGTTTCCTCTTACCCTTTCATCCCCAGGCAAGCTACATGCACAAGCTGCAATGATGAAGCCCTTTTGGGGAAGAGAGTCAATGTAAAGGGGCTTGGTGGCACAGCAGGGACAGGATCAGGGAGGAGTGCCTTGTCTACTGATCCCCACTCCACAAGCTGGCAAAGGTACACATAGCCAACGCTGGGCACCACTCCTGGCTGGCCATGGTGGAATTAGATCAGCTGGGATCACCGGTTTTTGTGAATGAGTTTAAAGGCCATAGCGTTCACCAACTAGGATACAGTTGAATTCCTTAGCACCTTCATGTATGAAGGATAGCTGGATCCTCACTCTCCACTCTCAAGAAGTAGGGCCGGGCACGGTGGCTCATGCCTGTAATCCCAGCACTTTGGGAGGCCGAGGCGGGCGGATCACCTAAGGTCAGAGTTCGAGACCAGCCTGGCCAACATGGTGAAACCCTGCCTCTATTAAAAATACAAAATTAGCCGGGCGTGGTGGCGCATGCCTGTAATCCAAGCTATTCGGGAGGCTGAGACAGGAGAATCGCTTGAACCCAGGAGGCGGAGGTTGCAGTGAGCCGAGATCGCACCATTGCACTCCAATCTGGACAACAAGAGCAAAACTCCGTCTCAAAAAAAAAAAAAAAGAAGGAGCCCCGCTGTGGGGGAGTGGGTCTCACCTCACTAGGAATTTGTGTATGCACAGGCCAGAGCCTGGAAAGAGGAACCATTTGTACTCAAACACATTGTGGTCAGAGGAAAATTTTGTCATCATTGTTGTGACAGAGCCGCAACTAAATTTAACAAGCTGTGTATTTTTGTTTCCTTCATGATGCATGGAGAAAGCAAAACATTTTGTTTCCAAAAAAGCAAAAACTCTTCAAACAAAACAAAACGACAACAAAAAGCCTTCTTCTAATTTGGTATTTGATTGCTGTAGAGATTCCTTTCTCTAGTTGCTTTAGATTTTGCTTTTTCATGTCCTTTGTAGCATGACGTACTTTCAAGATTCATTGTGTCACTGGAGGAACATTGGCACTTGGTGGAGTTTTGGGTGCTTTTCTGTTTTCTGGTGGTTTCCACACTTGGATTGAAATAAACAGAGGTGCCGAACTTCCATATTTCAATCGAGTCTCACGACAACTTGAGAGTCCAATATTTTGATGACAACTCAGCATGTGCTATCATTCTTCACGGTAAATTTTAAATAGACACTGTTGGTAATTTTTGAAATTTCTTTATTACAAAACTACAATGTCAACTTACAAGGTAGATGAAATGCAATATATTTCTGACTGCTTGCATCTACAATAACAAAATGCCTCTATATTATTCAGAAGTTCTAAAAAACAAACTATATATAATCTATCGTATCTATCTTTATCAAAGACAATGATACTGCGAGCATAGAAACAGGAGCAATTTGGTATTGACAGGTGACAGCATGCTGGCAGTCCTCAGAGCCCTCGCTTGCTCTCAGCGCCTCCTCTGCCTGGGTTCCCACTTTGGCGGCACTTGAGGAGCCCTTCGGCCCGCCGCTGCACTGTGGGATCCCCTTTCTGGGCTGGCCAAGGCCAGAGCCCGCTCCCTCAGCTTGCGGGGAGGTGTGGAGGGAGAGGCGTGAGCAGGAACCAGGGCTGCGCACAGCGCTTGCGGGCCAGCTGGAGTTCCGGGTGGGCGTGGGCTTGGAGGGCCCCGCACTACGAGCGGCCGGCCGGCCGGCCAGCCGGCCCCGGGCAGTGAGGGGCTTAGCACCCAGGCCAGCGGCTGCGGAGGGTGTACTGGGTCCCCCAGCAGTGCCAGCCCACGGGCGCTGTGCTCGATTTCTCGCTGGGCCTTAGCTGCCTTCCCACGGGGCAGGCCTCGGGACCTGCAGCCCGCCATGCCTGAGCCTTCCCCCGCCTCCGTGGGTTCCTGTGCAGCCCGAGCCTCCCCGACGAATGCCACCCCCTGCTCCACGGCGCCCAGTCCCATCGACTGCCCAAGGGCTGAGGAGGGCCAGCGCATGGCGTGGGACTGGCAGGCAGCTCCACCTGCAGCCCCAGTGCGGGATCCACTGGGTGAAGCCAGCTGGGCTCCTGAGTCTGGTGGGGACGTGGAGAGTGTTTATATCTAGCTCAGGGATTGTAAACACACCAATCAGCACCCTGTGTCTAGCTCAGGGTTTGTGAGTGCACCAATGGACACCATGTATCTAGCTGCTCCAGTGGGGCCTTGGAGAACCTTTATGTTTAGCTCAGGGATTGTAAACACACCAATCAGCACCCTGTGTCTAGCTCAGGGTTTGTGAGTGCACCAATCGACACTCTGTATCTAGCTGCTCTGGTGGGGCCTTGGAGAACCTTTATGTCTAGCTCAGGGATTGTAAATACACCAATCGGCACTCTGTATCTAGCTCAAGGTTTTGTAAACACACCAATCAGCACCCTGTGTTTAGCTCAAGGTTTTTGTGAGTGCACCAATCGACACTCTGTATCTAGCTGCTCTGGTGGGGCCTTGGAGAACCTTTGTGTGGATACTCTGTATCTAACTAATCTGATGGGGACCTGGAGAACCTTTGTATCTAGCTCAGGGATTGTAAATGCACCAATCAGCACCCTGTCAAAACAGGCCACTGGGCTCTACCAATCAGCAGGATGTGGGTGGGGCCAGATAAGAGAATAAAAGCAGGCTGTCCAAGCCAGTAGTGGCAACGCGCTCCGGTCCCCTTCCACACTGTGGAAGCTTTGTTCTTTGACTCTTTGCAATAAATCTTGCTACTGCTCACTCTTTGGGTCCACACTGCTTTTATGAGCCGTAACACTCACCGCGAAGATTTGCAGCTTCTCTTCTGGAGCCAGCAAGACCACAAGCTCACCAGGAGGAACGAACAACTCCAGACACGCTGCCTTAAGAGCTGTAACACTCACCGCGAAGGTCTGCAGCTTCACTCCTGAGCCAGGGAGACCACGAACCCACCAGAAGGAAGAAACTCGGAACACATTTGAACATCAGAAGGGACAGACTCCAGACGCGCCACCTTAAGAGCTGTAACACTCACCGCGAGGGTCCGCGGCTTCATTCTTGAAGTCAGTGAGACCAAGAACCCACCAATTCCGGACACAGTATCTTGCAATCCACAGAAAAGATTTGAGGAGTAGAAGGTGAAATGAACATAAACGGGAGACCAACACACGGGGATGCAGAGTGAAACCCATATAGGAAATAGTTTTAGGAAAGAGTGGGAAAAGGAAAGGAGATGAGAGAGACAGAGAGAAAGTAGGGAATGAGAGCGGGAGAGAGATGAACAGGAGAGAGGGTCTTCCACTATTAGTAGCCAGATAAATATTTGATTTGAAGTGACTCTGCGGGGGTTTTACCTCTCCTAGTATGCTGTAGACCAGTGGCTCTGAAACTTTTGATCTAGAGACCCCTTTAAACTTTCAAAAATTGTGGAAGACCTGATTCCTGCTTGCTTTCCCTCTTTCCCACAGCTATTCATCCCCAGAGCACTCCTTACTTAACCACCTGTCTCAGAGTTTACTTCCTGGGGAACCTCACCTGTGACAACTGTCCAGCACAATGCCTGCCGTATTAATGCTTAAATGACTGCAGCAATTAGTTTCTTCAGTTGCAAATGTACTTGACTTTAAACAAACTAAATTAAACAACTTTTAGACACATAGGGGTTATTTATTTTGTAAACAGTTTCTTTCTTTTTTTTTTTTTTGAGATGGAGTCTCAGAGTCTTGCTCTGTCGCCCAGGCTGGAGTGCAGTGGCAGAATCTCGGCTCACTGCAAGCTCCGCCTTCCAGGTTCATGCCATTCTCCTGCCTCAGCCTCCTGAGTAGCTGGGACTACAGGCACCCGCCACCACGTCCGGCTAATTTTTTGTATTTTTAGTAGAGACCGGGTTTCACTGTGTTAGCCAGGATGGTCTCAATCTCCTGACCTTGTGATCCACCCGCCTCGGCCTCCCAAAGTGCTGGGATTACAGGTGTGAGCCACCGCGCCTGGCCATAAACAGATTCTTGAATTCTCTCAAGGTATTTAACTGATAATATGATTTATTAAAAATAAAGTAAAACAGACAAAAAACAAGGTATCATTAGGGAAATGCAAACCAAAACCACAATGAGATACATCACACCCATTAGGTTGGTTTGGCTATTATCAAAAAGCAGAAGATAAAAAGAGTCATCCAGGATGTAGAAATATTAGATCTTTGTGTACTGCTGATGGGAATGTAAAATAGTGCAGCTACTATGGATAACAGTATGGAGGTTCCTCAAAAAATAAAACAGAATTGTCATAAGATCCAATGACTACACTTCTAAATATATACCCAAAATAATTGAAAGCCGGGACTTGAACAGATAATTGTACACCCATGTTCATAGCAGCACTATTCACCATAGCCACATGATGAGAACAACCCAAATGTCCATCAGTGAATGAATGGATAAACAAAATGTGGTATCCACATACAATAGAGTATTATTCAGCCTTAAGGAGAGAAATTCTGACACATACTACAACGTGAACTTTGCAGACATTATGCTAAGTGAAATAAGCCAGTCGCAAAAGGATAAATACTATATTATTCCTCTTAAATAAGGTACCTAGAATAGTCAGATACATAGACACAGAAAGTAGAATAGTGGTTACAAGGGGCTGGGAGAGGGGAAATGAGTTATTTTTTAATGCATACAGAGTTTTCTTTTTCTTTTTTTGGAGACAGCGTCTCACTCTGTTGCCCAAGCTGGAGTGCAGTGGCACAACCATAGCTCACTAGGCCTTGACCTCCTGGGCTCAATGGATCCTCCCACGTCAGCCTCCTACAGATGGGTGCTGCCACACCTGGCTAATTTTTGTATTTTTTGTAGAGATGGGATATCACCATGTTGCCCAGGCCGGTCTCAAACTCCTGAGCTCAAGTGATCCTCCTGCATCAGCCTCCCAAAAAGTGCTGGGATTAGAGAGGCATGAGCCACTGGACTCAGCCACATACAGAGTTTTCAATTTGGGATGATGAAAAAGTGCTGGAGACAGATGGTGGTGATGGTTGCAGAACATATGAATGTACTTAATATCATGGAATTGTACACTTCAAAATTGTTAAAATGGTAAATTTTATGTGATGTGTGTTTTACCACAATAAAAATGTACAAAATAAAATGTATAAATATGTCTGAAATCTTGCAATACCTTATAAATTGGCTGCATTCCTTTTTCTTGCCAGATAATAGTTCATTGTATGAATATATCACCCTGAAAACATCATGCTAAGTGAAAGAAGCCAGTCACAAAAGACCATATATTGTGATTCTATTTATATAAGATGTCCAGAAGGGGCAAGTCTATAGAGACAGAAAGTAATTTAATAGTTGCCAGGAACTGGCGGGAAGACTGAGGGGGGGAGGGCAGGCAGGGAAGAGGAGTGACTGCCAATGGGCACATTAGCAAATGGGCACAAGTGTTTTTGGGGGGTTGATGAAAATGTCGTAAATTTCATTGAAATGTTCTAAAATTAATTGTGGTGATGGCTCTGTAACTCAATGAATATACTAAAAACCGTTGAATTCACTTTAAATCACTGAATTATATCTCAACGAAAAGGTTAATGAAAACTGAAACAATAGAAAAGAGTCTTGGGGACTATCTTTCCTGATTGACCAAGGAAATTAAACTTTTTGCCTCTGTATGGAAAGGTAGGTGGGCTTTCTTGTGTTTCTCTTCAATCATTCAGTAAGTATGTTACAGTAGGTAGCTAGTAAGGTATGAGCAGGGCAGGAGAGGGCTCCCCCGACACACACACCAGTAGTGTCAGGCAACCATCCCGTGATGGTCAGGCAATGAGTGGTTAACTGTCTTTCTAAAGTAATAATTGTGGCCAGGCATGATGGCTTACACCTGCGATCCCAGCACTTTGGGAGGCCGAGATGGACGGATTACTTGAGGTCAGGAGTTTGAGACCAGCCTTGCCAACATGGTGGAACCCCGCCTCTACTAAAAATACAAAAAAAGAATTAGCCAGGCGTGATGGTGTGCACCTATAATCCCAGCTACTCAGGAAGCTGAGGCAGGAGAATCGCTTGAATCTGGGAGGTGGAGGTTGCAATGAGTCGAGATTGCACCACTGCACTCCAGCCTGGGAGACAGAGGGACAGTCTGTCTCAAAAAAAAAAAAAAGTAATAATTGGTCACAGCCGGTGCCAGGGAAAGGCAGTCTCCTAATAGAAAACACCTGAAACTGGTGATGAGCAACTTCCTGATAAGATCTCAGGAGTTGGGCGAGTGAGGAGAAATAGCACAAGACCCTAGAAGTATGCCAACCTATAAAACTCTAAGTCAAAGGTCAAACTGGGCACTTGTCTCTCAAGTCACCCACTTGGCCCTCTTCTGAGTGTACTTTCCTTCCTTTCATTCCTGCTGTAAAGCTTTTTAACGAACTTTCACTCCTCTAAAACTTGCCTCACTCTCTCCTTTTCCCTTACGCCCGTCAGTCGAATTCTTCTGAGGAGGCAAGAATTGAGGTTGCCGCAGAGCTGTATGGATACGTTTCACCGCTAACAAATATTTATTGAAAACATTCTCTAGGCAAATAATACTGTTGAAGGTAAATACCGGCCTACAAAAAGATATTATGTTAAAAAATGGTGTCTGCCTTTTATTTTATTTTTTGAGACTGAGTCTCGCTCTGTCACCCAGGCTGGAGTGCAGTGGCGCGATCTCGACTCACTGCAACCTCCGCCTCCTGGGTTCAAGCAATTCTCTGCCTCAGCCTCCCAAGTAGCTGGGATTACAGGTGCCCACCACCATGCCCAGCTATTTTTTTTTTATTTTTAGTAGAGACGGGGTTTCACCATGTTGGCCAGGCTGGTCTTGAACTCCTGACCTCGTGATCCACCTGCCTTGGCTTCCCAAAGTGCTGGGATTACAGGCCTGAGCCACGAGGCCCAGCCTTATTTTAGAGACGGAATCTCTGTCGCCCACACTGGAGTGCAGAGGTGCAATCTCAGCTCACTGTAACCTCCACTTCTTAGTTTCAAGTGATTCTCCTGCCTCAGGCTCCTGAGTAGCTGGGATTACAGGCATGTGCCACCACTTCCGGCTAATTTTTGTATTTTTGGTAGAGACGGAATTTCACCATGTTGGCCAGGCTGGTCTCAAACTCCTGACCCCAGGTGATCCACCCACCTTGGCCTCCCAAAGTGCTGGAATTAAAGTTGTGAGCCACCCGCACCCCCCAAGTCTGATATGATTTTTTTCTAATTCACCATTTCACTGAGGGAAAGGGTAAGTGAAGATCCAGTCTGTATATGGGGTTCTTGGTTCCAGGGCCTTGGCTTTTCTCTCTGTATGTTCATCGTATTGGTTAGTATTAGGTTCAGCTGAGAGAAACAGAGCTTCAAAATAATAGTGGCATAAACAAGAGGAAAATTGATCTCTCATGGAACAGTCTAGAGAAAGGCAGTCCAAAGCCAGTGTGGACTGTTTGTCCTCGTAATGTTCTCAGGCACTCCAGCCTCCTTTGATCTTGTTGCTCTACTCTATATGACCTCTATTTCTCAGGTCATCTCATGGTCCAAGATGGTTCCTCCAGCTCTAGGCTTCACTTTCACATTCCAGCCAATAGGAAAAACTAAAGAGCCAAGAAGAAAGGGACATGGCAGCTATCTTTTGAGATTCCCAGTACCTCCACATGAAATTTGCTTTTATATCCCCTTGGTGAGAGGTTAGTCACAGTGGTCATTACTCTGGGTAGCCATGTATGCAGTTAAAAATTAGTAGTTCTATTTCTGTGGACGTAGAGGAGAATGGGTGTTAGAAAATAACTAATAGTCTTGGGCTGGGTGCAGTGGCTCACACCTGTAATCCCAGCACTTTGGGAGGACAAGTCAGGCAGATCACCTGCGGCCAGGAGTTTGAGACCAGCCTGGCCAACATGGCAAAACCCTGTCTCTACTAAAAATACTAAAATGAGCCAGGCATGGTGGCGTATGCCTGTAATCCCAGCTACTCCGGAGGCTGAGGCAGGAGAATTGCTTGAACCCAGAAGGCAGAGCTTGCAGTGAGCTGAGATCGCGCCACTGGGTGACAGAGTGAGACTCTGTCTCAAAAAGAAAGAGAGAGAAAGAAAGAAAAGGAAAGCAGAAAGAGAGAGAGAAAGAAAGAAGAGAGGGAGAGAAAGAGAGAAACAGGCCAGACGCAGTGGCTCACGCCTGTAATCCCAGCACTTTGGGAGGCTGAGGCGGGCGGATCACGAGGTCAGGAGATCCAGACCATCCTGGCTAACGCGGTGAAGCCCCATCTCTACTAAAAATACAAAAAATTAGCCGGGCGTGGTGGCACACGCTTATAGTCCCAGCTACTCGGAAGGCTGAGGCAGGAGAATGGCCTGAACCCAGGAGGTGGAGCTTGCAGTGAGCTGAGATCGCGCCACTGCACTCCAGCCTGGGTGACAGAGTGAGACTCCATCTCAAAAAAAAAAAAAAAAAAAAAAATAGGAAGAAAGGAAGGGAGAAATAAAAAGAAAGAAAGGAAAAGAAAGAGCAGAACTAATAGTCTTGGCCACAGGGGTTGAATCTCGAATCACTAGATCACAGTTCACCTGCATGTCCCTCTAGTTTTCATTTCCTTCATCCTTTCTGGACTCTATTTTTCTTGCACTCAGTTGTGCCTTTCATTTATCCATTCATTCAACAAATATTTATTGAGCATCTACTATGTGCTGGAAACTGTTTTAGGAGCTGAAGATACAGCAGTGAACAAGATGAAAGTCCTACCCTTATTGAGCTTACATTCTATTTGGGGGAAACAGACCATAATCCAGAAAATGTAATACTATGATGTCAGAGGGTGTGAACTGGTATGGAGAAAAATAAAGCAGGTTAAGGGGATGGGGGGGTCCCGGGAGTGGGGTGAGTGGTTATTTTTTTTTCAGGGAAGGCCTCTGTGATGAGGTGACACGTGAGTCGAGACCTAAAATGAGGAAGAAAGCTATGGTATCATTTTGGGCAAGAGCATTCTAAGTGGAGATAACAGCAACTACAAATGGTCCGAGGTGGAAGTGGACGTGGTGTGTACAAAGGTCAATAAGGAGGCCTGAGTGACTGGAGTGGAGTGGGAGAGGGATAGCAGCTCTTCTCCAGAGGCAGCAAAGTGCCAGATTAGCCAGGGCTTCATAGTCTTTTGCGATTACTTGGAATGAGAAGAGAAGCCATTGGAGGATTTGGACAAAGGCATGACTTAACCTGCCTTATGTGTTGTTGGTTTTTTAAAACTTGAGATAGGGTCTAGTTCTGTGGTCCAGGCTGCAGTGCAGTGATGCGATCTCAGCTTACTATAACCTCCGCCTCCTGGCCTCAAGCACTCCTCCCACCTCAGCCTCCCAAGTAGCTGGGACTACACACATATCAACATGCCTGGCTAATTTTATATATATATATATAGTGTGTGTGTGTATATATATATACACACACATATATATGTGTGTATATATATATACACACATATATAGTGTGTATATATATATACACACTATATAGTGTGTATATATAGTATATATAGTGTATATATATAGTGTATATATAGTGTATATATATAGTGTATATATAGTGTGTATATATAGTATATATAGTGTGTATATAGTATATATAGTGTGTATATATAGTATATATAGTGTATATATAGTATATATAGTGTATAGTGTATACATAGTATATACAGTGTATATATAGTATATATAGTGTATGTATATAGTATATATAGTGTATGTATATAGTATATATATAGTGTATGTATATAGTATATATATAGTGTATATATATACACTATATATAGTGTGTATATATATAGTGTATGTGTGTGTATATATATATATATATTGTGTGTGTGTGTGTGTGTGCACGTGTGTGTAGAGATGGAGTCTCACCATGTTGTCTAGGCTGGTCTGGAACTGCTGGGCTCAATCAATCTGCCCAGCTTGGCCTCTCAAGGTGCTGGGATTACAGGTGTGAGCCACTGTGCCCAGCCTGCATTATGTTTTAAAAGGATCACTTTGGCTGTTGAGTTGAGAATAGACTCTAAGGTAGTAAAGAGTGGATACAGGAAGATAAGTTAGAAGGCTATTGTGGTTAGCTAGGCATGAGATAAAAAGTATATTTTGAAGGGAGAGACACAAATATTTAGTGAAGGATTAGATACAAGGTATGAGAGAAAGAGAGAGGCTGACTCAACTCCTAGGTTTCTGGTCTGAGCAATTAATTGAGTGGTGACACCATTTACCGAGATGGGGAATTCTGGGAAAAGAACAGGCTTGTGGGGTAGATTGAGGGTACTGTTCTGGCCAGGTTAAATTTGAGATATGCAATGGGAAAGGTCATAATACAACTGGGCATAATTTTTTTTTTTGAGACAGAGTATTACTCTGTCACCCAGGCTGGAGTGCAATGGTGCAGTCTCAGCTCACTGCAACCTCTGCCTCACGGGTTCAAGTGATTCTCGTGCCTCAGCCTCCCAAGTAGCTGGAATTACAGGTGTGAGCCACCACGCCCAGTTAATTTTTGCGTTTCTAGTAGAGACGGGATTTCGCCGTGTGGCCAGGCTGGTCTCGAGCTCTTAACCTCAAGTGATCCACCCGCCTCAGCCTCCCAAAGTACTGGGATTACAGACGAGAGTTACTGTACCTGGCCAGGCATAATATTTTTGAGATTAGAGAAATCTGGGTTGGAAACTCAAATTTGGGAGCCATAAGCCTATATATATGACCATGAGATTGGATGAGATCAGGAAAGGCAGCAGGGAGGTTGGTAGATTTGGCAGTGGGAGGAGGATACTCTCTTCTGATTCCAGTTTTTTTTTCAGTGCAATGAGAAAGAAGATCATTTGCTGACAGTGAGATGCAGAAGAGGAAACAAGGTTTGAGGAAAGGGGAGATGATATTAAATAGCTATTTGTGATGTTGTTATATTTTACATTTCTAGGTGTTTGTTGTGGAAAGGGTTTTTGTGTTATTCATTGAGCAAGTTTTGCTGTCATAGCTCACTTTTGTAATGAAGAGAAAGGTAATTTTATTTTATTATTATTATTTCTTTGAGACGGAGTCTACCTCTGTCACCCAGGCTGGAGTGCAGTGGTGCGATCTTGGCTCACTGCAGCCTCGACCTCCTATGCTCAGGTGATCCTCCCACCTCAGCCTCCCGAGTAACTGGGACTACAGGTATGTGCCACCACACCCAGCTAATTTTTTTTGCATTTTTGTAGAGATGGGATTTCACCATGGCTGGTCTTGAACTCCTGACCTCAAGTGATCCGCCTGCCTTGGCCTCCGAAAGTGCTGGGGTTACAGGTGTGAGCCACTGCACCCGGCCAGTAATTTTAAATTGAAAGATAAGTAGATAACAATCATCCTGTCGAAAATCAGGCAGAAGATGTTTTATTAAGACATTGACTGGCTGGGCATGGTGGCTCATGCCCATAAATCCCAGCACTTTGGGAGGCCGAGGTGGGAGGATCACCTGAGCCCAGGAGTTCGAGAACAGTTCTGGGCAACATGGCAAGACTCTCATCCCCACAAAAACATTTAAAAAGTAGAACAATAAGTAAATAAAAGAAACTGATTAGACACCATAGAAAAAGGAAACAATCACAAATTTGAAATGTTCCTTTTTTTTTTTTTTGAGACAGAATCTCACTCTGTCACCCAGGCTGGAGTGCAGTAGTGTAATCTCAGCTCACTGGAACCTCTGCCTCCTGGGTTCAAGCAATTCTCCTGTCTCAGCCTCCCGAGTAGCTGGGATTACAGGCACCCGCCACCACGCCCAGCTAATTTTTATGTATTTTAGTAGAGACGGAGTTTCATCAGGTTGGCCAGGCTGGTCTGGAACTCCTGACCTCAAGTGATCCACCTGCCTTGGACTCCCACAGTGCTGGGATTACAGGTGTGAGCCACAGTGCCCGGCCTGAAATGTTTCTTATATTCCAGTAATTGAATAAAATAGGAACTAGATTGGATTTCCTCTTTTTCCCCTTTACACAGAAGGAATGACATCAAAGAGTGGTTTACCTAATGTCTCTTGCTCGCTGTCACCATGATGTGGTGACTGTCATCATGTAGGTGGCACTAGCTCCCTTGATATTTGCCCGCCGGTCATGTTTCCAGACAAGAATGCTATTGCTGTCCAATGCCTCATCAAAGGTATAGATGGGGCAGAGAACTAGAAATTGAGGAGCAAACACCTCAAATGTCCTTGGCAGATTAGCTGGGTCCTAGCCACATGCAGATGTGTGGTTCCAAGTGAAAGCAGATCTGAATATCCAGTGTGGAGACCACTGGAAAGAAGGGGCCAGACATAGTCCAGCCAGCCCCTGAGGTTAGAAACAGCCAGCATGCTCTCAAATGCTGTCTCCCACTCTCTGCTTTGTAGACCCTTTCACTGGAGGTAGCTGATAGAGCATCATATGCCCTCTCTTCCCAGGCCACAGCAGAAAATGGTGGCATGCATTAACATATTATTTATCCAGTGCCAGCTGAAGGAAGGGGCAAACTAATCTGTAACTTATGCTATACACTATAAGGAACTTAAAAAAACATGGGAAGGACATGTACTTCCATGTACGATAGTTGTAGAGGATCTTTCCTTGTAGTTTTCAATTTTGCTTAACTGTCTATGTCAGAAAGCAAAATGGGCCTGGCGCGGTGGCTCATGCCTGTAATCCCAGCACTTTGGGAGGCCAAGGTGGGCAGACCACTTGAGGTCAGGAGTTTGAGACCAGACTGGCCAACAGGGTAAAACCACGTCTCTACTAAAATACAAAAAAAAAAAAATAATAAATTAGCTGGGCTTGGTGCGTGCCTGCAATCCCAACCACTCTGGAGGCTGAGACAGGAGAATCGCTTGAACCCAGGAGGTGGAGAGGTTGCAGTGAGCCGAGGTTGTGCCACTGCACTCCAGCCTGGGTGACAGAGCGAGACTGTGTCTCAAAAATTAAAAAAAAAAAGCAAAATGGACAAGTACCTGAACTAAAATGATGTAAAGATGGATGAAGAGATTCAATAACCATTTAAAAAGTGAGATCTCCAGGCATGGTGGTGCACACCTGTAGTCCCAGCTATTCAGGAGGCTGAGGCAGGAGGATCACTTGAGACCAGGAGTTTGAGACCAGCCTGAGCAACATAGTAAGGCCCCCTTCTCAGATAAAAAAAAAAAAAAAAGAAAACAAAGTGAGATTGTTGGACTTGTCTGATCAGATGTGGGGAAGGGAGGAGAGTGAGGATTCTAGAGCAGCAAGCTCTTCATATACCAAATCTAGCCCACCTACTTTTGTACAACCTGTAAGCTAAGAGTGGTTTATTACATTTTTAAGTGGTTGGAAAAAACTCAAAAGAATATCTTGTAACATATGAAAATGACATGACATCCAAATTTTAGCACTCACACAATTTGACTGGAATATAGCCCTGCCCATTTCTTACATATTGTTCAGTAGCTGTTTTCATCCTGCAGCAGCAGTTGAGTAGCTGCAGCAGAGAGTGTATGGCTTGCAAAGCTTCACATATTTCTTCTTTTTTTTTTTTTCTGAGACGGAGTCTCACTCTGTCGCCAGCTTCACATATTTCTATAAATAGTCCTTTATAGGAAAAGCTTACTGACCACTAGTCTAGGTGACTTGTAAATTTCTGGCCAGTGTCACTGGATAGGAAGGGGTGTCCTCAACTGAGACGGAGAACAGAGGAGGAGGAGCAGGTTGAGAGGAAAGAGGAGCATGGTGATTGTGAGGTGCCTGTGGATCACCTAAGGAGAGAAGCTCAGCAAACAGCTGGGTGTCAGGCTCTCGAACTTGGAGAGAGGCCCCACTGTAAACTGAGTAGGTGAATTTCGCCATTCTTCCACTACTCCAGAAGTGAATTTCTAAATTTTCAGAGTCTCTTCCCATTAATTTGGTAAGGGGCTTAAAGCTCTAATTTTATCTTCAATCTCAGTAGTTGGTTTAGAAATAAAGTCTTACTGTCTTATAGAATCCTAAAGACATGGCACAGGGTGGATGAAGACTACAGGGCTTTTAAGAATTTGAGAAGCTGGAGTTATCTACAATTTAGTCTGCCATCTTACTAGGATGTAAGGGCTTATGGCTGTTCAAAAGCTGCAACTTTGCCTTTTCCTGTTTAAATTATAGCTTAGTGCTGCGGAAAAGGCATGAATGGATCTTCTGATTTTGGTGCTCTAGGTTGCACATAGGCAGAGGGAAGAAAACTGAAACCAAAAAGGCAGCTTTTTTTTTCTTTTTTTTTTGAGACGGAGTCTTGCTCTGCTGCCAGGCTGGAGTGCAGTGGCGTGGTCTTGGCTCACTGCAACCTCCGCCTCCTGGGTTCAAGCAATTCTCCTCCCTCAGCCTCCCAAGTAGCTGGGATTATAGGCACACACCACCATGCCTGGCTAATTTTTGCATTTTTAGTATAGATGGGGTTTCACCATGTTGGCCAGGCTGGTCTTGAACTCCTGACCTCGTGATCCACCCACCTCGGCCTCCCAAAGTGCTGGGATTACAGGCATGAGCCATGGTGCCTGGCCAAGGCAGCATTTTTATATTCCTGAATTCACATGGATTCCTTCTGAAAACAATTGTTGTTTGTAATATAAAAAATAATAAGGCCGGGCACGGTGGCTCATGCCTGTAATCCCAACACTTTGGGAGGCTGAGGCGGGCAGATCACTTGAGGTCAGGAGTTCAAGACCAGCCTAGCCAACATAGTGAAACCCTGTCTCTACTAAAAATACAAAACTTAGCCGGGAGTGGTGGCGGGTGCCTGTAATCCCAGCTACTCGGGAGGCTGAGGCAGTAGAATCGCTTGAACCCAGGAGGCGGAGGTTGCAGTGAGCCGAGATTATGCCATTGCACTCCAGCCTGGGCAACAGAGTGAGACTCCGTCTCAAAAATAATAATAATAATAATTATTATTATTATATTGGGGAGAGAGTTAGAAAATTACCTATCAGGTACAATGTTTACTATTTGGGTAATGGCTATACTAGAAGCCCACTCCCAGTACAGAATATACTCATGTAACAGACAAGCACATGTACCCCCTGAATCTAAGATACAATAGAAGCAATATCAGGCCAGGCGCAGTGGCTCATGCTTGTAATCCCAGCACTTTGGAGGCCGAGGCAGGCGGATCACTTGAGGACAGGAGTTTGAGACCAGCCTGGTCAACATGGCAAAGCCCTGTCTGTACTAAAAATACAAAAATTAGCTGGGCGTGGTGGCACACACCTGTAATCCCAGCTACTTGGGAGGCTGAGGCAGGAGAATCACTTGAACCTGGGAGGCAGAGGTTGTAGCGAGTGGAGATCACGCCACTGCACTCCAGTCTGGGTGACAGAGCGAGACTCCATTTCAAAAAAAAAAAAAGAAAAAAGAAACAACATCAATTCCTCTGGACACCATTTATTTGTGAAAAAAATAGTTTGAACACTTATCCCCAAATCATGTCATTTTAGGAAGCTTGATAACAGAGGTAGAGGTGGGGACTGCAAAGACCTGGGTGTGGGCCTGAAAAAGGAGGCTGGGTACCATGTAGCAATTGCCTTCAGGTGTTAGTGAGCTGAGTTTTTCCTCCTCCTTCCTCCCCTTTTTATTCTCTTAGATCTCTCTTCTTTTTCCCTTGATTCCTCTCAAAGTGGTGGCTTGAGTGTGAACTGTTACACCAGATTCTCTGGGTTCAAATTCCAGCATTGCCACCGATTGTGTGATCTCAAACAAGTTATCTAGCTTTGCTGTGCCTTAGTTTCCCCATTCATAAAATGAGGGATATGTGTCATTACCTAACAAAGTTGTAGTGATCATTGAAGGATTTAATTTAGAACAGTGCCGGGCATGCATTTAAGCATTGTACGAGTTATTAACATCACAATTCCCTTCCACACCCTGCTTTCTTTTGTCATTATTTACTGTCCTGTGATGAGCCCACTTAAATGACTGCCTAAGCATGATTCTTGTTTTATGAATGCCGCAGTTGTTGCGGTTTGCTTAGTTGTGGTTCTATGTTTGAGTTAACCAGAGTAACATAAACCTCTGTGACTCAGGGGTGAGTTCTCAGCTGGACAAGTTAATTCTTTGTGTTAGCCACCTTGGTAAAAAGGTCTGTCTCTCAAACGAACAAAAAACAAAACAAAAAAACAACCAAACAAGCAAACTTGAACTGGGAGAGCCTTTCTTGGCATGTCTAGTAAAACACTCTTTCCATCTTCACCACGATGTCAAGATGTCTAGAAGGCACCTCCTGTGGGGAGAAGTAGGTTTATGGGGAGTAAGAAGCAGAGAGAAAAAGCAAGGAACCCAGATAAAGTGTCTCTGAAGTTGTACCAACCTTTTTTTAGACTAGATATCTCAGATGTTTATCATTTTGTTTCTTCTTAGAGTTTAAAAAAGATATTTCCTCCTTTGTCTAGTATTAATTCATATTTATTTAATAATAAAATTGAACATTAGTTCCTATGTTTATTGACCACTTGAATTTTTTCTTCTGCAAATTGCCTATTCACGTTCTTTACCCATTTTCTTTTCTTTCTCTTTTTGAGAAGGAGTCTTTTTCTGTTGCCCAGGCTGGAGTACAGTGGCATAATCTCAGCTCATTGCAACCTCCGCCTCCTGGGTTCAAGCAGTTCTCCTGCCTCAGTCTCCCAAGTAGCTGGGATTACAGGCTTGTGCTACCATGCCCAGCTAATTTTTAGTATTTTTAGTAGAGATGGGTTTTCCCCATGTTAGCTGGTTTCGAACTCCTGACCTCAGGTGATCCACCCACCTCAGCCTCCCAAAGTGCTGGGATTACGGGTGTGAGCCACTGCACCCAGCCTACCCGTTTTCTTATTGAGAAATTTCATCTTATTGATTTGTAAGAGCTCTTTTTATAGTAAGAATATTTATCCTTATCCTATCATGTATACTACAAATATTTTACTATTATTTTCCTTTTGACTTTATAATTTTTTTTTTTTTTTTTTAGACAGAGTCTCGCTCTGTCGCCCAGGCTGGAGTGAAGTGGTGCAATCTTGGCTCACTGCAAGCTCCGCCTCCAGGGTTCAAGTGAATCTCCTGCCTCAGCCTCCTGAGTAGCTGAGACTACAGGCACATGCCACTGTGTCCAGCTAATTTTTGTATTTTTAGTAAAGACTGGGTTTCACCATGTTGGCCAGACTGGTCTCGAACTAGCCTCAGATGATCCTCCCACCGTAGCCTCCCAAAGTGCTGGGACTACAGGTGTGAGCCACCATGCCCAGCCTATAATCTTTTTAAATTTAAATTTTATATGATCAAATGTATTAATTGCTTTTCCTTTTGACTTCTGGTTTTTAAGTCTTCTTTAGAAAGACTTTCCTCACCTCTACTGCACATATAATAATCTATGCCCAGTTTTAGTTTTTAAAGGATCTTGTCTTTTACATTTAAATCTCTAATCAATTTGAAATTTATTTTTGTGTAAATAGAGAGCCCTTAAATTTTGTGCATAAGGCCGGGTGCAATGGCTCATGCCTGTAACCTCAGCACTTTGGGAGGCGAAGGCGGGTGGATCATTTGAAGTCGGGAGTTCCAGACCAGCTTGGCCAACATGGTGAGACCCCATCTCTACTAAAAAATACAAAAATTAACCAAGTGTGGTATCACGCACCTGTAATCCCAGCTACTGAGGAGGCTGAGGCAGGAGAATCGCTTGAACTTAGGAGGTGGAGGTTGCAGTGAGCCAAGATTGTGCCACTGCACTCCAGCCTGGGCAACAGAGCGAGACTCCGTCTCAAAAAAAAAAAAAAAAGGTGCAAATGCTTACCTAATTATTCCAACACCATTTATTGAATGATCTTGACACTGTTATTTCTTGAAATACAACTTTTTTTTTTTTTTTTTTTTTTGAGACCAAGTTTTGTTCTTGTTGCCCAGGCTGGAGTGCAATGGCACGATCTTGGCTCACTGCAACCTCCACCTCCTGGGTTCAAGCGATTCTCCTGCCTCAGCCTCCGGAGTAGCTGAGATTACAGGCTTGTGTCACCATGCCCAGCTAATTTTTAGTATTTTTAGTAGAGATGGGGTTTCCCCATGTTAGCTGGTTTCGAACTCCTGACCTCAGGTGATCCACCCACCTTGGCCTCCCAAAGTGCTGGGATTACGGGTGTGAGCCACTGCGCCCGGCAGAAATCCAACGTTTATCATACACATTTTTATATACATACAGATTCTGTGTCCTATTACATCCTTCTGCCTATTTCTCTATTAGTAAATGTCCAATTTATTTTTAGGTTTAATTTTTATGGGTAAAATGTTCAATTTTAATTAGCTACATTATTCATTTTAATGTCTGCCAGGGCTCCTTACTCCTCTTCTTTGGTATTTTCTTAGCTGTTTTTACATCTTGATTCCTTCTGATAAATTTTATTTTTTATTTCAATTTTCCTTTTTTTGAGACAGAGTCTTGCTATGTTGCCCAGGATAGTCTTGAACTCTTGGCCTCCAGCAATCCTTCCACCTTGGCCTCCTGAGTAGCTGGGACTTCAGGTGCTTCTGATAAATTTTATAATCATTTTGCCAAGTTAAAAAAAAAAATCCTGGCCAGGTGCAGTGGCTCATGCCTGTAATCCCAGCACTTTGGGAGGCCGAGGCAGGCGAATCACGAGGTCAGGATTTCGAGACCAGCCTGGCCAACGTGGTGAAACACTGTCTCTACTAAAAATACAAAAATTAGCCGGGCGTGTTGCACCTATAATCCCAGCTACTGGGGAGGCTGAGGCAGGAGAATCGCTTGAAACCAGGAGTCGGAGGTTGCAGTGAGCCAAGATCGTGCCACTGCACTCCAGCCTGGGCAAGAGAGCAAAACTCCATCTCAAAATAATAATAATAATAATAATAATAATAATAATAATAATAATAATAATCCTTCTGGGATTTTGACTAAGGTGGCATTGAATTGACAGATATTAAGGAGAGAAGTCACATATTTATAATTCTAACAAAATATGTCTCTCCATTGATTTGGGAGTTTGTTTTTGTCCTTCAGTAGACAAGTCCTCCCGACTTACTGCTTCTCCTTCAGGGCTAATAACTTAGAGGTCTTAGGTTTTGTTTTATTAAATAAACTATACTGCTTCATAGGTGGTAGTAGCAATGACATTGTAATTGTATGGCCTAGTTAACTTGGATGGTTTCTAGTAATGAGAAAGCCTTTACTTCACCGGAAAGTGAAAGGGATAGCCACGGAGATCATGAAGCAGATCCTGAGCACCTTCAGGTTCTTGAGTATGGCCAACCTGCAGATGAAGTGCAGAGTTAGGAATGAAGGTTGAGCAGACCACCATTACTTGTGGCATGCAAACATGTGAGGGGGCAGACAGATGTAAATGAGGGTACAAACAGCTATTAATGGGAGAGATCTCCTAGTGGATTTATTGGTGAGTTGACCAGCAAAAGGCTCCTTGAAGACAAACCAGCGGTGGAGTAGGCATCACACATTCCAGTGAGGCAGGCATTCCTTCTAGCCAGTGTTTTTCAACATCTGCACTATTGATAGCAGGAGCCAGGTGAGTTTTTGTTGTAGGAGGCTAGCTGTGCATAGTAGGATGTTTAACAGCATCCCTGGCCTCTACCCACTAGGTGTCAGTGGCAACCTCTTTGCCCCAGTTGTGACAACCAAAAATGTCTCCAGGCATTGCTAAATGTTCCCTAGGGGGTAAAACCACCCCCAGTTAAGAACCCCTCCTCTAAGATCTCAGGGACAGTGGAGCAAACAACCAAAAAATGAGCATGTGGGGTCAGTGAGTAGAATGACAGTGGTAAGGGTGGGGGGGTCTAGGTAGTTCAGTCTTGGCCAGTCGGCCTCCCAGAAAGGGGAAGTGAAAGATACCCTACCCTCATTGGGCCACATCTTGGTAGAGGGGGTGGAGTAGCTGACTTCCTAAGGATGTGCCAACATCAGAGCAGGAGAAGGAAGAAACAGAACGAGGGCAGAAACTAACTTACTCATATCCATCTGAAAGAAGACATCCTTGCTGGGGTAAATCTTCCAGGAAGGGAGACTGAAGGTAGAGAGGGAGCCAACTCAGAGAAAAATTTTAGATCTTGGGTGGAGAGAAGGAAATTACAGTAAGTTCCACCTCACAACATTTATCTAATGGAGAAGACTCATCAGATCCTAACTAAACGTGTTTTTCCGAGTTGCAGCATCTGCAGTGACTTGCTAAAATGCCCTTTGGTGAGATGAGCTGGAGTTACACGTCATGGTTGTGGAAATTGATTCAGCCAGGAAGTGGACACTGGGAAATTGTCTTGAGTGTGCACAATATAGGAATGTGAGGGTGCTCCTGGAAAGATAAAGCAACTAAGTTGTCAGGGAGGACAGGGCTTAGGAGAGTACTGTGAGATAGGGGTCAGTGCTTTACTAGAAAGCAACAAAAAGGTAGACCTCAACTCCAAGCCCCATTACCTAAGTGAGAATGAAATGTCTTCAAATAATATTGGTTGGGCCAAGTTTCCCTTAAAGGGTGTCTGTCGTTACAGAGAAGTGGGTAGGAGGTGGGGAAGGGGAACTCTGAAAACCTTTCTGATCTACTTGAGAGCCATAAAATAGCAATCTGTGACCAGTGACAGGGAAATCCAAATGAGGGGAATAAATTAAACTTAACTGTAGGAGACTGTGTATGAGAGGCTCTCTATGGAGGGAATACTGAGCAAGTCCCACTAGTTGAATTTCAAATCCAAAACCACTTTCTGTGTAGTTCTGGTAGTGTAACAAAGCCAAAGGAAGTGCCAGTAAGCAGAGAAATCCTATAGTTAGGTGGCACATGGGAATTTTCATCAATCCTCAGATGCACAAGAAAGCCATAAAGATAAGCCACTGGCTTTGTTCAAGAAGACAGACACAGGGCCGGATGCAGTGGCTCACGCCTGTAATCCCAGCACTTTGGGAGGCTGAGGCGGGTGGATCACTTGAGATCAGGAGTTCGAGACCAGCCTGGCCAACATGGTGAAACCCCATTTCTACTAAAATTACAAAAATTAGCTGGGCGTGGTGGCGTGCACCTGTAGTCCCAGCTATTTGGGAGGCTGAGGCACGAGAATCACTTGAACCCAGAAGGCGGAGGTTGCAGTGAACCGAGATCGCACCACTGCACTCCAGCCTGGCCGACAGAGCGAGACTCCATCTCAAAAAAAAAAAAAAAAAAAAAAAAAAAAAAGAAAGAAAGAAAAGAAAAGAAAAAAAAAGACAGACACAGGAGCAGGGCTGATATTCAGCCAAGATGCGCCAGTATGGCAGTACTAGTTGCTAACAGCCAGCATCTGTGTATATTTGTTGGTACTTATACCACCACACAGAAAACAATGTCCCTTCATGGGGGAACAGATCTTCACCATATGGTGAGATCAACGGAGGCCAGAGGTGACCTGTAAGATATCAAATGGCAAAAATTGCCTGACCTTGACCCATCCATTACCCCTACCTGGATGGAGGGATGGGCCCAGAGACACAGAGGGTATCATGGCTGGTAAAATTATCCTATGCTGTGGGGGAAAGATTACAGTTATAAATAACACATATATAGATGTAACAATTACGTAGATGTGCCAGGCAGCATTCCTTTTTTAAAAAAATTATTTTTATATTTTTAGTGACAGAGTCTCGCTTTTGTCACCCAGGCTGAAGTGCAGTGGCACGATAGCTCACTGCAGCCTCAAACTCCTGGGCTCTTCCAGGAGTGATCCTTCCACCTCAGCCTTCCAGAGTGCTAGGGTTAAAGGCACACACCACCATGCCCAGTCCAGGCATCATTCTCTATGCTTTATATACTTGGCTTCATTGAATCCTCACGATGTTAGGAGGTAGGGACAATTCATACCTGCATTTTACAGGTGAGGAAATGAAGACCTAGAGGGGTTAAGTAATGTGACCAAGGTCCCACAGCTTGGTAAATGACAAAACTGGGATTCTGACCCAGTCAACCTGCTTCAGAATTTGTATACTTAACAAATGTGCTGTACAGTAGGGATGCCAAAACTCTCAAGATGAGAATAATCATTAGAGGGAGAGCAGCCAAAACACCCAGGTAGGTATGGGTACCCCTAACTACCCCCCTCCCCCGGCAGCATCCCCCCAACCCAACAGTCTCATCTAGCGTCACAGAGCTATAATGAAATAAACTTGGAGGCCATCACGGTAGTGGCAGTTCTAATAAAAATGAGAAAAATCACAAGATGGTTAAACCAATGGGGAGAGCTGGAATTTCCCCTCCTGAAGATATTCCAGGGCTAAAACTTCAATTCTGAGTTTTGTTTCTACAACAAAGAAGAGGTGGTGGTGGTTAGAGAGGTTACTTTGTTTTAAAAAATAAAACATTCTGTGTAAATATCCAAAATCATTTCCATGAAAATTTCTCTTCAGAAAGGAGGATGAAGAGAAGTGGGTTAAAGGGTACAGTTAGATAGACGGAATAAATTCAATGTTTGATAGCAGAATAGGGTGACTACAGTTAAAACAAAAATGTACTTGGGAGATGGACACCTTAAACACCCTGACTTGATCACTATGCATTACATACATGTAACAAAATTTCACATGTACCCTACAAGTTTGTACAAATAATGTGGGTACATTTTTAAAAATTCTCTTACATGTGACCTGAACTGTATTCAGCTGGCTCTGTGACTACTTGGGAGTTGCTGTGGAACAAACTGCAGCAATGCTTTCTTCTGGAAGTCTTTCATTTTCTTTATGATTATTATTCTTTTTTTAGACAGGGTCTTACTCTGTCACCCAGGCTGGAGTGCAGTGGCATAATCTTGGCTCACTGCAACCTCTGCCTCCCAGGCTCAAGTTTCCTTCCCACTTCAGCCTCCTGAGTAGCTGGGACTACAGGTGCATGCCTCCACACCTGGCTGATTTTTTGTATTTTTAGTAGAGAGGTGGTTTCGCCATGTTGCCCAGGTTGGTCTCAAACTCCTGGGCTCATGTGATCCTCCCACCTTGACCTCCCCAGTGCCGGAATTACAGGAGTAAGCCACCATGCCCGGCTTCATTTTCATTTTCCTTGTTCTGATAGGGATAATTTTGTCAACTCCACCTTTCTTTCTCTCTAATCCTCTTTCATTGCATGTGTATTTGTGTCTAGATTTAGTTTGGGATGGGGAGGGAGGACATAGTACTATTACATGATATCATCGTGGCTCTGAAGGTATCTCAAATCCTGACTATGCCACAGAAGAATTCTGAAATAACCCACTGCATGAGTACTATAGGAGCTGGTCAGCTTTGCATTGAACATAATTCCACATCTATAATGGCTTAGCTTTTGCTTCTCAATCAACATATTAATTGTTACAATATATCAGTACTAGGAACTATTACTCACATTCATCAGAGACATAAGATGTCTCTCTTCAAGAATACAGAATTTGGAAGATTCGTTATTGACAGAAGAAGACTACTTTTGAATTATCTTTTAGATTATAACATCCCATCTGCATTATCTGCCTGTGAAATATTGCCTTGATCATTCATATACCTGGTTCACAGTGGGTGGTCAATAAATGTGTGATGGATGAATGAATGGTCTACAGCTTCCACACTGCAGCCTTTACCTGCTCATATGATAGTTTTCACTGATTTTCTATGAAAGGCACATGCAGTAAGCATGCAGGATGAGAAGTCTAGAGCCTGTAAGACTCAATTCTAGGAGATCTACTAAAGTAATGACTATTACAAAACACTATGGTATATAAAGAATGAGACTTGTCGATCAGAAATTGACTGAGGTTGGCTGTAAAGGTTTTCTATCAAGAGGATGAAGAAAATTGAGCATAAGTTTTCTGGACAAAAAGAAAAAGCTGATTTAACTTGGCTTGTGTCTAAGACCAAAACAGGATGAGAGAGTCTGAGAAAAAACATATAAAGAATGTTACCTGATTTTATATGCACTTTATTATTTTTGCTTTGCATATTGTGTACTACGGATGGTTTTAATTGTTGGAATTCATATAATGATAAAAATAAAGAAGTTAATTTTTTAAACTTCCTGTTAAAAACTTGGCCTAAAGTACTTCCTCAACACAGACACGCTAGTGGCAGTTCTAATAAAAATGAGAAAAATTCATGGCATTTCCTCCATGAAGCCTTTTTCAGTCTACATCTATAAAGACTCTGCCTTTTCAAGCACTTGTAACTACCACTGATTTGCTATTATCAGACTTCTTCATAATACTTTGAGACCGAGTCTTGCTCTGTTGCCCAGGGTGGAGTGCAGTTGTGCGATCTCGGCTTACTGCAACCTCCGCCTCCCAGGTTCAAGCGATTCACCTGTCTCAGCCCTCCCCCACCCCCGCACCCCCCACCCCAGTAGCTGGAATTACAGGCGTGCCACCAGGCTTGGCTAACTTTTTGTATTTTTAGTAGAGATGGGGTTTCACCATGTTGGCCAGGTTGGTCTCAAACTCCTGACCTTAGGTGATCTACCTGCCTCGGCCTCCCAAAGTGCTGGGATTATAGGCATGAGCCACCATGCCCGGCCCATAATATCTTTTTAATGTGACTATTTGTTATCTCCCTCAACCACAGTCTCTCCGAGTTCTGGGATATCTGCCCACAATACCTTGCACATAATAAAGGCTCCAGGGGTGCTGTTTATCTAAACTGGCTTTATTTCCTTGAGACTGCTCAAGCACTTATCCTGTGCTAGGTTCTGGGAAAACAGAGGTGGAAAAGTTCAGATCCAGACTCTACCCATATGGAGGTTACCTTTTAAATGAAAAAGTGGAAAAGATGAACCCTTTTTAGTCTCTAGAAAGTTGCAAGAAGTTGAAGCAGAAGACCAAAGGAAAAAGTAGAGTTGAAAACAATAGACTATAAATCAGGATACCGTGACCTCATCTCTAATTTCCTGCGTGTCTTGAGTGCATTTCTTAACCATTTATGCATCCATTTCCTTATATGTGATACAGGATCACATGAAGAATTGATTCCTATATGACATATATAAGGAGAATTGGATCAGAAAATAGATGCAAAACATGTTGGAGGAAACTTCCTGAACCAGATAAAAAGCATCCATAAAAAACCCACAGGTAACACCATACTGAAAGGTGAAAGACTGAAAGCTTTCTCCCAAAGATCAGGAACAAGACAAGGCTATCTGCAATTCTGCTACTCAATATTATACAGGAAGTTCTAGCTAGGTTCTAGGTAACAAAATAAAATAAAAGACATCAAGATTTAAAAAGAAGTAAAACTATATCTGCAGATGATATGATCTTATGTATAGAAAAACCTAAAGAAGCCACCAAAAACACGATTAAAGCTAATACAGAAATTCAGCAAGATTTTGGGATATCAGATCAATATACAAAGACCATTTGTATTTCTATAAACTAGCAATGAACAATCCAAAAATAAAATTAAGAAAACAAATCAGGCCGGGCGCAGTGGCTCATGCCTGTAATCCCAGCACTTTGGGAGGCTGAGGCAGCTGGATCACGTGAGGTCAGGAGTTTGAGACCAGCCTGGCTAACATGGTGAAACCCCGTTTCTACTAAAAATACAAAAAAATTAGCCAGGTGTGGTGCCATGGGCCTGTAATCCCAGCTACTTGGGAGGCTGAGGCAGGAGAATCGCTTGAACCCGGGAGGCAGAGGTTGCAGTGAGCTAAGATCGCGCCATTGCACTCCAGCTTGGGCCACAGCAGCGAAACTCCATCTCACTAAATAAATAAATAAATAAATAAATAGAAAAGAAAAGAAAACAAATCCATTTACAATAGCATTAAAAAGGATAAAATACTAAGGAATAAACTTCCTTGTGGGCATAAGGAATAAACAAAAGAAGTGTAAGACTTATATACTGAAAACTGTAAAACATTGTTGAAAGAAATTAAAGATGATCTAAATAAATAGAAAAACATCCTATTTCATGGGGGCTGGAACACTTATTATTATTGAGATGGCAATACTCTGCACATTGAATTACAGATTCACAGCAAATCCTGCCAAAATCCCAGCGGCCATTTTTTTTTTTTTTTTTTTTTTTGAGATGGAGTCTTGCTTTGTTGCCCAGGCTGGAGTACAGTGGTGCAATCTCGGCTCACTGTAAACTCCGCCTCCCACCTTCACGCCATTTTCCTGCCTCAGTCTCCCGAGTAGCTGGGACTACAGGCACCTGCCACCACGCCCGGCTAATTTTTTTTGTATTTTTAGTAGAGACGAGGTTTCCCCCTGTTAGCCAGGATGGTCTCCATCTCCTGACCTCGTGATCCACCCACCTCGGCCTCCCAAAGTGCTGGGATTACAGGCGTGAGCCACTGCGCCCAGCCTGCCTTTTTTTTTTTTTTTTTTTTTTAAACAGCTATTGACTAGCTGATGCTAAAATTAATATGGGCCTGGGCGTGTGGCTCATGCCTGTAATCCTAGTACTTTGAGAGGCCGAGGAGGGTGGATCACTTGAGGTCAAGAGTTCGAGACCAGCCTGGCCAACATGGTGAAATCCCACCACTACCAAAAATACAAAAATTAACCAGGCATGGTGGCATGTTCCTGTAATCCCAGCTACTCAGGAGGCTGAGGCAGGAGAATCACTTGAACCCAAGAGGTGGAGGTTGCAGTGACCCGAGATCGTGCAACTATACTCCAGCCTGGAGGACAGAGTGAGACTCCGTCTCAAAAAAATAAGATAAAATAAAATAAAAATGGAAATGCGAGGGGCCTAGAATATACAAAACAATTTTGAAAAAGAATAAAGTTGGAGGACTCACACTTCCAAATTTCAAAATCTTACTACAAAGCTATAGTAATTAAGACTTTGTGGCACTAGCGTAAGGACAGATACAGAGGTCAATAGAATAGAACTAAGAGTCCAGAATAAACCCACATATTTTTGGTCAATTGATTTTTTATAAGGGTGCCAAGGCAATTGGATGGGGGAAAGATTCTTTTCAACAAATGGTGCAGGGAAAACTGGTTATCCACATGCAAAAGAATGAATCTGAATCCCTACAACACACCATATACAAAATTAGCTCAAAATGGACCAAAGACCAAAAGTAAGAGTTAAGATTATAAAACTCTTAAGAGAAAACATAGGTGTAAATTTCTGTGAAATTGGATTACGCAAGGTCTTCTTAGATACAATGCCAAAGCACAGGCAACAAAAGAAAATATAAATTGGACTGCATCAAAATTTTTAAAAACTTGAATGCTTCAAAGAACACCATCATGAAAGTGAAAAGGCAACACACAGAACAGGAGAAATATGTTTAAATCATATACTTGCATCTCGAATAAAGAACCCTGCAACTCAACAATAATAGTAATAATAGTAAAGCAACCTGATTTAAAAATGGGCTAAGGGGCTGGGAACGGTGACTTATACCTGTAATCCCAGCACTTTGGGAGGCCAAGGTGGGTGGATTGCTTGAGGCCAGGAATTCGGGACCAGCCTGGGAAACATGGCGAAACCCCAATTCTACAGAAATTAGCCAGGTGTGGTGGTGTTCATCTGTAGTCCCAGCTACTTGGGAAGCTGAAAAGGGAGGATCGCTTGAGCCCGGGATGGGAAGGTTGCAGTGAGCTGAGATCGCACCACTGCACTCCAGCCTGGGCAACACAGCAAGACCCTGTCTCAAAAAAGCAAATGGTCTAAGGACTTAAAAGAGATATTTCTCTGAGGAAGATACAAAAATGGCCAGTAACCACATGAAAGAATTCTCAACATCATTAGACATCAGGGAAATTCAAATGAAAACCACAAAGAGATACTACACACTTGCTAGGATGGCAATAATCAAAGAGGCAGATAATAACAAGTGTTGTCAAGAATATTGAGAAACTGGGACCCTCATACATTGCTGGTGGTAATATAAAGTGGTGCAGCTGCCGTGGAAATCAGTCTGGCAATTCTTCAAAAGGTTAAACATGGAGTTACCATATGAACCAGTCATTCCACTTCTGTGTACATGCCCAAGAGAACTAAAAACATGTCCACACAAAAACTTGTGAGTGTTCACAGCAACATTATTCACAGTAGCCAAAAAGTGGAAATAACCCAAATGTCCATCAACTGATGAGAAGATAAAATATGGTGTATCTATATAATGGATTATTATTTAGCCATAAAAAGGAATGAAGTACTGATACATTCTACAACATCGATGAACTTTGGAAATATGCTATGTCAAAGAAGCTGGACACAAAAGGCCACATATTGTATGACTGCATTTATATGAAATGTCCAGAACAGGTAAACCTTGTAGGGACAAAAAGTAGATTAGTGGTTGCCAGGGGCTGGAGGATGATGACCGGTAGGAGTGACTGCTAATGAGTATGGGGTCTCTTTCAGGTGATAAACATGTTTTAAATTGTAGTGATACTTGCACAACTCTGTGGATGTAATTTTAAAAAACACTGAATTGTGTACTTTAAATGGGTAAATTGTATGGTATGTGAATTATATCTCAATAAAAAGGAAAAACAAAGCAAAAAAAAAGAACATTGGAAAAGTTTTAAAATGCTATGCACAGAGGCAAAATCTTAGAACTTAGCCACGACTCCCATTAGGAGATGAACAAACATAGATACACTGTTTTTAGACAGTGACCATTAAGTGCTTAGAAAAAAAAAAAAAAGATAAATAAAGCACTCTTACTCACCAACTCCCAAGACAGGGGTATAGCCTTGTTACACAAACCCACTCCCCACCCACAACCAACTTTTACTCCTTTCCTCTCCTTGTCTTTTGATAGCTGAACTAGTGTACTGTTAGAACAAGACTGAGACTAAAGGTAGCCCAACATTTTGGAGATCAGAAGCCCAAGACATATGTCTAATTATCAATGTTTTGAAGAGTTTGGAAATTCCTATTAATCCATTATATCACTCAGGTTCTTCATCTCAGAGAAAGCTAATATCTCATGGAACAAACCTGCACATGTACCCCCTGAACCTAAAAGTTAGAAGAAAAAAAGATACGAAATAGTTTTTTAAAAATGTGCGTTCTTATTATCATGACTTATCTAGTTTCTTAATTAGAGTCATCTCTAGTTCTAGGATGATGTGTTGTTGGTCAAGGTTCCAAGGACATTACTACCACTGCTGCTTTCTGTTTCACTTTTGAAAATATATAATATTTTGATAGGCAGCCAAATCATATAAATACGGTAACAATAACAATCCCATCTATATACATGATGCCAGTGGTGACAACTGGTTACTAGGAAAATTTCCATGGAATTTCTTATTTTCTCTATGGTTTTTCACCGTAGTGATAAACTAACACTACCAAGGGTGACTTAATCACATTTCACAGTATGTCCAAAGACTATCAAAACAACAACTTCTAGGGGAAATTGGACTCAAGCTTAACTGCAAAACAATCAGTATAGGAGAAATGTATTCTTTGGTGTTAATTAATTTGTAGAGGACAAATCACTTCAAGAAATCATTAAACTATATACACTTTAATGCCTAATACATGTAGTGTTTAAAAAACAGATTTACCTAGCTTTCTCTGTTCGAGCCCACCTTGTTCTCTACAGCTTGCTACCTTTAGTCTGAGAGTTGGAAAAATAAATCTAGTGAGCTTGTGCCATGACATGGCAAACTCCCTGGCCACAGGACACAAAATTATCTTTCACATTTCTTTTTTTTTTTCCCTTGGCCATCCAATGAGTCTTACCTAGTCCTTCCATATATGTCTCTGGGACTCGTCCTTTCTTCTCCATTCTTGTCATATCACTCACATCTAGAGGTTTATTGAATTTAGTTTATTGCAATATCTATGTAACTGGTTTCCTAATTTCCATGTCTCTCTACCTCAAATACATCTGGCAGCAATATAAAAGATTAAATTTCTAAAAATAACATTTAATTAAGTAATCTGTTTAAAAACCTTGGCTAGCTCTCTCATGCCTATTGAGTAAACTCCAAATACCATTAGCCTGGTATTCAGCGCCTTCCAAAATCTCAGTCCGAATGTATTTTATTTCTTTTTTCTTTCTTTTTGTTGTTGTTGTTGTTGTTGTTGTTGACAGAATCTCACTCTGCCACCCAGGCTGGAGTGCAATGGCATGATCTAGGCTCACTACAACCTCCACCTCCCGGGTTCAAGCGATTCTTGTGCCTCAGCCTCCCAAGTAGCTGGGATTACAGGTGTGTACCACCATGCCTGGCTAACTTTTTTTTGTATTTTTATTAGAGACAGTGTTTTACCATGTTGGCCAAGCTGGTCTTGAACTCCTGGGCTCAAGTGATCTGCCTGTCTCAGCCTCCCAAAGTGCTGGGATTACAGGCATGAGCCACCACGCCCAGCCTGTATTTTCTAGATTTATCATCTACCACCTCTTGGACAAAACTGGTCTCCTTACTATCCCCTGAACCTCCACAAATTCTTTTTGCACCTTTGCTTATGGTGTTCCTCCTGCCTAGAATACCCCTCTCCATTTTTGGAAGCCTGTTCAAAGCTTAACTTTTCTTCACTAAACCCTCCCTGAACATTTACAATTCACAGTGATCTCTTTCTTTGAATGTGATTTGAGTTATGAATGCTGTCGTTCATTTGGCAATACTCACATATGACTTCTCCTGTCTTACATTGTTAATTCTTGTACTATTTAATTTTGTGCGTCTTGCTTTCTCAACTAGACTGCGAGATCCTTGGCAATAGGGGCCATTTATTACATTAAAAAATCTACCCACAGTGCATATTGCTGTGCTAGGGGCTTTGACAGGGACTAGTTACAGACAGAAGAGTGCTGGAGTCTCCTCAAGATGCCAAACTCTCAGAATGCAGCATTTACTAGAGGTGATGATTCCTCACACATACATATCAAATATAATCACTTTAAAGGTGAAACTAACTCTACAGGTTACTCTAAGATATTAAGGAATTACAAACTGCCTTGGAAATACTTGTAAAAGTCCCCTATTAAAATACAAAATTAACTTTTAATAAATAAGTTCATGCTCTCCTGAAAGCTTAAAAATGACATATAAAGAAAAAATGGGCTGGACGCGGTGGCTCACGCCTGTAATCCCAGTACTTTGGGAGGCTGAGGCGGGTGGATCACAAGGTCAGGAGTTCGAGACCAGCCTGAGCAGCATGGTGAAACCCCGTCTCTACTAAAAATACAAAAATTAGCTGGGCGTGGTGGCACCTGCCTGTAATCCCAGCTACTCAGGAGGTTGAGGCAGGAGAATCATTTGAACCCGGGAGATGGAGGTTGCAGTGAGCCAAGATGGCGCCACTGCACTCCAGCCTGGGTGACAGAGCAAGACTTTGTCTCAAAAAAGAAAAAATGGTACCCCCCAAAAAATAAAAATAAAAATGGTCAGGCCAGGAGCATAATCTCTAGGATTTACTTGATCACAAAGTGCTCAAAAAGCCAAGGCCCCGTGCAATCCATTTATATTTTAGTGACTGTTTTTTCATCTGTAAAAGAGGCTAAACCACATAAGGAAAATAAGTGTAGGCTGGGCAAAGTGGCTCATGCCTGTAATCCCAGCACTTTTGGCAGATCACGATGTCAGGAGATCGAGACCATCCTGGCTAACACAGTGAAACCCCGTCTCTACTAAAAAAAAAATACAAAAAATTAGCCGGGCGTGGTGGCAGGCGCCTGTAGTCTCAACTACTCGGGAGGCTGAGGCAGGAGAATGGCGTGAACCAGGGAGGCAGAGGTTGCAGTGAGCCAAGATCGCGCCATTGTACGCCAGCCTGGGCGACAGAACGAGACTCCATCTCAAAAAAAAAAAAAAAAGGAAGTCTAGAACCCGAGTTCCCATAGAAGGCAGCCAAAATGATTTGGATAATTCAAGCTAAAAAATGTCATTCACATCTTGGTTTCTCCTGAATTATTTAGGCAATCTGAGATTTCTTCATAGACAGAAATATAATCCCAAGCTAGTTTGCCAAATCTGTGGTGGTTTTCTACATTGACCCAAGACATGCTGCAACCATTAAGTTCTAATCAAAATGTTTATTAATCTTGTAACTGAAGAAAATAATCATTACAAAACTCCTACCTCAGATTGCTGTAAAAGCTTTGAAGTTCTGTGGGATGTACTGACTGCAATCTCAGAAATGTTTTATCTTTGTAGATGGCCCCAGATGATAAAGCTTTGGCAACAAATGCTGCTTGCCCTGTATAAATCCCTTAGATGTCTTGTATGTAGAAGGGAGACCTACTAGATTACCTAGCGTCATCAGATCATAACATATATATATGGTATCTCAAGCTTACTATTATATATATGTTATATATACAGAGTCTCACTGTCGCCCAGACTGGAGTGCAGTGGCGTGATCTCAGCTCACTGCAACCTCCACCTCCTGGGTTCAAGCGATTCTCCTGCCTCAACCTCCTCAGTAGCTGGGATTACAGGCATGCACCACCATGACCAGCTAATTTTTGTATTTTTAGTAGAGATGGGGTTTCACCATGTTGGTCAGGCTGGTCTTGAACTCCTGACCTCATGATCCGCCTGCCTCAGCCTCCCAAAGTGTTGGGATTACAGGCATGAGCCACCGTGTCCAGCCTAAGCTTCGTATATTTGTAAATATATCCTTTCCTTTTGAAATTTTCTGTGAAATAATGCTTTTGGTTCCTTTAGCCCAGCCTTGACTACTAATTGGCAAGGATTCAAATGATCTCCCCAATTTTAAATATCCGTGTATTACGGAAATGTTATCAATTTTCTTCTCCTCCTACCAAGGATTAGTATGATAATGAATTGAGCTTCTTGTCAAGAAAAATGCTAAGTTCAAAGTATTATTTCTTTCACTTCTAATTACAAATAAGTTTTACCTTTTATTGTATTCCATTATACAATTTTACATAGTACCATTATTTTAAGCAATAATTAAGCAAATTGAACTACTGTTTTTGAGCTCTACTTTTCAGCATATAGATTTACCTAAAAAAGTACAAACCAAGCACAGTGGTGCAATTTTCCAGGCACTTTCAAGTTGCTTATTTACAAATATGTAAGCACCCTGTTGGAACACATGAAAATTTTGGTGTCGAGAAGAAACACTCCATGTATATCAAATCTTTAAATTTTAACATTTGCACAGCTCCAAATATTCCTGAGAAAGGTCAGTCTCATTGTCACGTACATCTGCATTTCCTCACACTTCAGCGTATCTTGGGGAACCATAACCTCGGTCACTTGATGTACCACTAATTGCACAAAATACATGTAATGTGTTGCTCATCCAGGGAGAATGCATTGTGTCTTCTTGTAATATCTAAAACAGAAGAAATCAGCATGATTATCATGAAGCAAAATAGCCACTGCCAAAAAAAGAATGTGTATATGAAATTGCAGGCATATTTCAATTTATCACTGACAGTTATTTAAAAAGACAGAAAGCAGAGAGAGCAAAGAATAACATTACCGACTTAAGTCTTCAAAGCTGTATTACAAAGGCAGCATATCAAAAAAGCAGAAAAGATCTAGTTACTCATTAAGAAAAACAAAGACTGTAAAATGCAAAATTCAATAAAAAGCGAGAGGTAACACAATCTTTAAAATATTTTTTAACAGATGGTCATAACAAGAGCTCTAAATGGTAGACTCTGACATGAGTTTATGAATGATCTAACACAGTGGTTCTCAGAATCATCTATGGGACTTTTGAAACATGCAGATACCTATGTTCCTTCCCTGGAGACTTGAAAATAATAGTAAATGAAGATAAAAGTCTTAAGTGCATATTTCTAAAGACACATTATAATTGTATAAGCTAATTGATACAGAAGATTTTTCTTGGAAAGGAAGAACTTCATAAATATAAAATTTAAAGATTGTATTCCAGTAAGTATATAAACATAGATATTCGTATTAGTTTAAATATTTTTTAAATGATCCATTTTGTGTAATCTAAAGAAAAAGCAACAGAAATCTTGTGCTTAAAGTAGATTGAGGTAAAAAACGCTATATACATTATATCCACTCTCTTTACCATAAAGTCCTAACTTAGGTCCCAAGCTTTCAATACTTGGTTCTCAAGTTAGTTGTGAAACTTCAGTATTAAGCCCACAGATTGATCTATAGTGGCAGTATTGAGACATATCATTTGTGTTGCTACAAATCATAAGGCTTAAATAAAATTTATAATAGAGAAATTTCCTCTTACAAAAATATTAACTCATGACACTAATCTGAAAGCATACTAGAATGTTAAGAGATGAATAACTGATTATCTATGCTGGTCAGATGTGACAGGCAAGGAGGGTACTTATTGCTAAGAAATTACAAAACATACCCAACAGATGCTACAATGACCACCCCCAACTCTATCTGAGAAATCTGTAATTTATAGCTTTATGATAATATAAATCCTTTTAAAAATCAAAAGCAGCCAGGCGTGGTGGCTCACGCCTGTAATCCCACCACTTTTGGAGGCCGAGGCGGGTGGATTACGAGGTCAGGAGATCGACACCATCCTGGCTAACATGGTGAAATCCCCATCTCTACTAAAAATACAAAAAAATTAGCCAGGCGTGGTGGCACGTGCCTGTAGTCCCAGCTACTTGGGAGGCTGAGGCAGGAGAAATCACTTGAATCCGGGAGGCGGAGGTTGCAGTGAGCTGACATTGTGCCACTGCACTCCAGCCTGGGCGACAGAGTGAGACTCCCTCTCAAAAAAAAAAAAAAAAAAGAAAAAAAAAAGAAAAAAAAGCTTGAAGAAGTTTTTGAAAGGACTATATACTTCGGTATTCTGTAACAGATTACACTGAAAGGGGACAAGGAATATCCAGTCATGTCTTTTTGTCAAGTAATCATTTATGGAGCTCAAGAGAATATTTCAAATTTCAGTACACATTAACACTTGTCTTACTTCTCAGTATTAATATATGCCTCAAAGTGTATGACTACAAGGTGGCTCTCTTTTATGTGAAACTCAATTCACTACAAAGTCAACATTTGCCAAAAGTAAGGCACACCCAAATATGTTTCATAATGACAGGATGGCTTGCATAAATATAAGCCAATAGAAACTAAGAGTTTTCTTGGTTAGCTATCAATATACAATATTAAGAGTCTAAATTATTGGTCTCTATATCTAAGAGAAATAGCCATGTTTTATGGGAATAACTGATACAGACAAGTGGGAAATACGACAGTAGATTTGAAAAATCCATGCTTCAAAAGGAAAACAAAATTTTATAAAATGACCACTCAGAATATCTTGATTACAGTAATAACAGTACATTGAATAATTTGTTTTCAATTTGAATAATTTAGAGTTCAACACTAGGTCATGCAGCTGCATGCAAATGAAATAACTGTAATATAGTAGATACTCACTTAAAATAGCATGTGCAATTGTCATATCTTTTGTGAAGGAGGAATTTTTGCTGCTTTTTCTATGCATTATGAGGAATAGAAACTCATCAACTAGATAGTTTCTAAAAACAAACTATGTAATCTATTTGATAACGGTATACCTCAGTTCAACCTCTTGCCTCTGACACTGGAGCACAAAAAACAAAATGGTTTCTTACAGATAACTGCATCACTAACCACTTTAGATAATTGTTGCAAATTTGATTTGTATTGTATCACTTAAATGATTAAAGATAATATGAAAAAAGTTTAAAATATAGACTTAATAACTTTAAGGTTGTGCATTTTGAACCATTATATTTTGCTAAGCAACAATTTTGGGACCCGCAGATCATGTTTTCAGTTTTAGTCACCCTAATACTTGCCTGCTCATGGATAATGTCAGATAATTCTTTTACCATGTCTCTGAAATTTGACTTTAGCCCTTCATGGTACTCAACTTGATCTTCTTTAATTAGCCGCTCATTTAGTTCAAGTGCAATGCTGCATGCTTGTATAAATTTCCTGTGGATGAATATCAAAGATAAAGGTCTTGTTATTTATTCTTAGGAAGTATCACTGACAATCCATTTGATAACTCAGTTTAGCCATGGCTTGCCTAGGAAGAAGATCAGAATCCTCTATTTTCTCACTGTGCATTTATTTCTTAATGTCTCTTCCTAAGTCTGAAATGCCTTCTTTCCTTTCCACCTTTGCCTTATGGTTTCATTTCTTATCTCCTTCAAGACTTGGCTCAAAACACATACCCTCTGGAAAGCCTACTTGCTCAATCATTTCCTTGGCATTCTATCAGCTAAAGTTGTGCTGACATTAATTTGCACCTATAAATAACGAGTCATTCATTCAAAAAGAATTTATTTTGAGCTTACTATGTGGCTAGTACAGTGCTGGGTGGTACAGGTATGAAGGATCTTCCCTGGGCTGCTAGGAAGGAGAACAGAAAGTTGATGACCTATCATAAAAGTCTTTTTCCATTATTTCATGTGTTTATGTTTAATGTCCACAATTAGAGTGTAGGTCTTAGGGGACAAAGTACTTCATTGTCCATTTGTTTTATATCCCTGTCATAGCAACAAATAGTCTTTTGCATGTACCAGGCATTAATACTGGTGAATGAATGACTACTGGTTACTCTGCACTCTGGAACAGCTGATAAAACATAGACAGGAAAAGTAAACAAAATAAGTCGGGAGCAAATGAGTGGATAGATTATCATCTTTCTCCTTAGTCCATATTACTCAACTGTTTCTCTTCTTCTGAATGAAGACTTTTATATATTAAAGATATTTCTCTAATGTAGGAGCATTCATACATGCCTAAGCTTACAGAGCCGCTCACTGAAGACAAGATGTTGCATGCCCTAGTTTGGCAGAGTCCAAGTAGAAGTAAGGACAGGGGACTGGAGTGAGCCTATGCAATCTTTCCTGCCCCACTTCTATTCCTACCCCAAATGGTCTGAAATGCTGTAACAGGAGGTCAATTGGGTGAAGAAGGAAAGCACATAAGGAACATAGGCTTGTGTTTGTGTCACTTAAAATATTCAAAGCAATATAGTAAACTGGCATATTTAATCTCTTGGGTCACTAGGGTATTGTTAATGTCCTGCAGGATGAAACTGATCTCACATTTGCTCAAAGTGCCATTAGGAGGTCACTTAGATATTGTAAAAGACCACAGAGAATGTCCCTTTTTGGAAGGGTATTATTTGGTCAATACTTTGTTGTTTTTTAAAAGAAGAAAATAGAGAAAACGAACACGGGTCTAACCTGAAAACTATAAAACACTTACCTAAACATGTCTTTCAACTCACTCACTTTCTTAGGTGGATACTTGCTAGCTTGGCTGTCATTTAAGAAAGCTCTTGCATATGCTAATGGACCAGCATTGACCTATATCACAATAGAAGAAAAATGAGAGTGTTTCCAGAATGCAATAATCAAAAGAAGTTTTGGCATTTCTCTTTTTTATTAAAAATCCCAAAATATACAAGAAATCCATATCTGAGAAATATATGCTTATTTCAAGTTTATTTCAAAAAACCATTAACTAAAGAAAATAATCTACAAAGATGATATTCTAGTAAGTTAGTGATTTCTGATATGTACATACAGGGCTTCGCTACAGTCATCGGACTTATGTTAAAGTCCTCTGACATAACACAAAACTTTAAAAAATTCAATGTAATATCTTCATTAAATGAACAAAAAATAATGCACAGGTTTTTGCACTCAGTAAGTGCCCAACACATAATTACAATTAATGCTTGCTCTGTGCCCTTATAAAACCAAAAGAAACATCAAGAAACATTCAATACATGTTGGATGACCAACGTACCTGCACAGAAACACAGCCCTGCAATTTAAGTTGGAGCTGAATCATGTCCACGTCAGTAGAGGAGCAAAGCTTTTGCAGCTCTGCAGTTTTATCTTTTATTTCATCAGTGGCAACATCAATTGGTTTTAAATTAATCTGCTGTTCACAGTTAATAGGAATCCTCTTCTTCACGTAAGGAAACGAGTTTGAAGCTATTAAAATGTTAAGATTGATTTACTGACTTTAGAAAATCATTTGTTCAAACAGCCAAATTAAAGAAAAAACTCTATTGTGCTTAACTCTCCCCATCCTTTATCTAGAAGATGACTTAGGGTCCCATATAGTACTTCAGGATTCAGAGAGAAATTCTCTTTATGAGACACCTCTGGGCAATCATGGATGACATATGGGAAAATGATGGTTTATCACATGGACGTGCTTGTGCAAACTTGTAACTGAACAGCAGAACAAATAATAATTAAAATTTCAGTTGTATGTTCCAGCTGGCCAGCTGCTACTCGTGTATGCTGAAAAAGACCAAGACAAATAAGAAGTTAATATGTAAAATTGTACTTACTTGTCAAGATTGTACGGCGTTTGCACTGTTCTTCTATACAGCCCTGTTTTTTGCCTGATAAAGTGTAAGGGGCCTCAAAAACAAATCTGCTGATATTATGATTTCTTTCAAACTCGGTCTTCCTTTCTGTGAGTTCTTTGTCATCAAAGTAAGGCTTCACATAAGTAACTTGTATATGAGCATATTTTGGATCAAGCTCTTTGGCATTTACCTATAAAATAAGAAAGTTTTTATTTATTTATTTTATTTTATTTTTTATTTTATTCAGTGGAAGGGAAAAGGAGATAAGGTAACCTACTAACTTCTTTGAGACCAAGTGAGGAACATTGCCATTATAATTGTGTTTCCAATAAAGGGCGTCTTCATTCTTCTTTTTAAAAATCACTTACTTCTGATTATAAAGAAGTTACAGAAATCTATTTGGAGACTACAGAAACATACGAAGAAATTAAAAATTACTGTAATTGGCCAGGCACGGTGGCTCATGCCTGTAATCCCAGCATTTTAAGAGGCCGAGGCGGGCGGATCACTTGAGGTCAGGGGTTTGAGACCAGCCTGGCCAACATGGTGAAACCTTGTCTCTACTAAAAACACAAAAATTAGCCAGGCGGGGTGGCATGAGCCTGTAGTCCCAGCTACTCAGGAGGCTGAGGCAGGAGAATCACTTGAGCTTGGGAGGCGGAGGTTGCAGTGAGCCGAGATCGCGCCACTGAACTCCAGTCTGGGCGACAAAGTGAAACTCTGTCTCCAAAAAAAAAAAAAAAAAAAAAAAAATTACTGTAATCCTACTACCCAGCAATGATCATTATTCACATTTTTATATATTTCCTTCTCATCTTTCTTCTATGCCTATGTATTCAGAAAATTGAGGTCAGACTAAACAGTTTTGATTGTGCATTATGTGAATTACACCTCAATAAAAACACAGGTATCATAGTTTATTTATTTATTTTTGAGATGGAGTCTCGCTCTGTTGCCCAGGCTCAAGTGCAGTGGTGTGATCATGTCTCACTGCAGCCTCAGCCTCCTGGGCTCAAGTGATCCTCCCACTTCAGCTTCCCGTGTAGCTGGGACCATAGACATGCACTACCATACCTGGCTAATTTTTAAATTTTTTTGTAGAAATGAGGTCTCCCTGTGTTGCTGAGGCTAGCTTGGAACTCCTGGGCACAAGTGATCCTCCTGCCTCAGCCCCCTAGTGTTGGGATTATAGGCATGAGCCACCATGTCTGGCCAATAGTTTATACTATAGTCACTGACATTACTTTTAATGGCTGTATGGATAAACATGACTTATTGGACCATTCTCTCATTAGTGGAGACAGGCTGTTTTCCAACTTTTTGCTGTTGTAAATAATGTTCTGATGAACATCCTTGTATTTAAAACTGTGTGCATTTTTTTTCTGATTTTTTCCTTAGGATAAATTCCTAGAAAAGAAATTGCTTAGTTAAAAGATTTACATGGGGCCAGTTGCAGTGGTTCATGCCTGTAATCTGAGGGCTTGGGAGGCCAAGACAGGAGGATTGCTTGAGCGCAGGAGATTGAGACCAGCTTGGGCAACATAGCAAGACCCTGTCTCTAAGAAACATAAAAAAATTAGCTGGGGTATGGTGGTAACACACCTGTAGTCCCACCTATTCAGGAGGCTAAGACAGGAGGATTGCTTGAACCCAGGAGTTTGAGACCAGCCTGGGCAACATAGTGAGACCCCGTCTCCACACACACACACACAAAAACCCCACAAGAAACAAAAATAAGCCAGGTGTGGTGGTGCACACCTGTAGTCCCAGCTACTCAAGAGGCTGAGGTGGGAGGATCGCTTGAGCACAGGAGGTCAAGGCTGCCGTGAGCTGTGATCGTGCCACAGCACTCCAGCCTGGGCGACAGAGCCAGACCCTGTCTCGAAAAAAATTAAAAGCGGCCAGGCGTGGTGGCTCAGGCCTGTAATCCCAGCACTTTGGGAGGCTGAGGTGGGTGGATCACTTGAGGTTAGGAGTTCGAGACCATCCTGGCCAACATGGTGGAACCCCAGCTCTACTAAAAATACAAAAATTAGCCAGGTGTGGTGGTGAGCGACTGTAATCCCAGCTATTAGGGAGGCTGAGGTGGGAGAATTGCTTAAACCCAGGAGGCGGAGGTTGCAGTAAGCCAAGATGGCACCAATGCACTCCAGCCTGGGTGACAGAGCAAGACTCTGTCTAAAAAAAAATAAAATAAAATAAAAAGAAAAGAAAAAAATATACATCTTGATAGATTCATATGGACACTTACAAATCTCTCATGCTTTTTAATGTCTAGGTGGTTATATCCATTATATGGGTAATACCGCCATTTCTTTAACCATATGGACATTTAGACTGCTTCCAGGTTTTTGCTATATAAATTTTGTGGCAGTGAACAACTTTAAACATATACATTTATATGTGTACATCTACAAGATAAAATGTTAAATGTGAAATTGTTGGGTCCAAGGACACATACATTTAAAATATTGGAAGATATTGCCAAACTCCTCTTCAAATTGCCTTTGCCCTTAAGCAGATTTTGTTCTTTGGCAAGGGAAAAGAATATTTTTAATTTTTATTTTCACAAACTGAGAAAACAATAAATATATTTTAAAAGCCAGAACTGCTTATTATGTCTGTTGCCTGTGGGGAACTACTAAAATATGATACATAACAAACATCAGGAGTCCAGCCACCTGTAGTGGTTTGTCGCTAGCATTCTTTGGCCCAGTTTTCAGAGGCAGAATAAGGTAGAAAACTGCATGTTGCACAGAAAGTCTGACTTTTCATTACCTTTCCATTTATACAGTAATCAATATTGTGGGAACAAGTCTTACACTATCTGGCTGCAAGGGGAGAAAATCTTCTGTTGTCTCAATTCAACGAAACAACACAAAATAGTGAAACTGATAAGGAAAGAAGTAGAGAGTGTTTGCCATATATTACGTTGAAACTACCACCAAATCTATTTTTAAATGTCTTAGGCATGTGTTTAAGATAAAGTCATCTCCAAGAGATATATGTAAGTATACAAAGTGAAGAGATTATTTTCGTGGTAGACAATGAAGTGTCTTTACAATAGCCATGGGCTTTTTCACTCTGGTAATGCTTCCTGCTAGCTTTTAAGTGTTCTGCATAGCACTGCGCATATCATAGTCACTCAGTAAATATCACTGTGGATACAAATCTTGAACTTTATATGAGCTTCCTACCCTTAAAAATCAGCTCTAAGTCTGGGCACACCCAAGGCAACTAAGGACAGTCAGGCATTCCTACAGTGCTTCCCCCAAATCCTGTCTATAGGGAACTATGCATTTCCTAGGAAAGGGCCTCTCTTGCTATAATATAAGCCTTCTCACTATGCCTTGGCAGGGCCTAGTGGGATGGATAACCTTTAGAGCAAGGCTCAAGGATCTCTCCTAAACCTATTTCATTGCAAATGTTAACTACAGTCACTATTACTGAACTAAGGATATCTTAGAATAAAATGTGTGCCCCAAGGTGATTTTAATCATGATGTAACGGAGAATCATGATGTACAATAGCATTTACAATAATATCTAACCTTTAGTGAGCATGCTAGCTTGCTATTATTAGTGAATGCTTTTTATGTACCAGGAAAGTGATTATACTTTCCATATATTAACTCATTTAATCCATACAACAACCTCATGAGGAAAATACTACTATTATTATCTCCATTTTATTACTAAGAACGATGAAGCACAGAGAGTTAAGTACCTTCCCCATGGTCACACAGCTAGTGAGTGGCAGAGAGTAGAGATTTGAAGCTTGGTATCTCTGACTCCAAAGCCCCTGTTCTTTCTTTTATTATCTGGAAAGCTCTGTTTTCATGCTTCTCTACCAGTTAAAAAAGGAAAAAGTCAGGAGCAATGTACAATGCCTGGAACTAACAAATAATGATTTCAACATGTAGGGTATGTGTTACCTTGTCTGAATCCTGAATTATTTTGACATTCTCCGTACCAAACTTTTCACCATAAAGTTTAACAAGTCTCAAGGAAATTTCTGAGAGGCCAGTGAGCTTTGGTTCTTTATAGATGTACTCCTTTCCATCTTCTTCTTCAAAAAAAGACTATTATAAAGTTAAACAAATAATAACTTATAAATAATATGAGCAAACACAACATTTAAAGAAAATCTACTAAATAACTAGTAATAATATATTTGAAATAAATTTTGAATAATATTACTAAAAGTCCCATGCTTGTATTTACCCTTTTAATTTCAAATACATGAGAATTTTTAAATTCCTGGTAATTTTCAAATTTATAATCACATAAACATATGGCCTGAGGAAGATTTCCAAACTAGGTTTTTTCCTTCCCTGTACACTTACCTGTTTTTTATTTAAAAGTTTTAACTACTATATATTTAATATGTACTTTAAAAAGCTTAACAGAAAATGAAACTGACAGAAATCAAAACCTTTTCTGTTGTATTCTGACCTGAAGGGTTTAGATATGAGAACCAAAGTGAACTTTATACATACAAAAGAGGCTCCCTGCTGTTGTAATAGGCACTCTATCTGGATAGACTCCTAGCTGCTATAGTAAACTAGTAATTCAAAGGTGAATGTTTAAAAAGGAAAACTTTATGGATTCAAGTACACTTACTTGGCCATAAAAGGCAACTCTGAAGAAAGTGCCTAAAAGTCTCTTTTTTGTATGCATAACTTCCAGAATTTTTGTGTAAGCTCCATGAAGAGTTCTATAAACTTGAGTAAGTTTCTGAAAAATAAAAATATACAAATCAGCTTTGTTTTTTGTTTAATTACTAAATGTCTTCAAGATGAATGTACAAAAATAAAAAGCACCAGTATATTCTTTTCAAAATGGTCTTGGTGGGGCCATTCATACTCATCTCCCTTTGTAACAATCAAAGTCCTCAACAACTTTAGGTCTAAGGGTAGAACTTAAAATGGTAAAATAACACTGTATTTCTTTTTAAAAGAAATTTCTTCTAAAAAAAAAAGGGGGGATACATGTGCAGAATATGCAGGTTTGTTACATAGATAGATGTGTGTCATCGTGGTTTGCTGCACCTATTGGCCCATCCTCTAAGTTCCCTCCCCTCACCCCCCACCCCACAACAAGCCCTGTGTGAGTTGTTCCCCTCTCTGTGTCCATGGGTTCTCATTGTTCAGCTCCCACTTGAGTGAGAACACGCGGTATGTGGTTTTCTGTTCCTCAATGACAATGTATTTCTTAATATCATGCTTCATTTCATTCACATCTCAATGGAAATTTTAAATTTTGAAATACTGTATTATCAACTACTATTTTCTACAGGATCGGAATATTTTTAACTGAAAGGGCAGCCAAATGCTTTGCTTGAGCCCTCAGGTAGAGAGCTATGAGAATAAACAATCCATGTATTTAAAAAGGAAAATAAAATGCAAATATAAAAATAAGCAATGGTGTAAGCTGCAGTGAGGACTGCTTTTATGCAAGTTCACAGATATTTCCAAAGGATATGTTTTTCCGCACTTCCAGAAAAAGAGAGCACGTTGTGCAAAGAACATTATCAAAAATGTGAAAGACGAGCTACAGAATGGAAGAAAATATATGCAAATCACAGATCTGATAAGGGTTTAGTACCCAGAATATTTAAGGACTTCTTACCACTCAACAACAAAATATATGCAAACCAATTTTAAAAATGGGCAAATGACCTGAATAGACATTGCTCCAAAGATGTACAAGCAGCCAAGAAGGACACGAAAAGACACTCAATCTCACTGTCATTAAGGAAATGCAAACCAAGACAATGAGGTGCCACTTCACATGCACTAGGATGGATTTTATAAAACAAAATAAAACAAACAGAAAATAAAAAATGTTGGTAAGGATATGAAGTAATAGGAATCCTAGAACACTGATGATCGAAATGTAAAACGGTACAGCCACTGTGGAAAACAGCTTCGTGGGTCCTCAAAAAGTTAAACATAGAATTACCAAATGATCCAGCAATTCTACTCCCTAGTATATATTCAAGAGAATTGAAAATATATATCCACACAGAAACTTGCACATGAATGTTTACAACAGCACTATTCATAATAGACAAAAGGTGAAACAACCCAAATGTCCATCAATGGATGAATGGATAAACAATCTGCAGTATATCCATACAATGGAATCTTACTCAGCCATAAAAAAGAATGAAGTTCTGATATATGCTACAACTGATACATGAACCTCTAAATATTATGTTAACAGGCCAGGTGCGGTGGCTCACGCCTGTAATCCCAGCACTTTGGAAGGCTGAGACAGGTGGATCACTTGAGGTCAGGAGTTTGAGACCAGCCTGGACAACATGGTGAAACCCCATCTCTATTAAAAATACAAAAATTAGCCGGGAGTGGTGGTGTGCACCTCCCAGCTACTTGGGAGGCTGAGGTGTGAGGATTGCTTGAACCCAGGAGGCGGAGGTTGCGGTGAGCTGAGATCATGCCATTGTACTCCAACCTCGATGACAGAGTGAGATTCTGTCTCAATTAAAAAAAAATTATGCTAACTGAAAGAAGCCAGACATAAAAGGTCACATATAATATCACAGGCTGAGTATCCCTTATCTGAAATGCTTTGGACCAGAAGTGTTTGAGATTTTGAAATATTTGCATTGGACTTACCAATTGAACATGTCTAATCTGAAAATCTGATATCCAAAATGTTCCAATGAGCATTTCCACTGAGCACCATGACCATGCTCAAACAGTTTCAGATTTGGGAGCATTTATGATTTCGAATTTTCAGATTAGAGAGGCTCAATCTGTATTCCTTTTATATGACATATCCAGAATAAGCAAATCCAGAAAGCAGGTTAGTGGTTATTGGAAAATGGGAGTGGGGTGGGGAGTAATTACTTAATGGGTATGGAGTGTTTTTCTGGGGAGATGAAAAAGTTTTAAAACTAGAAAGAGGTGGTGGGTGCATATTGAGAATGATAGGATAATAGGATTTCTATACTTTAAAATGGTTAATTGTATGTTATATAAATTTCACCTCAACAAAAAAGGAAAAACACACAAGCTTCTTTCTCTAAAATTCCTCCCATATTATCTTTTATAATTGAGCTCAATTGGAGGGAAATCTTCCTTACTTTGGCTGCTATCTCTGATAGTTTTCAGCCCGTTCCATAGAGATACACTGAAAAAGTATGCATCAGTGTTCTACTTTTTGGTTTTGTTTTGAGATTGGATCTTGTTCTGTAGCCAAGGCTGGAGTGCAGTGTCTCAATCATAGCTCACTGAAGCCTCAATCTCCTGGACTTAAGCAATCCTCCTACCTCAGTCTCCCAAGTGGCCGGAATCACAGGCGTGTATACCATGCTCCAGCTACATCAGTCTTAAACACAATTACTTCATCTATACAGAGTTCTAGGGGATTTATACAGACCCTTACACCCCTCCAAGGAAATAGGAGTAGTTCCCCTGTAGAAAACATCATTTCCTTTAATGTATAAAGAAGATATATTTTTCTTTCTTCCCTGTTGGTTGGCTAAGTAGCAAAAGGCTCCCTGGGTTTCTAACAGCCAGAACTTCCTTCATCCTAAGAGTCAAAAAATGGGGACTTTATTTTGAAATTACTACAAAGGTTCTTCAGATGTAATGCTTTGATAGGAGGGGTAATGGCAAATCTGGTTTTGTCTCATAGGCTATTCTTTGCCATCTGTATGACCTATACTTCAGCTTATTAATATATTCACTTGAATTCTACTATGAGTTTTCAGGCATGCCCCATATACACCAAAAGTATGGCAGAGAGAGGAAGACCTAGAATCTGGGAAGAAAAAGTGAATTTGATCAGAGCTAGTTTGGAGGAGAGATGAAAACACTACTCAGATTATATTAAATCTATGTGTGTTCACTCTCAGAAACCACGTCAACAAGGAAAGGCCTAACTGCTTTATTTAAGAATACATGGCCAGGCCGGGCACGGTGGCTCACGCCTGTAATCCCAGCACTTTGGGAGGCCAAGGCGGGCGCATCACAAGGTCAGGAGATCGAGACCATCTTGGCTAACACGGTGAAACCCTGCCTCTACTAAAAATACAAAAAAATATTAGTCGGGCGCGGTGGCGGGCGCCTGTAATCCCAGCTACTCAGGAGGCTGAAGCAGGAGAATGGCGTGAACCCGGGAGGTGGAGCTTGCAGTGAGCCGAGATAGCGCCACTGCAGTCCGGCCTGGGCCAAAGAGCAAGACTCCGTCTCAAAAAAACTAAATAAATAAAATAAAAAACAAAAAAAAAGAATAAATTGCCTTGCTTTTTTAAAATGGCTTGAATCCTAAATCATCCCTTCCCAGCATAGTAGCAACAGAAATTATGATATGGACTAAGAGACTTGAATATTTAAAAAATCCTGTTTAGTGCTGGTGGCAATTGCTGTGCATTATACTACTATTCTTTATTAACTAAACTTTATCAATAGTTTATCTGGCAAGTCAAAATTTTAAAATTCTCATAATAGGGGTATTACTAGTGTATTATTACCTACCCCACTGTCATTTGCCAGCACCTTTAGGTTCTCCGCTAAATTATAAAGAATAGAATCATGTCTATGCCTCTTCCCTGGGTAACATGGAAATTTGACAGCTTTTTGAAGTGAAGGTTTAGTGAAAACAACACTGATTATTTTACGCTCTGAGAGGAAGAGGGGAGGTTGCTAGATAAAAATATTTTCAGGCCGGTCACAGTGGCTCACGCCTATAATCCCAACACTTTGAGAAGCTAAGGCCGGAGGATCACTTGAGGTCAAGAGTTCGAGACAAGCCTGGTCAACATGGTGAAACCCCGTCTCTACTAATAATACAAAGATAGCGGGGCGTGGTGGTGCATGCCTGTAATCCCAGCTACTGGGAAGGCTGAGGCAGGAGAACTGCTTGAACTCGGGAGACAGAGGTTGCAGTGAGCCAAGATTGCGCCACTGCACTCCAGCCTGGGCAACAGAGCGAGACTCCATCTCAAAAAAAAATTTTTTTTTTCAGAACCACTGGTCTAATTTAAATCTCAATTTCTATTTTGGATCTTTTACCCTTAATTTCATTTGGAAAACATAAATGAATATAAGGTAGGATGTTTTAAGTTTTACTTTATTTTCATAAGCAGGACCAGAGGAAGTTTTATGTTGTCTTTAATTGACACATAATAACTGTACATATTTATGGGGTACAATTTATGGGGGAAATGTTGTTTCCATACATGCCAACATTGTGTAATGATCAAAACAGGGTAATTAGTAAATGTATCATCTCAAACATTTATCATTCCTTTGTGGTGAAATCATTAAAAAATCTCAGGATTTAATAGCATTTTTAGGAATTGTCACTTTGAAATTGGACAAATGTGTCAAAATGATAGACTATACTCTATGATAAAATGCAAAAGTCATAATGTAATGAACCTTATATTCTTCAGAGGACACAAGTCGAATAATAGTGACAGAACTATATTACTGTTTTCCCTAAAACCAAAATAAAATACATAAGTCAATGATAAAAATGTTCAAATTGCCTACCTCAAACTCACGACGTTTCTCATAAATTGGAACGATCAACTTGGAAATCTCAGAAATTATTTCATAACGTTCTGCCTTCCATAAGCCATCCACACATTGTTCTAGCAACTCCAGCAAGACCTCCTGCATTAAGAGAAAAATCCAATTAGGAATTAAAAATAGTTTTAGAGTTTTGGACAAATAAATTTTGAAGCATTTCAAGTTGGTAGAAAACAAACAGATGGTACTAAATTCAATGAGATGCACAAAAGGAACATACTTGTGTGACGATATTTTCTAAATCAAATATTTAAAATATTTAAAGTTAAAAACATTCTTAAAAATATAAAATTGATGTTAACAATAGTAAACTATGATTATTTTGTTTATTCACATAATGAAGATGTTAACTATAGTTGTAAACGTTAACACATCGAGAAAGAATATTTTTAAAAAGGGAATATATTGTTTGTTCCAAATTGAGGATGTCTGAATGTCTAACATCTATTATTTTTTATATTAAAACAATATTTACCCATATTAGTCTTAAGAAAATTTGACAACTTTTTCAAGCTATTGTGTTGGTGGTTTAGGTGTTTATTACAATGATTCGATGTTTTTTTAAATTTTTTTAGTTTTTATTTTTGTGGGTTGGTATTAAAATGACTCAGTTTTGATAAAGAACACTTCCCGACTGATGGTTCTAAAATTACTGAGAATGATAGGATAACAGCTCAAAATAGAGATCACCAGCGCTGCCAGAATAACAGTTGCTATAAAACTCTTTTGTGAACCTTCATCTCATGTTCTCAACGATGAAAACATGAAGCCAATTACTGATGCTACCCGTAAGTCATAACAGCTTGTTTCTATCTTAAAGAGATGCACTTCAAACCTGTAGAACTGATTCCTAAAACAGCTCTTCCTGTATGTCCTTTAGAAAATCGAATTCATCTTCTAGCTCTTATACCTGTGTTTCCTATCTCACCAGTGGCAATATCCTATAGACCCTTAGGTAGTAAACTAAGCACAGTTTTGACTTTATTGTCTGTTATGGGTTGAATTGTGTCTCCTAAAAAGATAAGTTGAAGTTGTAACCCCAAGTACCTCAGAATGTGACCTTATTTGAAAATAAAGTCATTGCAGATATGATCATTTATGATGAAGCAATACTGGAGTAGGGTGGGCCCCAATCCAATATGACTGGTATCTTTATATGAAGACAGAGACACACAGGGAAAACACCATGAGACTACAGAGGCAGAGACTGGAGTGATGCAGCCACAAGTCAGGGGAAGTCAAGGAACAACTCTTACCACCAGAAGACAAAGAAGGCTTCTACCCAGAGTCTTAGAGGGAGCATGGCCCTGAAAACAATTTGACTGCATATTTCTAGACTCTAGAACTGTGAGACAATAAATTTCTCTTGTTCTAAGCCACCCAATTTGTGGTACTTTGATATTGCAGTCTTAGTGCTACAGCCTGAATGTTTCTGTGTACTCAGAATGCGTATGTTAAAATCCTAACCCCCAAGGGGATGGTATTAGGAGGTGGAGACTTTGGGAGATGACTAAGTCATGAGGGCAGAGCCCTCATGAATGGGATTAGTACCCTAATAAAAAGAGAGTTAGCTCACCCCCTTCCATCACGTAAGGGCACAGTGAGAAGATACCATCTATGAACTAGGAAGTCGATCCTCACCAGACACCAAGTCGGCTAACACCTTTATCTTCACCTACTCAGCTTCCAGTATAGTGAAAAATACATTTCTGTTGTTTATAACCTACCCAGTCTCTGGTATTTTGTTATAGAAGCCCAAATAGGCTCAGATATCTACGCAACTATTACACCCTCTTTCTTTACTCATTCTCTAATGAGTTCATCACCAAGTCCTGCCAGTTTTATTTCCTAAATATTTCTCAAATCTGACCCTTTCTCTCCATTTCTCTCATTGCTAAGGTGCAAAATTTCACTATTGTTTTTTCTTAATTTATCTTCCTGCCTCCAGTCTTAGCCCTTTCAAATACATCTTCCACACATCTGCCATAGGGTTCTGATTAAAATGCAAACCTGAGCGTGCCACTCTCCCTTTCTTAAAATCTGGCAATGGCTCCGCATCACTCACAGAACAACGGACACGCTCCTTCATGTGGCACATAAAGCTTGCAATGATGTGGCTGATACTTCCATAATCTCATCATTCATCATACCAAACTTTGTACTTTATGTTATAACAACAGCGAACTACTAGCAGTTTCCCTGAAGCACAATGGTGTGTCTTAGCTTTATGTCTTTGTTCAGGCTGTGCCCCTCCTCCCTTTAATCCCTTCTACTTGGTTAATCTCTTTAAAACACTTTAGGTATCACCTTTTCCAGGATCCTTCTCCTTATCAATATAGGGTAGGCAAGACACTACACATCTTTTTTTCTATTTCACTACTTTTTTGGCAAAGATTTATCACTATATTTGTACATTATTTACGTATTATCTACATATCTGACTTTTCCAATAGGCTGTGATTCTTTGAGAGTAGGGACAATATTTTACTTACATTGGCTTTTCCAGTAATTATTTTAGTGTCACTGGATAGTATATGTGAAATAAATGTTGCTACTTGAATAAAACATCTGTATATTAACATCTGCTAGCCAAATTAAAATTTCCAGCAATTTTGGGACAAACATTGGGGGAATTAAAAATAAGGTGCACACTTAGTATGAATTATCCCAGGAATGTAAAGTTAGGTTACAATTAGAAAAAAAAAACAATGTAATATACAACCTCATAAACTGAATAAAAAAGAAAAATTATATCTCTTTCAATAGATGCAAGAAAAAAGCATTTACAACACTCAACACCCATTCATGATATTTAAAAAGAACTCAAGAAACAAAGAATAGAAGAGATCTTCCTCAATCTGATAAGGGGCATTTACTAAAAACCTTAAAGGCTAGACATGTTTCTCCTAAGATTGAGAACAAGTTAGAATGTCTGCTCTCACCACTTCTATCCAACATTATGCTGAAGGTTCTAGCCAGTACAATAAGGCAAGAGAAAGAGAAAAAGCATACAGGATTAGAAAAAGTAAAATTGTTCCGTGCATATGGCATAATTGTATATGTAGAAAATCATAAAAGACATACAAACTATGAAAACTAATAAGCAGATTTAGTAAGGTTGCAGGACGTAAGATCAACATACAAAATCAATTATATTTCTATATACTAGCAACAACATAATAAAAAATAAAAATATAAAAGCAAACAATATTATTTACAATAGCATCAAAACATCACATATCTACCAGTAAATCTAACCCAAGACTTCTACCCTAACAACTACAAAATATTATTGGCAGTTAAAGATAACCCAGATAAATGTCCATTGATTGAGAAATTCAATATTGTTAAACTCTCCATTCTCAGGCTATTTTGAGGAAGTAGAAAAGATGATTCTAAAGATTATATGGAAATTCAAAGGACGTAGAATAGCCAAAACAACTTTGAAAAAGAATAAAGCTGGAGGGCTAACACTACTTGATTTCAAGACTTAAGTTATAGTAATCAAGTGTGATATTGGCATCAAGATGGGCAAATAGATCAGTGGAAGAGAACCGAGAATCCAGAAATAGCCCACACAAATATGAAAAACCGAACTTTTGACCAAGGTGCCAAAGTAAATTCAACGTGACAAAAGGAAAGTCTTGTTTTTCCCCAAATGGTACGTCTTAAAAAAAAAAAAAACTGTCTTAAAAAAAGAGCTTTGACCTCTATTTCATTCCACAAATGAACTTTAAATATATTATAGACCTAAACAAAACTCGGAAACAAGTTTCTAGGAGAAAACACAGGACAACACTATCAGGATCTTGAGGTAGGCACAGATTTTTGGGACCAGATACAAAAAGAACAAATTATTATAAAATAATAAACTGGATTTCATCAATTACAACCAAAACCAAAATTTTCTGCTCAACCACAGACTCAATTAAGAAAGTGAATGGTCAAGTCAGAAGCTGGTAAAGAAATATACAGCACATATATCTTGACAAAGGATTTATATCCAGGAAAGAACTCCCACAAAACAACAATAAAAAGTAAGCAATGTGATTTCTAAAACGGATAAAAGACAAACATTTCACAAAAGAAAATACAAAAGAGGCCAAGGAACACCTGAAAAAGTGGTAGACATCATCGGTTATTAGGGAAATACAAATAAAAGCCACAATGAGATGTTGATTCACACCTAATATTAATAGAATGGCTAAAATTTAAAAAGATCAGCAATATCAGATGCTAGGGAGGATGTGGGGCAACTAGAACTCTCATCTACTACTGGCAAACAGTATAAAACGGTCCAACCACTTTGAGAAACTCTTCGGAAATTTCTTAAAAGTTAAACATATATCTTCCCTAGGATTCAGCAATGCTACTCCTAGGTATTTACCCAAGAGAAAAAAAGCATATGTCAACAATAAGTCATAGATAGGAATGTTTAAAGTAGACTTATTCGTAACAGCCTGAAACTGGAAACAATTCAAAATCCATCAACTGAATGGATTTAAAATTTGTATATAAAGACAAAGAACAAACTTTTGATATACCCAACAATATGGATGAATCTCAAAAACATTAGGTTAAACAAGAGAAGCCAGATTAAAAAAAGGTACATATTGAATGATTGATTCCATTTTTATGCCATAAAAACTAATTCATGGTGATAGAAATCAGATGGTGGAGGTGGGGAGCCTGACTGGAAATGGGCACAAGGGAACCTTTCCCGAAGGAATGGGCATGTTCTATTTTTTGTTTCTGATGGTAGGTTACATGGGTGTATACAACTGTCAAAATTCATCAAATTGTTTAAGATTTTATTACATATTAATTATATCATTTTTATTTTTATTTTTGAGACACAGTCTCGTTCTGTTGCCCAGGCTGCAGTGCAGTGGCACGATCTTGGCTCACTGCAACCTCTGCCCCTGGGGTTCAAGAGATTCTTGTGCCTCAGCCTCCTGAATAGCTGGGATTACAGGCCTGTGCCACCACGCTCGGCTAATTTTTATATTTTTAGTGGAGACGGGGTTTCACCATGGGGACAGGCTGGTCTTGAACTCCTGGCCTCAAGTGATCTGCCTGCCTTGGCCTCCCAAACTGCTGGAATTACAGGTGTGAGCCACCACGCCCAGCCCAATTATATATTAATTATATGTTTAAAATCGATTGCAGGGGCACACGTCATCAGGACCTCCTGAGGTGGTGTCATGCAGAAAAAAAAAACTGTTGCAAATCAAGTCAGAAATACATTTTTGGAAACAAGTTACATTGCGTTATTACCGGTTTAACTCACATATTTAAATACAAGCACTAAATGGACAACTGTTTGTATTTTTCATTTCAATGTAACTTCTAAATCAGTGTCAGTTTTTTTAATTGGCTAGGGTTTAAGGAAGAAGCCTTATTATGCAAACTGAAAAATAAAGTGGCACTTGGTAAAACATGATTCTACCTGTATATATCAAATAGAAGTATGTATAAATTACTTGTAGAACCCAAAAGATTTCCAACAAATGTGTTTATACAGAAAACTAATTACAGTTTTTGATTATTAAGAAAAGTTATTGCTCTCCTTAAGAGTATAAAAAAGGGTCAAGCTCAAAGCCATTTCTATGAATACACTGAAGCTGCTGTTTAGAAGGCAAGGATATAAGTTCAGTTGTACTGAACCAGTTAAGCCCCATGAAATCCTCTGAATCTTCCTGCTGTCAGCCTGTAAAACCTGCAGGTCTCTGGGAAATCATCTAACTAATATCCAGAAACATGAATTAACTTGTCCAAGGCTATACAGTCAAAAATTAAGCTGGAATAAAAATTCAAGTATCTTGCATCTCTGTTATGATCAATCAATTCAACAAACATATTTTAAGTATCTATCCTTGTAGGTTCTGAGGGTAAAAGGACACCAACTTGCTTTTAAGAAATCTCACTGCCAAGTAGGTCAATGATAAAACCTGACATTATTCTCACACTTCATGACTTTTTAAGTTTTCGCATGTATTGTGAAGTGACCACGATAGTATTATTGTCCTTATTTTACTGATAGGGAGACAGACTATGTAGAAATAGTAGGTAAAGCTTCTAGGTGTATCATTAATTTAACTAAATAAGCCAGAGCTAAGTTGAGATTTGTGTATTTTAAAAAATCAATTCATAAAGTGTTTATGAAGTGTGTCACTGTAATTTTCATCTCATTGTTTAATACAATTTTTTTAAGAAATGTAATTTTATGGGACTGTAACTTCAATCTCTTTTCTGTGTTTCTTTCTTGTTTTCTACGTTCACACTCTTTGTGAACTTTTCCCCCATGGTTCAGTCCTTGATTCTCCGGTCTTCACTTGCCGTTATTATGTCTAACATTCAGTCTGCTTTGGTCCTCATAAGGATATGACTTCCAGATGTGTATTTCTAACCCTAATCTCTCTCCTTAGATTCAGTTTCATATTTCTTTTTTTTTTCTTTTTTGAGACACAGTCTCACTTTGTCACCCAGGCTGGAGTACAGTAGCACAATCTTGGGTCACTGCAACCTCCACCTCCCAAATTCAAGTGGTTCTCCTGCCTCAGCCTCCTGAGCAGCTGGGATTATAGGCAGGTGCCACCACGTCTGGCTAATTTTTGTATTTTTAGTAGAGCCATGTTGGCCAGGCTGGTCTCGAACTCCTGACCTCAGGTGATCCACCTGCCTCAGCCTCCCAAAGTACTGGGATTACAGTCGTGAGACACTGCGCCCAGCCTCAGTTCCACATTTCTAATGGCTTGATGGTTATTTCCATTTTGATAAGCTTTCACATCAAAATCAACTCACCTATAAAATGAAATTCATCACTTTTCCTGCAAAACCATCCATCTATCATTTTCCCTTAACCTCCAAACCTGAAATCTTAGAGCTACCTTTGACCCTTCCCCTCCCACAGCCAGCAAATCAGCATCTTTTCCTCACACTATTTCCTGAATCTTTCACTACCCTGGTTTAAGCCTTAACTACTCGTATCTGGATAATTAGGGCAGCCTTCTCTCTAGCCCCTGCCTCTAGCTCCTATCCCTGTATCTTCAATACATCTCCCACATCATCACCAAATTAGCCTTCCCTCTTCCTTGCTTTCATGTAGTCATCATCCTGCTCAAAAATCTTTGAGGCCAGGTGCGGTGGCTCATGCCTGTAATCCCAGCCCTTTGGGAGGTCAAGGCAGGTGGATCATGAGGTCAAGAGATCGAGACCATCCTGGCCAACATGGTGAAACCCTGTCTCTACTAAAAATACAAAAATTAGCTGGGCATAGTGGTGCACGCCTGTAGTCCCTGGTACTCGGTAGGCTGAGGCAGGAGAATCACTTGAACCCGGGAGGCAGAGGTTGCAGTGAACCAAGATTGCGCCACTGCACTCCAGCCTGGCGACATAGCGAGACTCCATAAAAAAAAAAAAAAAAAAAAAAGACTTTGATGCCAATTTAATATTCTACTGAATAAAGCCCAAACATTGAAAGTTTCTCAAAATCTGGCCTCAACTAATACTCTTCTCTATGGGAACCTACTGCTATAGCCAAAAGGATCCACTTCCACTCACTGTGCCTCAAACATGTCTTACACTTTCCTACCTCTTAGTCGTGGTCCCTGCCCTTCTCCTGTCTCTTAGGATGCCTTCAGGGTGTCCTCATTCTTCCAATCCCTCTCTGATCATACTTCCTTTATTTTACCTGAGCTCTAAGGCATCTTTCACCTTTGACTTTGCATGGCACATATTGTCTGCATTATTCAAATATTATTCAAAAGTCTTTTTTCCATTTCATGTACATGTATTATCTCTTCAGGTGGACCTTGGAGGTCAGGGACTAATCATATTTAATTATTTAAAGCTCCTAGGTCACCAAGTCCAAGGCCTTGCTGTTAAGTCAATGTTCAATAAATCTTTGGTGGTTGACTGACAGCCAAAGCTGTTTTCTATCCATGTGGTGTTTAGAGCAGAAATTTTCCATTTAAAAATACTTTTGTGCATAGTCTGTCTTAGTTGAAGTAAAGAGCAATGTTAACTCTATTTTTTATGGAAAAATTTCCAACATGTGTTGACTCTTATCTAGTTATTGGAATGGTGACTTGAGGACGGCAAATGCTGTATTTCTAAAACTAGACAATGGGACCAGTTCAAGAGACAGGGCCCTCTAAACAGGAACATCTTTGCCCTGGACAGTTTTAATACTTAAAGTTCATTAACCCTTAGTTACCTTCAAAATTAGGTTAGCTGTAATAATTGTTTAATATATATGAATTTTAAGAAGTGAAATTTATATAACTGGCAATGCAGGCCCTGGAATCCTTACTTCACTATAATGGACATCCATCATCCCAGCATCTTCTTTCATTGCTCCTTCTTCATCTATATTGGGAGTAATTTTCTTGAACGCTGAACATCCGTTAGGAAATAATTCTGTGTGAATAAAAAAAACAGTGGAGTGAATTTATGAGAAAGCATTTAGTAAATAACAGTGAGCCTTACAGAGATGGGCTATTTAAAATAAACACATTATTTTTGTAAGAATCAAAGTCTTAAGTACAATTTTCACTTACAAAAATTTTTAAATTTGTTTCCATTTGCTACATATTTTATTAGTTTCTCCCCCTACAAAGTGAGCTTAAGTTAGTTATGAATAACTTTTATTCTTTGACTATGTATCATCTTCAATGGCTAGGATAGATGTTTACCTAGTGCAATCTAAACATTTTTATTTAAACTTTGATCCTGTATACATTTGTGTTCTATCATCTAAACAAGAGGGCAGGCACTTTTCAGGTAACCACTAAGTGATCTTTGGTAACCATGTCTAGTGCCTAATTTCACTGAGATTTGGGAGAGGAAGTGAGATGTTGGAGAAGGTCTGGCCTAGGACTTTTAAGAGAGTCAGGAAATAAAACAGATGGCAGGGATGAAGCATCCTAGAGAAAACAGGATGGGGCACTGGAAGAACCACCACTTTTGGAGTTACATAGACTCAGCTCTATCACTAACTGTGTGATTTTGTGCTAATGTTTATCTCCCTGGGACTATAAAAAGTTTTATCATCTGTAAAACAGGGATAATAAATAACTATGCTATGAGAATTAAATGAAATGTAAAGTGTTTAGAATGGAGCCTAGTAAATAAGTACTCAATGAATTATTACTAGCAAATAAGCCTACCAATAAATAAACTAGCCTTCTCAAGGTAGAATAAAATAATGGCTGCCAGCTGGACTCCTGGGAAGTAGGAAGTGAACTCAAGCTGAGAACACCTGCTGTAGGCTTCTGGACCAAATTGTTACTGTCAAGCAACAGTCGAGGTGTAAAGGCCACATGGTTCCCCTATAGATTCTAGACAGGGGAACATGTGTAAACATTCCTACTGTGTCTGCCTTTACCTTTATCTAAGTGGGCTGTAATTTTAGAGTTCAAGGAAAATTCTGCCTCTTTATAACATAACCATTGAAAACGTTTCAATGAAAAAGTTTCCTTCTGATAGGAGCTAGTCACACAGACACAAAAAAATGGCTGTTGCAATCTACTGTTCTACAACCTAACAGTGATACTTACAAATAATGACCTTTACTTACAATTAAGTATCTGGTAATCTTCCTGTTAGAGGTTGGGGAAGGAAGAAGGAAGGTTTAAAAAAAAAATCAGACCTCATGTTGAAGAGATTTCTCAGAATTCTGGTGGAAAAGAGGTTATATATCAGGGCTTGGATTTTTCCAACTCTTCTTGTCTAAATGAAACCTAATCACTAGACATGTATCTTCTGGGTAAGCTGCTTAACAGAACATGGGTAGGAACCACACACAGAAGTAGGAACCACACTTCTTTGAGAGAAAGATGAAAGTCTGCTAGGGGAAGATAGGATTATTTTGAAATACTTTTTTTTTTTTTTTTTGGAGACAGAGTGTTACCCCGTCACCTAGGCTGCAGTGCAGTAGCGTGATCATAGCTCATTCCAGCCTCGACTTCCTGGACTCAAGCCATCCTTCTGCCTCAGCCTCCCAAGTAGCTGGGACTACTGGTGCAAGCCACCACGGCTGGCAAATTTTTATATATTTTGTAGAGACCAGGTCTTGCCATGTTACCCAGGATGGTCTCAAACTCCTGAGCTCAAGTGATCCTACCCATCTCAGATTACCAAAGTGCTGAGATTATAGGCGTGAGCCACTACGCCTGGCTTTGAAATACTTTTTCAAGAAGGGAGAAATACATGGGAGTAGTCAGTGAGTTTTAATTAAGGAAGAAGGAGCCCCAGGAATGAAAGTGATATTTACTTTGACCCACCAAGCTGTAGGACCATTTTTGTTCAAATAAAGTAGATAATAAAAGGCATTGGGCCAGGCGCGGTGGCTCACGCCTGTAATCCCAGCACTTTGGGAGGCCGAGGCAGGCAGATCACGAGGTCAGGAGATTGAGACCATCCTGGCTAACAGGGTGAAACCCCATCTCTACTAAAAAAAAAAATACAAAAAATTAGCTGGGCGTGGTGGCGGGTGCCTGTAGTCCCAGCTACTCGGGAGGCTGAGGCAGGAGAATGGCGTGAACCCGGGAGGTGGAGCTTGCAGTGAGCCGAGATCACCACTGCACTCCAGCCTGGGTGACACAGCGAGACGCCATCTCAAAAAATAATAATAATAAATAAAAGGCGCTGAAGATAAAACATAGCCTGCTTCATTTCTGAAGATAAGCATGCCTAAAATGGTCTGTTACAAGACCTCTAGAGAGTTCTATTCAAAGTACTGGACCATAAAAAGATAAGGAACTTTCACCAGAATGTAAATCAATTCCTCATTTCCTTCTTCAACAAAGTCTTTCTATTAAAAGGAACAAGTCAGTTGAACAAACAGAGTGTTTAGTGACATGGTTAATTTACATTCAGGACAATACTCCTTATCTTGTTGTAAACATGTGATAAATAGTTCTCAGACTAGCAGCTGGTCTGTGGGATACTCTTTGTGCAGTAGCGCATTAGGAGAACTTTTTGAAATGTAGAAGAAACCATCCCACTTGATCAGCACTATCAGGTCAAGAGCCAGGCCGTAAAGAAGAGGGCCCAAGACTTGAGTGAAGAGACAAAGAACATAGCCTTTATTGAAGAAGATAGTGAATCCCTGAAGGCCTCAGGCAGCTAGGTCCATGACTGGGAGAAAAAAAATTCCCATCTGTTCAAAAGAGATTATTACTTTAAGTCATTTCCAAATGTAGGGCTTTTCTAGAATGCTGGGATTTAAGGGAGGATGAAGAAAGGCACACTCCTATGCCAGATGAGATGAGGCTAAAAGCATCTTGCTAGAGTCTTCCGGTGTATCTTAAGTAGAAGTAGGGAAAATTATGTTTTATCTCAGGAACAAAGACATAAACACCCACTTTTGAAAGTCGTGTCTGGGTTATCTAGTGCAAAGACTACTATTGTGAATTTTCAGCTTCAGAGTCCAATATTCTTGCTAAGTGTGTTATCTTAATGCATCTGCCTGATAATGGATCTCTACCCAGAGATGACTATATTCCTCCCCCTTTTTGCTAAAGTTATCAACACCCATCAATATCCAATTACATCACGACCCTTTGTTAGAATCTTTAAAATGCTTGGAGAAAATCCTGATTCCTCTTAGTTCTAGAAAGATTTTCAGATGAAACAAGTTGCTGAGTCTAGAATTGGCCAATGTACATATCCCAACAGAAGGATGCATCTGTTTGAGGGATCTCATGTAGACCTATGCAGCCCTGTAGAAGGTGGTCCTGGAGAGTCTGCTATCAGTTTCTCTGGTATTTGACCAGGACTCTTGACCTTGCTGTTTATAGCTGTAACTTCTGTATTCCTGACTGCTGTTCTAGGGAAAGCAAGATGGAAACTGTTCAGATAGAGACCATAACCCTGAATCCAAGTTATCCCGTGAAAAAAAGTGGGAAGGGGTGTGGAAGATGGGATAGCAGTGCAACCCTTGATTAAAAAGGATGGCCAGTCAGAAGAAGGATAAGAGCTAAGAGTCCTGAGGGGAGGATAAGAAGGGGAAAAGCTATGACTAGGAAAGAATGAGGGAATAAAAAGCTTCATGAAACTCAAGCTATCAGATCCTGGATACCACGTCTTGGGAAAGAGAGCAACATTACCCTGTAAGGAATGAAAAAAACCAGATTCTATGGGAAAGGAAATTCCTTTTTCTGGGTTGATGGGTGAATCCTTGCAGGCCTGAAGCTTTGCTGAACCTAGGATGCTATTTGGTGGTGAAAGAATGCAGAGACTTGACTCTTGTCTTCCCTGGGGAAAACAGTTGTACCCTCTCTTAGGAAAAGAAAAAAGGGAGAATGTGATCTAGAAAATTTGAGGTTCTCAAACAAAATAAAAATAAGCAAATTCTGACATTTTTTATTTTATATTTTTTGGGAGGAAGGAGAATAGCTGACACTCAGTATTATCACTTTGAGGTGCCTTCAATAAAGGGAAGAGAATAGTGATCCTTAAGTCTCTTTGGTAGAACAAGCAAGAGCTCAGGCTGCCTGAAAGAAGTTTGAGGGTAGGGTGAGGGTGGGGGCAGGGAGTACTGCATACCTCCTTTCCCTTTTCCTGTCAATTCAGTGCCTGACACAGTGAAGAAAAGGATCTGGAAATGGTCCCTTGTGGGTGCTGTGCAGTCACCTTTGAGGGGCAAGGGCCCCTAAGCCCTTCCCTGCTTAGGCAATGATCCAATAGGGCAAAGTATTTTTTTTCCTTAAAAACGCTACACAGTAGAACATCTGCTTCCAATGTGTCAACTGATGAGTAGTATTTTATTCCATCTTGATTTAAAAATGTTTTATAATGTACTTCAAGAGAAACTGGTTAGGAATTAGAGAAAACAAAACATTTTTGGCAATGGATATGTATCAGGGATTTAAAATATACTCTAATGCTCCTTCCCTCTTGGCTTCATTATCAAAGGGCACTTAATGATAGAAAACAAAGAGTTCTAAAGGTGCCCAATTATCTTTGTCAAATACGTTGGTCTTAAGTGTAAATTCAATGATTTTTTTTCAGTTCTGCACTCAAATGTATTTTCATTTACTCTGTCAACTGCCGGGTCTTATCTAGACTTCAAAAAGCTCACTAATGCTTTCTCAGAATGGATGGGAGGTTAACAGATTACAGGTTTTTTAAAAAAAATAGTTTTGGAGGAAGAGGTGATTTTTTGTTACATGGATAAGTCCTTTAGCAGTAATTTCTGAGATTTTGGTGTACCTGTCACCCGAGCAGTACCCAATGTGTAGTCTTTAATTCCTCCCTGGCCCCCACCCCCAGTCCCCAAAGTCCATTATATCATTCTTATGCCTTTAAATCCTCATAGCTTAGCTCCCACTTATAAGCAAGAACATACAATATTTGGTTTCCATTCCTGAGTTAGTTCACTTAGAATAATACTCAGTTTACGTTTTTAACTTGTGTTTTAAATTGGTAGTCGACCTCGGTATAGCTAGCATAGTTGAATCAGCTAATTAAGAAAAAAAAGGTGTTTTGGATCACTGAAGCTAAGTGGGGAAAACCCTGAGGACTTTTACTACTACCACTATTTTAGAATAAGGTTTTCTAATTTAGGCAAATAGAATTTTCCAGGTTTAAAAATAGATGGCATCAGCAAACCACCATGGCACATGTTTACCTATGTAACAAACCTGCACATCCTGCACATGTATCCCAGAACTTAAAATAAAATAAAATTTAATTAAAAGAAATTTAAAAATAGATGACACCTATAAATAAATATGTAAATTCTCTTAAACATCATTTTTTTTAACATTCAAAACAACATTTTCTCCTCATTAGTGAAGAGTGCTTTGATTTCTATGAAGAATAAATTCTAAGAAACCTTGAGGGTATTATGAAATATATAAATGGCTAGTTGAAAATATTATTTCCACTTCCTGAAATGTATCAGTTTGGTGTTTATGCTAGCTGCCCCATGCTAATATCCAGAAAAACCATAGCAAGAAATTATATTTCTAAAGCTTAAGGACTGATAATAAAGACAAATAATTCTTGATTTTTGCTTAGCTTTAATGTCTCTGCACTTGTGAAAAAAACAAAAACATTCCAGGAAATAGTTTTAATATAATTAACTATTTTCAAAGTCTAAAAAGTACAGTTTTAGACTTAGTGGACATAAAAATCTTCAGATTTCTACTGCTATTATTATTATTTAGATGGAGTTTTGTTCTCATTGCCCAGGCTGGAGTGCAGTGGCGTGATCTTGGCTCACTGCAACCTCCGCCTCCTGGGTTCAAGCGCTCCTGCCTCAGCCTTCTGAGTAGTTGGGATTACACGTGTGTGCCACAACGTCCGGAGTTTCACCATGTTGTCTAGGGTGGTCTTGAACTCCTGACCTCAGGTGATCACCTACCTTGGCCTCCCAAAGTGCTGGGATTATAGGCGTGAGCCACCATGCCTGGCCAGATTTCTAATTAAAAAGATGAGATAATATTAATCTATTTCTCTGAAGACATACTTGAAATCACGGTACTCCGTTTAAGGTTCTCATATCTTGTCAGTTTATTTGGAATTTCAGGTGTGTAATTTCAATATTTACTTATACTGTGATTTCATATGCATACCAGTGATTTTTAAAAAAACCCTCAAATGGGGCCTTATTTTGGTAATTAATCTCCTTCTCTGTTTAAAACTCACATATGTATACTAAAAGGAGAAAACTAAAGTATATCAAACACATAGATTATTCAAAAGAATTCCAGAGTCAGACAGAAAGTGTTAATTTAAAATATAAGTAAAATGAATCTACATTTTACTTAAGAAGAATCTTTTTTAAAAAATTTATTTATTCATTTATTTATTTATTTATTTATTTATTATTTTTTGAGACAGGGTCTTGTCCTGTCACCCAGGTTGAAGTGCAGTGTCCTGGGCTCAAGCTATGATCCTACCTCACCCTCCTTCGTAGCTGGAACCACAGGCATGTGACACCATGCCCAGCTAATTTTTGTATTTTTTGTAGAGATGGGGTTTCACCATTCCTGCCAAGGCTGGTCTCAAATTCCTGGGCTCAAGTGATCCACCTACCCATGCCTCCCAAAGTGTTGACATTACAGGTCTGAGTCACCACACTCGGCCAAGAATCTTTTTAGAAAAAGATTCTCCACATGGGTGTTATATGAGGCAATCAAACACTGAGCCTCAGTGTGAAATGATAGATATACAGTTAACTGTAGGAATTCTGTAATTAAAAAATAAAACAAAATATGGTTGTGTTCGTACAGCTGAAGCCAGAGTGATATGACTCCTTTAATAAGTTGGTTTCATTTTGCCGTATTGTTACTCATTCCACTGCCTTAAAGGAAGTAGCTTGGACATTGAGATAGAGATTTCTTGGTTGCCAGCTCCATTGCCAATCAATGTTTAAACCTAACTCAACTGGGTTACTATTTGAGCAGATGCAGTTTGTTCAACAATACTGTTGAGCAGTAGCCAACAATACTGTTTATGGAAAGGGACACTTCCAAGTAGATTTCCTGAATTAGGAATCTTAAATTAGGAATCCAGGGCTGCTGGACCTAAAGCCCTTCAAGAGTATGACTCCCTTTTAGTACCCAGGTATCACTGCACTAAAGTGGCTGGAGAGACATAGTCTATGGGCAGTTTGGTGATGTTAAGACACATGACGGGGAAACAAATAATCTGTGTTATCCCGACTTGAGCCTTGAGAAGAGTTTAATTTGTGGCAGTCTTCCAGGGAGGGACAGTCTTGGAAAATAAACACTGGGCATCAGGCCTGGCCCTGTACTATTTTTTTTTTATATTTTATATTTTATTTTAAAATAGGTACAGGATCACACTCTGTTGCCCAGGCTGGTCTCAAACTCCTGGCCTCAAGCAATCCTCCAGCCTTGGCCTCCCAAAGCACTGGGATTACAGGCAAGAGCCACTGCACCTGGCCACCCTGTACTATTTAACTTTTCTTGTAATCTCTAATGAAAGCAGAAGGGACAACAAACAATCCAGTCTTCTTTTATAACAGCTTATTTTTAACACTGAATAAGGCCAAGGGTGAACATATTTTTCAGTGTTCTATTATATCATATTCATAGCTAAACTACAAAGATAAAAAACTATTATGCTAAATGAAAATCCCCCCATCTCTAAAAACAGAAATATCTTACTTTTTCGATGAAGAAACTCTGCAACTAGAGCTGCTACATGGACATAACACATCGCAGCCTGAAAAAGGATGACAGAGAAAGAACTGTCAGAACATGCTCAAGGTGTTTTGAAGGGCTGTTTAGAACAAAACTTTAAGTAGTCACCTCTGAAAAATCTCCATTTTTTACATGAATCTTGGCCATGCTATCAAGCCAGGTTTTCCTGAGCTCTGGGGTGCTTGCATAGGACTTGGCTAAGCTATACTGGAGATCAATTAGCATTTCAGGGTCTTTCTCATGCTCCTTCATTTGGGCAGTGGCCATAAGAACAGTGCGGATTCTCTTGGTCAAGTCTTTGACTTCTGCGGGAAAGGCAGTTGCCTAATTTCAAAACAAACAAAAAAGACAAGTTGAACAACAATATCGATGTGCTCTAAGGCTTGTCATCCAATGCTGAGGACATATGATTTTCACTTCCTGTTACAGTTCTTGGTATTGCATATAGTACACTGAAATAATTTTAAATAAATTATTTTTTAAATATGTAACTAGCCCAGGCTTCAAAGGCTCTAACCTTGGTGGCAGTACATTCACAGGACATAAAAGCATTAGCTCTGGAGCCAGACTACCTGGCTTTGAATCCCAGATCCTCCATTGTGAATTGCACAGCCATGGGAGTGATCTTTGTTTGCCGTTTTCTTGTAACAGTAACTAAAAACTAATAGCTTACTATGTGCCAAGCACTAGTCTGGGTTCTTTACATGTTTTAATTTTTACGACAACCCTATGAGTTAAGCACTATTATAAAAAAGTGTTTAAATGCTCGACCAAAGTCTCAAAATTGGTAAATGTTAGAGACAGGATTTTCACCCAGGCAGTCTGGCCCTAGAGCTGGTGCTCTTGGCCACTCTTCCATTCTGATAAGCATGCCTACTCCATCCACTAACTACCACATACACTAAGGTGAAAACCATACTGCAGAAATTTCTGTTTACACAAATGGGAGGTCATGAATCACAGAACGTTCCAGAAAGTTTAGAGAGATCATTAAGCTTTCAAAGTTTGTTTTTGGCACCAAGAATACCAGAGTTTCCTCTTTACCCTAGCCACTGCTAAGGAAGTCCTATTGCATCCTCTTAACCCCCACAGGAGTAATCACAATTATCTATATGATTCAGAGATGATGAGGAAGAGACAGGTACAGGGGTTAGGGAGCTTGTCAATATAAACACAATATGTGGGGGAAATGGTTTGAAACACTGCCTTCTTGGCCGGGAGCAGTGGCTCATGACTGTAATCCCAGCACTTTGGGAGGCCGAGGCAAGAGGACCACCTGAGATCAGGAGTTCGAGACCAGCCTGGCCAACATGGTGAAATCCCATTTCTATTAAAAATATAAAAAATTACCCAGGCGTGGTGGCAGGCACCTGTAATCCCAGCTACTCGGGAGGCTGAGGCAGGAAAATCACTTGAACCTGGGAGGTGGAGGTTGCAGTGAGCCAAGATCGGGCCATTGCACTCCAGCCTGGGCAACAAGAGTGAAACTCCGTCTCTAAGTAAATAAATAAATACAATAGAAATAAAAAATACCTACCTGGCTTTGACTCCCTTTAAAAATAATAATTATATACATAAAGTTCCTTTCTATACATTAATAGAGATCCCATTTACCAGGGGAAAGCTGTATCTTTTCGTAATAGGGTTTGTTGGTAATGACTGCCATAACAGAATAAAACTAAGTCATTTCATAAATGAGATATGGAAAAGAAAAAGATTTCCTATCAAGGAGAGAATATACAAGCCCCATTTACCTAGAAAAACTTACCAATCTACCTATATAACATAGTACTAAGGATGGTAACAACTGGTAAAAACAATTCCTTAGAGTATAAGCATAAGTGGTGTAACTTGTTTCTATGCTCACAAGATTAGCTGGAGCATATACTGATCCCCTGCGGAACTAGTAGAACTGGCTGGAAAGCAAACTTTCCCAGCCTGAGAGCGGCTGGCACTACACGCTGTTATTTTTCAGTACAAGCAACATTCCTATGGGAATATTTTTTGGTACTTAGATTCTACACATCCAAACATCAAATATGCTGTGACTATGAGCTTTTAATCTTTTTCAGATTTTACACAATGTTGTCAAACTGTGCTGGAAGATGACCTTTCCCAAGAATGGGGATGATTCATTCTTCTGGGAGGAAAAGTCCTATTGGCAAAGGATTCTTCTTCCCTTGTATACATGTGTCACTGAAGATCAGAACCTGCACTCTACGCAACAAAGCAACAGATGAATTTTTACAGTGCTATAAGTTTTAAGCATATAGGAAAGAAAGTGGAACAGTGGTCAGAGTCTTGGGTTTGGCCTCAGCAAAATGGTGCTTAAGAGTGACAGCCTTGGTGTTAACAGATAATTTTCAAAACTCACAAAACCATCAAATAATGAATCCCTTCTGTGCCATTTCTCATCCATTGGCAATGGATCAGGCAACTGTTAGCTATTCTAAGTGAAATTTTGTGAAATTTCAAATTCAGTGCTTTTTTAACCAATATTAAAAGTGGTGACAATTGTTAAGAAATAAAGGATCTATGTATTTTCTGAGCAAGTTTGGAAATGAAGCCCAGAAAAAAAAAATTCAGATTCGACTTGCCATAACAACTATGAATACATAGTATATTCATTCATCCATCCACTAAACTGATATTGAATATATGCTATGTACCAGGCAGTGTTCTAGGTACTAGAGATATAGTGATGTATAAGACAAAGCCCTTAACTCATAAAACTCACATTCCGTACATTCTATACTAACAAAAGTTGTGAATCCAATGACAGTTTAAGAGTTTAAACTTCCCTGATAGCAAAGGTGGTTCTAATTTATTATCTGAAATGAGAACATACCTTCATAGGTCTGTCACTATTTGCAAAATTATTGATAATGAATAAAGACTCCTGAAATCTTGATCCTCCGCTTAGTGCTACATCAGCTATCAGTTGGCTTACAGCAATTATTATCTGTGGGAAGAAGTAAATATTATTTTCCAAATAACTTTTGAACAAATGCTGTCTATGCTCATCATTTTATAAGTATATAAGCACTCACATGAAATGCTTCTTTTAAAGATTCTACACTGTACCATCATAATGTACCCTTCATACATGAGGGGTTTACATTCTTCTGCTGAAATAGTAACTTGAAAGGCCCTATTTCAAATTTTAAAGGATCTTTCTTGGTTAGACGTAAACAATTTTTCAAAACTCATAGCATAGCCAGATCTAAAACTATTTTCATAATAGTGAACTGATACAATGGTAGTCAGGTCTCCATTTTAAATATGCTTTCTAGGTTGTAGCTGTGGCAAAGGTGAGAATAAATCATGTTTTTCTTTGATGATTTCTCATTCCTTTTCACTAGTCTATTTTAGTTGGCTGGACTTCCAAGTCCAGTGCCTCAGCAACTTTCTTTGTTTTTGACCAGGGTTTACCTAGTTTAACAGAAGTTTATGGAATGGACTTTGATGGTACTTCTTATTTTTTGGGACAGGGTCTCACTCTATTGCCCAGGCTGGAATGCAGTGGTACGGTCTTGGTTCACTGGTTCACTGCAGCCTCAACCTCCCAGGCTCAGGTGATCCTCCCACCTCAGCCTCCCAAGTAGCTGGGACTACAGATGTGTGCCACCACACCTAACTAATTTTTTATATTTTTGTAGGGACAGGATTTTGCCATGTTGCCTAGGCTGGTCTCGAGCTCCTGGGCTCAAGTGATCCACCCACTTATGCCGCCCAAAGTGCTAGGATTACAGGCATGAACCACTGTCTTTGATGGGACTTTTAAATCTCTCAGTCTCCCTTGGGTGAATGCCAAAACAATTCATACTAAGATGTTAATGGCTGGATGCTTTACCACTGGTCCTAGGAAGCAAGATACAGTAATAGCCATGTGTATGGGCTCTAGAGTTGAATGCCTTAGATACAAATCTTGACTTTATCAATAATTCACTGTGTGGCTTTGGAAAAGCTATTTAACCTTTCTGTGCCTCATGTTTCTCATCTGTAAAATGCCTATGATAAAAATCCCTACTTTGTAGAGGATGAAAGAGATCATAACCATTAGAGTACTAGTTAATCCTTTATTGAGCACTTATTATGTGCCAGACAGTGTTCTAAGTCTTCATATTTATTAATTTGTCTATATTTGAATAAAAGACTTAAAGAAAACTGATGCTTTGACCCAGAAGAATCAATACCAATGGGGGAATTTCAGGTATATTGGCACACAAATTAGAACAATGTTCTAGGGGAAGGTGGGTTTCCAAATGCCATCTCATATAAAAGCAAATAGTAAAGGACCTAATGTGTAATGATGGCTGACTCTAACATGCAAAAGTAATTATATAGCAGACTTTTACAGGAAGCATACACAGTATTCCTATTAGATTTTCACATTATTGATGACATTTTTCAACAAGCTGCTTATGGTTGTTTCCCCACTAATAATCTTATCTCCAGTAAACAACTCTAATGGGACAGACCATGACAGTAAAGATATAAATAGGACCAAGGATTTCCCATATTACAATGAAGGCTACTGAGTCAAGCAGTCCCAATTGTGGTTTAGTTCAGAGCTATTTCATCCAATAAACCCAAAAGTATGGAGATGTTGAATAATAACTATCATGTAGGAAGTATCTATCTTGTGCTACACATTGTGTCAGGCACTATAGGCACTATACACGCCTTATTTTAATCCTCAGGGTAACTCTGCAAAGTGAAATACTCAGTCTCATTTCACAAATAAGGGAACAGGTTCAGTCAGATTGAGTGACTTGCTTAGGGTCACAGGGCATGTAAGGATTTAAGCTATGATTTAAGTGCAGGTAGGCCTGATTCCAAAGTCAATGCTTTCCACTAAACCTTGACACATCTCTCATTTTTAAAATAAGTGGGCATACTGGAGCATGAAAAACATAAACTGTGTTATCTGTTCTGTAAAATCTAACAAGCTTGTTATTTAATCATCTCATTTAATCCTCATAAAAATCCTATGAGCTAGGTAACAATATTTACCCCACCAGATTTGCAGAAACTGAGGCACTGAGAGGCTAAGGAAGTAACTTGCTCCAGGTCACATAGTATGTGGCAGTCCTCAAATTTAAACTAGAGACTGGGCACGGTGGCTCATGCTTGTAATCGCAGCACTTTGGGAGGTTAAGGTGGGTGGATCACCTGAGGTCAGGAGTTTGAGACCAGCCTGGCCAACATGGTGAAACCCCGTCTCTACTAAAAATACAAAAATTAGCTGGGCATAGTGGTGCATGCCTGTAATCCTACTTGGGAGGCTGAGGCAGGAGAATCACTTGAGCCCGGGAGGTGGAGGTTGCAGTGAGCCGAGATCATGCCACAGCACTCCAGCCTGGGTGACAGGGCGAGACTCCGTCTCAAAAAATAAAATAAAATAAAATAAAATTTGAAATAAAGCCTATGCTCTTCTCTGCTCAGGAGCAGCTCTATTCCATAGAAATATGACACATGCCACATACGTAATTATCAATTACCTAGTAGCCACACTAAAAAGAGACTTATTTTAATATACTTAACCTAATACAGGCAACATATCATTTCAACATATAATCAATATAAAACAATTGAGATCTTCTATTTTTTTCATACTTAGTCTTCAAAAGCCATAGTATATTTTACACTTTCAGAACATCTAAATTTAGACTAGCCACACATCAAGTGCTAGATGGCCACATTGTATTGGACTGGATTGGGTGGCTCTGGATCTTGATCTAGAGGTTAAAGATTGAAGAGAAGAAAGATGAAGAGGCGCTTTTATTTTCACTGACCTGTAGATGTGTCCTCAAAAAGGTTTTCCTTTTGGTATACTCAAAGTTGTTTCTCATCAAAAGATACAAAAGTGCAGATGCTTCATTCCTGGTTGAGCTAATCTTCGATGTGCAGCACTTTAAAACCTCATAGCAAAATGCAGCACACATGTTTACTCTTCCTTTGAAAAATGCTGAAGGAAACTAAAGAACAGGGAAAACAGAAATAAGTATTTAAAATCCAATCATAAAATCAATAGAATATCAAGTGCCCTCTATATCCTCACCTAAAACTATGCTGGGGGCTTTGAGGATACAAAATCAACATAAGGCAGGCTCTGCTCTCCAGAGAGCCTGAACTAGTTAACATAAACACCAGCATGTGATAATAATAGAACTTAAGTCAGTATATAAGTTATTACAAAGATGTAGAAGTACTGAATATAAATGCTATAGATCTGAGAAGAGCTCGAGAGTCTGCAACATATTATAGTATTATATTATATCTATTATATATTATATATGTATTATATATTATATATTAATATATTATATATATTATATATTTATATATATGTATATAATATATATAATTTATGTTATATATAAATATATAAATATATATATATTACATATTAATATATTAACATATCAATATAATATATTATTATATAATAATATATTGTCTCAGCACGTTGATGTTCACAATAAAGGAACTGTTGAAATATAAAGCAAAAGAGTAAGTAATGAAAATTGACCTTCCCATTTTTAAGCCCCCATTTGAGACCCATCATTCATCATTTCAGGCATTCTTTCAAAACATATTGAGAACCTGCTTACTGTATTATGGCGGTGCAAAAGTAATTGCCACTATATCACTATATAGTGGCAAAAACCGCAATTACTTTTATATATATATTATATTATTATATAATATTATAATATTATATATTATATTATTATATATTACTATTATATTATATATTATATTATTATATATTAATTTATATATTATATTATATAATATTACAATTTATATATTATATTGTATAATATTACAATTTATATTATATATATTACAATTTATATTATATATTATATATTATATTATTATATAATATTATAATTTATATTATATATTATAATAATATATTATATATTATTATATATTATATATAATTATATATTATATATTATTATATATTATAAAATATATTATTTATTATATATAATATTATAATATATAATACATGATATATTATTAAATATTATATATTACATGTTATTAAATATTATATTATAATATATATTAAATATTATATTATAATAATATAATATATATTATTATATATTATAATATATTATATATTATTATATATTATAATATATTATATATTATTATATATTATATTATATTATATTAATTATTATATATTATATTATTATATATTATATTATAATATAATATTATATAATAATTATTAATATATAATATATAAACATATAATATATTAACATATAATATATCTTATATATTATATTTATATATTAATATATAAGATATATTATATGTTAATATATTATATTAATATATAATAACATATATAATATATAATATTATATTATATATTATATTATTATATAATATATTATATAATAATATAATATATATAAAAGTAATTGCGGTTTTTGCCACTATATAGTGATATAGTAGCAATTACTTTTGCACCGCCATAATACAGTAAGCAGGTTCTCAATATGTTTTGAAAGAATGCCTGAAATGATGAATGATGGGTCTCAAATGGGGGCTTAAAAATGGGAAGGTCAATTTTCATTACTTACTCTTTTGCTTTATATTTCAACAGTTCCTTTATTGTGAACATCAACGTGCTGAGAAAATTATAGCTAAAATCTACTCAGCAAGTGAAGTTCATCTTTTAACAAATGGGATATAGGAGATACACACACACACACACACACACACACACACACACACACACACACACACATATCCTCTTCACATAAACACTGATAGTTAAGATACATTTTAGCATAGAAAAGGAGTAAGAAAGTGACTAATTATCAAAAGAGACAAGTGGCCTGTTCCTTTAAGAATGTATTCAGTCTGCTTTGTGGAAGACACAATATACAGGTAACAGACTTGTTACAATTTCCCATGCTTTTAGGTCTAGGCAAGCAAATAACAAGCTGCTTCAGGATACACAATAGATGTTTTTCAGAGAGTGAAGCTAGAGGGACATCTTTTAAAAATTATTTCTTAGGAACCTTGAATTTAGACCCACATATAGGAATCTACCCTTTATTTCACCTTAATACCAAGTGTAATTCTATGCAGATAATGAATGCTTAATAAATGTTTTCTGATTGGGAATTGGGAAATCTCGCTAATAATTTCACCAAACTAAACTAACTCTGGATGAAGCAGATACTCTGGTATGAAAATAAACATTTAAGGGAGATCATAGCTATAGTGTAGCTCATCACTACACTAAGTCTTCTACCCACATCACTCACTTCTCTGAGTGGGCAATGGCTAAAATCATCAATGACCTAATTGCCAATTCTAACAGACCTCTTTTCTCCTTTCTTATTTGACTACTCCGTATACGTCATGACAATGTTGGAACTCTTTCCTTCTTTGGCTTCCATGATATCCTTCTTTCTTACCTTTCTTCCCACCTCTGTGACTGCTCCCTCTCATCTCCCTTACAGATTCGTCTTTGAACCTCCCTTCTACGTTGTTTCTCTCCAATGTTCTGCTCCTGATTTTTTTTGTTGTTGTTGTTATTCTTCTTCTTCAATGTACCCTCCAGGGAAAATCAAACCACTCCCATGGCTTCAACTACCACTTGTATGTTGATGCTCCCGCTAGTTCACTATGCTCCAAAAATACCAGCCTTTTAGTTCTCAGAATACTGCAAACTGTTTCCCAACTCAGAGCCTTGGCACATGTATGTCATTCTCCCTAGATAGTTCTTCTTTAAGCTCTTTTTACAGCTGGCCCCTTTTCAATAATTCAGGTCTCTCTGTTTTTTTGTTGTTGTTGTTGTGTTTTTTTTTTTTTTTTTTTTTTTGACGAAGTCTCGCTCTGTTGCCCAAGCTGGAGCGCAATGGCGCGATCTCGGCTCACTGCAACCTCTGCCTCCCGGGTTCAAGTGATTCTCCTGCCTCAGCCTCCCGTGTAGCTGGGACTACAGGCACCTGCCACCATGCCCAGCTAATTTTTTTTTTTTTTTTTTTTTAACTAGAGACAGGGTTTCACTATGTTGGCCAAGCTGGTCTCGAACTCCTGACTTCGTGATCTGCCCGCCTCAGCCTCCCAAAGTGCTGGGATTACAGATTCAGGTCTCATTTTAAAAGTGACAAACCTATCTAAGATAAGATTATCTCCCACAAATCATTTACTGTCTCAGTACACTGTTTGTTTCCTTCCTAGAACATATAATAATTATGAATTCTTTTTTTTGAGACGAAATCTTGCCCTGTCACCCAGGCTGGAGTGCAGTGGCGCGATCTTGGCTCACTGCAACCTCCGCCTCCTGAGTAGCTGGGATTACAGGCACCCGCCACCACGCCCGGCTAATTTTTGTATTTTTAGTAGAGATGGGGTTTCGCCATGTTGGTCAGGCTGGTGTCAAACTCCTGACCTCAGGTGATCTGCCCGCCTCGGCCTCCCAAAGTGCTGGGATTATAGGCGTGAACCACTGCGCCCGGCTCATGATTACTAATTCTTTTATTATTTATTTTCTGTCTCCCCTATCCCCACTAAGACTGAACGCTTCATGAGGGCAAAGAGTATATTTATTTTGTATCTCCATTGTATCTACAGGACCTAGTACAGCACTTGACACAGAGAAGGTCCTCAATAAATATAGTATGGATGAATGGAGAATGACTCCAACTCTGGCTCTCCAATCTGATCCCTCTCCAGAGCAAAGATCCATATATCCTAATGTCCCAAAGGCACTCAAATTCAACAGGACTCATTAACTTTTACTGCAAATGTAGTCTTTCCCCTGTATTTCACATCAACCACCACACTCCACCATACTGTCAGTGGACTGATGATCAAATCCTGTAAATCCTTTTTCAACATGTCTCATCTGCCTTTGATCCTTCATATATCCACTGTCACTGCCTTACTTCAGGCCCTCATTTCTTATCTAGCTTACTGCAACTAGTCTTTTTACTGCCTTTGACATTGTCACCAATCCTTCTTCAACACAACTTTTAAAGAGATTTTCCCCAGTCCTTACCAATTCCCTCTTAATACAAATATAATTGTGTTACTTCCCTGCTTAAAACCCTTCCATGACTACCTGATGCCTGAAAGATGAAATCCAACTCTTAAGATGAGTCCACATGATCTGTACTCCATTTACATCTTTAGTTTCATCTCTTGGTGAATCCATATTAAATCCTAGCTCCGTTGCTGCAGAAAAACTTTTGCTAAATTAGAGTTCTTCTCCTGCTCACCCCCAGAGGTCTATACAGACTTATTTTATCCTGATGGTATTTGTTTCTGTGTATGTGTATCTTGATGTGTGTGTGCCTCCCTCTACTGGACAATAAGCCTTTAGGGACTATATCCAGTAAGTACCTACAGTTTTTGTTAAATGAATTAGTTCTGAATCTCTTTCCCTTAGTTTTTGTAACATGCTTGTGTTGAACTTGGCTTCCCATAGATTAATTCATAAATTATATTAAAGAATGGCAATAAAAAGCTTCAAATTCATCTAATTTCTGTATCTATTAAACACAATTGGCTGCTATCTAAATAATGAGGATGGCAAAAAGTTTTCAAAGCTTAGCTAGCCTATTACACAAATAAAGAAACTGAATTTCTTTGTCTTATTGTAGTTACATAAACCAGTGGAAGATCTGGACTGTGCCTTTCCATAACCTTGGCTCTATCTTGGTTAATTATGTTTATTCTTAAGTTTAAAAAGCCCCTGAGCACAGAAAATAAATCTTTGCTGTCTGTTTCAGTCATATTTCTTCCTAAAAGCCAAGTCTGAGGTTATTGTTTAGCTGAGGTAAGTGGACTGCACATTTAGGGCCCTCAGTTATGGCTAGCATTGAAAGGCAGGATTCATCCATTTGAACATGTACTGAGTGCTTACCATTTCCAAGATATTATACAAGACCCTGGGATTACAAAAGTTGGATCCTTTCAAAGTGTTTAGACATGAGTGCACTCATGGCTTATATACCTCCAACATGACAATACTTTTAAAAAGAAGCAAAATAGAGAACTGGCAGGTTTGGTAATTTTAAAACGATATTCTTCAAAGGAGCTTAATGGAAAAGGGAAGGTATGATGGGGTGAAATAAAAAGTAGCTTCTGATTTGAGGGGGTTCATGGTAGGCCCTCTGTGTGTGCTTTGTTGTTCTGTATTTCTATTTACAAAGGCAGTACTTAATGGCTTCATGAGCTGGCATTGTATATGTCACCACAATGACCCCCATTGTCCCATCTTTCCTTTTTGCAATGAAGAGAGCCCACCGGCTGCTCCCAAGCTTCTGTCCTTACCTTACTGATGAAAGCTCTCAGTGAGGCAAATACATGTTTCAGCGACACTTCAGATTGTCCATTTTTAAGAAAAGCAAGATGTATATCAAACACTTTTTTCATTAATGGGTTATGGCCATCATTATTTAAAAGTTGGGTCTATAAAACATTAAAAAATATGGTTTATGCCCCACTGAGAATGACAGAACTGATTTCACCAATACCTGTTTATGAAACCACTGTTTGGAAGTTTCAGGAAAATAAAAGGCTCTTGCATATAATTTCAAAATATTTGTGCCATCTTTCAACTTGGAAATCTCAAACAACTACTACATACATGATATCTAAAATATTTAATCCCAACATTTTAAACAGGTAGATTTTTTTTCAATGCAACACAGCAATATACAGGACTAGTATGGGAAGAGTATTTTCTATTAACCTATACCATATTGCTTCTCAATTAAGAAATCAATAAATTAATAATGAATACAAGCAAATCAGCCTTTGTATTTCTGAGAGACTAAATATTGTAATGTATGAATGAAGGAAAATACCAGTTCTATTTTATTAGATTATGATCTAATTTACTTTAAAAGTATGTTTAGTATATGGTTAGCCATTTGTGAAAAAATAAGCCCTCTATGAGTAGAGATAATTAACAGGTATCACAATTGAACAGACTATGTAAATTGTTTAAATGTCCCTTGCAAAGAAACAACAAATTGTAGAGAAATACCTTTTAGTTTGTCAACTTTGTTTTAATCAGCAATGGTTAATTTCTCCAGCCCTATCCTGCTAACCCTCAAGAAAGTAACCAGCAGGTTACAGCTTGGCCAAAACCAACAAAACCCAAAACAACAACAATCTAATGATAATACTGACAGCCAGAATCCCTGAATGGTGTTTGATTTTTCTGGCACTTTCCTTAGTATATTTCAAGGCATGGTATAGTGGCTAGAATCATGGTCTCTTATAACTGGCCTAGATCTCAATCCTGATTCTGCCACTGCCCAGCTATTTGACATTAACCTCCTGTGGGCCCCAGTTTCCCCATTATCAAAAGGGAATAATAACAGTATCTACATCATAAGGCTATTATGAGGATTAAAAGTGAGTTCATATTTGTATTTTTAAGTTATTGAGATATAATTTACAAACCATAAAATTCACCAGTTTCAGGTATACAATTAAATTACATTTAGTAAATTCGGCAACAGAGTTGGGTGACCACCGCAATCCAATTTTAGAACATTTCCATTGTTTCAAAAAGATCACTCCCCTTTCTCATTCCCAGCCTCACAATGAAAAAGTGAGTTAATATTTGTAAAGCACTTAGGACAGTGCCTGATATCTACCAAGAGACTATATAAATGTTTGTTAAATAAATTAGAGGTATCAGAATAGGAGGAAGGAATACAATGTACATCATGAGATCTAATGGCTTTCTTAGTTATTGGCACGATGAAACATGGAGTTGTGTTGCATTTTAATATAGAACAAACCTAATACTTCATAAAGGGATCTGTAGCCTATTTATTAAAGGTATTCTGCAGCCTATTTTATATTAGTATCTAATTCAATTTTCCTTTATAAGCCTCTTTGAAAAGCACAGGCCAGGTTTCCATAGAAAATCTCGAGGTCTGAAGCAATTAACTTAATTACTTAGAGAAGAGGGGAAAAAGGAAAAAAAAAATCTGTATAACTGAAGTGAAAGCAAGCAAGATTTTCACCTTTGAGTTCTTACATTATGGTCACACCGTTTTTACTTTTCAAAGCACTCTCACGTCCATTATCCCATTTCCCCCTCCAATAATCCTGCTAGATAACTGCTTTTACCTTCTTTTTAAAATCATAGCAATGATGATTTGCACTGAGAGGCAAACATCTGAGAAAAAACACTAAGTGCGCGCCTAGGGAAGCCAGCCAGACTGCCCGGACATCATCTACCCTGACAGGACATCTCATCACAATGGGTATTTGGGCAAACAGATCCAATCATATTTTGGGCTAAAAATTGCTGGCTACTTAAAGTATGGAAACTTTGTTTTTAAATACGAAAATCTAATAGAATTTAAGAGGTAGAAGAGAGCTTAAGGGCAAGTTAGTCCACTCCCTTCCCTTTATGGATGACACAAGTGAGTCTCAGTGACTTCCAGGGTCACATGATAACCAAACTAGAACTGCCATCCACATTTCCTGACTATTCATGCCAGCCTTTTTCAGTGTACTACCCCACATTGACTAGGTAATTTCTGCATAATGTTACTTTGCAATGGTACCAACTGAATTATAACTCTTCATTTTTACCTTGAAGCACTGAGTGAAAAATGATATGGTGTCTAGTACTGTTAGGGAAACTTCAGTAGCTGTATTGCCTTCAAGAAGTGCCTGGTGGAAAATGTCTGCTTCAGTTGTTGTAGAACCTAGGATTAAAAAAGTAAATTAAACTTTTCCCAACACGAAGATGCACATAATGGTGTTGAATGACTTTCTACCCAAAGACTTAAGACAAGAAAGGGGGCTCGGCTGGGTGCGGTGGCTCATGCCTGTAATCCCAGCACTTTGGGAGGCTGAGGCGGACAGATCATGAGGTCAGTTCAAGACCAGCCTGGCTAGCATGATGAAACCTGTCTCTACTAAAAATACAAAAAATTAGCCGGGCATGGTGGCACGTACCTACAATCCCAGCTACTCAGGAGGCTGAGGCAGGAGAATCACTTGAACCCGGGAGGCAGAGGTTGCAGCGAGCCGAGATCACGTCACTGCACTCCAACCTGGGTGACAGAGTGAGACTCCGTCTCAAAAAAAAGAGGGCTCACAGTGTCATACTGTATTTAACTCCTTCATCAAATATAGTCTGGGTTAATCAATTTCATTAGTTTTCATTACAGTTCTGTATCAACAGCTCTGCAGGACATAATTAGGTGCCCACCTCTTTGGAGACAAGGTTTCAGTGATGAACTCTGGCGATGTAACTAGGAAATAATGTGGGAGGCCTTCTAAGTCATGCCACTAATTATGTGGGTAAAAATGAGAAACCACTAAATAGAAATTCAGCTACAGATAAACAGTAGTGCCCTATGGTCAGACATTTTCAATTATGCCAATTATATGACATTTGTTTCTAAATCAGAAGGAAAACAAGGTATCTTGGAGGCAACTGAAGGAAGTGGTTCATCATATTTTTACAAGAAGCTGAAGGCTTTAAAACATGCAGATTTAAAGGTCCTGAGTCTATTAGTTCAGGGTCTAGCAAAACATTATTTTTTATTACTAGGTCTTACCACAAAGCCAGTTTTGCTGGCTTCCTTTTCTGAAACCTTCAGAGGACTGTGTGGAAACAAAACATTCTCACTCTTTGAGTTGTTATTAATATTTGCTTTTCATAGGATAGCTTCCATTTATATAACCCTCTAGCTTCCGCAGTTGGGCAAGATTTCTCTCCTTGCCCTATTTGCCTTGTCAATACTTCAACCTGTCTGAAATACACCTTTGCCAAACTAGTATTTAGGATTCACCGATTTCTGCAGTCAACTCAGCATGTTCATTCCCTAATCATTAAATGACCAAAAGTAACTAAACAAATATTACATATACTATTATATTAAGATGTCAATATTTGCATTGAAGTCTAACAGTAGGAATGAAGAATACTCAATATAAAAATATTATGAGAATAGCAATTCCATGGGAAAAATTTAGTTTCTTTAACACTAAGAAGAAAACATCATGACCTAAAATTGTTCAAAAATCCATGTGTATTTTATCATTTTATAGTCATGTATGATGAAATTGATTATATACATAGCAGAGAGATGCAAACACATGTATGGGAAATCATTTCCCATCATATTGGCAATTTAAACCAGGACTTCTTTTCTTCATACATATTTAAGGGATACAGGTGATATTTTGTTACATGCATATAATGTGTAATGATCAAGGTATTTATGGTATCCATCACCTTCAGTTTTTATTATTTAAACCAGGACTTCTTTAAGGTCAAATGGGTACCACACACACATTTTCACTTACTGTGATTAAGTGTAAATGAACTTTCTAGGCTACTAAGATGCTGAAGCCGGGCCTGCATTACTCCTGATCTGTTTCGAAGAGCAGGCATGGTTTGCGATTTTCGGTCTATTCCGAAGTGTTTTGACAGCCAGGCATCATGCACCCTAAAATAAATTTTAAAGTCAGGAACTGGAGTGCTCTAATAACATATCTCAATGTTATCATCTTTTTAACTAAAAAAAATTAGGTTTCCACATAAACATAGTAGTACACTCAAGGATTAAATGAAGTGTCACTAGAAACTGGATGAAGTTTTAATGTATCTTTAAAATAGCATATATGAATATAATTAAGGAATTTAGAAAGAGCTTCCACTTCCCTCCTTCTTCTCAAAAACATCAGAGATAAGTGGCCAACACTCCAATAAGATTTAATCTTTTCACAGGAGGTGAGGAAGGGCAAGAGTGGGAAGAAGACAGCCAGAGGTTCACTAAGAGTTGAAATGAGAGGGGAAACTCCTAGAGCCAGATGTTCAAGAATGAATGCCAATCTAATCTGTTTCTGAACCTGAGGTAAGTTTGGATTAGAAATTTTTACTCTGTAAGCATGTCCATTGCTAAGATGAACAAACTTTTCTTTGTTTTACTTTAATGTTGTTTCCATTTAAAAAATTACAACTGGGTCATACATGGACTAAGGAAGAAATAGTTTGTTTATCCTCTAGTAAACGTAGTGGGAGAGTTGACAGAATCCTAGAGACTGAGGTTCATGGTAACAATGGCCATACCAGCTCCAACTTATGGGAAAACATGGTTGAAATTGGAACCCTCACCACCCAAACTACCTATCCTTAGGACGTTCCAGAGACTGAACAGTAATCCCCATCCACACAGCCTCTTAAAAATTAAACATTTTTTAAAACTGTTTTTGAGCTCCTTTAATGACTAACTCTACCCCTAAAATACATCTCATTGAAATAAGCAAGTAACCTTCTTCACCTTAGAATCTCTCAAATATTTCCTTAAGTATTTATTTCACTAGGACTTACATGGCAAAAAGAGGAAATAGATAATGTATCATTTATGTCCCAATTGCTGTTGGGGATTTCTATTTGCTTTAGTAACTGAGGTGAGTATTGATAGTTTTCAGACAAAAATACAGACCTTACAGTTGTCCTCACTTTATGATTTCCTGCCTTCCCCTGGATCTAGCCTCTTCTGGATTCCTTTAGAAAAGATAAGCATCTCACAAGGTAGAAACTCTGTATATCACTTTAATCATCACTCCTTGGGAAGCTTGAAAATGTAAAAGTTCCCATTCGTTTAAACTTTCAATTGGGACATGTTAACTAAATCACCGGTATCCCAATGTTAACTCAAAGTATGCAACCTAGGTTTTACATGGCATGACTAAGATTGCCCTCTGTTGGAAGAGAAGGAAAAAGTAGAAATTGCAGTGCTATGGGAATTACCTTGCTATGTTTCTTTTCCCCATATATCTAAAGTGAAACAAGCATACTCTAGAAAGAAAAACAATAGCATGTTAGTAATATATTAACATCCTCTACAGATTAACAAGTGATATTTTAAAAGTCATAAGTTACAAAGAATAGCCTATTTAAATCATATTATAATGATAAGTGTTTTGCTATACAGAAATACATAGATAATTAATTGCGGGCTTGCCATATTCTCTTTCTACATTTATTTGCTACAATTACATCATGTTTTCATATACAATTTTAATGACAGGTTTAAAAAACCTGTCAATGCAAATCACCCTTTATGCTCTGTAACTTATCATAGCAAAGGTCTCCATCAGTCATTTTTTATTTTTGACACAGGACCTCGCTCTGTCACCCATGCTGGAAGGCAGTGGAATGATCATGCGCGGCTCACTGCAGCCTCGACCTCCCAGGCTCAAATTATTCTCTCACCTCTGCCTCCCAAGTACCTGGAACCACAGGTGCACATCACCATGCCCAGCTAATGTTTTATTTTTTGTAGAGATCAGGTCTCACTATGTTGCCCAGGCTGCTCTCAAACTCCTGGGCTCAAGTGATCCTCCTGCCTCAGCTTCCCAAAGTGCTGGGATTACAGGCGTGAGCCACCACGCCTGGCCCGCCAGCATAGTCAATAATATCTCTAAAAGGTTCTTCCACACTAAAAATTGGGGCAATTTCTACATTTTAAATAATAGCATTAAAATACTTTATATTATTAAAAATTTCAAACGCGTACAAAAGTAGGGAGAGTACCATAGTTAACTCCTACATACCCAATCATCCCCCAGATTCAACAATGATTGAACTCATGGCTATTCTTGTTTGACCTCTGCCCTGAATAGGTCCCCTGATATCCCTCCACCCTCCCTACCCCTGTGTTTCTAAAGCAAATCCCCAACATCAGATATTTTCATTAGTAAATATTTCAGTACAATTACAGTAGTTAAAAAAAAATCTTAACTGCTGTTTATTCTTCTGACATTTTCCGTAAAAGTTTGTAAGACTTTAATCCAAGGGTTTTGTATTGATATGCTTTGTTTTTGTAGACATGCACATACAAATCATATACGTGTACTATTTATTTAAAAATTTATTGCATTTCATTCTATCTCTAATTTTTCTTTTAGCTTCCAATAATCATATAAAAATAGCTCAGGATGAAATATAGGACAACTTCCCATGTCCAGACTAGGTTTCCCCCCAAGAGTCTTGGAATACATACATATACACGTGTGTGTGTGTGTGTGTGTGTGTGTGTGTGTGTGTACACACAAATACACAGACACATTTCTGCAGTGGGTAGAATTACTCAGCTCTACATGAAAGTACAAATTCTAAATTCCAATCATTTACACTGCTCCACTAATCCAGCATCTGTTCCAAATGAATGATGCACGACAGATGATACTACTTCTAGTTTTTCAGATCACAGAAAGCCTTTTGCTGGGCTTTAAAGATGGTTTATTATTAGCTAGAGTTTCAGCAGTATACAAAGTATTCCACGTTCACATTTTTCTTCTGTCTGCAGGTAAAGAACCTCTATGTCAGGCTCTATATTATCAAAATAATTTAACATTTTCTACATTATTAGCAAATAAGCTATTAAAAACAGAAAAAATTGTAACAGTTGAATTCTCCCCAAATAAGGGGAAAGTATATGAAGATAAATTAATATAACTTACTCTAAAAGTATAAGAATGTTTATGAGCTCCTGAGGTGATACTTTATTCCAGTAAGTTAAGAGAGTATCTGAAAATGGAATAAATAAAGTGTTAGATCTTGAAATAATTACAGCAAATAGCACAGTGAATCCCCAAGTCCTATGTAGCTTCAAGGACTATCAACTCAAGGTGAATCTTGTTTCATCTATATTCTCCTCTCCCCTCCCACTGCGCAGTATACACTCTGTATTCTTTTGAATTAATTCCAAATATATCATTTAATTGGTAATTAGTTCAGCATCAATGATCCTTTTTATGTGCTTTGTGTATGTCCTTTTGGGTCGCTTATCCCAATCTTCGTATCATTTCTGAAGACAGAGTAAGGGAAGTTGCTGTGTTTTTACTTTAGATGAGGTGTTTTGAATGAACTCCCTAAAATTTTATGCCAGATGGTGTGTTTATGTGCATTTTTCTGAGAAGGTCAAATGCCGTTGCCTGCTACTCAGAGGGCTCTGTGAATAAAAAGGTTTAAGAATTTTAAACTTCAGCCTGGTTGCGGTAGCTCACATCTGTAATCCAGCACTTTGGGAGGCCAAGGTGGGCGTATCACTTGAGGTCAGGAGCTCGAGGCCAACCTGGACAACATGATGAAACCCCTTCTCTACTAAAAATATAAAAATTAGCTGGGCGTGGTGGCCAGCGCCTATAATCCCAGCTACTCGGGAGGCTGAGGCAGGAGAATCACTTGAACCTGGGAGGTGGAGGTTGCAGTGAGCTGAGATCGTGCCACTGCACTCCAGCCTGGGCGACAGAGTGAGACTCCGTCTCAAAAAAAATAATAAAAATAAAAAAGAGAATTTTAAACTTCAGGAGAGACAGATAACTTTCCTTTTTCTCTCTGCCTTTGCATTATAAATTCTGATGTCCTATCTATCTGTGGAACAACTATTTCAGACACAAAAGTCTCTTAAATCTATCACATATACTTCTCTTTCTTACCCATTTCTTCCCCAACACACCTACTTAGTGAGATTTAAAACAAAACAAAACAAAACAAACAGTGCCACCACTTGACTTTCCACTCCTTTTTTATCCTACTTTGATGGAGCTAATGGTGTCAGCAGACCCTCCTCTAACTGTAAAAATCGCATAGGTGTCACAAAAGCAGGCAAATGACTTAATTCCCAACTGAGCTAGAACCTCTCAATGATAAAGATGGAAGACAAGACAATGTTGGCTTTATGGAGGGGCAAGGAGGATGAGGGAACAGGGGAGGTCGACTTAGTTACTTCCAATTTTCCAATTGTTTTATAAGACCACGAATATTGCTAGGTTTCAATTATTACAAAATGCTAATCATCAAGAATAAAACTGAAAATAGACTCAAAATTTGACTTGTTTTAAAAATTAGGCCAGGCCCAGTGGGTCACGCCTGTAATCCCAGCACTTTCGGAGGCCGAGGCGGGTGGATCTGAAGTCAGGAATTCGAGACCAGCCTGACCAACATCGTGAAACCCTGTCTCTACTAAAAATACAAAAATTAGTTGGGCGTGGTGGCGCGCCTGTAATCCCAGTTACTCAGGAGGCTGAGGCAGGAGAATTGCTTGAACCCGGGAGGCGGAGGTTGCAGTGAGCTGAGATCGCGCCACTGCTCTCCAGCCTGGGCTCAACAGAGTGAGACTCCATCTAAAAAAAATTAAATTAAAAAAATATATATCAAGCTAGCAGTGACTTCCGCTTTCGCCTATCTGCCACTGGGTGTCTACTCACAGAAGCTTGGGTTCCCCCCCAGAAGTCCCTGCGTTTCCGGCCTCCGGTCAAAGGGCAGCTTGCTGCGCCACTGCCTGAGGGTGCTGGCCTCCCTCTCCTGTGGGTTAGCTCTTCTAGCCGAAAAGTTGGTGCCTCCTCTCCAGCGAAAACCTGGGACTTTGCGTCCAACGGTGAGCACCCATCTCCCTCGCCCCATGTCCTAAGGTAGCTTCGGAGAAGGTCTGTGAAAGGGGTAAAAGTGCTCGCCCTCACAGCGAACTAGCTCCAATCCACTGCAAGTCCGCCATTTTCTTAACGGCACTGTTGTTGAGCGACGAGGCCATCCCTCCCATTTCCAAATCTGTGAAACATGATGCAGGCAGGGAACGAGGGTGTAGGAGGGAGGAGAGGTTGTAAGAAATCTTCAGGAAGAGAATCATCACGGCTTAGTGTATGTGATTTGGAATCTGACAATTTTAAAAAAACATGGCTGGCGCTAAAAGAGCTCCATGATAAAGAGCTGCGGCGTCTACAGGCAAAATTAACAAGTCTGAGGAAACAGCGATTGTCAGACGGGAGGCGGACGGGCTCCACAGCCAAAATTAAAGAGTTGACTAAACAGCAGAGAGTCCTGCAGAGCACCATTAATGACTTGAAAGATCAGTTAAAGGCAAAAACCTGTGACTGCTGTTCAATGACAGAAACATACAGGCTTGCGCTAGAGAAAGACTATTATGAAATCCAACAACAAAATCTTTTCTTTATTGCGGAACTCACTAAAGAAACAAATAAATTACGAGAAGAAAATAAAAGGCTTTCTAAAATAATAATGAGGCAACAACAATTTCAGACTTCTGGTAGTGATGACTTCGTTTCTGGTAGTCAAATGACTATGTCAGATTTTTCAGTCAGGGAGCCTGCACAAGGAAGGCAGAGGCATGTGCCTATCAAATCGATAAGCCAGTCACAAAGTAAGCAGATGAAACCTACGAGCACAAAGGAACTGCAACAAAGTTCAGAGTTTCCAGCTCCATCTTTTAGTCAAGGCCTCTTTGAAGTGCCAGAGACCTCTTTTGCGAAAAGTTCCTCTAATGACACTAAGCCTAACATAGAAGACCCTGCCAGCCAGAAGCCACTGGCAAGTTCTCTTTTAACAACTTCACTTAGTCCTCAAAAGAGGTATGAATTTCAAGATTTTTTCAATCTTCATGAAGACAAGATTGGCCAGCCAAAAGGGACACTTGAAACAAAGGTCTCCCCGCAAAAAGAAACTCAGATTGGCACATCATGGAACCCTTCCGCTATCTCCCCAGGAGAATACCCAACTCATGTATCTGAAAGTTTACTGGAAACTTTAGAGGATTATTCTATAACCTCATATAGCCCTCTTGCAAAGGAAAAGAAAATAATCCCTTTGAATGTCTTGCCTTTAGACTCTACTTTAAAATCTAGTACAAAAAGAAGAGCAGTGGTTGCTATTCCTTCTAACACCAAATTTGCAGTGAGAGATAGCTCTAACCAGATACCTTCCAATGAACAGTCTGCTTCGGAGAATATTAATGAATCTACAAGTGCAGGGTATGGTGCCGATAAGCCTCAATGTGATACTGAGAGTGTCTTTTTGGAGTCTGGGCTAAAGAGAAAAGTGAAGACACAGTCACAAAGAAAGAGGAAGTAGCTTCCCCATCCCCCCCACCCCCCTCACCCCCCCCCCCACCGCCCCCCACCACCTTCTCTCTTAAGGAAGCAACAATGTTTTACTTTTCCAACAGAACAGTCTTCTTGTCAATTCAGACTTCGTAACTGGTAACTCCTGACTCTTATTCCTTTTCTCACGATATAATAAACTAAGCAGTAAGGCCTGAAAATGTTTGGCAAATGAATCTAAGACTTTGAAATAGCAAATTTTTGTCAATTAATAAAATGCAGCTATAAGTAGAGAATGAAATTTATTCTCCAGAATCCATATAAAAGTGTAGAGATAGAACATCTTTTCATTGACATTAAAGTTGCTACTGTTTATGACTCAATAAAAAAGAAAGCCAAGAGAGGACCTCAAGATTGTGGACTTGAAAGAGATAAATATTTAAATGCATATAGAGTAACTAAAACAATATTTACCGGACAAGACAAAGTAATTAGAATACATCCATTGAGAAGGATCTAGAAGACATTTCTTAGAACAAAATGAATATGACTTTACAGATATACAGCATGACTTTATACATATAAAAGATAAACAGATGTGACATAGACTGTATACTAGTTATTGAAAATGTGCTTTTTAAAATCAAAAAGCAAGAGCAGAAGACTACAAAACCTAATTAACAAAGACTGAATATTCGGCACAGAGTACTGCCACTGAGCAAGCATGGTCAACATTTGCAAGAATAAGAGGAACTATCAAGTTCACAAGAAATAAAACAGTCATGGGCCGGGTGTGGTGGCTCACGCCTGTAATCCCAGCACTTTGGGAGGCCGAGGTGGGCGGATCACGAGGTCAGGAGATCGAGACCATCCTGGCTAACACCGTGAAACCCCATCTCTACTAAAAATAAACAAATTAGCCGGGCGTGGTGGCGGGCGCCTGTAGTCCCAGCTACTCGGGAGGCTGAAACAGGAGAATCACTTGAACCTGGGAGGTGGAGGTTGCAGTGAGCTGAGATCCTGCCACTGCACTCCAGCCTAGGCGACAGAGTGAGACTCCATCTTCAAAACAAAAACAGTCATGGTTTTACCCATGACATTAAAAATAACAACCAGAGACTTGTCTCTGGTTAGTATAGAATGTGATGTATATGTGTGTGTATGTGTGTGTGAGACCTACAGTGGAGGAGGGGAGAGAACTAGTCAGCAATGCAGCTTTTCCCCTCCTCCTACCTTCTCTCTCTTTCCCTCATTCTTTGGGCTGTGGTGGTATTCAACCGCTTTTTTGTTCACTTCTGCTTTTTTTCTAATGTATCTCTTGGACCTATTTTTTTTAAGGCTAGTCAAGTGGCAATGGGAGTGGAGAACAGATAAAGATTGGGCCTCTTTTTAAAAAAAAACATTTACTGAGAGATTCATTTATCATAAAAATGCCCACATAAATAGCCCACAATATTACAATAGTTTATAGTTTATTCAAAGACTAAGGAAACCTTCACCACAGTTTTAGAACATTTTCATTGCCTTAAGAAGAAACTCCATAAATGTTAGCAATTTCCAGATTCCACAACATAATGTTTGATATTTATGCTAAATCGTACATTCCTAGAACTTGAATATTCCAGTTATTTTTATTTTATTAATGAACTTTAGAATTTACTCATATCTAGCTATTTATTTTAATGTTTCTATAGCTACTTAGATATCAACTTATTTTATGTCTTTACATCCTGCATTATTATAAAATATTTAAAACGAAATAATTACTAAAAATAAAAAAATAGAAAATGAGTAAAAGATAGCAATCACTATGATGATCCCAGGTGCTTTTATGTTTTCCATTTTTGCATTTTTTTTTTTTAAGCAAAAGTATTGCGAAAAGGAAGAGAAGGGAGGGAACTGTCTAAGTAAATGTGGTATTTGGAAATAACCTGCTTTTACTTCCCGAGGACATGCAGTTTATGAAAGTCCTTCGGTTGTATTCCATCATATAGTGTAAAGAGGAACTGGTGACACTAGTAAATACGGCTCTATACCAAGGAGAAAAAACAGAGCCCGACAAAGAACGCGATACCAGACAATATCATACAGTGTTGCTGCAAAGATAATGATGACATTCCCTACCCTTCAAGAACTCTTCCTGTCTTTTTGTTTCTTATTTGTCAAATCCTGGGTTAAATAAAAGCTGAAGTATTAAATATGAATTCTGGTGGTTATTATTTCCTTTCAGTTACATTGGTCATTTAATGAATTAAATGCTCTGCATGAAAACAAAATGTTTAGCACTTCTAAAACCATTGCCTCATTTTAGAAATTCATTTGCAAAATTATGTTAAAATTATTTCAAAGACTCGAACTTGTGTGACTGACATGAACCTATTTTGAAGTTCAATTTAAGAAACATTTTAAAGTCAGAGTCTCCAAATAACTGTTTATAATGTGCATGTGCTCTGCCTCCAGATGATGATCAAATATTGTTGCATGAATTTGTGAACCTGTGAGGGTGTATGTCTAGTACAGTCCATGCTTAATATGATGGTAACTCACCTTCTGAAATCATTTTTACTATATACAGGTAGCACATCAGGAGGCTTCTGATTTCATACTGATCCAGGCGGTTATACTGGGATACACTACTCCTTGTAGAACTCTGTCGGGTCTGTAAGGACAGGATGTTCGTGAAATAGTATCAGTACAATTTTCCACAGCCTTTAACTCAGTAACTCTTTTTTTATCATTAGATCTGTTTGGGAAAATTCTAAACATAAATCTAAATTTTATATCACAACTTGAAGGTGAATGGGCTGAATCTTTCTTTCCTAGTAATAGCTAGTAATATCACTAGAAATTACCTTGGAGTCTTCACAAAGATATAGCCATGAATACTGTGTTTCATTCTCATATGCCATGTGTTTTAGTGGTAAAATTTTAAAATAATCATGGCTATTTAAGGAAAGATAGCTTTTACATGGAGTGAAAGCATAAGAAACATCTTAAACTTTTTCATTTGAATCTTTCCTTAGAGTTTATTAAAATCCAACCTCCAAATCATACATTAGAAAATCTATCTTAAGGGCTAATAAAACCAGGCGCAGTAGCCCACACCTGTAGACCCAGCGTTTTGGGACGCTCAGGTGGGAGGATCACTTGAGGCCAGGAGTTTAATACCAGCCTGGGCAATATAGCAAAACCTGTCTCTACAAAAAAAAAAAAAAAAAAAATTTAGCTGGGTGTGATGGTGCATGCCTGTAGTCCTAGCTACTCAGGAGGCTGAGGCAGGAAGACTGCTTGAGCCCAGGAGTTCAAGGCTGCAGTGAGCACTGATCGTGTCACTGCACTCCAGCCTGGGTGACAGAGCAAGACCCTATTTCTAAAAACTATAAATAAATTAAAAAATGGGCTAATTATATTACGATAATTACACTTAGGAGTACCCAATAATACTTCAAAATTAGTACCTCTACAAAGTACTGATGTGTTCCTATTATTTAATGACTTTTTAAAAAATATCAGAAATTAAGCATGACAAGATCTGACTTATTTGGGGATTTATATGAATAGAATAACAATAATCTAAAAAATTTAAAAACTAATACTTTCAGTTGAGCTAAACTGGGGATGCACCATTGACTAGGGTGGAATTTACTAAGGAAGAACTTTTACTTGGAGCAAACAGACCTAGGTTCTGATTGCTTGCCTAGCTACTATGTGACTACTAGCAAGTCATTCAACCTCTCTGACCTTTATTTGCCTTAGCTATGACAGTACCTGTTGTCACAATTTCTAAATGGTGTAAAAGAGAAACATTTGTGAATAAATTACTGTTTACCCAAAGGCTCAAGGAACCAGTGGAAGTATAGTCCACTGGTTCTCAAGGGTAACAATACCCAACCAGCAGCATCAACATCACCTGGGAACTTAGAAATACATGTTAGCAGGCCCTATTCCAGACTTACTGAATCTCACCCTGGGGTGAGGCCCAGACATCTATTTTTTAAGCCCTCCAGGTGATGCTGATGTACACTAAGAGCACCATGATATAGGAGACAAAGTGCTCATATTAGAAAATCTGGGTTCGAGTATGGTCCTGCCATAGCTGGTTGTTCTAAGTCATAATCCCAATTTTCATTTGTAAATTGAGAGTTGGAATTTATTGTTCTTATAGTCCCTTCTAATATAATTTTATACGATTCAATGATTTTACATAACAACATGGCAAAACTTTACTCGTCTAAAATGAGGTCTTTCTGCCTTAAGGCAGTCACATCTCAAACTTTAATGGTAGGCGTGAAACGACTTGATAGAAGAGTTGGGAGGATATATTCTGATTAAGTGATGCTGGGACCCTAAGATTGTCAATTTTGGGACCTATATTTTTTCCTCCCAAATTAATATCATTACTCTATTACAAAAGAATGAAAGACTGCATTAATCCTGCCAGGATGTGCTTCGTTTTAAATAACAAGGCACATTAGATATTTTAAACTTGAATTTCTCCTCACTAAAATAGCGTGCTAGGGTTAAAGGAGATATTCAGAGTTAGAACTCTTGAGGATGAATGCCTTATTCTCTATAAATAGTTTAAGACATTGAAGTAGCAGCTGCCACTATAGGAAGATACTGCTAAAATATCTAAGAATTATGGGATGCTTTTCGCAGAGCCAGGATGGACTACAGGTGAGTACAGATGCTCATATTTATACTATAAAAAAATTGTTGCAGGCTAATGTGTCACTAGGGTCATCCTATATATTTAAGTTCTTACATTTTCACCAGTGTTGCCCTGATCTGGAAATCCTGTTGCTCCTTCTGGGATGAGGGAACCTCTTGAATCTTCTCTCTTAATTCCATGTCCATTTTGAAAAGACCCATAAGCTGGGGAAAAAAAAAAGTCAAGCCCTTGTTGGCAAGAGGGGGAACTGTCAGAAATATTTAAAAAGTACGGAACTAATTTAAGTAGAGACATTAATGTAGGGAATAGATCTTGGACATCTAAAATGTGAAGTTTATTATATCAAAACACCATAAGAAACCATGTAAAAGTGAAGCAACTTTTCACCTTTCAAAACACTTTAGCATGTACAAAATGACAAGAAATTCCTTGGAAGCCGTAAAATAAAGCCACACAATTTAAAAGACAATTTTATAGACAAGGAAACTTGAGCCCATAGATGGGAGTATCTGGCTTAAAACTGGTGACAGATAAGAAGAGTGGAAACCAGTATTTTTCTCATTATCCTCTATTTTCTCAGTATGCCAAGCTATGTTCTAAATAAGCTTAGACAAGGAAACCTAGGCAAATAAATTTGACTGCAAGTATAAGTCAGATTTTAATTAAACTTTAGTAGAGATCAAGCTATGTATGGTCTTTATTATGAAATATATCAAAAATACTGAGAAGTAGAGGGTACATGTCTAAACACCCACGCAATGTATCATCTCCAAAAGGTTTAATTACCGGTGTCTTTGTCAGTGCTCAGACTCCCTCTATTGGCAGGTGAAGTAAAGCCACATGGAAACTCATCTCTGGATGCCTGTAACAGAATATGATACCTGTGTCATTTAAACAAATTCGTATATAGGATAAGAAATCTGAATTAACAGAATAAAATGTTACATTGATTTTAAACAAAGCTCACTGTGAAAGTCTAAATCAGATACTAGTAATTAGTATTTAGGTGACTCTTTTTTAAAAAAAAAAAGCTACTAGCATACTGTTGTAACCATGACCTCTAGCCAAGTGACATAATTCTAGATAGCTGCAACTGGTACAGCTGCAACTGGTACAGTCTTTTTTGTTTTCGTTTTCTGAGACAGGGTCTTGCTGTGTAGTCCAGGCTAGAGTGCGGTGGCATGATCATAGCTCACTGTAGCCTCAACCTCCTGGGCTCAAGTGACCCTCTCACTTCAGCCTCCAGATTAGCCAGGACTACAGGTATACACCACCACACCCAGCTAATTTTTCATTTTTTTAGAGATGGGGTTTTCCCATGTTGCCTAGGTTGGTCTCAAACTCCTGGACTCAAGTGATCCTCCTGCCTTGGCCTCCCCAAGTGCTGGGATTACAGGCATGTGCCACGGCGCCCAGCCTGGTAAAGTCTTAACATGATTCAGTTCTCCTCCTTAGAACCAGGGCAATGCTAGAAGAAGGTGTGTGACCAGAAGCCCTAGGGAAACTTGAGCTGCAAAGAATACAGAGAAGTGAAATATTTCCAAATAATGCTGTCAAATCTATGTGGAGGGAGCATAAGCATGAGATACTGTATTTGTAAAGTGAGACCAGCCTGACACTCAGGTAGGTGTAGTATCCACATTCAGCCAGTTGACATGACTGGGAGTCACAGGGAAGCAAGCCACTAGAAAAGCTTAAAAGCAACGTCCTCAGGAACACAGGACAGGCATGACAAATTGGCTGTAGCATTTCATAGGGGGAATTTGCAGAGGAAGCTGTAAATGACACAGTTTAACCTGCTACCCAACAATATTACGTGGCCAGCCAAAGTGCAAAGGTGATCTTGGGCCATACAGAACATGGATGGGGGCAGAAGTTAACAGTCCACTGGGCAGACTATAAAGTGTATAATTTGGACATTGTATTTTAATAGGGTTACTGGTAAACTGAAGCATATTTGGAAAAGGGGTGACCACGAAAGCAAAGGGTTTTGGGGACCGGGCACAGTGGCTCATGCCTATAATTCCAGCACTTTGGGAGGCTGAGGCAGGCAGATCACTTGAGGTCAGGATTTCAAGACCAGCTTGGCCAACATGGTGAAACCCCCCGTCTCTACTAAAAGTACAAAAAAAATTAGCCGGGCGTGGTGGCGCATGCCTGTAGTCCCAGCTACTCAGGAGGCTGAGGCAGGAGAATCACTTGAACCCAGGAGGCAGAGATTGCAGTGAGCTGAGATCATGCCACTGCACTTTAGCCTGGGTGACAGACTTAGACTCTGTCTCAAAAAAAAAAAAAAAAAAGTAAAGGATTTGGAATGACAGATTAGTGGAGATATTTGGTGGCTTGGAGAAAAATTTAGAAGGCACAAGTGGAAAGGGTACATTTGGAGGTGGGAACAGATGTGTTTCATGTGTCTCTAGAAGACAAAAGTAAGACCAGTGGATAGAAAACCTTTTAGGTCTAATGTGAGAAGGAATGTTTAAATTATTACAATGGCAAAAGGTTGTTTTGCCAAATAGGAGACTGATCACCTCCAAAGTTCCTTCTAATTCTTAAAATTCTAAGGGGAGCAAAAAAAGCACAGACCAATTGTGATAAACTAAAAGAGTCTCACCAAGAAGTGCTGAAGGAGACTACTAAGGGAAAGGAGAAGCAAAGGAATACAGTTTAGTCCCCAGTGCCTAATATCTTGGAAGTAGAGAATCTTTTGTTCAGTTTAAGTTGAATAAATGTATGAAGCCATACAACAACAGAAAATGTTAAGAACGAAAACACAGCGTTCAAAGGATTTGTGGTGTTCTCTTGGAATTTGTTTTCCAAAGTGCAATCTTTGGACCAGAAGCAGCCAAAAGCTTGTTAGAAATGCATGCTCTCAAGTCCCACCCCAGGTCTATTGAATTAAAATCTGTTGGCTAGGTGTGGTGCCTCACGCCTGTAATCCTAGCACTTTGGGGGCCGTGGTGGGTAGATCACCTGAGGTCAGATGTTCCAGACCAGCCTGGCTAACATGGTGAAACACCGTCTCTACTAAATATACAAAAAAATTAGCCAGGCATGGTGGCGGGCACCTGTAGTCCCAGCTATTCAGGAGGCTGAGGCAGGAGAATCCCTTGAACCCAGGAGGCGGAGGTTGCAGTGAGCCGAGATCACGCCACTGCACTCCAGCCTGGGCGACAGAGCGAGACTCTGTCTCAAAAAAAAAAAAACCTGTTTTAACAAATTCCCCAGGTGATTCATATGCAGATTAAAGTTTGCAAAGCACTGTATTAGGAAAAACAGTGTACATGGAGTAAAAACTGAACTCTTGGCTGGGCACGGTGGCTCATGCCTGTAATCCCAGCACTTCACGGGGCTGAGAGGGGAGGATTCCTTGAGCTCAGGAGTTTGAGATCAGCCTGGGCTGCACAGTGAGACCCTGTCTCTGCTAAAAATGAAAAACATTAGCTGGGCATGGTGGCGTATGCCTGTAGTCCCAGCCACTCGGGAGGCCAAAGCAGGAGGATCACTTGAGCACAGGAGTTTGAGACTACAGTGAACTATGATTGTGCCACTACACTCCAGCCTGGGTGATAGAGCGAGACTCTGGCTCAAAAAAAAAAAAAAAAAAAAAAGTGAACTCTTAAGGTTGAGATCATATAGCATATGACCCCAATTCCAAATGCATTCAATAAAATAGGATAAAACTCCAACAGAAACACATTACTACTTACAGAATTAGGCATGGCTGCACAAGAATACAAGGTATCTCGACCTGCTAATCGCTGTATATTTTCCAAAAGTAGTCCAACAAAGGGGAGGTACAATTGTGCTATTTTGGCTTGTTGGTTCTGAAAAATAATTATTGAAAGCTTAATACGTATATAATATGTATATATTACAAATAAATGGAGTTGGCTTCATATATCAATTTAAAGACTAAAAAGTAGGCTAACATCCATAACAAATTACTGAAGCATGAATCTCTTTATACTTATAGTCTGAAAACTAATTACCACAGAACTTTGTTGGCCTTTGGATTTATCCATGATACAGACTCAAATTACATCCCTCAAACATAATGACATGAAGTAAAAGGTTTTTGTAAAAAATAGAAGTTGGCCTATAAAGCAGATGATATTATTCCTGTTTTTCAGCTCCAGTGAGCGTTGAGCTTCATGAGAGCAGGGACAGTGTCTGTCTTGTTCACTGCTTCATCCCCAATGCCTGGGCACATAGCAGATGGTCAATACATATTAGCTGAAGGAATGAATGAGTAAGTGGAAGAAGTGAAAAAATGGTAAGTTACTGTATTCATTCAGGAAACATTTTTTGCTTCCATTAAAGCTACAATTACAATAATATGAACTTGGTCCCCTAAGTCAATTTTAAGACTTGGGAGATTGATATATTTGTAAATATGTAAATAAAACTGGCCACCAGGGCTCTTAATTAATGTGGTACCTCTTATACAAATTTATTTCTTTCCTCAGCTTATAGACATTCCTCGCCAGATATGTATATACACTCAAATCAGAGAAAATAGTGGCTGTGGTAGCACAAGCATTGCCCTCTATCTTTCATGACTTTAGGAGGTTTTTCTGGAGAATTAGATAAGGCCCTCTAGGGCAAAATGGTCAATATGTAGAATGTAGAAGATTACTGGTCTCTTACTATTGTTTTAGTTTGCATTTACTATTGAGGTTGAACAATTTGTCACGTGTTAATTGGCCATTTGCACTTCATTTGTGAATTTCAAAAACCCTTCCCTTCTTAACAGACTTTCTTCCAACATAGTACCCCGTCAGTAATAGTCTCTACCACCAGAAGATTCTGATTTACCAGGTCTGGACTGGTCCAGATGATGCTGATGTGCATAAATGTTTCAGAACCACTAACCTAGTCCAACTTCCTGCTGAAGGCAGGAATGAATGGCCCTTACATGTATCCTTGACAAATAGTTTTTTAAACTTCTTTAAAACTCAAGCCGTTTCATGGGTTCTATTAGGAAGGTCCTTTATCTGAAATACACTCCTCCTAAGTTCTACCTCCTAGGTATAGCTCTGCCCTTTGGAGCTACAAAGAATAAGTCTATTTCTACTTTTGCATGGCAACCCTTTAAATATGTGAATACAGTTACCATGAATCATCTTAACTCATTCTTTTTTTTTTGAGACTGAGTCTTACTCTGTCACCCAGGTTGGAGTGCAGAGGCACAATCTCAGCTCACTGCAATCTCTGCCTCCTGGGTTCGAGAGATTCTCCTGCCTCAGTCTCCCAAGTAGCTGGGATTATAGGTATCCACCACCACGCCTGGCTAATTTTTGTCCCTTTTTAGTAGAAACAGCGTTTTACTATGTTGGCCAGGCTGGTCTCGAACTCCCAACCTTAGGTGATCCACCCTCCTCAGCCTCTCAAAGTGCTGGGATTACAGGCGTGAGCCACCGCTCCCGGCCTTTTAACTCTCATTACTTTCCTTTGTTCCATGACTTTGGTGTCAAGATTTTTCACTTAGTGATTACCCTTTTTCTGGTGGTTCTCTAATTTTTCAATGTCCCAAGTTGAGATTTAAAAGGCAGTATAGCTAGTGGCTGACAGCACAGATTTTGCAGTTAGAGACATGCGCAAAACCCAGCTCTCCCATTACTAGCTACTTGATTACAATCAAGTCACTTAACTACAGTTTTCTCTTTGGTAAAATGGGGGTAATAATAATGATATCAATTAATGTGAGGTATTTAAAATAGTGTTCGGCATATAGTGAGTCCTCAATAAATTTTAGCTGCTATTATTAATATTATGGCTTCTAAATAGGAGTCCATTTTAGTTCTGATAATGAGTGATCTCTAGGGGAAGAGAAATTACAATTCTCTCAGGGAAGCAGGAACACAGGAAAACATACAGTCATTGCCAAATATGTTAAAAATTTTGCCTGCACAACAGAGAATATAACCTAAGTATCTATTAATAGAAGACTAGTTAGATAAATAAAATAAAGTATATCCATATGATAGAATACTATGCAGCTACTTTTTAAAATGCGGTAGATCTAACCTTCAGGCTGTATTGTTAAGTGAAAAAAGAAAAATGTATAATGGTTTCTGTTATATTTTATACATATATGTCATATAGGCTTGTGCTTATATAAAATAGAAGTATAAATAAACTCACAAGAGTAGTTGCTTCTGGAAAGATGAATTGGTAAGTGGAGGTAAGGAATGGGAGACAGGCATTTTGATTTTTGTTTTTCACCATGCACGTGGATTACTTTTTCAAAAAAGGAAAAAGGATTTGCCCACAGCCGAACTAGAAGTAGAATCTGCAGTTCTCTTAGGTATGAACATTACTTGTAGTGGGTACAAGAACTATACAGGCCCCAGGGTAAATGTTAGATATTGAACATTCTTGTTCTGAAAAGGAAAAATGTCTCATGGTAATTATAACAAGAGACATTGCTGGCTGGGCACGGTGTCTCGCACTTGTAATCCCAGCACTTTGGGAGGCCAAGGCAGGCAGATCACGAGGTCAGGAGATCAAGACCATCCTGGCCATCATGGTGAAATCCCATCTCTGCTAAAAATACAAAAAATTAGCCAGGCATAGCAGTGCGTGCCTGTAATCCCAGCTACTCGGGAGGCTGAGGCAGGAGAACTGCTTGAACCCGGGAGGCGGAGGCTGCAGCGAGCTGAGATTGTGCCACTGTACTCCAGTCTGGGCTACACAGCGAGACTCCGTCACAAAAAAAAAAGAGAGAGATATTGCTAAATAGTTTATGAGTAACACATAACAGGGACCAGCAATATCTCCAGAATTTCCTAAGAGCAGGGGCTTAGGAGTGGCAATTGGCTGGAAAGGGTGGGGATGATTAGGGAGTTGAGTCTCAAAGCAGGCTTTTCATAGGAAACATTCTTTTCTTTTTTTGGTTTATTACTTTGGGGTCCCTTTAGAGAACTGATGGAAAATATGAGGGCTTAAGGCTCCCTCCAATCCCTCACCTTGGTGTCATCATTAATAGGAAACATGCTCTACTTGGATGTATTTGATAAATGAACTCTTACACAGGCTGCCTGGAAACTGCACAAAACAGACAAAGGACCTTTTATATCCTCATCCAATACTCTAGAATTGAAACTTTGGTTAACCAAGCCCACGAAGTAAACAAACTTCTTATGGAGAAAACTCTATCGTCATTTAATGCCTGTATGAAGCCTCTGAACAAAGAGGAAAGAGCTTCAGAAGTCATTGAAAGAGTAATAAGGCTTGGCATTTCAATCTTTCCTGTAGTTTAAAACCTCAAACACTCAAAGAGTGTCTAACTTATTTACAGGTAACAATACCTGCGTGTGTACACACACTGCTCTAAGAATTTAAAAAGTAAGTTAAAAGTGTCCAAATTTGTGATATAAAATATTTAATTCTGCCTCTAGGTGGTGAGAATCCCACTGGCAAAATCCAATTTTCTTTCTCTTTCATGTGAAAAGGCAGTGGAGAAATATACAACTTTTTGCTTCAGAGAGGGGAAGTTCATTTTGTACTTTTCCAGTGAATCATTTAAAATCATGGCTAAAGACATTTTCCTCCACGTGGCATAAGATCCTTTTCCCCACTTACAGGCATAAGCAAGTAGTTAGCCAGAACCCAGCGATAATGCATTTTTAAAGGCTTGACCAAGCTTGATTGGACTGGAGGACTTTTAAGATATCTTTTTATTTGGATATATTATACCAGTTAATTTGTGTGAAGTCAATATCAACATTCACAAAAAGTGAAAATGGCACATAACTGAGCCAACTACACTAAGTGGAGGTATGTTATAATGTGTCAAAAACAAAGCAAACTGCAGTAAGCAATAAATTACATCTTAAAGCAAAGGAGTTAAATCTACTTTAGGATACAATCACATGAAGAAAACTAGCAAGATTTACATGTATGAAAATCACTGTAATTAAAGGAATGTGAGCAGATGTCACTGGCAGGCATTTTCTGTTTAAAAAGGACAAATGGGAATACCGTAGAAAAAGAATAAAAGCTCCAAGTCAGCCTTCCAAAATGACCGATGATAAATGACATCATAATTTTATTTATATTGGAATGTAAAAAGAAAAGGATAAATTATTTATTATGAAACAATATTATGTTTCCTAGAGTGATTTATGATACCGTGGAAGTAAATTAGAGTCTTCTAAATCCATACAGTTTGCACTCTACTTTTTCAAGCCAACAGGATTTAATGTCAGTAAGATTTCAATATATATGTTAAAAGTACAGTAAATAGGCCGGGCATGGTGGCTCACGCCTGTAATCCCAGCACTTTGGGAGACTGAGGGGGGCGGATCATGAGGTCAGGAAATGAGGACCATCCTGGCCAATATAGTGAAACCCCATCTCTACTAAAAATACAAAAATTAGCTGGGCATGACGGTGTGTGCCTGTAGTCCCAGCTACTTGGGAGGCTGAGGCAGGAGAATTGCTTGAACCAGGGAGGCAGAGGTTGCAGTGAGCCGAGATCGCACCACTGCACTCCAGCCTGGGTGGCAGAGCGAGACTCCATCTCAAAAAAAAAAAAAGAAAGAAAACAAAATTAGTGCAGTAAATAGAAACTGTAGCTGTGACCGTTACTCATAGACAACAGTGTAACGTATGTAAAATTTATAGCCACACCCACAGCTATTTATAGTAACACCATCACATTAACATTTTTTTCAGTAAGAAGAAAAACTTATTACATATTTTACATATGATATATATTTAAAGATATATTAAAGCATATGTTTCACAGAATAAATTTTTTAAAAATTCTTAATCATGAAGCAGTTATGTTATTCTTTAAGTATGAGTTGAGAAAACAGTGTATTTCTTTAACAGTTAACTAAACTATATATATATATATATTTTTTTTTTTTTTTTTTGAGACAGAGTTTCACTCTGTCGCCCAGGCTGGAGTGCAGTGGCATGATCTCAGCTCACTGCAGCCTCCACCTCCTGCCTCCCCAGTTCAAGTGATTCTCCTGCCTCAGCCTCCCGAGTAACTAAGACTACAGGTGTGTGCCACCACGCCCGGCTAATTTTTGTATTTTTAGTAGAGATGAGGTTTCACCATGTTGCCCAGGCTGGTCTCAAACTCCTGGCCTCAAGCGATCCACCCACCTCAGCCTCCCAAAGTGCTGGGATTACAGGTGTGAGCCACTGCTCCCGGTCCCAAATGGTATTTTTAAAAACCTAATGTTTTGAGGCCAGGTACAGTGGCTCATGCCTGTAATTCCAGCAGTTTGGGAGACCACAGTGGGTGGATCACTTGAGGCCAGGAGTTCGAGACCAGTCTGGACAATATGGTGAAACCCCATCTCTACTAAAAAATACAAAAATTAGCCAGGCGTGGTGGCACTCGCCTGTAGTCCCAGCAACTCGGGAGGCTGAGGCACAAGAATCGCTTGAACCTGGGAGGCAGAGGTTGCAGTGAGCCGAGATCATGCCACTGCACTCCAGCCTGGGTGGCAGAGTGAAACTCTGTCTCAAAAAAAAAACAACTTATGATTTGAAGCAAAAATAAATTTTCCTCAATGCTTATATAATGCTCCTTGCTACAAAAACTTCATCTTCTATAAAAAATCATAGTAGAACTCTACCAGTGTGATACTGATGACTGCATGGATATCCTTACCTTGTGCTGGTATCTTGTGTCAAATGCATGTTTTATCAAAAGATTCTTTATAACAGAGATAGCTGTATATCTGATCTCATAATTGTCCTGAAGAGCAATGGAAGTTTCCCTCAGAAGTAGACCAACCAAGAAGTGATGCTTGCAATACTCATCTGATAAACTGTATTCAAGATTTGAATCTGCAGTACAATGAAATTTAAAACCCATTTATGAAAATATTCAAAACATGATTATAATTAAAATACTGTATTATTTAATAATATGTGATCATGCTAGCAAGAGCTATAATTTTTATTATTAATGATTCTGAGCAATTCTTTTATCATCTAGAATAAGCATGCAAAATTTACAAGACAGGAGCACTCATATTTTGGGCTAAACGATAGCTTTAATGATCATTTCAGTCAGAAAGAAAGTCCCTAATTCTTTTTTTTCCCCTAGATTCTTTTAAACTCATAGAAATCTTAGGATAGAAACTACAATAAAATAATTATATATTTTGCAACGTTTTAACAGATTTCTTTATAGCTGAAGAGATTTTGTCACAACTATAAATTTGAAAAATTCTATGTAATAATACTTGATTTACTTATCCATTTATACTTATAAAGTGGGAAAAGACAAACTAAACAACTGAATAGTCTGACAGTATTGACTGTTTTAGTAAATATTATATATTGGGCTGAAAATATACATGGGACATAAGAACAATAAGGAAAACAGTCTCATTTCATTCCAATCCATCATCACTCAAAAACAAATATTTTATATCAGAAAATAATCACTTCGAACTAAGTCTTTCCCTTCCTTTAAGATCCTCAGTCTATTTTATTTATTTATTTATTTGAGATGGAGTCTCACTCTGTTGCCCAGGCTGGAGCTCAGTGGCACAATCTCAGCTCACTGCAACCTCTGCCTCCAGGGTTCAAGCAGTTCTCCTGCCTCAGCCTCTGAAGTAGCTATGACTATAGACGTGCACCACCATGCCCAACTAATTCTTTTTGTATTTTTAGTAGGGACGGGGTTTCACCATGTTGGCCAGGATGGTCTCGAACTCCCGAGCTCAGGTGATCTGCCTGCCTTGGCCTCCCGAAGTGCTGGGATTAAGGCATAAGCCACTGTGCCCAGGCTAGATCCTCAGTCTATTTTAAATCCCAGATGTTAATATCATGGTTGGGACTTGCTTTATAAGTACTTATAGGGGATTGTGATCAGGTTTAGTAATTTTTTTTTTTTTGAGACAGAGTCTCGCTCTGTCACCCAGGCTGGAGTGCAGTGGCGCAATCTCGGCTCACTGCAACCTCTGCCTCCCGGGTTCAAGCAATTCTGCTGCCTCAGCCTCCTGAGTAGTTGGGATTACAGGCATGTGCCACCATGCCCGGCTAATTTTTTTGTATTTTTAGTAGAGACGGGATTTCACCATATTGGCCACGCTGGTCTCTAACTCCTGACCTTGGAATCCACCCGCCTCGGCCTCCCAAAGTGCTGGGATTACAGACGTTAGCCATCGCGCCCAGCCAAGTTTAGTAATTTCTGTGGTAGATTTCTACTATCTTTATTTCCTCTCCCGTGCTATTTAATTAGATAGGCCATGAAGCCGAAGGATTATGTTTTCTATTTTTCTTTTGGCCTGTTCAGCACTTAATACAATGCTTTATATTCAGTTGGGACTTAATAAATGCTGCGAGTAGTCCAATTTAATCCTAAATCCTGATTATCTGTCCACCTCTTCTTTTTCCTGACTTCCTCATAGTTATAAATAAATATTGGGTGAATTATGTGAGCTATACATGTTCAGAATCGAATAAGGGGGTAGCTGAATAGGAGTGCTATGGTTTAAAAATATTTTTTTCTCCATTTTCACTGGCTATAATTCCATCACTAAAACCACCACTCAGCAGATACTTCTATACAGACCAAGGCAGATTATTTTCTTCCTGCATTGGTCTTGCTCTTTTGTGAATCCCTATCACCTTCTATGCACAAGGGCCAGGACTGACTAACAAAGGTGGCTTTATCTGAGTAGATTTTACAAATGGTAATCAATTTGTTATTTTGGTGATTTGAATAAATCCAATCAGGTGGTTTCATCTACACCTGCAAAATTGTGGCCAAGGTGTCACTAAACAGCATCTGAGAGAGGCAAGCCTGAGAGAGGAGACACACACAAAAAAAAAACAAAAACAAAAACAAAAAAAAAACAAGTAACTTCCAGTTCCCCATCCATGGCCTCTATGCTGGCTTGCAGCAGGAACTTGTGTTTTGAGGGAAAATGTTTTAAAGTTGATTTCTCTAGCAACACTCAGTTTTATTTTAAAACTAAACAAACACACTGCCTCCTAGATTTTCTGGGTACTTTAACTAAAGCCTCATTTTGGCTAGGGAGAATTTGAAAAGCAAACAAAGCCCCCATCCATCTTAGCAATTCATCAAATCAATTGTTTTCTAAAACAGCAAGCTAATTTAGAGTGAACCGAGTTAAACCTACCTACTGAAGTCAAACGGTCCACCGCAAATGAAAAAAAATCTAATTAATATATGAAAAGAAAAGGGACAAATAAAAAACATAGTAACATAAGAATAGTGCTATACAACAAAGCATTCAATAAAACTAGCAATGGAGATAACTGAAGGCATTTCATAAATTTAGCACAAACATGTTACCATTTTACTCTACCTTTACATTTTTTGATGCTTTGAGGAGAAATGCATTTATATGTCTTTTTCTTAATTTAGTCTCATACAAGATCCCAAACACTACTACAGAAAGTAATTTCACTAGTATCTGACATCTGTGTTTAAGCAGCAATCTATTAACACACCTGATTTCTTCACACTATGAACATTATTACTGATATTATGAAGGAAATGCAGAAAAACATTAATGGACTTCAGATAGTAACAATTCTGAAATTACCTTCAAGTTGACTGGTTCAACTAGAAAACATTATACTACACTAGCGCTAGCAAAACATGGAAAAAAACAAACTCAAATGATGGAAAATGCAAATACATGCCTTGAACCCGCTGCAGTTTAGGTTTTGCAAATGCCATTGGCAAGTTCAGAGGAATGTAATGTTCGTGATTGCAAATTGTTTGCAGAAATTCAAACTTGTATTCAGCCAGAACCTAAATGGAAAGAAATGATACATTAGCTCATATTTAGTAGGCATTTGCTATTTTAAGAATTTAATACAGCGCATTATTTTTCACAACGGAAGTGCTTAGTATTCTAAGCATACCTTGAGATGCGACCTGTGCAGGAAAGAGTTAACATAGCAGGTCCAAGACTGCTATCCTTTAAAAGGCCTGCTTGTTGGCTGGCATCTAAAAAATGAAATTTTGAAATGTTCCCTACATGTTAAGTTGCACCTTCTGTGTCAGCCTGCTTAGACTATTTGTACAAACATTGTGATTTATAGTGAACACCTGCTTTGCTTTCCTTTCTGAGAGTCTGGAATTTTGACCAGCCTCCAACACATAATCAGCCCCCAATAAAAACTCTCAACTCTGAGTTTTAAACAGGCTTCCTTGAACAGAAATATTGCACACTTACAAGTGCATTTTCACTGCTAGAAGGAGGCTGTGCTCTGTGAGACCCTTCACAGGAGGGAAAGAGCTCAAAAAGGCTGCATGTGGATTGCTACCCACCCCATTTGATGTCTTTTCCTTTCCCGATTCAGCTGAGTATCCTCATTATGTCACGCTCATGAATCTCAGCCATCAATACAACTATATGTTGAGTCTGTGAATCCTTAAAATGAGCTATTGAACACATGGGGGGTCCTGGGGACCCCAAAACACAGTCCAGTATTCCTTGCTTTTACGTATGTCTATAGTCCAACTACCTAAATAAAAACAACAGTTCCTAATCCCCTAGAAGAGAATAAATGTCACTTTGGTCTTATGCTCAGATGTCTGACATCCACTACAATCATGTCCTTATAACTTACCTTAGGATCTTTGGGGCTGAATCCAGATATATAGTCATTTATTAAATTGAAAATAAATCCTCTATCCATTAGTGTCAAACAGCGCTATAGAAACCAAAACAAAACTAAGGGTTAATTACATAATTCTAAAAGTCTAAATTTTAAAAATGTAAAGTTTTAAAAATTCAAAATTGGTTCCACACAAAAAGAAAGACATTTTTATTTTTATAGATAACTTTCTGAGCTTCAGGTGACCTTAAAGAAAAAGATAAAGGGCAAGTGGCATCACTGGAATTGGGACTGAAGGGCCTCAATTATACAGTTTTCAGAACAAGATGTATATATAGCCACACACACAAATATACATTTATCTATACATACACACACATACATACACAGACACACATACATATCTGTAATCTATTCAGCTACACTTCCTCATTTTGGTCAACTCTCAAAGCCCAAGCGAGTTGACCTCATTTTGGTCAACTCCCACTTCCAAAGGGAAGTGTAAGGTAGTCTGTTAGCTGATGAAAGTGAGGCTTGCCTATGTAAATATTAATAATTCAGACCAAAAGAGTTTTTGTGTTCAGTGAAGTCAAAGCATAAAACCTCCCTTCTCTGTGACAGCCCCAAGTTATTTATATTTGCCCACTGTCATTGTCCTAGTTAAGGCTCTCACTACCTTGCAACTGAAAAACTGCAGTTAACCTCCTCAGTCTTCATGTCTCTCATGTCTCTATCCATCTGCTTCCAGATTAACCTCTAAGTCCTAGCCCAATGGTGTCATTTTCCTGCCCCAAAGCTTCCAATAGTTCCCTATTGTCTCTAATACAATTTCAAATTCCTTAGCTTGCCATTCAAGAACACTCATAGTCTTTTCCCAACTTACTTGTCCAGCTTCATTTGCCAATAGATCTCATTGACTTTCTTTGACTCTGTCTCAAAACAGAAAAAAAGAGAGAGAGAGAGAGACAGGCAGAGTCTTGCTCTGTCACTCAGGCTGGAGTGTGGTAGCACAGTCATAGCGCACTACAGCCTTAAACAATCCTCCTGCCTGTCTCCCAAGTAGCTGAGACTAAGGCGGGCACCAGCATGCTCAGCCATCATTCACTTATTATCCCCTCGAGATGCACTGTGTATTCCCACCTCTAAGTCTTTGGCTTATGCCACACCTAGCAATTCTTTCGCTACTTCTATCTGGTCTTATTCATTCTTTAAGGTTCTCATGAAATCCCATCTTCCTTAACTACATTGGTCCATGGATCCTTTTAAACACTTTATTTCAGTATTAGCTTGTATTTTACTGACTGTTTTCCTGTCGTCTCACCTAGATTGGACAATAAGAATGATCTTTTCCTTTATATCCTTCATAGTGCCTAGAATATTTCTGTGAAATCCGAAGAATTCAATATTTGATTAACCAGCTACCTGCATCTTGCATCTCATACTCTCCTTTATACTTCTGCTGCCACTGCCCAGGGTAAGACCCTCATCACCTCTCATCTGGATTACTGAGTGAGGCTCATATTTATTTATTCCAGCATCCAACAAACATTTAGAGGATCTACTATGTTTGAGACAATGTACTACATTCTAGAGAAATACAAAGTGGAATAAGGCATGGTCCATAATCATGTCTAATAGTGAAGACAAACAAATAATGAAAAGATAGTGCACAATAACAGTGCCACAGAGCTATGTAAAAGACAGGTGAACAACAGAAGGGGTGATCAACACTGCATGGAAAGGCCAGGGAAGAGCTGAGCCTAAAAGATAAGTGGATTGTGCCACGCGGATGATTGGTTTTCTAATCGGTTGCCCTGACTCGAGTCTCTTCCTCACTTCATCTATCATACCAGCAAGAAAAGTATCCTCCCAAGTATTTGGTGTTACTCCATTGCATATGAATCAAAGTCCAAATTCCTTAACCTGACATTCAAGGCCTTTCATTATTGGCACCAGATGGCCTTTCCAGCTCTTTCTCCATACATCCTAAACTCATCACACGACTTTTCACTCGTCCCTGAACAATTTTTGAACATGCATATTTCATCTTTGTTCAGGGACCCTCTAACTGCAACATGCTCAACTCTTGTCTTGGGGAACTCTGCACTATGTTACTTGTTTCATGCTGCCTGGTCATAATCTCTCTCTCCCTTTCTAGTTTTTCTATAGTATTTTGTCTGTATTTCTGGTATTACTGTTATCACCTTTATCTTGTATATATATTCAAATTTGACTACTAACACGGCCTCTCACATCTTTGAATTGCCACACAGAAGTCAAGCCAATGTTTGCTGACTTGAATTAAGTAAATACTGCTACTAAACCAAAAATGTTCTATTCCCTTTACATAGTAAACTTCAACTTTAAACTCCATGGAAGAAGCTAATATTCTACATTTCAGATAATCTAATTCGTAGTTTATTTTAAAAAGATATGTGGATGTTGGCTTTTTTAATACACAAAAAAGGCTAGTGTAATAGGGTTAAAACTTTATTTTAATTCTGGCAAAGAGAAGTCTTATGTCAGAAAATCATACTCAAGATGTGTGAAACCTAGTTGTGAATTTTTAATTAACAATGAGGATATGTTAGAAACTAAAACTCCTTGGATGAATTGCTGCCCACAAGGTTCTTAATATGAAGAGTTTTGAGAGTAATGAAGAGCTTTGAGAAATGAAGAGAGGGAGAATGGAAAGAGGCAAGTAAAAACTAGGTGCATTTGCAACCCACGCTTGTCTCTGCCACACATCAAATATTGTTGTTACCCACTTTATCACAGTTACATTCAGGCCAAGAGGGGCAGATCACTTGAAGTCAGGAGTTCAAGACCAGCCAGGCCAACATGGCAAACCCCTGTCTCTACTAAAAATACTGGGCATGGTGATGCATGCCTGTAATCCCAGCTACTTGGGAGGCTGAGACATGAGAATCAGTTGAACCCAAGAGGCGGAGGTTGCAGTGAGCTGAGATCGCACCAGTGCACTCCAGCCTGGGTGACAGAGCGAGACTCTGTCTCAAATTAAAAAAAAATGAAAGAAAGCAAGAAAAAAGAAAGAAAAAACAGTTACATTCTCTCACTGCCACTTACATACTGACAATAACAAAACCTAATGATGGTAGTTTGCCATCTTTCATAAATATAGTTTTCTTCTGGTATATCCCAAATAAAATAACCTCACTGATCAACACTAACAATTTACATTTACACGTATTAGCAACATGTACACTGTGGTTACATCACCAAACAGGTTGCTTTAGTCCAAAAGTTGCAAAGTCAAAAGCCAACGGGGTCAGAGAAACGATTTAAATGAATGAGGAGGCTCAGGGCTGTAATAAGGAGTGGTAGGGATGGTGGCAACCTAGAAAGTATGTGCTCCCATTTAAATAAGCATTCAAACTATGCTTAAAAACACTGTGTACAACAAGCAACACTTGTCTTCTGACTAGGCCACCTGTATGTGTCCTCTGATTTAATTATTTGTCATTTCATTGGGGGATGGGGACAAATTTGTTGTGATCAGGTAAGCTAAAATATACAGCTTTTATCCAAAAGAGGCAATAACAAGTGTTGGTGAGGATGTGGAGAAAAGGGAACCTTCCTTCCCTATTGGTGAGAATGTAAATTAGTACAATCACTATCAAGAACAGATTTGTTTGTATTTCTGGTATTATTGTTATCACCTTTATCTTGTATATATAGTTAAATTTGACTACTAAGGTAGCTTCTCACATCTTTTCTTGTTTTGTTTTGAGATGGAGTCTTACTCTATTGCCCAGGCTGGAGTGCAGTGGTGTGATTTCGGCTCACTGAAACCTCCACCTCCCAGGTTCAAGGGATTCTCCTGCCTCAGCCTCCCAAGTAGCTGGGATTACAGGTGCCTGCCACCACACCCAGCTGATTTTTGTATTTTTGGTAGAGACGGGGTTTCACCATGTTGGCCAGGTTGGTCTCGAACTCCTGACCTCATGTGATCCGCCCACCTCGGCCTCCCAAAGTGCTGGGATTACAGGTGTGAGCTACTGTGCCTGGCCAGCCTCTCACATTTTTGAATCGCCATATAGAACACAAGCCAATGCCAATGTCTTCTATGGAGGTTTCTCAAATAACTGAAAATAGAGCTACCATACGATCCAACATTCTACTCTTAGATGTATACCCAAAAGGAAGAAAATCAGTGCATCAAAGAGATATCTACACTCCCATGTTTGTTGCAGCACTGTTCACAATAGCCAACGTTTGTAAGCAACCTAAGTTTTCCAACAGTCTTATGAAGACCTAGCTGAGCCTCTAGAAAGTGCTTAATTTTTTTCTTGGGCTTCCTATCAATGAAGAGGAGTTCCTTACCACATTCTAGCTGCCTTGAACTCACCTTCAGGAAGCTAGCCAAACTATAGTTCACATTTCTGGACTCATCGGGAATCTCCGCATACCGAATAGTCACATGGGGAATTATTGCAAGAAGCAGTGAATGTAAGACATGATGATATGTCTCGGGAAATCTCTGGCCTCGGGGAAGCTGAAATGAAATAGGCACAGAAAAAAGTCAGACTTCCAAAAGGTCTAAATCAATTGCCATTTTTACTTTCAAACACATTCTACAAATAAATATATCTTAAAACTGATGTATAATTGTTCTCCCAACTTAAAAATGACATCACTAGTTCAAGATGTACTTCACTCTATATAATTACAGGAACTATCTGGATCTCTAATAATCTACCTGACTGAGGTTATCAGCAAGAATGGGTTGTTCTGCCCCAACTTTGGAATATCATGCTTCTGAGTTACAGACACAACGCAGTTTTCATTCTACTTTTTTCCTGGCACACAAAGTATGCATGCACTTCAATTTCAGTAAACATATTCTGTGAAAATTCTGATAAAAAATAATTAAGTATAAGGTAAATATTTTGTACTTCACAAGTCTTAGCTTTATGATTCCTATGAATAAGAAAATATTTTTATACCTTTCAAACAATTAAAAATTACAACAAAATGTATACATCACATTCCGGGATCATATCTAGTGCATAAAGTGTTTGTAACACTCCACGTGCATGGGCAAGCGCTATGTCTGATTTAACCAAATGGGTCTTCTCGAGAGACATTTTTAAGCCATAAGACAAAGGCAAAGCTTCAAAGGTAATGAGATGTACATGGCAAATGATTATAGGAAAGAATCTATGTGGAAAAGTCTCTGCAGATTAGACGGTGAGAACATATCAACTGCGAGACCTCAGATTTATGCAATAGATCCATTGTTTTGTAAGCAACATTGAAAAAGCCAAGCACTAGCAGCCTTTAAATATAAAATGGGATTTGCATGGCATGGCTATCTGAGAGTAAGATTAGCTTTTTTTGTCTCCATCAAATATTATTCTTATATATACAATTATCATTTGCCAATTGAAAGTTATTCTTTACCTTAATTTACTTACCTTAATCTTATTCTCTTCCAACAAGTATGTGGCCATTGACTTTGCAATTATTTCAAAGAAAAACCATGAGTACTGAAAAAAAAAGAAAGAGAATCTTTAACGGTTACCAAATCTCTGAAGCTTAGCAAAGTTTGACAGATCAATATGGGTCTTGTCTTTGAATTTTACTAACATTTTCAAGTGATCCCAAGTCACTATCAAAGTCACAGAATATCTGCAAATGGTTTTAGCAAAAAGGTACTATTGTACTTCAGGGTTGACTGGTAATATATAAAGGAAGGATGGGAACCTTTGTCCCACTGGGGAGTATTTTATCCCCAAAATTGTTTCTAATTGCCCTCAAGTGGTAATAAGAGCAAACTAACTTCTAGTTTATCTTGTTACCGCTTTTAAATGCTCTATAGACAATGAATCTTATTACCACCTGCACTTAGCTTGGACCCCAACCCTGCTCTTGATGTGACATTCGTGCAGCCTAAGTAGCCTAGATGTTTGCCTACCTCATGTAATTTGAAGAGTAGAGAGAAGCCCCAATCAGATATACTCCAAGATACTCGAAATTCTACCATTAATAAAAGAAGTAATAAAAATAATGACAATAATAAGAGCTATCATTTCTTGAGTGCCTACAATGTGCCAGGAACGATGTGTTAAATGCTTTACTTGTATTTTAGAAATGAGGACTTGGAGGCTCAGAAATGTTAAATACCTGGCCCCAGGTCACAAAACTATTTTGTGATGGATACAGGATTCTAACTCAGGTCTATCTGATCCAAAATTCTTTCTTTTACACATTTAAATGAGGGCAGGGGGTGGGTAGTTGGGGTGAAGAAGGTTCTGTGGAGAACTTCAGGAAAAGGATGCATGGGCAAAATGGTGGAGAAAGGACGGGTCACATGTGAAACTGATGAAAGACTAGAAGTGAAACGGGAGGGTATCAAAAAAAGTGTGTCTATGGCTGCTTTTGTTCCTTGTTGTGTCCTGTGTTCATACCTTTAGCAATTTGTTTATTGATAAAAAATCTGCAGACTGTTTCAATATTGCTATCATCGTAGTAGCCAGGGTTTCATGTATCAGCTGGGCCTGAGGAGCACTCGGTTTTTCAGGTCGGAAGCTATACTACAAATAAACAAACAAAAAAAAATGAACTGTAAGACAAAATTGTCACATAAAACAAATTGCTCAGAAAGAAACTTTACTCCACAAACCTTTATGAATGATCTTAGATAACTATCCAAGCCTTCTTCATGGCACTTTGATACAATATGTAAGAGAACCCTGAAACGACATTCACAAGAGTCAGCATGTCATGCTATAATGAATTAACATATTTTGATTCTTAAGATCGTCATGTCTAGCCCCCAAAACATCTAACACTGCCTGAATAATTAAAAGTGAGATGATTGCATTAGATATAATGGTGATAGTTTAGGCATAACAAAGATTTCAGCATCTAACATGCTTGGGCCTTATGAAATATATTTCCTAGTTCAAAAGAAGGATATTTAATTTGACAACCCAGATGTCACATCTGTTTCTAAATCTCTGTATGTGTCTGAAGCATGGTGGTAGCTACTATCCAGTAAAAGACTTCAAATTAGGTAAATATTGAGATCTCCTCTAGTGAGAATAAAAGGAAGAGAATAGAAAGATAAAATGAAGGCTGAATCCCAGCACTTTGGGAGGCCAAGGCGGGTGGATCACGAGGGCACAAGATTGAGACCACAGTGAAACCCCGTCTCTACCAAAAAATACAAAAAATTAGCCAGGCGCGGTGGCGGGGGCCTGTAGTCCCAGCTACTCGGGAGGCTGAGGCAGGAGAATGGCGTGAACCCAGGAGGCGGAGCTTGCAGTGAGCCAAGATCACGCCACTGCACTCCAGCCTGGGCAACAGAGCGAGACTCTGTCTCAAAAAAAAAAAAAAAAAAAAATGAAGGCCCGGCACGGTGGCTCATGCTTGTAATCCCAGCACTTTGGGTGGCCAAGGCAGGTGGATCATGAGGTCAGGAGTTCGAGACCAGCCTTTCCAACACAGTGAAACCCTGTCTCTACTAAAAATACAAAAATTAGCTGGGTGTGGTGGTGGGCGCCTGTAATCCCAGCTACTCGGGAGGCTGAGGCAGGAGAATTGCTTGAACCCCAGGAGGCAGAGGTTGCAGTGAGCCAAGATTGCACCACTGCACTCCAGCCTGGGCAACAGAGCTAGACTCCACCTAAAAAAAAAAAAAAAAAAAAAAGAAGGAAAGGAAAAGAAAAGGGAAAGGGAAAAGGAAAGGAAAGGAAAAGGAAAAGGAAAGGAAAGGGAAAGGAAAGGAGAAGGAAAGGAAAGGAATAAAGACGCAATGAAAAGCATGTCAACGGGGAAAAGGAAGGGAGAGCCGGGGCAGGTGTAATGATATGAACTATAATTGGGGGTAAGAGACTAGCAGTGTCCTCAAAGTTTAGCATATATCAGAAGCACCTGGTGGGCCCTTTTAATAGATTGCTCAGCCCCTCTCCCGGAATTTCTGATTTTGTAGGTCTGGAGTGAAGCTCAATGATTAACAATTTTACTAAGTTCCCAGGCGATATTGATGCTACTGGTATGGGAACCATGTTTTGGAAACCACTGGCCTAAAGTTTCTTCCATTTTCAACAACACTATCCCCAACAGCAGCGATGCCCGCAAATGGTGTGTGGCTGTGGTGTGAGGCCTGCTGGAAGAGGTTGTGGCAACAGCAGAGGCAGCAAAGCCAAAGCCAGAAACTTCCAGCACTCAGCCCACAATTTAAGTACCCTGTTTTGATTTCAAAATTCAGGTGCATTTTGCATTCTACTCTACAATATATCCTTGTTTGTTTTCACATAAAAATAATACTTCCTTATTCTTTCAAGTAAAAATTGATGGCTTGGGGCCACATTCTGTTAAATATGCATCCCTAGTCACCTGTGTCTATTTAAATTGATTAAAATTAAAATTACACACAATTAAAAATTCAGTTCCTGCAGGAAGCGGTGGCTCACGCCTGTAATCCCAGCACTGGGAGGCCGAGGCGGATGGATCGCCTGAGATCAGGAGTTTGAGACCAGCCCGACCAACATGGTGAAACCCCATCTCTACTAAAAATACAAAATTAACCGGGCATGGTGGTGGGCGCCTGTAATCCCAGCTACTCGGGAAGCTGAGGCAGAAGAATCGCTTGAACCCGGGAGGCGAAGTGAGACATTGCACTCCAGCAGGGGCAACAAGAGCGAAACTCTGTCTCAAAAAAAAAAAAAAAAAAAAAAATTCTGTTCCTCAGCTGAACCAGCCCCAGTTGAAGTCTCAATAGCCACATGTGGCTGGTGGCTGCTATATTGAACAACACAAGTGCAGAACATTTACATAATTGGAAAAAGTTCAATTGGAACTTATATATTTATCTTCTTAAATACATAAAGCAAATATTAACGAACATGAAAGGAGAAATATATTGCAATAGAAAAATAGAGGACTTCAATACCCCACTTTCAACAATGGACAGATCAACCAGACAGAAAAGTAATAAGGAAACATTGGACTTGAACTACACTTAGACCAAATAGACCTAACAGACATATACAGAACATTCCATCCAACAGCAACAGAATATCCATTCTTTTCATGAGCACATAGAATAGTCTCCAGAATAGACCATATATGTTAGGCCACACAACAAGCCCTAAGAATTATAAGAAGACTGAAATCATATCAAGTGTTGTTTCCAACCACAATGGAATGAAACTAGAAATCAATCACAGGAGAAACCGTGGAAAATTCAAAATAGGTGGAAATTAAACATGTTCCTGAGTCAAAAAAGAAAAGGGAAAATTTAAAATATCTTGAGACAAATGACAATGAAAACACAACATACCAAAACCTATGGAATGCAACAGCAGTTCTAAGAGGGAAGTTTATAGTAATGAATACCTCCATTAAAAAATAAGAAAGATCTCAAATAAATAGCATCTTTGTATTATAACACCAAAACTCACATGGTGCAGTTGATAGGAACGTCATCTTCATGGGTCATATTTGTGAGAACTCGGAAGAGTTGCATAAGAATTACAGGTAGAAACTGTATCATGACTTGGATCTCCATGGCATGCAAACACTAAAATTAAGTCATTATTAGTTATGAAAACAAACAGAAATATGATAAAATTTGCAAATGTGAAACAGCAAAAAAATTAAGTAGTGAGAAATACATTGACTAGCATATAAGCTCAATTAAAAGTGAGCTTTCCATTGGATAGGGGGCTTTTTTGTTAATTACTTAATCCACACCTCTATTTGGCACTCAGATTTTGTTATTTAACATTAAACACTTTACTAAAGCTAATAAGTATAATTTGGATAAACAGTTTTTAGAAAATTGACAACTGACTCCTGGTAAACCAACACTCAATTGCCTGGGGCAGTGGGGAGGAACAGATGTTTGGAGATGATACTGGAGATGCATCTACTAACCCCCAGGCATTCTGTATGTTCTGCAGGGGAATGTGGGCATCAGTTAATCTGGTGACAAGTTAAGTGGAATGCAATAAAGAGTGGTTCTATATGTAATTGGCTCTACACCATCACCACTACAAAACGGAAGCACTTTTGCAGTCTAAGAATCTCACAATACATTTCCTTCAAAGTGCTAACACTGTGTCTCCAATGATAAGTGCGTTACAAACATCAAAAAGAAGAAACGTGATCATATATACAGAGAAATAATACAAACAGTGAAAGTTGTTCAATTTCTTTCTTCTTTCTTCCCTTCTCTCCACATCATTCACTCACTCAACCAGCTAACCAAAAAAAAAAAAAAAAAAAAAAAAAAAAGGAAACAAACCTCGCTGAGCATCTTTCTATATCAATTCAATGTGTAGTGCTAGGGGAAATAGAGAGGTGGATAAATCAAGTCTCTGTACTTAAAAAACTCATAAATTCTCTTTCCCAGATTCCCTGACTTTTGCCACTATCTGTCTTCAAGACCCTCTAATCAATAACCAAAATAGTATAAATCATTTTCTTTTTAGCAGGTCTCTGTACAATTTCTCTTTACTCTCCATACATCCAACTCTCATTTCTAAATTAATCTTCCTCAAATACTCGTTACATTAGACCACCTCCTGCCAAGATTTTTTCGATGTCTCCCCATAGCCTATGGCAGTGGTTCTCAACCAGGGGCCATTTTGTTCCCGACAGATTTGGCAATGTCTGGAAACAGTTTTGGTGGTCACAACCAGGGAGTGATACTGACATCTAGTGGTCAGAGGCCAGCAATGCTGCTAAATATCCTACGACGCACACACAGACCCTCACGGACAAAGAATAACTCTACCTCAAAATGTCAATAGTGCGAAGATTGAGAAATCCTGGCGTAGAGTATCAAGACCAAGTTATTTCAGACCTAACTGACATTTTCAGCCTAAACAATCATCACTGTTCTCTACAAGGCCAAACTGGTATCTCTGGTTTCTTCACTGTTCTTGAATATATCATATACTTTCCTGCCTTTGTGTCTGTTCATCGTTTTTAGCCAAATCCTGGCTACTCTTTCAAGGCAAGTACAAATCCCCACTTCAGTGAAACCATTCATTTTCTCATTCGACAAAGGGCAAACAAATGAACTTCCAATAGCCAAGCACACCAAAAACAAAAGTAAACCCAAACAAATAAAGGCCATGGTTTCTACCATCAAGTAGTTCACAGTGTACAGGGGATAAACACATGGAACTAAATAATTGCAATATCAACAGTAAATAGCATGATCATGGAATATACAAAATGCACAAAGAAGCAACTGAGTGTGCAAGTGGGTAGGGAATGTCTGGTAAGGCCTCAGAGATGAGAAAGGGTAAATGATAAATAGAATAGTGCCAGGTAGAAAAGAGAGATGGGCATTCCCTGCTACCAGTAGCAGTCCTCTGTAATTTATTCTCAACATGACAGCCAGAGTGTTCTTTCTGAAATGCAAATTAGACATTGCCATCTTTCTGTTGTTAAAAAACAAAACAAAACAAAACAAACTACCACGAACAAAGAGCTATCATAAGCTTCCATGCCTACGACATACCCGGCCTGTCCCGCCAAACCTGTCACTTGCCATCCTCCCCTCACAATGCACACTGTACTATAGCTACACGGTCTTTTATTTTTCTGTCCTTCAAACATGCTGATGTAAGGTGTTTACACCTACTGTGATATTCTGTTATCCTTTTACACGACTTTACCCCCTAAGGTTGTCTTCCTCTCATCCTTTCAGCTTGAAATGCTATTTCCCCCAATAGGCCTTCCCTGACAACTCTATGTAGAATACACTCCTGGTCATGTTGGATCTCATTAACCTGCTCTTTTCTTCATGGCACTCACTTATAATCTCTCTACCACAACTAGAAAAGGTATGCTGTCTAAACTGTTCCCCATTTGATTCATAGCATCCAGAACAATGTCTGGCCCATACTACATGGTCAATAAATATTTGGTGACTTACTGAATAAATGAATAAAATAAGAAAGTAGGCCGGGCGCGGCAGCTCACACCTGTAATCCCAGCACTTTGGGAGGCTGAGGTAGGCGGATTACTTGAACTCAGGAGTTCGAGACCAGCCTGGCCAACATGGTGAAACCCTGTCTCTACTAAAAATACAAAAATTAGCCAGGCATATTGGTGCATGCCTGTAATCCCAGCTACTTGGGAGGCTGAGGCAGGAGAATAGCTTGAACCCGGGAGGCAGAGGTTGCAGTGAGCTGAGTTCATACCATTGCACTCCAGCCTGGGCAACAGAGTGAGACTCTGTCTCCAAAAAAAAAAAGACAGGAGCCCTCTAGTCTACAGTAGTTCCTCAGTTCACCGAACCCTCAGCACTTGTGCCCTGTATCACATACTGGACATTTAATCATATATTGCTTTGAACTATTAATTGTATTATTGACAGACTGTCATTTAACTTATGTATGTCCTGTCTCTTCAGTTAGACTGTAAGTTCCCCTATGGACAATAACCCTAAATTATTCTTCTCTGTAAGCCTCAAAGAGCTAGGAAAATACTAAATATATAACAAGAGCTCAACAAGTGGATGGTAAATGAATTCTTGAAACAATGTCATTTATAGGAACAAGAGATAGCAAGGTGTGGTAGAAAGAACATGGGACTTGTCATAGTCTCACCCCAGTTCTGCTACTAACCAGTTGAATGTCTACAGGCAAGTCACCTCTACTTGGGCCCCAGCTTCCTCATCTGTTAAAAAAAAAAAAAAAAAAAAAAGTCTTGGCCGGGCATGGTGGCTCACACCTGTAATGCCAGCACTTTAGGAGGCCCAGGTGGGCGGATCACCTGAGGTGAGGAGTTCAAGACCAGCCTGGCCAACATGGCAAAACCCCATCTCTACTAAAAAATACAAAAAAAAAAAAAAAATTAGCTGGGCATGGTGGCGGGCGCCTGTAGTCCCAGCTACTCGGGAGGCTGAGGCAGGAGAATTACTTTAACCCAGGAGGCGGAGGTTGCAGTGAGCTGAGATTACGCCACTGCACTCCAGCCTGGGCGACAGAGTGAGACCCTGTCTCAAAAAAAGAAAGAAAGAAAAAAAGTCTTAAGAATCCTTTTCAGCACTAAGGTTATATAGAGGAGCTTGGCTATTTCTGAAATCACATGGTATTTCATTGACTACCACTAGAGGGAGAGCGTAGGTCACATAAATACCAGAAATTCCACATCTTCAGAAAAACAAATACGAGAACTTTTCTATTTTAAGAATACCCGTATATATGAAAATGATGTTCTTTTCCATTCCACTTGATTGAAACTTTTATAAAACTTTCCCATGTGAAGAACAAACCTTAACAAAGCATTCATACATATTGAAGTCCTAGATATTTACCTGAGGAAAGGATTTAAAAGTTAGATGATTATCATACTTTTTTCTTTTTTTTTTTTTTTTGAGACAGGGTCTCGCTGTGGCCCAGGCTGGAGTACAGTGGCATGATCACAGTTTACTGGAGACTCAACCTCCCAGGCTCAAACGATCCTCCCACCTCAGCCTCCTAAGTAGCTGAGATTACAGGTGTGTGCCACTATGCCCGGCTAATTTTTGTATTTTTTTATAGAGATGGGTTTCACCATGTTGATCAGGCTGGTCTCGAACTCCTGGGCTCAAGCAATCTGCCTGCCTGGGCCTCCCAAGGTGCTGGGATTACAGGCATGAGCCATTGCACCTGGCCTATTATACGTCTTAATGATAGTTAAGAACATATAGCCATATAGCCACCACTTATTGACTGTCTCCCTTCTACTCTTCCAACAGTGTGTTTTCTATATGGTAAGCAGAATGACACTTTAAAAACCAAAGTCACATCATGTCACACTTCTGTCCAAAGCTCCATATTCCTATCTCACTCGGAGTAAATTCAAACTCCTCGCCATGGCTTATGAAGCCTTACTCGACAAGCTCCCAGCAACCTCCCCAAGGTAATGTCCTATCACTCTGTGTCCCAGCCACACTGGGATTCTTGCTGTTCCCCAAACACACCAAGCCAAGCTCCTCGGGGCCTTTGTACTTGCTGTTCCCAGCTCTCCCCGAGAAATCCACATGGCTGGCACTCTCATTTCCTTTAGGTCTCTGCTCAAATGTGCCTTTACTAGAGAGATTTTCTCTGGCCACTTTAAAACAGGGACCCCTTGTAAATCCCTGCTCCCCTTCATTGTGCTGGTTTTCTTTATAACAGTTATTACCATATGAGATGACGTATATATTTATTAACTTATGTGTTTATTGTCTGTCTCAACAAGTAAGCTCTTTGACAATAGGGATATTATTTGTTTTCTCCACTTAAATTTCCAATGCTTAGAATGATGCCTGGCCCATAGGAAGCACTAAAGAAATAAGTGTGGCATGAACGATTACTATCCGGCAGATGCCCTAATCTTTTTCTTTTTTCTTTTTTTTTTTTTTTAAAAAAAAAGAAAACAAACCAGAATCTCGCTGTCACCCAGGCTGGCACAATCTCAGCTCACTGCAACCTCCGCCTCCCAGGTTCAAGCGATTCTCCTGCCTCAGCCTCCTGAGTAGCTGGGATTACAGGCGTATGCCACCACGTCTGGCTGATTTTTGTATTCTTAGTAGAGACGGGGTTTCGCCATGATGGTCAGGCCGGTCTTGAACTCCTGAGCTCAAGCAATCTCCTGCCTCGGCCTCCCAAAGTGCTGGGATTATAGGCGTGAAGCACCATGCCCAGCTCCATCATCTCATTTAAGTCTCACAACCACCCTACAAGATGGGCACTATTGTTATCCTCACATGACAGATGAAGAAACAAAGGCTCAGAGAAGTAACTTGGTCATGGTCAGTTACAGAGCTAGTAAGTGACATGTGGGATACAAGCTCAGTTTATGATTCCAGAACCCATATATTTGATCTCATCTCATACTACCTCTCTGAAAGAAATGAACATTTTTGTTTCCTGAGTATATCATTAAGTAATAGCATATGTCCAAAGGTAAATCCTAAAGATGTTTCATTTAAAATAATATTTCCTCAGACTTGCTATAGCTATCTTACTAAAGGAACAATTAAAAGAAGAGAGCCACTGTCAGGCAAATTATGATATGCACTGTAGTCCTAGCACACAGGGAAAAAACCAAGTGTTAGGTCCTCTATACATGTGGTAAGATACAATATGCCAACATGCATAAAATATGTGTCTTTCATTAGCTAGCCCCTTTGTTAGTCTATCACCCATGGACACAAGAACAATTTCACATTTCATTCCAAGTCAAAGTGATTCCATTCCTCCTGGCCCTTTCCCCCACAGCATCCTCCACCTTTATTGGGCAGTCAGCAGGAAGAGAAAGCCCCTGAAAAATCAATTTATGGACCTGAAATAAACATTTTCATGAGAGTTTCAAAAATATGATGCTGCATTGTGGCTATTACATTTTCTTCCTAATGTTGCCACTCTGCTGTCTGCTTCTAAACAGCCACATGATGGAAAAATACATCATAGAAAGTATTCTCTTGAGGAAATACAGCCAAAAATATTTTAAACTGTCTGTTTGCTTTTTTTTTTCACACCAAAATGTGGCAACAGAAAGACATGAAAAACAAACGTTTTGCAGAAAGCTGCTGTTCATTTACCTTTAAATATTTAATGAGCTCCCCTGGAACTTCTTTCGAGCCTGACTGAATCAGCTGGCAATGATGGAAGAATTTGTGCACATGCAGATCCTGGAACACAGATGGAAACAGCCATATGAAATTTGATTCATTATCCTCAAATGCAAGCTCTCTACCTCTCCCTCCTCCTGTATCTTGCAGACCTATTTATCCGGTATTCTAATGCCCAGGCTCAGCAGCTCTTGACCACTATACAAAGCAGCAAAACCAGGTAAATCTGCCATGTACACAAGCACATGGGGTAGGCCACCATTTATGCCCAACTAGCTAAAGATTCATTTGATTCCGACTTTGACTAGTGTGTTCTATGAAGTTGGGCTGCTTCTCCATTTTAATGAAATAAGCAGGAATAAAGGTATGAACTGAAAAAGATACAGATAAATAAATAATAAAGATGTGAACTGATAAAGAAAAGATAGCAGCAGGAAGTTAGCAGAACAATAGTCTCAGGCATTCAGTACCCAAATTTACCATGGCACTTCACTGGCAAGGGAGTCCAACTGTCCTATGTGGAACCCATATACACTGATTCTGTAGACAGCATGGACTACATCAGGAACCAGAATAATGAAATGTGTGTTTTGACCTGATTCCCCTGATTACTACTCTGTGACCTTGGGTAAGTCACCTAACCTGCCTGAGCCTCAGTTTCCTCACCTATAAAATGGAGATGATGGCTTCCACATTCCTTTCAGAGTTCTGTGAGGCTCAAATCAGTTAATGAGAATTAAAAGATCATGTAATTTGAGAGGAATTATAATATTTGAGATAGAATGACTGTTTTTTTTTTTTTTTAAGAGACAGGGTCTTACTCTGTCTTCCAGGCAAGAGTGCAGTGGCGCAATCATAGTTCACTGCAGCTTTGAACTCCTGAGCTCAAGCAATCCTCCTGCCTTAGCCTCCCAAAGTACTGAGATTACAGGCATGAGCCACTGCACCTGGACAGATGTTATTACTAATGAGAAAATCTTGCAGGTCACATATTCTCTAAGGCTGTAGGAATCAAATGTGGTCTATTTTAATCAAACAAACTCAAGTATAAAAATTGACAAAATTCAAATGATGCAACTTACTTGAGTGTAAATGGTAGATTCTAAGTGGCTTTTAATCTTCAACAAAGGCTTTGCACCATCTACCCATTTAATATCCACGTTACATTGCTGTGAACAGAAAATTGAGATTCTATAACATAATAATGGATAGATGAATAACATATAATACCTTTATGCATTTAAACATTTTTTTCAGAAATGAATGTATTAATTTCATACCAAGAGATTACTGGAGAAAATACCCTGCCTTTAGAATAAATGTATCATAAATCATTTTACATTTCCAATCCTTTGCAGACTATTTTTATAAATTATGATAAAATGAATTACTTAAATAATTTTTTAAAATTATGCACAAAATCTGAGCCCCACTAAAAAAATTATTAAAATCAACAGACATAAAATTACTTTGTCAAACTGCTATAAATTCTAAACATGCACATTCCATGTTTATCTTTGTTGTGGACCCGCACCAGCCCTCAGACCCCACTTTGAGTAACATTGTACTAAACAATCGAGACCAACAGAATTCTATTTTTTGCACATTTAATCATGATTACTTCAACAAATGCAGTATTTTCCTACCCTTCTTGATTCTGCATCATTCAGATTCAAGTAGCCTGGGGGAAGATTGGCGGAAACTGGCAGCTGCTGCTCAAATGTGATGATTCTACCATCTTTCAGCAAAGGTACCCAGGCAAACCCAACTGCCAAGATAATAACAAACTGTGAGAAATGAAATATCAAATGCAATCAGCTACACAAATGGCTGACTGCTAGGGGGCAGGGCAGGGTGGTGATGTCTCCAGGGATCTGTATGTGGGAGTTCAGGTGCTGGGCAACTGAGTACTGGGGAAGGAACAATGGGTTTGGATCGACTCTGAATCCCAGCCTGGCCACTAACAAGTTATGTACTCTATTTCTTTGACCATAAAAATGGGAACAGCAACATGGCCTTTCCATCTACAAGAATTATTGAGAAACCTAGAGTGAGATTATATGAAAACATTTTAAACCTTTAAAAGCGCATCGATACCATTATCTTTATGCTTTGGGAAATATTTTTGGTGGATTTATTTTCAAAAGGCTCAGATAGTTCTCATCCATTCTTACACTAAGAGTGCAGAGTCTCACGGCTGAGACTATTTCAGATAACAATCACATGTTCCAAAATTTCTTATGGCAACCCTAGGGTAAGGAACTATGGAAAATTAAGGTCACAAAGTCACGGCTACACTCCATATTTATACAAGGCAGTAGGCATAAATCATTTAGTTAGGCAGACTTGTCCTGATTACAGAAGGAAGAGGTGTAGGTGTAGGTAGGAGAATGCAGGCAGGAAATAGTGTTTATGACTTGAATCCATCAAGAGATTTTCCCCAATCTCTACATTTCTTAACAGTTCTCCCCAAAAGAGCCTTTTGGCTTTCAATTAGAAAACTCATCATGTTCTAGCTAAAAAAGCCAGAGCCATCTGTGTTACTCAAGTTGAGTGGTGTCAGTATTTCCATTATAGAAATTACTCTGGGATTCAAGTGTTTATAACTCAGCTGTAAAAAAGCTTGCTCTGGACTGAGTTTTGGCATATGAGAGAGGGTATTGGCTGGAGAACATTTTTTAAAGCTACTGCTTTCTGATTCTTTAAAATTATTTGTGACTCTGTGTGTGAGTGTGTGTGTGATACTGTGAACACAGAAGTCAACACAAATCTGGTTAGAATGTTTTCATTTATGTGTTTAATTTGGCAAATGCTTTAATTCTTAAAAGGAGACTAAAACATTGCTTCTCTAAGTAGACTAAATGGCTTTCTCAGACTCCGAAATGTGCCTGACGGGCATCTTTACTAGTTCAACTACAGAAATGCTTTACCCAGACCTTTTCTTTTATAAAAAGCAGAGGAAAGTAACATGAGCAGAAGAACCATTAGAAATGACTCTGTCAAAGTAGTTAAACTAAAAATTTGACAAATGAGAAAAGATTTCCAGCCCAGAAAATAGGAAAATGAAAGGAAAATCTATTTCTTGTTCTTAAGCAACATTTTTAAATAGAAATTTTTATTGAGACCTCATTCAGATATACCACACAATTCATCTATTTAAAGTGTACATATAGTGGTCTTTAGTATATTTGCAAAGTTGTATCTCCATGACCACCACTTAATTCCAGAACTTTTCATCACCCCCAAAATAAATCCCATAGCCCTTAGAAGTCACTCCCCATTTCCCTCTCCTCCCAGCCCCTGGCAACCGATAGTCTACTTTCTGTCTCTGTGGGATTGCTTAGGCAACATTTTTGTACTGTAAATGAATCAGAGCACGACCAAGCGTTTCCCCTATTCAAAACTCATAGAGAGCACTTGGAAGCTATAAAGGTACAATGTCAAGCACACCATCTGGCTCAAAGGTGGGAAGCCACTTAAAGAATGCACAGTTCAAAGTGATGAGTGGCACACGGAATAACTGTTTCATGCTCCGCTGAGCATCTTGTCCACTTCTGTCTAGGATTTGGATAATGAATCAGTAATTTAGCTTTCAGGATGTACACATGGTCATGGGTTCTCATCGTTCTGCCAGTTTTCTTCTCAATCCTCAAAGCCCCTACCCTGAACTAACGGCAATTTCTATGGGGATAAAGAACATATCCATACTACCTGCAAAGGGAACTCCCTCATATTCAGTCCTGCTGCCTGCTGGGTATCACTCCAATGTCTCACTAGCACCTAAAACTCAACTGATGTCCCAAACCTGCCATCCCTACCCACAGTTTTGCTATTGGCAATACCTTCTTTCCAATCACCCAGTTTTGAAACTTCATTGCTAACTAAATCATCTCTCTAATAGCCAATCACTTTCCAGGTCCAATATGTTCTTCTTCTGCACTTCCCTTTCTCTCTGCCCCCGCTGCTACTGCCATAGTGTGGCCTCTTCCTTTCCTGGACTTTTGAAATAACCCTCTAACTGGTGTTCCTTTCTTCCTCTTCCTGCTTCTACTTGCCTTGCCCATTATACTGCTGCCTGGTTGGTTTTCCTGAAAAACTGCTCTAATGTTTAAAACCCTCCAATAGTTCTACTGTGGTGATAGAATAAAATAAAATCTATAGCCTGGTATTCAAGGCTTTCCAAAATCTGATGCCTCCTGTTCAACCTGACATCCTATGATCCCCCTCCTAGCACCCTGTGCTCCAGGCTTAGTGAACTACTTGTGGTTTCCTGTCCATGCCTCTTGATACTCTGCCTCTGTACAAGCTGTTCCTTCACCCCATAATCCCCTACATTCCTGCCATTGTTGCATTATCAAACCCCACCCAACCCTTTAAGGCCTCACTCAAACACCATCTCCTAGAAGCCTTCTCTGATTCTCAGCCACTCGTCTCTCCACCAGCTGAATAACTCGCTCTTCTGAGTTCACGTAGCACTACTTTCTTAAACACCACTTTCTATCTTGTATTATAATTGTTTACGCAGGACTCATTTCCCTTACTAGATCATATCCTCACTGAAGATGAGATCTGTGTTTGATTCTCCACTGTATTCTCCAAAGTGCCTACTACAATATCTTGTACATAATACAGTTTGAGTATCCCTTATCTGAAATTTTTAGGAACAGAAGTGTTTCAAATTTCTGATTTTTTCAGATTTTTTCAGAATATTTGCATAATACCAGTTGATATCTCAAATCCAAAAATCCAAAATATGAAATGTTCCAATAAGCATTTCCCTTGAAGATCTTGTCAGTGCTCAAAAAGTTTCCAATTTTGGAGCATTTTGGACTTGGGGATTTGGGATGCTCAACCTGTATGCAGAAATATTTGCTGAATGAATGAATGAGTGAATAATACAGACTAGCTGGGATCTGAATCTTAGGACATGCTGATGTTCGTAAAGTGCTTGTGATACAAGCTGTGTTCACAAGGCCTTCTATTTCTGCTAAGGGTGCTACCCATTGGTTTACGTAAAGCCTTGCTGAATGGGCCCATGACGAGAGCTTCACTGCTGAAGCTTATTCAAGTTTGTTAAATCAGTTATCTTCTCATTAGAACTAGTCAGCCCCCAACCTCCCTCTGGCTCACAGATGTCCCTGGCTCTGGGCTCACTTCCCTCTTCCTCAGTGAGCAGAACTGGAAAATTCTGGTTGCTGGGCAATTCTACATAAAAGAAATAACAAAAATACTGTATCGCAATATGTGTTTCTTTTTGAGAATAGCAATATTACTTTATGTTGCTTATAGTAGTCTAAGCACATTGGCAAGCATATGGACAATGATATTTGGTAGAAATACTAAAATGAACATATAATATGCATTTTACCAATGAACTTTTAAAATCAGAAATGTGCTTGATATGGTTTGGCTGTGTCCCAACCCAAATCTCAATGTGAATTGTATCTCCCAGAATTCCCAGGTGTTGTAGGAGGGACCCAGGGGGAGGTAATTGAATCATGGGGGCCGCTCTTTCCTGTGCTATTCTTGTGATAATGAATAAGTCTCACGAGATCTGGTGGGTTTATCAGGGGTTTCTGCTTTTGCTTCTTCCTCATTTTTCTCTTGCTGCTGCCAAGAAGTGCCTTTCACCTCTTGCTATGATTCTGAGGCCTCCTCAGCCATGTGGAAGTGTAAGGTTCAATTAAACTTCTTTTTCTTCCCAGTCTCTGGTACGTCTTTATCAGCAGCATGAAAATGAACTAATACAGTGGTTTTTGGTCAAGGGGAGAAGTGGTCTATAGCTTGGTGAAAAGAGGTTATACCCTGGACAGTTCCATTTCAAATAACTGTAGAGAGAGACATTTAAAGAGAACACGTACCTGGAGTTTCAACTGTGTCTTGCTTTTTGGTTGTTCCCTTTGTGTTAATTTCACAACTTACATGATAAAAAGTGAAAAGCAAATGATGTTTTTGATGTAGGTGAATGGGAAGCTCAATTTTAATCTGAAATGAAAGCAAAATTACACATGGAACTTCGTTTTCTCAAGCTGAAACTGTCAGACATTAGTTCAGTTTCATCATACTGCTCCAAAAATACTTCCTAAAGGACTGGCCAAGTGGCCAAATAGTAGGTATCATTTAAATATATTCCAAATGCTTTTCTGGTCAGTTTCAATTTGACAGCAATATTCTGAGTTGTGAGAGTTGATTTATTACTTTTGCTGGAGAGTACAATGGATTCTCCTGGATTCAATTTTGCAGCAGAATTTTCTAAAACACTAAGTCAAAACTACATCATCACAGCCCAGGGATACTATGCAACTCAATCTGCATCAATGAATGCAACCCATTTAAAATGTACACTGAATCTGAAAAACAACTTTTTTTCTAAGTTGTTGCTCTCTTTTGCATGAAAAAATTAAGCCATTACAAATAAATATGCAAAAAGTAACGATGGTCTTATAGTATCCACAAATTATAGTTTATAGAAATTTCTCTAGAAGAAAAACACAACTTTGCTCTTAAAGATGAAAATTATCAGCCATGACATACAAACTTAGTTAAAAATTAATGGTTGTAATAAAGTATCACAAGTAATTTTCTAATCAGATCCCAACCGAATGTTTGTAATGCCTCCTGGAAGTATGTAAGAGACAAATTACAGATTTAAATGATTTGATGCACATGCATGTACCCACAAAGGTACACGTGCAAATATTCTCTCTGTCTCTCTCAGTCAATATACAGTGAATGATTGAAAGCATGTTCATTGACACTTCTCAAAAGAAGACATTTATGCAGCCAAAAAACACATGAAAAAATGCTCATCATCACTGGCCATCAGAGAAATGCAAATCAAAACCACAATGAGATACCAACTCACACCAGTTAGAGTGGCAATCATTAAAAAGTCAGGAAACAACAGGTGCTGGAGAGGATGTGGAGAAATAGGAACACTTTTACACTGTTGGTGGGACTGTAAACTAGTTCAACCATTGTGGAAGTCGGTGAGGTGATTCCTCAGGGATCTAGAGCTAGAAATGCCATTTGACCCAGCCATCCCATTACTGGGTATATACCCAAAGGACTATAAAACATGCTGCTATAAAGACACATGCACATGTATGTTTATTGCGGCACTATTCACAATAGCAAAGACTTGGAACCAACCCAAATGTCCAACAATGATAGACTGGATTAAGAAAATGTGGCACATATACACCATGGAATACTATGCATCCATAAAAAATGATGAGCTCATGTCCTTTGCAGGGACATGGATGAAGCTGGAAACCATCATTCTCAGCAAACTATTGCAAGGACAAAAAACCAAACACCGCATGTTCTCACTCATAGGTGGCAATTGAACAATGAGAACACATGGACACAGGAAGGGGAACATCACACTCTGGGGACTGTTGTGGGGTGGGGGGAGGGGGGAGGGACAGCATTAGGAGATATACCTAATGCTAAATGACGAGTTAATGGGTGCAGCACACCAACATGGCACATGTATACATATGTAACAAACCTGCATGTTGTGCACATGTATCCTAAAACTTAAAGTGTAATAATAATAATAAAAAAGAAAAGAATGATTAGGGAGGAAAAAAGGGGAATATTAAAAAATCAGAGCTATAAAAAAAAAAAGAAAAGCATGTTCATTTTAGGTATCCTAAAAATAATGTGGGTTACTTACTACATGATCAAGTTTTTTGTAGTGACTGATGTTGGTTACAGAGATACACATATTAAACAACTTGGTGATGGACATCTGGTCCAATTATCATTCATACAAAGCATGGTTTTGATGTTATAACTAATGTCCGTTTTAGGTCTATTTCACTACAGAACATGCCTATTCACAGCATCCAGACCATCTGGGTATGTAATGCTCTGCTGCACATAAATATGGGCATACTCCCTCCCTGGGTGGCAAAAATACTATTCCCCTCCCCATCCCCCATGAAACTAGGGACATTGGATTGAGAAGGAAATGAGCAAGGCCTAAGGCTGGGATATAAGGCTTCCATACAACAGCAGGTGGACATGGCAAAATCACCACAGCCGGGGGGATGGTTTCAGACCAAGCCAAGAATGGAGACATGTGGACTGAGAAGCAGGGACAGCAGAACGTCTGGGCTGGGATGCCCATCCAGGTTCCATAGAGACATATAGGAATCAAAAGGAGACTACAGATTTGGATATGCTGGATACATACAGACCAGAAGTGGCTGTGACAGAGATGCTAAGAGACATGCTGGGAAGCACACAGAGATGTAGAGGTGGAGAAGTAGGAAGAAGGAAAGAGGGGCAGAGACAGGGTTTCAAAGGCAGAGACACAATTTGAGAGGCTGAGTCAGGAGGAACCACAGAGGCTCAGAGACCCAACCATACCCCTTTATGTGCTTTGCACCCAAGCATGCAGGCCAGCCAGTGGGATTCTGGTGGCCCAGCTGTATCCCTGTCTTTCCTAGTATTTCAGTTACAGAGAGGCTGCACCCTACTGTGTAAAACCATAAGGGGAAAGAGCTAGAAAGGCATTCTGAAAATCTCTTCTGAATTTCTCATTTTAAAGCTGAGGAAATGGAGACTCTGGAGGGGGAAGTGACTTGATGTTACAGAGCCAGCACTGTCAAAGCTAGGAGGGCTAGAACCCTAGCTCTACTCTCATGTTTGTTTCCTGCATTGTTACCTCAAGTCGAAGAGCCCCTTAAATTGGGGGGTAAATCTTCTACTACCATCAAAAGGCACCAAGCAGGCCAGTAACACTCTGTTTTGTTGTAATATTTTCTGTTTTCATGGAACAAAACACTCAGGGATTGAAAGTGCTGGTAAAATGATGAAAATGATTCAAAGAGAAAAAGAATTCCAACCACTGTGTTTTAGAAATGTCAGGATAATATATTTTTACCTCATCATAGAACTCTGGATTTTGGTTGTGATGCGAGACAACAGCATAAGCATTTGTGGTAAAAACAGACCCTGCAGGTTTTCCATAAATACACTGCAAAAGAAAGAAACAGAGTCACCGCTCTAAATGCAGGTCTGTAAATGTGATGCCATGGAACCACATATAGTTAGAGGCATCTGTGACTATAGGGCCATGGCCAAGCCCACCTGGCAGTCACCGTGAGCCTGTAAATTCCCAATCATTTACACAGTCACTCCAGACACCAAATGAGACACCATGTAACTTGGCTGTATGGATGCTTCTGAATTTCCAGCCATCAAAGAAACACGATCTCAAACTAGTTGACAGTAAGGAGCTGAACAGGCCTACTCATTTGGAAGGGAAATACTTGTCTCAAACCAGGCCTGTAAAGCTTACTTCTCTTATGCTACTTGCATTTCTTAATATGAGAGGCTCCCCCTCAACCAGTCGGCAACATTTGTTGAACGCTCTTTGTGCAGTGGGCAAGGTGAAGCGTGTTTAAAAAGCTCCAGCAGACACATTCCTGGCCTAAAGGAATTAAAAAGTTGAATGTGTATTAAGCTACAGACAAGCTTGCTGTTCTCTCACATTTTTAAATGTGGCACTTTATGAGCCACATTTTAAAATATCAGTGGCTTTCTGTTATACCAATAAAATAAATGTAAGGCTTTCTATGGTTCCAAGGAAAGATCCAATTTCATTTCTAGTGGGATTTTTTCACTTCTATAGGCCTAATAGGCTCAAGGATGAATATGGAGTCAGCATGCCAACGTACTAATTGCCTCATTCTGTTACTTTAGAGTGAGCAATCCAGGCCAGCTAAGAAATGAAATTGAAACTCCATATAAGTGAATATCCAACTCTTCTTAAATATGGTTATGAAGGCAATTTGCAAGAACTGCTGAGAAGTAACCTAAGAGTCATTGGGTCTACAAAAGGATATTGCATGGAGGAAATAGAGCAGTTGTTCTCATCTCCACTGAACAGAGAACCAGAGAAAACATACAGAATTTGAGCCAGCAAATCCTTAATTTAAGTTTCTCTGTATACATAAAAAAAAAAAATCTCTTTTCAAAGGTAGGGGCTATTATTCAATTACTTAGTCAGGGGCATTCCAGCCTGTTTCCCTAGGTGGTTTGAGTGTAAGACCCAGCATCCATCTGTCTGATTTAGGCTGATGCAAGAGAAATGGGGAGCCAAATAAACACTTCTTGCTGGCTAGATGTTCTGACTTCTCTTTCAGGTCCCTGATTGATGGGTTACAGTTATAAAGAGTAAAAATATAAAGGCACTGTGGTGTGACAGGTATTTAAGGATTGCTGTATCAGATAAGACTGAGATTCTGCTTTTCATAGACCACAATCCAAGACTGGAGGCACCATTTGGCCAGTCACGGAGTAGAAGTCGTATCTCAGATCAAAGCAGTCATGCTGTGCTTCTGTCAGCTCAAAGCCTGTTCAGGTTTCAAGGAGAAAGGAGTTTATAGTCCCTTGATGGTACCATTATAAACTATCAGGTCATAAGAAAACGACCTTGCAATTGGGCATTGAAGCAATTGCAAAATCAAAAAGGAGCAAAAGCCAAAACCTGGCATTTTTAAAGCTATATATGCTCCTACTGCATTAATATTTAAACTAAGCCTTATAGTTAATATGTAAGAGTAGAAAAGAAAGTATTACATTTGTCACTTTAGAACATTTTCTTTTTGATGTTGATACAAATTAAACCTAGAGCATAAGACTACTGAGTACCAAAATCTCCATCTCTACTAAAAACATATGCCTATCAATATCATAAACAAACCTTTAGGGCACTAGCGTCACTTTCATCTGAATCCCGGAATTCCACACAGACTGCAATGTTCCTTGCCTAAAATGATTAATCAGTCAAAATGAGTCACACAATTAGCAGATTATAAATAACATTTTATACTCCAAAAATGTATAGTTTACATGGTTACCTTGGCAAATGTTTTCTGGCTATCGTATTTTAATTGCAGGGGATATACATACAGATGGTTTTTGTAAATAGTAAATGGATAACAATATTTTGTCATTTCTGGAACAAACTCTTCAACCTCCACAGTAATATTTTGGCAATTCTTTTCAAAAGGCTTCAAGGGCACATATGAAGAAGTAATACAATCTATAGCAGGGAAAAAAACAGGCAAAGATCATTCAGTTTAATAATCATTAACACATTCCTGCATGTATAAAAAATATACATGAATTGCATTCTCAAAGAGCGATTTAAAAAACATAATTCTTAGTAATTGACCAAAAAAATCACATGACAACTTTAAGAACCCAAAAAGACAAGACTGAGTAGTCTGATGCTGATTTTAGTGGAACCCTTCATACCAGACGTGGAGTGCTATTTCGTTCTCAATGTCGAGTGATTTGCCAAATATAACACATCATAATTTTGACAAATTTAAACTCTGCAAAGAAATCCATTTCATTTTCCCTCCTGTGGCAGCAATTTAGCTTTCACTGCAAATTTTTATTGGTATCAGGGAAATAACGGTAAATTTATGCTTCCAATTAGTTCATGGCAAGTCACTTTTTAAAAGCTAACTTGGTACAGGTGCAAATTTTCACCTAAGAAATAATGGAGGCCTTTTGATCTTACGATGTGTTACCAATGATAAACTCAATACCCCGACCGTGAAAAAATACTAAGCCTCAGAGAAGTTTAGCAGCATATGTTATTGAAATCGTCACTGTAGTAAAGGTTATTCATATACTTAAGGGGCTCTAAGACTGCTGGTCCTTGCTGCAGAGCAGTAATGATGAAGGAAGACCCAGGGAGAGTTGGACCTGAGGATGCTGTATTTTTTGTTGGATTTGCTTTTCTGATTATTACAGTGATACATGCCTATAACAGAGCATCTGGAGGTAGACAGTGAAGGTAGACAAGGACAGTTGCTCATTCCGCCACCCAGAGATAACTACTGTTGAGACTTTGGCATATCTTCTTTTAGTCTTCTATGCATATTGTATATAGTGATATGAAAATCCTACACTATATATAGAACTTTATCCTGATTTTTCGACATTTATCTGATGTCTCATTCCATGAACTCTTTGTAAACATTGCTGTTAATGGCTGCAATAAAGTTTCATGGTATCAGTGTAGCATCATTATCTTAACCACACTGACAGTGTTGGATTCTGATTGTTTCCAATTTTCCTCCAATATAAATAACACTGCAAAGAACATCTTTATGGATCCATTTCTGCCTAGATTTCAAATTGCTTCTTTAGGAAAAAATAATCCATTGTACTCTTAGATGTTTTAAAATATAAAGTGGATGCCACACCTCCATTTACTATTCTTTATTGACTTCTCACTGCATTTAGAATAAAATTCAATTTTTTAAGGCATTACCACAGTCAACACAATTCCTTACATGACCTGATGCTTCCTATTTTATCTCCTATCTCCACTGTTCCCATCACATACTACACTAGAGCTATACTGGATTCCCTTCTGTTCATGCAAACCCAGCTTGGTCTCACCTCAAGGTCTTTACATATATATGTGATGGTCTTTACAACGTATGTGATGCCCTCAGTCTGAAAATGTTCAGTCCCAATCACCACATGCTGGCTCTCTTTCTCCCTCTTCAGTTCCTGAGCTTAAGACAGGTGTTCCCTGGCTACCCTTTTTACAGCTGCCCTTGTGATATGGTTAGGCTTTGTGTCTCCACCCAAATCTCACCATGAATTGTAATCCCCAGGTGTTGAGGGAGAGACCTGGTGGGAGGTGAATGTATCATGGGGCGGTTTCCCCCATGCTGTTCTTGTGATAGTGAGTGAGTTCTCATGAGATCTGATGGTTTTATAAGTGTTTGGAAGTTCCTCTTTCATTCACTATTTATCTCGCCTGCCACCACAAAAGACGTGCCTGCTTCCCCTTCTGCCACGATTTTAAGTTTCCTGAGGCCTCCCCAGCCATACAGAACTGTGAGTCAATTAAACCTCTCTCCTTTATAAATTACCCAGTCTTGGGTAGTATCTTTATAGCCGTGTGAAAAACGGAGTAATACAACTCGTTTGCTTGCATACTATCTGTCACTCCTTCTAGACTTTAAACTCCCTACGTTTAAAGCACCTCGTTGGTAGTCAATAAACGTTTACTCAATAGATAGTTATTCAGTGAATGAATGCATATACTCTCAGAATTGGAATGCCCTACTTATGAACATCTATGGATATCTATTACCAAACTGTACTCCTACTCATGATAGGTGATACCACCTGGCCAAAACCTAGCCAGCATTAGGTAGCTTCACTTTAAACATTTTAATAGATTTGATGGATGAGCAAAAGCATATTGTTTAATTTGCCTTACTGGCATTATTACTAAGATTGAATATTTTTCACATATTTACTAGCTACTTCATTTTATCTCTTGCAAATTGTGTTTTGTGTCTTCTATTTTTCTCCTGGGATCTTGGATTCTTGTCCTTAGACAAGAAAAGAAATCCTTCTCCTTTTTCATCTCTTAGTTGATGACAGAAGTAAAAGTTACCAAAGGCAAAAGGCAATAGAACCTGACTGGGACACACTCACAACTTCGTATATATGAAACAGCATCTGATAAAATCAACTCAATTCACTTCCTAATCTGTAACTATTCATCGTGCATACTGGGTTGAAAAGCATCCACGCCCCCACTCAAAATTCATGTCCACCCGGAACCTCAGAATGTGACTTTATTTAGAAATGGGATATTTGTAGATGCAATTAGTTAAGATGAGGTCATACTAGATTAGATGGGCCTTAAATCCAATGACTGGTGTCCTTATAAGAAGGTCATGTGATGACAGAGGAGAAGTTGGAGTGATGCAGCCACAAGCCAACTGATGCCAAGGTTAGCTGGGAGCTACTGGAAGGCAGGAAGAGGCAAGGAATGGCTCTTCCCTAGAGCATTCAGAGAGAGCATGGCCCTGCAAACACCTTAATTTTGGACTTCTAGCCTCTGGAACTGTGAGAGAATAAATGTTTGTTGTCTTAAGCCACCCAATTTGTAACAGTACTTTGTGCTATGGCAACCCTGGGAAACTAATATGCCACGTAAACCTCAAGAAAAATATTGAAAGGATAACAACCTGACATTCAAACATTATGCTTAAGGTTTATTTGCAATATGTTCTTACTTGATAAATCCACAGGAACACATTCTACTGTGATGTTTAGCTGCCCAGGAATAATCTGCAGTTTGGTCTTTTCTGGCCTGGGTATAAAATAATAATATTTTAGAGTTAAAATTATGATTACTGAATGCACTGGTTACCCTCTATCCAAACTTACAATTTTAATCATTCTGTTTTTCCCATATATGACTCACATTCATCATTTTAAAAAACTGAGGATTCATCTATTATATTTACTTATTGCAGAAACACCAAACACTTACTTCTTATATTCTGAGAGCAACTTGAGAATGTCTTCACTTGAAAGCTTGCTACTGTCTTGTTTATACAGAGGAGAAAATCTCCCATCCAGATCAAGAGAGCCTTGAGTATCTTTGAAAATGGGTCTAAAACAGCAACAGAAGCATTTTTTTAAAAAAAAAAATTCCATGTTGATAAATTAAGATAAAATTAGCAATGGTCGGGATGTAAAATGGTGAAACCACTTTGGAAACAGTTTGGCGGTTTCTCATTAAGTTAATCACCCATCACTCTACAATCCTGCAATTCCACTCCTAGGCATATTTCCACATGGTACATGAATGTTCTTAATTTGCGCAGCAGCAATTTAACAAAAATTTATATAAATAAATGTTCACAGCCAATTTATTTGCTATAGCTCCAAACTAGTAATAACCCAGAAAAAGTGAATGGGTAAGCAAACTGCTGTATATTCACGCAATGGGATACTGCTCAAAATGAACTACATATTCACACAACAATATGGATGAATCTCAAGAACACTGAGTACAAGAAAGCAAACATCAGAGGACATACTGCATGATTCCATTTATATGAAGGTGCAAAAGAGATTAAAAGTCATCTGCAATGAAAATCAGATCAGTGGTTGCCTGGGACAGGGATAAGATGGCTGAATGGACAAGGGACATGAGGAAACTTTCTGGGGTAATAGACATGTTCCATATCTGGTTGGGGTGGTGGTTACGTGACTGTATACATTCATGAAAATTCATGAAGCTAGACATTTAAAATATGTACATTTTATCAAAGGTGAAGTATATTTCCATAAAGTTCATAAAAAGCATAAGGATAAATTTATATGGGGAGATTACAATGTAGAGTCGGTTCTCTGTATCCACAGGCTCCGCATCCGTGGATTCAAAAAACCATGGATAAAAAATATTTGGAAAAAAGAACTGTGTCTGTACTGAACACAAATAGACTTTCTTGTCATTATTCACTAAAGAATACAGTATAACAACTATTTATATAGCATTTACATTGCATTAGGTATTATAAGTAATCTACAGATGACTTAAAGTACATGGGAGGATGTGAATAGGTTACATGCAAATACTACGTAATTTTATATCAGAGACTTCAGCATTTGCAGATCTTGGTATCTGTGGGAGATCCTGGAACCAATGCCCCATGGATACTGAGGGATGACTATATATGTATAGTTTCCTATATGAACTTGAATTATTCCCTTCCCCTCCTCTTCTCCCATTTTTAAGCAACTATTCTGCTGCTAAAATGGAAAACAATATACACGCACCCAACACACTGGAAGCAGCTATAGCCTGAAACATATTTCCCCCCAGCATACCTCTGAAGATGTGGTAATAGGCATTAATTAACTCCATTGTTCCTACTTCATATATATATATGTGTGTATATATAAAGTGTATATATACACTTTAAGTTCTGGAATACATGTGCAGAATGTGCAGGTTTGTTACACAGGTATACATGTGCCATGGTGGTTTGCTGTACCCATCAACCTATCATCTACATTAGGTATTTCTCCTAATGTTATCCCTCCCCTAGCCCCCCAACCCACCGAAAGGCTCCGGTGTGTGATGTTCCCTTCCCCATGTCCATGTATTCTCATTGTTCAACTCCCACCTATGAGTGAGAACATGCGGTGTTTGGTTTTCTGTTTTTGTGTTAGTTTGTTGAGAATGAAGGTTCCTAGCTTCATCCATGTCCCTGCAAAGGACATGAACTCATCCTTTTTTATGGCTGCATAGTATTCCATGGTGTATATGTGCCACATTTTCTTTATCCAGTCATCATTGTTGGACATTTGGGTTGGTCCCAAGTCTTTGCTATTATGAACAGTGCCACAATAAACATACATGTGCATGTGTCTTTATAGTAGAATGATTTATAATCCTTTGGGTATATACCCAGTAATGGGACTGCTGGGTCAAATGTTGTTTCTGGTTCTAGATCCTTGAGGATCGTGACATTGTCTTCCACAATGGTCAAACTAATTTACACTCCCACCAACAGTGTAAAAGCGTTCCTATTTCTCCACATCCTCTCTAGCGTCTGTTGTTTCCTGACTTTTTAATGACCGCCATTCTAACTAGCATGAGATGGTATCTCGTTGCGGTTTTGATTTGCATTTCTCTAATGACCAGTGATGATGAGCTTTTATTCATATCTTTGTTGGCCACATAAATGTCTTCTTTTGAGAAGTGTCTGTTCATATCCTTCGCTAAGCATACCTCCTTTATTTCTAGTAAACAGAGGTTTATCATATATCTTTTAAACATCCAGCCCAGCCTTTTGAGTAAGTTTTTACTACTGCTGAGAACCAAAACAATTCAGGAGGAAAAAAATACCTTAATTCCTCATTAGAACTGGAAATCAAAGCTTCTAACTTTGAAGACTTCAAAATTAACTTTTCTACTGGTAAAACGGCATCAAGCAGCTACTGGTATGGCCCAAAGAGGGACCGTATGCCACAGTGGTCTAGAGATGGCTTTGAAGGCAGGTGCCCTGGGTTCTGATCCATGTTCTGCCACATGCTGTGTGAACTTGGAAAATAATTTATATTTTTGTCTTTCTGCTTCACTTCTGGGCCTCAATTTCCTCATCTTCAAAGACAGGGATAACAGTACCCACCTTTTAAGACAATAGACATGAAGCACGTAGATAAGTGCCTTGAACAGAGTTAGCACTTGATAACTTTTTTTTTCCCCGAGACAGAGTCTTGCTGTTGCCCAGGCTGAAGTACAGTGCTGTGATCTCGGCTCACTGCAACCTCCGCCTCCCACGTTCAAGCAATTCTCCTGTCTCAGCCTCCCGAGTAGCTGGGATTACAGGCGCCTGCCATCACGCCCGGCTAATTTTTATATTTTTAGCAGAGACGGGGTTTCACCATGTTGGCCAGGCTGGTCTTGAACTCCTGATCTTGTGATCCACCCGCCTCAGCCTCCCAAACTGCTGGGATTACAGGCGTGAGCCACTGTGGCCGGCCAATAACCAATTTTTTTTTTTTTTTTTTTTTTTTTTTTTTTTTTTAGGAGACGGAGTCTCGCTCTGTCGCCCAGGCTGGAGTGCCGTGGCGCAATCTCTGCTCACTGCAAGCTCCACCTCCCAGGTTCACGCCATTCTCCTGCCTCAGCCTCCAGAGTAGCTGGCACTACAGGTGCACGCCACCATGCCCAGCTAATTTTTTTGTATTTTTAGTAGAGACAGGGTTTCACCACGTTAGCCAGGATGGTCTCGATCTCCTGACCTCGTGATCCACCCGCCTCGGCCTCCCAAAGTGCTGGGATTACAGGCGTGAGCCACTGCACCCAGCCGTGCCCAGCCAATAACTATTAACAATAATAATAGCAGCAGCAGCAATGGACTTTTCAGGCTGGAGCATTAAAAATATGCTGATATTTATAAGCCATACTTCACCTTCTATAATGCCTACATACACCAACCTCTGCTACTCTTTGCCATTCACCTACCCCTAGCTATCATTTTTTTTTACCAGTCTGCAAAACAAGGACAATAGTGATCTTTCATCCACCAACATACAATACATTTTGAGACCTTGCCCAAAATGAAATGATTATAAATAGTGACAAATAAAAGAGTTAATTAACTTAGAATCTCCTACCCTTATGCTACTCCCTAGCACCCACTGAACATAATTGATTGAATTATTCAGAACATGGTGTCCTTTCCACAGAAGCCCCAGTGAGCTGTACAGGCTGTACCACAAACAAGCCAGTGAACCTGTACTTGAAAAAGGGAGAAAAACAAGAAACTTGTTTTAAGTCATCCCTGCATGGATTTACAAAATTTGGATAAAATAATGTAACCTACCATCAGATATGAAATATAGTTATCACATGCTGGCAGAATTTGTCATCAGGAAGAAAATACATTAATTACACACTCACATTTAATGACTTCATTAGTTGCCTCTGAATTTTCAGTATGTTTTCCAGAAATATTCTATGATAGATTTTCAAAGCATAAACACAACCAACTCTGAAATAGGGGGTATACTGTACATAACTCACTATAATTTCTGCTTTTCTGAAAAAATTCCATGACTACCAAATAAATTCTGCTTTTAAATGCAGTAAAATTAAGTGGTGTCAGTCAGAGCAGTAACCAAAGCCAAAGAAAACTTCCCTAAAGCAAGACATATGAAAAAAAAAATGAGAGGGTCTTTGATGCACAGCAAAGTTTAAGAGAAAGCATTCTTGGCCGGGCACAGTAGCTCACGCCTGTAATCCCAGCACTTTGGGAGGCCGAGGCGGGTGGATCGCCTGAGGTCAGGAATCCGAGACCAGCCTGACTAACATGGTGAAACCCCGTCTCTACTAAAAATACAAAAATTAGCCAGGTGTGGTGGCGCATGCCTGTAATCCCAGCTACTTGGGAGGCTGAGGCAGGAGAATCGCTTGAACCCAAGAGGCGGAGGTTGTGGTGAGCCGAGATCGCGCCACTGCACTCCAGCCTGGGCAACAAGAGCGAAACTCCGTCTCAAAAACAACAACAAAAATAATAATTATTACATCCCAAGTGTCCCAAGATACAACTGGCCTGCCAGAAACACAGTGCTGAATGCTGGTAAGTATAACAGCCCTTAACTTCACATATGAACACGAGTGAGCGGGTCAGGATTATATTTGTACAAACCTGGCAGCCCAAGCGAAGGGCATTCTGTATTGTCCAAGGCGGCTACACACTTGTTTAGCTGTCCTGTGCACCTTCTGGGCCGTCTAAGGTCAGAAACAAGAAGATAGGCTTGTATTTGTTCAAACTGCCATGGACCCACCCAGAAAAATAATTTCCCCAACCTACCATTACAAAACATCAAAAATCTCAAAAAAATATATAGAAATAGCCACAAGCAGAATAACATGCATCAGCCAGCCATTTTTCAAGTCCAAAGTATTTCATAAAGGCTTTGGATTTTCTCATTAACAGAGCTTCTGTCACTTATAGCAGAAGACAGACGAAATAGATATAGGGCACACTTTGAACCAAGACCTCTACTGGAAAAATGTTCAGTGGTTTTAACATGTACTTTACTTCACATAGCAGGCAAATGCTCATCATTCTTGGGAGAAGTTTTTTCTGGATACAGCTGCCCTTTCTACTCCCAAGACAAGGAGCAAGTCACCAGGAGTCAAGGCAATTAGTCTAAGTGTGGGCAGGAGCTGCTGTTTGCACAGGCACAGGGAGATGACAAGGAGATAAACTGCCTATAGAGTCTAAACAGACTCGAAATGCTGGCTGGATGCTTATCCCTAGGGATACAGAATGCTGGAGGCTTTTATCTATATTGTTGAGACATTTTTCCTCCACAAATTAGTCCCATCACATCAGCAACTTCCATTTAATAAACACTATTTGGGTATACAACAAAATGCCATGTACAACAGATTGATGTACATAAATACACAGTAGCTGGAGTGCTACTAATGAACTCAACCATGAACCTTTCCCTCCTGGGGTCTCAGTTTTTCCATTTATAAAAGGAGAGGATGAGATTAGAGCGATGATTTCCAAACATTTGAATTTCACAATTTCACAATTTTCTAGAAATCTGGATGACAATATAGGGTTGCCAACTTTTAATATTGCCACTTAAGGACACTCAACAATAATTTTTTAAATCCCTGCCATTTAATATGCCAACATTTCATGAAAGGAAGATACGCATAACCTTTAAAAAGTAGGAAGGGCAAAGATCTCAGAATAAAGGGCAGCCCTTTGAATTAAATACATTTAGCTTCATGAAATGTTCACTGTCTGTCTTTCTTTTCTCGTTTCATCACAGACAGGAGTAAATCTGGGTATGAACTGACATTTGGGAACTATAGGACTGGATCATCTTTAATCTCCCAGCTCTGAGATTCATTCTAGCACTTCATGTAGGGCTGTAAGGAAAAGAACGGCTATTGTCAAGGATATGGTGTCAATTAGCAGATGTTGCCTAAAAGCTTTTGGCTCTTATTTTGATAATCAAGCAGAAATCAGATTATCACATTAACAGAACATCAATGACAATAGGAAAATATGCCATGTTCAAGTTTTAGCAAACATACACAGTATACAATGTTTTCAGAATATATAGCATGCTCAAAGCAATGGCATTTAAAATATCAGTAAAAGGCAAATTCTACGTTAAGGTGAAATGTTGATCAACAACCTTTATAAATTACCTTTACTGGATCAGAATTTTTGATATAGGGTTCTGCACAGTGTGTAATGTTTCCCTGTAGTACCTTTTCAATTCTGGCAACTAGAAAAATTTCAGGATGTGGATTCGTCACTGAGAAAATTCCCTGGGAAAAAAGTACTTCCGTTAGACTTTCTTATGTAATCTTGTGCATATGGTTGTTTATGGTTAACGATTTTTAGTAAACAATGTTCATATTCAACAAAGGATCATGTCCAGGACCCTAGAAATAGATAGAATTTCCTTTCATAGAGTTTTCAAAGCTTCCAACGTTCCTTTCAAAATGGATTTTATATTTTGTCACCAACCTCACATCTGTTAGTCTCCATAGCGCAGGTGTCACCGTTGCTGCTTTGCCTCTTTGGTTTGGTTGTGTATGCGAAGTGAGTACATTTCTCGAGTGGAACTAGATATACATTTTTAAATGCAGCTGCATGTAACTCAAGAGCAATTAATATTTAACTAATATTTATTTCCACTAAGAAGGAAAAAGAAACTTTACTGCTCTAATATAGAAAAACTAAATCATCCTCTAAAAGACATTCCTTTGTTGCAGTTCAAGAGCTCTGGTGCTTCCAATGCAAAGGTAGGAGACAGAGAATCCAAAACTCATTTTGTCCCCATACACTTTACTTAAATGTACTAATGTAGATGCAACCAAAATTACATTTTTCTTTGAATGCATGTGGAACAGGAACACCTCCTGTCCAGTTTGACTCCTTCCAAATATAATATCATCTACATAGCATGTTAGTTGGTTATGCCTGTTGTTTAAAGGGGCATCACTAGTGAATTCAAGTGGAAAAATCTATCACTGAGTCTCTACCAAAATTTCGTTTTTTTCCTTGATATATTACCAACTTTGTTAATATAGTGATTTCCAGTTTCCAATGCATTTCAGACACATTATCTCATTTGTACCAGATAGAACCCTTGGAGGTAGACAGGGCAGAATAGAAAATTGAGTGTTAAGAGGCTAATGATTTCCCCCAAGTCAAACAGCTTATAAGGATCCTGCGTAATGGCTGATTCAGCTTTGAATTCCCAAGCAGCAAGCATGGAACAAAGTGGTTCAAATTTGCTTGAGAAAGTGAACAAAGTGGTTCAAAATTGCTTGTCAAATTTCTTGGGTTCTGGCTCCAACATTTATGGGTTTAAGCAAGTCACATTCTCTCTAAGTCTCAGGTTTCTCATCTGTGAAATAGCAGGATAGTAGTGATTTCATACATTTCTTGTATGGATTAAATGAAGTAATGCACATCAGGTACCTTGCTATTACCCAGGTGGCCCACCAAAGCATCCCAAGGTCACAGAACCTGGCTTCGGGTACTGCCGGGAACATGCTGTTTGAGCTGTGAGGCTGAACGGGTTGGCAGACTGCCCGGGCTGTCCCTGCAGAAGGTATGCTGAGCAGTGCACCTTGAGTGCAGTGTTACGCTAACTGCCACATAACCATGCTAGATGGTTTTCATGCTTTATCTCATTCAGTCTTCATAAAAACCCTGAAATGTAGGCACTACTATATACATATTCTATAGATTAAGAAGTGGAGGCTCAGAAAGGTTTGTGCAGTGAGTAAGTGGGTGAAGAAGATTGCAGTTCAGGCTTCCAGATTACACAGCCCATGCTATATTCTCTCTCAGCCCTGAGTCCCATACACCCAACATCTCATATGATGAGGCCTGATTAGAACAGTAATACTGCTGGGTGTGGTGGCTCGTGCCTGTAATCCCAGCACTTTGGGAGGCTGAGGCGGGAGGATTGCTTGAGCCCAGGAGTTTGAGAACAGTAATACTGATTATTGCTATAGCTAACATTTACTGAGCACCTATTGTTTCCCATTCCCAGTACTCTAAGCATTTCCTACTGATGCCAGCAATGAGGACTATAATTTTAAGATAGTTGATAATTGATAAAAGCTTGCTGTTTTCACTTGTTTGAGATCACTGTCAGTGCTACTACTCCTGGCTGCTACGCTGCACTGCGCTAACCCAGTGTGCCCATCACAGTGCTGAGTGTTTTCTTAGAACCACGCACCTTATTTGTGCCTCCCCACAGCCCTTGGAGACAGGTACTGTCACCACCTCCACTTGCAGATAAGGATGCTGAGGCACAGAGATGTCCATTTTCTAACTGACCAGGGATTCCAATGATGGGGGACACTCTTTGGGGTTGTTTTACCTTTTGTCCCAACAGCTTCTGGTCCTCTCCCTGTCCCCAGAATGCAAAAGGTGGCCAGAGAGAACCCAGAAATCCCACGTGGGCTGGAGGTCTGGCCGTTTAGGACAAGGTCTATGGCCCAGTCCTTGTTTCCCACCAAGGGGCATGAATATGCCTCCCCACCCCAGGGCGACTCTTACCCACTTTGCTGGCCCCTCCCGCTAGAAAATGGGCCAGGTCCTCTACCCCAGCCACCAGCACTTACAAAGCTCCCAGGATGTGGCAGGGCATGTGCTAGGGTTATATATTTCGGCACTTAATTACATTTGTCTAATATTCTTGATCAAATTATTTCAAACAGACCTAAATTCAAATCCTACCGTCACCACTACTAGCTGTGTAATGGTGAGCAGTTTACTTAACCTCCCTGAGCTTCAGTTTCGCCATCTGTCAAACAGTAGTGATTATATCATTTCACAAACTAGTATGATTACATGAGACACTGATGGAATAATGTTGGCACACAGGAGATCTTTTTTAAATGTTGATTTTCTTCCTGTTCCAAATTACAAACTGGATGACATCTGAAATCATAATTTAAACTTCCTGCATTGAACATACAGCTGAGTGCTACACACTGAAGTAATACGGGAAATACACATTGGCTTAAAATGACTTATTTGATATTGTGCAGGAAATTTTAAACATAAAATTCAATAGCAAGTTCTCAAATATTTACAACACTTTACTTGCTCCATCCCTCTTTCAGAAGCATCCACCATCATTGTGGAATGTTCACAGAGGTGACAACTATAGTCTCAGTAACAAGCTAAGGGGCTATCAGGGGATAAGGGACAACTTGAGGACAAGCCACCAGAAATCCACAGCCCCAAAAAGACAGTGACAGTCCATGTAAAGCAGTCTTCCCCAATGTTTGATCATCTATATAAATCAGCATAATCTTTGACCCTAAAAATCCTAATGCTTGGAATTTATTCTAAGGAGATAATTCAACAAATGAGCTAAGATGTGTGCACAAGAGGTTCAATGCAGCATTATTTCTGATAGCAAATAATTAGAAATGTCTTAAGTAGCTAAATCAATGAAATGTCATGTTAGCCTTTCATATAAATATGACTGATCTATAGATATTGGTATAGGATGATAAATATGATATTAAAAGAATACAGTAGGTATAAAACAGCATGAATATAATTTTTATAAGCATACACATAATGTGTATATATTTCTATATACACAACAGAGATGTCTGAAAAGATGTTTACCAAAATGTTAATAGGTATTGTCTTTTGGGTGGAGACTTTTACTTTCTTTTTTATACTTCTTATATTATTTGAATTTTCTACATAAGAATGTACTTATTATAATCAGGAAAAAAAGAATAGTATTTTTATTTAGAAAAAAATCAATCTCCTTACAACATGAACAGCTTTGTTCATATGCCTCTTTCTACTTTTAATTCTATGCCGTGCTCTCATTTCCTTTTAGCTGCAAAAGTCTAGCGAGCAAATGATCAATCCACTCGGCTAACTTCTTATGGCCTCTAGTCTGGTCAGAGGTCAGAATTCCAAGGAACAGTTAAGCTCTTTCTGAAAGGGATTCTTTGCTCCAGATAGAATAGAAGAGTGTAGCATTACAGCTATGACACAAGCAGTTCCCGCCCATTGCTTTTCAAGTAAAACTCCTTGTATAAAGAGCCCATATGCTCCATTCAAATGACCTACTCATAATGGACATGAAAATCAGGGGTGGGAGAGTTAATTTAGGGTCAATTTTTCTTAAAAACCAAAACTTTCAAGCACTTATTGCCTTGCTTAGAAGTATATGTATGAGTGTGGGTGCAGGTGTGTTTATGGGTGTCTGTATCAGCTTTCTTTGTGAGACGGAGTCTTGCTCTGTTGCCCAGGCTGGAGTGCAGTGTAGCGTGATCTCGGCTCACTGCAACCTCCACCTCCTGGGTTCAAGCGATTCTCCTGCCTCAGTGTCCCGAGTAGCTAGGATTACAGGCGCACATCACCACGCCTGGCTAATTTTTTTGGTACCTTTAGTAGAGATGGGGTTTCACCATGTTGGCCAGGCTGGTCTCGAACTCTTGACCTCAAGTGATCTGCCCGCCTCAGCCTCCCATAGTGCTGGGATTACAGGCGTGAGCCACCACGCCTGGCCTGGTTCAGCTTTCTATCTCACAAAATAATTCCCTTGTGTCTCACATCATGGTCCCATTAAAAATGTTCCTTTGATAACATGTTACTAGCATGTTCATTGGTTTCCATTTTTGCCCTCAAACTTCAGTAACCAGAAAAATCTCTATCGACAGACCTTACAAGAGAGAGAATGCCATGAAAACATTGGCCTGAAACCATGAAATAATACAAGAATATTTCTGTTTCTTATTCTGAATACGCTGCTAAGACTAAAGGTCATTCGTTACCTGTTGTATGTAGCGTAACTGAGATTCGGCAATTCCATGAATGTAAGATTCGGGTGAAGAGCCCTTTGGGCTACCGTCACTGGCCAGTTGGGTTGAAGAGCCCCACAGCATTTCACGGACAGATGGGGGATTCAGGTCTACATGAAAGTCTGCTGAAATCTTACAATTGTTCTTTACATCAAATAAGGCAAGATTGATAAAAAAGGGCTCAACCTGGGAATGAAAACAGTTACATTTTAAAACTGAGACTTTAGTGGGGGCATGGCGGGGAGGGGCACAAGTGCAAAATAAGTTTTGTATTCCTCCAGTTTCTGTGATTACAATTCCTTTCTGAGTTCAACACTTAGCTAAAATTATATTATGGCTTATCTGCACAGAAGAAAGGGCATTCCAAAACAACAGACTTCATCAAATTTTAACTTCCGTCAGGTGTAGATAATTTCACAAGTTATAAAGTTTACCAAAAAAATGGAAATCAAAAGCTACATTTAAATAACACAAATTGTTCTATGAATAAAATTTTATTCGCTACACGTTTACTGAAACTACCTAAAAAATAATGCCAATATTACAGTATAGAAATAAATCTTCTCTTCTGTTATGTTCCAACTTACTTGACTATACATTTCATAAGCGCTAATAACAGTCAACACCAAAGTACTTGACAAAAGCTTTGCCCTATCAGCAATTTTGGAAGACATGATTCCTCTCTACAGATGGCATTTGAAAGATGGTCACAAAGAGAAATTTCATGCCAGATGGCATAAAGATTAACCCTTTACACACAGAAAAGTCTGTTGTACTTTTAAGCTATTTTGTAAGAGAATCCCTCATCACTGTTTTATTTTTAATAGACAAAACTAGAACGAAAAAATAAAGATGAACACAAAAAAGTCTCTCTGAAGATTTTACACTTACAGTTTCAAGGATTTCTAAGCAACTCAAATGATCCATGAGAGCTGTCACTTAGAATTTTCTCTGTAGACCAAAATGAATCTAATGCTATAGAATAGTGACCGAGCCTAGCAGACTGCACAGCATCTGTATCCCAGCATGGCTATGGTGATCCTTACTCATTGCTACGAACCAATTTCATAGAAGAAAACATATTATCTAGTAGAATTTACGCATTTGAAGATTTTGCAAGTTTGGGAGACATGCTCCTCTTGAACATCAAGAGCCTACTCTATCTGCTATTCTGAGTAGGTAAGATTTTCATGAATCCTCACAATGAGAACATAGTCATATTTTGGCAAAAGAAAGAGATGTATAAAATTCTTCCATGTCAAATTTATCATAATATGTGGCACTGGAATTTTCACACAGTCAATTATTAATAGTTCTCAGTCATACAAAGATGTTTCTTCATTTTTTTATTGTAATAAGATTTCTTTTTTATATATATAAAACTTTCATTTTAGGTTCAGGAGTACATGTGCAGGTTTGTTATATAGGTAAATTGCATGTCACGGAGGTTTGGTGTACAAATTATTTTGAGAAAGACATTTCTTTAATGCACTGATGCAAGGGGGGTAGAAGGCAAAGTCATACATACATTTGTGGGTGGTCCTTTTGCATTGTCTCCAATTTGGCCCAAGATATTGAAAGTTAAATCATGGCAATTCACCAGGAAACGTTTATTGCATTTTTCTTCAAATGGCTTTATATCAGGTTCAATTCCTGAAAAGTCCAACCTCTATAAAAGAGATAGTATGAATCATTTTCAAAAAAAGATGGGATTCATATTGATTTACATCAATATACAAAAAATGGCAAAAATCCAACAGTTCTCTGTCCATTCTTCATTTGAACCCTTTTTATGTTTTCATCTAACAAGCTTTTATAGACTTTTTACACTAAGGTTAAACAGTGATGGAGAAATCCTAGAGGGAGATGATGAAACTCGGATCTAAGGGCAATGGAAAAGTCACAAGTCTGTACTATGGCCTACAAAGCCCTACATGGCATGATTCCCTGTCTCTTCTCACTGCTCTGACCTCATCTCCTACCACAATTGCCCTCTTCCCTCTTGCAGCCACACTGGCCTCCTTGGTTATTTTGCCAGCACAACAAGGACACTCCCATGCCGGGGCTTTTGCACTTGCTACTCTGTCAGGAACCCTCTTCCCTCAGATAGCTGTATGGCTTGCTCCCTCATTTCCAAGTCTCTGATCAGTCGACACTTCTGCAGGGAGACCTTTCCTAACTCCCTATAGAAAACTGCACACTCCCTGACAGTCTATACTCCCTTTCTCTCATTTATCTTTCTAATATTACTTTTTATATGTGTTTATTCTTTGTCTTCCCCACACAATATATGTTCCAGGACAGTCGAAATTTGGTTTCGTTTTTGAGCTGTGCAGGATGCAAAATTGACAGGAATGGGTATGGGAAGCATCAAAACTAATATGTAGACCGAGGAGGGAATTTCGCTTGAGGCCAGGAGTTCGAGACCAGCCTAGGCAAGACAGTGAGACCCTTGTCTCTATAAAAAATAAAAACTAGCCAGGCATGGTGGTGCAGGTCTGTAATCCTGGTTATTCGGGAGGCTGAGGTGGGAGGATGGCTTGAGCCCAAGAGTTCAAGACTGCAGTGAGCTATGATGGTGCCACTGCACTCCGACCTGGGTGACAGAGTGAGATCCTGTCTCAGAAAAAAAAAAAAAAGATTAACACAGTGGTCTCTAATTTGGGAGATTCAATAGATAACGATGTTATGAACTTAGTCGTGAAATACAAATGAATGGCAGATTTTGGGGTACAGTGAGTAGAAATGGTGAGTTCAGTATGGGATGTGTTGTGTTTGTGGTGACGGTAGTAGGTAGTTGGAAAAATGGGAGAGGCCTGACTTAGAGATCTGGACGTGGGAGTCAGCAGCATTTAGGTTGAGAGGCACAAAAGGCTGGAACCCCATGGACTACCTACGTTTAACTTATGAACAGAGTAAGAGGCATCCGCTTAGGAAACTGAGCAACACTGAGCTCAGCTAACAGAGCTGGGCAATGGACCTGGGCTGCCACAGAAATCGATTTTTAAAAATTATTGGTATTTTGAAATAAAAACAAGTTTAAGAAGAAGATATTGGGTGTGAAGGAATTCCTTTCAGTAGGGGAGGACTCTGTCTCTCAAAGAAAAAGATTGCTCAGGCAATCTAAGTTCATCTGTTCATGCTGAATGTCTGAACAGACTTATATTCTATTCACAAAGGGGAAGAAAAGTGTGGATTGTGGGGACAATTTACTGTACTTTCATTAAGGCCATAGACATTGTAGGCAGAAAATGATTGGGTGGATCTGAGCAGAATAACACTGTCAGTATGGAAAACTCAAGACAAGAAACACAAAATTTTTTCTCAATTACCTAAGTAATTCAAGCCAAAACAGGTATTATGCCTGAAGAATACTGGATAATTATAGCTGTTCTAACCTACCCAGTATGACTGACTGAAACCTCCTTAAAAGGGCCCAATGTGTAAGATTTGTGCCTGAAAGCTTGACTTCTTCACCTTTCAATCTATTTATCTACAAAAGGAATGCGAATGTGTGGGACTAGACAGCTCCCTCTTGAACACATATCCATCTGTGGAGGCAAGTCATTGCCATGGAGATCAATTTTAATTTCCACCCATTTATCTGCTCTCCTTTCTGTGTTACTCAGACAGTAGAATGGAAAGAGAAACTGGACCAAACCACTCCAGCCTTCAAATCCTTTCCCTTCTAAGGCCTGTGAGTACAAATGTTGGGACACATGGCCTTCTTCAGCTCTACGTTTGAGCCATCCCCTTTAATCAGCCAGTGTTTCTTTATTCTCTAAGGTCATGTCTCTAAACAATGAACTATGGCCAAAAGAAAAGGTAAAATTATGGGATGGCACCTCACCTAGAAAAGGTACTCGACAGATACAACATGGGTTTCTCCGAGGCGACACTGCCTTCCATAACCAACATTACATTCAATTTCTTCTCCTTAAAGCTTCATCACAACTGTGAATTTCTCTCTTACCATAGCTCACTGATAAACAACTCAGACATAAAACCAGTTCAGTTTTATTACCACAAAAACGCTACACCACAAATTTGTAAAGATACTGGATTTAGTTTCAACCACAGTCAGTTGGCTCCTTTGTATACAATGAAACAGCCTAACACGTCCAACTAGAGCCCAGTCATGGGTGGGAGGATCAAAGACTCAGACATGCTTGGAACAAGTAAATTTCTGAATGAATATCTTAGAACAAACATCCCTGAGGCCCATTATACTGTTACTTTTTTACAAAAAAAAAAAAAATCACATAACTTGCACTAAAGCAATATTTAACTCCGTGGGGGGAGAAAGGGAAATGAAATTATTTTTTAAAATTTATTTTCTCCAAATAATTCCATTTTCTTGTGTGATACTTTCATTAAGGAAAATGTTTGCATTATTTATAGCCTATATACTTTTTCTATTTTAAACTAAATTTTTAATTAGAAAACCATATGAAGCAAAAAGAAAAAAACAACAATGGCTGGCCCAAAGGTAGTGAGTTATCTCAATTGATTGTTCAGTCAATTACATATTGAACTTTTTGTTCTACTCTTTCTCCCCTTGTCACTACTGTACTTGACTACACTTAAAAAAAGAAAAAGAGGCCGTGCACAGTGGCTCACGCCTGCAATCCCAGCACTTTGAGAGGCCAAGGCGGGTGGATCATCTGAGGTTGGGAGTTCGAGACCAGCCTGACCAATGTGGAGAAACCCCATTTCTACTAAAAATACAAAATTAGTCGGGCGTGGTGGTGCATGCCTGTAATCCCAGCTACTCGGGAGGCTGAGGCAGGAGAACTGCTTGAGGAGGCAGAGGTTGCAGTGAGCCGAGATCGTGCCATTGCACTCCAGCCTGGGCAACAAGAGCAAAACTCCATCTCAAAAAAAAAAAAAAAAAAAAAAAGGAAAGAAAGAAAGAAAGAAGAGAGAGAGAGAAAGAAAGAAAGAAGAAAAAACGACAACAACAAAATCAGACTTCCCCAAATTATTTCATATTTTCGTGGAAGAAAAAACTGTAATGCACATTTTCCGATTTCAAACTAAATAAAAAATTTTCATTCGAAATCTCATGTAGAAAAAGGGAAAAGAAAGCCAAAAAATTTCGTCTTCCTCAATTTCATTTTTTCAAAAGGTATTTTCCATTAGGAAAAATATTTGTAATACTTAAATACTGTAGACCTTTCCCACTTAAACAAATTAAAAACTTAATTAGAAAATGTCATAGACTTAAATATTAACTGCATATATCTTACTACAAAACACATCTAACTCTCATGAAAGAGGTTAAAATACACATCCGCGTATAAACCTGCACCTTCCTGCACCACCCTCCATTTAAAGTGTGATTAAGCCAGACATGACAATTATCCTAGTTCTACAGGCCTACATCAAATGTGAAAAATAAATGTCTCATATGACTCATATGTTCTTTATACTGGAGATATTTTCTGCCACTAGATCACAATTGTATTTCATGGGCTAAAAGAACACTGTAACCATCTTTAACGGTGCTTTAATTTATCTATTTTGAGGAGCAAAAGGAAGTGAAAAGAATACAAGAAACTGAGAAATATATATATATATATATATATATATATATATATATATATATATATATATATATAATTCAGCCCCAAATTATCTGCATATGTGACAGTCCCCTTGAGTGAAGAGTTATTTGTTAAGTTACCTGTTCAAAGCAAACAAGACAAATATAAAACAATCTATATTCCCCACTGGTGCAAGAAAAACAGTGATTTCAACATTTCAAAGATGTTGTTTATCTGAATAAGCAATAATTCTAGGACTATTAAAGAAATGTATCATTAATACCTGAACTTCTGAATCAAAAGAAAAGAGATTCTGTCTTCCATCTCCTCTACTGAGTTTGTTTAGTTGTTCAGTTTCTCTTCCATACTAAAATTTTAAAAAATAAGTATGTTACTTCATTTCCTTCAAAACAGTGTTAAATACTATTTAAATGTATAGTTTATGTGAAACTATCAATCTGTCACAGCTTCAAAAATATACCATTCATCCTGTAGTCAGTACAAAACAGGAATGCAAGAGACTCTGGATGCAAAGGAGAAATAAACAAAAGAGAAATCACCATAGTTTTCATAGCCATTATGTTAGCTATAGAATATTATATGTAATTCTGATTCCATCACTTTGGGAAATACCTAATGGAGCTGCACAATCCAGGATGACAAAGATTGAGAGGGAATGCAACTAAAATCTATAAAATCATTTTATAAGATAAGGCCAGGCACAGTGGTTCATGCTGGTAATCCCAGCACTTTGGGAGGCCGAAGTGGGTGGATCACTCGAGGCCAGGAGTTCAAGACCAGCCTGGCCAACAAGGTGAAACCCTGTCTCTACTAAAAATACAAAGATTAGCTGGGCGTGGTGGTGGGCGCCTGTAATCCTAGTTACTCAGGAGGCTGAGGCAGGAGAATCACTTGAACCTCGGCAACGGAGGTTGCAGTGAGGTGAGATCGTGCTACTGCACTCCAGCCTGGGCGATAGAGTGAGACTCTGTCTCAAAAAAAAAAAAAAAAAATCCTAGATTAGAGGATCATGACTGTGTCCCTAAATTTTGAAAAATAGCTTTGAAGTTTATGAGGGGTAAATTTAAAATAGAAAAAAAAAAGGAGCTTCCAAATTTGTGTAACTAATTTGTCCAGTAAGATGAATAAAGTAAAAATATAAATAGATTTGGCAATGATTTAAATGAATAAATGGGTCACAACCTTCTAATCTACTATAATATAGAGTCTACAGAATACAGTATCGTGGTAAGATACTCAGGACAATCATCTCTACAATTTCAAAACTGGTTCATTTCAAACTTCAAACAGCAGAGTAAATAACAAAAATGATGCATGTTCACCAAAATCTTTATCAGATTAAATCATTCATATACACATATATTTACATATAGAGAATATGATTTTCATGTGAGATTAACATATGTTGGTCATAGATTAAATATCATGTGCATGAGCTGCATCATTATCCTTTTGGAAGAAGAATATTTTATGAATGATATACAGTAATTAAATTAAATAAGAACTAGCAGATAAAATTAATGAAGTCACAAAAGCCTGGAAGTATTTCTTGGTGTCTGGAAAAAAATAAGATTTTTCCAAACTGTCAGTTGGTACTTACAAGTTAGTCTTCAGGAGTGCAACTTTTCTTTTACAATCTCTACCTGTTTCACCAATTTGCTGTGGTTTTTAACGTGGAAATGACATTGCCAAATGGAATCCAGCATTAAAACTTTAATAGCTAATCCTGCATTATCTCAGTTGAAGGCAAGTTGCCATATGAAAGATGTACCTTCATCAGTTCCGGATGCATGCTCCTTTCCAAACTTGCCATGATGTTCTCGGCTTTTCCTTGGCTGCTAGTTTCATCATCTGCAAATTCATTAAAAGCAGATGTTCTAAACCATACAGACCATTACTAATAACCTAAGAGGAGTATCCTAACTATCTCTCCCACCCATCCTCTCCTACAAGATTTATTGCAAAGAATTTCTATTATGAAAGCATAGGGAAAACTTTAATGGACTTTTGAAAACCTGCCATGAATTTTCTATCTGTTTTAGTCTGGTTATATTTCATATGTCAGAGCCCATGCAGCATCAACTGTTTAAAAAAAGTCTATCAACCTCCACAGTCACTTATTAATGAAGAAGCAGGTCAACTTTTAAGATTAAGAGTTCTCTACTCACCCTGCACAGAGGACATTTCCACGGATTAAAGACAAGGGCTTTACTTCAATAATAAATCACTTTAAAATTCTGACCTTGTGCTGTTTCTACCGTCTCCTTTTTTTCTTGAACTAAACTGTCGGTGTTGATCTGAATAATCTTTTTCAAAGTTATCAACCATTCCTCCATTTCCTGCTCAGTTTCAGCAGCCAGATAATGGCTATATTTATCTAACATCTTGAGTTCAAAAGCATGACGGCGCATTTTGGGGCACTAGAGGGGAGAAAAAGTATGTGTTCAGTTAGTTTAGTTGTCCTTTTACTATTAGATTTCATTAGTTTATATTTATTTTTATCTCAGCTTAGTGCATATGTGCGTCAAGACTTTCATGAAATAACTGCTTCTTTCAGTAAGAAACAGACACTCTAAGACAACAAATGACCATGTTAAATATATTTTTTGTTCCCCTCCCTCAGGACTGAGCACAGTAGTATGAATATGTATAAAGTTGGGAGAAAACAATACTTGTTAAGTATTATCATTTAAGGCCTTTTGGCATCCTTCACATTCAGAAAATCAAAGTACCACCATAAAAGTAAGCAAACATTTTAGAATTTCCACTCCGTTCAAACTTTTCCTTGAATATTTAAGGATTTTCAAAGTCAGCACTTTAAAAAATTTAAATATGACCTGAAACAAATCTGATAAATTTATATCTCACCATAAAAGGCACTATAGATCCTAACTCATTTTACCACGCATAGTATCAACTGTATCACAATAGTATAAAAGAAGACCACAGTGTTTGGCAGCACAATAGGGCGACCATAGTTAACAATAATTTATTGTATATTTCAACATAACTAGAAGAGTGGATTTGGAATGTTCCTAACACAATTAAATGATACACACTTGAGGTGATGGATAACCCAATTACTCTGATTCGATCATTTGCACATTGTATACTTGTATCAAACTATCACATGTACCCCCAAAATATGTAGAAATATTCCATATCCATAGCAACAAAAAAGTAAAGATGGGGGCAGTGGCCCACACCTGTAGTCCTAGCACTTTGGGAGACAGAGGTGGGCGGATTGCTTAAGCCCAGGAGTTTGAGACCAGCCTGAGCAAAGCGGTGAAACCTCATCTCTACAAAAAAAATACAAAAAAAAATAGCCAGGCGTGATGGCGCATGGCTGTAGTCCCAGCTACTCGTGGGGCTGAGGTGGGAGGATCACCTAAGCCTTGGAGTTCAAGGGTGCAGTGAGCCAAGATGGTACTACTACACTCCAGCCGGGGCGACACAGTGAGATCCTGCCTCAAAAAAAAAATTAAAAATTAAAAAGAGAAGCCCCAGCATGGTGGTTTATGCATGTAATCCCAGCACTTTGGAGGCTAAGGTGGATTGCCTGCAGCAAGGAGTTCAAGGCTGCAAGGCTGCAGTGAGATATGATCATGCCACTGCACTCCAGACAGGGCAAGACTCCAAAGAAGGAAAGAAAGAAAGAAGGAAGGAAGGAAGGGAAAGAAGGAAAGAACGAAAGAGAGAAAGAGAGAGAGAGAAAGAGAAAGAAACAGAAAGAAAGAAAGAGAAAGAAAGAAAGAAAGCTAGCAAGCAAGCAAAGAAGAAGAAGAATGGCTTGGTAAAAAAGAAAGAAAAAATAAGACCATGCAACCATAGTTGGTTCACATTAAATTGTGACTCTCCATAAAATACATGGAAGTAACCTGTGCTGAATACCACCACACAAGGAAAATAAGTCTCCTCCTTTTCTCAAGCTTGCTGATACATTCTTTTACTTTACCACCTTCTCTGTCATGAAAAAAGAAATGACATACTACCCTTTTCAAATCCCTCAGCATTAATTTCAAGAAATGCTCATGAATCAATAATTTTCCACTGCATGGTCATTATTCAAGAAGGAACCAAGAAAGTTCCTCCTTCTAATCTTTGAAGTCTACGAAAGGATGAAATTAAACTGCTGTATCAAGTCATAAAGATTTATACATTTGAAAATATTTGGGAGGCGGTATCATAAATAGATGAGGTGCCTGAGCATGGCGGCTCACGCCTGTAATCCCAGCACTTTGGGTGGCTGAGGTGAGCGGATCACTTGAGGTCAGGAATTTGAGACCAGCCTGGCCAACATGCAGAAACCCCATCTCTGACAGAGACAGGAGACAGCCAAGGATTCCCGGCAAAACCTTTAATCTGTGAGGTGGGAAACCTGCTAGCAGGACTCTCTCTCACTTTGGTGAGAGTTATTTTTCCTTTTCACCCAGTAAATTCCACTTCTCACCCTTCTATGTGTCCACAAGCCTAATCTTTCCTGGTTATGTGACAAGAACTGGTTTTAACTGAACTAAGGAGAAAGTTATACAACATCTCTACTAAAAATACAAAAATTAGCCAGGCATGGTGGCGGGTGCCTCTAATCCCAGCTACTCTAGGCAGGAGAATCGCCTGAACCCAGAAGGTGGAGGTTGCAGCAAGCTGAGATTGCGCCACTGCACTCCAGCCTGGGCAACATAGTGAGACTCTGTCTCAAAAAAAAAAAAGAAAAGAAAAAAATTTTTTAAATGATAATAAAAATAAAAAGATGAGGGAAGCACTACAAAGAAAGGTCAATCCGGAAATTGTGTGTGCCTCGTTCTTCCAGTAAGAAAGCTCTTCTTTATATATATGAATATATATGAATTCATATATATGAATATATAATATATAATCATACATATAAGCACATTTTATTCACATAGAGCTTTATACTTTTTAAAAAGTGTTTTCTCATTTGTTAGAATTTTTTAATTTATCTTTTTAGAGATGAGATCTCACTGTGCTGCCCAGGCTGGAGTGCACTGGCTAATTCCACAGGCGTGATCATATCTCACTGCAGCGTCAAACTCCTGGGCCCAAGCAATGCTCCTGCCACAGGCTCCTGAGTAGCTGGCACTACAGGCACACAACATCATGCCCTAAAGGTATTTTCTCATTTGATCCTCACAACAATCTTGTTTGATAGAGTATACAGATACTACTAATCCCACTTCACAGTTCTGAAAATGAAGATTTAGGTAAACTGAGGGTGCTGAACTAACATCACTTTCCTCCTAATCAGCCCATTGTTCTTCTAGTCCACCACACCACCCTGGCTCTGTAATAATGACTTCTGTTCCATAGTCAATTGACTTCCCATCCAGATCATCTCTCAGCCCTCTACTTCCCATCCTGTTTCTGTCTGTGTCCCCTCAGTAATTCATATCAACAAACATTCATTAAGTCCCTACTGTGTGCAGAACCCTGGTAATTATAGAAGAAACAGAAATGAGTAAGAGATGGTCCCTGTAATCCCCAAAGGAATGTGTAGAATTAACCAAAATTAGAATGTGACTTAGTTGTATGACAGAAGGAAAAGCAAAATGGTTAGCACAGGAGAGGTGGAGCTTAATTCTACTTGGTAGTCACGAGGGTGAGGAAGGAAACACAAAACTTTTCACGGCAGTAGCCTTTAAGCTGAGTCATAAAAGATAAGGTTCAAACGGGAATAGAAGGAGAAATTATATATAGCAAGAAGAGGAAAAAAATGTAAGGCAAGCCATATATGTGTGCAACGCTTTAGAATGCTTAGCCTGGTGTGACCAGAGCACAGAATACACAAGGGGGTTCAGGAAGGATGAGGCTAGAAAGCACAGTGAGGCCAAATCACTATGGGCCTTCAATGTCAGGGCAAAAGCTTTAGAGTTCACTCTGTAAGACAATAAATCAAGAGCCAAAAGATTTGGAGAAGGCAAATGATTGACCCAAACTATATCTTAGGAAGTTGAACTGGAGCAAGACAAGAAATCAGGAGGCATAAAAGCGCAACTTTGGGCCAGCGATGATAAAAGGGAGAACTGGAGAAAGGGCAATGAAAGTAGGAGGTAAGAGGTTAAGAGGCACTTTAGAGCCAGACTCAAAGAGACTTGATAAACATTTAAATATTGGCACTGAGCAAGAACAGGGCACTGAAGAGGATTCTGAGCTTTCTAGTGTAGATGTTTCGGAGGACGGAGATGCCATCAATCAAGATGGAAAAATGCCAAGGTTCATTTTCTTTCCTTTTTTTTTTTTTGTGATGGAGTCTCACTCCATCACCCAGGCTGCAGTGTAGTGGCACCGTCTTGGCTCACTGCAACCTCTGACTCCTGGGTTCAAGCGATTCTCCTGCCTCAGCCTCCTGTGTAGCTGGGATTACAGGTGCGTGCCACCACACCTGGCTAATTTTTGTATTTTTAGTAGAGACGGGGTTTCACCATGTTGCCTAGGCTAGTCTCGAACTCCTGACCTCAAGTGACCTGCCCACCTCAGCCTTACAAAGCGCAGGGATTATACACATGAGCCACCGCACCAGTCACTTTTTCTTTTCTTTTTTGTAGACAGGGTCTTGCTCTGTCACCCAGGCTGGAGTGCAGTGGTGCAATCACAGCTCACTGCAGCTTCAACCTCCTAGACTCAAGTGATCCTCCCACTTCAGCCTCCAGAGTAGCTGGGACCACAGGAATGTGCCACCATGCCTGGGTAATTTTTGTATTTTTTTGTAGAGATGGGGTCTCTTTGTTGCCCAGGCTGATGTACTCCTAGGCTCAAGCGATCCTCCTGCCTCAGCCTCTCAAAGTGCTGGGATTACAGGCATAAGCCACCCCACCCAACCATCTGGGGTTCTTAAAAGTTTATCAATAACCCTGTTAGAAAAAGAGAAGGATTACCTCAATGGCCTTACCTGAACAACATCAATGCAGGCGTCCAAGTAGATGCAACCTTTCGATTCTTTTGAATTTTTCTCATCTTTATAGGAATTGAGAATATATGAACCGTCAGGAAGTTGGGTCAAGTAAAAATATCGTCTCTTGAATACCTACATGGGGAAAACCCAGCAATGATACATTTGTTACATATACATTGCATTTGAATAGTTTCTCTGAACTAAAAACCTCAAAAGCTTGCCAGGCAATTGTGCCTGGACAATCTTCAGACAACCCTGACAAGATGTTAGGAATTATCATTATCTTCATTTTTCTAAGATAGTGAATGAAAATCACATGATTTACCCTCAGTTAATCAAATATCTAGAGAACAATAATTAAGACTTAACACTTTGAAATGTATAAAGCATTCTGATATCTGAATCTCCTGACCCTTTCACTATAGCATTCTTTTCCCATTTAATTGCAAACCATGATTACATCATTTTAATTTGGTTTCTATTACCACGAATCCAAGAATAAACATAAAAAGCATATATATACATATATACATATACCCACATTACATATTTCCATCTCACCTACACATGTACTCATCTACACTGTACCACTGTCTTTGCTTCTGAAAGTCCAATTTACAGGGCACTCACAGGGAAGCACAGAGTCATTAGTTGCCTGCCAGTTGTTGTCGAGTGCCCCAAGTGCTGAGCTTTAAATCAACAGGCCTAATGGAACTATGCCATTTGTTTGGAGTTAGGGATTCACAATAGTTAAGGAGTAGCCTGTTGCTACAACTCACAGCAAAGCCCACAGGAACAGGAAAAGGTTGGGGACTGCCTGATGAGTTCATGCTGTCCCTCTATTCTCCCCTAAAAACAGACTTTGACAGTCTGATAAAAGAGGTGAGAAAAGGGATTAGGAGCTCTCTGATGAATTGATGCTTCTTTCAGTAAGTCACAAACTGCAGGCTATGTCAAGCAATTGTCACAGTGAAAGGCAGAGCTTATTCAAGTTGCAATTTCCCAGGATGACAGATCTGAAGTCACTTCAGGGTGAGATGGGAAGAGCAGCTCCTGGTGATTATTGAGGAAATGCATTCCTATGCATCTTGTCTTATTCGAAGAACCTGGCTTTAAAATTTAAGCTGGTCATTTTTAATTACCCATCTGATTATCCAATATGATCCCTGATCATTTTGAGAACTTTAATTATGGAAAGAGTATTATTTGGCAAGATCGTTCTTGCCAACAACTTAACGTCTGGCAAAGTACCTGAAACATCAATTTATTTCTCCATAGCATGACCAAGCAAAATATATAAAAGCCTTAAGGGACATTTCTTTTTAGAAAAACCAGTAAAAATAAATAACATTGATATTTATTTTTGACTTGTATAAATATCATTGATTTTTTTTAATGAATGACAAAAATATATATCAGTGTAAGGAATACCCTAACAGGTTAGACTGATAAATGCTACAGCTTCTATCTCGGGAAGGGGCCATGTGGGCTACGTGCTATCAACAGAAAAGAGTCCTAGCAGAAAACATCAGCTTGTTTTGCAATGCCAGTCAATTAAATGTTATTGTATTAGTATGCAAAGGAACAGAAAGAGAATGTGTGGGTATATTTATATCTTTCATATATGTACATATCTCATATATGTGAGAATATATACATATATTCTCATATTCAATTAATCTACATTTAAGTTTGCTGGAAGAAATCTAGATTAATATTAAAGGAAAATGTTAATCATAATGGTGATTATATATGCATGTTTGCTTATTTTCTTTATTTTTATTTTTATTTTTAGTAGACACAAGGTCTCCCTATGTTGCCCATGCTGGTCTCGAACTCCTGAGCTCAAGGGATCCTTCTGCCTCAGCCTCCCAAAAGTGAGCCACCCTGCCTGGCCTATTTGCTTATTTTCATGACAATGGTTCACATCTCTCATTAAAATGATGGGAATAGAAGGCTTAAAATTACATGCTGAGGTCATTTCAAATGAATAACATGTAATGAACACTAACTTTGTATAACACATTGCTTTTTAAAGTTATCACAGTAATTATCTATAACAAAACTAGAATACATCTTTCAGGCCAAAAGTAACATGAAAAAAATAATATGAAAAAATTTATATTTGAATTGTTCAAATCTAAAACTGAAATTCTGCTGCTTCAGTGGGACAGCCTACAGAATCCACTTGCAGAGTCAACAGCCAGCAACAAAGAGAGAGGCAGAAGAAGAGAAAATACAGAGCAAAACATTTGTGGCATACAGTCAAATTATAGTCTGAGAAATTTTTTTTTCACATACAGCTGCCTCACCAAGCAAAGAAATTCTGTGGCAGCCACCACTTCCCATATTAGCAAAGTGCATCATTACAATGGACATGGAAAGGGATATGAAATTACAGCAAATCACTTCCTCTAACATTGCAATTATATCTAAATGTGACACTAGGGTAGGTAGCTTATGAATCTGAGGAGAGAATATGATGCCTGAAAGAGCACTCAGAAAGAGCAGTTGCCTGAAAGTCTTATGATACTGATTCTCAGCCAGTATCTCCTGCTAACCAGCAGTGAAATTGTCCTCAAGACTCTGCTTCTCTCAGTTTACTCACTTGTAAAATGATGACATCAGACGAGATGATCTGTAAGATCATATTTTTCCACAATCTACAAATAATTTCATTCAACTTGAACAAATAACACAGCAGCCTTCCTAGCCTGGAAGCTACTCTCCCCATGTGATTTCTCATACACTAGAAACACACAGTTTGGACAGTAAGGAATATTTTTAAAAGTCATCTCTATGTAGAAATCAGACTCTGCCCAACAACAAATTGTAAGGTCTCTTCTCATTCTAATATTTTATGATATATGTTGGGTTTCAACTTCTGAGAAGCTTTTAAGATATCTTTTGCAAAGAAGAAAGGAATATCCTAAATCTCTCTCATGGAAATCAAAGGGAAATCAGAAACATAACTTCCTAGACATTTAAAAAATTTCCACAATGCAGCTACTTAGGGTATAAGTTTATATATATTTTTTACATTTCTAAAAGAAGACAGGTGTTAAAATAACGACTATACAGAATAATGGTAATTACTCTATATCATACCTGTCATTTGAAGGCTGCGAGCCTTTTGTAACCAATAGCTAATTCTTTTAATGCCTCTTGGGGTAAGTATCATTATCCACATTTTACCTAACAGCAAACTGAGGGATCAAGAGCTCATTCAAATTCACACAGGCGGCCAGGAGCGGTGGTTCATGCCTCTAATCCCAACACTTTGGGAGGCCGAGGTGGGTGAAACATCTGAAGTCAGAAGTTCAAGACCAGCCTGGCCAACATGGTGAAACCGTGTCTCTATTAAAAATGCAAAAATTAGCCAGGCGTGGTGGCGCACCCCTGTAATCCCAGCAACTCGGGAGGCTGAGGTGAGAATTACTTGTACCCGGGAGGCGGAGGCTGCAGTGAGCCGAGATCACACCACTGCACTCCAGCCTGGGCGAGACAGCAAGACTCCGTCTCAAAAAAAAAAAAAAAAGGTTCACACAGGCAAGTCACTGATAGAACTGGAATCAGAATAGGATAATGGCTACAAAGAGAATCTTGCCCAAATCCTCCAATGGCTTCCCATCTTACTTTACAGTAAGATCTAAAATCCTCACCATAGCCCAGAAAACTGCACAGGATTTGGCCTCAGATTACTTCTTGGATTCTATTTCTTCTCTTTTTTTTTTTTTTTTTTTTTTTTTTTGAGACAGAGTCTCATTCTGTCTCCCGGGCTGGAGTACAGTGGCGCGATCTCGGCTCACTGCAAGCTCCACCTCCTGGGTTCACGCCATTCTCCGGCCTCAGCCTCCTGAGTAGCTGGGACTACGGGCGCCCGCCACCATGCCCGGCTAATTTTTGTATTTTTAGTAGAGACGGGGTTTCACCATGTTAGCCAGGATGGTCTCGATCTGACCTCGTGATCCACCCACCTCAGCCTCCCAAAGTGTTGGGATTACAGGCATGAGCCACCGCGCCCGGCCTTCCTTGGACTCTATTTCTAATCTTTCTGCTCCAGCTACACTGGCTTATCTGCTGTTACTCAAATATCTCAAGTAAGCTCCTTTGGGTCTCTGTACTTCCTGTTTCCTCAGCCTAGAATCCTCTTTCCTCACTATCCACACAGTTTACTTTCTTACTCCTTTCACGTCTTTGCTTCAATCTCCCCTCCTCTGGGAGGCCTTCTGTACCACCTGCCCTCATCATAGCACCCAGTTATGTCTTTTTCATGGAGTGATCCCTATACAAATATGTTATTCATCTATCTGTTTTATTTGCCGTCTCTTTCTAGCCCATGAAGTTTCATGTTTCATCTACTGCTGTTAACCCCCCAGTACCTATAACAATGCCTGGACTCAATAAAATGTTTCAAAATTAATAAACAATGAATGAATAATCCCATTTCCAGCAAAGATTCTCCAGCAGATTCTCCAGTGGTTTCATACAACAGAATTGTGTTTCTCTGTAATGCCCACACTCTTCTTTCTCCTCCTCCTCGTCTTTATTATTTTTGTTTGATGGTGAACACAGCTGAAAATGCCCCACCTTACTCAGTGAGGAACACAGATCCTGAAGAGTGGCCCATTCAGACCACCCACAACAATAAAACAGAGAGCAAGCCAAAGGATTTGATTCTATAGGATCAGGTCCTGCCAAGTGTGCTTAAGGCCCCAAGCTGTTGGAATGACACACTTTTTTTTTTTTTTTTTTCCGGAGACAGAGCCACGCTCTGTTGCCCAGGCTGTAGTGCAGTGGTGTGATCTCGGCTTACTGCAACCTCTGCCTCCCGGATTCAAGCAATTCTCCTGCCTCAGCCTCCCGAGTAGCTGGGATTACAGGTGCATGCCACCACGCCTGGCTAATTTTTTTTTATTTTTATTTTTAGTAGAGATGGGGTTTCACCATGTTGGCCAGGCTGGTCTTGAACTTCTGGCCTCAAGTGATCTACCCACCTCACCCTCCCAAAGTGTTGGGATTACAGGTGTGAGCTACCGTGCCTGGCCAGATGACAACCTTTTTGAACCCCTTCTGGAGCAGGAACAAAGGCCTTTTGTCATTCAGCTGCATCAAAGATTAAACATAGGAAGGAAAGTTGGAGCACTTAGTATCCTCAAAGTAGGAAAATGGCTGGGGGTGGCGGCTCACATCTGTAATCCCAGTACTTTGGGATGCCGAGGCGGGTGGATCACCTGAGGTCAGGAGTTCGAGACCAGCCTGGCCAACATGGTGAAACCCCATCTCTGCTAAAAATACAAAAATTAGCTGGGCGTGGTGGTGCACACCTGTAATCCCAGCTACTTGAGAGGCTGAGGCTGGAGAAGTGCTTGAACCCAGGAGGCAGAGGTTGCAGTGAGCAGAGATTGTACCACTGCACTCCAGCCTGGAAGACAGAGCGAGATCCTCTGTCAAAAAAAAAAAAAAGAAAGAAAAGAAAGTAGGAAAACCTTTTATCATTTTATACAGCAAATCCCAAGAGCGTTTACCTATTGTGTGTTACCTAGAGGGGTAATTATTTACTGCTAAATTGCATGAACCAGAAGCCCTTAGAAAGGATACATCAAAGGTTTAGAGGCAGAGTAGGTAGGCCAAGAGCAATGTAGAAATGATGTAGGGGAACTTGCCTAATGTCTCAGACAGAACACAATGGAAGAGCCAGCAAGGAAAAGGAGAAAGCAGGAGAGACAGAGACATACTGGGTCTTAGAACTGTTCTGCACAAAAATGAAAGAAACAATGGGGAAAAAAACCACAGGACTTAGAAAAGTGAGTTGCAGTAATGACACCAGAATGCCAGGAACTTCATCCTGCTAAAGAACCCCTACCACTACGTTGGCAACCTGATATATCACTCACCTCTCTCCATCATGTCATTTACAGTCCTATCAAGTTTATTTTGTTTTTTTTTTTTCTTTTCAAGATGAAGTCTCACTCTGTCGCCCAGGGTGGAGTGCAGTGGCACGATCTCAGCTCACTGCAACCTCAGCCTCCTGGGTTCAAGCGATCCTCCCACCTCAGCCTCTCAAGTGGGTGGGACTATAGGTGTGTGTCACCATACCCGGCTAAGCTTTTTGTCTTTTTAGTGGAGACAGGGTTTCACCGTGTTGCCCAGGCTGGTCTCGAACTCCTGACCTCAAGTGATCCTTCTGGCTTGGCCTCCCAAAGTGCTGGCATTACAGGCATGAGCCACCACACCTGGCCCCAAGTTTTAATATATGACACTCTCCTACCCACTGAGAAACTGAGTAAAAATCAAATAGCTTTTCTTAAATAATTCTACCGTATCTGGGCACTGAAGAGTTCAACTATTTGATTTAAAGCCAAGTCTAGTAGGAGGGGTCTACAATCCACCCTTCTCATTACAGACAAATTATTTTATCAGATGTATTTCAGCACAGCATGTCACTGCTCAAATAATCAATGACTCTCAATTACTCACATAAGGCACACATGCCAGATACTGCATTCAAGGCCCTCCCACAATCCTAATAATATAAAATAACAACAATTGCTAACATCTGTGGGGTGCTTTGTGCATTATGGTCTCTGGTTAAGTGCTTTCCTTGTATTATTTCATTGAATCCTAGTAACAATTTATGTGGTCATTACTGTTATGCCCTCCATATTACAGAAGAGAAATGGAGGCACAAGGTGATACCAAAGAACCAAATCAACTTCATCTCCCATGACTACTGAGCTTCACCTAACCATTCTGCCTTATACATATTGCCTGGCACACTCACTTTCTCCTTTCTGATTCACTTCCTTCGAGGCCCCGCCTTCTTCAAGAAGCCTTCTCTGACCCCAGGCCACAATGATCTAGATTCATGTAGCACTTGGTCACTGTACCATCTTTAAACAATTATTTTTATTGTGTGTCTCACCTCCCCAAAAAGGTGGTTTTTTGTTTTGTTTTGTTTTTTTGAGACAGAGTCTCACTCTGTTGCCCAGGCTGGAGTGCAGTGGTGCGATCTCAGCTCACTGCAACCTCTGCCTCTCGGGTTCGAGAGATTCTGGTGCCTCAGCCTCCCGAGTAGCTGATATTACAGGTGCACACCACGACGCCTGGCTAATTTTTGTATTTTTAGTAGAGACAGGGTTTCACTATGTTGGCCAGGCTGGTCTTGAACTTTTGACTTCAAGTTATCAGCCCACCTCAGCCTCCCAAAGTGCTGGGATTACAAGTGTGAGCCACTGTGCCCAGCCCACCTTCCCAAAAAGGTTTTAAGCTCTACATCTGACACTTCTCTCTACCCTCCACAATGCTAATACCTTGTATTAACAAGGCATTCAATATCTATTTGGTAGCCAGGCGTGGTGGGATGCACCTGTAGTCTCAGGTACTTGGGAGCCTGAGGCAAGAGGATCGCTTCAGCCCAGGTGTTGGAGGCTGCAATGAGCTATGATTGTGCCACTGCACTCCAGCCAGGGCAATATAGTAAGACCTTGTCTCTGAAAAAATTAAATTAAGAAATTATCTATTTGGTCATGAATTTGTTGATACCCAATAGTGTCTGACACATATGAAGCACCTAATAAATAGTTTTTGAGAAGTAATATGAATGAGAGAAAACAAAACATAAAAAACAAATTAATGAAAAAATCTTATGCATAATAAATGAATGCAATCCATTTGTTAGCTGTAAGAGATAGTCTGGTAGATTTGAGAATACAATTGGACTAAGATATCAAAAATAAAATATTTTCTCTTCCTTTTGTTCTAACACACATAGTGACCTTGACCTCCTAGCAATTATTTTAATATTGTATGTGCTTTCTTAGGTCAAATCCTCATTTGATTTGATGTTCTCCCACTGCAGAGGAGGAAAAATCCCTCCTGGAAGAGTTAAGGATTTAAGGACTTTTGGACTCTGGATATATAACAAATGGCTCTTTTTGTGCCAAAAAAATTTTAAAGGGCACTAGAAGTGAGTCATACATCAACCAGTTGAACTTGCAACCCCGATATCATATCAAGGCACTTCAGCGTTTAATTGCTGAGAATGGGGAGGAGAGAGCTAGAGGAATGTGACCAAATTGAGCCAAAAAGATGCATAAAGGTGGGTGTCCCAGGAGTTGGCCAAGAATCTGCAGCAATTTTTTAAAAAATGAAAAACCACCCTGAAGATTAAATTCCTCCATATATCATTATATCTCTTAGGAGAAATAGTTCTAAATACCAGGGGAAGGCTATGTCCAATATCACAGCTATCTAAACCCACATTAAATTCCTTCATTGATATGAAAAGAAGTTGAATAAAGCAGATGTCTCTAGCAGCTACTTGGGAAAGAGAGAATGTAAATGAATAGGGGTCTGTTAGGATTGTGGTTTCTGTCTAAAGGATCATGTATTCTCTATGACATCTTAAAACTTCTCTCTAATACTTTTCCAGGAATTGAAGAGTGGCAGCAAGGTACCTCCTCATTAACTAGAAACCACAAATTGACGAAATTAATCACTATGATAAGGCTTGTCCTGTTTTAACTTGAATACCAAGAACAAAGCAAATTACAAGTGCTAAATGTTCACTGCACCCAAACAACCAACAGAGCGTTGGTTTTTTGTTTTTTGGGGTTTTCTTTTTGAAAAAAAAAAGGGGATGAGGTCTCGCTTTGTGCTCAGGCTGGAGTGCAGTGGCACAATCATAGCTCACTGCAGCTTCAAACTCCTGGGCTCAAGCGATCCTCCTGACTCAGCCTCTTAAGTTGCTGGGATTACAGGCACATGCCACCACACCCAGTACAACAGAGCTTCTGCAAGAACTGCATGATGCATCCTCTTCAGTGAGAGGAAGTGCTTGGGCACAGAGCACTGTGACTCGTGGAGTGATGCACATTATTCGCAGCTTTCCTGTAGTCCAGGCTCCTCAGGGCAAGTTTCTCAGCCAACAATGAGGTTATACTCAGCAAGCACTTCTGGGAAAATATGCCCATTTCAGAAGGTGGTACAGATTATATCTTAACAACTGACCAGAGCAGGGGGAAAGCTATATATTGGGGAAAATATAAATTTTTATCCTATAAATATGTGGTCTTATAATCTTCCAATACGAAGAACTCAGCCTAGTTCCTCTACTAGCCCCTCTTTTCCCTACAGCCCATCGACTTGAATGCACTGCAAGTCATTGCAAGAACTGTCGACTTGAATGTTCTTGCAAAACTTGCTGGCAAGCTAGCTAGGAAGGTTAAACTGTCTACAGCAACCCATATACAAATTAGTTTGGCTATATTATTTAGATTGCATTAAAGGCCATGTGGTTGCTTTCTCAAAAGATCTTATAAAGTTGGAATCTTCTAATTCCCTTTTATCAACTGCACTTTGCTGAGTCTCTTCTAATACTCTTTCCTTCGTTTTATTTTTGCACTTTCTCTCACGATGTGATTCCTCCCTTCCTTGCTATTAGAGTCCTCCCTCCCTCCCTTTTTTTTTTTTTTTGAGACAGAGTGTCGCTCTGTCACCCAGGCTGGAGTGCAGTGGCACAATCTTGGCTCACTGCAACCTCCACCTCTTAAACTCAGGTGATCCTCCCACTTAAGCCTCCAGAGTAGCTGGGACTATAGGAGTGCACCACCACGCCTAGCTAACTACCTTTGTATTTTTTGTAGAGGCGAGGTTTCGTCATGTTGCTCAGGCTGGTCATGAACGCCTGGGCAGATTCCTTTATTTCTAACAGTCAAAATGTCCAGCAAAACAACTCAGACCTATTTCTAAGATCAGTTTAAAGTTGCGCATAATTTCAAACTTTCCAAAGAACTGACTGTAATTTTTTTTTTAAGAGATCGAGTATTGCTCTGTCAGTCAGACTGGAGTACAGTCATGCAATCACAGCTCACTGTAGCTTTGACCTCCCAGGCTCAAGCGATCCTCCCACCTCAGCTTCTCAAGTAGCTGCAAATACAGGCATGCGTCACCATGCCCAGCTAATTTTTTTATTTTTTGAAGAGACAGGGCTCGCTATGTTGCCCAGGCTAGTTTCGAACTCCCAAACTCAAGCCATCTTCCTGCCTTGGCCTCCCAAAGTGCTAAGATTACAGGCATGAGCCACTATGCCCAGCACATAATTTTTAAAATTTAGAAATTTCTTAATGAATAAAGACGCTTAAACGTACACCTCTCTCTAAAAGGCACCAAGATGCCTTGCTTTTATTCCCTAGCAATTCCAGAGGGAACTGCAGGCCAGTGTCAAGCCACAGGGCATCAAATAAGCTCAGCTAAAACACAGGGAAGAAGCTTGGCTTATGGAGGCTGTTATTTGCCACTGAGTCATGGTTAATAACCAGATCTGCTCTTGCTTCCTAGTTAGTTTGCCATGAGTTTGCAGGGGCTATCGAAGCTTGGATTTTCCAAAAAGAAAAGATTCTTTGCTCTCAACTCTGCAAGCTCTGGCCCTGAGGTGCTGGTTGCTAAATCTACCAATGCTTCTTACCAGTGTGGGCTGGAGTTCCTAGCGGGCAGGGAACTCCAGATGCTCTAAGGATAAACCTGCCTCCAGGATTGGGGAAATGACTCAGATAATAGCACACCTGAGTCATCTTCCCATTTGCTTATGAGCTTCATTAGTATTCTTCACTTCAAACATTACCATAGTAGAAAAAAAATACATAGAAACTTTCCTCTCAAACTCTGTCAACCCTTTGTCTCAGTTCTTCTGCCTCTGCCTTTTCCAATTATCCAAGAGCTGGGTCAGCTGCTCACCTCATCTTTAGCTTTAGCCTCCTATGCCTGAAACAATCCAGACGTGATGCAGGAAGAACTTATATGATCCCCCACCCTGTAACAGAGCACTGAAAGGTACAAACCAGACTCTCCCAGTGTGCCTTTGTTCATAGGCCTGGACTTGTGCTTTGGCCTTCACTTCAAGTTCTAGCCTGGAAACTATAAAACTGCTCCCCCTTTTCAATCCTCTGCCCCATACACTCACTTGCCCTGTATTGATACAGAAAGAGAACATGAAAAAATGATGTGTCAACACTGCAGTTCCAACTAATTTCAATAATGTTGAACTAAATAACAGTTAAAACACTTTTTTTTTTTGAGATAAGGTGTCACTCTGTCACCCAGGCTGGAGTGCAGTGGCTCAATCTCGCCTCACTACAGCCTCGACCTCCCAGGCTGAAGTGATCCTCCTACTTCAATGTCCCAAGTACCTGGGACTACAGGGGAGCACCAATTCACATGGCTAATTTTGTTCATTTTTGTAGAGACAGGGTCTCGCTATGTTGCCTAGGCTGGTCTTAAACTCCTGGGTTCAAGTGATCCTCCCATATTGGCTTCCCAAACTGCTGGGATTATAGGCATGAACTACCACGCCTGGCCCAAAATACAATTATTAGAGGAAAAAGTAATCTTGGCAAAATGCCTCAGAAGGTTCTAGCTGAACCTTCCTCTGATTCCCATTCTAGCTGTGACAAATTCTGAAATACAACACTACTGCTATGGCTCAGGAGATGAAATCAGAAGAGTTTGAAATTCAAAATGGAGATTCATAATTTATAATGGAAAAGAGTGGGGATAAAGGAAACTCATAACCAGAAACAGCTCCCAAACCTCAATATGGCCTTTGCATTTCAAAGTATTTCCTATTAACTTTTTTTAAGCTGTGTAGTAGCCAGGCATGGTGGCTGATGCCTGTAATCTCAGAATTTTGGGAGGACAAGGTGGGAGGATCACTTGAGTCCAAGAGTTTGAGACCAGCCTGCACAACATAGGGAGACCCCATCTCTATCAAAAACAAACAAACAAACAAACAAAATTAGCTGGGCACGGTGCTATGTGCCTGTGGTCCCAGCTACTTGGGAGGCTGAAGTGGGAGGACTGCTTGAGCCTGGGAGTTTGAGACTGCAGTGAGCCGTGATCACGCCACTGCACTCCAGCCTGGGCGACACAGTGAGACTGTCTCAAAAACAAATAAATAAATGATAAAAATAAACATAAAAGTTGTGTAGCTTCATATGACCAATTAACTTGGTTTATTCCTCTTTTCCTTCCTTTGCCTGATGTTTGGTAGAGATTTTAAAAAGAAAGAAATAGGCCGAGCACAGTGGCTCACACCTGTAATCCCAGCACTTTGGGAGGCTGAGGTAGGTGGATCACTTGAGATCAGGAGTTCGAGACGAGCCTGGCCACATGGTGAGACCCCGTCTCTAATAAAAATACAAAAATTAGCCAGGCATGGTGGCGTGCACCTGTAATCCCAGCTACACAGGAGGCTGAGGCAGGAGAATGGCTTAAACCCGGGAGGTGGAGGTTGCAGTGAGCTGAGATTGCACCTCTGCACTCCATCCTGGTGCAACAGAGCTAGGAGCCATCTCAAAAAAAAAAAAAGTTTTATATGTTAATGATCACACACACACACACACACACACAGAATATGAGCAGCTGAGGATAAAAAGAGGCAAAGCAAAGAGCCTAGCTCAGCTGCAGCAAAACAACAATTAGCTGGAGACAAGTGGCAGCTGTCCCCTTCAGCTGTGGGCTATGTGGTCACCAGGTTGCCTCGGACCCATCACACACTCTATGAATTTATGGCTCCCGCCTGGTCACTGTTAGTGCTAGAGTTTCCAAGCTCAGGGATAAGAAACACACAAGCTGAACAATCAACCTTTGCCTAACTAATTGTATTAGTTTCCTATTGCTGTTGTAATAAATTAGCACAAATTTGATGGCTTAAAATAGCACAAATTTATTATCTTATAGTTTCGCAGGTTAGAAGTCTGACATGGGTCTCACTGGGCTAAATTCAAGGTGTCAGCAGGGCTATGTTCCTTTCTGGATGCTGCATGGGAGAATCCATTTTCTTACCTTTTCCGGCTTCTAGAAGCTGCCTGCATTTCTCGGCCTGTGAGTCTTTTCTGTACCCTCAAAGCCAGCAAGACAGCATCTCTCTCTGGCCCTCCTTCTGTTCTCACATCTCTTTCCCTGACTATCCTTACATCTCTTTCCCTGACTGTCCTTTTCTGCCTCCCTCTTCCACTTATGGGGTTCTTGAAATTGCACTGGGCCCACCCGCATAATTGTGGATACCGTCCCTCCTGCCGATTAGTAATTTTAATTCCTCTTTGCCATGTAGGGGACCATTGACTGGTTCCAGGGATTAAGACATGGACATCTTTGAGAGGCCATCAATTCCTCCTATCACATCAATCAATCAATGTGTATTTCACAAATTATGAGAGAAAATGTAAAGCATGTGCTTTTTGGCTTATAATATATGGACTCCTACAAAATTAGAAGTTGTTTGTAAGGCAAATTAAAGTTGAAAGGTATTAAACTAAAGGAATCTGTGGCGAATTATTCTGTAAAGATATTAATTTCCTAACATCTTATTTTATGAATCCAGATTTTTGCACATTTACTTAATGTGAGGCTAAGGCTTAAATGTGGTTAAAACCATTCATTCCTTCATGCATTTATTTATTTAATTTAGAGACAGCATCTAATTCTGTTGCCCAGGCTGGAGTGCAGTGGTGTGATCATAGCTCACTGCAGCCTCGAACTCCTGGGCTCAAGCGATCCTCCTGCCTTGGCCTCCCAAAGTGCTGGGATTACAGGTATGAGCCTCCTGCCTGGCCCTATTTGAATATTTTGAGAATCTGCGGGAAAGGGAATGCAGTCAAAAACGATACAACCATTTTCTGATAATCCACACAGAAATGTAACCTTCACGTACATTTCTGAACCTGATAACTCTGGCACGAAATATATTGTTAATAAACCCTTGAGTCTCATTCAGCTAGTGAGCACTGATAGTATACTGGTTAAGAGCATAGGCTCTGACATCAGCCTGCCTAGGTTCAAATCCTACCTCTGAAAACTTGGAGCTGTGGGACCTTGGGTTAATTATTGAATTTCTCTGAGCTTCACTTTCCAAATCTATAAACTAAGAATAGTTAGCAGTACCTATTGCATAGGGCAGCCATGAGAATTAAACAAGATACAGAATATAAAACACCCAGTATGGTGTCTGGTACGTATTAAGTCCTTAATAAATGGTTTCTCTTATTATCACCACTTGCTGATGCCCATGCTTAGGTGCAAGCGATATACAGGAAGTATCCTACAACTTGGATTCATTATTTTCAGGGCTTGAAAATGAAAGTGAGAACAGGACATGATCACCAAAGGGAAGGCAGCAGGCAAAATATTAAATTAAGATAAAATTTGAGTCTTCCCTTGGTAGATACCCACGGTTTCTACTTGCAGCCTGTGTGAAAGATAGAATGACCTTCAATACTTAATGCAAGTGTGAATCATCCTCAGAAAACCACATGATTTTATATTGAATATCTGAAAGAACAGTTATATTTGGTATCAGAGCATAATTTGTTTTTCTGCTCAGAATCCTCATGTAGCTTGTTTTCCCTTTGGATTTTAATGGCTCTTTACAGCCTCCCAAATAAGTGAACCTCATGTCCAAGGTGTTCAAGGCTCTGCACAATTTTATCCTTTTTTGTAAAAAAAAAAAAAATTATCTATTTATTTTTGAGATACACTCTCCCTCTGTTGCCCAGGCTGGAATGCAGTAGTGCCATCTTGGCTCACTGCAACCTCCATCTCCTGGGATCAAGGGATTCTCCCACCTCAGTCTCCTGAGTAGCTGGGACTACAGGTGTGTGCTATCACGCCAGGCTAATTTTTGTAGTTTTTGTAGAGATGGGGTTTCATCATGTTGCACAGGCTGGTCTCGAACTCCTGCCCTCAAGCAATCCACCCACCTCGGCCTCCCAAAGAAGGAGGGACTACAGGTGTGAGCTACTGCACCCAGCCCAATTTTATCCTTTTCAACGTTTCAACTTTTAGCTCACTTAAACCCCTTATGCAAACTCACTATCCTGTCAAACTACAAAACTTTCTAGTTAGACTGTTCTCACTGCACTAAAGGACTGCTTTGTATACTAGTTAAAATAGTATATTTCTTGTCTAGTCTAGAGGCTGAGACCAAGGACCACATCTTAGATATCTACATATTTCCCCACAGTGACTAATATGTAATAAGTACCTAATTAATATTTGCTAAAGAAATGGATTACTTGTCCTTCCACTCATTAAGGTCATTTCTACATATGAAACTTTGATGCCCATTTTTCAAAGCTATTTTCCTCCTTCAACTGACAGCCTCCTTTTTAAACATCCTGATTCACCAGATAATCATTACATTATATGTCTTTAAAAAGTTGCACTTCTAAATTTATCCTGATGTTTTAGATTTTTTAAATTCCATACGTCTGTGAGAATCCTCTCCTTTTTTTTTTTTTTTTTTTTTGCTAGGGCTCTTTGTAAAATAAATATTGTTTCCAGATAGACTACTTATGCCAATATCATTAAAATGATGGAATAATATAATAACTACTTCCTACCTTCATGGTTACTGTGATGGTACTATTTACATTTGCTTTATGCAACCAGCCTTGTTTTATCACACCACCCTTCTGAGAACATAAAGAAGATGAGTCCTGAAATAGAACAAAAATTATCAGTAAAACAACAGCCAGCCTGCCATCTAATTAGCGAAACATTTAGGGGCACAGAATGAGGCCCTGCCCATTTCCTAATTAAAACATAAAGTCCCCTCTTCCCCGTGAGGATTTAAAATAGTTGACTGTAGAATGAAAGGCTCTGTGCTATGCACACAGTAGGCACTCAGTATTTACTGAATGGTATGGGCTCTCTTCTGGGAAATCTTCTGCATTATGTAAACAGTCGAACTGCACCTCGAAATGTCACAGACATCCGGGCCATCTGTCCCAAGAGGAATCTATCAGGCAGGAGAGTCCAGATGAATCACCACACCACATGCCCAACTCAAGAAAAGCAACTCCACAAGCATGTCCCACAGGTGGGGGAACATGTTTATGTACAAATCATAGCCCCTCTCACTTGATTTTTTTTCCTAAACCCTACTTGGAAATACAGTAATTAAAAAAAAAATTGAAAAGCACCCGGTTTGAAAGCTGGCCACAGATCATTCCAGAATAATTATTTCCTTCATATTTTCTCAAGAAATTCCCTTTGAAATCTTTTTCAGCAAAGTGACCGTGAGGAAACTAGCACAGTTACCCCAACTGTTGCCCCCATTCTTACCTCATCTTTCTCACAGTCTTCATCTATCTCAAATACATGATTAGGAATCTTTTCTGGTCTCAAAGATTTACTGCAAATATAAGAGAACTGTCTTAGACACTAAAAAGACCAAAAAAAAAAAGAAAAACAACACAAAAACACAACAATAATGACAACAACAGTAAAAGCAAGATGAGCAGATTTCTTTCTTTCACAAACGAGAAAATGCCAAGACATCCTATTCTCCTTTCCAAATTCAGATTATCCCCTCTGAGTAAACTTACTGTAAGTTTGTGTTTCTGTAAGGACTTCCACATATGTGGCCAGCAGCGAAGACATAACTAAGCCCAGAAACTTAGGGAGGGCAGAAGTTGCTAAGGAACCTGTGCCAGAGCTGTTAGTGGTGGCAGAACTTCTCCTTCCCCGGGTCAAAAAGCAACACAGGCCAGGCGTGGTGGCTCAAACCTGTAATCCCAACACTTTGGGAGGCAGAGGCGGGTGGATCACCTGAGGTCAGGAGTTCAAGACCAGCCTGGCCAAAAGGGTGAAACCCCGTCTCTACCAAAAATTAAAAAAAAAAAAAAAATTAACTGGGGGTGATGGCGGGTGCCTGTAAGCCCAGCTACTCAGGAGGCTGAGGCAGAAGAATCACCTGAACCCGGGAGGCAGAGGTTGCAGTGAGCCGAGATCGCGCCACTGCACTCCAGCCTGGGTGACAAGAGCGAAACTCTGTCTCAAAAAAAAAAAAAAAAAAAAAAAAAAAAAAAAGCAACAGTGTAATTCTGGCTCTTGCATTTGTTTGCTGTATGACCTTGGACTGGTCATTTTAGGACTCTGTTTTCTTTTTCTTTTTCTTTTTTTTTCCCAAGGACCAGGCTGTCATATAGGACTCAGTTTTCTCCTCTTTTGGAAAGTGCTCTGAAAACTACAAAAGGCTAAACAAATGTCTTATTCCTCTGCTATTTGTTCCAAAAACATTTCCCATATGACATCCTGTGAGGAATTAGTGCTAGAGATGAGAAAATGGAGAGCTCAAACAGGTTAAGTGACTGAGCCATGGTCATCCAGCTAGTAAGTGGTAGAAATAAGATTTGAGCCCCAACAGTCTGGCTCCTGGGCCAGTGTGCTCATGCCATTCCTTCAATTCAACTGAAAGAGATGCACTTTTTCCAAGGGATGGCTAGGTTCATCAAACTGAACTAATTATCATCAAGCTTTTTCACTGACACTACTGGAAAATGCTCACTACATTATCCATCATCAGCTATATTTTAGTTTATGATCAATACAGGTTCACTAAAGCCAAAAAGTGAGCTCTCATACATTTTGGAATTTCAAAGAGGAAAGTTAAAACCTATTCAATTAACCAAAACACTGCATTTAACCAAACATGCAGGTTCCTTGAAGATTTGCTTTATTACAAATTATAACTGAAAGGTTTCACAAGTGGTGTTTGTTTGTTTTGAGATGGAGTCTCTATCTGTCGCCCAAGCTGGAGTGTGATGGCATGATCTCCGCTCACTGCAACCTCCGCCTCCCGGGTTTACAACATTGTCCTGCCTCACCCTCCCAAGTAGCTGAGACTACAGGCGCCTGCCACCACGCCCGGCTAATTTTTTGTATTTTTAGTAGAGACAGGGTTTCACCGTGTTAGCCAGGATGGTCTCGATCTCCTGACCTTGTGATCTGCCCGCCTCGGCCTCCCAAAGTGCTGGGATTACAGGCGTGAGCCACTGCACCCGGCCTCACAAGTGGTTTTAACAAGGTAAAAAAGCTTAATAATTCTCCTGTTGCATGTTTCCCTGGAATGCTAAACTTACCATGGCAACATTCGAAAGTCCCCAGAGAAGTCCTCATACTTGTAGTTTACCACGTGCCAATCTGTGCTATAGGTTTTAATACACTGAAAGAAAATAGGAATCTTGAATTTGAAATATAGGAAAAGTACATATATATCCACTTTTTAAAACTCTGGTACTATGCCGACAGGCTTTCTAAAACCATTTGGCAATTACTAGTACTGGGATCTTCCTTTATGGGTTAACTGTGTCTCTCTTACCCAGTTGGTGGCAATAAATCCCAATTCATATGCCCTTTGAATACTCTGACTCTCAGTGCAAAGAGTATTCAAATCCAAAAGGAAAACACTAAGGTCATATGCACCTTGTGGAAATGTTTAAGCTTTATCATCATATAGACTTGTTAACAGCATATAAACTTGTTATTTAGGACAGTTAATGTTAGTTATTTTATTTTACCTTTACATTAAAGGAAGACTACTTTAAATATTTTACATTTATGTATTTATAAACAGGTTACAAATACATAAAGACATATAAATACTGTATATATTTTAAATATATGAAGAATATTCTTCTGTGGCCTTTGAGCCTCTTACCTCTTTAACAAATAAACTCTGGGCCCTCTTTTCAGCATCTTCTGGTACAGTAGACTGCACCGTTCTGCGTTGACGACCTATCACCGAGATCTAGAACACAAAGAACATTTTTGCTGTAAGAACTGGCTTGAAAAATAGGGGTTTTTTTCTTTAAAGAAGTGTTTGTGAACTCACAGATATATCTTCCATTGGGAACATAAGCAGATCTCGGAGGGGGTCGCTGTAAATCTGGGTTTTTCTTTGGGCAATAACATTCTCATAGTCCAGGGGCTCAACAACTTTGGCCTTTTCCTTTATAAGAGACAAAAGTAAAGTTATTATGATCAAACTCACAAGAGTTAAATAACTTTCTATGTACTAAAGATACATTACTTCTCAAAGGAAGGGATTACTGATACTTTTAAGTACTTAATTGAGACAGTTTCACAAGAGAAATAGTCTTCATAGCTAGACACACACCACAAACACATACACACACACACACACACACACACAAACACACACACACACACACAGACATTCTCTTGCTAAAGATAAAGAGTTCTGGCTGGGCATGGTGGCTCATGCCTGTAATCCCAGTACTTTGGGAGGCTGAGGAAGGTGGATGACTTGAGCCCAGGAATTAGAGATCAGCCTGGGCAACATGAGAAAACCCCATCTCAACAAAAAGTACAAAAATTAGCTGGGTGTGATAGCCCATGCCTGTAGTCCCAGCCACTCGGGAGGCTGAGGCAGGAGGATCACTTGAGCCTGGGAGGTTGAGGTTGTAGTGATCCGTGATTGTGCCACTTATATCTGGGCAACAGAGCAAGATCCTGTCTCTCCAAAAAAAAAAAAAAAGTTCTGGAGAAATAGAACTGTGTTATTCTACTTAATCTGTGTGCCTTCTAAAAATTATTGAATTTTAAGTAAAACAAAAAGTGGCATACTTGGAAGTGTGCCTGTTGGTATTTACTGCATCTGTACTACTCTCTGGGCAACGTTGGAGGAGAAAGTATCAACATTCATGTTCCTACTCTGTACCAGGGACACTGTCCCATGGGCATACTAAGTTCCAGCATATCCAGGGCAGGCATAGATACTAGAGATGCTTGATCCCTTGGGCAGGTTATGAAAGGGTTAGGTTCAAGGTGACAAAGTCAGTGGATCCCTGCTGGACTTCTAGGCGAGCTGGCCATTGACAGTAGGACCCAGACTGAAGCTAAAGTAACAAGAAGCAGGGTCAGTGATGCTAAGAAAGCCAGGATGTAACATAATAAGAGTAGTGGTAACAGTTCACATTTACTGAGCCCTTTCTATATGCCAGGCACTGTGCTAAGCGCTTTCTGTACATTTTTTCATGTAACACTCATAGCAATATGAAACAGATTGAATCATTATCCCCATTTTACAGATGCAGAGACTCTGGACCTAACTGAGGTTAAGTAACTTGCCTGCCTTCAGAACTGGAATTCAAACCCAGGTCTGTGACTGCAAAGGCTCTGCTTTTCTTTTTCCCCTCAGAAATACACAAAGACGGCACCCACTTCTGCACACCCATGGCTGACCCTGCAGCTGTGTGTACACATGCAACTGACTTCAATGTCTATCATCACTAGTTTTCATTGTCACAGGTGTGCATGCCATAAGCCTCAACCCCCACAGCCATATGAGGTGACCCTGACTTCCACCACTGGCCATCACTACTGTACATGCACCCACAGCTGTCATGCATGCACACCACCAGCCCTTGACCCCTGCAACTGCGGGGGAGCGGGGGGCGGAAAGAAAAAGAAAGAAATATACCAAGATTCTCATGTGCATGGTACTGAACTGGGAATGGGATCCCACTATTTACCTTCCTATCATTTTTTTTCCTTCATTGAACTTACCACAATCTGATATACCATCTATTTCACCTCTCTGACTATTTGAGGGCAGGGATTTTCTTTTATTTGTTTACTTCTTTAATCCCAGCACTTAGAATACCTGGCACACGGTAGACATCCAGTCATTAATTGCTGATGAACTTTGAGATATTCAGATTCAACCAGAGCCATGTCTCAACACTCTATTCTAAACCAAGGTGGGCAGACAGTAGTAATTTTTAATGATGATGTTTCATATGAAATTATTTCCTTAAAATTTTATAATAAAAACTGTATAAAAACCCCAAATATAATTTATATTAAGACTTAATATTATAATAGCATCGGGATTATACTTGTATTTTTGTACATAGTATTTGAGGTAGTCTCTAGTATCACTACATCCATAGAAAAGTTGAGAATAGTTTTTATACATGGTTCACAACAGGTCACAGCTATACCCAATTTCCATATCGGAAGGGCATCTCAGAGTTTCCTGTAGAAGATTATTTAGAAAGATTAAAGTAAACTACTCTGACCAATGAGCTCAGTGTTCAACAAATCTAAAAGATCCTAACCTTTATGCTTTATTTCAAGTCTTAAATTTGGATTTGTAGACCCATGTCTACAAAGATCAAAGCAAGTTGATCATCCCTCTCATGTCTGCAAATACTACTGCAAAATGAGTTGAAATAAAAGGAAAAAATCCTATTTGAGAAATTCAGATTTTCTGACAGAAAAATCTGACCCCTTTCGGCCATATCTACCGTGTTTCCATGGACTCAAAAGGAAACTGACTGCATCTTCCAGCTCTAACGCTCACAGTCTGAGATCAATTTCTCAGAGAAGTTGAATGAATAAGTCCTATCTAAGAAAGCAAGCTTGAGGCACTAAAAATAATCTAAGTCTTGCTTTTGGTGCCAACTATTTTCCTAGTACAGATTGCAAAAACAGTCCTCAAATTTCAATGTTTTAACCTGTTGAATCTGTCAACTTCTCTGTACAATAATTTTACAAGTACCTACTTCAAGTATATTTGAAAAAGAAAAAAAAGAAAATCCTCCTTCAGCTTTCTTTTTTCTTTTCTTTTCCTTTTTTTTTTTTTTTTTTTTTTTTTGAGATGGAGTTTTGCTCTTGTTGCCCAGGCTGGAGTGCAATGGCGTGATCTCAGCTCACTGCAACCTCCACCTCCTGGGTTCAAGCGATTCTCCTGCCTCAGCCTCCCGAGTAGGTGGGATTACAGGTGCCTGCCACCACACCCAGCTAATCTTTGTATTTTTAGTAGAGACAGGGTTTCACCATGTTGGCCAGGCTGGTCTCGAACTCCTGAGCTCAGGTGATCCCCCCGCCTTGACCTCCCAAAGTACTGGAATTACAGGCATGAGCCACCATGCCTGGCCCTCCTTCAGCTTTCTAATGTAGCTCCAAATTAATATGGAAAGAATATGTCAAAATGAATCACTTATTTTTTTAATTTATGGGGTACAAAGTGGTGTTATGATTTTTAATACAATGTAGAATGATGAAATTAAGCTAGTTATATCTATCACCTCAAATATTTAACATTTCTTGTGATGAGAACATGAGAAATTTATTCTTAGTGATAAGATGTACAGTACTCAATTATTAGGCATATTCAGCATGCTATACTATTGATCTCAAAAAAACCAAACTTATTCTTCCTGTTTAACTGAGACTTTGTATCCCACCATTGACTACCATCTCCCCCACTTTGCCCCCAGCCCCTGGTAACCACCATTCTACCCTGCTTCTATGAGTTTGATTGTTTTAGATTTCACATATAAGTGAGATCATGCAGTATTTGTCTTTCTTTGCCTGACATACTTCACTTAGCGTAATGTTCTCCAATTCCTGAATTACTCATTTATTTAAAAGTATATACCTTCTAAAAATGAAACACAGCTTACCACATGTTTTGAAGGACATATATTTATGTTATAGAAAACAAAGTTTCACTTTTCATTTAAAACTGATTAAACTAAGCATTCTGGGTCTTCACGCCTACTTTTTTTGTCAGGGGTAGCTCAATTGCGGAAAAGTTAGGGTGGCTACTCTGGGTCCCACAAAGCTTCCCCTAATAGAAGATTTAGGCCTGTGAATCAGGATTCATCTCTCCAAGAAGAAAGATGAGAAGGGACTGAACCCTGCATTTCCCTTCTAGTAGGATTCAGTTATAACTCTGCAGGCATCAGAGACAAAGAAAACCTTTTGACCTATAGAATTATCATGATTTAATGGTGGTTCTGCCCTGCAGTCTCCATCATATCCCTTATCTAACTTTCTCATTCAGCTTTCTCATTCTATTATTAGACTTATACATAAAAGCTTCCAATACACTCAAAGAGGGTCTTTCTTTCAGCTTTGTAATTTATCCTTTCTGCCAGTGTGCACTGATTGGCCTGCAAAGGTGCTTTTTCATAACTCCAAAAACCCGTTACAATAAATGGTACCTTAAACATTCAAATAATAGCAACTTCCATACAGTTCCGGAGCAGTGCTAAGTAAAAGGCGAAGGCATTTATGCAATCTGGAGAGAAGTGAGCATATGTTTCAGTCTTCTTCCCGTAAGTAGTGACAGGAAAACCGTCAACCTAAATTTGGAACCAACTCAGTTTTCACCATGGGGAAAACAAAACAAAACAAAATGATTTGTTCTTAAAAGTTTTCATTCACTGACTCCTAAGTTTTCTTGAATAACTTGCTAATAATATTAGTATTTTTTGTTAATTCATTTCAAGGTCACTTTGCAGTCTTAAGAAAACACTTTCATATGCATTCTGTTTGTTACCAAACGCTTTGTCAAGTAGACAAGGAAAATACCATCATTTCAACTTTATCCATCAGGAAACTGGCTCAGAGGCCTAAGTTCATCTGTCTACATTAGGAGCTGAACCAGGATTCAAACCCAGGTCTCCCAACTCCTAATCCTTGTTTCTATTAGTTTCCCGAACTTATTCACATATAATCCTCATATTTGCCACACCATCTGTATTATCATTTACTTCATATTTTTCTTCAAATCAAATATCTTCTTCATTGAAAACATTTATTGAAAAAGAAAGCTTCATATCATCCCATAAAGGAGAATAAATTGCATTTTTCTATCTCTAGTAAAATAAAAATGCCAATTTTGGTACCATGGTGTGGGATGCAGTACACTTTTCCGTTGCTTACTCAGGCCACTAAGGACCAAATCTCAATGAGCTTTCTATGTGCAAACTCTACAAATGGGAAGAAATGCACAGCTCCATAAATTGAGATAATTTTATTTCTAATATAAGTGGAAAGGACAGATAGCAAAAAAGGAAACTCGTCAGAATAGATTCAGTTGCAGTCCACTTCTTGGTCCAAAGAGAGGAAACAATGGATCCTCACTGAGGGTCACTAATAGCATCACCACTTAGACTTTACAATTTTGTGGTGGTTCCTGTACATTCGCAGTACAGGATGACTGATCTTTTATCATCGTAACTGTATGTGTATAAATATAAAACCATGCTTGTAATACTAAAATACATAAAAATGTACATGAATGTATATATTCAACCATCCAACCACTCATGTATCCAAAAGCACATTTGACTAGCAGGCATATTTATGTTATCATTAGAAATGTGTAAGACACAAGAATAATCACATAATATTTATCTGTAAGCAATGCAAAATGAGCCTGGGTTACTTCTGCTTAAATACCATACCAAAGGTCATTAGTTTACCGGTAAATCTTTTACTTTAGAAACTAGTTCTCCTTAAGAATTCTAAGAATGTCTCTTCTGCAAGTCTGAAGTGAACACTGGCATCATAGAATCTCTCCTTTATCACACTGGGAGGGATACCAGAAAGCAGGCAGAAAGCTGAGCAGTAGGGCACAGAGCCAATTCAAAAACATCCCTGCACCACCACGCCACCACTACCACCACCCCATCCTCCAAACTGAGTTTCAGCACAAGGAGGAACATGGCAACTACTGGTTTCAGAAAGAGAATGATTAGCCCAAAAGTGCTTTTTTGCAGTATTGCAGTCAGACTACAGCCTCAATGACATCTGAGCATTTTCTTATGAAAAATAACAACAGTCTTGGGATAGAAGTAGCACACTCAAAAAGAGGTGAGTCTCTCCTTCCCATCATTTCTCCACGACCTTCACTTAGGAATTTCTCCAGATCCCCTAGTCATTCGGCTCTCCTTTCCTCTCAGACATTTGTAAGCAGAGCCTAGAGTGCTTTCTCTAGAGAGCATCTTAAAATAACACTTTGCACTCAAAATGGCCACTGGGGGCATGCAATTTCCGGCAGCACAGAAAACAAAGTGAGTTCAGCATAAAGATGCATTTATTGAGTTCCTACTGAGGTTCTGGCCCTGTGCTAGCCCCTGGTAATGCAGAGGTGAATAAAAAAACAGACCTTGCCCTTGAGAAGTTCACAGTCTCGTGGGGAAGGTAGATAAACCCAAGATGTGAGAGCTGATCACAGACTATTGTAATTTCTGTGCATCTATCATGCCCTTTGATAGCCATATCTTCTTCCAAAAAAGGAACTGTACAAGTGTGTTTGCACACTAAAATGTGTGAGTCCCTCTATTCCCCATTAGATCAATCAGAAGAATTTCATCATATCGATTTATGTGGTCTCAGATCATTTCATCTTGCCTTCTAGTTTTATTCATAAACCCTGTAAGATCAGAGACTAGGTAACTGTCAAGAGTGGTGTGTGAATATGAGGAGAAGCAAAAGTTGCATTATGATTCACAGAAGTGAGAGATGCCACCACTGTAGATTAGAGACTTCTAGAGAGGAACCCTATACAGCATGTCAATAATGGAACCATAACTGTAAGGATTTTTTTTTTTTTGAGACAAGGTCTTACTCTGTCGCCCAGGATGGAGTGTAGTAGTTTGATCACAGCTCACTGCAGCCTCAACCTCCCTGGGCTCAGGCAATCCTCCCACCTCAGCCTCCCAAGTAGCTGGGACTACACATGTGTGCCACCACATCAGGCTAATTTTTGTATTTTTTATAGAGACGGGGTTTTGCCGTGTTGCCCAGGCTGGTCTCAAACTCCTGAGGTCAAGTGATCCACCCATCAAGCCTCCCAAAGTGCTGGCATGAGCCACTGTGTCCAGCCTGTAAGAAATTTCTTCATAAGGTTCAAATAAAGAGTATTTGACTTTGTTATGACCATGGCCTGTTTGTTCCAAATGTGACCATCTTTCAGCAGCTCATCTCTTTGTCTCTTCCCCAATAGGAACTCCAATTACTGAAGGAGCTTTGCATAACTACAATCTAATGGTGATGTGGTGGGGCGGGAGGGGCATCTTTTTAACTAGCAGAACCCAACTTGCCAAAATAGACATGAACATCTTTTCATAAAGATTATTTTCTGGGGAAAATCTTGGCATAAGAATCTAAATACAAACTGCATTCAGGACACTGACCTTTCTTAAAGTAAACGGCTAAGGGAAAAGTCATACTTTCCATGAGACCAGTGGGTCATGTTTATTACCAACCCACACTTAGCTCACCTGATTCTTATGATAGCATAGCCCTCCTCGCTCCCCAACAGCCCTTATTGTCTTTCCCATCTATTGTGGCATTTACTCATATATAACATTCCCTGGATACTTAACTGCTTTTTGGGTGGTTTACTTAGTCTCCTAGGCAGGATCAAAAACACCGGTTCGGTCAGCAAACAGTGCCTTGTACTTTCTGTTACCACTTACATTAAGCATTGCTGTATACTCGGTTAAGCGTTTTATATCTATGATCTCATCTAATTCTCCCCAAAATCCTGTGAGAGGTTATTTTATTATGCCCATTTTACAGATGAGGAAATTGAGGCTTAGGCAGGTCCAGTGTCACATATTTGTGGAGCTGGGATTCAAATCTTTATCTGATGGACTCCCAAGCCAGTGCTCTTAACCATGATCCACATAAACCTTTATGCGTTGAACTTAACAAAAGCAAATCATTTTCTCAGCTCCTACCACATTTTATTTCCTTGAATGAACTTTGCATTTTAGAATTTTCTAAAACTTACTCAAACTACGCTATCATTCTTACCAAAGTGAGATCTTGCCTTCCTATCGCCCTGATGATGCTGAACATGACTGGCTTAGAGAGCTTGTAATGTAATTGGATAAGGATCTTTGCATTCCTAAGCTGTTGCTTCCAATTTAGCATTTGTCATCAGTGAGTAGGGATTAGCACCTTAGGTCTTTTACTTGGGGGAAAGGAGTTGGCAGATTCAATTTCAAGTGGTTAAGAATCAAATTACAAAAAAAAACAACAGTACGCTATTGTCAAGGGACCATGTCTAATTCACCTCAATATCCTCCACACAACCTAGCAGAGAGCCCTGAGAACTACAAAGCCAGAAGTTTTTGTGTAGGGATAACCAGCTAAATAGTACAAAGAGACTGCTCTTACACGTATGCCTTCCAAGCTAAAATGGCAGCACACAAGGAGAGAAGGACAAGTTGTTGCTGATGCTTTCAGAATTAAATTTTCACTTCCCAGCTTTAATTTAGGAACAACAACTTAATGTTCTAAGAATCAGCACAATATGATTTCGAAGGCCTTTAAATCTAACATAGAAACATTAAGGAAAAATAAAACCCATTTTTTCCCTTAGAGTTTTAGCATAGGGAAGAAATTGTTTTAACTGCCGAATTATTTCCCCTTTCCAAGTCTATTTAACTATTTACAAAAACTCAAGAGCTACTTTTAAAAACTTACAAAGAATTTACTTTAAAAACAATAAGAAACAAACAAGACTATGCACTATATGATTAGTGCACACTCTATTAACAAACATTTTTCATTACAGCCAGTTCAAATATTATGCAAATAACCTTGATTACCTACAAATGGATAAATAGAATTTTCATGAACTTTCTACCCCAAAACTCAATTTAGCCAAAACTTTACTCGACAAACTTGTTGACAGGTAGGAAAGCTGATTTGAATTCAATTCCTCCTGGCTTTTTGTGCTCACTCTGTGCTAATAAGCATTTAAATGACTCAAAAGTAACACAAAAGAGGTTTAAGAAATGAAAAGAAGGGCTTGAATAATTGAGAGACTAGAATGGCAAAGAGCCTTTTTAAAATTAGAATTTTTTTTCTATTCTTTAGTACACCATTATTGACAGAAAGAAAAAGAAATGTGCCTTGGAGATACATAATGACTTTCTAACAAATCAAAGAATTTAACGAGTTCACAAAGACATACACAAATTATTGCAAATAATTCATTCCTGCAAGGAGAAATTAGACTGTGCTCATTCTATGCCTATCAACTATTTTATAACCTGCCTCAGATCTTAGTGCTCACCTTAAACTTGTAACAACAACAACAACAAAAAGACATCTCTGACTTTTTCCTGAGTTTTATAAACAAAACTCTAACATAACTTGCATTCTTAAGCAGAAAAAACTGTAAAGTGCACAGGCATTCTATAGGTATGTAGATTTAGCCATCTAAATCACTTACATTCAATAAAACATAACCTCCTAGAGGTCCTGTTTGTATCATTTGAACACAGTAGCATAAACTTACTCCATTAGAGAAGCTCAGTAATCTATAAAGCAGCCACACATCATTTTCCACACTGGATCTGGCAATCGGTCTACCCATCTCATTAACTTGCTCTTGATAATGGAGTAAAGAAAACTGACAGACTCTAGTTTGAAAATCAACCTTGATAGGGGCAAAAATACACCTTTCTACAAATATTTTAGTTTTCCACCATCCATCACATTGAATCTATCCATTAATTGAAATTATCTCTACCTTTTTTGGGCCCACCAATATTTTAAGTTTATACAACTGCATGAGATAATATATTCTAAAAGCTATGTAAGGCCAGGCGTGGTGTCTCACGCCTGTAATCCCAGCACTTTGGGAGGCCGTGGTGGGCAGATCACCTGAGATCAGGAGTTAGAGACCAGCCCGGCCAACATGGTGAAACCCTGTCTCTACCAAAAATATAAAAATTAGCCAGATGTGGTGATGGGCGCCTGTAATCCCAGCTACTCAGAAGGCTGAAGCGGGAGAATCGCTTAAACCCGGGAGGCGGAGGTTGCAGTGAGCGGAGACCATGACATTGCACTCCAGCCAGGGCAACAAGAGCGAATCTCCATCTCAAAAATTAATAACAACAAACAAACAAACAAACAAATAAATAAATAAAAGCTATGTAAAGTAAATAAAGTGATAGCTCCTTTGACTTCAGTTTACCTCTTTATCTTTAAAATGTCAGGAGATGCTCCACCTTGTGGTATAACATTTCAGGATATGGTGAGGTGATTTACGTTTATCCTGTATCCCACTCGTGACTAAACAGGCACACCTTCTTTTTTTTTTTTTTTTTTGAGACAGAGTCTCGCTCTGTCGCCCAGGCTGGGGTGCAGTGGCGCGATCTCGGCTCACTGCAAGCTCCGCCTCCCGGATTCACGCCATTCTCCTGCCTCAGCCTCCCGAGTAGCTGGGGCTACAGGCGCCCACCACCACGCCTGACTAATTTTTTGTATTTTTTAGTAGAGACGGGGTTTCACCATGTTAGCCAGGATGGTCTCGATCTCCTGACCTCGTGATCCACCCGCCTCGGCCTCCCAAAGTGCTGGGATTACAGGTGTGAGCCACCCCGCCCGGCCGGCACACCTTCTTCAACTGGGTTTTCTTGGTGAGGTGAGGCAGGTGTCTACAGATGCCTGCCAAAAAGCCCTTCCTGATCATGCCCTGAATTTTACCGTTCTATTGGCCCTAACACATCCTGGTCCTCAGTTGCTCTCGTGTAGCTTCAGTCAAGTTCAATTAAGCTTACAGCATACTCTCCTATTAATAAGTTGTAATTATTTTCCCAATTCTTGTCTCTCTAGAAACCCATGTCTCACTTTCCTGTCCATGTTCTATAACTTTATAGGGTCTCACCGTATGAAAGCTCCAATAGCTTAGCCTCTCTCTATCCTTAGAAAGGGTGTTAAGTCAGACCAGCATCCGTTAAACCATCCCTTGGGTGTTCAGCTTTTTTTTTTTTTATTACACATCCTCCTCTGAAACAAAAAAGCCTGCCCCTATCTATAATCTTTATATTCTTCTTTAAGCCAATTCCCTTCCCTATGACAAACCCCCTATCACCAGAGATACCATTTAAAAGAAGTCTTAAGAGTTGACCTCTATGAAAGGTTTTTTGACTGTCTTAAACAAATAACCTTGAAGTGATGAAAATGTTCTAAAATTGTGGCGATGACTTCACATATCTTTGAATATACTAAAAATGAAAATATACACTTCAGCTGGGTGTGGTGGCTAACACCTCTAATCACAGCACTTTGGGAGGCTGATGCGGGCGGATCACCTGAGGTCAGGAGTTCGAGACCTGCCTGGCCATCATGGTGAAACCCCACCTCTACTAAAAATACAAAAAGTTAGCCAGATGTGGTGGCGGGCGCCTGTAATCCCAGCTACTCGGGAGGCTGAGGCAGGAGAATCACTTGAACTTGGGAGGCGGAGGTTGCAGTGAGCCAAGATGGCACCATTGCACTCCAGCCTGGGCAACAAAGCAAGACTCTGTTTCAAAAAAACAATATATATATATATATATATACACACTTCAAATGGTTAAGCTGTATAGAATGAGGATTATATCTCAAAGGCTGTCAAGAAAAGTAAAACATAAAATTACTCAGCTTCACTTCCTGTTTTTTTTTTTTTTTTTTTTTTTTTTTTTTTTTTTTTTTGAGTATATGGCTCACTGCAGCCCCGAACCTCCTGGGCTTAAGGGATCCTCCCACCTCAGTCTCCTGAGTAGCTGGGACCACAGTCATCCACCACCATACCTGGCTATTTCTTTTTTATTTTTGTAGAGATGAAGTCTCCCTATGTTGCCCAGACTGGTCTCAAACTCCTGGCCTCAAGCAACCCTCCTGCCTGACTCCCAAAGTGCTGGGATTACCAGCATGAGCCACTGCACCCAACCTCACTTCCTTATACATCCAAAAACAAAACGAAACAAAACAACAACAACAATAACAACAAAATCTCCAATATTTAGTAAGAGATGAGTTCTCAGTACAGAAATCATGTTGCTCTTCATTCCAATGGTTAGTTTTCAATGCTTGAGGTTCCTACACCATAGCCATATATTTCACAGACCAGCCTGCTACAAAAGTGAGGCTTGCTGCTCTGTCATTCCCCGAGGGCTCTTCTGGAATCTTATAAACAGAAATAGAAAACATAGAACTTAGTTCTATAGATTCACTGAGCATTAACCATGTGTCAGGCAGTGGAGCTACAAAGCTGGGAAGGCAAAAGCAGGCAAGATGTGGGCCCTGCCCTTAACAAACTCATGGGCTAGAGGGAGAGAGAGATCCCTAAATCAAGAGCTATGATGCAATGGAGTAAGGGCTAGGGTAGGGGATACAGAGAGTGCCATGCAGACACAGGGAAGGGAGTGATTCATATCACTGGTGAAGGCAGTTCAGAGAGGAAATAGCTTTTGAGCTGAGACTCGAAGGATGAAATAAAAATCCCCATGGCAGGCAAGGAAGAGAGCATAAGTCTTAGCAAAGAAGAAGAAAGCCATGTGTTCATTGATTCTGGGGTGTACAGAACAGGGAGGAATGGCCAAGATGAGCTGGGAAGGAACGTTTATGGAGGACCACATATGCCAAGTCAATGAGTTTAGACTGTTTCCTAGTGTAGGTGATGGGGAGCCAGAAGTGGTTTTTAAGCAAGGGAATGACATGAACAGATGTTTTACTCACATTTATCCACTGAAAGCCAGAAGGTCAACGTTAATGGAAATTAATCCATAAAATGACAGCATAGGCTAAAAATTTGTCCTATTGTCTATGTTTTCCAGGAGTAATACACTGAATTATGGAAAACTACTCATTAGAGTTGCATACAAAACTATTGAGGAAAATAAAGTGAGGACTCTGCTTATGTGAAAAGCCTTTCTTTAAGAGAGAGAAAATGTTTGCATTGTCCTTGTGTGACAGAGATTAACCAGAATATTTCATTTGGAAAAGATCAGCTGCCAATCTGTACTTAATTTGTTCCCAACACCTTTCCTATGGCTAATTTGATCCAAAATGGTCCAACTTTTGATGAGAAATATGTTGGATCACAGTATTTCTTTGTTTCAATCCCTTCAGTGGCTCACCAGAGTCTGTAGAATAAAGCTCAAACTGTTCAGCAAGGCTTATTAGATCCCTTGTGATCTGGTCTCCATCTTCAGCCTCCAGCCCCATGTCCTCCAATCAGGGTGGGTAGACCTCCTAATGGGTCATGTTATCTCATATTTGATGATCCTGACCTCTCTGCCTGGTTATGTCTACTCCCCCCACCTCAAGACCCCAAGAGGCTGCCTTATCTACCCAAGTACAGGTGACCACTTCTTCCTATTCAGTGCACCTTCTGAAACCCAGAGCTATTCTATTTCCTACGCTTCCTTCGCCATCCCAGCCCATTTCAGAGGTGCCAAGGTGCAGTGCCTGATGTTTCCTTTTCTGTCTCTCTACCCTCTTAAATGAAAGTTCTGTGATTGTAGTGTCGTTGTCTTATTCACTGCTCTGTCCCTAGCTCTTCAAATGAGCAAAGTACAAATCCATGGTCAATATTTTCCTAACCTTCAGAATTAAGATTTTCTGCCTCTTACAATCTTTCCTAGATGACCACAATCTCTAAAACACTGAAAGGCAAACATTAGGGTAGCTGTCCAAAGGAGCTCTGCTACTGAACACTTTTAATAGTATGAATCATCACTCACTAATTTATCTTTTTGTAAATTCACAATGCCATATATGAAGTTTTCATAGAACAAGGCACCCCACGAAGAAATGCTGGGAGGTAGAAAATAGTATGGGTGGTCGGGCGTGGTGGCTCACGCCTGTAATCCCAGCACTTTGGGAGGCCAAGGCAGGCGGATCACAAGGTCAGGAGTTTGAGACCTGCCTGGTGAGCATGGTGAAACCCCATCTCTACTAAAAATACCAAAAAAATCAGCCAGGCATGGTGGCACGCGCCTGTAGTCCCAGCTACTTGGGAGGCTGAGACGGAATTGCCTGAACCCAGGAGGCGGAGGTTGCAGTGAGCCGAGATCGCGCCACTATACTCCAGTCTGGGTGACAGAGCGAGACTCCATCTCAAAAAAAAAAAAGAAAAAAAAGAAAAAGTAAACAGTATTGGTTGCGCACTTGAATTAAACCTGAGAAGAAGTCGATGACTCAAGCAAAACTCCATTTGTGCTGGTAATAGCTTTCCCCTTGTCAAACTTCCTCCTAAACAACCTCTCTCTCTCTGTCTATCCCACCCACCCTCCCTTCCTTGAAGCTCACATTTAGTCTGTGTGCTAAATGTGCCCACAGGAACATTTTCTTACCTCTTCCCATAAAAGTGCTCCAAAGGCCATGCAGTGTTGAACATACCCAAAAGCCTAGACTAGCTTTGGTTACAAGAAGTAATAGCAAGAAGCACTCGCCCACGCCCTTCCTGAAGCATCCCCATTTTGTAATGCTAACCCGTATCCCCTGCAAATGTTACCATAAGACCTTAGACTAAGAGCAATCCTGCCTCCAGAAGCCTCTACCTATAGTGTTTGCTATCAAGGTGTCTGACACAGACAAAACTATGTCTACACCTTCTCCTGTACATTCTCCAGCTAAAATGCTATCCTCTCAATGTGACAGTGCGTTCCTGTCTTGCTTTCATTTTCAGTTCAACTGGGACCTCTTCCCCCACCACCCCTTGTCATTTTGAACCACATCCGCCATCCGCCGCCACTCCCCAGCCCTGGATCAAATCCCCTTCTCATTTATTTCTCTGCTGCTTCTCCAAGGGGCTTCCAGCCTTTGCAGCTGCTGCTGGAGAAAATCCCAACTGGGTGCCAGGGGTGGGGCGGCTTCATTCACATAGATACAAGCCCTGGGATCAACTGGGCTCTCAGGCCTGCCCCTCAAGGTTTTGACTTCCACCTTGGCAGCTCCCTATGCCTCAGCCTATAGAAGAACAGTACACTTGAGGCTTCGTGAATGGAAAAATTCCTCTCTCTTACGATAACAATGGTGTCCCAATCAATTTGCATAGTCCGATGTCAGGGCTGTGCCCTGAATCAGATGCCTCCACAATGATGCCAACAACATGTATATAACTCTGCATCCTGCTACATTTATTTGGCAGCCAATACCTTTTGGGGTACCACTCTATCCACTTCCTAAAGTAGTTCCTAATCTGGGGGTTTAGTCAATTCTTGGATGGGCTACACAGAATCTGTGAAACTACTAAAATTATATGGAAGGTGCTATATGTACATCTTTTTGGGGAGAGGGTTCACAGCTTCCCAGAATCTCAAAGGAGTGTGTGGCCCAAGAAAGGTTATAATCTACTGCCTTACTAGCTTCATATAAACAGGTTGCCTTGTCATCATATAAGATGTATTGGTTTTGTATAATTATAAAAACAATACATGTTTGTTGAAGAATTTTTAATCCAAAAATATAATGAGGAAAATATAAGTCACTTGGAAAACCACCATCCATAAATGACCACTGTTAACATTTTGATGTTCTCCATCTCTTTTCATTTTTTTCTTCTTCCAAAATGGATTCATACTGCTGATTAAGTTGATTTCTAGCAGTTACGGTGTTCCCAGTAATATAAGAGAAATTTCTGACTACAAGGAACCTCGGACCAGAGTTCAAAAACCTCTTTGATTTCCAAGATGTATCCACCAACAAATATTTGTTGCTCCAAAAGTAAGAGAGGGAAATTCTTAACTAAGTTTTCACACAAGGTGTTTAAAAATTCTAAGGATTTCAACAGGCTATGTGAAGCCCCAGCCTAAGAAAGAGTATCTTTTCACGTAAAATGACTGGATCTATATCAATTGGGAAAAAAAGCAGATGTAATTATAGTCTTGGAGAGACACAATAAAACCAGTAGAAGTTGTTTTGTTTAAATGGTAGTTTTCCTTTACTACCAAAATGCAGACACTCATCTAATGATAAAAGTATATACAGTACATGAAATACAACTATATAGTAAAGGCCCTGGGTATCTCACACGAATCATAAACTTACAGATGGAAATTCCTGGGTTTTAGAGCAATGAAAACATTAGGGAGTGATTATGTGGCCTCCTGTGGTGGGTGACAATTCAAAGGACATCACTTATATGTTTTTGGAGTCCCATCGTGTTTAAGGAGGAAGATTGGTGTAATTACTTCACTGCTGCTTACATATTTCACTATTGAGAGAATTCTGGCAAAACAGGATTATTGCTTGGATCAATGAAGGACTTCTGGCCATTTAAGTCCAGTCCTTCCAATGTAATTTTCATCCCATATTTAAATAATATCCCATTTTCCAGTGGGAAAACAAATAAGTCCCTTTCTAAAATTCAAGGAAAAGCCAATTGAAATGTTTAATGGTTTTCTCTATCAGTCACTCTGTCCTCTGTTAAATCAATGAGCCTTTTCCTCTTTCCTCTGACCCTTGGGAGGTTTCTCTTAGGGAGCAATCTGGGCCTAGCTCAGTAAAGTTTCCCAGAACCCAGGAATGTACTGGCACTACTGTAGAAACTACAGTCTCTGGCCAGGTCAGGGGCTGGCCCCTGCTTTCTCATAAACACCACAACCTGAGAGCACTCACGTTCAGACTGTAAGCAAGTAGTCATCGGACAAACAGGCAAAGGCAGCCCTTGTAAAACTCTGGCATCTTTCTCTCCCTCAGGGACCCTTGGCCAGAGTTCCTTTTGAAGGGCCCTGGGGACAGACCATTGACAGAACAGCTAGCTGAGAGAGGAAACAAGAGATAACAGCCTTCACATCTCTGAAGCAAGAGCCATGCTCGGTATGAGGAGGACTTGATTCAATATGGCTAAATGTGATGTTGCTCTGTGGCTTAGTAAGGGATGTGAGAATGACTGAAGACTTGAAAGCCCTGGCTCATATCTTTCATACGACTGGAGCTGGAAGCCAGACCTGCTGACCCCAGGTCCTTGTGCTTGTCTTGGTAGCTGCTCCCAAGATGTCATGGCCTGGGAACTACCGCCTTGCTAAGGATAGGTTTACAACAGAATGCCCAGCAGGGAAGCGATGTTTTTCACTGCTCAGGTCTTTCTTCTTTCTTTTCTGTTTGTGAATTAAGACATGGAAATTTCACAGGGAATAAGTAGGCACTATTTTGCCACCTATACGGGAAGTGGTAGAAAGTGATTGTCATTTTTGCTGACAAGGGGAGGGTAGTTAAAAAGAAACATGGTCAAATCAAAACATTAAAGATTTATGTATTCCAAATGGAGGTGTTACGTTCTTTTTCTTTTTTTTTCCTTTTCTGTTTTCCCCCAGAGTTTTCTAGCACAAACAAGTACCGCTGGTATAATCCAAAACATACAATCAACTTAATTTGGTTTTTTTAGTTATTGTGGTAAAAATATACATAAAATTTACCATTTTAACTATTTTAAAGTATATACTTCGTTAAGTATATACTATATAAGTGTCTGCATTTGGCATTAACTATATTCACATTACTCTGCAATCATCATCATTACCCATTTCCAAACTTCCTCATCATCCCAAAGAGAAACTCTGTACGCATTCAACTCTGCACTTCCTCCACACCGCCCCCGCCCATCCCTGGTAACCTTTATTCTATTTTCTGTCTCTATGTACTTGCCTATTCTAGGTACCTCATATATGTGGAATCATATAAAATTTGTCTTTCTGTGACTGGCTTCTTTCACTTAGTATAATGTCCTCAAGCTTCATGCATATTGTAGCATGTGTCATAATTTCCTTCCTTTTTAAGGCTGAATAATATTCCATTGGTCATCTGCTGAGGGACACTGGGCTGTTTCCACCTTTTGACAATTGTGAACAATGCTGCTATGAACAGTGGTGTGAAACAAGTATCTGAGTCCCTTCCTTCAATTCTTTTGGGGAGAATTTCCCAATTCCACCTAATAGAATTGCTGGGTTATATGGTAATACTTTTTTTTTTTTTTGAGACAGAGTCTCGCTCTGTCACCCAGACTGGAGTGCAGTGGCGCTATTTTGGCTCACTGCAACCTCCGCCTCCTGGGTTCAAGTGATTCTCCTGCCTCAGCCTCCTGAGTAGCTGAGATTACAGGCACACGCCACCACGCCCAGCTAATTTTCATATTTTTTAGTAGAGATGGGGTTTTACCATGTTGGCCAGGCTTGTCTCAAACTCCTGACCTCATGTGATCTGCCTGCCTCTCCCAAAATGCTGGCATTACAGGTGTGAGCCACCTCTCCCAGTCTATTATATGGTAATTCTATATTTAACTTTCTGAGGAACCACTTAACTGTTTTCCATAGTGGTTGTACCATTTTACATTACCCACCAGCAATGCACAAGGGTTCCAGGTCCGCCCCGCCCGTGTTCCTCAACACTTATTTTCCAGTTTTTTGAATAACAACCATCAGAACAGGTGTGAGGTGGTATCTCGTTGTGGTTTTCATTTGTATTTCCCTGATGACTAATGGTTTTGAGTATCTTTTCCCGTGCTTATTGGCCATTTGTTTATCATCTTCAAAGAAATGTCTATTTAAGTCCTTTGCCTGACTTAAATCAAGTTTGTTGTTGTTGTTGCATTATAGGAGTTCTTTATCTATTCTGGACATTAATCTCTTATCAGATATATGCTTTACAAATACTTTTGCCCATTCTGTGGGTTGCCTTTTTACTCTCCTGTTAGTGTCCTCTGATTTGAGAAAAAAATCAGAGGACACCGACAAATAAAGTTAATGTAATCAACTTTATTTTTTAAAGAAGGTATGGGTTGAATTTTTAGGGAGCAAACAGACAGCCTGAAATATGGATGGAGAAGGTACGCCTAATACCTCCTTTTTACCCTTCTGTGGGTGAAGGAACAAGAACTGAGGTATTCTCAATGAGGTCACAAACTCATCAATCGTCCCCCAACTTGGCTCCTTTTTAGGCAGCTAATGCGGTGGGGCACTTGTGTACTAATGACAGTCACAGAAAGGAAACTCATCTGGGTGTGGTAGTGAGCCCAGCAAGGGCAAACAGGCAGGGTGGGGAGGACATAGATCTTACAGGCTTATACGATTCCTCAGCCCTACCAGCTCTCTGTTTCTGGCTGGTTCTTAACTACACACTCAAACTTCCAAACTTCTCACATAGAAGACAAACATGCAGATTTGTCACTACTGAATGGAGAGGAATGCTTGAGTAATTATTGTGAAAAGTGACACCCAAGTTCAGTTCCATCTCGGAGGATCAAACTCCCCTTCTTGTCTCTCTGCCCCTTATTTCCTTTCTCTTCAGTCCCCCCTGCAAAATGGGCCTTCGAACCAACTATTTGTCACATGGGAGTTTGTTTTCTAAGTATTATTGAGTATGATCAATTTACACAGGCAATGAGAAAAAGCAATACATATTCATTTTCTTCTAGGAATAGCCCCGGAACTATACTCAAATCCTCTAGAAATGGCTGTGTCTCAGTAGCTTATGTGAATAAACTCAGTCCAAATTTCAGGACTATCGTGAGGCTGAACTGTTGAATATCCTTACTAAACGTGAGAAACACAGTGCACAGTGCAGGTCCTGTAAACTGAAATTTCTCGCTCTACAAAGTACTGATTTGTTTTTGAAAGGTATTGACAATTACAGATCACCAACCTACCAAACTGTCTTTTCATAAGCAGAGTAAATAACCTAAAATCTTCTTACCTAGGAAGCACACCTAAAACCCCATGAACTGCCTGCTGCACATGCATTCATTTAACCAAGAATCCAATGAGAAGGATATTTCTAGAAAGGTCTCCACCTAGACATACAAATGGCTTAGAAATTTCAATGTTAAACAACCTTTATGCTCAGTAAGTTCTTTTTTGTATTTAATTCAAATCCTAAGGGCAAAAACTCAACTTCTTTAGCATGTGACCATATGTCCTACCCTCAAAGCCATTTCATTATGAGGGTGGGGAAATGAAAGAAAATGTAGGACAGGAGGAAGAAATGTAACTCTTCTCTATTATGCTTCTAACATTTATTGAAAGCTTGCTAAGCACCAGGTACTATGCGAAATGCATTACATGCGTTACCTCATTTAATTTTAGCAATGACTGTATGAGGTAGAGAATACTATCACTACTCACATTTTATCAATGGGAAAACAGATTAAGAGAGGTCAGAAACTTGCCCAAGTGAGCAAATAGAGTCAGCGTAGTACGCCAAATTCTGAGATGCCCCTAGAATTCTTGCCTCCTGGTCTACTCACCCTGTTTAATTCTCCTCTTGAATGTAAGCGGGACCTGTGAATATTGAGAGATATCCCTACCCTGATTAGGTCAGGAATCAACTGACTGTGAGTTAATCAAAACAGAGAGGATTCCAGGTGGGCCCGACCTAATCAAGTGATCTCTAGAAGAGGAACTGGGCCCATCCTGAAGAGAGAGATACACCTGCTGGATTTAAAGAAGTAAACTGCCATATGATGAGAGGCCTATCTGTCCAGGACCTGAGGATGTCCTCTAGGAGGTGACAGCAACCCCCAGCTGAATGGGACCATTTCAACTACTTCAAGGAACCAAATTGTGCTATCTTGAATGAGCTTGGAAAAGCTCTGAGCTTCTGGATAAGAATGCAGTCCTGCCAACACCTGTAAAACCCTGAGCAGAGAATCCAGCTGAGCCATGCCTACACTTCTGACTGTGAAATAATAAGTGTGTTATTTTAAGCTGCTAAGTATGTGGTAATTTGCTATGCAGCAACAGAAAACCAGTATAGTCAGGATTCAAAGCCAGGCTCTATTTAACTCTGGAGTGCATGCTTTTTTTTTTTAGACAAAGTCTCACTCTGACCCCAGGCTGGAGTGCAGTGGTGCAATATCACTCATTGCAACCTCCGCCCCCTGGGTTCAAGCAATTCTCCTGCCTCAGCTTCCTGAGTAGCTGGGACTACAGGTGCCCGCCACCACACCCAGCTAAATTTTTGTATTTTTAGTAGAGACGGGGTTTTGCTTTGTTGGCAGGGCTGTTCTCAAACTCCTGGCCTCAAGTGATCTGCCTGCCTCAGCCTCCCCAAGTGCTGGGATTACAGGAATGAGCCTGGCCAAGTGCATGCTCTTAACCACTACAGCAGATTCTGCAGCAGTTTTGTGAATTCCCAAACATTTTCAATGCTTTAAAGAGTAAAGATATTAATGTAAATCTCTATGTAATAGGAATGGTTATGATATTTTCTTCTTCTAGTGCAGTTTTCAAGTTTTAGAAATGTTTTTTTTACCACATTCTAGTATAGAAACACACTTATTGATATGTTACATTTGAGATGGAGGGAGGGGAGAATACATATTCAATAGAAAACTACTCAAATACAATGTGATAATAGGTTACGTTGTGAAAAATAAGTAGGATGGAAAACATAAGATTTCATTTACCAAAAACACCTTATTAGAATAGACGTGGCTTTTGCAAGAGCTCCAGGGTATGCTATTTACAAATACTTTCCTTCTGACTATTGCGTGAACTACAAAGTCTGTCATGTGGTGCTTCCAAGGAGATGACAACACATTCCCTCTTTTAACAGGGCACAACTAAAAATGTAGTGAATATGAGAAGCCAGTGAATTCTCTGCTGCAGTGAAATAAACTTAAAGAGAATTCCAAAATTCAAACACTGTGGTTGCTTTTTGGAGAGTGTCAGTCTAGAACTAATGGTTCATGTTCCCCCTTCATACAAAAACTACACACGGAGGTGAATTGATGAATAATAATAGCTAACACTTAGCCTATGCAAAGGGTTGACCATGGATTATCCCTTTAGGCCTCATGCTTACCTTATGCGGTAGGTATGATTATCACCATCACTCCTATTTTATAAACAAAGAAACTGGGACTTAAAAAGGTTGAGTAAGTTTCCCAATATTCCACAGCCAGAAAGTGGCATTTCAACTCAGAAGTGGACACCAGAGCTCATTCTCAGTCACTTAGCTATATGACCAAAACTTCTATTGCTTTCCAACTAGATGTTTCTTCCATCCTTCACAGTATCTAGGAATGCTCAATAAATTTTGCTGGTAATGATAAGGAATGAGAGACCGGAACCTGAGGGAGTAGATAAGGCTTCCAAGCCATTCATCACTGTGAGAAGATGGGAGATGTGGAGAGGGCAGAAGTTGACAGAGGATAAGGAAGCAGGCTAAAGGCAGCCCCCACTTATGTGGATGTCAGTCTAAAGGAAGTGAACAGGATTGTACTACTTAGAACTCCAAATATATGTTGACTAACCACGCACAAGCAGATTTAATTCTGGCCCTAAGATCATTTAAAAAAATAATAAAACCCAGTTTTCCAGAGTGTATTTCTCTCTTTTGGAAAAGTTTCTGCTCCACATCTGGAAGTGATTTTCTAACAACACTAATTCCAATGAGTCATCTATGATATTAAGCAATGATTCCATAGGGTGAACCCTGATCATATTTTTCCATTGACTGGCAGCCACCGAGGTCAATGAAAGGCAAAGGCGAACCCAGACATGGAGAACCTCACCCTCCACAGCTCCATCTTGTATTATCAAGGACATGGGTTTTAAGAAGTACAGGAATGCAATCCATCTCCCAGCACTAATGCAAGGCATCTTCTAATATACTCCGTTTCTTTTCACTGGTTATATGCAGAAGATGGATCCAAAGGCTGCTTGAGGGGAAAGCAACCATAAATTAAGCTGGCAGAAGAAACATTATGAGGCCATGTGTAACCATGAGGCAGTTAGAAAAGCAGGGAGTGGGCTTTCTGGACAAAAGAACAGGACAGCCTATGGTACACAGAGTACAGCCAGAGCTCAGGAGCCTTAATGCTGCCAGCAAGAATTTCCCCAAGGAATATTCTAGAAAGCACTGCCAGTCAATCCCTTGCCCTTTCATCCTAATACAGTGGCTCCAACCATCAACTTTAAACCAATATCATATTGGTTTCCTAATATTTAAGATCTCTAGTACTGATGTTTAGAAGTGTAACTTAAGTCCATTTCCCAGTGTCTTCTGACACTTGGATTTCTTTCAAGTTACAAAGAAAGAATGAGTCATGTTCTCTTAGAGACTGAGGAGCCACTTACAAAGGCTATTTTAAATTTTTTGAGTGACAAGGGTATTATTTAGTTCCCAGAAACAATAATTGACTAAATGCCTTCTTCAGGTCTGAAGGAGTTAATGCAACTTCCCAGAGTTATCCTTCTCTCCCAGGTATAATCTGATTTTAAATGGCAGAGGAGTGACAGTGTGTTACAAAAACTGAAATCCCACCTCACAAAACCCTGCCTTAAAAAAATATAAATTAGTGGATGGTTACTTGCATTACAAAATTATGCTTTGCTTTTCCAAAGGATTCCAATAAAGTTCATTCAAAAATCAGATTCCCCAAGTGTATGTGAAATGACGTGATTTGCCCAAATTTGATTTACATATGGGCCACATTGAGGAAACACAGCTGCTCCAAAGTCTGAATTTGGTTAGCAGGTACCTCTTCACCATGATTTTGGTGGTTCACATACTCATTTCATCAGCGCCTTGCCTCCAGGGTCACACAGTGAAGAGCAGACCTTAAAATTTCTTTTCTGTTTTGAGACAGAGTCAAGCTCTGTTGCACAGGCTGGAGTGCAGTGGTTCACTGCAACCTCCACCTCCCAGGTTCAAGCATTTCTCCTGCCTCCACCACCCGAGTAGCTGGGATTACAGGTGTGTGCCACCACGCCTGGCTAATTTTTTTGTATTTTTAGTAGAGATGGGGTTTCGCCATGTTGGCCAGGCTGGTCTCAAACTCCTGACCTCAAGTGATCTGCCCATCTTGGCCTCCAAAAGTGCTGGGATTACAGGCGTGAGCCACCGTGCCCAGCTGACCTTAAAATTTCTGACTCATAATCCCCCACTCTAACAATAAAATTGCTTTGCTTTTACCTGGCACCTTTCATTCAAAGCCTTCGAAGTATTCAATTCTCATTTGCTGTAAGTCTCCATAATTATGCCGAACAAGTCAGCAAGAGAGCTGGGAATGCAAGCTTCCAAATTATCGAGATGGGACAAAAAGTTTTTTTAAAAAAATATTAGGACTACTGACAGGCAGAAAAATTAAAGGTCCACGGAAATGCAAAAGAACTACACTTAGGATATTTTTTGACAAAAAAAAATTTCATAGATCTTACTTTTTTAAATAAACTATTTTTCAGAGCAGTTTTAGGTTCCCAGCAAAATTAAGCAGAAATTATAGAGTTCAGTTCCCATGTGCTCCCTGCCCCAACACAGGCTCAGCCTCCCCTACTATCAACATCAGGCACCAGAGTGGTACATTTGTTACAATTGATGACCCTACAATGACACATCATAACACCCAAAGTCCATAGGATACATTAGGATTCACTCTAGGTGCTGTACATTCTATGGGTTTTGTTTGACAAATATATAATGGCATGTATCCACCACTGCAGTAGTATATGGAGTAGTTTCACTGCCTTAAAAATCCTCTCTGCTTCACTTATTCATCCCTTCATTTGCCCTACTTTTTCAGTTACAAAGAGGAAATATCCAAATCCCAGTTTAAATACAACAAACCATTTCTTTAAGAGATGGGGGTCTCACTATGTCGCCCAGGCTGGACTTGAACTCCTGGGCTCAAGGAATCCTCTCGCCTTGGTCTCCCTAAAGTAGCTGAGACTACAGGCAGAGACCACCAAACGTAACAAATCATTTTTATATATCTTGTAAGAAAAAGAGACATATAGTAGAGAGAAGACAGAAGAACAGAAGGAAGAAAGAAATGAACTCAAGGACATGCATGCTGACAGAAAAAAGAGGCACACAGTAGAGAGGGAAAGAGCCCCTGCCTACCAAGATGCGCATCATAATCTAATTGTTTTAAATGTCAGAGGCAAGACCTTCCATTTCAAAGCTCATAATTCATAAGTAATTCTCCCATCCATTTGTTTTTAAATCCATGAGAAGTATAAAGATTATTTTAAATAAAAGAACAAAGATTCAGCATGTTCAAAATCAGAAAAATCATGACCACAAATCCTTGCAATTTCAATGCAAATTAATTAGCTTTACTTGAAATTTAAGTCCCTCTAGTGATTCATCTTCTTAATGGCAGCAAAAGAGAACTCCAGTATCAACAACCTGAGATACATTTCACACGCAACATAGCAGCTATTTTAATTTACAGTTCAGAAAATTCAGAGTAGGCACTTAGGCCTCCCCAAAATTATAAAGATAATATGAAATATATAGATATATGTGGATGTACAGGCAAATATCTAGTGTAAGACTATATACATATATTCTTCAAAATTTCACTTTAAAGAAAACACATTATAATCAAAGTTCAGGGAATAATACTTAAGAAGATAGGAATTAAATGCAAGTGGGAATTAAAGTCTAATCTCTAGCCCATCCTAATTTTAATGATCTAGCAGACAGAGAATCTGAGATACGCAAAGCACTAGGCAAGGAGCTGCAGGATTATAGGAAAAATTATCTTAATAATAATAGCTAATTATAGAGAGACCATATGTTGTGTGTGCACACACATGCGTGTCACATAAATCTAGAAATCCTGAAAGTATGGTTCTTATCTTGAACTCTACATCTTCTGTTTATAAAAATAATAATGCTCAGAGTAAAATAAATGAATTAATGTTTTTAAAGCAAAAATAAAATTTCCTCATAACATAATCCCACCATCCGAGATAGGCACTCTTTTATTTATTTTATTTTTCTTTTTTTTTAAAACAGGGTCTCACTCTGTCACCCACGCTGGAGTGCAGTGGCGCGATCATAGCTCACTGTAACCCCAAACTCCTGGGTTTAAGCAATCCTCTTGCCTCAGACTCACAAGTAGCTAGGACTACAGGCACACACCACCATGCCCAGCTAATTTTATTATTTTTTTTAAGAGACAGGGGTCTGGCTATGTTGCCCAGCCTCGAACTCCTGGGCTCAAATGATCCTCCCACCTCAGCCTCCTGAGTCACTAGGATTACAGGTGTGAGCCAGTGTGCCCATCTAGCACTCTTAATATTATACACACATATACGCATTATATATAAACATATGTTATCAACATACAACATCCTTTGGGAATGTTGTTTTGAATATAACAATAATACTAATAGCTACGTTTATTCAGTGCTTCTCTATGTGCTAGGCATTGTTCCTCGTGCTTCAATGTCTAATTTTACTCAAACCTTGCAACAAGCCTCTGAGGTCAGTACTATCATTATCTACATTTTACAGATGAAGAAAACGAGGCACAGAGTGATTAGGTAAGTATATTCACATATATCGTATATGCATTATTTTATAAAAATAGGATCATACTTTGCATGCCATTTCATAATGTAAATTTTTTGCCACTGTCAATAAATATAGATGTCAGCCGGGTGCGGTGGCTCACGTCTGTAATCCCAGCACTTTGGGAGGCTGAGGTGCACAGATCATTTGAGGTCAGGAGTTCGAGACCAGCCTGGCCAACATGGCGAAACCCCATCTCTACTAAAAATACAAAAATTAGCTTGGGCATGGTAGTGCACTCCCAGCTACTAGGGAGGCTGAGGTAGGAGAATTGCTTGAACTCAGGGGGAGAAGGATGCAGTGAGCCAAGATCACACAGCTGCACTCCAGCCTGGGCAACAGAGCGAGTGTGAGAGAGGCGGAGAGAGAAAGAAAGAAGAAAAAGGAGGGGAGGGGAGGGGAGGGGAGGAGAGGAGAGGAGGAGGCCGGGTGCAGTGGCTCACGCCTGTAATCCCAGCACTTTGGGAGGCCGAGGCGGGCAGATTACGAGGTCAGGAGATCGAAACCATCCTGGCTAACATGGTGAAACCCCATCTCTACTAAAAATACAAAACAAAATTAGCCGGGCATGGTGGTGGGCGCCTGTAGTCCCAGCTACTCAGGAGGCTGAGGCAGGAGAATGGCGTGAACCCGGGAGGCGGAGCTTGCAGTGAGTCGAGATCATGCCACTGCACTCCAGGCTGGATAACAGACGCAGACTCCATCACAAAAAAAAAAAAAAAAAGAAAAAGAAAAGAAAAGAAAAAAGAAAGAAAGAATGTCATTTTAAGGACTGCACAGTTTTCTGGTGTAAGAATGTATATATATATATATTTGCCCAAATCCTTACTTTTGAACATTTAGGTGAACTTTTTTGGGTTTTTGTTTTTGCTATTATAAACATATTTGCAAGGCCAATTGATGTTCATGTTATTCTTCCAATGTTTACAAATAAGCAAAAGGAGATCCCCCAAAAGTCAAACAGTCTGCCCAAGGTAACACAGATTGTCAGTAGAATTGCTGGGCCCTCTGGCACTGACTACTAAGCAATAGCTTTCTAGTCTCCTACCAGCCCCTTAAGGTATTTACATTCTAATACAATAGAGAAGCTATCAACAACTATCTTAGGAGGCCTAATGAAATCAATCCTCTCTAAAATGAAAGTACTGATATCAATCCTCTCTAAAACCTAAGAACACACAGACTGAAAAAATGCCTCCCCCACAAAAAGATATGCCCCCATCCTCATCCCTGGAACCTGCAAATGATATATGGCCAAAGGGTCTTTACAGACGTGAAATAAATTGGCTGGGTGCAGTGGCTCACATCTATAATCCCAGCACTTTGGGAGGCCAAGGCGGGCGGATCACCTGAGGTCAGGAGTTCGAGACCAACCTGACCAACATGAAGAAACCCCGTCTCTACTAAAAATACAAAATTAGCCAGGCATGGTGGTGCATGCCTGTAATCCCAGCTACTCGGGAGGCTGAGGCAGAAGAATCGCTTGAACTCGAGAGGCGGAGGTTGCGGTAAGCCGAGATTGCACCATTGCACTCCAGCCTGGGCAACAAGAGCGAAACTCCATCTCAAAAAACAAAACAAAATGAAATAAATTAAGGATCTTGAGATGAAGAGCGCATCCGGATTATTGGGGTGGACTCTAAATGCCATCACAAGTATCTTGATAAGAAAGAGGCAGCGGGAGACCTGAAACAGACCAAAGAGGTGGCAATGTGACCACAGAGGCAGAGATTGGAGTGATGCAACCACAAGCCAAGGAATGCTGGTAGCTACCAGAGCTGGAAGAGGCAATAAATGATCCTTTCCTAAAATCTCCTGAAGGAGTGAGGCCTAGTGATACTTATTTCAGACGTCTGGCCTCTAGATCTGTTAGAGAACAAACTTGTTTTAGGCCACCCAATTTGTGGTAATTTGTTACAGCAGCCACAGGAAGCCAACGCAACTAGTAAGAGGCTGTAAGGCTGCAGAAGGAGCAATTAGCTCCAAATATGGTGGCCATGGAGAAGATGGCCATTTGACCTAAGCCCTGAAGGACAGATAGGATTCCCTTTAGCAGGGAAGGGCTTGTAAGGGCATCCCCGGATGAGGAGTCAGCATGCACAAAGGTATGTAGGTGAGAAACTATAGAAATGTGTTTGAAAAAGTGTGATGGTTCAATGTGGCTAGACTACAGGGCAAAGGAAGGGTGTGGTGGGAGAAGAAACTTCAAAGGTGGGATGGTCCTTACTGGTGGACATGAAGGGCCATGAAGTCCCCTCTAGGAAATCTGGGTGTTTATGGCAATGTGAAGCCAGTGCAGACAGAGTTGGCATTTTTATGGGTTTGGGTATTGTTAATCTCCCCCACGCTCTCAAGAGGTAGGAGAATGGTACAGTTTCTAGATATTTCAAGACAATAACTTTTTGCTTACCATCAAGGTGGTCAACTCTGACTTGTTTCACCCCGCAGGAACGTGTGCACAAAACTCTGGCCAAATTATTTGTATTAGTCCATTTTCATACTCCTAATAAAGAACTGCCTGAGACTGGGTAATTTATAAAGGAAAGAGGTTTAATTGACTCACAGTTCAGCATTGATGGGGGGGGCCTCAGGAAACTTACAGTCCAGGCAGAAGGCAAAGGAGAAGCAGGCACCCTCTTCACAGGGTGGCAGGATGGAGTGAGTGCAGGCAGGGGAAAGGTCAGACGTTTAAAAAACCATCAGATATGCATGAGACTCATTCACTATCACCAGAACAGCATGCAGAAAAACTGCCCCCATGATCCAATTACCTCCACTTGTTCCCACCATTGACGTGGGGATTATGGGGATTACAATTCAAGATGAGATTTTTGGGTGGGTACACAGCCAAACCATATCATTATTTCTCCAAGAGGGGGCAAGAAACATGAAGGTGGAGTAGGCCTACTCAACTGCACCTGGTAACAACTGGAATGATGCTGCTGCTCCCCCATAAGGCCCACTCCAGGTGCTCTGAAGTGTGCCTGGCCTCTGCCAAGTAACCCCAACGAAGCAAAATCATCGATTAAACTGAGGTGCAAGAACTTTATTTGACTCTCATGCAAAAGGTTTCACTTTTTAAAGATCTACTAAGTCAAAGGCCACTCTTTCCCAATTAAACCCAGCAGAAAAAAACAGTGACATAAACTGGGCTCTGGGGTTACAATTACATAATTTCGTAAACTCTTCACTTTTTTTTAAAATTTGAGACAAGGTCTCGCTCTGTCACCCAGGCTGGAGTACAATGGTGTAATCATAGTTCACCATGGCCTTGAAGTGGGTTCAAGTGATCCTCCTGCTTCAGCCTCCCGAGTAGCTGGAACCACAGGCGTGTGCCACCACACCTAGCTAACTCTTCATTCTGATTCCATAATTCCAGATAGAACCTCCCCTTCTTTCAGTTGGAACTAAATCCAAAGCCAGGACATTTTAGGGGACAACCTTGCCAGATGTGTAGCTCCACAACATTCCCTTGGCACCCAGGCCACTGGATTTCCAGAAAAGGCATCCAGCCATCACTAGCTCAGGCCTTTGGAATTTTCCATCCTTGGCTAAAGAAAAGGTTTAAAAAAAATAAACACAGTGATGGCTCTGTGCCACAAAGCACACTTTTTAGCCAAACAGAGGAGAGAGAAAGAAGAGGTGAGAAAAAGATGAGAAGGGGAGAGAAGGAGTGTGCCCACAGTCAAACAATGGTTCCCAGGGCATGGTAGAAGGGAGAAGTCAAGGAGCTGGATCAGGCAGCCAGATCCACAGAAGAGTTTCCTGGAAGGTGGCAGTGCAGAGGCAAACACCAGGAGCAGCAGTTGAGGAAAATCAGAATGGGGGGAAAGCAGTTAGGGAATAGTAGAAGGTGGAAAGGGGAAGATAGTAGCTTGCAAGAAAGAGAATGTAGTCAGTAAGAAGAAGCCAGTCCCAGTGGGGGCTGCTCTCAGAGAAGGTCACAAGGGCTCAGAGTGGCAGCCTCTATGGCCACCATTCCTGTCAAGCAGCGTTTTCTGCCTTGAGAAACACGGGTCTGGCAGAGGCATGAGCTGTTGGCTCCCCTTCTACCCTGGTAGAGGATAGGATGGAAAAAAGGAGGGCAGGCAGACCTAGCACCTGAGTCCCTCTACCCTGGGCTCCCAACAGAAATCTGGCCCCTATGGGTGTCTGATGGTCATGTGTCTCTGACCTCCATTGAAGTTGGAGAATGAGTTTCCCTATGTTCCAACTATCCTATATGCTGAATGGCATACAAGTATTTTCTCAATTCCTTAACTAACTGATTTGAGGTCCTGCATCATGCAAGTTGACAGTATATGCACTGTCTCCAGCCCCTGAATAAGTATCTACTCACCCCTTTGGTGCCAGACAAAACTGTTTCATTTATCAAGCACAATTTCTAAAGGACTTGATCTCTTCCTGTCTGAATCTAAAAATATACGGCTGCACTCATTAAATATTGTTAATATTTTAATCTCTGGTCTCTTGGTCTTTGTAATGGAAAAAAAATACCTTCCTTTTGCCCCTTTTTAATCCTTCAGTTTCTTGAGATTAAGCCCTGGTCTTGCCTTCCACCATTCCTCCTACCTCCTTGTCGTAAGTAGGTTTGATCTGTTAAAAAGAAATCAGCGGAGCAGGGCATGGTGGCTCACGCTGTAATCCCAGCATTTTGGGAGGCCAAGGCAGGCAGATTGTCTGAGCTCAGGAGTTCGCGACCAGCCTGGGCAACACGGTGAAACCCTGTCTTTACTAAAATACACGCATGGCGGCGTGCGCCTGTAGTCCCAGCTACTCGGGAGGCTGAGGCAGGAGAATTGCTTGAACCCCGGAGTCGGTGGTTGCAGTGAGCCAAGATCGTGCCACTGCACTCCAGCCTGGGCGACAGAGTGAGACTCCTTCTCAAAAAATAAATAAATAAATAAGCGGAAATAGATTCTCTGCTTCTCTTCAATTCAAGCAACAGTTCACAAACATTTCCCTTGGGATTTGAGCATGAACTGAACGACGGTATCTGTCTTCTCCCTCAGCCAGGGGAGCCATCTTCCACAGCTCAGCACAACTTTCTCTCTCTCTAGCTCACTCTCCAGCAACGCCCTCCTCCTTTCTAGTTCCTTCTGCTGCATAACACAGCCCCAGAGGTTCCAGGGTTCCCAGGCGTCAACTCTGTCATGAAGCTCATTGACCTAATGCACAGTACCCAGAAGCCTCGGTGAAGTTCAGCTGACAGCCAATAGAGAAAAGGAGAAACTCCAAAGCAGAAAGTAGTAAATCGCAAAATAAAATCAAATAAGCCAGGTTGAAGAGAATAAACCCACAATTTACAGAAAATGAACACCATTTTCTAAAAAAGATTTAAATAGGACTACAGTTAATACCCTTTCACATTTAATAATTAGTAGATATTCATCGTAGATAAGCACTTTCAAAAAATGGTTTAACATAATTCCACTGAAAACATCTGAATATTTACCCTGAGATGGTTTATAAGGAGAATTGAAACTGTTTTCCTATTGAGGAGGAAAAAAAGAAAAAATAGAACAGGAGAAAAGTGAAGATAGTGAATGTGTATTTTGTCTCTACAGATTTTCAAACACAATCTGGGAGTTTCCCCAACCTTTTCTATAATGATTTTCAGTGCATTACAGCCAGGTCAATTAGCCAGAGGCTTGAAAAAAGATATGCTGGGCCTGGGAGAAATATGGCCGTGGCCAATTAGAACCAAGGTAAAAATAGGAAATGCAATCCACATCTACGATAGAGTGCTTCTTCAGGACAGCAAAGCTCTGTGCCATCAGACACATCATGGACATCATACTGGCCAGTGTGAGGAGGGCTGATGCAAATGTTATCAGCCAGGAAACTTTTGTTCTATGTGTCTCTAAGATGGCAGTGACTAGATGTGGTAGAGAGGGGAAGTTTCCATTTATCTTTTAATTGAAATCATCATGAAGCCAGAAAGAACTCAGATAGATTTTCCAGTCCTTCCTTCTGCTTCTCCAATCATGTGTTTTAGAAAGCCATTTCTGGGAAGGGATTCTGTGATTACCTTGAAAATGCAGAAGGACCATGCCCAGTCTAACTTGACCTTCAGGCTGGGCAAAGCATCTCTTACACAGGACATATGAGAGGTATCTTGGGACTTGTGGCCAAATAGTTATTTTATGTGATGTGCAACCATCGCTTTCTCTTTTAAACACCTCCCCGCTGACCCCCCGCCACACACATACATCCACACACCCACACACACCCCTACCTCTTTGCTCTTTTCTTTAACTGAAGGTGGAAAATTCTATAGGCCTGAGCTGGCTAAATGCCCGCAAAGTGTCTGCCCAGCTTGTATCCTAAAACACCTCAAGTCTGAAAGCAGTGCCCGCTATAAGAACTCCAGGCTCAGGGAGTCCTGTGTGGGGAAAGACATTTAGTTATGAAGAATTTAAGAAAACATGTCAATTGAAATTGCAGACTGCAGACCTGTATTGCTTTCTTTCAGCCAAAATTCGCAAAAGGGATTGTGCTTCCTCATTTGAATTCTATGAAGACTTCTGCGCCTGGCTGTTTGCCAGATCCCTGTTCCTCCTCCACTGTAATGTCAGGACCTGTGCTGGGAACCCCTCTGACCCCAGGATTCCATCAGTCCTCAAACTTGGGTGACATCTTGCGTGATAGGCAGAATAATGGTTCCTCAATGATGGCCACATCTTAATCCGTGGAACCTGTGAATATGTTACTTTACATGGCAAAGAAGACTTTGCAGGCATGATTAAATTAAGGATTTGGAGATGGGGCAATTATCCTAGATTACCAAGGTGGAACCAAGGTCCTTATAAGTGAAAGAGGGAGGCAAGAGAGCCGGTGTCAGAGAAGGAGATATAATGACAGAAGCAGTGTGAGACTGATAGGATGTGAGAAAGACTCGACCAGTCATTGCTGGTTTGAGGAGGGAGGAAGGGGCCATGAGCCAAGGAATGTGGGCATCCTCTAGAAGCTGGAAGAGACCAGGCAATGGATCCTCCCCTACAGCTTCTGGAGGAAGTGAGGCTTTTTGGACACCTTGGCTTTAGCTCAGTGAAACCAATTTTGGCCTTCTGATCTCTAGAACTGGAACACATCTGTGTTAAGACACTAAGTTTGTGGCAATTCATTACAGTGGCAATAGGAAACTAATAGACCATAAAGCTAGTCCAGTCCTCAACAGGGCCACTTGCTGGACTGCGTTATCCCAGGCACTTTGTCTCCTCTGAGTTCTCTAAGCAGAAACTCACCCCTCCAGGCCAGGTGCAGTGGCTCACGCCTATAATCCGAGCACTTTGGGAGGCCGAGGCAGTTGGAACACTTGAGGTCAGGAGTTCGAGACCAGCCTGACCAACATGGTAAAACCCCGTCTCTACTAAACATACAAAAAATTAGCCAGGAGTGGTGGTGTACACCTGTAGTCCCAGCTACTCAGGAGGCTGAGGCAGGAGAATCACTTGAACACGGGAAGCAGAGGTTTCAGTGAGCCGAGATTGCACCACTGCACCCCAGCCTGGGAAGACTCTGTTTCCAGAAAAAAAAAAAGAGAGAAACTCACCCCTTCAATCCACAGTTCCACTGTGCTGGGCTCAGTCATATGGTCCTGGTGAGGGTAAGGCACCCCTCCTCAGGAAGGCCAGCAACAAGGCAAGAACTTACTCCTAGAGGAACTGGGCGATTAGCCAGAAAACTGAGGCAGGGGGTTAGCTATGGACAGGCTAGGGGGCCAGACAGAGATACAGTGAGTGAGACAAAGACACAAGGGGACAAGAAGATCCAAATCCAGTTGACTGGAAATGGATTTTAAAGGCAGGGCAGAACCAGCAGCCTATGGACTTGAAGAACCTGGGCTCTGAATATGAGACTCCCTGATGTCTCTGAGCCTAGGGGCAGTACTGAGCAAAGGAAGCAGGGCAGGCAGGGAGAGGGAGCTGGGTTTGTTATTACAGAACTGAAGCGAGAAGCCTTATGGAATTTTCTTCTGGCTCTCCTGATGAGAATTCTGCCAGACCATTTAGCAGGGACAGACGGAGGCCAAGTTCCCTTGCAAGTGGTCATGTCGGTCACTAGGAGTAGAGGAGCAAGTCTCCCCAGGGTCAAGTTAGCAAGGGAGGGCTTTCTTTGCTCCACAAACTATAGAGCATGTCGTAAACACTCGGCTGGACACAACGAGAGCTATTGGCCCCTGTGAGCTTTGAAATAACGATTCAGTTCCATGTATGTACCGGTTGATTTAGAACCTTCTTGAACTTAAGTTATTTCTTGGTGGGAAGGTAGGTACCTTGGAAGGTAGCATTCCCTCCTTCAGATCTCTAGGAAACGATTTAATGTACTGAAGCATTAGGAACGTGTTCACCTATGAAAGTAAACTGGCCATGCCAACAGCACTCTTCCATTCACACCGTGAACACTGTGACAACAGGCCCTGCAAGGCATAAAGCTGGCAGTTTCTCAAGTGGGAAAACTAAACTACTAATATAAAAGGCATGGAAAGAAATATATATGTTGTTATTTTTGGACAGCACTAACCCACTTGAAAAAAATCATGAAAACAGTTCCATGAAAATGATCCCAGGTACCTCTGCAGAGCCAGTGTTCTGGATATTTTTTTCCATATAGTTATTCAAATAGCAAAGTAAGGAGGGATGGCCAATTGCAAACAGTTCTCAATATCCTTAGGCTTACTTTGGCAAGCAAAAATCTATACTGATCTTGCCCACATTTCTCAATAACAACCCCATCCCTCTTTTTTTTTTTTTTGTCCTCACCTCCTACTTTCCCACTAAAGAGACCTAAGCTTGTTTAGAAATAAACACTGTTTCCCAATAGAGCGAGATCATCACCAAAACCACACAGAAAGAGCTTTCTCCACCTGATTGACTGTGGAATCTGGCATCCCTCTAGTATTTCTTCACATGGTTACTCCAAAGGAATCAGGACACCTGGAGTTCATTACCTGCTCTGTCATTTCATTAATATAAATAACCTATGGCCTGCCTCACTGAAAACCATGCCTCTGTTTCCCCACTTACAGAAGAGGGGTGATGACTATGTGATATGTGTTCAGTAGTGACCTGTAGACATATGAGGCCACAGATAGATATAACAGCATTTTTAAGTCTTAAGATTTCGGCTATAAAAACTCAAGGTCTTGTCACCATTTAAAAAACGGGCCGGGCACGGTGGCTCATGCCTGTAATTCCAGCACCTTGGGAGGCCCAGGCGGATGGATCACCTGAGGTCAGGAGTTCAAAACCAGCATGGCCAACATGGTGAAACCCCGTCTCTACTAAAAACACAAAAATTAGCCAGGCGTGGTGGCAGATGCCTGTAATCCCAGCTACTTGGGAGGCTGAGGCAGGAGAATCGCTTGAACACAGGAGGCGGAGGTTGCCACTGCACTCCAGCCTGGGTGACAGAGCAAGACTCTGTCTCCGGAAAAAAAAAAAAAATCTTATACAAATGAATTCCCCAGCCTTCTGACACACTTCACTGAAACACTTCAAATAAAGATGTTCTGTCTCAGAGACTTGGAAGCAACACTTGACTTCTCAGTTAAATCTTACCCAGTAAAATATTTCCAGTCATTAGGGAAAGCAATGCGATGGGAACGCTGAAGTATCAGAATATCTTCTAACATTTCTTAGCAGCTTGAAACATATACACAATCCAACAGAAGTCAAAAACGGCAAAAGCACATAACTTCCCATGAACAATAAACTCAATAGGCAATAAAAGTGGAGAAGAATCGCAGGAAATCATTAATAGCAAATTTAGGCATGATTGTGCAAGGCTGCACACAGACAAAAGATGAACCACGTAGAGCTGGAACACTCGGCATGTTTTCCACTGTACTGACTCTGCTAGGAACCTGTGTGCACTATTCTTTTTATTTTTTTGGAAAGACGGGGGTCTCGCTATGTTGCCCAGGCTGGTCTTGAACTCCTGGCCTCAAACAATCCTCCTACCTCAGCCTGCCAAAGTGCTGGCATTTTAGGCACTAGCCATCATGCCCAGCCACACACTATCCTTAACAGAACTTATCCTGCTACCACAAAACCAGAATAGCCAAATATAAAAGAATAATTTCTCGAGACAGCTTTAAGTTTTAAAATTTCCTATTAAAACGTATGTTTCCAAAATATAATTTTTTTTTTGAGACAGTCTCACTTTGTCGCCCAGGCTGGGGTGCAGTGGCGTGATCTCAGCTCACTGCAACCTCTGCCTCCCGGGTTCAAGTGATTCTCATGCCTCAGCCTCCCAAGTAGCTGGGATTACAGGCGTGCACCACCATGCCCAGCTAATTTTTGTATTTTTGGTAGAGACAGGGTTTTACCATGTTGGCCAGGCTGATCTCAAACTCCTGACCTCAAGTGATCCACCCACCTCGGCCTCTCAAAGTGCTGGGAATATAGGTGTGAGCCACCGCGCTCAGCCCCAAAATAGAACTTTAAAAAAGCATTTGCATTTCAATATTTATTTGACTATTAAATGTGAGGATTAAGAGTGAAAGGGATAACAATAAAGGTTTTTTGGTTTTGGTTTTTTGTTGTTTTTTTTTTTTTTGAGACAGGGTCTCAGTCTGTCACCCAAGCTGGAGTGCAGTGGCACAATCAAGGCTCACTGCAGCCTCGAACTCCTGGGCTCAAGGAATCCTCCCACTTCAGTCTCTCAAGTAGCTGGACTACACGCATGTGCCACCACGCCTGGCTCATTTTTGTTTTAATTTTGTAAAGATGGGGGTCTCCCTGTATCTCCCAGGCTGGCCTGGAACTCCCAGGCTCAAGCAATCCTCCCAGCTCAGCCTCCCAAAGGGCTGGGATTATAGGCATAGGCTAACGTGCCTGGCATCAGTGAAGGTTTGAAAGGGAAAGGTAGGCATGTCCAAGCTCTGTTTTTCCACACAGATCCCAATTCTCTTCTATTCACCCCTTTGCATAAATCACACTGAACAGGCTGGCATAAAGGTAAGTGCTTCTGCCAAAGGCCACAGGTACAGTTTCCCCAGTCTGGAGAGCCTTCCGGCCCAAGGCACAGGACAGAGTGCTTCTCCCCACTTGAGGACCAGCCTTCCCACTCACTCATTAAACTCGTGTGAAGGTAGAAAATGCCAAAAACCCAGAACCCTTGCTACCATCCACTAGGCTTTTCAGTATGACTAAGTCAGACTGGGAACGGGTATTGGCAAGAACCTCATGCAGAGGGGTCTGCCAGCTTGTTCTTCCAGGAAGGGTAAGATTCTTGGATCAGCCATGTGGCTCACCCCTTTGGGGCATCATCTGGAGCAAGGAATTAAAGCAAGGGTACCTGCTTCCCCTCTTCCAGTTAACTTTTCTGTCTGCTGACTTGTAACACATATACAAAAGACGTCTCTTGCCCACCATAAAGCCTGGGGATGATAATGCGAGCCAACAGTCATCAGTACTTAACAATTGGCAAACCCCACTTGAAGTGCTTTCAATATTATACATTAAGAATATAATAACTCACTCAAGGCTGGGCATGGTGTCTCACGCCTGTAATCCCAGCACTTTGGGAGGCCGAGGCAGGCGGATCATTTGAGGTCAGGAGTTCGAGACCAGCCTGGCCAACATGGCAAAACCCTGTCTCTATACTAAAAACACAAAACTTAGCCGGGCAATGGTGGTGCACACCTGTAGTCCCAGCTACTAGGGAGGCTGAGATGGAAGGATCACTTGAACCCAGGAGGCGGAGGTTACAGTGAACCAAGTTCGTGTCACTGCACTCCAGCCTGGGTGACAGAGCGAGACCCCGTCTCAAAAACAAAACAAAACAAATAACTCATTTAAGCCTTTCAACAAGCCCCTGAGGGGGTTACCAATGCCCAGGAAGGTTAAATAATTGGCCCAAGGTCATCTAGGGCTGAACTCTGAACCTGGGCAGCATGCTTCCAGAGCCCAAGCTCTTAACCACTTTGCTCTGAAGCACAAGCTTACAAAGGCAATGGCAGCTAACTGAGACTGTCTCTTTGCTCCATTCAAGCTACTGCTCTGGGAGCGTCCAGGGTGGGGTCCTGCAAGGAATCAAAAAGGCATCTGGCTGTAGGCTGATATAAACGGCAGGCCAATGTTACCCACCAACTCCTCTGCATGCCTGATAAAAATTAAACCAAGAGGGGTAAATCTCAAAGAGAAACGTATTCTAAGTACCCTTAGGATTTACAGAAGAAATGGCTCGAGCTGTACCCTCATGTAGTTTTGGCCTCCCCTTCCATGATAAACAAATTATTTTTAAAAACTAATCGTCTTTCAACATGACTTGCTGACAATTCTATAGCTCAGGAGAAAGCACAATCAGACAGGTGAATTACTCCTCTGAACTGAACAGCAAGGGTGGTTCTTGACGTGGAGCATGGGAAAGTAGCAACCACTGCTTGCAATCCACAGAGGTCAAGTAAGAGAACGCCAAGATGAGTTAGTTACACACGCACACTATATAGGAATTTCTCAGCCTGTTAGATGTTACCATTTACTCTCCACTTTCCATAAAAAGCCGGTTGGGGGTGGGGCAGGGTCTGTGGTCAAATAAATGTGGGAAATGCCATAAACAGAACAATGTTCATTAGTAAAGGCCTATTTAACCTTGTCGAACCCAGAAAGGACGAAAGTCTTGAAAAACGTTAAGGATCTTAAGAGAGAGCACTGGGGGCTGGGGTGGGGGTCGGAGATGGGGTGAAGACTGGGAAACCAATGACCACTGGACTCCTATCTGGCTTCTATCTTCTGTAGGTTATTTGCGTACTTCTAGTCTCCCTTAAAAGCAGGAACTATCCTATTAGCCTCTTCCTGAGCACCTGAGCAGGAAGTCAACCCCTCACTGACCCCCTGCTCCTCAGGGCAACTGCTGCTCAGACCCACCCCAGAGTGGGATCTGCCCAAGGGGTGGACTCACTTCCCATCCCCACCCCATTCTAACTGGAAGTCTGGGGCTGGCCTCCAGATCGTTTCCCCACACCCTGCCTCCCACTTCCCTAATCACCCCCAAAGGTGCAAACCTCTTCAATCAGCTAATCTCGCCTACAATTTCATCTCTGTCCACTCAGCCCTGGCCTTTTCCTGGCTCTTCTTCTTCCTGAACCCACTTGGAACACTTTCCACCTCTGCCCTCGAGAACCCTAGTCCTTTGCCAAAAGACAACCTTATATGCTCAGCCACCATCTTGCTTAACTGAAACCTGGCTTTGCCCTGACAACTCCCTCAAACAGAAGTTGCTCATTTTCTTTTCCCTTCCCCTATCAACAAACTTGCTTTTCCTTCAGTTCACACAAGCTGAGAAACCTCAAAATTATCTTGACTCCACCTCCGCTCTTCCTCTCTTTCTTCCTCCCCCTTCTCCTTCCCTTTTAAGAATCACCAAATCCTGTTGATTTTCTCAGCACAATGTTTCTTATGTCTTCTCCCTTATCTCCATTCTCATTGCCTCAGTTAAAAGCCTTTGTTCGCCTGGTGCAGTGGCTCAGGCCTGTAATCCCAGCACTTTGGGAGGCAGAGGTGGGTGGATCACCTGAGGTCAGGAGTTCGAGATCAGCCTGGCCAACGTGGTGAAACCCCATCTCTACTAAAAATACAAAAATTATATGGGGCGTGGTGGCACGCATCTGTAATCCCAGCTACTCAGGAGCCCGAGGCAGGAGAATCGCTTGAACCCGGGAGGCAGAGGTTGCAGTGAGCCAAGATCGTGCCTGGGCGACAAGAGTGAAACTCCATTTCAAAAAAAAAAAAAAAAGCCTTTGTTATCTCTCTCCAGAACTATATTAACTGTATTTTAAGTCATTTCCTGGCCTCCAGGCTCTTCTCCCAACAATGAGTCCATCCTACCCAAGGTTGGCAGTGTATTTTCACAAAACACCTAAGAATCTACTGCACTCCAGACACTGTGTGAGGGGCTGGGCTGGGAATAAAAATGAATACACAGCCCCCGGCTTCTCGGCTCACACCCAGAAATGATACAAAACATTGCCCCCTCCCTGACTGTATTCAGTGGCAGATCCTTCTGGAATACTGTTTTTTTGTTTGTTTGTTTGTTTGTTTGTTTTGTTTTGGCCAGATCTCTTTTTTTAACCTTTATGAATCACTTATACATTAGAAACTTTCCATATGTTACCTTCGTTATTCCCAAGAACTCCACAAGGGAGGTACTACTATTTATTCCCATTTCACAGATAAGGAAAATGAGACCAGGTTACTTGCGTCTGTTCACAATTCAGGCAAGTGACAGACGTTGGGTTCAAGACCAGATCTGATCCTCTAGCTTATGCTCTGTCTCTCACATCTTAAGTAGGACATAGAAAACTTGGAAAAGAGCCCAAACAGGATGATAATGATATGAAGAATCTTGAAACCAAGTCATGTGGGGAACGAAGGAAAGAAATGTAGCCTCTTTGGCTTTGTGAAGAGTGAATTTTAAAATGACATGGTGGCTGTCTCTAAATATTTGAGAGGTTGTTATGCAAAAGAGGAAGGAAGCAAACGTGTGGCTCCAACAGCAGAGCTAGGTCTAGCCCATGGTGAAATTTACACAGTAAATTTCGGCTCAAGAACCTTTTCTAACATAGCCCTCTAACAGGCAGGGGTGTTTAAGGAGAAGCTAAATAATCATTTGTCAGGGCTGGGTGGAAAGGACATTCCTGCCTTGAGTGGACAAGCGGTCTAGATGAGTGTTTCTGTGCACATGAGAATCATCTGGGGTCCTTTTAAAGAATACAGATGCAGGCCCCACCCCAGACTTAGCAAAACAGAATCTTGGGGGATGGAGACTGTATTGCAAGAATCACAAACGAGGAAATAAGTCTGTAAGCAGATTCATTCAAGCCTCAACAGAAGAACTATGAAAGGCCAATCAACATGAAAAACTGTTCAACTTTAAGAGTAATCAAAGAAATGCAAATTAGAACGGTGATGTACCATTTATTTCCTATCAAACTGCAAAAAATTTTTAAAATATTACTAACAAGCGTTGGCATGGGAGAGGGGAAATGAACACCCTCACACTCTCCTGGTGAAAGAGTAAACTGAAGCTACTTTCTGTAGAGCAATTTAACAGTATGTTTAAGAGGAATTTTTAATACTAAAAATGCATACAGTGTAATCTTTGAGCAAGCAAGTTCACTGCTAGAAATTTATCCTAAGGGGACGATTTGGCAATTTTGAAGATGCCTTCTCAAAGACATTCACTCAGTTACTGATGGTAATGCTCTTTATCTGCATATATAGTATATGCAGTCCAATATAGTAGCCACTAGCCACATGTGGCTATTGAGCACTTGAACTGTGGCAAGTGAAATTTAGAAACTGATTATTATTATTACTTTTTTTGAGTCGGAGTATCGCTGTGTCGCCTAGGCTGGAGTGCAGTGGTGGGATCTCAGATCACTGCAACCTCCACCTCCTGGGTTCAAGCGATTCTCCTGCCTCAGCCTCCCGAGTACCTGGGACTACAGGCATGCGCCATGACACTCAGCTAATTTTTGTATTTTTTTTTAAGTAGAGACGGGGTTTTGCCATGTTGGCCAGGCTGGTCTCAAACTCCTGTCCTCAGGTGATATGCCTGCCTCAGCCTCCCAAAGTGCTGGGATTACAGGTGTGAGCCACCATGCCTGGATATGATTATTTTTAATTAATTTAAATTTAAAAGTAAAGAAAGATATATAGCTATTTACCTTTATAGTTCATGTTTATAACAGCACAAAATTAGAAAAACTATCAAAATATCAAACAATAAATGATAATTACCTCTGGTACACCCATAATGAAAATTTAGGCAGTCATTAAATATGATTATATAGATTTGTATTTATTGACATCAAAAAATATTCATAAGATACTGATAAATGAAAAAAATTATTTAAAAGTTTGTGTGGCCAGGCGAAGTGGCTCATGCCTGTAATCCCAGCACTTTGAGAGGCCAAGGTGGGAGGACTGCTTGAGCTCAGGAGTTTGAGACCAGCCTGGGGAAACACTGTGAAACCCTGTCTCTACTAAAAAAACAAAACAAAACAAAAACAAAAAAAACTTTAGCTGGGCACGGTGGCGTTTGCCTGCAGTCCCAGCTACTTGGGAGGCTGAGGTGGGAGGATCCCTTGAGTCCCAAAGGTCAAAGCTGCAGTGAGCCATGATTACACCACTGCACTCCAACCTGGGTAAAGAGCAAGACTTTGTCTCAAAAAAAAAATACATAAACAAAAATAAAAAGTTTGTGTATATTTCTTTCCATCCATATATGTGTGTGGGTATGTATATGTATGTATAGATATGTATACATCTATATATACAGTATATATGTGTATTTATAGATGTGTATATATACACATAGAAAGAGAGAAAGGTAAATATTTACATTAAAATATTTACGGAGCTTCCTCTGGGTAATGAGATGGTGATAATTATTCTTACTTTTCTGTTTTTCTAGCTGTTGTACAATAAACAAGCATTTGGCATGTAATAAAGCAATGAAGGCCGGGCGCGGTGGCTCACGCCTGTAATCCCAGCACTTTGAGAGACCGAGGCGGGCGGATCACGAGGTCAGGAGATCGAGACCATCCTGGCTAACACGGTGAAACCCCGTCTCTACTAAAAATACAAAAAATTAGCCGGGCGTGGCGGCGGGCGCCTGTAGTCCCAGCTACTCGGGAGGCTGAGGCGGGAGAATGACGTGAACCCGGGAGGCGGAGCTTGCAGTGAGCCGAGATCCCGCCACCGCACTCCAGTCTGGGCGACAGAGGGAGATTCCGTCTAAAAAAAAAAAAAAAGCAATGAAAGCTTAAAAAACAAAGGTTCACTGGTGATTAGAATAGAAAAAGACTCAATCCAGAGAATTTTTTAACATGTTAGTCTCAGAAAACAAATTTTCCTATTTGGTGCTTAAACAAGGGTTCAGCAAGGAGGCCTCTCTGGCTTCACAGCAACCTGCACCGGTCTTTTGTACAGATCGTGGTGGAGTGGCTTGCTCTGGGCCCTGCTAACCTCCAGTAGCGAGACTATTTTATGTTTAGGTGCTAACACTCTGGTTAACTTTCCTGACCCTCAGTTCATTGACAGCTCAGTTCATTGAGAGCCTCTGAACTGGAAATGCTTGGTCAAGAAGCCCAAGTTGAAACTGGCTTTTATTCCGTATTGTTCTCACCTCCTTAGAGATGAGGCTGTGGGTTTTGTCCTATATTACCTACTTTACACAAATTCCCTTGGGAAGAGGGAGCAGAGGAGTGGTTCCGTTTCAGCGCTTCTCTAAATGCAAACATAACAAACATTCCATGCAAAGGTAGTTGTGAGCGGCGGGTTGGGGGAGTCAACAGCTGCAGACGCTTTTCAGCCATTCTCAGCTTCTGGAGAGCTTTTCTCTACTGGAGCTATTATACGAAATCTGGCTGATGCCAGCCAGGGGACGCTGCGTGCATTACGGCGCGTCCAGGGGCTACAACCCCTAATATCTAGCAACTCTTTCCCGATCTTTTGGCGCACAAGGAATTGAGGGTAAGCTCCGCAGTAAACAGTATTTAAACAGCTACTAGGCGACTCTTCCAGGCTGATAAAGTGGCTTCTCTAAAGGGCGGCCATAATACAACAGGTTTAGCAAAATGCCTTTGTTCCCCTGCGGCACCAGTAGCTACATCCTGAATTACAACAAAATCAATTTAAAAATTTAAAACTCTGCATTTTAAACAAGTACATATGTAAACACTTCTCTCTTAATCACATACACTCTCAGGTTATAATGTTTCTCCCCAATCCCCTCTTGAGAAATCTGTCAATGATGATTCTGTAATTATCCCTTTCCCTGGGTTAAAACTGACCTTCATAAAAATGCTGAACTTATAGGAAAATGCAGTAACAGTGGAACAGTCTCTCTGTCTGCTTTATTATGTAGTTAGTTAATAGATTCGTGGAAGTACTAATAACTGAATAACAGTTTGAATACGCAACAACATGCTATATATAGCCCAGGCCCAGCCATCTGAATTTTTCAAACAGTGAGGAAAACTGAATGATGTTAGCAACAGGCCAACAAGGGTGTAATTCCAAAATCCTTAAAAAAAAAATAAAAAAAAAACCTAAACAGGAAATACTGTATATTTGTACAGCTTGGTGGGTTTTCCATGTTCTAACAAGAGATACACCAGAGGAAAGCTTGACTTGCTGCGGTAATGGCTCTAACTCATATTGAAGCCCCAATGTGAGTATCTTGGGTTTATAGCACAAGTGTAAATCCTACCTCAGCTGTCCCTTAAAAGAATCAGAAGTTATGGCAGCAGCTGCAACATGGTCCCCTCACTCTCCAGCCACTCGTGGTTTTACTAACTTTGGTTAACAGCTCTTTGTGAGAGAGAGTCATTTAGGAGCATACATTCCATGTAAGAACTATTTCCTTATTTTTTCGTTGACTAAACTGCTTACAAATAGCATTTGCTAAGGCTCTATGAAGAATCTAAACTTGATTTGTGTGCATAATCTGGGTGTCCTATTGACAAAGACATTCCCATACACACAACCAACCCAGATTGTAAATAATGAAAACAAATGAAGAAAAAGATCATTTGCATTCTCATAATTATAGAGCATCTAGCATTGTGTGTGGCACATTGTAAGGGCTCAATAGATATTCATTGATTTAGATTACTAGAATCTGTTCTCCCTCACTCCCAAAATCTCAATGTGGTTCACATACTAGAGTAATGAGTAAATATTCCTCTGCATTGCCTGGTGTAAACGGTAAAAATCAATGACCTTGGTCCCAAGTAAGCTGGGCTGACAAGGGAACCATGGCCACTGCCAGCGTCTCCTAGAAAAGACTCCTGCCAATAACAGTTTTTCCTCCTTCGCCATAGAATCAATGGTCAGGAAGGAGCCGCTGAACCTACAATGCACAAAATTCTTTTGAAAACCTAAAAACAGGGGAAAGAATGCTAATGTTAACTTTTTGCTGCTAGGGTGGCAGGTCAAGTGCTGATCAAATCCCAGTGGAAGTTTTCTTAGTCCCATTTATTCTCGAGAAATCTGGCCACCTACAGCTTTCTTCACGTGTTGTGGTAGAAGGCCAGCCAACCCCGCTCAAGGAAGGTTTTTTGTTTTCTCTGAATTTAGGAAAGCGTTCTCTGCTAGGTAGATTGAATCACGTGTTAACAATCACCCAAGATGAGAGCCCTGGTATAAATGCTCTGCACACAGCTTGCCTTCCTCTCTTAACTGGCTGTGATGACAGGCAAGGCTCCAATCTGACCTCAACAGGTCCTCACTCCAAAATCAGACTGAAATACACAAGCCAAGTCCATTAAAGTAACATTAAAGGTCTGGATTTAGCTCCACTAAACAGCAGAATTAAACTTTCAAGGGTCTAGCCACAATAAAGAGATTTCTTTAAAGTCACTTAGGTTTGCACAGTTGTAGCTATTAGGGATCAGATCTTTATCTCAAAGGTACATAGTTTACCTTTGATCCTCCTCCAGAACTCCCACTAATGTCAACTTTCTCCACTGTTGGGATCAAGCCCCTGGCCTCCCTTTAATGCTGGGTTTTATTGCTGATTCTACAAGATCAACAGAAAAATTACAAGGAAAAGCTGTGAAGTTCCCTTCCGATGACAAGTTGTTTTAACAAAAAGAGCCCTCTCTTAAACGGTGAAATTTAAACACAGCAAACGACTCGCTGTAAAATGGAGCTGAGGGAGACAAAAACAAACAAAAACAACAACCAAAAAACAAAGTAACAAAACAAACACTAATTAATCAGTCCGATTGCTTATTCAGGGTTTGTTCGCTTGTCCAGGAAACTGGCAACGAGTGTCTTGAAAACAAGAGAAGGGGCAAGTGCCCGTTAGCACCCTTTAGCCTTTCTCCAGAGTCAGACAATCTGGATAAGGCTGAGGGTGCTCTGGGAGGGTTCCCAGGGAGTCAGCGCGCTTTCGAATCCCCATCCCCCAGTCCTGAGCTGTGGGGCTCTGACCCCAGGTCCTCCATCCCTGGACTGACACACCCAGTCTTCCCCCAAATCCCCACGGCACCGTCCCCTTGGTCCCCTTGCCTCTGGAGCGCTCGCGTGTCCCCGAGGGACACACTCTCCCTGCGGTGGATGACCCTGCGCCCACTCTGTCGCAGAACCCCGTTGTTTCTAATGCCCTTCCTCCGCAGCAGCACCCCTTCAACACCCATCACCACCCTCTCTCCCCAGTTGCAGGAGGAAGTCGCTCTGCTTCCTCTGTTCTCACCGCCAGCCCGAGCTTGGGCGCCCGGGGCTTTCTGGGTGGGGTTCTTTTTTGTGTACACAGTGTGTGTATGTGTGCGCGCGAGAGTGTGTGTGCCAAACGCTCATCGCATCCTTCCGCCTAGGCGGCCTCAGGTGCTCGCGGGAGGGGATCAGGATCTCGTCGTGCCCTTGTCCCCGGCTCTTTGTGCCGAGTCCAGAGCAGCGCGAGGTCAGCTCTTTAGCTCACACCCCCGGCCCCGACCCTGGGTGGGAGCCTCCGCCTCCGCCTCCTCCGCAGCCGTCCGAGCCCGGCTTTTGCCCGTCTGCTTCCATCCCGGCGCACGCCTCCGCCGTGCCGGGCGGCCGGAGAGCTGTCAGCCGGCGCCTGGGACTCGGACCCCGGCCGGCGGCTGCCGGTGCGAAAACTTACTGGAGCGGAGAAAGACAGCGCGCGGCGCACCAAGCGGCCGCACTGGCGCCGTTCCTGCCCCTTCCCGCGTCGCTCCCGCCTGGAGCGCGTCCCCCGGGATGCCCCGTCCCCCGGCCACTCACCAGCACCACGGAGCCCCGCACGGCCTCAGACACGCTCTGCCGGAGCTCAGCCGCCGTGCCAGGCTTGCTGAGCCGTTTGGTGAATTTGCGCACTTCGGCCATGGCAGCGGCGGCGGGCGGGTCTCGGCGGGCGGGCGGACCTCGGCGGGCGGGTGGACTCACTGCCCCGGCCCGCGGCGGCCGCGGCCGCTGCTGCTCCCTCTGTTTACTCGCCGGCCGGCCGGCCACATCGCAGCTCGGCGGCGGCGCGGCTCACGCTGCTCCTCCCTCCCACCTCCCACCCGCTGCTCCTCCCTCGTTCCCTCCTTCCCTCCTTTTCTCGCTCGCTTCGCCCGCTCACTGTCCTGCCCCACGGCGTCGGCGGCGGCAGCTCCCTCCCCTAGAGGGCCCGAGCTCCGATCGCCACCAGCCGAAGCAGGAGGGTGTGTCTGATGGGGAAGGGTGTGTAGAGGGGGAGGGAGAACTGGAGGTGGGGGCGAGGGTCACGAGGGAAGAGGGGGGAAGTGGCTACCGCTCGGGCTCCGCCCGCAGCTGATGTTGCTGGTGCAGCCGCATCCGGGAGGGGAGATCTGGGCTGCTTCTTTTTTTCCGCTTGAGTGGGGAGGGCGGGGTGGGGTGGGGGAACAGAGAGGGGTGATGAAATGTCTCCAAGAGTGGGGCGTGCTCCTCTCCCGCCCTAGTGCTCCTCTCCCGCCTCCGAGCTGCAGTGCCCGCAGGAGGGCTGGAGAACTCTCACGTCCCTCCACCCCGCAAGCCCCCAGGGCCCAGGCGGCTAGGGGCTGGAAAACAACGTGGAGCAGCCGCCTTTTGTGTGCTCCTTGGGGAAGGGTCGCACCAATGTCGAAGGACAGAGAGCTGCTTTCCAGCGTGAGCGGCTCGACTGGGTCCCCCTCCTCGCCCACACCGTTTTCCTACTCAGTTGGCTCACCTAACAGGGGGCAACACTGGGGAGAGAGCATGCTTCTGGAAGTGGGAACTTATTGTGGCGGCACCCCTCGCTCCGTCCCCCACGGGGGAGAGCTGGGTGGTGGAGCCTGAGCCTGTGGCAGGTGATCCCTAGGTCAGCACTGACTGCACCAGGAGTGGGGTGGGGGTGGGCATTAGGATGAGCCTGTGGCAGGTGATCCCTAGGTCAGCACTGACTGCACCAGGAGTGGGGTGGGGGTGGGCATTAGGAAGGCCATCTCCCTGGGTTTGGTGGACTTACCAATCTTATAGTAGCTTTTACAAGTGCCCTGCACTCACCTCTCCATTTCCTATTCATCTCCTTACTCTTTTCAGCTTCCAAGAAATTGTTTTTCCAAGAATCAAAGAACATCTCATAACAGGGTATAAAACGAACATGCTTAAGACAGAAATAGGGACGGGAATCTTGAAGTACTAGTGACCCTGTCAGACCTCCTGAAGTGCAGAGTGAAAGGCTCCACTGATGGTGGCAGTTTTCTATCTGGTTATTTCATTTGTTGAGAGTTTGAAAATGGCCCTCAGTCTGGGGGACCGAGCAGCCCTTCTGAAAGCAGTCCTACCACCACCCATCGGGCACTTTCCCCACCCTCAAAGACCAAACAGTCTTTTAGGGGACTTTATTATGGAAACAAGGGCATGCGTGGTGATGGTTTCTTTGAACCCAGAAAAGGCCAAGTCTCTTCGCAGTAAGCCTATTTCAGCCATCCCATCAGTCTCAATAAAGCATATATGGAGGCTCCTAGAGGGCCTGGGACCTGGAAGTCCTCTAAAGACATTCTGTCACAAATCTTAGTTTTGCACAGTACGTGTAAAATTTGTTAATTGTTGCGTGTAGGCTGATCTCCAAGAATTCATACCCTCTGTTCCATAAATGCCTGTGTGGCTCATGCTGTTGGTTACCACCACAATAGCTATAACACTTTTTGCTTGCAAAGAGAGCCCAGATTTACTTCAGATATAGGGCAGAGCCACAGGGTTTAAGGAAGGCAGGCCCAACTCCAGGTGATGAATCATGACTGATGAAAAAACCATGATAAGCTCCCTCTTATTGACTAGTGGGATGGTCTAGACTCCCAATCGGTTTGGGCCAATAAGATATAAGAGGGAAGTGTGAGAGGAGGGTTCCTGGGAAAGTTTTTCTACCTTGATGAAAAAAAAAGGAGAGAGGCCCAGGCCCCACTTTCTTCCTGAGAGGGATGTTTTCTTGCAATGCTTTGGCCCTTGGCAGCCATATTGCAACCATGAGGCAAGGCCAAGGCAATCTCAGAGAAGCCAATGTAGAATCCAGACAGCATTGAACTGTTGAACCAGGCCTGATACTGCCTACCTCTAGTTCCTTTTTATGTAAGAAAAATAAACCCCTGCAGTTTATGACACGTTTAGATGAATATTCTGTTACTTTCAGCCAAAAGCATTCTTAGTACCACAGGCTCTATGGTAGCCACTGAAGGTGCACAGCATTGAACAAGACAGGCAAGGTCCCTCCTCTCCTGGAGCTCACATGTCAGTGCAAAGAAATGAACATGTTAATTTCAGAAACATAAATGCTATGTAGAGAATTAAGGGGAGTTGATAGAGAGTAACTGGAGTTGGGGACCTAGTTTAAAATAGATGATCAAGAAAAGCTTCTTTGAGGAGGTAAACACTGAGCTGAGTCTTAAAGAAGCAGTCAGCAGAGATCAGCAGGTAGACCATTCCAGGCGACAGAAATGCCAGGAACGAAGGCCTAGAGATGGGGGCAGACTTAGTGTGTTCAAAGACCAAAAAAAGGCCAGTGTGGCTGGAGCGTAGAAGGAAGAAGAGTGGTACAAGATAGAGTAGGAGAAGTAAGCAATTTCTGCAGAGTATTGTGAGCCATGGGAAGCATATGTCACACTGATGGTGCACAAACACCATCTGGCCATTGTGCAGGCTCTATGCTCATTCTTGAGATTGTAGATTTCACTTCTTCTGGTTTAAGACTTCTATTTAAATACATAAACATTGAGCATGGTGCTACACACTGAGGGAGAATGCAGTATGAATTAAAGACACTATTTCCTTCTGGGAAAAAAAAAAGAAAGTCTAGTAGAGAATGTATTTATGGTACAAAGTAGTATGTGATACAGACCATACTCAAGGTAAAGAGGCAGGAGAGGCCGAGCGCGGTGGCTCATGCCTGTAATCCCAGCACTTTGGGAGGCCGAGGTGGGTGGATCACCTGAGGTCAGGAGTTCGAGACCAGCCTAACCAACATGGCAAAATCCGTCTCTACTAAAAATACAAAAATTAGCCAGGTATGGTGGCAGGCACCTGTAATCCCAACTACTTGGGAGGCTGAGGCAGGAGATCACTTGAACCCGGGAGGCAGAGATTTCACTGAGCCAAGATTGCACCATTGCCCTCCAGCCTGGGCAAGAAGAGTGAGACTCCATCTCAAAAAAGAAAAAAGAAAAAAAAAAGGCAGGAGAGATCATATCTTCTTAGGTCTATGAAAGGTTTTCTGGAACAGGGGGTGTTTGAGCATTTGAGCTGGACTTTGCGGAATGGGTAGGATTTGGATATAACTGCACTCACATAGTAAAGAGAAATCGTAGGTGCAATCTTACAACTTCCAATAGGGCATTTTATTGGGCGATTTCTTTTCCACATTCGTTAAATATATTCAGTTTTTATCACAAATTTAGCTGCTGCATTAACACTATCCTAATTCTATCCTAATTGAACCTGAGATACAAGTATTAGAAATGCCATTGAGCCCTTTGACTGAGAAATTCCACTTGTATAAATCAATGCCAAATAAAAACTTGCATATGTGAGCTCAGATGCCTGTATAAGGATGGTCATTATATCAAATGTTTGTAATAGCAAAATATTAGAAAGAACCTGAATGTCCATCTAAAAGGGACTTCTTTATGATCAGTCCCTAGACCACTGCCTGGCACATTGTGAGTGCTCAAAAAATAGTTGTTCAGCGAATGAATGAATACACATGATTTATTCAAATGAAGGGACTCTCTTCAGCTATTAAAAAAAGAATGAGGTAAATATGTATGTAATTACATTGAAAAAGCTCCAAAGGATATTCACTGATAAAAGCAAGTTGCAGAACAACTCTATTTATGAAAATGTGTATGTGTGGGCCAGGCGCGGTGGCTCACGCCTGTAATCCCAACATTTTGGGAGGCTGAGGCAGGCGGATCACCTGAGGCCAGGAGTTTGAGACCAACCTGGCCAGGAGTTTGAGACCAACCTGACCAACATGGCATGGCGAAACTCCGTCTCTACTAAAAATACAAAAATTACCCAGGCGTGATGGTGTGCACCCTGTAATCTCAGCTACTTGGGAGGCTGAGGCATGAGAATGGCTTGAACCCGAGAGGTGGAGATTGCAGTGAGCCAAGATCGCTTCACTGCACTCCAGCCTGGAGGATACAGCGGGATTCTGTCTCAAAAAAAGAAAAATTTGTGTGTGTGGTGTGTGTGTATATGTATGTCCCTATACATGAGCTAATAGTGGGGGCCTCATGGGTGGGGAGTGGAAGTGGGGAGCAAGGAGACTTTAACATTTTATCATCTAAATGCTAAAGACTCTCAAATTTTTATTTCCAGCCTCAAACATCAAACTTGTATATCGAACTCAGCATCCCCACTGGGATGTCTAGTATCTCTAATTAAGCGTGCCTAAAATCGAACTCTTATTCTTTCTCCACGAATCTAGTTTTTCTATAGTTTTCTCCATCTCAGTATATGATCATTCTTTCTAGTTCCTCAGAACAAAAGCCTTAGAGTCATCTTATTACCTACACACCCTTTATCCAACCAACAGCAAAGCCTGTTGGCTCTGCCTTCAAAATACGTCTGAAATCCAACCACTTCTTAATATCTCTACCAATACCACCAGCAACCCTTACCAAGCTTATGTCAATAGCCTCTCAACTGACCTCCCTGCTTTCACCCTTACCCTCCTGTAGTCTATTTGCAACATAGCCAGTGAGTCCCACCAACCCCCTATTCAGTTTCTACTTACAGTGACCTACAATATCTAGTGTTATCTCTTGCTGTGTAACAAATTACCCCCAAGTTTAGCAGCTTAAAACAATACACATGTATTATCTCACGGTTTCTGTCGTTCAGGAATCTAAGCATGGCTTAGTTGGGTTGTCCAGACCAGAGTCTCTCGCTAGGCTGCCATCAAGGTATGAGTTCAGGATCTCTCATAGGCTATGATCAAGGTGTCAGAGCAGGGGCCTCACCCATCTCAAGGTTTAACTGGGGCAGAATTTGTTTTTAAGCCCATTCACTGGTTGTGGCAGCATCCAGATCCTCACAGGTTGTTGTAGTAAGGGCCTTAGTTCCTTGCTGGCTGTCAGCCAGAGGTTGGCCTCAGTTCCTTGCCTCATGAGCTTCTCCAGAAGGCAGTTAATAACATGGCAGTTTACCAAAGTGAGCAAACAGGGCCAGGCGCAGTGGCTCACGCCTGTAGTTCCAGCATTTTGGGAGGCCAATGTGGGTGGATCACTTGACGTCAGGAGTTCAAGACCAGCCTGGCCAACATGGTGAAACCCTGTCTCTACTAAGAATACTAAAGTTGGCAGGGTGTGGTGGTGCATACCTGTAATCCCAGCTACTCAGGAGGCTGAGGTGAGAGGATCACTTGAACCCAGGAGGTGGAGGTTGCAGTGAGCCAAGATCCCACCACTGCATTCCAGCCTGGGCAACAGAGTGAGATTCTGTCAAAAAAAAAGAAAGAAAGAAAGAAAAGAAAAGAAAAGAAAAAGAAAAAAAAGTGAGCAAACAAGAGAGAGTTGAAAGAGTGAAAGACTACCTGCAATTGGAATCCACAGTCTTTTATAACCTAAACTTGGAAGTGGCATCCCATCAATTTTACTGTATTTTATTCACTAGGTCCAGCTCACATTGAAGGGGAAGATATTAACACAGGGCATTAATACTAGGAGGCAAGAATCATCTGGAGCCATGTCAGAAGCTGCCCATCACAATCTACCTGACCTGTCTCACTATAGCATTACAGCTTTTTTCCCATACCTGTCTGATCTCATCTCCTATTGATCCTCTCCTTTGCACTCCATGATCTACCACACAGGCCTCCTTGAGGGTCCCTGAATTGCCAAGGCTTTGTCCATCATCAAGGCCTCCTCACTTACTGTTGCTTCTACCCAGCGGAAGAAGCTTCATTACTTACTCTCTCAACATCTAGATTTTGGGCGTTCCTTGACCTTCGTATTTAAAAGTTCAACCCTCCTACCATCTCCTATCTAACTTGCTTTCTTTGTTTTTCTCCAAAGCACTTGTCACCATTTGATATACTATATATGTTTATATATTTATTTTATCATCTGTCTTCCGCACTAAAATGCACGTTCCATGAAAGCGGGATATTTTGTCTCCTTTGTTCACTGCTTTATCATCAGTGCCTAAAGCAGCACTGCCCAACAGAAATATAATATGAGTACATATGTAATTATAAATTCACTTGTAGCCACATTAAAAAATTAGTAAAAAGAAGCAGGTGAAATTAATTTTAAAAGTATATTTTTGTTGGGCATGGTGGCTCACACCTGTAATCCCAGCACTTTGGGAGGCCGAGGTGGGCGGATCACCTTAGGTCAGGAGTTCGAGACAAGCCTGGCCAACATGGTGAAACCCTATCCCTACTAAAAATGCCAAAACTTAGCCAGGTGTAGTGGCGGGCGCCTGTAATCCCAGCTACTCAGGAGGCTGAGACAGGAGAACTGCTTGAACTCAGGAGGGGGAGGTTACAGTGAGCCGAGATCACGCCATTGCACACCAGCCTGAGCAACAAGAGCGAAACTCCGTCTCAAAAAAAAAAAAAAAAAGTTTTCTAATGGCCAGGTGCAGTGGCTCATGACTATAATCCCAGCACTTTGGGAGGCTGAGGCAGGAGGATCATTTGAGGTCAGGAGTTTGAGACCAGCCTGACCAACATGGTGAAACCTTGTCTCCACTAAAATTACAAAAAAATTGGCCAGATGTGGTGGCTCACGCATCTAATCCCAGCACTTTGGGAGGCTGAGGTGGGTGGATCACGAGGTCAGGAGTTCGAGAACAGCCTGGCCAATATGGTGAAACCCCATCTCTACTAAAAATACAAAAATTAGTCGGGCGTGGTGGCACGCACCTGTACTCCCAGCTATTCAGGAGGCTGAGGCAGAAGAATCACTTGAAACCGGGAGGCAGAGGTTGCAGTGAGCCATGATCATGCCACTGCAGTCCAGCCTGGGCAACAGAGTGAGACTCCATCTCTAAATAAATAAAGAAATAAATAAAACCAGCCTGGTCAACATAAGAAGATCCCATCTGTACAAAAAAATTAAAAATTAAAAAATTAGCTGGGCATTGTGGTACACGTCTGTAGTCCCAGCTACTCAGGAGGTTGAGACAGGTGGATTACATGAGCCCAGGAGTTTGAGGCTTCAGTGAGCCGTGATTGTGCCACTGCACTCCAGCATGGGTGACAGAGCAAGACCCTGTCAGAAAAACAATTCTAATAATTATTTCATATCAGTTTTTGTATTTAAGTGTAAATTAACTAAAATTAAATAAAATTACAAATTCATTTCCCCAGTCGCATGAACTACATTCATGTGCTCAATAGCTCTATGTGGCTAGTGGCCACAACGTTGCACAAGGCAGGCCTAGAACAGTGCCCAGCACTTAAAGGTCACTCAATAATTAATTATTATATACAAATTGTGTGCTGCTTTTCCAATCAGAATATATTCATGATGACTTCAATGAGATAAATAAAGCAAAACAAAAGAAATCATGATACCATGTTCACTTCTGTGTGTTGTTGAGGCATTTATTACAACCAAACTATAATTGTGGAGAGTTGTATGGTCTCCAAAGCATATTTATATCCATTATCTCATTCAATCTTCAGAACAATCTGGAGAGGTAGACAGAGCCAAGATTATTTTTCCCCATTTTACAGATAAGTCACACAGTAGTTGGCAGGGCCAGAAACAGAAGCCAGGTCTTTTAGGTCTCTTTCAGATACACCACATGGCACTGACTAACCTTAAGGGCCTTGGGAGACTCTCCATCTTACTCTAATTCTATGCGGATCCATTAGTCATGAATTTATAGTGAGATTGTCATATATATTTTATCTGTCAAACAACTGTATATTGTTGCATACAATAATATAGGCAATATATGAGTATTTGAAAAAGTTAAAAGCCCTATCGCAATTATAAGATATTTTAAATAATATAAAACTTATTGAATATATATTAATCGCCTATGGTACCACTTGGAATAATGAGAGGTTCCTTATTTCCCAAAGTTAACACCTTCTTTTTCACTTTTTTATCCTTCAAAGGAATATTTTAAAAATAATATTAAAAACATATTTTAAAAATATTTTTAAATTTTCTTAAAAATATTTTTTAGGCCGGGTGCGGTGGCTCACGCCTGTAATACCAGTACTTTGGGAGGCTGAGGAGGGCGGATCACGAGGTCAGGAGATCGAGACCATCCTGGCTAACACGGTGAAACCCTGTCTCTACTAAAAATACAAAAAAAAAAAAAAATTAGCTGGGCGCGGTGGCGGGCACTTGTAGTCCCAGTTACTCGGGAGGCTGAGGCAGGAGAATGGCGTGAACCTGGGAGGCAGAGCTTGCAGTGAGCCGAGATCACGCCACTGCACTCCAGCCTGGGCGACAGGGTGAGACTCCGCCTCTAAAAAATAATAACAATAAAAAATAAAAAGAAGTAAAAAATATATATATATATGTAATACTCATCTGGGCACAGTGGCTCACACTTATACTCCCAGCACTTTGAGAGGCCAAGGCAGGTGGATCACCTGAGGTCAGGAGTTGAAGACCAGCCTGGCTAACATGGTGAAACCCCTTCTTTACTAAAAATACAAAAATTAGCCAGGCGTGGTGGCAGAAGCCTGTAATCCCAGCTACTCGGGAGGCTGGGCAGGAGAATCACTTGAGCCTAGAGGCAGAGGTTTCAGTGAGCCGAGGTCATGCCATTGCACTCCAGCTGGGTGACAAGAGTGAAACTCCGTCTCAAAATAATAATAATAATAATAATAATCCTATTGAGTTCTCAAAAGGGATAGATGATAACCTGGGAGTTGTCCATTAGTTGTACATGCTATTGCTAAAGGACCAAATTTGTTGTCATGCCCAGGCTGTACAGGCTTGAAGGGAGTGGGGAAGGGCTGATGCACATGAGAGCTCTGATGAAAGAGTTTGGGCAAGGACAGAGTACAGGTGGCATTGATCTTACCCAGAGGACATTTTCTCAGGTCACTTTAATTCCTTTATGAGATGACAAAGGACACCTGCCAATCTGAACTCTGGAAATCTGAACTAAAAGATCAGCCTCCCCTCAAAGACTGATAATTGTGTTTATAATAATGGCAAAGAAGAGTTGGAAGTACCAGAAGCCGGGCAAGCCTGAGGTTGCATTTTTCAAAGGTCAGCTAAGGATTATGCTCTACGCCCAAGGGATGGGGCCACAAAAGCCATGAATCCTGTGCTTGGGGGACTATCGAGTGAAGAGTTAGGTGCCTTGGCAACCAGACATCAGGCCCCTCCCATCATCTAATACCAGCTACTTTTATCTAATACCATTATCTAATACCAGCTACTTTTTCTTCTCTATCAATCAGTTCTTTGTTAATGTCCTAGCAGCCTTGTGGCTGCACTCACCTAAATTAAAACATCTGGAGTTCTTAAACCTCCTGATCTGATATCCTTCTAGATGGCCTATTAGACTTCAAATTGCTCCACCTAATGGCAGCTAGTTCCTGTATAAGTATCAATTCATGACCCAAAGCCCAGATGGGTGGAGATGCCTAGGGACATTTGACTATCATGTTCCTCAAGATAACCTATGGAGAAAATGATTCAAATGTGGTCCTGCTGCCCTTGAAAAGATCACAGTATATATGCACCACTGTTAATTTAAAAAGGTTAGGTACGGTTGTCATGTTTCATTATCAGAAATGCACTATTTTGTTTTTTCAATATACTTCTAGGTCACTGAGGAGCGTTAACCCAAGAGTTTCTCTATCTAGCTCTCATTTAAAAGTTTTCCATAATCCTGTTTTGTAAATTGATAGTCATTAATTTTCCCCCAATAGATGGCTGTTAGTAGAAGTGACCTAGCTAAAATTCTGCTGTAAAAGAGTGAAACGAGGTTGTTTTGTTTATGAGCCCCTATGTGTACATCTCTGGGCTCAGTCTGATTACCTTTTTTCTTTAGCCAAATAGAATGTCCTACTTTTTTCTTTAGCCAAATAGAATGTTCTATCCTTTAGCCCCACAGCTAAGAGAGGTGGGGATAGGTGTAATGCTACTGCTGGTAGGCAAGGGGTTTTGAATAGTAAAAGCCAATGGAGAATAGAAAAATAGTCAGAACCAGACTTTTAAAAAATATATCAGCGTGGTTTCCTGAGTTGTGGGGTTTTTGTCTGTTTGTTTTTTTGCAAAGCAGAAATCTATGAGAACCATAATCAAAATGCAATTTTATCTTGTGAAGCCATATGAAACTCTTCAGGAGAATAAGAAAAAGCCCATCAGTGGGAGATGCTAGGACCATCAGCTGAGCCAGGGAGAGGATGATTAGGCATGTAATGTTCAGAGGCTACTTGAGGGGAAAGGGAGAACAAAAAAACCCCACCGTAATGAAAGGCCTCAAAGAATTAACAATAAAACTATATTTGATCCAGCAATCCCACTGGGAAACTACCCAAAGGAAAAGAAATAATTATAGCCAAAAGACACCTATACTCACGTTTATCACAGCACTATTCATAATAGTAAAGTTACGGAATCAAACTAAGTGTCCATCAATGAATGATTGGATAAAGGAAATGTGATATATATACACAATGGAATATTATTCAGCCATAAAAAGAATGGAATTATGAATTTTGCAGCAAAATGAATGGACCTGGAGGCCATTAAGTGAAACAACTCAGAAACAAAAAGTCAAATACTGCATGTTCTCACTTATAAGTGGGAGCTAAATAATGCATTCACATGGACATAGAATGTGGAATAATCACTGGAGACACAGAAGGGTGGAAGGGTGGAAGAGGGGTGAGGGATAAGAAATTACTTAATGGGTAAAATGTACACTATTTGGGTGATGGATACACTAAAAGCCTAAACATCACCACTATGCAATGTAGCCACGTAACAAAACTGCATTTGTCCTTCTCAAAATTATACAAATATAACTGTAAAAAAAAAAAAAAAGAAAATAAGAGCTAAAGGAGTAAGAAAGAAAAAGTGGCTAGAAATATAATTATGAATCCAAGATAGGAGAGCCCAAGTATGGGGAGGCCAGGACAGAAACTGCCAGACAAATGGGAAAAAAAAACCAGGAAGTGAATGTCCAATTGGCTTTAGTCTAGACTCTAGGGTCAGAGAAAAACTATTCCCAAGAAGGGCCCAGATCAGAAGCCAGAAAGCAAATAGATGAGGATGGTCCGTGGGTGTATGTCAGGGGGTCTAAGAGCCACCAAATATATCTACCCACGGCTATGCCCCGTAGCAGTTTCTCAAAGGCAGAAAAACTTAAATATATTTCTGTTTCCACGGAATGGCCCCAGAAAGATTCAGTGAGTATTTACATTTGCTTGTTTGCTGAGTCAATTCTAGACTATAGCCAGATAGCCAGCATGCCTGGGAGACTAAGTCAGAAGGGTTGGAGAGGGCAGTCCCCAAACTTGTCAGACTGGGAAAGTGGGAGTTTGGGATAAGTCCAAATTTAGCGTGTTGTCCTAATATACTTAGCCACCAACAAATATTGAAAAATACTCAGCTGGGCGCAGTGGCTCACGCCTGTAATCCCAGCACTTTGGCAGGCCGAGGCGTGCAGATCACCTGAGGTCAGGAGTTCAAGACAAGCCTGGCCAGCATGGCAAAATCTCGTCTCTACTAAAAATACAAAAATTAGTTGGGTGTGGTGGTGGGTGCCTGTAGTCCCAGCTACTAGGGAGGCTGAGGCAGGAGGATTGCTTGAACTGGGAGGCAGAGGTTGCAGTGAGCCGAGATCACACCACTGCACTCCAGCCTGGGCTACAGAGGGAGACTGCCTCTCAAAAAAAAAAAAAAAAAAGAGAAAACCTCTTCATCCATAAAATGTTGTGGTTTTCAAAATGACCCTTTCCCTTGCAGGAAGCTAATGATATGTCTGTGAAAATGCCAGTGTAAGCTTCTTAAGTATTTCAAATGTTGTAGAAAGCATTAGGTATTGCTTTCTATTATGTACATGTATATTCCTGAATATGAAACTTTTTTTTTACCTTGAACTCCTGGGCTGAAGCAATTCCTCCGCTTCAGCCTCCTGAGTAGCTTGGACTACAGGTACATGCCATGCCTGGCTAATTTTCAAGGTTTTTTTTAGAGATGAGATCTCACACTATTGCCCAGACTGCTGACTGCGAAACTTACTTATAAAGAGACCAAATGGTTTAGTGTCGCCTTCATATGAAAAAAAAAAAAAAAAAGAGAGAGAGACAACAAATGGTCCAGGCTGGGGAAAGGATATGAGGACTTGGTGCTGGACAAGTCCAGTGGAAATTATTCCTGGGCACAACTGAAAAGAGCAAAGAAGGACTTTCAGGAGCCTTTAGGGACAGATAAGTTGTATCCAGAAAATTACAGGGACTAGGATCAGAACAGGAGCAAGGACAGGGAGGGCAGGTACGTGGAGTTGGATCAGACCTTAGAAATTGCCTAGTGAGATCGGGTGCTGTGGTTCACGCCTGTAATCCCAGCACTTTGGGAGGTCGAGGCGGGCGGATCACAAGGTCAAGAGATCGAAACCATCCTGGCCAAAATGGTGAAACCCCGTCTCTACTAAAAATACAAAAATTAGCTGGGCATGGTGGCACGTGCTTGTAGTCCCAGCTACTCAGGAGGCTGAGGCAGGAGAATTACTTGAACCCAGGAAGTGGAGGTTGCAGTGAGCCGAGATCATGCCATTGCACTCCAGCCTGGGTGACAGAGCCAGACTCTGTCTCAAAAAAAAAAAAAAAAGAAAGAAAAAAGAAAAGAAATTGCCTAGTGACTAAATTTTAGTTCAAACTGCTTCTTTGTACAGAAGGCAAGACCAGGATTAATTCAGACAAAGGAAAGCAAACCACTTAAGAGATGGAGCTTCCCGTGTGCGGTGGCTCACGCCTGTAATCCTATTATTTTGGGAGGCCAAGGTGGGTGGATCACTTGAGGTCAGGAGTTCGAGACCAGACAGGCCAATATGGCAAAACCCCGTCCCTACTAAAAATACAAAAATTAGCCAGGCCTGGTGGCACATGCCTGTAATCCCAGTTACTTGGGAGGCTGAGGCACGAGAATGGCTTGAACCAGCAAGGTGGAGGTTACAGTGAGCTGAGGTCATGCCACTGCACTCCAGTCTGGGCATCAGAGCTAGATTCTGTCTCAAAAAAAAAAAAGAAAAAAGAAATGGAACTGACCAGGTGTGGTGGCTCACACCTGTAATCCCAGCGCTTTGAGAGGCCAAAGCAGGAGGATCCCTTGAGGACAAGAGTTCAGGACCAGCTTGGCAACATAGCGAGACTCTGTCTCTACAAAAAATGCAAAAATTAGCCGGGCATGGTGGTGCATGCCTGTGGTCTCAGCTACTCAGGAGGCTGAGGTGAGAGGATTGCTTGAGCCTGGGAGGTTGAGGCTGCAGTGAGCCATGATTGTGCTACTGCACTCCAGCCTGGGTGACAGAGTGAGACCCTGTCTCAAAATAAATAAATGAAGTCTTTATCGATTTGAGATCAACACTGAAGTATTTACAGATGAAACAACATGATGTCCAGGATTTGCTTTAAAATACTACGGAAAGTGTCAAGACCATACAATGGGGGAAATAAGCATCTCTTCCCCACCAAATGGTGCTGGGATAACTGGAAAATCACCTGCAAAATAATAAAGTTGGATCCCTATTTCACTCCATATACAAAAACTAAATGAAAATGGATCAATGATCTAAATATAATAGCTGAGGCTGGGTGTGGTGGCTCATGCCTGTAATCCCAGCACTTTGGGAGGCCGAGGCAGGTGGATCACTTGAGGTCAGGAGTTTGAGACTAGCCTGTCCAACAAGGTGAAACCCCATCTCTACCAAAAATACAAAAAATTATCCATGTGTGGTGGTAGGCACCTGTGTTTCCAGCTACTCAGGAGGCTGAGGCAGGAGAATCAATTGAGCCCAGGAGGCAGAGGTTTCAGTGGGCCGAGATTATGCCACTGCACTCCAGCCTGGGTGACAGAGCAAGACTCTGTCTCAAAAAAAATAAATTAAATAAATAAATAAATAAATATATCATTTGAAATGATAAAACTCTTAGAGGAAAACATAGAGATATATCTTTATGACCTCGGATTTGGCAATGAATTATTAAATTTGATACCAAAAGCACAAGCACCAAAAGAAAAAAAAATAGGTAAACTGGACTTCATCAAAATTTAAAACTTTTGTACATCAAAGGACATTATAAAGAAAGTGAGAAGTCAACCTGCAGAATGGGAAACATAATTCTGTTGAGGGTCTAGTATTCAGAATATGTAAAGAACTCTTACAATTCAGTACGAAAAGGGCCAACAATCTAATTTAAAAATGGGTAGAGCAGCTATTCAGGAGGCTAAGGTGAAAGAATCGTTTGAGTCTGGTAGGTCGAGGCCACAGTAAACTATGATTACGCCATTGTACTCCAGCCTGGGTGACAGAGTGAGACCCTCTCTCAAAAAAAGAAAAGAAAAGAAAGGCCGGGTATGGTGACTCATGCCTGTAATCCCAGCACTTTGGGAGGCTGAGGCGGGTAGATCACGAAGTCAAGAGATCGAGACCATCCTGGCCAACATGGTGAAATCCTGTCTCTACTAACAATACAAAACTTAGCTGGGCGTGGTGGTGCGCACCTGTAGTCCCAGCTACTCGGTAGGCTGAGGCAGAAGAATCGCTTGAACCTGGGAGGCAGAGACTGCAGTGAGCTGAGATCGTGCCACTGCACTCCAGCCTGGCGACAGAGCGGGACTCCGTCTCAAAGAAAACAAAACAAAACAAAACAAAACAAAAACATGGGTGGAGGACTTGAACAGGCATTTCTCCAGAGGAGATATACAAATGACCAATAGGCACATGAAAAAATGCTAGGCCGGGTGCAGTGGCTCACGTCTGTAATCCCAGCCCTTTGGGAGGTCGAGGCAGACAGATCACTTGAGGCCAGGAGCTCGAGACCAGCCTGACCAACATGGCGAAATCCCGTCTCTACTAAAAATACAAAAATTAGCCGGGCGTGGTGGCACGCGCCTGTAGTCCCAGCTACTTGGGAGCCTGAGGAAGGAGAATCACTTGAACCTGGGAGGTGGAGGTTGCAGTGAGCTGAGATGGGGCCACTGCACTCCAACCTGGGTGACAGGTTCACTCTGTCTCAAAAAAAAAAAAAAAAAAAAAGAAAAAGAAAAAAGAAAAAATGCTCAGTATCATTAGTAATTAGGTAAACAGAAATCAAAACCATGAGATACCACTTCACATCCACTAGGATGGCTATAATACACACACACACACACACACACAGAGAGAGAGACACACACACACACAGAGACACACACACACAGAGAAAATAACAAGTGTTGGTCAGATGCACAGAAATGGGAACCCTTGTATATTACTGGTGGGAATGTGAAATGGTGCAGCTGCTGTGGAATACAGTTTGGCAGTTCCTCGGAATGTTAAGTATAGAATTACCATATGATTTAGCAACTTCACTCCTAGGTATATTTCCAAGAGAAATGAAAACATATGTCTGCACAGAAACTTGTATGTAAATATTTACAGCAGGATTATTCATAATAGCCAAAAGATGGGAACAGCCCAAATGTCCACCAATGGATGAGTGGATAAATAAATTGTGGTACATCTATATTTTGAAATATTATTCAGCCATAAATTGGAATGCATGACTGATACATGCTACAACTTGAATGAACGTCTAAAAAATGCTAAATGAAAAGAGCCAGAGACAAAAAGTCACATACTGTATGATTCCTTTCTTGTAAAATGCCCAGAATAGGCAAATTTATAGAGACAGAAAGCATATTAGTGGTTGCCAGGGGTCAGGAAGAGGGGGAAATAAAGAGTAATTACTTAATAGGTACAAGGTATTCTTCTGGGGTGATGAAAACATTTGAAACTAGAGAGAGGTAGTGGTTGCACTGCATTTTTAATGCACGAAATGCCATTGAATTGTGCACTTTTAAATGGTGAACTGTATGTTGTGCAAATTCCAGCTCAATTTAAAAAATACAATACCAGCCTGGACAACATACAGAGACCCCCTTCTGCACAAAAAATAAAAATAAAAAAATTAGATAGGTAAGGTGGTGAGTGCCTGTAGTCCCACCTACTTGGGAAGCTGAGGTGGGAGGATCACTTGAGCCCAGGAGGTAGAGGCTGCAGTGAGCTATGATCGCATCACTATACTTTAGCCTGGGTGACAGAGTGAGATCCTGTCTCAAAGAAAGAAAGAAAGAAAAAAGACTGTGCAGGGTGTGGCTGAAGCCTGTAATCCTGGCACTTTGGGTGACCAAGGTGGGAAGATCGCTTGAGCCCAGGAGTTCGAGACCAGCCTGGGCAACATAGGGCGACCCCGTCTCTACAAAAAAAAAAAAAAAAAATTAGATGGGTGTAGGCCGGGTGCGGTGGCTCACTCCTATAATCCCAGCACTTTGGGAGGCTGAGGCAGGTGGATCACCTGAGGTCAGGAGTTTGAGAATACATTCCTATAATTATTATGTGATTATCTGCCTTTTAAAATGGTGTACCATGGGTGTACCATGGCCAAAGACTACTGAAAGTCTATAAAAGATCACCAGGAGAATGAAAACATAATAGAAAATCAATGCAGCCCTGGTGGTACATGTGTTTAGTACGTAATTCTGAATAATGTCACGGAAACTGCTATCACTGGGGAGGACAATATATCTCAGTATGATGTTGTGTTGGTAAGTGTTGCCACATTGAACAATTCTGGAGATGCCAATCACATCATAGACTATGTGAATGGCACTCCCCTGGAGATGTATAAAGATGTATAGAGGCCGGGAGCGGTGGCTCATGCCTGTAATCCCAGCGCTTTGAAAGGCCGAGGTGGGTGGATCACCTGAGGTCAGGAGTTTGAGACCAGCCTGGCCAACATGGTGAAAACCCATCTCTATTAAAAATACCAAAAATTAGTCAGGTGTAGTGGCGGGCACCTGTAATCCCAGCTACTCCGGAGGCTGAGGCAGGAGAATCACTTGAACCCGGGAGGCGGAGGTTGCGGTGAGCCGAGATAATGCCATTGCACTTCAGCCTGGGCAACAAGAGCGAAACTCTATCTCAAAAAAAAAAAAATTGTGTAGAGACAGTCTGTTGAACCCTATACAAGTGGCCCTGTGCTATATAAACTCATTCTTTTCATTCCCCAGAGATGTCTGGTTGAAAGAATAGTTATAAGTCAGGTGTGGTGGTGTGCACCTGTAGCCCCAGTTACTTGTGAGGCTGAGGTGGGAGGAACGCTTGAGCACAGGAGTTGGAGGCTGCAGTGAGCTATGATCGCACCACTGCACTCCAGCCTGGGCGAAAGAGTGAGACACTATCTCCAAAAAAAAAATAAATTTTTTTTTTTTGAGATGGAGTCTCGCTCTGTCGCCCAGGCTGGAGTGCAGTGGCACAATCTCGGCTCACTGCAAGCTCCGCCTCCCGGGTTCACGCCATTCTCCTGCCTCAGCCTCCCGAGAAGCTGGGACTACAGGCGCCCGCCACCAAGCCCGGCTAATTTTTGTATTTTTAGAAGAGACGGGGTTTCACCGTGTTAGCTATGATGGTCTCGATCTCCTGACCTCGTGATCCACCCGCCTCGGCCTCCCAAAATGCTGGGATTATAGGCGTGAGCCACCGCGCCCAGCCAAAAAAAATTTTTAAAGAAAAGTTATAAACAAAAACCACTATTATGGGGCTCAAACTGTGTCTGAATCTAACAAAGACAGAGTTAGAATAATTTAAAGAAAATGTAAACAATGAGAGCCTTTGATTTCTAAAAACTCAGGAGGTGAGGTGTCTAGAATGAAATAATAATGATTTCTGAAACAGATGAATTAAAGAGTGCCTAAATATTGTAAAACAGGGGATTTGTGTTCCTCTTTTTGCTCCAATGAATCTATTCAAAATGGTTTATTCATTTTAAGCTGCAACTAAAACAAAATATGGTGGGGTGGTGGTAACATGAATATATACATATATATACATGTGAATATATATACACACATATATACATATATAAAATGAAGGCGCGTTATTTTTTACAATTAAAACTCAATAAAGTTGAATGTGTATGTGTGTATATATGTGTTTATATATGTGTATGTGGTGTGTATATATATTTATATATATATAATATATTTCTTGTCAATGAGGCCTCAATTTTCAGACTTCTTCTCTAGCCACTCTTCTCACTCCCTTGATGATCTCATCCAGTGTTTATGGCTTTATATAACATCTGTACCAGCACGGTCCAATGGAAATATAATGTGAGCCACATATATAACTTTAAATACTTTACTAGCCACGTTCAACAAGTAAAAAGGAACACATGAAATCAATTTTAATAATGTATTTTATTTAATCCAATATAGCCAAAAATATCTTTTCAACATGTGATCAATATTTAAAAATTATTAATAAAATATTTCACTTTCTTTTTTCTGTATTGTCTTTGACATCCAGTGAGTATTTTACACTCATAGCATATCTCATTTCGGACTAGCCACATTTCAGGTGATCAATCGTCACATGTGGCTGGTGGCTACTGTATCAGATAGTAGGTATCTATACGCTGACAAGGTCCAGATTTACTTTTCCAACCTAGATCTCTCCTCTGAACTGCAGACTCATTCATCCAACTGTCTACTCAACATCCCCACCTGCATTTATTATAGTCATCTAAAATTTATGTCCAGGGCCAGGCGTGGTGGCTCACGCCTGCAATCCCAGCACTTCGGGAGGCTGAGGTGGCCAGATCACTTGAGGGCAGGAGTTTGAGAACAGCCTGGGCAACATGGCAAAATCACGTCTCTACTAAAAATACAAAAACAATTAGCCGGGCATGGTGGCCCGTGCTTCTAATCCCAGCTATTCCAGAGGCTGAGGCACGAGAATAGCTTGAACCGGGGAGGTGGAGGTTGCAGTGAGCTGAGATCGCTCCACTGCACTCCAGCCTGGGTGACGAAGTGAGACTGTCTCAAATACATATATATTATATATAAAATTATATATAAAATTATAATATAATATATTATATATGTGTGTTTGTGATATAATATATATTTTTATACACACACACACACACACACACACACACACATATATATATATATATAGAGAGAGAGAGAGAGAGAGAGAGTATGTCCCAAACGCAGCTACTCATCTTCCCCCAAGAAACCTTTCAGAGGCTTACACATCTCAATTAATGACAACTCCATTTTTCAGGTTGCTCAGGCCCAAAACCTTGGAGCCATCCCAGACTCCTCTTTCTCTCACATCCTGCATCCAATCCTTCAGCACATCCTGGTGTCCCTACCTTCAAAATATAAGACCACTTCTCACCACTTCCATTAATACCCTGGTCCAAAGCACTATCATCTCTTACTAAGATGATGGATCGTCTCTAAGAATGTACTAGCCTCCTAAATGGTCTCCTTGCTTACAGCCTTGGCCCATTCAGTGTTTAAAACACAGCAGCCAGAGTGATCCTGTTAAAATGGAAGTCAGATCACAGCAGTCTGCTCTGAACTTTCCTCTGGCTCATCATTTCACTTCGCAAAAGCTGAAGTCCTTACAATGGTTCCACGCCCTCACCTCCGGTGACCTCTCCACTCTCCTCTCCATTCTCCCCTTGCTCACTCACATCAGGCTTACCAGCTTCCTTGCTCTTTCTCAAACACGCCAGGCATGCTTCAGCCCCAAGGCATTTGCACTTGCTGTCCCCTCTGTCTGGAATGCTGTTACCCCAGACAGAAGAGTGGTTCTCTTTCTCCCCTCCTTCCAGCCTTTGCTCAAATGCCACCTTCTCAGTGAGGCCTTCCCTTTACACCTTATTTAAAATTGCAACCCACCCCCCAGACTACCTATTTTTTTCTCTTCCCTGTTTTGTTTTTTCTCCATAGCATTTACTACACACACATCTTTTTTTTTTTTTTTTTTTGAGATGGTGTTCCTCTCTTGCTGCCCAGGCTGGAGTGCAATGGTGTCGTCTCAGCTCACCGCAAACTCTGCCTCCCAGGTTCAAGCGATTCTCCTGCCTCAGCCTCCCGAGTAGCTGGGATTATAGGCATGTGCCACCATGCCCCGCTAATTTTGTATTTTTAGTAGAGACGGGGTTTCTCCATGTTGGTCATGCTGGTCTTGAACTCCTGACCTCAGGTGATCCGCCCGTCTCGGCCTCCCAAATTGCTGGGATTACAGGTGTGAGCCACTGCGCCCAGCCAACCTATATATATTTAGTATTTGTCTCTCCCCATAAATTATAAGCTCTGTATGAGCAAAGCTTTTTGTGTGTTTTGTTCATCACTATATATCCACAGCACCTAGAACAGTGTTTGGCATATAGTAGGCACTCAGTAAATATTTGTTGAATGGCTACATTATATAACATTTTCATTCAGGACGATTGTTCATAATATTAAGAAAGTATGTAAAGAAAAGACAAATGATTTTTCAACATTGCTTCATATATGCCACATTTTATAACAAAACATAAAAAGATCCGCCTCCCGGGTTCAAGTGATTCTCCTGCCTCAGCCTCCCGAGTAGCTGGGACTACAGATGCCTGCCACCACGCCCATCTACATTTTGTATTTTCAGTAGTTTCACCATTTTGTAGTTTCACCGTGTTGGCCAGGCTGGTCTCGAACTCCTGACCTCAGGTGATTCACCCGCCTCAGCATCCCAAAGTGCTGGGATTATAGGCATGAGTCACCACGCCCAGCTATGGTGGTGGTCGGAGGGGGGCCTCCCTATGTTGCCCAGGCTGGTCTTGAACTCCTAGGCTCAAGCAATCCACCCACCTTGGCCTCCCAAAGTGGTGGGGATACAGGCATGAGCCACGGCGCCCAGCCCTGGTTGTCTACTTTCATTCAAATGAGCATTATATCTTGAGTTCCTGGTGGAATTCCAGTCACATACGATAATTTTAAGAGTGTTCCTTGGTCAAATACATGTGGGAAATGCTCCTTAGTGTATTATTCTGTGGAAACTATTTCATCTTCTCAGTTCTTTACTTCATTTTCTGGACTTCCTCCAGCTCAGTGACTTCACGTCATCGTTTGCTCTTTCCCTGACTTGTGCATGCAAAAAAAAAGATCTCCACCTCAAGGAGTTTGCCATTGCATTGCTTTTACGCTAGTAGTTAGGGAGCAATTTTTAATGTTTCCCTCTTAAAGGATTTATTTTTTTGCATCTTATCCTTAAGAGCTATTGACTTTGGTTTCATCTTTCTCTTGAAATGGCTGAAAATGTCTCCAGAGTGGGTATATTTTTGACTTCTTTCCCCCTCACAGTACTCCAGGCGAGAAGCTTTCTGAGATGTTCATTTTCCGCACTCATGAATGGAAGTCCATTTAAAAACTCTGAGGTGGAGATCATCCTAAATGCTTAGTTCTTTCCTGGTACCCTCTTCACACAAGGTAAAAGTGTACACAGACATAATATACATATCTATCATTAAGTATACATCATATTTGTGCATATATATATATATTTGCTCACTGTGACAGATTTTGAAGTTTATTAATTAGTGTTTGTGAATGAATAAAATATGTTCCATTATACATTTTTTTTGAGACAGGGTCTCACTTTGTTGCCCAAGATGGAGCGCAGTGGGGTGATCTCAGCTCACTGCAACCTCAACCTCCCAAGCTCAAGCCATCCTCCCATAGCCTCCTGAGTAGCTGGGACTACAGCTGCATGCCACCATGCCCAGCTATTTTTTTTTTTAAATTTTGTAGTGATGGGGTTTCAACATGTTGTGCAGGTTGGTCTCAAACTTCTGGGCTGAAGTGATCTGCCTGCCTCAACCTCCTAAGGTGTTGGGATTACAGGTGTGAGCCACAGCACTCAGCCTAAATATACATTTCATACATACATGCATGTGTGCAAATGTGCATGTATGTGTATACACATACATGCATGTACATTCACATATGAAGTCAGTGTCTGTACTTCCCATTGCTAGTTTTTACACTCTTACTATCTGTATATTTATTCATAAATGCTGTATAGTAGCTCCCTTCCCTTTCATTGTTTGTCTTGTAAAATGAATATTCTACCACTGCTTCCCCTCCTTTTGCTACTCACTTGATCCTTCGCTGCCTGCCACTTGGCCTCTCATAACTGCTTGACAAAAATCTTCTCATCTGAAGTCAGATGCGTTGGGTCATGCCTGTAATCCTAGCACTTTGGAAGGCTGAGGTTGGAGGATTGCCTGAGCCCAGGAATTACAGACCAGCCCTGGCTACATAGCAAGATCATGTGTCTACAAAACATAATTTTAAGAAAATTATAAAAATTGAAAAAAAATTAGCTGGGCGTGGCAGTGTGCACCTGTAGTCCCAGCCATTCAGGAGGCTGAGGTGGAAGGATCCTTTGAGCCCAAGACATTGAGGCTGCAGTGAGCTATAATGGAGGCACTGCACTCCAGCCTCGGTGACAGAGTGAGACCCTGTCTCTAAACAACAACAAAAAATCTTCTCATCTGAAAGTCATCACCATACTCAGTAACCTTTCCTTGGTCCTCATTACCTGACTTCTTCATTGTTCCTCCTCCCCTCCTTCTTGGATCTCTTTTGAGATGGAGTCTCACCTGGCCTCCCTGGTTCAAGGGATTCTCCTGCCTCAGCCTTCCAATTACAGGTGCGCACCATCATCCCCAGCTAATTTGTTTTTTTTGTATGGCGGTTCACCATGTTGGCCAAGCTGGTCTTGAACTCCTGACCTCAAGTGATCTGCCCACCTCAGCCCCCCAAATTGCTGGGATTACAGGCATGAGCCACTGTGCCCAGCCCTTCTTGGATCTCTTAATGAAATACTCTAATGTTGAAGGGGCTGGCCCCTGTGAAGAGGTGAAAGGGTGGGGCTGAGGGCTAATATCCTGCTTTGCCACTCTCTCGGCAGGCCTGTTTTCTCTCCCGACCACCAGCTTCACGCAGTCTCATGTACATTTCCAGAGGGATGTTCTGCTGTTTCCTTCAGCTTCACTTGTCTGAAATATAACTCATCTTCTTCCACAAAGCCAGTTTCCGTAGCTTCTCTTTTTCTGTCACTAACGTCAGCACCAGACATAAAACCTGAGTCATCTTTGACTCCTTTCTTGACTTCGCACCCACGTTCTATCCATCACCTAGTTGTGTTGATTTTTTTTAATGTTTTGAACTTTTGAAATATTTCAAAAACACAGAAAACTACAGAGAATAAACGATTTCATCACTGCTTAGATTTGACAAATCTTTGTATTTTGTCATATGGACTTCAGAGTTTTTCAAGAAATAAAACATAATACATTTGAAGTCCCTCTGCACCTTTCCTCAATCCTGTCCTCTATTCCCTTAGAAGTTATCACTACCTAAAGTCTATGTACCCCAAAAGCAATGTTGTATACTTTTCCTACATATGCATTTATCCATAAATAATATATAGGCCAGGCACAGTGGCTTATGCCTGTAATCCCAGCACTTTGGGAGGCCAAGGTGGGAGGTTCACTTGAGCTCAGGAGTTTGAGACCAGCCTAGGCAACATGGTGAGGCCCCATCTCTATAAAACATTAAAAAATTAGCAAGGCATGGTGGCGTACACCTGTAGTCCCAGCTACTTGGGAGGCTGAGGTGGCAAGATCACTTGAGCCCAGGAATTCAAGGCTGCTGTGAGCTATGATCATGCCACTGCACTCCAGCCTGGGTGGCAGAGTGAGACCCTGTCTCAAAAACAAGAATCATCAACAAAAACAACAATATTTTATTATAATAAAGGGTTTAGAGAAAATCAAAATTATGGGAGAAATTATTCTTATTTTTTGATCTAGTTGTCTACATCTATGTAGATGTAGGTCATCTTGTTCCCAAAAATGTAACCCCATCATCATTTGAGTCACGTGAATGTTAGGTATAGTTCTCAGGAGTAAACAGAGATTTGTGTGTCTGTGTGTGTGTGTTTAAGAGATGGGGTCTCACTCTGTTTCCCAGGTGGGAGTGCAGTGACAGGATCATAGTGTGTCTGGAGTTGGTTCCTTCTGGTGGGTTCTTGGTCTTGCTGACTTCAAGAAGGAAGTTGCGGACCTTCATGGTGAGTGTTACAGCTCTTAAAGGTGACATGGACCCAAAGAGTGAGCAGCAGCAAGATTTAGAGTGAAAGAACAAAGCTTCCACAGCATGGAAGTGGACCTGAGTGGGTTGTTTCTGCTGGCTCGGGTGGCCAGCTTTTATTCCCTTGTTTGTCCCCACTCACATCCTGCTGATTGGTCCATTTTACAGAGCGCTGATTGGCCCATTTTACAGAGTGCTGATTGGTGAGTTTACAACCGTTTAGCTAGATCCAGAGTGCTGATTGGTGCATTTTTACAGAGTGCTGATTGGTGCATTTACAATCCTTTAGCTAGACACAGAGCACTGATTGGTGCATTTTTACAGAGTGCTGATTGGTGCATTTACAATCCTTTAGCTAGACACAGAGTGCTGATTGATGCATTTACAATCCTCTAGCTAGACACAGAGTGCTGATTGATGCATTTTTACAGAGTGCTGATTGGTGCATTTACAATCCTCTAGCTAGACACAGAGTGCTGATTGGTGCATTTACAATCCTTTAGCTAGACACAGAGGGCTGATTGGTGCGTTTTTACAGAGTGCTGATTGATGCATTTTTACATAATGCTGATTGGTGCATTTACAATCCTTTAGCTAGACACAGAGGGCTGATTGGTGTGTTTTACAGAGTGCTGATTAGTGCATTTACAATCCTCTAGCTAGACACAGAGTTCTGATTGGTGCACTTACAATCCTTTAGCTATACACAGAGTGCTGATTGGTGCGTTTTTACAGAATGCTGACTGGTGCATTTACAATCCTTTAGCTAGACACAGAGTTCTGATTGGTGCACTTCCAATCCTTTAGCTAGACACAGAGTGCTGATTGGTGTGTTTTTACAGAGTGCTGATTGGTGCATTTACAGTCCTCTAGGTAGACACAGAGCGCTGATTGGTGCATTTTTACAGAGTGCTGATTGGTGCATTTACAATCCTTTAGCTAGACACAGAGCGCTGATTGGTGCGTTTTTACAGAGTGCTGACTGGTGCATTTACAATCCTCTAGCTAGACACAGAGTGCTGATTGGTGTGTTTTCAAAGGGTGCTGACTGGTGCATTTACAATCTTTTAGCTAGACACAGAGCACTTATTGGTGCGTATTTACAGAGTGCTGATTGGTGTGTTTACAATCCTCTAACTAGACAAAATTTCTCCAAGTCCCCACTCGACCTAGGAAGTCCAGCTGGCTTCACCTCTCAATAGCTCATACCTTATTACAGCCTCAAACTCCTGGGATCAAGCTACCCTCCCACCTCAGCCTCTCAAGAAGCTGGGAATACAGGCATGTGCCACTGTGCCTGGCTAAGAGAGAGCTTCTGAATGTCTTTGCTTATGAATCTAAATGTATAAAGTGAGTAAATAGCATGGAGTTCAAATGAAATTTCTGTTACTATTGGTAGGGTCACAGGAATATGCTAAATTGTAAGGGCTCAGTGCTATTAGGTAATGAAAGAGAGAAACTTACAACGTTGACAAGTGTTTTGAAAAAGATCTCTCTTGGTTTGTTCAACAAACCCTACTAGGATAATTTGTTAGCTAACTATTAGGATAAGGCCTATTTAATCATTACCCAACCTCCATGCACATTAAAAAGTAAAATAAAGGCTGGGCGTGGTGGCTCTTTCCTGTAATCCCAGCACTTTAGCAGGCCAAGGTGGGTGGATCATGAGGCCAGGAGTTCAAGACCAGCCTGGCAAACATAATGAAACCCCGTCTCTACTAAAAATACAAAAAATTAGCCGAGCATGGTGGCGCATGGCTGTAATCCCAGCAACTTGGGAGGCTGAGGCAGGAGAATTGCTTGAACCCAGTAGGTGGAGGTTGCAGTGAGCCAAGATCACTCCACTGCACTCCAGCTTGGGCAACAGAGTGAGACTTCGTCTCAAAAAAAAAAAAAAAAAGTAAAATAAAAATATCAAATCATACGTAGAAAACTGAAATAAATAAACATTTATCTGATCTCTAGGTAAAATTGTTCTAAACATGGGGGGGAAGCAAGAAACTTAACCATACAAAACCTTTGTGTGGCTGGGCATGGTGGCTCATGCCTGTAATTTCAGCACTTTGGGAGGCTGAAGCAGGAGGGCTGATTGAGACCAGGAGTTTGAGACCAGCCTGGGCAACATAGTGAGATGCTCCATCTCTATTCAAAATATTTTTTAAAAATAGGCGGGGCATGGTGGTTCATGTCTGTAATCCCGCACTTTGGGAGGCTGAGGGAAACAGATCACCTGAGCTCAGGAGTTCAAGAGCAGCCTGGCCAGGAGGTCATACACACACACACACACACACACACACACACACACACACGCACACATATATATACAATATAAATATGTATATTTAAAAGTAAAATAAAACTTCTGTAAAAAAAGGATCATGAATTAAAAGATAGACAATAAACTAGGTAAAGGGATAGTATATTTATTGTAAGGGGGCTAATGCTGTCTTTGATAATTAAAACAGAAAGACTCCAATAGACCAATGTATATCACATGAAACATCTCTTCACCAAGAGGGAGATAAAAATAATGAGGATTAGAAAAACTGTTCAGCCTCACTAAAAATCAAAGAAAAGTAAATGAAAACAAAAATTACATATCAGTTTTTGCCTATCAAATTAGCAAATATTTTTTCTTTTTGAGACAGTCTCTCTCTGTCACCCAGGCTTGAGTGCAATGGCACAATCTCAACTCACTGCAGCCTTTGCCTCCGAGGTTCAAGTGATTCTCCTGGCTCAGCCTCCCGAGTAGCTAAGACTACATGTGCCTGCCACCACACCCAGCTAATTTTTGTACTGGGGTTTCACCATGTTGCCCAGGCTGGTCTCAAACTCCTGGCCTCAAGGGATCTGCCTGTCTCAGCCTCCCAAAATGCTGGGATTACATGCGTGAGCCACCACACCAGGCCAGCAAACATTTTTTTAAAGACTATTAGTGAATTAGAAACTTCTGTTCATTTTTGGTGCTTCGTTTAACTAAAGCAATATGATAGTGTAGTGGATGTTTGAGATATTCCCGCACAGCTGACCATAATCTTTTGAATAGCATTTCAATTAGGGTTGCCAGATTTAGCAAATAAGAACATGGATGCTTGTTTAAGTCTGAATTTCAGATAAACAGGAAATAATTTTTTACTATACGTCCCATAATTGTTTGGGATACACTTATATTAAAAATTATTACTTGTTTATCTGAAATTCAAATTTAACCAGACATCCTGTATTTTATCTGGCAAACTTACTTCCTATATTTGTGAAAATTCCAAGTTTATAATGCTCGCATCGTATTCTTAGTGTCCTTTTCAGCTAGCCTGCAAGCATGTGGTCTCGGCTTTGCTTTCAGGAAACTTATATTAGGCAGTGAGGATGATGATTAAACCAGGCTCTGCATAGAACTTCCTTTTGTGCTGACAGAGGTGATGAAAGGAGGGAGCCATCTATTTTGGGTGCTGGCGTCAGTGCCAGTGGATTTTTTTATAGTGGGGTTCAGGGCTACCACATATGTATAAATCTAGGGAGTGCCATTTACATGGACTATGGTATCTGTCGCCCAGGCCAGAGTGCAGTGGCGCGATCTTGGCTCACTGCAACCTCCACCTCCCGGGTCAAGCAATTCTCCTGCCTCAGTCTCCCGAGTAGCTGGGATTACAGGTGCCTGGCACCATGCCCAGCTAATTTTTTGTATTTTTAATAGAGATGGGATTTCACCACGTTCGCCAGGCTGGTCTCGAACTCTTGACTTCAGGTGATCTGCCAGCTTCAGCCTCACAAAGTGCTGGGATTACAGGCTATAGTATCTTTTCCATCAGCTTATTCTGTGGCCTGATTGGGGGCATTTCTGGCAGCTTAGCCTTGATTATCCAGTCCCTCCAACAATTCTGTGAAAGACTCAATATCCTTTAGTAAACAACTTCTCTGCTCAATTTCCCAGAGTCAGCTTCTGTTACTTGTGACTAAAAACCCTAATAGACAGTTGTATCAAGAGTCTTAAAAATGTGCAAATTGGCTGGTCGTGGTGGCTCCCACTTTAGGAGGCCAAGGCTGGTGGATTGCTTGAGCCCAGGAGTTTGAAATTGGCCTGGGCAACATAGCGAGACCCTGTCTCTACAAAAAAATTTTTAAAAAGACAATTAGCTAGGTGTGGTGGTGCGAGTCTATAGTCCCAGCTACTCTGGAGGCTGAGGCAGGAGGATCACTTGAGCCTGGGAGGCAGAGGTTGTAATGAGTGGAGATCATACTACTGCATTCCAGTCTGGGTGACAGAGCAAGACCCTGTCTCTAAAAAAAAGTGCAAATGCTTTGAGTCCTCATTCTTAGACATTTACCTAAGTGTGCACTCTATAGTGCAGGCAAAATTTTGTACACAAAGATGTTCATCCAGGTGTTATTTATTTTCTGAGATGGAGTCTTGCTCTGTCACCCAGGCTGGAGTGCAGTGGCACAATGTCGGCTCAGTGCAGCCTCCGTCTCCCGGGTTCAAATGATTCTCCTGCTCCAGCCTCCCAAGTAGCTGAGATTACAGGCACATGCCACCACACCCAGCTAATTTTTGTATTTTTAGTAGAGACAGGATTTCACCATGTTGGCCAGGCTGGTCTTGAACTCCTGACCTCAAGTGATTCACCCACCTCGGCCTCCCAAAGTAATAGGATTATAGGTGTGAGCCACTGCACCCGGCCCAAGTGTTATTTATTTATTTATTTATTTATTTTTGAGACAGAGTCTCACCCTGTCACCCAGGCTGGAGTGCAGTTGCACAATCTCGGCTCACTGCAACCTCCGCCTCCCGGGTTCAAGCAAGTCTCCTGCCTCAGCCTCCTGAGTAGCTGGGATTATAGTCATATGTCACCATGCCCAGCTATTTTTTGTGTTTTTAGTAGAGACGGGGTTTCGTCATGTTGGCCAGGCTGGTTTTGAACTGCTGACCTCAGGTGATCCGCCCACCTTGGCCTCCCAAAGTGCTGGGATTACAGGCATGAGCCACCTCACCTGGCCGGTGTTATTGATTTAATAGAAAACTGAAAAACTGGAAACAACTTAAACCTCTAACATTAAGAGAATGGCTGAGTAAATTATGGTACAGCTAGATATCAGGACACTGAATAGTCTTTAAACAGAATCATTAGAGAAGTATTTAAGGATATGGGAAATGCTATAATATTAAAAGTGGCAATACCAAGATAAAAATTTATTTGTGTCAGCCAGGCGCCGTGGCTTACACCTGTAACCCCAGCACTTTCAGAGGCCGAGGTGGGAGGATTGCTTGAGGCCAAGAGTTCAAGACCAGCCTGGGCAACGTGGCGAAACCCAGTCTCCACTAAAAATACAAAAATAAGCTGGGTGTGGTCACAAGTGCCTGTGGTCCCAGCTACTCAGGAGACTGAGGTAAGAGGATTGCTTGAGCCCAGGAGGTCGAGGCTGCAGTGAGCCCTGATGATGCCACTGCCCTCCAACCTGGGTGACAGAGTGAGAACTTGTCCCCACCAAAAAAAAAATTATATATGTGGTACAATCGCTATTATGCTAAAAAAAAAAAAGAGCAGAAAAAAAAGCTGGAAGAAAATATGCCAAAAGGCGATTTGGGGCATCAGCTTATTTTTTTTCCTGCCTTTTTATACTTTTCAATTTGTTATACAATGAATAAAAATTACTCTTGTAGTCAGAAAAAGAAGCCTCTTCTCTAATCCTATTGGATGACCTATACTCCACTGGCCAATGTTTCTATTGTGCAAACAGGCTGGGTGATTTCTGTAGGGGTGGGGATTCCAGAAGCATAAAGTTTTAGAGTGATCACCCAAGTTAGGCCACAGGGGCAGAATAGCAAAAGGGTTTTTAGAGAAATACTGAAATCTCCTTGGGGCAATCTCATTCTCATTGATTCCATTTTGGTTTTCACTTGCAAAAGAGCCCCTCGATTCCCTTCTGACATCACCTTTGGAAATCTTTCCCGTATAAGGCGGCAACATCTAGCCAGGCTGATTTAAATATTATAATATGGTTAACAGCTTCAGCCAATGATAAAAGGTCTGTTTCTCAAACAGAGATACGTAAGCCTGGGGAAGAGAACAGGCTGGGAAAGGGGGGTCGTATGTAAAACAACAAGGTGCATCTTCCTGGGTTTCCATTTTACTAGACAATGAGTAATTTTGTTATTATTATTATTATTATTATTATTTTTTGAGACAGAGTCTCGCTCTGTTCCCCAGGCTGGAGTGCAGTGGTGTGATCTCGGCTCACTGCAAACTTCACCTCCTGGGTTTAAGTGATTCTCCCACCTCAGCCTCATGAGTAGCTGGGATTACAGGCGCGTGCCACCACACCCAGCTAATTTTTGTATTTTTAGTAGAGATGGGGTTTCACTATGCTGGCCAGGCTGGTCTCAAACTCGTGACCTTAAGTGATACACCCATCTTGGCCTCCCAAAGTGCTAGGGTTATAGGCATGAGCCACCTTGCCTGGACGACAATGAGCAATTTTAAATGGTATTTTTATATTAAAATGCATTTGGATATGTTATGGAGCAGGAAGCAAACTTTGCATGGATTTTTGGAATATTACCTGTGAGTTCAACAAAATTGTGTGCTTACCACATTCATACATTTGTGCTTTGGGATACTTCAGTGGAAAGATGTGGGAAGTGCAGAAGGGCATCCCTTTGCTTCTTTGTTAGGTAGGTGTTTGATTCCTCCCAGTATCTGAACGATTGGGTTCTTCATAGAATATCTCTTTCCAACTGCTCAGGGAGCCCCAGGTGGGTTAACTGAGAATAAGATCCGTTTTATTTAACAACTCAAGATTTATTCAACATGACTAAGTAAATGGGCAGTAATAATTTCTTTTTTCCTCTCAAAGCTCATGTAATCCGTTTTTCTCCTTTGCCTACTTGGTTTGTGTCCTGGAGTTTTTGTGCAAGACTGGATGATGTATTTCTATTCAACTTTATTTGATGATGCCAGAAATCAAGTGTCATCAGGGAGATCTTTCTTATCAAGGCTTTCCAGATACAGTCTACGATTTTAGAGTCACATGTGTAGGTTCCTCTTCCCGAAGCTCTTAAACCAGCTTTTGTCGTTTTGTAATATTTTGTTCCAAACTCTAGCGTGACCTCTGTTCTCCAAGGTGATTGCAGGACATTTCCTTTTCCTTGTTTTTTTTTTTTTTTTTAGGCTGGAGTGCAGTGGCACGATCTCAGTTCACTACAACCTCTGCCTCCCAGGTTCAAACGATTCTCCTGACTGCAGTACATTTTTGACAAAACTGTGAAATGCTCTGAGATTCTCGAAAGAGAGATGAATCAGGTAACACTCTAACAGAAACAGGGATCCATTTATTCATCCATGATTTCAACAACATTTATTGAGTGCCTACTACATACTAGGCACCGTCCTAGATGTGGCGGATTCAATGATGAGCCAAACCTGACACTATCCCAGCCCTCAAGGAGCTCATATCCAGTACAAGAGATAGGTCTTAAATAAGTTAGTCACAAATGCACGAATAATTATAATCAGAATAACATAAACAGGACTTCACAGCCACCTCAACTCTACTCTGGTGTATGGACAAGAGTGTCTAGAATATTGGATTATTATTCTCATTTCTTCCTTCTCCCTAGAGAATTATCCATCTGCACCCTCTGTTATGCAACTTTGTAGTACATCCCACCCAGTAGAGTTGGTGGAGTATATTTCCCCATTCCGGGAATTTGGGGCTTGGCCAGGTGTCCTATTTTGACCAATGGGCCAAAGTGATAGTGTATCAGTTCTGAGCAGAGGCTTTAAGAGGCGTCTTGTATTCCTGCTATCCGCTAAAAGACAAGCATGCCACAGGTAACTACTTCCTTTTTGGCCTGGGTCCTGAAATGAGAGATACATGGAGCAGACCTGAACCTGAGCCTAAGAAGCCAGCCTGGCCAGGCACAGTGGCTCATGCCTGTAATCCCAGCACTTTGGGAGGCCAAGGCAGGTGGATTGCTTGAGCCCAGAAGTTTGAGATCAGCCTGGGCAACATGGTGAAATCTTGTCTCTACAAAAAAACAAAAAATTAGCCAGGTGTGGTGGTGTGCGCCTTTAGTCCCAGCTACTCAGGAAGCTGAGGTGGGAGCATCACTTGGGAGGCCGAGGCTGCAGTGAGCTGAGATGGCACCACTGCACTTCAGCCTGGGCCAGAGTGAGATCGGGTCTCAAAAAATAAAATTGAAGAGAAGAAAAGAAGAGGGCCGGACGCGGTGGCTCACCTCTGTAATCCCAGCACTTTGGGAGGCCGAGGCGGGTGGATCACCTGAGGGCAGGAGTCCAAGACCAGCCTGCCCAACATGGCGAAACCCCTTCTCTAGTAAAAATACACAAGATTAGCTGGGCGTGGTGGAGGGCGCCTGTAATCCCAGCTACTCGGGAGGCTGAGGCAGGAGAATCGCTTGAACCCGGGAGGCGGAGGTTGCAGTAAGGCAAGTTCGCACCACTGCACTCCAGCCTGGGCAACAGAGGGAGACTCCGTCTCAAAAAACAAACAAACAAAACAAACAAACAAACAACAGTACGAAGAACCCCATATACTCTCTTTGCTCAGATTCGGCTATTATTACCATTATGGCTCATTTAGGCATGCTCTCTCTCTGTGTATCCATCTATTTGAGAGTAAGTTTCATGATTTATGACCCCTAAAGACTTCAGTCGTCCAGGCTGGCATGCAGTGGTGCGAACATGGCTCACTGCAGCTTCGACCTCCTGAACTCAGGCGATCCTCCTGCCGGTATATTTTGAAGACTAGGAATATTATGTTTACATGACCACAGTACAGTTAACTTCAATTTAATATGGATATAATTTTTTCTTATCTACTGTCCATATTTCCATTTTGTCAACTGATCCAATAATGTCCTTTATAGCATCATCTCCCCCCTCCAAGATTCAATCTAGGATCTGGTATGCATTATTTGTCATGTTGCTTTAATCTCCTTTAATCTGGACACATTTCTACAGTCTTTGTCTTTTTCTTTTTTTGAAATGGGGTCTTGCTCTATTGCCCAGGCTGGAGTGCAGCGGTGCAATCATGGCTCACTGCAGCTTCGACCTCCCAGGCTCAACTGATCCTCCTGCCTCAACATTGTGAGTAGCTGGGACCACAGGTTCGCACCATCATGCCTGGCTAATTTTTATGTTATTTGTAGAAGTCTCGCTGTGTTGCCCAGGGTGGTCTCAAACTCCTGGGCTCAAGTAATCCTCCCACCTTGGCCTTCCAAAGTGCTGGGAGTACAGCTATGAGCCATCATGCCCGGCCTTTGTCTTTTTTAAAACTTATTTTTATTTTTAATTTTGTTATTATTATTTTTGTAGAGTAGGGACCCCGCCATGTTGTCCAGCCTGCTCCTGAACTCCTGGCCTCAAGTGATCCTCTTGCTTCAGCCTCCCAAAGTGCTAGAATTACAGGCATAAGTCACTCCACCAGGACAGTTTTGTCTTTTATAACATCACTGTTTTTTAAGAATGTAGGCCAGGCACAGTGGCTCACGCCTGTAATCCCAGCACTTTGGGAGGCCGAGGTGGGCAGATCACCTGAGGTCAGGAGTTCGAGATCAGCCTGGTCAACATGACAAAGCCCCATCTCTACCAAAAATACAAAAATTAGCCGGGCGTGGTGGCGGGTGCCTGTAATCCCAGCTACTCAGGAGGCTGAGGCAGGAGAATCACTTGAACCCAGGAGGCACAGGTTGCAAGATGGCACCATTGCACTTCAGCCTAGGTGACAGAGTGAGACTTCATCTCGAAAAAAAAAAAAGAGAGAGAGAGAGAATATAGTCCTTTTTTAAAAAATTGTGTTTCTTATTTGGAGTTTCTTTGGTGTTTTCTCATGATTATATTCAGGTGATGCATTCTCAGCTGGAATACTACGCAAGTGTTGCTGGGTCTTTCTCAGGGTGTCAAACCAGAGGCACATGTTATCCATCTGTCCCACTGGTGATATTAGTTTTGATCACTTGGTCAAGGTGATGTCCAATTTCTTTACTGTATAGTTATTCTTTTTGCTATGTAATTAACAAGCAGTCAGTGAGGTAATACTTTTTTTTTTTTTTTGAGACAGAGTTTCGCTCGTGTTGCCCAGGCTGGAGTGCAATGGCGTGATCTCGGCTCACTGCAACCCCCGCCTACCCGGTTCAAGTGATTCTCCTGCCTCAGCCTCCTGAGTAGCTGGGACTACAGGCACCTGCCACCACGCCTGGCTAATTTTTGTATTTTTTAGTAGAGACAGGGTTTCACCATGTTGACCAGGCTGGCCTTGAACTCCTGACCTCAGTTGATCCACCTGCCTCGGCCTCCCAAAGTGCTGGGATTACAGGCGTGAGCCACCACGCCTGGCCAGTGGGGTAATACTTTAAGACCATGCAAATAGCCTACTCCTCATCTAAATCCATTGATGACTCTTGTCTGAACCAATATTTACTATGATGGTTGCAAAATACTGATTTTCCACCTCTAGTACTTCTTCCACATTCACAATTGAATTCTACTGTAAAGTTCTCTCCCTTCTTCATTTTATTTAGCGATTTATTTATCTATTATTGGTATGAACTTATATCTTTACTAATTTTTTAACATGTCCTAATTCATTACTGTATTTAATTATTTTGAATCTCAATTTTCCCAGATTTGGCCCATGGTCCCTTCAAGGTGGTACCTGTCCTTGTGACATACCACCATCATTTATTTTGAGCACTTCCTTAATTTCTGGCATAAAAATATGCTCCAGGCTCACCTTGTGCTTACCTTGCCCAGCCCTGGAATCAGCCATTCTCTAACAAGCTCTGGTACACTAAAATCTTTTGACTCCAGCTTGCAGCGTTATCGCAACACAGTAGGTCAGCCCTGAAAACACCAAGGCTACGTTTGTGGGATCTTAATGAAAAGCTGTGTCTTTCCGGTAGAGGATATTTTCTGGGAAGTAATGGGAAACAAAATTGGTCAGAAAGTTGGCCAGAGAGCTAGAATTTTCTGTGGCAAGCAAATTGGAATCAGGGAAGGTTCCTGATCACAATTCTTGACTGGAAATTCCAGTACAAAGAATGGGAAGGGGGTGTGCTTGAAGATTGATTTAGTAGAGATTGTATTTATTAGCTGGGGACATACAGTCTGGAGGAGGCAAGTATATACAGTTGTCCCTCGGTATCCAAAGGGGATTGTTTCCAGGACCCTCATGGGCACCAAAATTCATGGATGCTCATGTCTCGTATATAAAATGGTGTAGTATTTGTATAACCTACGTACATCTTCCTGTATATATGTATGTGTGTATATACACAGTCTCATTCTATCACCCAAGCTGGAGTGCAGTGGAATGATCTCAGCTCACTGCAACCTCCACCTTCCGGGTTCAAGTGATTCTCCTCCCTCAGCCTTCTGAGTAGCTGGGATCACAGGCGCGTACCACCGAGCCCGACTAATTTTTGTATTTTTAGTAGAGACAGTGTTTCAACAAGTTGGCCAGGCTGGTCTCGAAGTCCTGGCTTCAAGTGATCTGCCCACCTCGGCCTCCCAAAGTGCTGGGATTACAGGCGTGAGCCACCGTTTCCAGCCTTCCTGTATACTTTAAATCATCACTAGCTTACTTATAATACCTAATACAATGTAAATGCTGTGTAGATATACTCTATTGTTAAACATTTGTATTACTTTTTATTGTTGTATTGTCATTTTTTATTTCATTTTATTTTAGAATATTTTTGATCTGAGGTTGGTTTAATCCATGGATGCAGAATCCAAGGATACGGATGGTCAACTGTGCTTGATTTCCTTATATTAATTTAAAAGAAAATTATGTAAAACACCTCTCTCATGATTCCTTTGTATAACATAGGAGCATAACAGCTAAGACAAACGAAACCAACTGAAATCCCAGTTTCATTCTTGTCCATGTAATATCGATTTCTTCTGCCAACATTATTTTTTGGTTTTTTGCCGGCAAAGAATACAAATAGCTGGTTTGAGCCTCATCTCCTTTCCCTGGCCACCCTCTAGTGGAGGTGAAATGAAATTATACAATGGCCTACAAACGGCAAGCCTAGAGGGAAAAAGAAACAGCTATAGGTAAATTAGGTGGTGAGATCACCACAGTTAGAGCTGGAGGGATTGAAATATCTTTGTGTCCAATCCCTTATTTTGCAGATGGGGAAACTGAGGCACAGGGAGAGGGAAGCTATTTGCCCAAAGTCATAAAGCTAATGGAAGAGCCAGAACACACTCTACTCCCTGATGTGCAGCATCATTTTAAAGAAATTTTTAAAAACTTTTCTATTAAAAAGCCCATTTTAATTCATAATTGACTTAATTTTTGTAATATTTTGTCACCTTATATATATTTTATATATAAACATATTTACATATATATTATATATATATATATTTCAGAACTTCACTTTCAGGAATGGGGATGGACATTTAGTAGTTATTTCAAAATACCATACACATCACTCCATTCCCAATTATTTTCAAAATTGTTGAAAGAAAAAGTGATCAACAAAAAACTGTCATCCAAAGAAATGGAAGTTGAGGGGGATGGACTCGATCCAAGTGATGGTTCTGTGACTTCAAATGAATTTTTATGCAGTTCTGAACGTGGGACAAGGTTATAAGAGATAATTGCTTAATGCAGTGGTCCCCAACCTTTTTGGCACCAGGCACCAGTTTCATGGAAGACAATTTTTCCACGGATGGTAGGGTGGGGTGGGGTGGGAAATGATTTTGGGATGAAACTGTTCCACCTCAGATCATCAAGCATTAGATTCTCACAAGGAGCTTGCAACCTAGGTCCCTCTCATAATGCGCAGTTCACAATAGGGTTCATGCCCCTATGAGAACCTAATGCCACTGTTGATCTGACAGGAGGTGGCACTCAGGCGGTAAAATGCTCACCAGCCTGCTGCTCACCTCCTGCTGTGCAGTCCGGTTCCTAATGGGCCACGGACATTACCAGTCCATGGCCCAGCAGCTGGGGAGCCCCAGCTTAAGGTCTACAATACACAGACCCTCTAGGTGTAAATTCAGAAGTAACTATCCTAAGTAGTGTACACCAGTTTAAATAAAAGACCTGAAATGTCTTTTTACCTGCTGATGGAGCTGGGAGGATTTTGGTACCTTTTTAATGAATAATGATGACCTTCCAAATGATGTACTGCATTGTTGTTAGCATATCCGATGGCTATCTTTTCTTGTTGATTTGCAATTTGGTTTAGCAATATAAGCTGTCGTATTGCTTTATGAGGTTTGTATTTAATAACAGCACTAGTAGTTTCCAGTTGTGCCCCACTCAATCCTTTTCATGCTCAAGACTTTATCCTCAAACTAATCCTGGGAAGGAATTGTCCTCCTACTGCTACCACTCTGGTCCAAGCCACTATCATTTCTTGCCTGGATTACTGCCACATTTTCCTAGCTGCTTGCTCAGCCTCTGGTTTTACCCGTTCTTGACACCCTCTGCCCACCCCACTCTTCACATTGAGAGCAGCCCATTGCTCTCAGAACAATGCATGAAGGCTGAGCGCGGTGGCTCACGCCTGTAATAATCCCTGCACTTTGGGAGGCCGAGGCGGGCAGATCACCTGAGATCAGGAGTTCGAGACCAGCCTGGCCAACGTGGTGAAACCCTGTCTCTACTAAAAATACAAAAATTAGCCGGGTGTGGTGGCAGGAGTCTGTAATCCCAGCTACTCGGGAAGCTGAGGCAGGAGAATCGCTTGAACCCGGGAGGCGGAGGTTGCAGTGAGCCGAGATTGTGCCACTGCACTTCAGCCTAGGTGACAGAACGAGACTCCTTCTCAAAAAAAATAAAAAGAGAGAGAGAGAACAATGCGTGAAAGCTCAAAAGGACCCAGACCCAGCTTACCTTATGCCAGTCTTCCTCATCCTTCATGTTCTACCCCAGTGGTCTTCAACATTTGTTATACATAATTCCTGACATGTTTTAAAATTGACATTTAAACTTTTACATCATAAGTTAAAATACTGGAGAGAATGCAATTTTGGCATTTTGTAAATATTTTAGAAGAAATCTTACATTACTTTTGGAATCTTACTGCCCTAGCAGTTTTCTTTTTAAAAATAACAACTTTATTAAGATACGTTTATCATACCATAGGGCTCATACCATATCAATTTGACAACATCATTCCTCTAAAAAACATAAAGACAAGCTCCTTAACAGTTGAAGGCTATACATCATTCCCTTTTCTGTTTGAACTTATAAATCCATTCCTCTTCCTCCACATATTTTTATCCTAATGATATCTTTTGTATTCTGAAAGTATTTATATAGGTCATCCTGTCGTACTTCCTTGCAGCAAATAATCAGATACACATTAAACTTGAAATAATTTTTAATTTTCTGTCAACACAATGCTCTAAAATGTTAACACTTTTCTTCTGAATTAAAATAGCTTCACAAATTATTTATTTACAATTTATATTACTAGACAATCAACATAAACGTAACTTTTCTTTTTTTTTTTTTTTGGAGACGGAGTCTCGCTCTGTTGCCCAGGCTGGAGTGCAGGGGTGGGATCTCAGTTCACCGCAACCTCTGCCTCGCAGATTCAAGCGATTCTCCTGCTTTAGCCTCCCGAGGAGCTGGGATTACAGGCACATATCACCACGCTTGACTAATTTTTGTATTCTTAGTAGAGACAGGGTTTCGCCATGTTGGCCAGACTGGTCTCGAACTGCTGACCTCAAGTGATCCGCCTGCCTCGGCCTCCCAAAGTGCTGGGATTACAGGCATGAGCCACTGCACCTGGCCACAACAATTTTAATCAATAATTATTAAGCATGAGAAGTACATTTTTATTGGAAACACAGCTCTAAAATGTATGGGGCCATTTTTAGTTCATGTTTCTGTGGATTACTCTTACTGCTGGGAGACAGGGTTCAACATCAACTTTGTTCCTATTTTTCTTTTCTTTTATAGATATAAGCATTGAGGAACCTCATTCACAAATTTAAATAGACGAGAATGGAATTTTTTTATAGCAATGCCACCCATTTCTTTGAACCCTTTCCAAGTTACATATAAAAAAGTATTCTATGATCAAAGTTATTTTTAATGATTAGCTGGCAATTATGTCCTCCTTCAATGTTACTGAAAGCAATAAATTAGAAACCACTTGACTGGCAAAAAGATATGCTACCCCATTATCAGAGTATCACTAATTTTCTCAGCACCAACACCAATATGTTGGATTGTCCTATTTATATCTCTGGAGGTTTTCACACCCTGTGGCCATGCTCCATACTAACTTTTGGGATGGGCAAGAAGTATGGTTTTTTTTTGAAGGTAGAGACTGGCAATCATGAAAGGGGAGGTGGGAAAGAAGATTCTGCAGGTTGCCACTTCTTCAGGCAGATGGATTTTGGGAATCTGAGTACATACGAAAGTGAATGATCTGGAAATTGATTACTTTAAAACTATCTATGCCTACATATGCCTTGGAAAATCTTCAAGTACCCTCAGGGGTATGTATACTTAACTACAGCTGCTTCAACCCAGGAGTTCTTGAATTTTAGTGCTTATCAGACTTGCTTGGTGTGTTTCTAAATATGCAAATTCCACACCAGGCTCCCAGAGATTCTGATTCTGGAGGTCTGGGGTGGGGCCCAGGCCTTTTTTTTTTTTTTTTTTTTTTGAGATGTAGTCTCGCTCTGTCGCCCACACTGGAGTGCAGTGGTGCCACCTCAGCTCACTGCAACTTCCACTCCAAGGGTTCAAGCGATTCTCCTGCCTCAGCCTCCTGAGTAGCAGGGACTACAGGGGCGTGCCACCACGCCCAGCTAACTTTTTGTATTTTTAGTAAAGACGGGTTTTTTTTTCTTTTTTTTTTTTTTTGAGATGGAGTCTTGCTCTGTCACCCAGGCTGGAGTGCAGTGGCGCAATCTCGGTTCACTGCAAAGTCCGCCTCCCGGGTTCACGCCATTCTGCTGCCTCAGCCTCCCAAGTAGCTGGGACTACAGGTGCCCGCCACCACGCCCGGCTAATTTTTTGTATTTTTAGTAGAGACGGGGTTTCACCGTGTTAGCCAGGATGGTCTCGATCTCCTGACCTCATGATCCGCCCGCCTCGGCCTCCCAAAGTGCTGGGATTACAGGCGTGATCCACTGCGCCTGGCCATAAAGACGGGGTTTCACCTTGTTAGCCAGGATGGTCTTGATCTCCTGACCTCATGGTCCGCCTGTCTCAGCCTCCCAAAATGCTGGGATTACAGGCGTGAGCCACCACGTCTGGCCAAGACATTACATTTTAAGCACAACTTCATGCAGGTCGTCTGTGCTGAAGAAATCCTGGGCTAGAGTATGTATAAGATGCAGAAGGCAGTTTGCCTGTGGGCTGCAGTGCATTCCCCGTGGTCTTTTTTCTTAGCTCAGGCTCTAGGGCAAGCCTCTGAATGAGGAGGCTAAGTTGCCTACTTGGTTCTGTGTGGCCACATAGGCCCCAGGGAATGAACACAATAATAGCTCTTCCTGATTGTTGATTACTGGCCAAATCCATCCGTAAACAATGCCTCCCCTAACACTTCTCCTTCCTCACTTGACACATGGCAGGTTCTCTGAGATTGCTCATGTGCTCTGATTAGTCCACAGGCCAAAGGAGGGATGTGTGTCTTTTTCAAGAATGTTTTCAGGTAATGGTGAGAGGTGATCATTAAAATTTGCAAGCCATTTGTTAAACACAGTCGTAATTTAAATCAATATTACAATGAAGTTATAATAAAGATACAGGTAATAATTACTAAAAACTCATCACTTCCTGATTATTTTACTATGTTGTACTACCATTTATGATCTTGAGATTTATTGTATCTTTATGGTACAAATACTATGTAACAGTGCTACAGTGCACCATGTTAGGTGATGTCACATTGTTAGCTTAAAATTGGCCACCGTGGGAGTATTTACACCATGGAAATTAGCAAATATTACAAATTTATTTTTGGTTTTTTTTGGAGGGTGGACTGTGAAACATTTACTAGTACACCACTGGCTGTAGGCCTTGGGCAATTCGTGACCCTACTTGTCTGTCTCTTGGCCTTTACCTGAATGAGTTAGCTGCTTAAACTTCTATTCCTAGCTCAGGGATTCTTAAAGTTGTTGAAAACAGGTTCCTGCATCCCTTCTCCAACAGACTGTGATTCAGTGCACGTTAAACTAATTCCCAGGTGCTTCTGAGGAAGGCATAGCAGACCACAATTTTAGAAGTCCCCATGGGGTTGAAAGGAGATGACTTGGAAAAAGGAAAAACAAAATATCCTGCTCTTGACGTTAGTGCACAAGAGTGAAAGCTTTCATAGAATTGCTTATAAGCTTAAAATAACTCCTTTCCCTAATGAAGGTGCATGGAAGCTTGGCTGACTTAATGGTTTATCTAACGGTTTATTCGACTGATTAGTGAATGACCATGTTAAGGCAAAAACTGACCCAAGGAAGTCAGTTTCCAATGTCTCTTCAATTACTCTTTTTCATATTGTTGTATGCACTGCAGCAGACTCAATTCAGATCAAATATTTGTTGAACATTACTTACAAGGACCTGTGATTGACTTTCACACGTATTCTATGGGTGAAATCACTCCATAATAATCAATAAAGTGGAATGATTCTCTTCTGTATCTGCTTCAACTTGATCTCCTGTGGATTTTGAGGCTTCCCACCACCTTCCACTCCCATTGCCACCTGTGTCCGTCCCAGCTGCTGCTGCTTCTCCAGTTGTCTGTACCTCTCGCTGCCATACCACTTCATCACTCCTGCTCTTGCCACACACAGAGCTTCATTCTGACCAAGTGTGCCTTTCTTTTTTGCCTCATGCAAAACTCACTCTAGAGAAGACTGTCCTAATTAAGGACTCTGACTTAACAAGGGTAGGTTCAATTTAAGTTCACTTTGGCCATACTTAAAATAGTTGAGTTTTTTTTCCCCCCCGAGACAGAGGTCTCACTCTGTCGCCCAGGCTGGAGTGCAGTGGCACCATCTCGGCCCACTGCAACCTCCAGAGGCCTCCTGGGTTCAAGCAATTCTCCTGCCTCAGCCTCCTGAGAAGCTGGGATTACAGGTGCGTGCCACCATGCCCAGTTGATTTTTGTATTTTTAGTAGAGACAGGGTTTCACCAATGTTGGCCAGGCTGGTCTCGAACTCATGACCTCAGGTGATCCACCCGCCTCGGCCTCCCAAAGTGCTGGGATTACAGGTGTAAGCCACCGTGCCCAGCCAATAGTTGAGTTTTTACTAATGTTCTAGGCTTAGAAAACAGATTCAGTTCTAATTTGCACTGCTTCACTTTGTTTTGTAAACAACTTAGGTTTCATGGTTCACTAAAAACTTAATATTTGCAACCTGCTCAGAGGTTCAATAGAATAGCGCAATTCTTTCTTGCTTCTTGGTCCCCTTTCTGTTTGGTTCTGGTCCTAAGAGAAGCAAAGCACTGACATCTGTTGCAATGTTCCTCCCCCTCTCCAAGTAGGGATGGTGAAAATCTAAGGCATTTTCTCCTAGCAATTTTAAATTATGCTTTTGGTCTTCTTATCCAAATAATATACACTGCAGTATTTTAAATGTTGGGTACCACCTAGAGGAGACAGTGTATACTGATCCAGTTGATGAACATATTTTGAGAAAAAAAAAATCAGGGAAAATGCTTCTCAATATACCGATCTTGTAATTAGATGTTCTAGGAGTAGAACTCAGTCACTGATTGTGCCATTCTGATGCCACAGAAGATCACAAGTTATGTCAGCAGGAATTTGAATAAATGAATGAGAAAGTGAGGAAATCCTCAGCTGCACTGTTTCTGAAGGACTGCCGGCAAGCACATGGACCACATGGACCATCAGAGTTAGAAATCTTAGTCCAAGGACTTCATTTTAATAGACTTGCAGAGAACTACTTATCTTTCCTGAAGTCACAAGGCCACCACAACCAGGACTACAAATTGGGGTTCCCAATTTCTATGCAGGAATTTCTTGTAATTCATACATCGCTTATTCTTTTTTTTTTTTTTTTTGAGACAGGGTCTCACTCTGTTGCTCAGGCTGGAGCACATGGAGCACAGTGGTGTGAACATGGCTCACTGCAGCCTCGACCCCCTGGGCTCAAGCCATTCTCCTGCTTCAGTCTCCCTGTTCGCTGGGACCACAGGCATGCATCACCACGTCTGGATTTTTTTTTTTTTTTTTTTTTTTTTTGTAGAGACGGAGTCTCACCATGTTGCCCAGGCTGGTGCTTACTGTTAAGAGTTCATGCTTTGTACTTTCATTTTAAGGACCTACCACCTTCGATCAATAATTGGAAATTCTGACAAGATATATATTTCTCTATCTCTGATTGTTATTCACAGTGATAAAAAACAGGCACAACCTGAATGTTTGATGGATTGCTTAAATTGTGCCCATATGATGGACACTACCTCAGCCAGGTGATAAGAACGTACCCTCGATGTGATGTAATGAAAAGAGCAATTCACTTCCTTAAAGTCCACAACCCCAGCTGAATCATGAGAAAAACATTAGACAAACCCAATGTGAGGTACATTCAACAAAATACTTGACCAGTACTCCTCAAAACTATCAGGGTCATCAAAAGCATGGAAAGTCTGAGAAATTGTCACGGCTAAGAGGGGTCTAAGGACACATGATGACCAAATATGGGTAAAAACTAGTGAAATCTGAATAAAGCGTGGAGTTTAGTTAATTATACCAATATTGGTTCCTTAATTGAAAAATATAACATGGTATCGTAAGAAAAATAAGGGAATATAATTACTTATTTCAAAAGTCAAGTGTATTCATTTTAATAGACTATTGGTTGCTCTAAGATTATGTGATAGTGCTTGGCCTATGTTTTTAGCATTAAAATGTTTTATCTTTTATGAAGTGGGGATAGTAGATGGTGTCTGTTAAAAAAGTGTTAAAAAATGTCTGTGCCCTATGTCAATCCCTAAAATGCTGTGTGTCCATGAAATCCCTATGTCTAGAAAGCGTTTCTGGCTGGACGTGGTCGCTCGTGCCTGTAATCCCAGCACTTTCGGAGGCCGAGGCGGGTGGATCACCTGAGGTCGGGAGTTGGAGACTAGCCTGACCAACATGGAGAAACCCCATCTCTACTAAAAATACAAAATTAGCTGGGCATGGTGGCGCATACCTGTAATCCCAGCTACTTGGGAGGCTGAGGCAGGAGAATCGCTTGAACCCAGGAGGCGGAGGTTGTGGTGAGCCGAGATCGTGCCATTACACCCCAGCCTGGGCAACAAGAGCAAAATTCCATCTCAAAAAGAAAGCGTTTCCATATATCGTCTTTTTTTTTTTTTTTGGTCTGAGAGAGTACTCACGGATTTGCGAGAGGCAGCAAGAAATGTACATCTGTTGAGTATACCTACTGGTTAGGCACCAAGCTTTACACATACATGATTTCTTAGCAAATCTTTGCAATTTAAGTTAGGTATTCCCATATTACAGATAAGGAAGTAGTAGTAATGTAGGATAAATAACTTGCCCAAGGAATGTGCTAACGGGAAGGAAGCAAATCCAAGTTTACCTGACTCTAGAACCTGTGATCTTTTTTTTTTTAATAATACCATATCACTCGTTATAGAGAATATCTAAAACTCATTTTAAAGAGAAATAGTGTTCTTTTTTTCTATATATTTTGATGCTACCTTTTAAATTCAGTGTATTCATATAGCAATAACAAGTGTCAGTATTATGCTTTTTTTTTTTTGAGACAGAGTTTTGCTCTTGTTGCCCAGGCTGGAGTGCAATGGTGCGATCTTGGCTCATCGCAACCTCCGCCTCCTGGGTCCAAGCGATTATCCTGCCTCAGCCTCCTGAGTAGCTGGGATTACAGGTGCCCGCCACCACGCCCAGCTAATTTTTTGTATTCTTAGTAGAGATGGGGTTTCACCATGTTGGCCAGGCTGGTCTTGAACTCCTGACCTCAGGTGATCTTGGCCTCCCAAAGTGCTGGGGTTATAGGCATGAGCCACCACGCCCGGCCAGTATTATGCTTTTAAGCTTGCATCCCAACTCGTTTTGTCTTTTTGGTCAAGTAACCACATAAAACCTATCACGAGATAGTCATATAATAATACCCTGATTATCTGCAGTTAAAACAATCAACACCACAGCCGACTACAAGTTCTCAGGCAGAAGTTAGTGAAAGCCAAGCTGCCTCAAAGAGCTGAAGACATCAAGTTTTAAAAAGAAACACTGGATCAATCACAATGCCACCCAGACCTTGAGATTAAAGAAACTGTGCCTGGTTTTTAGAAAGCCAATGGCATAACAATTCAGTCAGGGAGAGTACAGGAGAGTGAGGAAGCCAAAGCAACCAGAGAGATGAGGAGAGGGGAGGGGGAAGGGTAGAGGGAGAAAGCACAGCACTGGCAAGAAGAAAGCAACAAATAATATGTAATTTACTAGAAAGCCTAGAACACTCTAAGACCGTGCTAATCAACAAGGATATGTCCGTGGCTCCCCAACTTCTCACTTACATGCTGAAAACAAATGCAGTAAAGAACATATAAGCATATAGATGAATTCTTAGCACTGTTCAATTTAAAGCTAGAATTAAAAAAATTTTAAGGCATGTAACTAATGCATTATAATTTAGGGATCTAAAATCTGGTCTTCTGTTGCTAAAATTTAAATGATTAAAACAAGAGTTTATTTTTCTTGCATTCCTTGATTTACTGAAGTCAATTAAAAATAAAGTCATGTTTAAACAAGTGTTGGAGACCAACTTTTAATAATACATATTTAATTTTCAGAAACATATGCTAACCATCAACAACATGATCAGGGTTTCATTGCCCCAGATGTTATTTCATTGGTACATTATATTGATATTTACAAAGGCTTTCAAATTCAACAACACAAAACAAAACAGCTTAATTTTTAAAAACTACAATGCTTTAAAAAAATGTAAACAGTTTAATTTTTACATTATTGTAAAAAAGAAGACTCACTCCTTAATGTGGCTTAATTTTTTTTTAAGTGAGCAAAGCCTGGTGCTCATGGATAAAGAATGAAAATAATTCTTTACATAGAAACATTGTGCTCCAGTGTGGCAAAGAAAAAAAAATTATATGTACACATATAAAGAAAAGAATCTTAAGCCCACAATTTAGACCACAAAAAAATCTTGTCCCCAAATTGAGAAATTTATAAAAACCATTTACATATGGTTGTTGACCTACTGGAAACCTATATACCATTTTCAAAACAATAACTCAGTCAAAAGATACCACTTTTATTAAAAATGAAATTTTGTGCAAAAAAAAAATTGTTTAAGCTAGAAACAAGACTATCCCCCCTAGTAAGAGGCCAAAAGAGCCACTGAAATAATTTAACTCTGTTAGATTTAATGCATGTAACCAAAAGGCACATACATGTGATTAATATATTAATATCTTTTCATGCAGAAACTTGTGCATGTTCATAATTATACAACGAAAACACAAACATAACAAAACATAAAGCCTAATGTTTGGCAATGTTATTCTAGCCATATTCCTTTCTACTCTATCAGCCCAGGGTTTCCTAGATCATTAACACTGCCTCTCAAAAAATATATTATATTTGAACAACTTTCAATAAAAATTAAAAAAGTATGTTAGCCTGGAACACTATTTTTTCAGTTTTGATACATATAGAAACTTACTGATATGTTTATTTTAAATGCCATTTCAAATTAAGATACATTTTTTCTTTTATTAACAAACACTTTGATTGCTCCAGTGAAGTCAGCAGAGAGAAGAACTTCTGTGTTATCTGTCTTCATAATACCTTAAAAGTATAAAAAATAGTTTTAAGTTGATTTTTAAAGGAATATGAAGCCTGCTGCCACAATTATCACATGCCCATGACCCTCCAGCTTCAGGGGAGAAGATCATCTCCCCACCTTTTCAGTCTCCTTTTCTGGCTGGCTCCTGTAATTCTTTCATTCTGCTGAATCTCTCCTCTGCTCTGAGGCTCACTTTCACTTACCTTGTCTTAGCTGGTCTTTCCCTGGCTTGAGGATATTACAGTCTCTTGGGGCCTGGATGCTTGGACCTATTCCTAGGCAGCCTAGGCATCTAAGTCATCTAATGCTTCATTGCATGGCAAGAAGCTAGTGTGTCATTCAGCCCCAGGACTGGAGTGCTGGCAGAATCGGATCAGCTGGGCAAGTCTGTTGCTAACAGGGGTGTCTAGCGAGGTTGCCAGTAAGGTTTATTGTATAGCAGACATACTGAAACTGCCATGAAATGAAGTACACACGTTTGCTGTGTGAATGCTGACAGCACCTTTTGCCATATGGTCCTTACTGAAAAGCTATATAACTATGCTGAATGGCATAAATGCTTACCTCTTACATTTGCCAGTTGCATAAAAGCACTTAATAAAAAAATTCAGTGTTAACTAACTCTATTATACATAGGTGAAAACTGAGATTTTAATTTGAGATTTAAAAAAGAAGAAAATAATCCAAACTTTAATTGGAAAGTTGTGGACAGGATGAGTCACACAAAATGGTTTCACTTAGATGTGCTAAAAACATATCCTAAGCCTTTGAACATTCCTTTACCACCCTTTTGGCATATCTCACAGCAGTGCTGTGCAGTAGTAGCAGCAGCAAAGAACTTAGGAATATGAGAAAGGATAGAGAAGAAAATAATTCACCATACATATAAAATGCTTTGTAAGACACAATAATAATGAAAATGATAACAATAATGCCTACTACATGCCAGGCATTTTGCTAGGCACTTTTACACATACAAGTATATATATATATATATATATATATATATATATATATATTTTAGATAGAGTCTCACTCTGTTGCACAGGCTGGAATGCAGTGGCACCATCATAGCTTTCTTGTAACCTCATACTCCTGGGCTCAAAGGATCCTTCCACCTCAGCCTCCCTACAGGCATGCGCCACTGTGCCCGACTAATTATTTAATTTTTTGTGAAGACAGGGTCTTGCTATGTTGTCCAGGCTGGTCTCAAACTCCTGGTCTCAAGTGATCCTCCTGCCTTGGCCTCCCAAAATGTTGGGGTTACAGGCATGAGCCACCATGCCCAGCCTATACATGTCATATCTAATTCTTATTGAAACTCTATAAACTAGGTTATCATCATTATTTTACACATAAGGAAAATTGAGGCTTGAATTGCCAAACACGTCAGGAACAAAGAGAGAGGGGAATTGAATATATTTTGTGATCCCACATTTTGGGTTTAAGAGAGCTTATTCTTAGACTACACCTACATGGGTACAAAATGACAAACACAAATCTGAGTACAATCCACTAAAATTTGTGCCTCTTAAAAAAGGACCCAGTTAGTTAACTGAACCTTGTTAATGTGGTATATTTTTGAGAAGTTAAAAAAAACCCTGTACTTTTTACTTTTCCTCAAATTGTTTTAAAAGCTAGAATTTCCTGTGGAATATGCAGGGGAAGTATATGGAATGTAAAAAGGTAGCACTGGGGAAAAAAGAAAAGAAAAGAAAAAAAGGCCAGGTATGATGTCTCATGCCTGTAATCCCAGTACTTTGGCCAAAGTAGGACTAACCTTTTTGAGGCTAGAAGTTCGAGACCAGCCTGGGCAACATAACGAGAACTCATTGCTAGCAAAAAGAAAAAAAAAAAAAAAATTAGCCAGGCATGGTAGTACGTGTAGTCCTAGCTACTCGGGATGCTGAGGCAGGAAGATTGCTTGAGCACAGGAGTTCAACGTTGCAGTGAGCTATGATTGTACCACTGCACTCTAGCCAGGGCAACAGAGCGACACCATGTCATTCATTCATTCATTCATTCATAAGTTAAAAAAAAAAAGAAAAAACGTAAATGACTTAAGTTAGAAGACAGAAGCTGGATGTGATTCTGAGAAGGAAAGAAAAAGAAAACAGACAGCAGTTAAACAGGCATTTAGTAAAGGTTTAATCATTCTAACTTGGTTTATTTTTGTATCTTGTACTGAAAGAAATGCTAGACTGAAGTTCATCTTTGTTATCAAAATTTTTCTTCACAGACAGAAGGAAAAGTGTCATGAGTGGAGTAGATAGTCCAAATAATACTACAAAAAAATTACTTGAGATTAAAGTACTTGATAACTTTTTACCATTCAAATACTTTAGAAGCACTCTTTGTACACTGTATCTATTCCTGTGGCTTTATGACCTGTTTGTAATCTGTAGCATGAGACAATACAGTCAATAAACTATTATGCAATCGATTTAAAAATTAAAAAAGAATCATATATATATTTTTTGAGTTGGGTGTCCTTCTATGTTGCCCGGGCTGGTCTTCTATGTTGCCCGGGCTCAAGACCTCCTGCCTCAGCCTCCCAAATACCCGGGATTACAGGTACATACCACAACGCCTGCCATATATATATATTTTTAGACAGAGTCTTGCTGTGTCACCCAGACTGGAGTACAGTGGTGCAATCTCAGCCCACTGAAAACTCCACCTTCCCGAGTTCAAGCACTTCTCCTGCCTCAGCCTCCTGGGATTACAGAGGTGTGCAACCATACCTGGCCACTTTTTGTATTTTTAGTAGAGACAGGGTTTCAACATGTTGGCCAGGCTGGTCTTGAACTCCTGACCTCAAGCAATCTGCTCACCTTGGTCTTTTTTTTTTTTTTTTTTCTTTTTTGAGATGGAGTCTCCCTCTGTCACCAGGCTGGAGTGCAGTGGCGTGATCTCGGCTCACTGCAACCTCCACCTCCCTGGTTCAAGCGATTCTCCAGCCTCAGCCTCCTGAGTAGCTGGGACTGCAGGCGTGCACTACCACGCCCAGCTAATTTTTGCAGTTTTTCAGTAGAGACGGGGTTTCACCATGTTGGCCAGGATGGTCTCGAACTCTCAACCTCATAATCCGCCTGCCTTGGTCTCCCAAAGTGCTGGGATTACAGGCGTGAGCCACCGCACCTGGCCCAGATTTTTATATAACTGATTGGCACTCAATATTACTTGCTGACAGTTTCTTCTCCCTTCCTAATATGAGCATTGTATATAACTGGAATTAATATTCATTCTCAAAGCATATATGCTACAAATGGCAAGAAATTACAAACTTGTAAATAGCCACCTATCTCAAGAAGCTGTTAACTTGTGGCAAGTAGAAAAATTAGCCCTGCTTCATTTGGGTTTAATTCATTTAGTCAGCACATGTTCATCAAGCACCTACTATGTGTAGGCAAGCATTGTGAGAGACACTGGCAATACAGCAATAAATAAGACATGAAAAGTCTCTGTCTTCTAGAGATTACAGACTAGTAGGAGAGACAGGTAATAAAGAAGTTTTACATTTGCATATATTGTTTGCACTTCTCTAAAGAGAATGGTTACCCATAGTTATGAACATCCAAATTTCTCTTTTCTTTTTTTGAGATGGAGTCTTGCTCTGTCACACAGGCTGGAGTGCAGTGGCGCGATCTCAGCTCACTGCAAGCTCTGCCTCCCGGGCTCACACCATTCTCTTGCCTCAGCATCCCGAGTAGCTAGGATTACAGGCACCCGCCACCATGCCCGGCTAATTTTTTGTATTTTTAGTAGAGACGGGGTTTCACCGTGTTAGCCAGGATGGTCTCGATCTCCTGACCTCGTGATCCATCTGCCTTGGCCTCCCAAAGTGCTGGGATTACAGGTGTGAGCCACCGCACCAGGCCCAAATTTCTCATTTTTAATTCTCAGGTGAATTTAAAACAGGTAAAACTTTGAGGAAATATATTACTGAAAAGTTCAGAAATGGATATCTGACAACCATTAAGTTGCAAACAAGAAATATTCTTTGGTGGCTCATGCCTGTAATCCCAGCACTTTGGGAGGCTGAGGTGGGTGCATTGCTTGAGCCCAGAAGTTTGAGACCAGCCTGGGCAACATGGTGAAATCCCATCTCTACAAAAAATACAAAAATTAGCTGGGCATGGTGGTGTAGGCCCATAGTCCCAGCTACTTGGGAGGCTGAGGTGGAAGGATCACCTGAGTCCAGGGTGGTTGAGGCTGCAGTGAGCTGTGTGTGACTGCGTCACTGCGCTCCAGCCTGGGTGACAGAGCAAGACCCTGTCTTAAGAAAAAAGAAAAAAGAAATATTCTTTATACTAGTGAAAACCTTATTATACTCAAATGAGATAAATGAGGCTACTAAGTGCTGACTAGAAAAAAATATAGGACAAGTAAAGATTTACCAGAAGGTGTGGCATCCAAAACTTCAGCATCTTCACTTTTCTCGTTCCCTTCTGATTTTTCAGATTGCACATCCAAAGATAACATCAAACTTGGGTTTGGTGCAAAGATGGCTGATGTAACAACTGCATTGTGGGCTGTGGAAAAAATTTACTTCAGGATAACTGACAAATTGGATACCAAGACAAACACGATAGTGTATGTTATATGCCAAATATCCTTAAAAACTAACATAGAAGTAACTAAGAGTGATTTAAAACCCAAAAATTTTTCTAAAAAAAATCACATATAAGTTCTGAAATTCCCTGACTTCTCAAATTTTAGACCAAAGTTCTTCCTTAGTATAGATAAAACAAGCAAAGCCAAATGCAAGGCACTTTATCATTGTCAAACTGCCTCTCTAAAATAATGCCTAAATGAATTTACTTCTTCTTTTTTTTTGTCTTTTTTTTAGACGGAATCTCACTCTATTGCCCAGACTGGAGTGCAGTGGTGCCATCTCGGCTCACTGCAATTTCCACCTCCCAGGTTCCAGCGATTCTCCTGCCTCAGCCTCCCAAGTAGCTGGGACTACAGACGTGTGCCACTATGCCCGGCTAATTTTTTTTGTATTTTTAGTAGAGACAGAGTTTCACCGTGTTAGCCAGGATGGTCTCGATCTCCTGACCTCGTGATACACCCGTATGGGCCTCCCAAAGTGCTGGGATTACAGGCGTGAGCCACTGTGTCCGGTCATGAATTTACTTCTAGTATATATCCACTGTAACTTGATTCTCTTATAAGACACACAAAAGCAAGTATGTACTTACCTTTAATACCTTCCCAGAAGTCATTACGATCTCTCCTGACTGAAGTAAACTTGCTTAGGTCATGGTAGGTACTCCAGATATAAACATACTTATCTTCTGAACCACTAACGAGGTAAGTAAAATCATGGCTGAATTTTGGGGAGAAAGGAAAAGCAAATAAAATGTGTGTGTGTATATGTTTAAAGGTTTCCTTTATCAGTGCTTCCTACTTTGTGATACCTAAAATAACACTTGAAGGGTCTTGTTGAATATGTAGACCCATGGTCTCACTCTAGATGTTCTAAATGTGTACGTGTGATGTAGTGGCCTGGCACTTGTATTTGCATCAAAGCTCTAAGTAACTGTGATGTTAGTTAATCCACGTTGGGAGGAATGATGATTTAAGGTGTGAAAGACAGGAGCAGAATACTTTACCAATTGAATTAATTAATGTATAATTCAAGAAAAAAGAACTGGTAAGAAAACGGCAAAAGAAGAGGGCTAGAAAGAAGAAAAGGTAGCTAACCCTATTTCAGGAGAGTGTCCAGAACCCAAATTAGAAATTTAAATAATAATGATATGTAAAGTTTTGAATACAAGACCCTGTGCTGTGGGGTGTTAAAATGCTTTCTTAGAATCCTAAAAGGTTCCTTCCTTTCCTAAAAGGTTCAAGACAATGGGGCAGGGAGGGGAGTGGCGGGATGAGCCGTAAGCCCCCTCTTAAAAGCGTAAACAAAGGTACAAAAGCAAAAACTCTAGAGATGAGAGTCTTCATAATCTTGGCTCTACAACCATGACTTTAGGCCAATCACTTAATTTTCTGAGTCTTGGTTTCTTCATTTGCAGAACAGGGTCAATTCGAATTCTATATACTATATAGGTGGACAAGGTACGTATTGCATGATAATAAACTACTACTTGCAAAAGTGAAAAGAACCCCATTAAACATAAGGCATAGACCAATGGAAAAATGGAACTAGGGGAGAAATGTCCTGATCTCTTTTGGGAACATCTCATTGCCAATTTACCTGAAACTTGCTTTGATCTGGCTGCTGCTATTGACGTAACCCTTATACTTCATGGATAGTGACAAATCTCTCAAATCATATAGTCTGATTCTGGAGTCATTTGAGGTTACCAATATCTAAAAGTAGATCAAATGAAAAGTTAAAAATATCATCTTTTAGTACAAGCTAAGCTACAACCCAAAAAGGGTGTTACACACATACAAACTAATATACCTCAAAACTAGAAGAAAAGCGGTATTCCACAACAAAGAGAATACATTTTTTTGCCAAGATATTAAGAACTTTCAAGAATCTACATATAGTATGGAGAGAGATGGTTTTGAATACTGTAGTACCTTATTTTCTCCAGGTAAAGGCTCAATGCCAGTAATTTTTCTTCCAACCTTGTTGCGCCCTCTAGTAGATCGGACATGTATTTGTGTATGGTATTTCAAATGCTAAAAATAAACCATACATTTAACATATTAGAATTAGGAGCATGTGTGGTGGCTCGTATCTGTAACTCTAGCTACTCAGGAGGCTGAGGCAGGAGGACTGCTTGAGCCCAAGAGTTCGAGGCTGTAGTGAGCAACAATTGCACCACTACGCTCTAACTTGGGTGACAGAATGAGACTTTGTCTCTATAAAAAAATTCTTTTTGCTTGGGCGTGGTGGCTCACGCCTATAATCCCAGCACTTTGGTAGGCTGAGGCAGGTTAATCACTTGAAGTCAGGAGTTCGAGACCAGCCTGGCCAACACGTTGAAATCCCATCTCTACCAAAAAATACAAAAATTAGCTGAGTGTGGTGGCACGTGCCTATAGTCCCAGCTACTCAGGAGGCTGAGGCACAAGAATCACTTGAATCCAGGAGGTAGAGGTTGTAGTGAGCCGAGATCGCTCCACTGCACTCCATCCTGGGCAACAGAGTGAGACTCCATCTCAAAAAAAAATTTTTTTTAAATTAGAATTAGAAGACATCTCAAAAGTCATCTGTTCCAACTCTTAAGACAGACATGGTATTATTTGTCTCTATTTAGAGAAAATGCAGTTAAAGCCCAGAGGGGATAAGCAACTTGTCCAAAACCATGAAAGTGTTTACTAAGTATACAATTATATAATTTACAAAAAACAATCATTTACCTCTGTATCATAGAAAATACATCTGCCATCATATGTCCCAATCACTGCATATTTGCCATTCTGACAGAAATTTGCAGCTGTGATCAATTTTGTCTGACCATCTACTTCATTCCACAAAGCCACTTTTTTGTCAGGTATGTTCCAAAGGCGGAGCTTTCCATCCAAAGACCCACTTAGAAAATACCTGTCATCCTAAAGAGGTGGCAACAGAGAAAGTTTTCATTTTACCACATCAAGAAAAAACTCATTAGCAAATCAAATCAGTAAGTCTATTAGAATAGTTTAAAAATGTAGATTTCAGGGCCAGGTGCGGTGGCTCACGCCTATAATCCTAGCACTTTGGGGGAGGCCAAGGCAGTGGATCACAAGGTCAAGAGATCGACACTATCCTGGCCAATATGGTGAAACCTCGTCTCTAGTAAAAATATAAAAATTAGCTGGGCATGGTGGTGCGCGGCTGTAGTCCCAGCTACTCGGGAGGCTGAGGCAGGAGAATCGCTTGAACCCAGGAGGTGGAGGTTGCAGTGAGCCAAGATCGCACCACTGTACTCCAGCCTGGCAACAGAGTGAGACTCCGTCTCAAAAAAAAAAAAAAAAAAAAAAAAAAAAAGATTTCATTTAAAAATTTTTATTCTTTAAGCAAGCATTATTTTATGCACTGAAAGCAGTAACAACAATAAGAAACCTCACTATTCACTTTGGAGAAATAAAATTCTAATTATCATATCCTTAAACTGCTGTTTTGCAAGATATGGATGTCAATAGATAAAGTGTTTGAGTGTGTATTGCATGGAAGAAGGTTCTGTGATCAAATAAGTTTGAGAAATTCTGGGTTACAAAAAGTTAAACATGATTCTCAGTTAACCTGCATTTTGAATCTCCAAACAGGATAAAGTAGGTAGCACTTTTCAACATATTTAACCACAGACTTTTTTTGGGGGGGCGTGTTTACGGGAGGTGCTAGACCTTTCAGGAACATGCTATGGGAAACACTATCCTATATCATACCTTCCTCTGGGATACATGTAACACTTGGATAAAGAGTAACATCAGTTAGTGGCCCCCAAAACCAGTCATTTTTGGAACTCTAACACCATGTCAACAGAGAATTACTTCATCATTCAAATTCTGCTCTCAAATCAGCGGTTCTCAACCTGCGGCAATCTGACCTTGCAGGGGACATCTAGCATTATCTGGAGACATTTTGGTTGTCAAAACTGGTGGGAGGATCAGGATGCTACCAGTATTTAGTGTGTAGAGACCAGGGATGCTGCTAAATATCCTATAACGCACAGCCTACTCTCCCCCGTGTAACAAAGAATGTCAATAGTACTAGGATTGAGAAATCTCCTTTAAACTAAATCAGTCCTACCACTAAGCTTGTTTTGTTTTTGGCAACATAAGAATTTTTCTTTCTTTCTTTCTTTTTTTTTTTTTTTGGTGATGGGGTCTCAGTTTGTTGCCCAGGCTGGAGTACAGAGGCTCGATCACGGCTTACTGCAGCCTCGACCTCCTGGGCTCAAGTAATCCTCTCACCTCAGCCTCCCAAGTAGTTGGGATCACAGAAGCACACCACCATACCGGGCTAATTTTAAATTTTTTTATAAAAATGGGGTCTCCCTATGTTGCCCAGGCTAGTCTCAAACTCCTGGCCTCAAGTGATCCTCCTGCCTCAAACTCCCAAAGTGCTGGGATTATAGGAGTGAGCCACCATACCCAGCCAAGATTCTTCTTCTTCTTTTTTTTTCCTTCCCCCACCCCAAATCCCCCTGCCCTAAGGGTTTCTGTTCCTTGCCAAAGATTATTATTCTTACCCATCTCTGAAACCTGTCAAAGACAATCTACAAATAATGTAAGCTCACTCAATGTGTACCAGTAGAAGAGGTGAACAAGTAAAAATACTTTAACTTAGTCTTCTAATTCAGAATTGTCACATACATACATCTATGTATGTGTATCTCCATTTTGCTATTCCTTTTTTTTTGAGACGGAGTCTCATTCTGTCACTCAGGCTGGGGTACAGTGGTACAATCTTGGCTCACTGCAACCTCCGCCTCCTTGGCTCAAGCAATTCTCCTGCCTCAGCCTCCTGAGTAGCTGGGATTATAGGCATGCAACACGACGGCCGGCTAATTTTTGTATTTTTATTAGAGACAGGTTTTCACCATGTTGGCCAGGCTGGTCTTGAACTCCTGACCTCAGGTGATCCACCCGCCTCGGCCTCCCAAAGTGCTGGGATTACAGACATGAGCCACCACGCCTGGCCCATTTTGCTATTTCTTTTCTAACTCTGCTACCTTTCTTCCTTTAACATTATAATAAAAGTCATATTTCCCCCCCAAAAAAAGGCATCACTACCCTATTCTTTCCTAGCCCCTCTTAAAAACACTCCAGGTCAGTACGATTTTTAGAAATAGGGCTTTATAGTTTCCAAAATAAAACCAAATAAAAGCACTATAAAAAATCATTGGCTGGGCCAGGCGCAGTGGCTCACGTCTGTAATTCCAGCACTTTGTGAGGCTGAGGCAGGCGGATCACTTGAGGTCAAGAGTTGTAGACCAGCCTGGCCAACATGGTGAAACTCTATCTCTAATAAAAATATGAAAATTAGCTGGATGTGGTGGTGCATGTCTGTAATCCCAACTACTTGGGAGGCTGAGGCAGAACTGCTTGAACTCGGGAGGTGGAGGTTGCAGTGAGCCGAGATTGTGCCACTGCACTCCAGCCTGGAGACTGTCTTCAAAAAAAAAAAAAAAAAAAAACATGGCTGAACAGAAAGTTTAATAAATAATAAAATACCACATGGAAAACAACTGGATGGGTGCAGTGGTTCATGCTTTTAATCCTAGCACTTTGGGAGGCCGAGGTGGGCAGATCGCTTTGAGCCTAGGAGTTTGAGACCAGCCTGGGCAACATGGCAATACCCTGTCTCTACTAAAAATACAAAAATTAGCTAGGCATAGTGCAGGCATAGTGGTGCATGCCTGTAGTCCCAGCTACCTGGGGAGCTGAGGCAGGAGTATCACCCGAGCCAGGGAAGTTGAGGCTGCAGTAAGCCAAGACTGCACCACTGCACTACAGCCTGGGTGACAAAGTGATACCCTGTCTCCAAAAATAGATAAATAAAAAGAAAAGAAAAGAAAAGAAAGAGAAAGAAAACGAACACAACCAAATATCTCTTTCCAAGCTGATACTTTATAGCTAAAATAGTTATGGAAAGATTTATGGATGGAAAGATTTTGCTCACAGTTGCTGATGGGGTAAATCCATCCTTTTGTTGTGTGTATAGGGAACAGGGATGGGGGTGTTATTCAGAAACAGGACTCTAATGACTTGATCATCAAAACTGGTAAGAATTAACATAGTTTTTTTGTGTGTGATAAAGGTGGGGTCTCACTGTGTTGTCCAGGCTGGTCTTGAACTCCCAGCCTAAAGCCATCCTCCCACCTCAGCCTCCCAAAGTGCGGAGATTATAGGCGTGAGCCACCAAAATTCTTAACCAAGTCTTCTTCCTCTTTTTTTTTTTTTTATTTTGAGACAGAGTCTCGCTCTATTGCCCAGGCTGGCGCGATCTCAGCTCACTGCAGCCTCTGCCTCCTGGGTTCAAGTGATTCTCTTGCCTCAGCCTCCCGAGTAGCTGGGACTACAGGCACCTGCCACCATGCCTGACTAACGTTTGTATTTTTAGTAGAGACAATGTTTCACCATGTTGGCCAGGTTGGTCTTGATCTCTTGACCTCGTGATCTGCCCACCTTGGCCTCCCAAAGTGCTGGGATTACAGGTGTGAGCCACCGCGCCTGGCCCTTAACCAAGTCTTCAAGGGTTCGGAATTATCACTGCTTATGTTACAAGCCTGCTCAGGGAAGGAAAGTATATTGAAAACAAGTCAGTCTTCTTAATTTGGGGGAGATGAAGAAATGTGAATATGATTAAAATGTTACATTAAAAAGATAATGTGTGTTAAACATATAAAGATGAGGACACCACTGGAAATGTAATCATAACACCAACTTAGGTAAGGGAAACTTGTTGCTAGGGTCAGCTCGAGTCCTCTGCTTAATAGAGCTAGTGCAGTCAGCACCAACATGTGATTTCCCTTTTGCTTACAGTTGCAAAAATCTGTAACTAATTTAGCCTTAAGCATTTGGTGGCTCCATCCTCTAAGGGCATACAATAGGTCTGCAATTCCATGACAGCAGATTTTTCTCATTTGGCTGAAATCATATGAAATACTTTATTTCTGGGGGAAAGATATGAAAGGATTTTCTATACTGAAAAGGAATAAAGAAGGGATATCAAGACTAACAATATGAATTCAGTGTATCTTGTAATGAATTTTCGTCTTTGCCTCTTTCAGTCTTTTTCTCTGTCTCTTCCCTCCCCAATCTTCTCATTATTTCTGCCTAGGTACTTCCCTTTCTCATTTATCCATCTGCTGTCTCTTCTTCCTCCATCTCCAATATCTCTCATCTTTAATAGGATACTTTATTTCATTTATTTATACCTTGCATGTCTTAATAAAGATTTAGGATATAATATCCCCAGTTTTTCTAATGCAGATCAGCAGAATATTTCCTTTCTCATTTCTAAAGCAAAATGAAACACAAAATTAAATTGCTCATAACTATGTAGCTGTTAATAATTTTTTTCCTGTAGTCCAATTGCCCTCTAGAGAAATCAGGTTCTCTCACCTTCCTTAGAGGTTAACAAAAACATGTATAAATAGTTACTTACTCTTGGATGAAAAGCTATGGCAGTGACAAAATCTATATGTTGAAAACAGCAAAGGCATTCTCTTCGAGAAATGTGCCATAATCTGACTGTTTTATCCATTGAAGAAGAAAGAAGAAAGTAGTTCTATGGGGAAAATGACATTGACTATGTTATCACTATATGAAAAAGAACCCTATTTATACAATAAAAGTGAACTTTTGGTTTTTGTATCTCAACAGTTTTGTTATTGTTAAATGCAGCATCGGAAAGAACAAAAGATTATCAAATTCACTTGGAAGATCCTATTTTCCCCCAAACAGTTAAGTACCATATTTCACTGATTCTAAAACTTTTTGACATTACCTGTTCTGAAATTCAGATGAATCTTATCAATGTCTAAAGAAATCTGCCAGGCACCAGCAGAGAACTAAGGTGTGCCTTAGTTGTTATCACCTGCACATATTGGAACTTAGCTATCAGTATAAGGCATCTATTCATTTTATTGTCACTTCAGTTATTTTCACATTGATAACACTGGTGAATTTTAACTCACATAGATCTCTAATTGTCATTTAAAATGTCTTCAAAAAGATTACCCTATAATGCAGCATGGAAATGAAAAGTTATTGTGCACCTGTCACACTCTAGGCAAGAAAATTAGAGAATAGAAATTGTCAAATCTTTCAGAATAGATCACAGAATGTTCAAGGCTAGAAGATGGTAGTGTAACTGACTTAGGCACCGTGATGGCCCCATCGCCCAGGAAACAAACATCTATCTGTCAAAAGCTTTCAGCTGGCAGAAGCTCATTAATTCCTCAACATAATCTATTTAAGGAGGAGAACTATGAGTTATACTGAATGAGAAAACTCAAATGATACCTCTGTATTCTTTGGTGTGCCTAAAGGTGCTAAACAAATCAAGGCAATGGTGACATTGATCGCATACTTACGATGTGTTAAGCATTGTTCTTCGCATTATATAGCAACACTATGAAGTAGGTACATTGTGGTATACCTGTTTTCAAATAGATGGTATACTTTATGATTAAAAGTAAAGAATTAAAAAACAGAATTTGGAAATTTACAATAATCTTTGAAATATCTAACAATCATTTTTATTTTCAAGATCCACTCAGTTCCAGAAAAGTTTTTAAGAGTATATGCAGTTTGCATTATAATTTCCTGTTGATTAATACCAACTGTATAAAAACTTAACCTATGGCACACCATGAACCTATGTTCATTAAAACTGACTTTATTTGGCTGGACACAGTGGCCCATGCCTGTAATCCCAGCACTTTGGGAGGCTGAGGCAGGTGGATCATTTGAGGTCAGGAGTTCGAGATCAGTCTGGCCACCATGGTGAAACCCCATCTCCACTAAAAATAAAAAAAAAAATTAGCTGGGCGTGGTGGCCCACGCCTGTAATTCCAGCTACTCGGGGAGGCTGAGGCAGGAGAATCGCTTGAACCTGGGAGATGGAGGTTGCAGTGAGCTGAGATCGTGCCACTGCACTCCAGCCTTGGCAACAGAGCGAGACTCTGTCTCAAAAAAAAGAAAACAGAAGAAAAAAACAAAAAACAGAAACTGACTGTATTCAATTCCTGCAATAGCTCATTGCTTTGAGCATATGAAAGAGGTATGAAGACATCCCTAAAATATTAAGTGAAGGTGCTGAAGACATGTTAAGACTTGTTCCAAATAAGTATTCTTTAAGAAAGACTTGTTCTTTTATAAGTATTTAATAAATACTTTTTATTAAATAAACGAAATTAAATAACGTTCTTAAACTAAGCACTGATCTTAGAAGTCAGATAAATTAGATTAAAATCTAAGTTCTACCCATAACTAATTTTGTGATTTTAGATAGGTCACAGGGGCTCAATCTCTTCCTCGAGACAAAATCAGGTTGTCTACCTCACGGGGTTGTTATTGTAAGAATTAACACGGTAATTCTTGTTATTGGCACAAAATACACCTTCAACAAATAGAAAACTCACTAAAAACACTGTGATAGACATTAAAGAGAAACAATATCTGGTTTGAGTTGGTGTTTGAAAAGCAAAAAACAGTAAAATAATATCTGGTTCCTACCCTGGAGAGGCTTAGAATCTTGTTGCAGAAATTTTGTTCCTTTCCTCTGGATGGAGGTGGGGTGGAGGGGTTGGGGATATGAGGATAGACCTTTAGGAACCATTCCTGCATGGGGCAGCACCTCATTGAAATAACTCATCTAGACTAGTGCTTCTCAGACTATTTCTGGTGAAGGATTGTTTTTGTTTTTTTAAATTTCCAATGAGTTGTGGACTGAAACTATTTTAAAATACAGAAAACATTTACTAGAAAAATGAAATAAAAATAAAAGTCATATAAAATAAAAGCCCCATTTTGTATTATTATACAAAATAGAAGCCCAAGTTTTAAAAGATTAAACAGGTATAAACTTATTGTGAAAACTGCCATAAACACTTCTAAATAGTTTACTCTTGGTTTCTGCACTTATCTCTTCACAGACTGGTATTCTATATTTGTATCGTCAAGGACCAGGAAGACCAGGTGGTTTATAGGCTGGCACCAGTCCTTAAAAATGCACATTACTCACTTGAGACAATTAGGTAGCTGGATAGATACTAAATCATATTACTGCTGCCTCCTAAGAGATAGAATGGAAATAAAGTATAAAACGGAAAGTATAAAAAATTTATGATTTCTTAAATCTTTCAACGTGTCCAACATTTGTTATTTTTGTCATCCTGTTTCCTTGTAGTGATTAGCTACTGTGACACTGGAATGGGCTAGAGAGTAATGCTCCGAAGTCATAGGGTTTGAACCTAAACTCCCGTATCTCCCTAGCTATACGCCTTTAAGCATGTTCTTTAACACGTATGACCCTTGGTTTTAAATCCTTGATAAGGAAACATCAACAATCGCATAAGGTTGTTTTGAGGGTACGAACAGAGCACATGTAAAGTACTTAACTTTTGTCTGTGTCCCCAGTGGCTAAAATGCTACTTGGCAGATAGTGATGATGATGATGATGACGATCATTGCTAATATTAACTGAGCATTATTATGTTCTAGGCAAGTGTTTTATATTTACTAGCTCAGTTAATCATTATCATCACTGCTAATATTAATTGAACATTTATTATGTTCTAGGCAAGTGCTTTATATTTACTAGCTCAGTTAATCTTTCCCTGTTATAACACTATGAGGAAGGTATTTTTATTATGTCTATTTTGCAGATGAGGCATGGTGAGGTTAAATAACTTGCCCAAGGTCACATAATGTAAGGGGCAGACTAGGAAGAATATGTACCTTGGGAGTCTGGCTCCAGGGGTCATTTCTTAACCAGGTGGTAAAATGATCAACAGATATGTTTTGAGTGAATGAAAAGTACTTGGTACATAGCAGGTATAGTTGCACAGGTTCTCAATTTTTTTTTTTAACTATTACATATTTCCTCCATGAAGGAAACAAGGGAATAGTCAGTGAGATAGGAAGGGAATCTAGAACATACAGTGCTCCAAAATCAAGTAGTTCAAGAAAGATCAATAGCATCAAATCATCAAATGCTAGAGAAAGGTTAAGGAGAATGAGTTCAAAGAAAAGGTGTTAATTCTGGTAAGAAGGTGGTTATAACAGTTAATTTTATGTATCAACTTAGCTATACTCAATTATTTAATTATTAAGCTAGTACTCAATTATTTAATCAAACACCAATCTAGTTGTTGCTGTGAAGGTATTCTGTACATGTGATTAATACCTATAATCAGTTGATTTTAAGTAAAGGAGATCACCCTTGACTATGTGGGTGGGCCTCATCCAATCAGTTGAAGGCCTTAAGACAAAAAACTGAGGTTTCCCGGAGAAGAAATTCTGCTTTAAGACTACAGCATCAGCTCCTTATACGCAGAATTACTATATGATTCAAATAAGAATTTCTTACTTTAGACCATGAAAGATCAAGGAGATCAGCAGTATGTCCTTTATATTTGCAAAATGGCCGTTGCCGAAAGGGTGCGTTTTTATCATCAGGGTCTTCATCAGTTCCACTGCATACCTATTTGGATATAAAGATAAACTTTGAAACTGCAATGTAAAACTAGTTTCACATTCTTCCCACCCCATCTGTTCTCTCAGCATTTTGTATGATGCCTGATTGAAATCTTGAGTCACCAAAAGCAAGCTCCCCTTTATGCTGATTTACTACTTAGCACCTCTTCCTTTCATCTCCTTGCCCTAACAAACCAGGGTCATCCCTGAAGACATCGTGCTGTCACAATCTTTTCCCTCCCTAATAGAGCCCCTAATAAGCATCTGTTCCTTCAGGAGAGGTGACGGCCAGTACCAGCGAGTGAATCATGATTGGTCTAAGCTAATGAAGATTAGCTGATTTCCCTTCCCAGTGATGACTGGTTAGGCATGTGGTACAATTTCCATGAATTAGACATTGGGCAAAGTTTATGGGGTGGGGATGAGGGAAGGCTTCTAGAGAGATTTTCTCACCCTTAAAGAGGGTCATACTAATAGGACTCCTCCTTTCCTGCATCTGAACATTGCTGACTTCATGTGACAACTAAGACTGTAGCAGCCATCTTAAGACCATAGTGTAAAAAGCCGAAAGGAACAAAACAAAGAGTACAAAGCAGGGAGATAGTAGGACGATGCTACTGAGCTGCTGAATTAACCAACCCTGGAACCGCCTTACCTCCAGAGTTGCTTCCTCATTGTTTAAGCCATTTTCAGTTGGATTTCTGTTATTTGAAGTCAAAAGCATACTGACAGAGGTAGGTAGAAAATAATGCCATACATGTGTACTGTGCATCTAGTTACAACGTGCTTTCGTATTCATTATCTGAATAAATTCTAACAATTCTTTGAGGTAGGTATTAACAGTATAAAGATGAAGAAATTAGTAAAAACAAACAAACAAACAAACAAACAAAACACACAACAAACCCCTGAGGATCAAAGAGGTTAAAATAATATATTAAAGGCCACACAGCCACCTGTGAACAGCAGAACCAAAGCAGTAATACAAGTCATCTAACTGTAAGTCCAAAGTTTGTCCTTCAAATGTTTTACATGACATAGCATGAGCAAGAACAGAGGGTTAGCTAAGCCTCGCATATTTAGGGAAAGGTAGGTAGGATGATGAGGACAGAGAAAACAGTATATGGAGATGTAGTCAGAAATTAGGGTAGAAAGGTACTTTGGGATCACATTCAAAAAGGCCTTGGCGAGGCACGGTGGCTCATGCCTGTAATCCCAGCATTTTGGGAGGCCGAGACAGGCAGATCACCTGAGGTCGGTAGTTCAAGATCAGCCTGACCAACATGGAGAAACTCCGTCCCTACTAAAAACACAGTATTAGCTGGGCATGGTGGCGCATGCCTGTAATCCCAGCTACTTGGGAGGCTAAGGCAGGAGAATCGCTTGAACCCAGGAGGTGGAGGTTGCGGTGAGCTGAGATCACAGCATTGCACTCCAGCATGGGCCACAAGAGCGAAACTCTGTCTCCAAAAATACATAAATAAATAAAATAAAATAAACAATAAAAAGGCCTCAAATTTGTGGCTTAAAAGTTCAGACATGGAGAGCCAACACAGGTTTCTGAAAGGAAAAAACCACCACCATCTTACCGGTGCTTCAGAAAAAGAACTCTGGGCAGTAATGTAAAAGATGGTTTGGAGAGAGCATGGAGGCAGGAAAAGCAGTCAATAAGTTTAAGTAAGAATAATGAGGGCTTGAATGAGGACAGTGGCATGGGGATAGATTAAAAACTACCACTATTATTCGTGTAGAACTTTACAGTTTATAAAAAACATCTTCACATCAACCATGGAGGTAGACCACCAACACAGACTCCTGTAACCTTTGCCAAGCACTTCTAATGCTAGATGACTACCATCCTCGCCCCCCTCAATTTTACTACCAGACTAGTGAGCACTGCTGGGAGACATACAGCTAAACAGGCTTCCCTCATTACATACAAATCAGATTCGGAGTTTCACTCTTGTTGCCTAGGCTGGAGTGCAATGGCATGATCTTGGCTCACTGCAACCTCTGTCTCCCAAGTTCAAGCCATTCTACTGCCTCAGCTTCCCAAGTAGCTGAGATTACAGGCACATGCCACCACGCCTGGTTAATTTTTTATATTTTTGGTAGACACAGGGTTTCACCATGTTGGCCAGGCTGGTCTTGAACTCCTGACCTCAGGTGATCCACCCGCCTCGGCCTCCCAAAGTGCTGGGATTACAGGTGTGAGCCACCATGACCAGACTAAATTTTTTTTTTTTTTTAGATGGAGTCTCACTGTCACTCAGGCTGGAGTGCAGTGGTGCAATCTCGGCTCACTGCAACCTCTGCCCTCTGGGTTCAAGTGATTCTCCTGCCTCAGCCTCCTGAGTAGCTGGGATTACAGGCGCCTGCCACCGTGCCTGGCTAATTTTTGTATTTTTGGTAGAGACGGCGTTTCACCATCTTGGCCAGGCTGGTCTTGAACTCCTGACCTCATGATCCACCAGCCTCGGCCTCCCAAAGTGCTGGGATTACAGGTGTGAGCCACCACACCCAGCCTAAATTTTTTAAGTTATAAAATAATACATGATCAGTGTAGACAATTCGGAGAACAAAAAAAAAAAAACAGAAAAATTAACATCACCCCAAACCTGCTAACGTTTTGTCTCTCTTCAATCTTTCATTTTTAAAAAATGTATTTGAAATCATATTAAACATGAAATTTACCAATCTTCCTATTATACCATGAGCATTTTCTGTATTTCATGCTTTGAAAACATTTAGTAGCTGCATAATATGGATGCATCACGATTAATCATTCTTCCTTTGTTGGTCACTTAGACATTTCCAACTTTTCTGCTAATAAAAACAGTAATTCGGCCAGGCGTGGTGGTTCACTCCTGTAATCCCAGCACTTTGGAAGGCTGAGGCAGCCGGATCACCTGAGGTCAGGAGTTGGAGACCAGCCTGGCCAACATGGTGAAACTCCATCTCTACTAAAAATACAAAAATTAGCCGGGCGTGGTGCACACCTGTAATCCTAGCTACTCGGGAGGCTAAGGCAGGAGAATCACTAGAACCTGAGCGAGACTCTGTCTCAAAAACAAACAAACAAACAAAAAACAAAAACAAACAAATAAATAAAACCCAGCAATTCAATGAATGCCCTGGAACATGAATCTTTGAATCTTTATCCACATTTGACTATTTCCTTATCTTTTTTTTTTTTTTTGAGACTGAGTCTTGCTCTGTCACCCAGGCTGGAGTGCAGTGGCACGATCTTGGCTCACTGCAACCTCTGTCTCCTGGGTTCAAGCAATCCTCCTGCCTCAGCCTCCCGAGAACCTGGGATTATAGGCACACAGCACCACACCCATCTAATTTTTGTATTTTTAGTAGAGACAGGGTTCCACTATGTTGGCCAGGCTGGTCTCGAACTCCTGATCTCAAGTGATCCACCTGCCTCAGCCTCCCAAAGTGCTGGGATTACAGGCGTGAGCCACTGTGCCTGGCCTATTTCCTTATCCTTATATTAGGGTTATTACTGGGTCAAAAAGTTTAAACCTGAAACTTTTATAGTCTCTTTTTTTTTATGTTTTGAATTAAAAAATAATACTTCTTAAGTTCCAAGATACATGTGCAGAATGTGCAGGTTTCTTACATAAACGTGTGCCAGGGTGGTTTGCTGCACTTATCAACCCATCACCTAGGTATTAAGCCCCACATGCATTGGCTATTGTTCCTGATGCTCTCCCTCCTCCCATCCCCCTGACAGGCCCCACTGTGTGTTGTTCCCCTCCCTGTGTCCATGTGTTCTCATTGTTCAGCTCCTACTTATAAGTGATAACATGTGGTGTTTGGTTTTCTGTTCCTGCATTAGTTTGTTGAGGATAATGGCTTCCAGTTCCAGCCGTGTCCCTGCAAAGGACATGCTCTCATTCCTTTGTATGGCTGCATAGTATTCCATGGTATATATGTACCACATTTTCTTTACCCAGTCTATCATTGATAGGCATTTTTGTTGATTCAATGTCTTTGCTATATGGAATAGTGCTGCAATGAACATATGCCTGCATGTATCTTTATAACACAATGATTTCTATTCCTTTGGGTATATACCCAGTAATGGGATTGCTGGGTCAAATGGTATTTCTGGTTCTAGGTCTTTGAGGAATTGCCACACTGTCTTCCATAATGGTTGAACTAATTTACATTCCCCTCTTCCATTTGTTTTAATAAAAGTAGGTAAGCATAAAAGAAAACTTTAGAAAAACAGAGTATAAAGAATCAAAAGATGTGAAATCCTATCACTCAGAGATAAAGAATATTATTAATAATTTAGCATATTTCCTCAAAGTCTTTTATCTATAAATATTTATAGGGCCAGGCACGGTAGTTCGTCCCTGTAATCCCAGTGCTTTGGGAGGCTGAGGCAGGAGGATTGCTTGAGGCCAGGAGTTTGAGACCAGACTGGACAACACAGTGAGACTGTCTCTACAAAAATAATCATTATTATTATTATTACTATTTTTTGAGATGGAGTCTTGCTCTGTCACTCAGGCTGGAGTGCAGTGGTGAAATCTTGGCTCACTGCAACCTCTGCCTCCTGGGTTCAGGCGATTCTCATGCCTCAGCCTCCCAAGTAGCTGAGATTACAGGTGGCGGTCACCATACCTGGCTACTTTTTGTATTTTTAGTAGAGATGGGATTTCACCATGTTGGCCAGGCTGGTCTTGAACTCCTGATCTCAACTGATCCACCCACCTCGGCCTCCCAAAGTGCCAGGATTACAAGTGTAATAAGCCACTGTGCCTAGCCGCAAAATTATTTTTTAATTAAAAAAATAGGCCAGGCACAGTGGCTCACGCCTGTAATCTCAGCACTTTGGGAGGCCGAGGCGGGCAGATCATGAGGTCAGGAGATCAAGACCATCCTGGCTAACACGGTGAAACCCCGTCTCTACTAAAAATACAAAAAAATTAGCCAGGCTTGGTGGCAGGTGCCTGCAGTCCCAGCTACTCGGGAGGCTGAGGCAGGAGAATAGCGTGAACCCAGGAGGCAGAGCTTGCAGTGAGCCGAGATCGTGCCACTGCACTCCAGCCTGGACGACAGAGCGAAAAGAAAAAAAAAAAAAAAAGATTCCTGCCCTCATGGAGCTTACTTCATGGTGGAGAGGATGTACTGAGACGGCTAGAGCAGTTTCTCTCAAATAATATGAACTAATGAGTTAGTTACAGATGTCTGCCCATTTTGCCGGGTGTGGTGGCTCACGCCTGTAATCCCAGCACTTTGGGAGGCCGAGGAGGGCAGATCACGAGGTCAGGAGATGGAGACTATCCTGGCTAACATGGTGAAACCCCGTCTCTACTAAAAATACAAAAAATTAGCCGGGCGTGGTGGCAGGCGCCTGTAGTCCCAGCTACTCGGGAGGCTGAGGCAGGAGAATGGCGTGAACCCGGGAGGCGGAGCTTGCAGTGAGCAGAGATCGCGCCACTGCACTCCAGCCTGGGTGACAGAGCAAGACTCCGTCCCCAAAAAAAAAAAAAAAAAGCCAGGCATGGTGGTGCTTGCCTGTAGCACAAGCTACCCAGGAGACTGAGGTGGGAGGATTGCTTGAACCCAGAAGTTTGAGGTCACAACATGCTATGATGGTACCACAGCACTCCAGCATGGGTGACAGAGGGAGACTCTTATCCCTTAAAATATATATGTATATTTATAGGTACTTTTTAGTCAAAATTGTGGTAATATTGTATCCAATTTCACATTCTGCTTTCTTCACTTTATGTTTTATTGTGACCATTTTTAACATCATTAAATAGTCTTTGAAAACAATTTAAGGACTGCATGTATTTTACTGCATGGGTTATACCAGTTTTTATTTTCCAACTGTTAGAAATTTAGGTTGTTCAAATTTTAGCTATTATGAAAACACTAAGATGAGAATCTTCTTACTTATCTTTCAGAATATCTAATAATTTTTTGGTTTGTTTTTGTTTTTTGTTCTATTTTTTGGTATTTATTTTTTCTTGATTATTCCTTTATGATAAATTATTAAAGGTAGAATTACCAAGTAAAATGTTATATACATATATTTTTCTTTCTTTTTTTTTTTGAGATAGGGTCTTGTTCTGTTGCCCAGGCTAGAGTGCAGTGGCATGGCCTCGGCTCACTGTAACCTCCGCCTCCTGGGCTCCAGCGATCCTTTCACCCCAGCCTCCTGAGTAGGTGGGACCACAGGCATGTGCCACCACACTCAGCTAATTTTTGTTGTGTTTGTTTGTAGAGACAGGGTCTCTCTTTGTTGCCTGGGCTGGTCTTGAACTCCTGGGCTCAAGTGATCCTCCCACCTTGGCCTCTTAAAGTGCTGCGATTACAAGCATGAGCCACCATGCCCGGCCACTGTCTTTTTATTATGGGCATTTTAAATATATACAAAAGTAGATAGAAGAGTATAATGAACTCCATATAATATATTGAACCCCATGCATCCATCACCTGCTTTAACAATTATCAAAATTTTACCTACTTTATCAGTCTTCCCATTTTTGTTTATTTTTGCTGCAGCATTGAAAGCAAGATCTAGACACTAATAATTTTATCAGTAGATACTTCTATATATACCTCTGATAACCCTTCTTTTAAATATGATTACCGTGCCATTCTCATACCTAAAAAATACCATTTATATCATCTAATATCTAATCCACACTCAAATGTTCTAATTATCTAAAGATTTTCTTTTTTAGACGGAGTCTTGCTCTGTTGCCCAGGCTGGAGTGCAGCGGCACCATCTCAGCTCACTGCAACCTCCGCCTCCCGGGTTCAAGTGATTCTCCTGCCTCAGCCTCTCGAGCAGTTGGGTCTACAGGCACATGCCACCACACCCAGCTAATTTTTTTGTATTTTTAGTAGAGATGGGGTTTCACCATGTTGGCCAGGCAGGTCTCTAACTCCTGACTTCAGGTGATCCATCTGCCTCGGCCTCCCAAAGTGCTGGGATTACAGGTATGGGCCACCATGCCCGGCCTATCTAAAGATATTATAAAGTTGGATTGCTATGGAAAATTATAAGGCTTTTGACATTCATTAGCACATACAATATGTAGCAGATATACTGTATTGCTTATTTGGAATACCAGAATTAACAAGACATTTCTTATCTTTTTTTTTGAGATGGAGTCTTGCTCCATCACCTAGGTTGGAGTGCAGTGGTGTGATCTTGGCTCACTGCAACCTCCACCTCCCAGGTTCAAGTGGTTCTCCTGTCTCAGCCTCCCGAGGAGCTGGGAATACAGGCACCTGCCACCACACCCAGCTAATTTTTGTATTTTTAGTAGAGACAGGGTTTCACCTTGTTGGTCAGGCTGGTCTTGAACTCCTGACCTCAGGTGATCCGCCCACCTTGGCCTCCCAAAGTGCTGGGATTACAGGCATAAGCCACCATGCCTGGTCCTTATCTTCTTATAGTTTGTTCTCAGTATAAAAGTCAGAATGATCCTTTTAAAATAAATCAGATTATGTCATTCTCTGTTTGAAAACCCACTGATTCCCATCTTACTCAGAGCAAAAGCCAAAGTCCTTGCAATGTCCTATATGTTCTGATCCCCGCATCGACATCTCTATGTTTTCCTTTTCTATTTTCCTCTCCTTCTCACTCACTGGCTCCAGCTGCCCTTGCTGCTGTTTTTTGAGCACACCAGAACTCCTGCCTTATAGCAGCTTCACTTGCTGCTGTCTCTACCTGGAATGGTCTTATCATATGATCATTTCCTTACCTCCTTTGTACTTTGCTCGAACAACAACTTCTCAGTGAAGCTTTGCTCACCCACCTTATTTACTCCCTGCCATCCCACTTTGTTTTACTTTTCTTCACAAAACTGATTACCTTTGGAGATACACATGCAAAAAAATGAAATTGGACTCTTATATTACATCATATACAAAAATAAACTCAAAATGTATTAAATACTTAAATGTAAGGCCTGAAGCTGTAAAACTCCTAGAAGAAAACAGGAAAAAAACTTCTTGACATTGGACTTGGCAATGATTTCTTGGATATGACACCACACCAAAAGCACCAGCAGCAAAAGCAAAAATAGACAAACGGGACTGTATCAAACTAAAAAGCTTCTGCACAACAAAAGAAACAACCAACAACATGAAAAGGCAACTTACAGAATGGGAGAAAATATTTGCAAACCGTTTATCTAATGAATGGTTGATATCTAAAATATGTAAGAAACCCCTACAACTGAATGTCAAAAACCCCAAAATTCAAACAAATAACCCAATTTTTAAAATAGGCAAAGGACCTAAATAGACATTTCTCCAAAGAGGACATACAAATGGCCAATGAGTACATGAAAAGGTGCTCAACATCACCAATTAATCAGGTGATTTGATTTCCAAATCAAAACCACAATGATATATCACCTCACACCTGTTAGGATGAACATTATATATATATACATATATATATATATATATATATATACACACACACACATATATATATATACACATACACACACACACATATATATATATATATAAGATAACAAGTATTAGTGAAGATGTGGATAAAATGGAACCCTGTACAGTCGATGGGAATGTAAATTGGTGCACCTACTATGAAAACCAGTATGAAAGTTCCTGAAAAAACTTAAAATAGAACTACCATATGATCCTGCAATTCCACTTCTGGGTATATATTTAAAGTAAATAAAATCAGTATGTCAGAGAGGTATCTGAACTCCCATGTTCACTGCAGCATTATTCACAATAGCCTAGACATGGAAACAACCTAAATGTCCATTGACAGATGAATGGATAAAGAAAATGTGGCATATACACACAACAGAATACTATTCAGTCATAAAAAGAAAATCCTGGCATTTGTGATAACATGAATGAAACTGGAAGACATTATGCTAAGTGAAATTAAGCCAGATACTTTTTGGACAAATACTACATAATGCCACTTATATGATGAATCTAGAAACAACAAACTCATAGAAGCAGAGTAGAACAGTGATTGCGAGGGCCTTGGGGCTGGCGAAACAGGTGGTATTAGTCAAAGGGTACAAAGTTTCACTTTCAAAATGATTAAGTTTGAGAGATCTATTATATAGCACAGTGCATACAGTTTACAATACTGTATCGTATACTTAATAAATAAGAGGATGAGAATAAACTTTTATAGGTGATGCTTGGGTTATGGCACAGACGGTGGTGATGGTTTCATGCTTGTATACTTATCTCCAAACTCATTAAGTTCTATATAATAAATACATACAGCTTTTTGAATACCAATCATACCTCAATAAAGTGGTTTAAAAAATTAACTTATAGCCTGGCACAGTGGCTCACGCTTGTAATCCCAACACTTTGGGAGGCCAAGGCGGGTGGATCACCTGAGGTCAGGAGTTCGAGACCAGCCTGATCAACATGGTGAAACTCCGTCTCTACTAAATACAAAAAAATTAGCTGGGAGTGGTGGTACGTGCCTGTAATTCCAGCTACTTGGGAGGCTGAGGCAGGAGAATTGCTTGAACCCAGGAGGCAGAGGTTGCAGTGAGCCAAGATTGTGCCACTGCACTCCAGCCTAGGCAACAATAGTGAAACTCTATCTCAAAAAAAAAACAACTTTATATTATAAAATTTACTTATTTTCTGTCTTCTTCCACTAGAATGTATGCTCCATTCTATTTTTGTCTCTTGTTCACAGATATTTTTGTCTCTTTTGTTCACTTACTATATCTCTAGCTCCTAGAACAGTGATTAATAAAAATAGTAGGCACTTAATAAATATCTCTAGAGTGAATGAAGACATAGTCCCAGACCTCAAGATGTCAACTATTGGAGCATAATGGTTAAAAACATAAGCTCTAGAGACAGAGCAGGGTTCTAATACTGATGCTATGACTGTGTGAAATTGTTGAGTTACTTAACAGCTCTAAACCTTCATTTGTAAAGTGAGGCTATTAATAGTACCAAGACAAATCTGTATCAAATACTGCATACCTACATTTCACAAAAATTCTCTCACTCCCTTATAGTTAACTTCCTTTACCCAAGTTCTAGATTCTAATGATATACTCTCAGAAATTTTTCTTTTTTTTTTTTTGAGACGGAGTTTTGCTCTTGTCACCCAGGCTGGAGTGCAATGGTGCGATCTTGGCTCACTGCAACCTCCGCCTCCCGGTTGAAGCAATTCTCCTGCCCCAGCCTCCCAAGTAGCTGGGATTATAGGCACATGCCACCATGCCCAGCTAATTTTCGTATTTTTAGTAGAGACCGGGTTTCACCATGTTGGCCAAGCTGGTCTTGAACACTTGACCTCAGGTGATCCGCCTGCCTCGGCCTCTTCAAAGTGCTAGGATTACAGGCATGAGCCACCGCGCCTGGCTCAAAAAAATTTATTCGAGACAGGGTCTTGCTCTGTTGCCCAGGCTGGAGTGCAGTGGTGATCACAGCTCACTGTAACCTCAAACTCCTGAGCTCAGGTGATCCTCATGCCTCAGCCTCTCAAGTAGCTGGACTACAGGTACATGCCACCATGCTTGGCTATATATTTTTTTTTTTTAAATAGAGACATAGTCTTGTTATGTTACCCAGACTGGTCTCAAACTCCTGGACTCAAGCAATCCTCCTGCCTGGGCCTCCCAAAGTGCTGGGATTATAGGCATGAGCCACTGCACCTGGCCTATTCTCAAAAATTTTAAGCAGCAGTTAAATGCTACAACACCTATGCTAATGTTCCCTAGTCATGCACATTAAACATAAATTTGCAAGAAAAACATTACTTTCTAGGTACATAGCATACTTACAGCTTCTAGTATCAAAAAGAAATTTTATACTTATTAAAATGGATACAGTATATTCATATTTGCAATCTGATGCAATTATCAATTCTTAGAAGCCATGAGGTCTAACAGTCTCTGCAAAACCCAACTATTAAAAAAATCCCTACTTTATAAGTGTCTAAGATAATGGAGCATATTAGACATGCACCTCTTCCTGTCTTTCTTACATTTATTGAGCTAATTTTGAAAATTAACAGAAACAGAAAGTAGCCAGAATTCTAGGCTTGGCATTACCAATGCACAGGTGAGTGATCTTGGGTACATCACTCTGTATGTTCGACTGTACAATACTTTTATATATTATATTCCACACAGATGCTAAGACAAAAGACTGAAAAAGTACTTCAAAAGAGATGAAAAAGATATCACTATCATAAGAAAAAAAGAATACACACATCAGGAACATAAACTCCATTGTGTTTACTGTGCCTCACTGTGGCTAGCACTAGGTTAGAAGATAATTTCTGGTGTCAAACTCTAATGGCATGTGAAATAGAAGCCTCTTTTAACTGTCCCCAAATAAAATGACAGAAGGGAAACAAACCCCAAATGATCTCTTCCTGAAAACAATGGATATAAATGTTATTTCTCATGTAAAAAGGCTTTGTATTCAATAAAATTGTGAGTTACTTAGGTCTGTTTGGGGTTAGATGGATGTAGCTGAGGATCTATAAGTAGGATTGCTGAAATAAGCGCAATAAAAGATACTACAGATAGTCTCTATTTTTAATAGTAATCAATGCCTGGAAACTGTATGGTAAATTAAACTAATAAAAGCAAGCCCTTTTCCCTAAAGCAAAGCAGTTAAAATTATCTCTGCTACATTAGTCAGTGAGGCTTTATGGAGGAAGCGGGCCATGAAGAATGGGCATGCTTTGAATAGAAAGATGATCAAGGCATCCAAATAAGGGGAACAATAGGAATAAGGTCCACAGGCAGGAATTCAACATGATTATGGGCCTGCTACAGTCAGGAATGGAATTAGATTCCAAGGATACTAAAATCTGTGAAGTACAGTTCTTTGCCTTCAATCAGCCCAGAGCCTAGCCAGGGAGACTAACAAGAAAGACATGGTAATATCAGTATAAAAGTACCTATGATGTACTATTAGAATACAAATGAAGAACAATTTTATCTGCTGGATTCAGGGAAAATAATAAGATATTTGAGCTGAATCTTGAAGGATAAGTAGGGCTTTGCCCTGTGAAGGCAAAGCAAACAGCAGGGACAGAGACATGAAAGTGAAAGTGTTTATAGTGTACAGACCTGTATCAGGCACGGCTGGTAGGATGCACAGGCACTAGGGAATTGGAACTGAGTCAAAAGTTAAGATTAGGCAATACAGGGAAGAATCTTATTGTGGGGGAGATAAAGGGCCGTCAAAAGATTTTAAACCGCAAGGCTGGGCATGGTGGCTCACGCCTGTAATCCCAGCACTTTGGGGGGCCGAGGTGGGAGGATCACTTGAGGTCAGGAGTTTAAGACCAGCCTGGCCAACATGGTGAAACCCTATCTCTACTAAAAACACAAAAATTAGCTGGGCATGGTGGTGAGTGCCTGTAATACCAGTTATTTGGGAGGCTGAGGCAGGAGAACCCCTTGAACCCGGGAGGCGCAGGTTGCAAATGAGCCGAGATCATGCCACTGCACTCCAGCCTCGGCGACAGAGCGAGACTCTGTCTCAAAAAAAAGAAAAAAAAATTTTAAACCACACAATGGCACAGTCAATCTGTTTTGAAAAACCTGGCTGGCTGGTGGCAGTGTAGAAAATGAATTGGGTAGAGACCAGAGGCAGAAAAAACAATTAGGAGACTATGGCAAGCATTTAAATGAGTGTTGAAGACCTAGACGATGTGTGTGACAATTAGGGATGAGGGGGTAAGTTCCACAGGTATTTGTGGGTGGGGGTAGAGTGGCTAGGAATTTGTTACTAATTTGAAATGTGGGTAAGGAAGAAAAAGTAATGGAGTATTTTTGATTGAGTTAAAAAGGTAACGTGTAGATGTTGATGCCACTAAATAAGGTTCAGAAGTGAGGAGAAGCAGGTTTGTGGGTGAATGATGAAAATATTTCAATGAATGATCATAAAGATGACAGATTTGAGTTTAAAGTAGCAATAATTACAGTAAGTTTAAATGGTATAAATGTACCAATTAAAAAACAGAAACTGGCAGAGTGGGTAAAAAAACATGGTCTAACTATATGCTATCTATAAGAAACATTTTAAACATAATGGGATGCCATCATGGCAGACAGGAGGCAGGACTAGATTGCAGCTCCTACTCAGATGGACAGAGCAGCATGCGGAGGCTCACACCATGAATTTTAGCTGCAGATCGACTGCAAGAAAGAACTAGGAATCCCAAGAGAACCCACAGACCCTCTGAAGGAAGCAGAATGCTCCTGCAGGACCCAGGAGACACCCCGAATACTGTGAGTGCCCAAACTGCAGAAGTGGGAAAGGGAGATCCTCCTCTCCGGAACACACACCCCCACTGGGGAAACTGAACGTCTGTTTGCAGGATAAGTTTCTGACCTTACCTGGAGCTGAGTCAATTTAGAGAGCCCAGCGAAATATAGAAGTAGAGGAAGCAGCAGGAAAGCCTTGGGAGCTCGCTGGGTCTTCAAGCAGGCCATTCCTGCCTGGCACCACAGGGATCCTTCGGGAGGGCAGCCAGAGGAATAGGAGGGGAAACACTATAGGGAGAAGGAAGTCTCCAGCTGAACTTTGTAACAATTTGAACTGGCGAGAAGCCTCCTGGCCAGAAGGGGGAGGGCACGAATCCGGTGTGCAGACTCCATAGGTGGGGAAAGAACCAAGCCTTTTTCTTTCACAGCTGGGAGGTGAGTAGCCTGGGGCAAGTTCTCAGGCCCAGATCCCCTACTGCCTGGAAACAGACTTGGGGCTGTTGAGGGGGCATGGTGGGAGTGAGACTGGCCCTTCCGTTTGTGTGGGAGCTGGGTGAGGCCTGTGACTGCCAGCTTTCCCCCGCTTCCCTGACAACCTGCATGACTCAGCAGAGGCAGCCATAATCTTCCTAGGTACGCAACTTCATTGACCTGGGAACATCACATCCATCCCCCACAGCAGCCTCAGCAAGACCCAACCAAGGAGATTCTGAGCTCAGACACACCTAGCCCTGCCCCCACCTGATGGGCCTTCCTTATCCACCCTGGTAGCTGAAGACAAAGGGCATATACTCTTGAGAGTTCTAGGGCCCCACCCACCACCATTTCCAATCCATACTACCATAGCTTGATGCTCTTTGGAAAGCGCCACCTCCCAGCAGAAGGCCAACCAGCACAAAAATAGAAAATTAAACCACCAAAGCTAAGAACCCTCACAGAGTCCATTTCACCCCCCTGCCACTTCCACTGGTACAGGTGCTGGTATCCACGGCTGAGAGACCCATAGACGGTTCACATCACAGGACTCTCTGCAGACAACCTCCAGTACCAGCTCAGAGCTGGGTAGACTTGCTGGGTGGCTAGACCCAGAAGAGAGATAACAATCCCTGCAGCTCGGCTCACAGGAAGCCACATCCATAGGAAAAAGGGAAGAGTACTACATCAAGGGAACACCCAGTGGGACAAACGAATCTGAACAACAGCCTTCAGCCCTAGACTCTGACAGAGCCTACCCAAATGAGAAGGAACCAGAAAACCAACTCTGGTAATTTGACAAAACAAGGCTCTTTAACAACCCCCGAAAAATCACACTAGTTCATCAGCAATGCATCCAAACCAATAAGAAATCCCTGATTTACCTGAAAAAGAATTCAGGAGGTTAGTTATTAAGTTAATCTGGGAGGCGCCAGAGAAAGGCAAAGCCCAATGCAGTGAAATCCAAAAAACGATACAAGAAGTGAAGGGAGAAATATTCAAGGAAATGGATAGCATAAAGAAAAAAAACAATAAAAACTTCAGGAAACACTGTACACACTTATAGAAATGAAAAATGCTCTGGAAAGTCTCAGCAATAGAATTGAACAAGTAGAAGAAAGAAATTCAGAGCTCAAAGACAAGGTCTTCAAATTAACCCAATACAACAAAGACAAAGAAAAAAGAATAAGAGAATATGAATGAAGCCTCTACGAGGTCTGGGATTATGTTAAACACCAAACCTAAGAATAACTGATGTTCCTGAGGAAGAAGAGATGTCTGAAAGTTTGAAAAACATATTTGGGGGAATAATCAAGGAAAACTTCCCCGGCCTTGCTCGAGATCTAGACATTCAAATACAAGAAGCACAAAGAACAAGTGGGAAATTCATCACAAAATGATCATCGCGTAGGCACACTGTCATCACGTTATCTAAAGTTAAGACAAAGGAAAGAATCTTAAGAGCTGTGAGACAAAAGCACCAGGTAACGTATAAAGGAAAACCTAACAGATTAGCAGCGGATTTCTCAGCAGAAACCCTACAAGCTAGAAGGGATTGGGGCCCTATCTTCAGCCTCCTCAAACAAAACAATTATCACTAAGAATTTTGTATCCAGTAAAACTAAGTATCATATATGAAGGAAAGATACAGTCGTTTTCAGACAAACAAATGCTGAGAGAATTTGCCACTACTAAGCCACCACTATAAGAACTGCTAAAACGAGCTCTAAATCTTGAAACAAATCCTGGAAACACATTAAAACAGAACTTCTTTAAAGCATAAATCATACAGAACCTATAAAACAAAAATGTAAGTTAAAAAGCAAAAACAAAAAAAACCAAGGTACACAGGCAACAAATAACACTATGAGGTATCTCACATCTCAATACTAACATTGAATGTAAGTGGCCTAAATGCTCCAGTTAAAAGATACAGAGATGCAGAATGGATAAGAACCCACCAACCAACTATCTGCTGTCTTCAGGAGACATAAGGACTCAAATAAACTTAAAGGGGTGGTAAAAGGCGTTTCATGCAAATGGACACCAAAAGCGAACAGGGGTAGCTATTCTTATATCAGACAAAACAAACTTTAAAGCAACAGCATTTAAAAGAGACAAAGAGGGACATGATATAACAGTAAAAGGCCTTGTCCAACAGGAAAATATCACAATCCTAAACATTTATGCACCTAAGACTGGAGCTCCCAAATTTATAAAACAATTACTAATAGACCTAAGAAATGAGATAGACGGCAACACGATAATAGTTGGGGACTTCAATACTCCACTGACAGCACTAGACAGGTCATCAAGGCAGAAAGTCAACAAAGAAACAACGAATTTAAACTATACCTTGGAACAAATGGACTTAACAGATATATATACAGAACATTCCATCCAACAACTGCAGAATACACATTCTATTCAATAGCGCATGGAACCTTCTCCAAGATAGACCATATGATAGGCCATAAAACGAGCCTCAATAAATTTAAGAAAATTGAAATTATATCAAGCACTCTCTCAGACTACAGTGGAATAAAACTGGAAATGAACTCCAAAAGGAACCTTCGAAACCGTGCAAATACATGGAAATAAAATAACCTGCTCCTGAATGAGCACTCGGTCAAAAATGAAATCAAGATGGAAATTAAAAAATTATTTGAACTGAATGACAATAATGAAACAATCTATCATAACCTTTGGGATACAGCAAAGGTGGTGCTAACAGGAAAGTTCATAGCCCTATAAATGCCTACATCAAAAAGACTCAAAGAGCACAAACTGACATGCTAAGGTCACACTTCAAGGAACTAGAGAAACAAGAACAAACCAAACCCAAAGCCAGCAGAAGAAAGGAAATTACCAAGATCAGAGCAGAATTAAACTAAATTGAAACAAACAAAAAATACAAAAGATAAATGAAACACAAAGCTGGTTCTTTGAAAAGATAAATAAAATTGATAGACTGTTAGCAAGATTAACCAAGAAAATAAAAGAGAAAATCCAAATAACCTCATTAAGAAGAGAAACAGGAGATATTACAACTGACATCACTGAAATACAAAAGATCATTCAAGGCTACTATGAACACCTTTATGCACATAAACTAGAAAACCTAGAAGAGATGGAAAAATTCCTGGAAAAATACAACCCTCCTAGCTTAAATTAGGAAGAAATAGATACCCTGAACAGACCAATAACAAGCAGCGAGATTGAAATGGTAATTTAAAAATTATCAACAAAAAAAACAGTCCAGGACTGGCTGGGCACGATGGCTCATGCCTGTAATCCCAGCACTTTGGGAGGCCGAGGCAGGCGGATCACCTGAGGCCAGGAGTTCAAGACTAGCCTGGCCAACATGTTGAAACCTCGTCTCTACTAAAAATACAAAAACTAGCCGGGCATGGTGGTGTGTGCCTGTAATCCCAGCTACCAGGAAGGCTGAGGCAGGAGAATCGTTGGAACCCAGGAGGCGGAGGCTGCAGTGAGCTGAGATTGCGCCACTGCACTCCAGCCTGGGCAACAGAGTGAGACTCCATCTCAAAAAAAGTCCAGGACCAGATGGATTCACAGCAGAATTCTACCAGACATTCAAAGAAGAATTGGTAACAATTCTTTTGACACTATTCCACAAGATAGAAAAAGAGGGAATCCTCCCTAATTCATTCTATGAAGCCAGCATCACCCACTAATACCAAAATCAGGAAAGGACACAACCAAAAAAGAAAACTACAGACCAATATCCCTGATGAACATAGATGCTAAAATCCTTAACAACATACTAGCTAACCAAATCCAACAACATATCGAAAAGATAATCCACCCAGTTCAAGTGGGTTTCATAGCAGGGATGCAGGGATGGTTTAACATATGCAAGTCAATAAATGTGATACACCACATAAACAGAATTAAAAACAAAAATCACATGATCATCTCAATAGATGCAGAAAAAGCATTTGACAAAATCCAGCATCCTTTATGATTAAAACTCTCAGCAAAATCAGCATACAGGTGACATATCTCAGTGTAATAAAAGCCATCTATGACAAACCCACAGCCAACATAATACTGAATGGGGAAAAATTGAAAGCATTCCCTCTGAGAACTGGAACAAGACAAGGATGCCCACTCTTACCACTCCTCTTCAACACAGTACTGGAAGTCCTAGCCAGAGCAATCAGACAAGAGAAAGAAATAAAGGGCATTCAAATGGGGTAAAGAGAAAGTCAAACTGTCACTGTTTGCTGACGATATGATCATTTACCTCGGAAACCCTAAAGACTCCTCCAGAAAGCTCAGAACTGATAAAAGAATTCAGCACAGTTTCCAGATACAAGATTAATGTAAACAAATCAGTAGCTCTTGTATACACCAACAGCAACCAAGCGAAGAATCAAATCGATAACTCAATCACTTTTACAAAAGCTGCAAAAAAATAAAATACTTAGGAATATACCTAACCAAAGAGGCGAAAGACATCTACAAGGAAAACTACAAAACGCTGCTGAAAGAAATCATGGACGACACAAACAAATGGAAACACATCCCATGCTCATGGATGGGTAGAATCAATATTGTGAAAATGGCCATACTTCAAAAAGCAATCTGCCACATTTTCTTAATCCAGTCTATTATTGTTGGACATTTGGGTTGGTTCCAAGACTTTGCTATTGTGAATAGTGCCACAATAAACATACGTGTGCATGTGTCTTTATAGCAGCATGATTTATAGTCCTTTGGGTATATATCCAGTAATGGAAAAAAAAAAACACAAAACCATGGAACATAAAAAAAAAAAAAAAAAAAGCAATCGCAAGTTCAACGCAATCCCCATCAAAATACCACCATCATTCTTCACAGAATTAGAAAAAACAATTCTAAAATTCATATGGAACCAAAAGAGCCCACACAGCCAAAGCAAGACTAAGCAAAAGAACAAATACGGAGGCGTCACACTTACTGATTTCAAACTATAAGGCCATAGTCACCAAGACAGTATGGTACTGGTATAAACATAGGCACACAGACCAATGGAAAACAATAGAGAACCCAGAAATAAACCCAAATATTTACAGCCAACTGATCTTTGACAAAGCAAACAAAAACATAAAAAGTGGGGAAAGGACACCCTTTTCAACAAATGGTGCTGAGATAACTGGCTAGCCACGTGTAGGATAATGAAACTGGATCCTCATCTCTCACTTTATACAAAAATCAACTCAAGAGGGATTAAGGACTCGAATCTAAGACCTGAAAGCATAAAAATTCTAGAAGATAACATTGGAAAAACCCTTCTAGACATTGGCTTAGGCAAGGATTTCATGACCAGGAACCCAAAAGCAAATGCAATAAAAATAAATAGTTGGGACTTAATTACACTAACGAGCTTTTGCACAGCAAAAGGAACAGTCAGCAGAGTAAACAGACAACCCACAGAGTGGGAGAAAATCTTCACAATCTATACATCCAACTAAGGACTAACTAATATCCAGAATGAACAACAAACTCAAACAAATCAGTAAGAAAAAAACAGTCCATCAAAAAGTGGGCTAAGGACATAAATAGACAATTCTCAAAAAAATATACAAATGGCCAACACACGTATGAAAAAATGCTCAACATCACAATAATCAGGGAAATGTAAATCAAAACCTCGATGTGATACCATCTTACTCCTGCAAGAATGGCCATAATAAAAAATCAAAAAATAGATGTTGGCGTGGATGTGGTGATCAGGGAACACTTCTACACTGCTAGTGGGAATGTAAACTAATACAACCACTGTGGAAAACAGCGTGGAGATTCCTTAAAGAAATAAAAGTAGAACTAACATTTGATCCATCAATCCCACTATTGGGTATCTACCCAGAGGAAAAGAAGTCATTATTAGAAAAAGATACTTGCACACGCACGTTTATAGCAGCACAATTTGGAATTGCAAAAACGTGGAACCAACCCAAATGCCCATCAATCAACGAGTGGATAAAGAAACTGGTATGTATACACGATGGAATACTACTCAGCCATAAAAAGGAATGAATTAACAGCATTTGCAGCAACCTGGATGAGATTGGAGACTATTATTCTAAGAGAAGTAACTCAGGAATGGAAAACCAAACATTGTATGTTCTCACTGATATGTGGGAGCTAAACTATGAGGACGCAAAGATGTAAGAATGATACAATGGACTTTGGGGACTTGGGAGGAAGAGTGGGAGGAGGGTGAGGAATAAAAGACTACAAATAGGTGCAGTGTATACTCCTTGGGTGATGGGTGCACCAAAATCACTAAAGAACTTATGTAACCAAATACCACCTGTACCCCAATAACTTATGGAAAAATTAAAATATAAAAAATATTTCTATGAGTGACCATTACCATGTAGCTAACTACGCAAGCTAGACACCTGTGATTCATCCCAGGCTACTCACTTTTACTACCCCAGCTAGTCAGTCACCAAGTCCTACAAATTAGACTTATTTTACATCTCTCAATTCAGCTTATCTTTACAGTTTCTAGCTCTACTGGTATCATAATCATCAAAATCGGAAGTAACCATTTCTCTGGGTTAATAGCCTCTTACATGGTCTCCCTGTCTCAAACCTGAAGCCCCCACCTAGTCTATCCTTCACAATACTACCAGAATACTCTTTCTAAAACAAAAATCTGAACATGGTAATTATGCCTCTGAGTGAAATCCTTCAAAGCCCCACCCTGCTCCCAGTAGTTTGCAGGATAAAGTTCCATCTTGGTTCATCACAAAAAGTCATTTAAAATTCCACTCCTGCCTACCTCTCCCACCAATCTCACAAATGCACCTTTCCCAGCCATGTGTAATTCCTTGTAGTACCTTTAACATACTAGCCTCCATGCTTTTGCACTTGCTAGTCCCTGGGTCTGACACGCTCCTTCCTTTCTTCTCTCATATAGCTAAATCCTAGCTCAAATAACAAGTTTCCAGGAAACTATTCCTAACACTGTGATTTATAAGGCTAACCTATTTTTGTGTAGTACCTTCTGTAGAATATCACCATCTAATACTGTAATTGTGAGTTTACCCATTTCACTAGTTCACAAGATCCCTGAGGACAGAGAATATGTCTCATTTGATTTTATAGCATGTAGCAGTGTCTGCCACATATAGCAGGCACTCAGAAAACATTTGTTGAAGGAGTTTAGTTTTGGACCTATTAGTTGATGTGGTTGGATTACATGTAGATAAAGAGATCCTATATATTATGTGAAAAGGCAGCAAGCACAATAATGTTCTTGTTTAAAAATCATAAAGTTACTGAAAGTAAACAAAGAATTACAGATCTAAAGCCAGTTCAGGACTAGAAGAAGAGCATAAATATGTCTATTGAAAATGGCCAAGAACAGACCCTGAGAAACAGTAAATGTAAGGAGATGGAAGAAGAAACAGTGGGAGTATAAGAGAACAAAGGGAAACAGAACCATGGAAAGCCAGGAGAAGGAGAAAACGTAGTGTCAAATACTGGAGCCAATGAAATCTCAGGAAAATACTGTTGAGCAGGTAGACATTTTAGGTTCTCTTGTTTATATCACCCTTACCTAATGCAACACACAAAAAACACAGGTGACAACTTAGTACAATATTGTGTATTCTGCTTTATAGGTTTAAAATTGGTTATATTTAACCTTCCAGCTCTAAAACCAAATGAAAATCATTAAGATACCTTATCTGAAACTGTGATAAAGTGTTTATTAAACCAAGAAGATTAGAAAATTAAAATACTTAAATATATTTTTTCTTTCCTTAATTACCTCTTATTTGGGTATCTATTATCATTATTTTAAAAATGTCTAACATGGATTTGAGGGGAGGGGCTTTTGTATTATTTAAGTTTACATTAGTGGTATAGTACCCTGAGCAATAGTATTCACTGTCTGGCAACCTTTAAATATCAAAAATTTTCATTTGCTAATTTCTTCTAATTGAAGAAACTCTTGGTTCTAATGATACATCTTAATTTTATATTAAGTGTCTTCATGCAACTGTAATTTCTGATACACAAAAATACTTTATGGTAAACAAATTAAATCATACCTGAAAACAGAGTAACCATAAAACAATAAGCATACCCCTGTATCTGTATCCGATTTTGATGAACTTAGACTTTCCTGAGAGGGTGATGGGGACACACGTCCTAAAAACAACATAATAATTGTAAAAAAGGCATGTATGTACACACACAGACCCACCAAAATATAACATCCAGAAGTAATGACACAGCAATGTCTAATAGTTAGAGAATACAGTATTCTAGAAAAATACTAACAATTGAGGCATAACCCTATAGGAGCCAAAATATTTGTTTCAATCATTTTTACATAAAAACTTCATAAAATGGCTTAACCATTTCCCTACTTTAGTAAACAAAATACCGTTAAATCCTCAGTATTCGAATAGAACACATTCTTATTAATCATGACAAGTAGCAAGAGGAACAATAAAGGAGCAGAAAGGTTCAGGGCTGGGGTTAGTCTCAAGGGCCACTGAAAATAGTCTTTTTGCTCTTGGCAGGGCAGTAAAAGAAATGACACACAGCTAGGACTAGAAAAACTCACCATATAGTAAACACAGTTTAACTTCTTGTCAAATTATTATCATCTTCAACTAAGTACTGAAACATAATGCAAGCAATACTCACAGGATTTACTCAAGTATATGAGGTCTAGCTTGCCAGTTTAGTGAATCTCCCTAGACTTTTATGTTCCTCAAATTGGTGCTTTGACTATATACTCTCACCCATGGCCACCTTTCTTCTCCTTTCTCCTATGCTTTACTTCTCGTTTGCAGCCTTACTTGATGGCGGGGAGGGTGTGGAAAAAACTTATTACACAGTTAAATAGTTATTAGAAAAGAATCCCATGAACTTAAAGCCCAAATTTACATCAGTTCTACATACTTTCCTGATAACACCATGATACATAAATATCTGTACATAGTTGTAATCAGTGTGTACATAATGTTCTGAGGCTTCTCTTTTCAACATTTTTTCATATATCCCTTGATATATTGACAATTCACATTCATTTTCCATGACTTTTTCCTTAATCATTTTTACTTACTGGATATATATGATTTTCATTCTTTTTCCAGTTTAATTAGCAATTCTATTTTAACCTAGGATAGAACTGAAGGTTGCCAGAGGAAACCAAATATCATGTTCTCAATAGTTGATGAAATTAACTACACACTACACCTGGAAAGGAATAAATCAAAAGCTTTGTGGCAGCTCTTTTCATTGGGTTTAGAGACTTTTTGCCACTGACGTCTGTCTTACTTTCAAGTTTTTGGCTATTATCATAAGTAGTGGTTGCTGCAAATGACTGCCAGAAAAGTAGGGCATCAGTATACCTAAAATGTAAAAACTTCAGGTTTCTGTAGATTTTTAAATAGATGAAAAATACCTTCAGTATTGTATTTCATTCGCATATTGTTGAAATAGTCAAAAGCATTTTTTAAAGCCCATATTCTCACTACATTGTCTTGTCCAGCTGAGGCAAGTAATCGGCCACAGTGAGAAAATTTCATGGTCCAAACAGCTCCCTATGAAAACAAAAGAAGTTTCAAAGTTAATACTTTACACCTTTAGAGACTTTACTTTTGGCCTGGCATGGTGGCTCACGTCTGTAATCTCAGCACTTTGGGAGGCTGAGGCAGGTGGATCACCTAAGGTCAGGAGTTCGAGACCAGCCTGGCCAACATGGTAAAACCCCATCTCTGCTAAAAATACAAAAATTAGCTGGGCATGGTGGCGGGCGCCTGTAATCCCAGCCACTTAGGAGGCTGAGGCAGGAGGATCACTTGAACCTGGGAGGTGAAGGGTGCAGTGAGTCAAGACCGCGCCATTGCACTCCAGCCTGGGCAACAAAAGCGAAACTCTATCTAAAAATAATAATAAATAAAATAAAATAGAGACATTACTTTAAAGCCAAAGTTTAAAATTACGCCAAATTACATATACTAAGATAATGCTCAAATTGCTAACACTACTTAAGTCCAAAAGTTCAATGGTGCTATAATACCACAAAAGTAGACTTTCACAAGAAAGGTAGGGTAAGATAGTTGTAGTGTTCCATAATCTAAACTAACAACTTCAAGAACTCAAACCCTGTCCACATATTAACAGAAATGGGAGTTCTAAAGTGGTCAGAAATCTTCATTGGAAAAGCACAAATCCTAGCTGGGGATCTTAGTCCCCTAGCTGAACGTAAAGATGGGTGGCAGAGCCCTCAGCATAGCACTAACAACTGAGCAGGACTGAGGAAGACTAAAGCCCACCTTGGCAGTGACCCGTATAGCATCCAGCACTTAGAAGTATTACAGTTTTGGAATGGGCCGGGCGTGGTGGCACGCGCCTGTAATCCCAGCACTTTGGGAGGTCCAGGCGGGTGGATCACTTGAGCTCAGGAGTTTGAGACTAGCCTGGGCAACATGGCGAAACCCCATCTCTACAAAAAATACAAAAAATTAGCCAGGCATGGTGGTGCGCACCTGTGGTCCCAGCTACTCAGGAGGCTGAGGAGGGAGGACTGCTTGAGCCCAGGAGGCAGAGGCTTCAGTGAGCTGAGATCCCGCCCCTGCACTCCAGCCTGGGTGACAGAGCGAGACTCTGCCACAAAAAGAAAAAAAAAAAAAGGTAGTTGTATTGGAGTGGTGTGGTCTCATCCTACTTTTCTCTCTAGAAACAAGGTTTCAAAGTATATGACCAGAATCTCTAGATACTGAGAACAATAGGAAAGTATGTGTGTGTGGTGGGGGTGGAGGAGCAGGGAGAAAGAACATGAACCTCTTAAGTTGGAAAGACCAAATCTTATTACAAGAAATACTATTATATACACATTCAGATGTATCAAAAAGATTATGCCACAGCCCATTTATTGAAATAACCATTCACTTCTACAAAATTCAAGTGTATTAAAAATGAGTCATTTGGAGCCTACTACGATGAGATTTTATTTAAAACAGGAAATAACGAGTCAATACAGTACTAGGAAATTCATCAATTTCCTTAAGGAAAATACTAAAATCAACTCAAACATTTATCTGTAAACATCAAAATTTAAATTTGAATTTGGTTGCCATCCAATATATTTATGGTTGCTTCATTCTAGTTAAGCCAACTTTTAGACTTAAAATGTAAACAGATTCCCTGATCAAGGGCACAGTATTATTTATTCAGATCTAAATTTTATCACTGCCTTCTTTGTGTTCCTAGCATTTTCAGGGGTTAACCACAATACAGTTTGTGCAATTGCATCTACATTGGTACATTTGAACTCTAAAGGAGAACTTGAACTTTTACCTCTCTCCTTGTTTTAGCTGAATATCTCACTTTACAACATATATTGAGCTTCTGATATATTTTGTAAATTATTTAAAATATGGTTGGGAGCATTTTAAACATTTTTCAAAGTTACACCCTCTAATCTAACTGCTTTAAAGTTTGGTGCCTTTGCATAGCTTTCTTAGTGATACAGCCTGAGAGTTTACTTATTCAATAACTCCTTTCTTTCTTTTTTTTTTTTTTTTGAGACGGAGTTTTTTACTCTGTAGCCCAGGCTGGAGTGCAGTGGCACAAACTCGACTCACCACAACCTCTGCCTCCTGGGTTCAAGCAATTCTCCTGCCTCAGCCTCCCAAGTAGCTGGGATTACAGGCACCCGCCACCATGCTTGGCTAATTTTTATATTTTTCGTAGAGACAGGGTTTCGCCATGTTGGTCAGGCTGGTCTCGAACTCCTGACCTCAAGTGATCCGCCTGTCTTGGCCTCCCAAAGTGCTGGGATTACAGGCGTGAGCCACCGCACCTGGCCGATAAGTCACTTCTGGAATAATTCAGAGATAGACTTTGCATTACCTATTCATTAAATCATGTTAACATAAATTCCCCGTTCTTGAGTCAGGCTAGCAAAGTTACATACATAGAAAGAGATAGTTTTGTAGAAGCCAAAGTATTTCTCTTAACAAAAACAGTATCAATCCTAAAAAATGAAAAAGTTGCTTACCATATGTTCACCACTAAGATCTTGCACCACTTTGATCTGATCAAAATCATAAGGTCCTTTGAAACCGTGTGCTGCTTTGAATTTAACTGGTCTTGTGTATGGCATTCCTTCATCATCACTTGATGAAGGATCATCTTGATCAGTATGAAACACTGAACAGAAAAGCAACAGAAATCACTACTAGCTAATGTAGATATTGCTATTATCATAATTTCATATTTCCTGCATACCAAGAAAATTCATTAAATGGAAGAGCAAAATTTATTTATTATATAACATACTGGTTAAAAACATGGAGTCTAATGCCAGACTGCCAGGTTCAAATCCAGCTCTGTCATTTATTATCTGTGTGACCACAGGCAAGTTACTCAACTTTCGATGCCTCTTAGTTTTCTCATCTATCAAATGGGGATAATGATGGTACTTACCTCATAGGGTTTCTATGGGATTAAATGAATTAATACAGGTAAAAGTGCTTAGTACAGTCCCAGGCACTGAATAAGTACTATGTAAGTTTCATTAAATAAAACAAATGAGTACAATAATGACAAAAGCATAGGAGGTTAAGATATGTGCAAATTTAGAAAATTTACCTAATTAAAAAAATTTATTTATTTATTTTTATACAAACAGGGGTCTCACTATGTTGCCCAAGCTGGTCTCCAACTCCTGGGCTTAAGTGATCCTCCTGCCTTAGCCTTCCAAAGTGTTGGGATTACAGATATGAGCCATCATACCCAGCCCTACCTAATTTTGAAAATACAGTTATTCCCCAGTATCCATGGCAGGACCTGCTATGGGTACCAAAATCTGCGAATGCTCAAATCCCTTAACATAAAATGGCATGGTATTTGCATATAACCTATGCACATCCTTTCACGTACTTGCTTTCTTTTTTAAAGACAGGGTCTCAGGTTGGAGTGCAATGGTGCAATCATAGCTCATTGCAGCCCTGAACTCTTGGGCTCAAGCAATCCTGCTCCTTGGCCTTCTGAGTAGCTGGGACTATAGGCACACGTCACTACACAAAGCTAATTTTTATTTTTTAGTAGAGACAGGGTCTCACTATGTTTGACCAGGCTAGTCTCGAACTCCTGGCCTCAAGCGGTTCTCCTGTCTTGGCCTCTCAAAGTACTGGAATTATAGGCATGAGCCACCATGCCTCGCCCTGTATACTTTAAATAATCTCTAGATTACTTATAATATCTACTGCAGTGTAAATGTTATATAAATAGTTGTTATATTATTTTTTCTATTATGTTTTATTGTTGCATTGTTATTTTTTATATATTTTTAAAAATATTTTTCTATCTGTGGTTGTTTGAATCCCTCCATGTGGAACCCATGGATATGGAGGACTGACTGTATTTGTAAAAACCAAATAGCTGGCCAGGCGCGGTGGCTCACGCTTGTAATCCCAGAGCTTTGAGAGGCTGAGGTGGGCAGATCACCTGAGGTCATCAGTGCGAGACCAGCTTGGGCAACATGGTGAAACCCTGTCCCTACTAAAAATACAAAAATTAGCCAGGTGTGGTGGCAGGTGCCTGTAATCCCAGCTACTTGGGAGGCTGAGGCAGGAGAATTGTTTGAACCCAGGAGGCAGAGGTTGAAGTGAGCCGAGATCGTGCCACTGTACTCCAGCCTGGGTGACAGAGCGAGACTCCATCTCCAAAAAAGAAAAAAATAGCCTTGGCCAGACGTGGTGGCTCATGCCTGTAATTCCAGCATTTTGGGAGGTAGAAGTGGGTGGATCACCTGAGGTCAGGAGTTCAATACCAGCCTGGCCAACATGGCAAAACCCTGTCTCTGCTAAAAATACAAAAATTAGCCAGGTGTGGTGGTGTGTGCCTATAATCCCAGCTACTTGGTAAGCTGAGGCAGGAGAATGGCTTGAACCCAGGAGACGGAGGTTGCAGTGAGCCAAGATCATGCCATTCCACCCCAGTCTGGGCGACAGAGCAAGACTTTCTCAAAAAAAAAGAAAAAAGAAAAACCCAAAACCAAATAGCCTTAAAAAACTAATTTATGGCCGGGTGCAGTGGCTCACGCCTGTAATCCCAGCACTTTGGGAGTCCGAGGCAGGCAGATCACGAGGTCAGGAGATCGAGACCATCCTGGCTAACACAGTGAAACCCCGTCTCTACTAAAAACACAAAAAATTAGCCAGGTGTGGTGGCAGGCGCCTGTAGTCCCAGCTACTCGGGAGGCTGAGGCAGGAGAATGGTGTGAACCTGGGAGGTGGAGCTTGCAGTGAGCCGAGATCGCGCCACTGCACTCCAGCCTGGGCAACAGAGTAAGACTCCATCTCAAATAAACAAACAAACAAACAAACGAAACTAATTCATAACTGATTATTTAACACTCAACCATTTCAGACTGTCAAAAGTCACAAAATATGTATAAATCCATTTTTCTTCACACTCATAAAATTAAGTCATAGAGTACCTTATTTATTGAAATACTAAGATGTCAGCTATAAAGGTTTACTATTTTAAATAGAATGCTTCTTACAAACTACAGGCTAAATTTAGACGATTACAAATTAATTGAATGTTTAGTTGAAATGTTCTGTTTTAACTCACCTTCATCTCTAACACTTTTAACTTTATTTATAGCACGTTCACCATATTCCTCAGCAAGGTGCTTTGCTCTCTTTACTGATTTTCCAAGAAACTTCTTTAGTTGAGTCCTTAACAAAAATGAAAAAAGTATCAACTCAGTTAACTGTAAAAGTCCAATAATTTGCAGACAAATGTATCAGCTGTGACTGATAAAGTACACTACTTTGAAATAACTTTTTTAAACATAAATAATAGGTGTTTGAGTTCCAAATCCCTTATTCTATGGAATAAACATATTCAAGTCAATATGGCAAAGGAAACATACACCCTTTCCCCCAATTTACAATATTCATATATTCTAGAGCTTTGGTTTTCAATGGTGAATAAAAATTGATTGGCAGAGGTAGTGTGGAGAGGGGAGTGTTTAAAGTGTAGGTACTTCAGCTCCATCCCCAGATAATCCAATTTAGAGAGTCTGGGGGTGAGAACTGCTTTGAGAAGGCTGCTTTAGAGAGCTGTTCTTAAAAACACATTTTACCAATAAAGAGTAAAGAGATATTTCCTCACAAAATAGAATGCTTTGGTAGCTTAAGATGGTCCCTTGTCCCTTCTCTTTCAGTTTGGGTAGGTGCATGTAATAAAATTAGGCTGAGTTTTCCTAGTAGGTATTCCCAAATACGAGGTAAACTAAGTATGCATCTCAAGCTTCCATAAATAGGACTTACTTATTGCATTTTCAATTAGCTAAGTCTCAGATTTCATATATTAAGATTACAAAAAGCAATGCACAGTACATGATGATATTTAAAACCAAAAGAAATACAAATCAGGAGTAAATTTTTACTGATTCATGGGAGCTCATGAGGGACAGTATTTTTAAAAGTTGTTAAGTTATATATACAGAGAAGTTCAATGTAACACTGTTTAGAATAGTCAAAAAGTGGAAATAAACTAAATTTTTTTTTGTCAATAGAGGAACAGATAAATAAGTGCTGGTATGAAATACAATAAAATTAATGAGGCAAACCTCAGCTTTTTAAATGTGCCAAGCTCTTATAGTAACCTCAGGGGCTTTGCATGTGTGGTTATTTCTGCCTGGAACACCTCTCCCTTGGCTAATTCCCACTCACTTTTTAGGTCTCAGATCAAACAGCTCTCTCAAAATGGCCTTTTTAACTTTAGACAGAGTTTTTGTTACATAGTCCCCGTTTATCCCAAGTTTGACTTTACATGGTTTCAGTTACCCCAGTCAACCATGGTCCAAAAATATTAAATGGAAAATCCCAGAAATAAAACAATTTGTAAGTTTTAAATCGTGTGCCATTCTGAGTAGCATGATGAAATCTCACACCACCCTGCTCCATCCTACCTGGGATGTGAATCATCCCTCTGTCCAGTGTTTCCACGCTATAGATGATACCCACTTATTACTTAGTAGTCTTCTTGGTTATCAGATAGAAAAAACACAGTAGATACAGAGTCTGGTACTATCTGTGATTTCAGGTATCCACTGGGGATCTTGGAACGTATACCCCATGGATAAGAGGGAACTACTGTAATATCTCCACAGCACCTGGAACTTTTCTTTTATAGCAATCACTACAAATGTAGCTAGACTTATCTGTGCAATTACATGTTTAATGCCTATTTCTCCCATTTAACAGAAGTTCTATGAAGGCAGAGACCACGAATGTCTTTTTTATAAATTGTTTTTAATTGAGACAGAGTCTTGCTCTGTTGCCCAGACTGGAGTGCAGTGGCATGATTTTGGCTCACTGCAGCCTTGACATCCCAGGATCAATAGACCCACCTGCCTCTGCCTTCTGAGTTGCTGGGATTACAGGCACACACCACCATGCCTGGCTAATTTTTGTATTTTTTGTAGAGACGGGGTCCTGCCATGTTGCCCAGGCTGGTCTTGAACTCCTGGACTCAAGTGATCCACCTGCCTTGGCCTCCCAAAGTGCTCGGATTACAAGCATGAGCCATTGCACCCATCCTGAATGTTTTTTTTTTTTTTTTTTTTTTTTGAGACAGAGTTTCACTCTTGATGCCCAGGCTGGAGTGCAAAGGCATGATCTCAGCTCACTGCAATCTCTGCCTCCTGGGTTCAAGCAATTCTCCTGCTTCAGCCTCCCGAGTAGCTAGGAGTACAGGCGCCCACCACCATGCCCAGCTAATTTTTTGTATTTTTAGTAGAGATGGGCTTTCACCATGTTGGCCGGGCTGGTCGTGAACTCCTGACCTCAGGTAATCCACCTGCCTCGGCCTCCCAAAGTGCTGGATTACAGGCATGAGCCACCACGCCTGGCCTCTTAATGTCTTAACTGTTATATCCCAAGCACTTAACTCTCATATCTGGCTCTCAGAAAGACTACAATATATATATTATTAGTGCTGATATAAAGAGATGTCTATGATATATTTGATTTTCTAAAAAAAAACCAAAAAAACAAAAAAAACAAAAAACAGCAAGTTGACAAACTATAGACATAGAGTAGCCCCGCTTTTACGAGAAAAAAAAATTCTATGGCGAATACACCATGCTATTAAAACTGATTTCTGGATTGGCTAGCCATATGTAGAAAGCTGAAACTGGATCCCTTCCTTACATCTTATACAAAAATCAATTCAAGATGGATTAAAGATTTAAACGTTAGACCTAAAACCATAAAAACCCTAGAAGAAAACCTAGGCATTACCATTCAGGACATAGGCATGGGCAAGGACTTCATGTCTAAAACACCAAAAGCAATGGCAACAAAAGACAAAATTGACAAATGGGATCTAATTAAACTAAAGAGCTTCTGCACAGCAAAAGAAACTACCATCAGAGTGAACAGGCAACCTACAAAATGGGAGAAAATTTTCGCAACCTACTCATCTGACAAAGGGCTAATATCCAGAATCTACAATGGACTCAAACAAATTTACAAGAAAAAAACAAACAACCCCATCAAAAAGTGGGCGAAGGACATGAACAGACACTTCTCAAAAGAAGACATTTATGCAGCCAAAAAACACATGAAAAAATGCTCATCATCACTAGCCATCAGAGAAATGCAAATCAAAACCACTATGAGATATCATCTCACACCAGTTAGAATGGCAATCATTAAAAAGTCAGGAAACAACAGGTGCTGGAGAGGATGTGGAGAAATAGGAACACTTTTACACTGTTGGTGGGACTGTAAACTAGTTCAACCATTGTGGAAGTCAGTGTGGCGATTCCTCAGGGATCTAGAACTAGAAATACCATTTGACCCAGCCATCCCATTACTGGGTATATACCCAAAGGACTATAAATCATGCTGCTATAAAGACACATGCACACGTATGTTTATTGCGGCATTATTCACAATAGCAAAGACTTGGAACCAACCCAAATGTCCAACAATGATAGACTGGATTAAGAAAATGTGGCACATATACACCATGGAATACTATGCAGCCATACAAAATGATGAGTTCATGTCCTTTGTAGGGACATGGATGAAATTGGAAATCATCATTCTCAGTAAACTATCGCAAGAACAAAAAACCAAACACCACATATTCTCACTCATAGGTGGGAATTGAACAATGAGATCACATGGACTCAGGAAGGGGAATATCACACTCTGGGGACTGTGGTGGGGTGGGGGGAGTGGGGAGGGATAGCATTGGGAGATATACCTAATGCTAGATGACGAGTTAGTGGGTGCAGCGCACCAGCATGGCACATGTATACATGTGTAACTAACCTGCACAATGTGCACATGTACCCTAAAACTTAAAGTATAATAAAAAAAAAAACAAAACTGATTTCTGGGGCTGAGATTATGAGAAACTTTCATTTTCTATTTTACATATTTCTGTATTTCTTTTGATAACCAGAAAACACAGATGATAAACCATTTTTAAAGCCATTATAAGGTCTCTGCTACCTATAACTCTGAAGCTGTATTTTCTGGATAATTATAAGTTTACTACCACTTTAAAAGCCAAGAAAACAGACATTTTAATTATTTCAGATGGTAATAGTTCTAAAGTATCTACTTTTATGCCTTCTTAAATGGCACTTAATGTTCCCTAAATTTCATTCCTTGATGGATAAGATCGTTACCATCATTTTGGTTCTTTAATACATTCAGAGCCTTTCTAATGCATTGCAGGTGGGCCATACTATTGGTTCCCCACTCAGCCTTCAAGGCAACAGGGCAGGGCCCAGGGAAGCCTGGGCCAATCTTCTCTGGCCATCAGCTGATGGCCAGCTTACCCCAACATTCAGTGCAAATACTATTATGTTCTCTGTGTGTCAATGGCATAAGAAAAGGTTGAAAAGCACTGTGGTACAATGATTGTGCTATGAGTTTTTTTTTTTTGGTGGGGGGTGTGGGGGACAAGGTCTTGCTCTGTCACCCAGGCCGAAGTGCAGTGGTGTGATCACGGCTCACTGCAGCCTCGATCCCTCAGGCTCAAGCAATTCTCCCATGTCAGCCTCCTGAGTAGCTGAGACCACATGTGTGTGCCACCATGCCTGGCTAATTTTTAAAATTTTTTGGTAAAGAGTGAGTCTACCTGTGTTGCTCAGGCTGCTCTCAAACTCCTGGGCTCAAGTGATCCTCCTACTTTGGTCTCCCAAAATGCTAGGATTACAGGTGTGAGCCACTGCACCCACCTATATTATGAGTTATTTTATCATTTTTCTGATTACCTGACATTCTTATGTGTCAACTTACATGTTGTCACAGTTTGCTGCTTCTATTTTGCAGTAAGCTCAGACACTGAACAGAGTTTTAAAAAAAATGATGTAAGAAATAAGCATAATGGCTTTGAATAAACCTGAGGAACTTTTCTCTTAGAAAAATAATGAGCTTTAGTGCATGGACTATGTGACATCTCTTCTGGATGTTTATCTGTCCCAGAATAATTGTAGTAATTCCTTATTCTCAGGTTCCCAATAACTGCAACTACTAGATGGCCAAGTTCCAAATATCTAAGGTGCTATCATATGCCTGCATTTTAGGTACATCTTTCCTAAAAATTCTCAATGCTTTCTTTGATACACACTAGGAAAAGGACTCAAGTGGATAATTCACTTTGGACCTTAGAGTTAATTATTATCAATTTAGTGACTTGTGTATAATCAAACAAAATGTACAGGCCCACCATTGATCTAGAAGTTTGTAGGGGAAACAAAGGATGGCATAATCAGAATCCTTTTGCAACATACGCTTTGATTGTTTAATGTGTATTTGTCTGAAAACAGTTTAAGATAACATATTGTAAAGGGAAAAAGTAAGTTATAGACTACAGGTATTCCCAAAATTGAGAAAAGAAAGAAAATTGCCATGGACTGTAGTAGTCAGGAGGAATCTCATTATAGTTGGGTTTAGAAAGACAAATAGGATTGCAGAGATAAAGAGAAAGGGAAAAGACAACTTCAAGGACAATCATGTTCTTCTACTAACACTTTTCGTACCTACCTACTGGTAGAAAAATAACACAAGTATGGTGCAACACTTACTGGTCATTTTCTGTATGTCAGATGCTTTATTATTATTACCATTTTTTTTTTGAGGGGGAGTCTTGCTCTGTCGCCCAGGCTGGAGTGCAGTGGAGTCCACCTCCTGGGTTCAAGTGATTCTCCTGCCTCAGCCTCCCAAGTAGCTGGGATTACAGGCACCTGTCATCATGCCCAACTAATTTTTGTATTTTTAGTAGAGATGGGGTTTCACCATGTTGGCCAGGCTGGTCTTGAACCCCTGATCTCAGGAGATCTGCCTGCCTTGGCCTCCCAAAGTGATGGGATTATAGGCGTGAGCCATTGCGCCCAGCCCAGATGCTTTAAAACTAATCAATACAACTTCATAACCCATCAGCGAGGGACAGGGAGGAATGGTGGTGGGTAGACATAAAAACTACATGGAGCATGATTTAAAATAGTATGGTAGTTCTCATATTTTTTTAAATAAAAACTTGAAATGAAGAAAAGGGATGTACTGTAACTCACGTTTTCTGTTTTAACCTTCCACCATCAGTATCTGTTGGCTGAGACTGTAACTTCTCTTCATCATCTGACTGTGCCGCGTCATTACTGTAAGAAGGGGAAGTTGTTTTAAAAGAAGCCATTTCTTCTATACTTCTTAAAAATCTGTTTATACTTACTATATAACCAGTTAATCAGAATAAGAAAAACTACGCTAATAAGCTTTACATAATTTTAATTATTTATTTATTTATTTAGGAGATGGAGTCTTGCTCTGTCGCCCAAGCTGCAGTGCAGTGGCACAATCTTGGCTCACTGCAACCTCCGCCTCCCTGGTTCAAGCAATTCTCCTGCCTCAGCCTCCTGAGTACTTGGGACTATAGGCGCACACCACCATGTCTGGCTAATTTTTTGTATTTTAGTAGAGACAGGGTTTCACCATGTTGCCCAGGCTCGTGTCGAACTCCTGAGCTCAGGCAATCCACCCACCTTGGCCTCCTAAAGTGCTAGAATTACGGGTGTGAGCCACTGTGCTCGGCCCATATAATTTTAATTTAAATGATGGACCTGACAACTTAAAGGCTTCAGAAATTGAAGAAAAGAATCTTTAAGCAAGGTTCAATGTACAACATGTAAATGAATGCAATTTAGAAATTTATGAAAAACCTACTACAAACAAACCTTTTTGCTTGGCAAAATGTGCTATAGGGAAATAATAAAGTAACTTGTAGGTATCTTCCTCCCCACTCATTAAGTACATCCTGCATTACATTTAATAAAATAGCTCCTGCTTTTACCAAAATGATTCAATAGATCCACATACATCTCGTAGTAAAGTCACTCATCTCATTTTAAAGCCATTTTCTGATCCTACAAAAACAGTACAAATATTTAAACAATTTATGATCCTTAAAGCAAGGTTTCAGAAGACTAAGTGTTCATTCTACATAGCTTTTTAGCCTCATTTTTCTGTTATTTTAATTTATTTATTTATTTTTGTGGAGATGAGGTCTCACTATGTTGCCCAGGCTCCTCTCTAACTCCTGAATTCAAGTGCTGCCTCAGCCTCCTAAAGTGCTGGGATTACAGGCATGAACTATCACGCCTGGCTGCCTCACTGTTTTTATATTGTCTCAAGTATAATTTAAATCATTAAAAAAGAGAAATTAAGTGCTATGGGATTTAATATTTATACTATTTTCCCCAAGTAACTGTACAGTCATAATGAAGAGCAAAGTTAAAGAATACATACATTATCTAACTCTATTTTAATTCCAGAAGAAAAAAGACTGAATGAAACCAAATTAGGGGTTGTCATAGTTCATTAACAGAGAAATCTTAACAACTCTGAAATACTAGAAATGACAAATAACAACATTAGGCCATACCTTACATATTCTTTTGTCCTTCTCATGATGTGTAGAGTGAGAGGATTAATGCCTGTTGGTAGTTTCTCTTCTGCAAGACTCAAAGGTATTTCTTCTCCAGTATCCAGGTTCTTAATCATTACACTGGCTAAAATTTCCTGAGGTTAAAAAAAAAAAACAATCACACCAAGATGACCTGCAATTTAATTATCTTTTTGAGTCTACAAAATCCCCTAAAATTTAAGCTAAAGGCTTTTTAGATATATTCAATACTGCACACAATAATTTCTAACATTTTTATTGAGATATAATTCACATGCCACAAAATGCACTCATTTAAAGCATATAATTCAATGGTTTTTAGTATATTCACAGAGTTGTACAACTATTGCCACTAAGTCAGAATATTTTCTGCACCCCAAAAGGAAATTCCCTACCCATTAGCAGTCACACCTCATTTCCCTTTCTTTTTAGCCCCTGGCAAATACCAATCTACTTTCTGTCTCTATAGATTTGCCTATTCCATACATTTCATATAAATCAAATCCTGTAATATATGGCGTTTTATGTCGGTTTCTTTAACTTAACATGATGTTTTCAAGGTTTATCCATGTTGTAGCATGTATCAGTACTTTATCCCTTCATTCCTTTTAATTGCTAAAAAATATAACATGGTATGAATATACCACATTTTATTTATCCATCCAATCAGTGATGAACATTTGGGTTGTTTCCACTTTCTGGCTGTTATGAATGATGATGCTGTGAATATTTGTGTACATTTTTTTGTGTGAACATATGTTTTCATTTCTCATTGGTATATACAAAGGAACGGAATTGCTGGGTCATGGTAACACTATGTTTCACATTTTGAGGAATTGCCAAACTGTTTTCCAAAGTGCAATATTTTAAGAAATGTATTGTTTTAAAGAAACATCAACTAAGATTTTGCTGTAAAATTTAATTCTGAATAAGTTGGCTAATAGGTGCATACTAAGTTTTAATGATAAGAAACCATTAAAATAATAAAAAAATTTATTTTGGTATAACATATATTCATAATATCAAGTTCTTTTATTATTATATTATTTTAAATTTTTTTTCTTGAGACCGAGTCTTGCTCTGTCGCCCAGGTTGGAGTGCAGTGGTGTGATCTCGGCTCACTGCAACCTCCGCCTCCCAGGTTCAAGTGATTCTCCTGCCTCAGCCTCTGGGTAACTGGGATTACAGATGCACACCACCATGCCTGGCTAATTTTTGTATTTTTAGTAGAGACAGGGTTTTGCCATGTTGGCCAGGCTGGTCTCAAACTCCTGACCTCAAGTGACCTGCCCACCTTGGCCTCCCAAAGTGCTGGGATTACAGGAGTGAGCCACCACACCTGGCCTCAATATCAAGTTCTTTTAAAGCCCACTTTCTATAAAATATAAACCTTGCTTTCAATATATTTATTCCACTATGCAACACAGTGAAAGGGCAAGTTTAAGTCAGAGATGCTACATCCAGCATATCAACAAAGACAATCTTCAATTTTCATTTTTTCTTCTGTATTTTTTTTTGTGTGTAACAGCAATAAACTTAAAAAAAATTAAATTGTGGTAAACTACACATAACATAAAATTTACCATTTTAACCATTTTTAAGTGTATAGTTCTGGGTCATTAAGTACATTCACATTGTCATGCAACCATCATTACCATCCATCTCCAGAACGTTTTCATCTTCCCATTATGTTTTTTGTACTTTATGTTTTAAGAACAAGAACAAAAAAATCTATTTCTACCTCATCAGTAAGCTCTCTCCCAGAGTTGGATCTAGGTCTCTGAGGGCCCATCACTTCACCTGCTACAGTCTGCCCATCAGGTGCTTTTCCATTTTCCTGGAAATATAATTTTATAAACAGAAATTAGACTGAATCAATTTCTATAAATTTTCAATTATTACCACATATAATTCTAAAGAATTTCATAATTCAGATAATGGAGTCTGCTGAAAATCTAAATGGAACATTACGTTTCAGTCCTTCATTTTTCCCAGCATGCTGAAAAACATTAGGAACCAAAACTATTGCTGCTCATGAAATAATGTCTTAGTATTCTTGAAAACAAATAAATGTTCTATTTGAACCTGGCCAAAAGGCATTTCTCTACTAAGACTGCTATTAATCTGGACTGTATGTGGCTACCTCAAAGGTAGGGGTCAGAAAACTTCTCTCTATAAAGAGCCATACAGTAAATATTTAAGGCATTTTTGTTCATATAGAGTCTCTGTCACATATTCTTCTTCTTATTTTAAACAACCTTTAAAAATGTAAAGAACATTCTTAGCTTGGGGAACCTCCTAAAGCAGGCCACTACTGACCCCTGCTCTAAGGCTATAACAAGACTATAGTGTCCTATATTCTAGTGTGGTAGCCTGGCCCACCACAGCTACCATGTAAGTAGCTCTGAGTCCCAGAATCTGGCTGTGGTAAAATTAGTGTTATCAAGTCTTTTGTGTAGCCCGCTTCCTAGCATATAAAGTTTTTCTATGATTAGGAAAAGGAAATTATAAAAAAAAAAAGTCTTCAATTCTGACCAATACAGGACAAACATAGACTATAGTTGGTGTTTATTAGTACCAACAATATTACAAATAGTAGCATCTGTCGTTTTTTGAATACCTATTACCTGCTAGATACTTGGCATATTTTAGCTCATTTCAAACCCTCAAGGAAGGACTTTTCCTCCATTTTATTGATGGGGCATCTGAGATCCAGATGCTAAACAGCTTGCTAGGCTCACCCAGTTAGCATGTAGCAGAGCTGATCAAGAGAAGTAAGGGGGTCAGGTTTGGAGGACAAAGAAAAATCTGGCCTGGAGAATACAGAATAATCATCAACAAACCAGCCAGTTGCAGGGAGCTGATAAAGTCTATATGAAACAGAACACTAATTCACCAACCTGGGCGGTAACTATTTTATCTCCACTGGTAGCACTTGCCAAATCAAGAGAAGGCTGAGAATCCTTAACCGTACTTTCTGAAGCCATGCTTGCGGTTAGGAGAGAATCAGACGTAATATTCTCTTTGGGAACTGCAATGATAATAATAACAACAATAATAACAACCCTTTTTGTTTGATTCTTGTAACAACCCTGTGAGGAAAGTGGCTTGATTACTCTCATTTCCTATACAGGGAAACCATGGTTCAAACAAGTTATTTAATTTCCTCAAGACTATACAGCTCATACAAAAAAAAGATGCAGGACTTGAATTCAGACTTTAGGTCTCCAAATCCCAAGTTTTTTTCACCATGCCACTCTCTCTCAGATGGCAACAGAATTGAAAGTTTGAAGTCTGCTGAAGTGTTCAATTACAGTAAAGTAATTTTCACCAATGTAAACATTTTTACATTTTGTCTATTACTAAAGAAATAATTTTAATAACTTGGTTGCCAGTGAGTTTTTTAATAAAGTGAAATAAAGGCAGAAAGGTAAACAGTTTCAACTCCAAAATTTCACCACAAAGAGTTATTTCTCTCTTTTTTTTTTTTTTTGAGACAAGATTTCACTCTGATCACCCAGGCTGGAGTGCAATGGCGCGACCTTGGCTCACTGCAGTCTCTGCCTCCCAGGCCCAAGCAACTCTCCTGCCTCAGCCTCCCAAGTAGCTGGGACTACAGGCGCGTGCCACCATGGCCAGCTAACTTTTGTATTTTTTTTTGTTGTTGTTGCTCAGATGGGGTTTTGCCATGTTGCCCAGGCTGGTCTTGAACTGAGCTCAAGCGATCCGCCCGCCTTGGCCTCCCAAAGTGCTGGGATTACAGGCGTGAGCCACTGTGCCCAACCAACAGAGTGATTTCTCAATTAATACTTGCCATCTATATCAGGAGTTTTCAGAGTCTCAAATTCCAATTCGCTTTTCCTTTTTCTTGGTGGTGGAGCAGGTCGAGAAGGAGGTGGGGGTCTAGGAGGTGGGAAATTAGTTGGAGGAGGTGGGCGTGCTGGAACAGGCTTCTTTGTACTAGCCACTATATCAGGCTCTGGAGTAAGGTGTCTTGGGGGTTTGGCAGGGGCCACTTCTTCCACAGCGGCAAAATCTTTAGTAGATAAGGAGTCTGAGGACACAGGCTCTAAAACATCACCACCTCCTTTGACTTCCACTGCTTCCTTGTTCAATACTTCTGTTTCAGTTTCAAGCACATTAAGCTGCTCAGTTGAACTTGTTTGAGTTAACTTCGTGGTTTCATCTACTGGTTTCTCACAGGTTTCATCAGAAGGAAAGCATTTTTTTAATTCTAATTCAGTCTCTTCAAATGTATTCTGACTCTCTGCCTTTTGGGATTCTTCCGGTAGTACTTGATCTATGGCTAACAGTCCGGGTATATTGCTCAGATCTGTTCTAGCCACAATAGGACTGGCAGTAGCTTGATCAGAGAGTTCTTTTCCTTTGGAATCCAAAGAGTCATCTTCAAGCTGTAGTACTTTCTGACTCTCCTCAATAATACTTTCAATAATCTGATGAAAGGGTTAAAAGTAGTTTTTAAAAATGAAGCTATTTATAAGAACACAGTAACAGCTAATCATTTACATAGTACTTAGTATGTGCCAGGCAATGTTCTTAACACTTTACATATTTTAATCTTTACAACAACCTTATGAGATTCTACTCCTACTGTCACCATTTTACAAATTAGGGAACTAATCAAATGATTTGTCCAAGGTCACAAAGCTAGTAAGTGATGAAGCAGGTATAAACCCAGGGAGTTTGATTCCAGCATCTATACTCTTAACCCTCATAATAGCAAATTTGTGTTAATACTTAGGTACAAAAGATCAAATAATCCTGTAAAATCAAGTTCAATCCTAAACTTACATTAAGACTCAATATCCTGATTCATTTACATATTTATGCCAAACTTGTTGTAATACCAGCCTAATGGTTTGAGCCTACTTAACCAAACCACGATAATCCAAATCCCCAGGAGAAGAATTCAAGTTGTTTAGCTCTGAACTCAAGCTTATGACCCAAAAACCAGCAGATGCAGGGAGATTAACATTCTTAAACAGACTACACCTAAACTCCACTATGTGGACTGATGGCAGGACCATGAAAAGAGTTCAAATACCCAGTCCACCTTGTCTTTTCCCTTCCTTTCTTTTTCTTTTTTGAAATGGAGTCTCACTCTGTCACCCAGGCTGGAGTGCAGTGGCACGATCTTGGCTCACTGCAACCTCTGCCTCCCAGGTTCAAGCAATTCTCCTGCCTCAGCCTCCCTAAAAGCTGAGATTACAGGTGCTCCACGCCGGGATAATTTTTGTATTTTTAGTAGAGACGAGGTTTCACCATGTTGGCCAGGCTGGCCTTTAACTCCCGACCTCATGTGATCCACCTGCCTCAGCCTCCCAAAGTGCTGGGATTACAGGCATGAGCCACTGCGCCTGGCCCCCTTTCTTATATGTAGCTTAAAATATAAACAGGCTTTCTATTATCTTCTGCCAACATTTAGAATATATTTTCTCCCCAGTCTTGTCATTACTAATATTAAATCTCCCAGATCACTTATCCTGCCACCATGTCCAACCATGAACAACTTCTGCTTTCTCAATTCCCTGGCTTCAGAAAGTTAACAGAATGCATCATAGAACCATCCTAATCTGGTTTACTACAATTTCATGCTAACTTGAACTGGGTATTACTGCTGCTCAGTAATATTCATCCCTGATTTCTTAGCATGTTCTATATGTTAGTTTTTCTCAAACTTCAAATTGTTAACCTTAGAAATTACCTTGCTTTCACCAAAACTAACCAGAGTCCAACCAATTTGTCAATTAGGTGGTTACTGAGCACTGAGAACCTCAATGATAACAGTGATAACAGAAGTCATATTACAATGGATTTGAGATTGAATAAGAGGTGAAGATACAGAGACATTAGCACGGTCTGAGTTTTCAAAAAGCTTAGCTATAAATGCAAAAAGACTTCGATAAAGTGACCCAGCACTTTTATAACCTGAAGGGAAGGAACTACTGGAAAAGAAGATAACAGAGCAATGTTCTGGAAAAGAAAGGAAAGAAGGCCTACTGTGTATTAGACCTAGTATACACATTCTCATTTAATTGTCATACAGGCCTTTGGGTTAGGTAGCTGGATTACCTCCCTCCTAGAAAAGCAGGACTCTGAGGTAAAGGCTTTAAGAATTTTGCCAGTCCCACAATTAGTAAGCTACAAAGCCAAAACTGAAATCCAGGTCTTACTTAAAAATCCAGTGATCTTTGTATTATACCACACTACTTTGGACAGAAAACAAGAATACTAAATCTTCAGTGATGGATGACATGAAAAAAAGGTAAGAAATAACAATAAATATGTAGGTAAAGGAAGTGAAAGATGATACAAAGGAATGGATTCAGGCTTTTTAGCCTCTAATATTTACGTGGAGTAGGAAACAAGGTTATCGGCTGAAAGTGAGGGGGATGTGAGTGGGTACAGTGAGCATGAGGTGAGTATAAAGGTTTGAAATAATCACTACACATAATGGAAATGTCTGTGCCACAAGAGGGGTCAAAATGAGGTTGAAAATGCATCTTCCCCAATCCCTTATCTGATAATAATCTCTCCCTCCTCTGCACTTCTATTATTATTCTTACTGTTCAGTATAGTATGAACTATAATACAAATACAGAGCTGTATATAGGCTAGCTCTATTTATTTTCTCTACACCAGATAATTAGTACCTGGAGAGAAAGGTCCATGTTTTTTGCCTCTTGATATGCCTCATGACACCTTCTTATGGTGCCTAGCCCTGTCATTTTTTTCTGGATTTTAGGAAATAGTGAAAACGGAAAGACTAAGAGAACAATGAGAACCAAGACACACATAGAGATGATTATGCTAAAGCATTGTTTGCTGCAAAAAGCTCACTGTGACCGGACACGGTGACTTATGCTTGTAATCCCAGCACTTTGGGAGGCTGAGGTGGGCGGATCAACTGAGGTCAGGAGTTCAAAACCAGCCTGGCCAACATGGTGAAACCCCATCTCTACTAAAAATACAAAATAAATAAATAAATAAATAAATATAAAAAATTAGCCTGGCGTGGTGGTGTGTTGGTGTAAACCCAGCTACTTGGGAGGCTGAGGCAGAAGAATTGCTTCAACCCAGGAGGTGGAGGTTGCAGTGAGCTGAGATCACACCACTGCACTCTAGCCTGGGCAACAGAGCGAGACTCAAGTCTCAAAAAATAAATAAATAAATAAATAAAAAGCAGACAGTTTAGTATGACATAAGGCATTCCTATAATCCAGCCCTAACTTTGCTCTCTAGGCTCATCCTCAAATGTTCTGCACATTCCCCACCTCCATGCCTTCAGTAATGCCTTTCCTCTCCCATCTTAGCCTGGCCAAATCCTTTTTTTTTTTTTTTTTTTTGAGAGGGAGTCTAGCTCTGTCACCAGGCTGGAGTGCAGTGGCGCAATTTCAGCTCACTGCAACCTCTGCCTCCAGGTTCAAGCGATTCTCCTGCCTTGGCCTCCCAAGTAGCTGGGACTACAGGGACACGCCACCACGCCCAGCTAATTTTTGTATTTTTAGTAGAGATGGGGTTTCTCCATGTTGGTCAGGCTGGTCTCGAACTCCCGACCTCAGGTGATCCGCCTGCCTCGGCCTCCCAAAGTGCTGGGATTATAGGCGTGAGCCACCGTGCCCGGCCTAGCCTGTCCAAATCTTATGCATTCATTAAGAACCAGCTCAGATGCTACCTCCTCCATGAAGTCATCTTCATTCCTACCCCCAAGCAAGAAGTCTCCTTCCCTTTGTGTTCTTACAATAGCTTCTAAGTTTATTTGAATACTTACTGCATTTAGTTTTGTGTTTATCCAATTTCTTCTACTAAAATGTAAGTTACTCGAGAGCAGAGTATGCCCTCGTCCAGGGTATATCCCCATAGCCTTTATCATTAGTGATTCATACTTAATTCAACTGAAAAGGCTAGAACTTAAAAAGTGATTATTTAGAATCTTAAACCTCATTCTGCTCCACAGTGTTTTCTCACTACTGTTTAAACTTCTAAACTCTCCTTAAAATCATCTTTTTTCCCCACTAACTATAGATAGTTATACATTTGTTATTTATCCTAAGAAAAACATTCTTTAAAAAATAAGAAAAGCTATAGTGGAAAAAACAGGAATATTTTAAGTTTCAACAATAAAAATGGCTAGATAACATTGTAATCCATTTACTTGATGGAATCTGATGCATCTGAGTACAGAACTCATATAGAAGTATGAGGAAAATCTAAAAATGGTAAGAGTAAAAGACAGAATATAAAATTCTACCTACACTACAATTAGGCAGAAAAATGTATGCTAATGGATGAGGACCAGAAGGAAATGCTGAAAAATCAAGACACCTGTGTGTTATAGTATAGAATTATAGGCAATTTCTTATTTTTTTAAAAAAATGGTTCAATTCCTGTTATGTACACTGCTATGCAATCCACCATTCGTCCCAAAAGGGAACATTTTTCCTTTAAAGGAAAAAGTATGATCAATATCAAAATATGTGGTCTCGCTGGGCACAGTGTTGCACACCTATAATCCCAGCACTTCGGGAGGCTGAGGTGGGTGGATTGCCTGAGCTCAGAATTTCAAGACCAGCCTGGGAAACATGGCAAAACCTTGTCTCTATAAAATATACAAAAATTATCCAGGCATGGTGGCATACACCTGTAGTCCCAGCTACTCAGGAGGGTGAGGTGGGAGGATCACTTGAGTCCAGGAGGTGGAGGCTACAGTGAGCCATGATTGTGCCACTGCACTCTAGCTTGGGCGACAGAGTGAGACCCTGCCTCAAATAAAAAAAAAATGTAGTCCATTAAATTTCTAAATTCCATAAGGATAGAACAGTGGTTTTCCATTAGGGGTTATTTTGTTCCATACCCCTTCCCAGACATCTGGAGATATATTTGGTTGTCATAATTGGGAGTTGAGGATGCTATTGGCATTTAGTAAGTAGAAGCTGGGGATACTGCTAAAACATCTTACAATGCACACAACAGGCCTTCCCCTACCCTCTATTAGCCCAAAATGTCGAGTGCCAGTACTGGAGAAACTCTGGGGTGGAGAATGTGTCATTTTGTTAGCCTCTGGAAACCCACTGGCTAGAACATTGCCTAGGGCACAGAAAACACTTAAAACTTGTATAAATGAATAAAAACACACCATCCTGTCTTTCTCCTTGAGTTTTATCCTGATACTGTAAACTGCCCATTTTCAAAATACTGATCTTGTGCTCAGTCTCTTCTAGTAAACCAACCTTTGAAGCTTCATAGCATCAATTTTTTAAAAGGTATCAGGTACTATCAGAGTAAGGACTTCTTATAACTTCTGATTCCTAAAGACATCAGAATGTTGCTGCACTGAGCTTTTCAATACCCATAACTCCTGGTAGTAACCTCAAGAAGAGTTAGGGCTTATTCTGATAAAAATACAAGAACAAAAAATAAAAGCATTTTACAAAATATTGTCTCAAGGATAAATTACCAATTAGAATATGAAAAGGACTTCTAAAAAGACTGAAATGTCTTCAACCACAAATGTGACAGATTCATGAAACATTTGCTGAACATCAGCCATGTACAGAGCGCTATACTAAAAGAATATAAAAGCTGTTTGAAATATACCATATAAATATGATGTCTGCTATAAACTAATATTGACATTGTATCTTTCCAACCTTTTTAGACACATCTTGTTTCAATTCTTGTACAGGGGACTCATTTCCAACTTTGTATGCAGTGTTCTCTGTTTCCTGTTTGAAAAAGAAAAGAAATAGAGACCAAATGATGACATCTTTTCTTTAAAAATATGCTTTAAAGGGGTACAAATGAGAAAATGTAGCATTAATAAATCAAAGGCCCTTAAAGGGCTTTGATTTCTTCTTCTTCTTTTTTTTTTTTTTTTTTTTTTGAGACAGAGTTTTACTCTGTCACCCAGGCTGGAGTGCAGTGGCACAATCCTGGCTCACTGCAACCTCTGCTTCCCGGGTTCAAGTGATTCTCCTGCCTCAGCCTCCCGAGTAGCTGGGATTATAGGCGCGTGCCACCACACCTGGCTAATTTTTGTAATTTTAGTACAGACAGAGTTTCACCTTGTTGGCCAGGCTGGTCTTGAACTCCTGACCTCAAGTGATCTACCCACCTCAGCCTCCCAAAGTGCTGGGATTATAGGTGTGAGCCACTGTGCCCAGCCTAAAGGGCTTAGATTTCTGAATACTGATAGATGCTCAGAAATTTTATGCCAAATGGGACAATGTAATTTGCATAAGAAAGTTACCCATCAGCAATATTCTATTATTCTGCAATAGGATATTTACCTTTAAATGTGAAAACTTGCTCAACTTTTTAACATTAAAAAACTGTAATGGACGATAAGAACTTCTACGTACTTTTATAGCTAAAAAGGATTAAGGATTTAAGCAAGGGGCTGAATAAAAATTGTTATTTTCCCCAAAGCATTGCTCCATAAATATGCACAAATACAAAAGTTTATAACACAGAAAACCACATTCAGGGAATAGTTTTCTTAAAATTCTACATGCTTTAGATAAAAGAAATCAAGACTTAACCAGAAGTTAAATGAAGCCCCTAAAAAAACTATGAAAAAAGATGAAAAAAATTAAACCCACCAAAAATACATATATATCTACGTATACATTTATATACACATACGTACATATATATATATATTTGGGAGGTTAGAAATGGATACTGCATTTCTGCTGGAAAAAATTAGGGTAAAATAAGACAATCATATATTTGCAAATCTCAATACAATACTCTTCTCAATCTTAAGTTGTCTATTTATAGAAGCACAGCAATTTGAATGCTACTCTTGATACTGAGGAAAAAAAACCATAATTCTTTGTGCACATCACAGAGTTTGTTAGAGGAAGGTCATTATAACCATTTTAGACAGATAAAGGACTCAAGGCACATTAATTATTTAGGTGGCACTTATACAAGTATCAGGATATGATCACAATAGGCTCAATAATGAAATTACTCCAGAGATTATTAAAATGTTAAAGATTTAACGTGCCAGTGAAATTTCTGTAGGACTTGCAATATCTTCGAGCACTGAATTCCTCCCCCAGAATTTGGAGAATACTACCAATCTTACACAGATTCTTCTAGAAAAAAAAAAATGTTTCATGGACTCTTAAGTATTAGATAAAATCCAAACAGTACCAAGGCCCATGAAGGCCTAAACATGACATAGCCTCTGCCTACATTTTTGATATCTTCTACACTCCTCATCTCCCTCTCATATCACTCCCCCACAATTACATTCTGGCCAATAGGATGATTCCTTGCCATTAGGGTCATAGCTCAAGTGCTATTTTATCAGAAAATACTTCCCTGACCATCTCAAAATAGCCTTAGCTGACTCCTTAACTTTCTATCACATTATCCTATTTTTCTTTTTTTTTTTAACTTTAAGTTCAGGGGTACATGTGCAGATTTGTTACACAGGTAAACTTGTGTCATGGGGTTTTGTTGCACAGATTATTTCATCACCCAGGTATTAAGCCTAGTACACATTAGTCATTTTTCCTGATCCTCTCCCTCCTCCCACCCTTCACCCTCTGATAGGCCTCAACATGTGTTGTTCCCCTCTATGGGTTCATGTGTCCACATCATTTAGCTCCCACCTATAAGTGAGAACATGCAGTATTTGGTTTTCTGTTCCTGCATTGATTTGCTAAGGATAATGGCCTCCAGCTCCATCCATGGCCCTGCAAAGGACATGATCTCGTTCTTTTTTATGGCTGCATAGTATTCCATGGTGTATATGTACTACATTTTCTTTATCCAGTCTATCATTGATGGGCATTTAGGTTGATTTCATGTCTTTGCTATTGTGAATAGTGCTGCAATGAACATGTGTGTGCATGTGTCTTTATAATAGAATGATTTATATTCCTTTGGGTATATACCCAGTAATGGGATTGAGGAGAGGATGTCAAACTATCCCTGTTTGCAGACAACATGATCTTATATCTAGATAACCCATAGTCTCAGCCCAAAAGATTCTTAAGCTGATAAACAACTTCAACAAAGTCTCAGGATACAAAATAAATGTGCAAAAATCACTAGCATTATTATACACTAATAACAGCCAAGCAGAGAGCCAAATCAGGAATAAACTCCCATCATTTGCAATTGCCACGAAAAGAAAATACCTATGAATACAGCTAACTAGGGAGGTGAAAGGAGAACTACAAACCACTGCTCAAAGAAACCAGAGATGACACAAACAAATGGAAAAACATTCCAAGCTCATGGATAGGAAGAATCAATATCGTTAAAATGGCCACACTGCCCAAGGCAATGTATAGACTTAATGCCATTACTATTAAACTACCACTGAGATTCTTCACAGAACTAGGAAATTTTATTTTAAAATTCATAGGGAACCAAAAAAGAGCCTGAATAGCCAAGGCAAATCCTAAGCAAAAAGAACAAAGCTGGAGGCATCATGCTACCCGACTTCAAACTATGCTACAGTGCTACAGTTACCAAACAGCATGGTACTGGTACAAAAAGAGACACACAGACCAATAGAACAGAATAGAGAATACAGAAATAAGACCGCACACCTACAACTATCTGATCTTCGACAAACCTGATGAAAACAAAGAATGGGGAAAGGCTTCCCTACTCAATAAATGGTGCTGGGAAAACATTATCCTATTTTCCTTCATTGCACTTATCGTTCGAAATGACCTTATTTACTTGCTTATTTTTTGTCTCTTCCCTGTCCCACTAGAATGTAAGCTCCATGAGAGATGGACCTTGTTTGTTCTATCTACAGTTTGTTCAGTACCTAAAACAGTGTCCAGCACTAAATAATCATTTGCTGAATGAATGTTGAATGATGCATGCTCTGTTTTTTCTTCAGTTAATACATACATCTTAAGTTTACATAGGCTTTAATTGGATCCTGGTTTTATATGAAAGAAGGCCGGGCACAGGCTGAAACCCGGAGTTTGAGACCAGCCTGGGCAACACAGTGAGACCTCGCCTCTAAAAAAAATAATAATTAGCCAAGCATGGTGGTATGTGCCTGCAGTCCCAGCTACTTTGGAGGTTGTTGTGGGAGGACTACTTGAGCCTAGGAGCCTGAGGCTGCAGTGAGCTATGATAATGCCACTGCATTCCAGCCTGGGGAAGAAAGCAAGACCCTGTCTCAAAAAAAAAAAAAAAAAAAGAAATTAAAAAAAAGAAATAAAAATCTAACCAAGACCAATTGATAAGATAACCTTGACAAGGTGGAGAGAGAATACTTGGAAGCTGATCACCATTAAGAGAATACTTGGTCCAGCCTGGGACAGAGCGAGACTCTGTCTCCAAAAAAAAAAAAAAAAAGAATACTTGGAAGCTGATCACCATTAAGAATAGTTGATGCTCTCAGCAGAACGGGGTCCGCAGGAAAAAAGAAAAAAATAAATAAATAAATAACAGTTAATGCATATTAGAGAAACACCTTCAACTGTCCTACTAATTATTTTTATCCAATTATTTTCTAATAACTGTTTATCAGTAGGAAAATCAGAAGCATTGTACAGCATAATTCTGTGGATATTTTCCCTAAATTAAGCTACATAAAATTACACATTAATAATCTTTGGACCTCATTTTGATTAACTGATTTTTAGAAGCAGGGTCTCGCAGTTGCCCAGGCTGGAATGCAGCCATCCTCCCACCTTAGCATCCCAAAGTGTTGGGATAACAGGCGTGAGTCACTGCACTTGGCCTATGTGTCACTGCACTCGGCCTAATTTGTTTCAATTATTTACTTATAAAAGATTAACATTCCTACACTAGCCAAAACTGCCAAGCAGTGATCAGACTTCTATTTTATTTGGCTTTAACAAAACTCTCTTGGAGTCTGAACTTTTAAAAGATAGTAACTCCTAAGGTACTCTGCTGTTTTAAGTCACAAGTTTAAAGGAGTGATATGGCACCTACCAGAGGGCCTGATCTCCAGAGAAGACTTCTTAATAAAATCAGACTTAGGATATATAGTCAATTATGATTCTCTCTCAGTGATGTATAACATCCAGGTCCTTCTAACACCTTGATCAGGCTTTTGGGACAAAGGAATGGAAGCCAAGCATGTGTCCACAGACAACCAATGCCAACTTAGCTATACTTGAGACAGTCCATTACCTACTTCTGGTGATGTGCTGACCCATTATTAAAATGCAGTACTTACTAAATCCCAGCTTCCCTACTATTAGGCAATTTCTCTAACTCCTATCTATCATGGTATCAAAAATTTGCTTCCTTAAAAGGTATGGTAGCTTATTCAATTTTCAGCAATTCATGTAACAGTTACCTCCACCTGTGTTGGATATTACAGAGCTGTCTATAACCCCCCTGCAGTATTTGGTTATAAGATTTCAGCTTTTTAATTTTAATAAGTACACCCAACAAAGTATTTGTATGAAAGTGATCTACACTCACAGAAATCTTCATTATTACCTACTAAAGAACATTAAGCTAAAAACATTAATTATAGAAAAATTCAGGTAACTGGTAATTTTTAGTAGTAAGGGAAGGGAAGCTACTAAAGTGAAATTTTTTAAAAAAGGAGAAAAACTTATAAATGTGACTTCCACTCTTTTTTTGCTGAGAAAATTGTTCTAAAAAGTAAACAACTCTTAAATCGCTGTCATATCCATACATCCACTCCTTTCAATGCTGTTCCCTTTGTTGGAGTCTCATGTCTTGACATTTTAACTGCCTCTTGACAGCTTTCTTTGCACCTAAGTCTTTTTCCTCCAAACTTTCTTCCACCCTTCCACCAGTTTTCTTAGTTCCCGAGCAAAAACAAACAAACAAACAAACAAAAAAACCACCTTGGCAGCACAGCTGTAAGACATATAAAAGTTGACTTTTTAAATGTCCCACTTTAGGCCTGGCACAGAGACTCATTCATGTAATCCCAATGCTTTGGGAGGCCAAGGGAGGAGGATGGTTTGAGGCCAGGAGTTTCAGACCAGTCTGGACAACCTAGCAAGACCCTATCTCTAAAAAATAAAAATAAAATAAAATAGCTGGGTGTGGGGTTTGAGTCTGTAGTCCTAGCTACTTGGGAGTCTCAGGTGGGAGGAGTCCTTGAGACCAGGAGTTCGAGGTTATAGTGAGCTGTGATTGTGCCATTGCATTCTTGCCTGGGTGACAGAGTGAGACCTTCAAAAAACAAAAATATACTGGTCGGGCCCAGTGGCTCATGCCTATAATCCCAGCACTTTGGGATGTTGAGGTGGGCAGATCACTTGAGGTCATTTGAGACCAGTGTGGCCAACATGGTGAAACCCCATCTCTACTAAAAATACAAAAATTAGCTGGGTGTGGTGGCGGGCGCCTATAATCCTAGCTACTTGGGAGGCTGAGGCAGGAAAATTGCTTGAACCCAGGAGGCGGAGGTTGCAGTGAGCCAAGATTGCATCACTGCACTCCAGCCTGGGTGACAGAGTGAGACTCCATCAAAAAAAAAAAAAAAAGAAGAAAGAACGAAAGAAAAGAAAAGAAAAGCAAGGAAAAGAAACCCAAAAATATCCTGCTTCAAAATTTTAAAGATCAGAGTTCTTTTCTAAATTTTTTTTTAACTTGAGACAGAGTCTCACTCTATCGTCCAGGGTGGAGTACAGTGGCACAATCTTGACTCACTGCAACCTCAGCCTCTCAGATTCAAGTGATTCTCCTGCCTCAGCCTCCCAAGTAGCTGGGATTACAGGCATGTGCCACCACGCCTGGCTAATTTTTGTATTTTCAGTAAAGATGGAGTTTCACCATGTTGGCCAGGCTGGTCTCTAACTCCTGACCTCAGGTGATCTGCCCGTCTCAGCCTCCCAAAGTGCTGGGATTACAAGCGTGAGCCACTGCGCCCCATCTCTTTTCTAAATTATAATTTAATTTTTAATTGACACATAATATGATACATATTTACAGGGTATAATGTGATGTTTCAATGCATGTATACATAGTATTATGATAAAATCAGGTAACCTGACATTCAAGGCTCATCACAATCTGGCCTCAATTTATTTTCCAGTACTCTACCACTGAAACTTTTACACTGGTCACAGTTTTTCAATGCTTCTAGCAAATCCCATGCTTTTGCATATTTATTAGTCCCTACTATTTCCTAACTACAATGCTTTCCCAATTTTTCTCTATCTACCTATGCAAACCTCTCCCAATTTTCAAAGCTCAGCAAAAGTTCTATTTCCTCCCTGAAACTTTTCTCTGCTATTTCAGGTAACAGTGCTCTCACGCCAATTCTATCTTCCTCTCGTTCCTCCAAACCCCTTGTGGCAGTTAACACGTCTATTCTATTTTACAAACATCGAGACCTCATAAATTGCCCTTTTGTATACATGTCTCTTCCATCAGACTGTAAAATCACCAACAATCAGAACTATATCAAGCCTTCCTTTATATTACAATATCAATAGATATACTGTTATTCATAATATGCACTCAATAGCCTCAGTACATGTTTATCATATAATACTACTCAGCAATAAAAAGAAACAAACCATTGATACAGACAACAACTTGGATGGATCGTGACCCTTTCAACCAATCCCATAAGGTCACATAGTATATAATTCCATTTATAGAACATTCCTTAAGTGACAAAATTATAGAGATGGAAAACAGATTTAGGGATGATATGGGGAAGGTGGTGGGTGTGATTATAAAGGGGTAGCACAACGGAGATCTTTGTGATGATGAAATAGTTCTGCATCTTCATTGTGGTGGTTATACAAATATACACATGATAAATTGGCGCAGAACTATACACTCGCATTGCACCAACGTTAAATTCCTCATTTTAAAATTGTACTATAATTAAGATATAACCACTGGGGAAATGGTGAAGAATATACAGGACCTTTCTGCATTATCTTTAAAGCTTCCTGTGAATCTATAATTATTTCAAAATAAAAAGTTAAAAAAATGAACAATATCCAACTTCATATTTATTTACTAAATATGTATACTTGTTATCTAATTTCACTCAAGTTAAGGACAATCTATAATTACGGGGTAAAGTAAATTCTCCAAATCTATTTGTTATAATATAAAAATATCTTAGCGCTAAATGGCTTTTAAGACCTATAAGCATAAACAGTAATCGCCTCTGGATATGAAGTTTGAGAGGTGGGGGATGAGAAGTGGAAGGAAAGCTACATTTTCAACCATATACCTTTTGTCCTGAGTAAATTTCAACCCTACACGTTATTACTTTTAAAGACTGTTTTTATTAAATATTAAGTAAATACAAAATAATTTTTATTTAGCGTAAGAGTTATGATATAACTTTTCTTAAGCACTCAATTTAAGAAAAAGAACATTATTATCAGTTTTCAAGTCTCTTGTGTATCCTTCTCCATTTCCATTACAATCTCTCCCCCTCAGAGAATGACCGATATCCTAAATTTTGTATTTCTCATTCCCTGGTAATTCTTCACAGTTTTACCACGCTTGTATCTCTAAACAATCTATTCTCTAAACAATATATTCTTTAGTTTGGCATGCTTTTGAACTTAATATAAATGAAACGTTACTGTATATGTTTTTCTATGAGTAGTTACCCCCAACTCAACACTCTAGTGCTGAAATTCATCCATGTCATTGTATATAACTAATTCATTCATTTCTACTACTGTAGAATATTTCATATAAACATATCATAATTTATCAAAGAGACTGGTATCCAATGTGTATAAACAGAAGGTCGGTATACTGGAACTGAAAAAAATATAGCATGTTTGAGATTACACATACATATAAATATACATATACAATATATACTCTATCTGATATAAATAGTTCCATTTGGTGATATCTTATACTTAAAATGGCTCTCAGTGGCATAATATCTCAATACCAAACTCCTCTGCCTGAATATAAGCTGGGATTGATTTTTATATATAGTGATGGTACATGGGCCCACAAGAAGTATACATGTGTTTCAGTTACTGTACATTTTTGTCATGCAAGTATTAATTTTTTGCTTTTTTTTTTGAGGTGGAGTCTCGCTCTGTCACCCAGGCTGGAGTGCAGTGGCACGATCTCAGTTCACTGCAGCCTCCATTTCCTGGGTTCAAGCAATTCTCCTGCCTCAGTCTCCCAAGTAGCTGGGAATACAGGTCTGCGCCACCACACCTGGATAATTTTTGTGTGTTTTTTTTTTTTTAGTAGAGACGGGGTTTCACCATGTTGGCCAGGCTGGTGTCAAACTCCTGACCTCAACTGATCTGCCCACCTCAGCCCCCCAATGTGTTGAGATTACAGGTGTGAGCCACCATGCCTGGCCAAGTATCACTTTTTCAACACACACACACACACACACACACACGTTCTTTTATTCTAGATATTATAAACAAATAAAAATCAGTAGAAATCTAAAAAATACTTACAGTTCCTTCTTTACAGCATAATATTTAGTTAGGTATTTCTAGAGTACCTATGTATACCAAGTAGGACATAATGACTACATTACTGAGCAAAAAGTAAGTAAAAAAAAGCAAAAGCAAGAAAATGAAGAATTACACAAAAACACGAATAAAAAGTATACAATTTCTAAAAACATAACTTTCAGAAAGCACAACTTACCTTGAATGTTGAAAGCCCAACTTTTCCTGGAGACCTGTTCAGAAATAAAAGTAAGGAGGTGTTGAATAGAGGAGATGAGAAGACAAATACTTCTATACACTTACTACAGACAAGTCCACATTTAAAAAATGTGTATATATTTTGTGACTGAAAAGTCTTGTGTGCACGTAGAAAATGTGGAAAACAAAAAGTGGAAGAGAGGCTGGGCGCAGTGGCTCACGCCTGTAATCCCAGCACTTTGGGAGGCTGAGGCAGGCGGATCACCTGAGGTCAGGAGTTCAAGATCAGCCTGAATATGGCGAAACCCCACCTCCACAGAAAATACAAAAATTAGCAGGGTGTGGTGGTGCGTGCCTATAATCCCAGCTACTTGAGAGGCTGAGGCAGGAGAATCACTTGAACCGGGAGGCGGAGGTTTCAGTGAGCCGAGATCATGCCACTGCACCCCAGCCCTGGTGACAGAGCGAGACTCCATCTCAAAAAGAAAAAGAAAAAAAAAGTGGAGAAGACCAGTCTGGTCAACGGAGTGAGACCCTGTCTCTACAAATAATTTAAAAATTATCCAGGTGTGGTGGCTATTGCCTGTAGACCCAGCTACCTAGGAGGCTGAGGCACAAGGATTGCTTTAGCCCAGGAATTCAAGGATGCAGTGAGCCATGATTGTGCCACTGCACTCCAGCTTGGGGGAGACAGCAAGATCCCATCTCTTAAAAAAAAAAAAAAAAAAAAGAGAGAGAAGAAAATTAAAGTGATTCATACATAATCTTATCACCTAGAGATCTGAGTATCTTTTATCTTCATATGTACATATATAGTTGTATATGACATAACACTACTTTCAAACTGCCAACTTGTACCTGTTTACACTCCTACTGCTCTGTGAATGCCTGTTTCTTAATACCCTCACCAAAAATAAGTGTTATTTTAAACTTTTTTTTACCAAGTTGACAGGCAAAAGTATATCTCATTGGTGTTTTAATTTGTACTTTGATTTCCAGTGTGGATGAAAATTTTCATATGTATTAGACATTTATATCGATTTTGAAGAGAGATACCCATTTTTGTTCTCAGCTTTTACTTTTTCTTTTTTTTTTAAAGACAGAGTCTTGCTGTTGCCCAGGCTGGAGTGCAGTGGTGTGATCTTGGCTCACTGCAGCCTCGACCTCCTGGTCTCAAGCGATCCTCCAGTCTCAGTCTTCTGAGTAGCTGGGACTACAGGCATGCGCCACCACACCCAGCTAATATTTTGTATTTTTTTGTAGAGACAGGGTCTCACTATGTTGCCCAGGCTGGTCTTGAACTCTTGGGCTCAAGCAATCCTCCCATTTCAGTCTCTCAAAGTACTGAGATTACAGGAACGAACCACTGTGTACCACTCTCAGCTCATTTTTCTACTGGAGCAAGACTCTGTTCTTAAACAGACTACTCTGGATGTAATACATATTTTTTTGAGATAGGGTCTCACTCCGTTACTCAGGCTTGAGTGCAGTGACACCATCATGGCTCACTGCAGCCTCAACCTCTTGGGCTCAAGCAATCCTCCCACCTCAGCCTCCCAAGTACTGGGACTACAGGCACGTGCCACCATGCTCAGCTGATTTCTGTACTTTTGTATAGAGACGGGGTTTGCCATATTGCTAAAGGTGGTCTCGAACTCCTGGGCTCAAGCAATCCACCCGCCTCATCTTCCCAAAGTGCTGAGATTACAGGAGGGAGCCACCGCACCCAGCCTGGATGTAATAATTTTTAAAAGTAACTTTTCACCATTTCACCCTTTCCCCCACATTTTTTTTTTGAATAGGAACAGTCTGATATCTGCTTCAAAGCATAAGGCTACTTAGTTATACCTTGGGGTTATGCAATAGGAAAGTTTTAAATAATTAATATGCCATTTCTAATTTTTTTTTGGTAAAATCCAATGATTACATGATGCAAATTTGAATTGAAAGGCACCTTCAAGATGATCTAATCACACAGCCTCTTTTTACAGATCAAGAAACTGAGATTCCAAGAGATTAAGTGACTTTTCCTCAAAGTCGTATTTTGGAGCACAACCAAGAGAAGAAATGAGTCCTACTAACATGTTTTTATATGCCAAACTGGGTAATGATTCCTTTGGTAGAGGAATCCTTGACCTCTAATAAAAACTTAATTTGTTAAAAAAATTACTTTTGAGTAACAGAAAATCAATCCCTTTACTCAACAAACATTTATGGGCTGGGTGCAGTGGCTCATACCTGTAATCCCAGCACTTTGGGAGGCCAAGGCGGGAGGATTGCTTGATCTCAGGAGTTTGAGACCAGCCTAGGCAATATAGTGACACCCCATCTCTACAAAATAAAAATAAACCAGCCAGGCATGGGGTTGCACACCTGCAGTCTTAGCTACTTAGGAGGCTGATGTAGGAAGATCACTTGAGCCCAGGAGCCATGAGCCATGATTGTGCTACTGCACTCTAACCTGGGTGACAGAGCGAGACCTTGTCTCAAAACAAAAAATAAAACCAGACACCCAAAGCTGACATTTATGAATTACCTACTATGTACCAAGACTAGAGATACAAAGATAAATTAGATAAAATTCTAGTTTAGGGGAGGGAGTTAAATTTGTTTAGAAAACAAAAAAAGTAGTTGTCATAAAATAGTACCCATTTAATTACAATGTCTGGTCAATATAAATATGTGTTAACAAAGGACAATTTCCAGAAATGAAAACATATATTGCTAATTATTTTGGTCCCCTGACAAACTTACACTGCAATGTATCAAAATCCTGTTTATCTAGAGTTGATTAGTTAGGACTGAGGCTAATCCATACTCAAAAAAAGAAAGAAGATTCCACACAAATTGATATCTTAAATAATACAAGTGCAATCAAAACAACAACAAATATTAAAAAGCAAAAATGAAAAACCTGTTTGTTTTTTTTTTTTTTTTTGAGATGGGGTCTCACTTTACTGCCCAGGCTGGTCTTGAACTCCTAGCTTCAAGCGATCCTCCCACCTCAGCCTCCCAAAGTGCTGGGATTACAGGGGTGAGCTACTGCACCTAGCCTGAAAAACCTTTAAGGGGCACAAATTTCCATGTGGTACAAAATTCAGGATGCCAATCACCTGCAACAAAGGCATAAAGGTAAGAAGGGTAAGATATTTTAAAATTAAGCCCCATATGAGGTAGAGAAGGGAAGAAACTTGGCCTTTCCAGCAACCCTCACACCTTGAGATATCTGAACAGGTTTTTTAGCTGTCAAAAAACAAAATAAACAAACAAAAAAAAACCAGGAAGCCATATTTATTTCTTGTGTGCCACTAGTTTCAAAAACAGTACTCTCTGGCTGTTGATTCATAGGATCAAAGTTATTGGCTAATTACTGACACACATGGAAATATATGGAAATATTCTAGATTGGTTCTGGTGGGGCTTTACATATAACTGTGTACAAACTATACAGAGTAATTTATTATTTTCTTTTGAGAGACGAGGAGACAGTAAAATATAGGCTTTTGAGCAGATGAACCTTGCTTCAATATTGTTTCTACTATTTATCCTATGTGTGATCAAATCATTTCTCCAAGCCTCGATCTCATCCTCTGCAAAAGGGGGTAAAACCATCTATTTCATAGAACTTCTATGAGGATGAAGTGAGTGAGTACATGGGACACACATGATAGTGTAGTCTCTTCAGCAGCTCTGAAATGCTCCAAGTTTCTCAAAGGCACTTTGGCAGTCTGTCAGTAGTGGGGAGCCTGAGACCAATTTCTGGAATACAGCAAAGGTCCCCTATAGCCTGTCAAGTTCCAGCACATTTAACGACAGGGAACATGAAAAAGCTATATCATATTGAGCTGGTGATTAAAATGGGATCCTGCTTGCAACTGGGTGACATCACTAAATAAAAAACTAGTAACAAAAGACACTCATGTTTGAGGTATATGTTAAATGTTACAAAGTTGTTAAGGCCTTGGTAGGTAGGAACATTTCAAACTACTACAATTTCAAGTCTATTAAGCCTAAAACTGTCTTTAACAGGGTAATCTGTAAGAGTAGAATTCCTTTGTGACAAATTTCTAAATCCATTTGTAGAACATTAATGCCTAGTAAAAAGTGAAGGCATATTTATAACTTGCAAAGTTGGCTAAAATGATTTGTATCATGTGCCAAGATGAAAAAAAACCAATTCATTTCACCCTAAGAAGCAATAAAAAACATTATTTAGTATTATCACACAAAACTTTCCTAATAGGGGCCTTGTAAAAATAATAAAGCACCGCATATTCTCACTCATAAGTGGGAGCTGAACAATGAGAACATATGGGCACAGGGAGGGGAACAACACACACCAGGGCCTGTCAGGGGGTGGGGGGCTAGGGGAGGGATAGCATTAGGAGAAATACCTAATGTAGATGACGGATTGATGGGTGCAGCAAACCACTGTGACACATGTATATCTACGTAACAAACCTGCACGTTCTGCACCTGTATCCCAGAACTTAAAGTATAATGAAAAAATAAAATAAAATAAAATAAAATAAAACAATGGCCATCATTTATTAAGCATTTGCCAAAAACTATAACACTTGACATGTTTTAGCTTCTTTGGTCCTCACAGCCCTCCTATTAGGTGGTTATATTACTTGCTCTATTTTACATAACAAAAAACTGGCTTGAGTCAGATTAGGTCATTTACATTGTACAGCTAGTAAACAGTAGGGCCAGAATTTGACCCTAGGCAGCCTGACTCCAGAGCCCATTCTCTCAACCACTTCGCAATACTGCCTCCTCTCTGGGTAAGGACTTAAAAGAAGATAATTATGAAAACACTGTAACTGGTGCTGTGTATGAGCACCAAAGTAAAGGCAATTAACGCTGCTTCTTGAATTGGACTAAACTGATTAAGTCAAAGGCTCTGAATCCTGACCTGCCTTTAACAACTACAATTAACACCTAATTGCCTTGGACTGCTAGGGAATGAAATAATGAAACGTTCCACATGTAAAATTTCCAGAGAGATGAAGCTTTTGAGTGCCAAATTTTTGATAATATTTTAACTATTTTTGAATTTAAAAATCTCAAAAGCAGCTTGTAAATAAGTACATGAGTAGGTTAAACCTTGCAGTTTCAGTACTCTTTCCCTGAAAATATCTTCTTAAACAAAGGATATACAATTGTCCTTCTTAATTATCACGCTCAAATACTACATTATATTTTAATACACTTTAGGGACCCTAAAGTGCAGATTTATTTGCCTTCAAGGACCCTAAGTTACTATGCCTGGAATGTCTGTGTTTTATAGTTTTATATTTCCTTCCTCACTTTAAGTGGTCACTTCTTTTTGTTGTTGTTGTTGTTGTTGTTTTATTTTTTGAGACGGAGTTTTGCTCTTGTTGGCCAGGCTGGAGTGCAGTGGCATGATCTTGGCTCACTGCAACCCCCGCCTCCCAGGTTCAAGCTATTCTCCTGACTCAGCCTCCCAAGTAGCTGGGATTACAGGTGCCCGCCCCCAAGCCCGGCTTATTTTTGTATTTTTAGTAGAGATGGGGTTTCGCCACATTGGCCAGGCTGGTCTCAACCTCCTGACCTCAGACGATCCGCCCTCCTCAGCCTCTCAAAGTGCTGGGATTACAGGCGTGAGCCACCGCACCCAGCCTATAAGCGGTGGCTTATTACAGTCAGCCATGCGCCTGCATTTAAAAGCTTTCTTCCCACCATCCTTCTCACTTGTGCTTCTAATCTGCATTGAGCTGGGAAACCAGATTTCCTTAATATGAAATTGTATGGTGAAGGGAGAATCTAGGGATCCTAAGGGTCTCCCCATGAGACTTTACGTACATAATCTTATTTTGAACTTTGTGGCACTTTTTTTTTTATTGAACTGTTCAGAGGCTTTTTAAATGCTTATTTCTTGTTTTCAGCTGTATCTTGAGAACTGTCATTACCACAGAGGTGGCCAACAGATAAGTGAGGTGTTATTAATCTTCAGTATCCTTAGACAACTCAAAAATTCTCTGTAAATAAGTCTCTAATGTCAAAGTAGAGATAGTAACAGTAGACTATTTCAGTGTTTATGTGCCTAAAGAAAACAACTATTCATGTTCAAGTTTGGGGATGGGAGGGAGAAATGGGGAACTAGATGTCAAGAAAATTAAGTTCTACTCTTAGCTCTCCCACTAACTAGCAGAAATATCTTAAGCAAGGGATTTTAGAGTTCCTATAATTTTAGGGAATTTTGTCTTAAGACCATTAGTTTGAGAGTGGAGACATAATTTGTACCATGATTAATGATCTAAATATTATATCCTCTAATTTCCCTTAAATTTGAAATATATTATATAAAACACGGATATAATCAGACATACACGTACATACCCAGAAATGTCCAATAATACTTTGCTACATCTAGTTAACTAGAAAAATATTTTTTTCTCCAGTGATAGCAGGAGCTAAAAAAAAAAAAAAGAAATAAAAAAAGAAAAATAGAAAAATATTTCTTCAAAATATTCTATAGATACTAAATGGGGTAAATTGGATTTATCCTTTTTACATATTAAGGTAATTTTTTGCAGAAAAAGTTCAAATGTCTACATAAAATAACTTTATTAAACCACACACACGGAAAATTTTTCAGAAAACTCTGAAGTTACATGTAGACATATTTGAGTATTGGTGGTATGTTTTTAAAGAAAACCCGACAAACCAAAATGAGAGCTTCAAAAGTTCATTTTTTCTTTCCAAAGCTTTCATCATAGGGCACCTTTAAATCAAATATTTCTGATGCATTTACTATCTGATCAATAAATATTTATTTAAATAATAAATATGCTTCTTACAAAGTTGAACAAAAATACAAATTTCAAGAGCTAGGCTTCCTTGCTCACCTAACAGCAGAAACAAAACAAAACTCAAACTTCCAACATATTAATACTAATTACAAATATGGTAAATCTTTAAATCAAGCAAATTAATATATTCTTCACTTTACATACTGATCTTTTGTGGTGAGAACATTCAAAATTTACTCTCTCAGCAATTTTGAAACATACATTGTTATTATTATAGTCATCATGCTGTGCAATAGTTCTCCAGAACTTATTCCTCCTAACTAAAACTTTGTACCCTCTGACTAATATTTTCCCATTCCTCAGCTGCTCCCTACTCCCCCAACCCCCGGAAACTACCATTCTACTCTCTGCTTCTACGAGTTCATCATTTTTACATTCCACATACAAGTGAGATTATACAGTAGTAGTCTTCCTATGCCTGGTTTATTTCACTTAACATAATGTCTTCTAGGTTTATCCATATTGCCACATATGACATGATTCCATTCTTAAGGCTCAATAGTGTTCCACTGTGTGTTGGCCATCTGTCTGTATGTCTTCCTTTCAGAAATGTCTGTTCAGGTCCTCTGCCCATTTTTAAATTGGGTTGTTTTCTGGCTACTGAGTTGTTTGAATTCCTTACATACTGTGGGTATTAATCCCTTATCAGATGTATGGTGTGTTAGTCCATTTGCATTGCTATAAAGAAATACCTAAGGCTGAGTAATTTATTAAAAAAAAAAAAAGAGGTTTAGGCTGGGCACGGTGGCTCATGCCTGTAATCCCAGCACTTTGGGAGGATGGGGCGGGTGGATCACGAGGTCAGGAGATCAAGACCATCCTGGCCAATATGGTGAAAACTCATCTCTACTAAAAATACAAAAATTAGCTGGTGTGCTGCTGCGTGCCTGTAATCCCAGCTACTCAGGGAGGCTAAGGCAGGAGAATTCCTTAAACCAGGAAATTGGAGGTTTTAGTGAGCCGACATTGCGCCACTGCACTCCAGCCTGGCGACAGAGCGAGACTCTGTCTAAAAAAAAAAAAGAGGTTTATTATTTTAGCTCATGGTTTTGCAGGCTGTACAAGAAGAATGGTACCAGCATCTGCTCCCGGTGAGGGCCTCAGGAAGCTTCCAATCATGGAATGCAAAAGGGATGCATCACATAGCAAGACAGGAAGAAAGTGGGGGAGGAGATGCCACCCACTTTTAAACAACCAGATCTTGCGTGAACTCAGGCCAAGAAGTCATTCATCGTGAGGACAGCACCAAGACATTCATGAGGGATCTGCCCCATGACTGAAACACCTCCCACTAGGCCTACCTCCAATACTGAAGGTCACATTTCAACATAAGAATTGGAGGGCACAAAACATCTAAACCATATGTTTTGCAAATATTTTCTCCCAATCTGTAGGTTGTCTTTTCACTGTTGTTTCCTTTGCTGTGCAATTTTATCAGACCAATTTTAGTCTGACACAATCTCATTTGTGTATTTTTGCTTTTGTTGCCTGTGCTTTTGGGGTTAAATCCAAAATATCATTGCCTAGACTAATGTCAAAAACAGCAAAATTTTGATTTTGCAGCATAGTTTCTGAAATTGAAGACAGTGTCTATCAATGCTGCCAATGAATTTAAACACAAAAAGCAACGTCTGAAACAGCTTCAAAATAAATTCTGATTCAAATAAGTACTGATATTCTACTAAAAAACCCACATGGCTTACAGATCAAATACTAAAATTATTTAGTGTGTCTTCCACTTAGGTTTTGAATATAAAGGCAATTTTAAGATTAGTACTTCAGCAACTTTCAATATAAATAGAACATTTTAATGCATTATATCCTGTTTTCTATTAGAAAGTTATTTTCGGCTGGACGTGGTAGCCCACACCTGTAATCCCAGCACTTTGGTGGCCGAGGCGGGCAGATCACAAGGTCAGGAGATTGAGACCATCCTGGCTAACACGGTGAAACCCCATCTCTACTAAAAATACAAAAAATTAGTCAGGCGTGGTGGTGGGCGCCTGTAGCCCCAGCTACTCGGGAGGCTGAGCAGGAGAATGGCGTGAACCTGGGAGGCGGAGCTTGCAGTGAGCCGAGATCCCGCCACTGCACTCCAGCCTGGGTGACAGAGCAAGACTCCATTTCAAAAAAAAAAAAAAAAAGGCCGGGCGTGGTGGCTCACACCTGTAATCCCAGCACTTTGGGAGGCCGAGGCGGGCGGATCACGAGGTCAGGAGATCGAGACCACCCTGGCTAACACAGTGAAACCCCGTCTCTACCAAAAACACAAAAAATTAGCCGGGCATGGTGGCGGGTGCCTATAGTCCCAGCTAGTCGGGAGGCTGAGGCAGGAGAATGGCGTGAACCCGGGAGGCGGAGCTTGCAGTGAGCCGAGATAGGGCCACTGCACTCCCGCCTGGGTGAAAGAGTGAGACTCTGTCTCAAAAAATAAAATAAAATAAAAAAGAAAGTTATTTTCATACACTAGTACACTAGCTAACATTTAGTTTATATTAACAAAGCTCATGTCTGAATATAAAATAGTTTATTACATGCTTTCTCCAGTCCCTATTCATTTAGCATTTTAATTATAGAAATTATTTTTGGCCAGGCATGGTGGCTCATGCCTGTAATCCCAGCACTTTGGGAGGCCAAGGTGGGTGGATTGTCTGAGGTCAGGAGTTTGAGACCAGCCTGGCCAATGTGGCGAAATCCCATCTCTACTAAAAATACAAAAAGAAAAAAAAAATTAGCCAGGTGTGGTGGTGCACACCCGTAGTCCCAGCTACTCAGGAGGGTGAGGCAGGAGTGTCGCTTGAACCCGGGAGGCAGAGGTTGCAGTGAGCCGAGATCCACCGCTGCACTCCAGCCTGGGTGACAGAGCAAGATTCTGTCTCCAAAAAAAAAAAAAAAAAAAAAAGGAAGAGTATGTGGATTGCTACTTCATATGATTAGTGGCATCACACAGAGGCCTTTCCAGTCTCCCAACACTTCTCCCCTCTAGCTGCCCTGTGATGTCATGCAAACCTTTCCCAAAGGCCCTTGGTAAACACTGCTGGGAGAAGCAACAAGAGAGGTCATCAACATCCATGTATCAGCCAAGACAAGGCTTCAGAAGGAGCTGGAGGAATGCGGAAAGGTCCTCAAGAAGTATATATATATATATATATATAGTCACTATTTCAAAACATGTATGTGGCTTCAAAACACTGTTCTGGTGATTTTATAAAACGGTATAGGAATTAGTTTTCTTTTACAAACTCTGACCTGATTCAGCGATAACCTACAGATACCTGAAGCAAAATTTCATAATAAGGTCATTACTCCCAATGATAGGAGCCTAGTCACTGATGCGATGACAATAACTGCCACTTAACCAAAAGTTGCCCACTGATTTTTCCTTGGGAAGCAAAATGTCAAATCCTTTATAAACTCTGACATAATAGTACTGCATTCAATACAACTGAAGCAAAAAGCACAAGTATGCAAGCAAAGGGAACATTTTAGTAACCTTCTTAGATGGCTACACTTTGGAACTTGCTAAACCTGACTCTCTAATTTAGTATGTTGAGAACAGTATGCATGTACTTTATAGAAATAAATACCAATCTAACAGAAAATATATAACAGTAGTCTATTTTTAAAGAGATTTTGATGCAATATAGCAACTGTGGTTTTTCTATAACAGTTATTCAAAGTGAGCATATTACCTACTGATGTCACCTAGTGTTAAAGAAATTTACAGTAATCCTTTTCAAAATCCTAAAAGGATTTTAAAAAAATCAGTCAGAAGGCAAGAGTACTTTTTTTTTCAGTGTTTGAAGGAAACTTAAGAATCATTTAGATCAACTGTCTCATTTTACATGTGAGGGAAATTATGCCATCGGTTAAATTAATCCATTAATTCAACATTTACTGATTGTTTCCATGTACCTGGCATGGTCCCAGGTATTGAGTATAAAGTAGTGAACAAAACAGACATGGTCCCTGCCATCTTAGAACTTATGCTAAGGCCTAGTGAAGACTAGGACCCAAGTTTCTTTGCTGGTTCTAATAACCCATGCAGCCTCTCTACACTAGTAAGTCTAATGTCCCTTATGGTTTCACATAGGTAGGTAGCCAGTCAAGTGAAACTGTGACCCTTTAGTAAGGCCTTAATTTATCTACAAGTACTACCACAAATTTCTCAGGGAAAGCTTGGGGGTCCCAGAGACTGAAAGGACAACATGACATCAATCTGAAAGTACAAGAGCTATAATTTTAGCTACACACACACAAAAAAAGAGCAGAATCAGGAGACCTGAGTTTTAGTCCCAAATCTGCCAGTAAAAATCTATGTGACAATAAATATTTAGGGGGAGTTTTTCCAACATTTACTTATGGCTATTTCAAATATATACAAAATTGGGAGAATAATATTATAAACCCAAATATACAACATGTTGATCATGTTCAACAATGATAAAAATATCAGTACTCCTCTTCCACCCCTCTGCCAGATTATTTTGAAGCAAATCCCAGAAACCATTTCATTTTTTTTTTTTTTTGAGACGGAGTCTTGCTCTGTTGCCCAGGCTGGGGTGCAGTGGCGTGATCTCGGCTTACCGCAAGCTCCGCCTTCCAGGTTCACGCCATTCTCCTGCCTCAGCCTCCTGAGTAGCTGGGACTACGGGCGCCCGCCACTGCGCCCAGCTAATTTTTTTGCATTTTTAGTAGAGACGGGGTTTCACCGTGGTCTCCATCTCCTGACCTCGTCATCTGCCCGCCTCGGTCTCCCAAAGTGCTGGGATTACAGGCGTGAGCCACTGCGCCCGGCCGAAACCATTTCATTTTTAACCATAAATATTTCAGTATGCATCTAAAAAGGACAAAGATTTCTCTTTAAAACATAACCACAACACTACTATAAAATTTAACAATTCCTTATTATATACATTAATAGATTATATATATTATATATAACATGCTGTTATATAACATTCAGACTTCCCAGACTGCCCAAATTTTTGTACGTTTGGTTTATATCAATCAAATACGGTCCATATATTACAATCAGTTGATATGTCTCTTTCGATAAATCAGCAGGTTCCCCTTCAATCTCTCTTATTTCTTGCAATTCATGTGTTGAAGAAAGTAGGTTGCTCATCCTGTAGAATTTCTCATGTCTGAATTTTGTTGATTGCATCTTCATGGTGACATGTCAGAAGAAATATTTTTTTAAAAACATGCAGGAGAGATTGGAGGGATGGAATGGGCACATATCCAAGAAAAATTGCAAAAACCTGTAAGAACATTATCAGAAAGGCTGGCACTCAGAATGTGCTAAGATTTAAAAAAAATACCGGAGACAAGATTTTTCTTAATTTATACTCAGAACAAGCACAACAAATATAAAGTGCAGGTCTACTTATATATGGATAAGTATACGTTATTATAATGTAAAAGGCTATCTCAACTTTTTTTTCTATTAAGATTACTGATAGTCAAACCAGAAAGGGAAAAACAAATTGTAGAATGAGGAAACTGAATCCCAAAGCATTCAAGGAGATAAAAGTACCTAACTATTAATATTATAAGTGACTTCCATTCTACTCTCCCAAATTATGTCCCAGTGTATCTGAGAATTTGCAGAGCTCAATTTCCATCTAAAACCTTTGAAGAATCAGGGGAATGGAAGGGGATGATGTAAAGAAAACACTAATAGTCAACTCTGCAAAGCAGGTAGATGCCTAGATGCCACCAACTACAGACAGATTGATTTGATGTCAATTCCAAACAAATTTCTTAAACACTGTTTAATTGTTTAAGAGCCCTATGCAAGGGAAAAAGATACTCATTAAGAGTCAGCAAGCATTCACAGAAGCCAATCATGCAAGATTAACCTAATTTCCTCTTCTGATAGGGTTACTGGCCTAGAATAAAAGAGAATATTGCACACACACAAAAATCCGGTTTTAAGCACTAAATTACTTTCTACCCTACCTGATGTTCTTACTAATATCTTGGATAAGGATACTGATGGCATATCTACTAAATTTGCAGATAACACAAAGTTGAGAGAGACAGGTAATATACTGGCTGACAGGACCCCAAAATTTTTCTTTTTTCTTTTTTCTTTTTTTTTTGGAGACAGGGTCTTGCTCTGCTGCTTAGGCTGGAGTGCAGTGGCACGATCATGGTTCACTGCAGCCTCGACCTCCCAGGCTCAAGCAATCTTTCTGCCTCAGCCTCCCAAAGTGCTGGGATTACAGGTGTGAGCCACTGCCACTGGCCACCAAAATATTTCAATGGGCTAGAACAATGGGTCAAATCTTAACGGTATGAAATGTAGTAGGGATAAATGTAAAATGCACGATGGGAGAGACATGGCTTAACAGCAAATCATGTGAAAACATTTAGGTATTTTGGTTGATTGCTCAGACAAAGACTGTGATATGGCTGCCAAAACTACTGTGTTTTTAGGCTGAATTATCAGAACTATCATGTCCAGAGCAAGGGGAATGGTAAGTTCTCTTCTACTTCTTACTGATAAAAGCACATTTAGGAACATCATATACTTTTTGAGATTCATTTTAAAAGGAACACTGATGAAACAGAACATACTCAGAAGAGAGAAATCAATTTGGTGAATGTTCTAGAAACTGAGTGGAATGATATAAAGAACTAAGGATGGCTAACCAGAAGAAGATAAGGAAGAAAAGTAGTTGTTTTCAAATGTTTGAAGCATTATGCAGCAGAACTAGGACTAAGAGTAGAAATTACAAAGAGATAGGCTTTTGTTCAACCTAACAATCTCAGTAACAACCTGAGTTTAGAAAAAGCCATGAGCTGCTTCCCTGATAAAGTATTAAAACAGAAACTCAATGATGTCTCAATAGGGATATTGTAGAAGGCTGGAACAGACAATCTCTGTGGTCTTGTTTCTATTTCTAAAGCCACAATCTCTTTAAACCTCAGTTTCCACACCTGTAAAATGAAGGAGCTGTATTAGTTGAGTCTTTAGGCCCCTTCATTCAGTCAACAAATCCTTATTGGTTATCTACCATGTGCCAGGCACTTTCAGGCATTGAAATACAAAGGGTGAGAAAGATCCAGCCCTTGCCCACAGAAAGGTCACAATCTGATAAGCTGAGGAAAATATAACACATAATTTCAATATAAGGTAACAATTGCAATGAGAGACACAAGCACATGATAACCTTGAAGCACAGAGGAGGGGCACCTAAGTGTGTATGTAAGTGGGAGAAGAGGACATATTTGGATAGGCTTTCTGGAATAGACCCTCCAGCTATTTCTACAAGACAAAATTATATAAGACTACAGAGAGCTAGAAGTGCTTTAAAACACTAAATAAATTTACACTAAACACTAACTTCAGCTTAATGCTCTAAACTGGCACTTGCTAAAGATGAATTTTTCTGCTTACTGATGGATATTGTAGACTGTCATAATAGTTTTTACAAACGAGGAGTTAGAAATCTAACTTTTAAAAATTAATCAAGGAAAACAGAGATTTCTGATTTTTTGTTCCAGGAATCCTAAAGTTTAGGCCTAGCTCATTTGAATTAATCACTTAATGCATGCTCTACCTGCTGTTTTTCTTTCCTTTAATTTGGCATATAATATATCTGAACAATCAGTAATCTTTCCAAGTAAAGACAAAAACTGAAGATTCACCACTGTAGACATCAAGTAATAAAAATGAAATTTTCACAAACCAAAGAGTTTAATTATTTTAGATGTATTACAGCAGATAAGTAATCATTCTAGAATCTATTAATTACTCAATATGATCTTTAGCAAACTGGTAAAATTTCAGAATGCCTTTTGACCTTACTTTTTGGATTTTGGATTTATTTTAGAAAGTATATACAGTTAAATTTTGCACATAGGCTAATTTTCTTATTGAAGTCTGTTTTAACTTATCTTTTAAAATGCTATTCTGTATTTGATATGTGCAATGTGTACACGTAATTATGAAGCATAAAAAAATACATCCTGTCACTTACCACATTAACTGAGAATTAGCATTAATACCAGTGCAGCTACTATGTGCTTTATTCCATCTGCTTGCTGCTCCCTTAGAGGTAACCACTATCCCAGATTTCGCTTATTGTTCCCTTAATTTTTTGTTTTCAAAAACAGTTCATCATACGTGCATGTATCCCTAAACAATATGTTGTTACATTTTTCTATTTTTTTCTTTTTTCTCCCTTTTTTTTTTTTTTTTTGAGACGGAGTTTCACTCTTATCTCCCAGGCTGGAGTACAACGGCACGATCTTGGCTCACTGCAACCTCCACCTCCCGGTTCAAGCAATTCTCCTGCCTCAGCCTCCGAAGTAGCTGGGATTGCAAGTGCCTGCCACCACGCCCGGCTAACTTTTGTATTTTTTTTTAGTAGAGACAGGGTTTCACCATGTTGACCAGACTGGTCTTGAACTCCTGACCTCAGGTGATCTGCCTGCCTCTCTGCCTCCCAAAGTGCTGGGATTATAAGTGTGAGCCACGTTTTACTATTTTTGAGCTTTGAGCATTGATGCATTTTCAAAAAAAAAGAAAAAAGCATTGGACACTAAAATAAATAGCATTGCGCTAAAAAACACTTAGTATTCCCGTGAGAGTAAAGGTTACTCTTGTCATTGCATGGTGTATTTAAATCTCACAACTGTGCCTATATCTACTAGTCTCCTGCCTCTTCCCCACCTAGGGTTGCCAGATTTAGCAACTAAAAATAAAGGATGCCCAGTTCAATTCCAATTTCAGATAAACAATGAATACATTTTTAGTATGTTTATCTGAAATTGGAATTGAACTGAGTGTCTTGTACTTTATCCAGCAACTCTACCCCACCCCCAAGTTAATTAGGTGGATAATTAATCCTACGTTCTGTTAGTGTGTGATAAAGGGACAAAGCAGGAAGAATTGCATGGCCAATGCCACTGTATAAATATTCATCTGATTTTTTAATAGTGTTCACTGAATGGGGAAAAAATTTGCACGTGTCTATTTAGTCAGAGCTCTTCCAGACAGTGCATGCACTGAATAGGCTTAAATGCAAATACTACATGTATGGTATTATGTACATTTATCAAAAATGCTCAGCAAAAAGCAGGAAGGTATATAAACAGCTTCATTATTTTTTGGCTTAGATTGCCCCACAAAACCAAGATGGCTACTGTAATACATTGACAAAATCTCTAGATATGTGATTTGACTTATAATCACTGAAACTGTCCTCAGTCAACATGTTCAAAATGAGGTTAACCTGTATAGGTCAAATAACCATCAACAACCAACTTTCTAGATAAATATCAATTAAAATTATTTTGTCATTAAAAAGGGATTCAGTTATTACATATACAAAGTCACTTTAGAACAGTCTCCTCACTTTACAAAAAGCGTAGTAGAAATATTCGTTATATTATTTCTATATCAATCTAAAATCTGATGAGCCTTCTGCAACGTGAAGTAGAATTTGCTTCTCAATTCTGTCAATGCATAATCTCACAATTTTCCCACAGCTGAAGCACTAATAGCTCCTAGATTTGAATGGCAATCAATGCAAGTATGTATTAAGAACCTATATAGATTAGATTCCCCAAATAGAAGCTACTTGTACTGTCTTGCCTGGCTTACTGCAAAACTCATATTTTGAAATCAGCTACTGACGTGGCTGACTAGTAGGAATCTAACTTGGTTTTTCATAGCTTCTGCAAGTGGTTTTTCTCTGGGCAATTATTGGTTTTTCTCCAGGCAATTATAGGAACACCTTTTCCAATTTTAAACTCAGATCTTCAGCACTCATGTGGTATGGCCTTAAAGTAATCAGGACTTAAAATAATGGTGTAAGTGCTTAGGTGTAGTTATTATTTTTTTTTGAGACAAGGTCTCTGTTTCCCAGACTGTAGTGCAGTGTGGCATGATCTCAGGTCATTGCAACCTTCGCCTCTCAGGCTCAAGTGATCCTCCCACCTTAGCCTCCAGAGTAGCTGGGACTACAGGCATGCACCACCACATATGGCTAATTTTTTTTTAATTTTTTAATTTTTTTGAGAAGATGGGGTTTCACCATATTGCCCAGGCTGTTCTTGAACTCTTGGGCTCAAGAAATCTGTCTGCCTTGGCCCCCCGCCTGCCTCGGGATTACAGGCATGAGCCACTGTGCCCAGTCAAGTTGGCTTTTTAAAAATAACTTTAAATTTCTGTGGTTTCAAAGAGCCAGAGACCATAAACCATCCCACAGTTAGTTTCTCACTCATTAGCTATAGACAGATCCTTCTGCCTCTTGGGCTTGGTGTTTCTCTATTCCTTACCCGAAGATTATTTAAAAACGAACACATGAACCCTTCTGCGAACAGGAAGGAATCAGTGTGTAGACTAAACTTACATTTGCCACCTGCTTCATGTTCAACTAAACAACTAGGAACTCAAAGAACCACCTCCTAAAGTACAAAAAGGAAATATCAGAGCAATCTCACACTTTTACCATTATTTTCAGACTTTTCTTTATACTCAAGGAAAAGAATATACCAGAACAATTGAACATACAGAAAAAAATTGACTAACAAGGTCTCTTTTTATTTTCCTGTCAGTAGGAAGACTCACTTTTTTTTCAGGCCCTGAGGAAAAAAAAAGGTGGTTGGCTCTGCAGAAGCCTTTTGTCAGGTTGCAAAATTCCTAACAGACTCCTAAAGAGGTAAAAAGGAGCAATGACATGGAAGGAGGGAGTACAAAGTGAGTCAGCTAGAATAAAGCTGGTTGCTTGGGAAACATTTTTCTTACATGAAAGTGACTACAAAAGGTTCACCAGGAAATTACCCTACAGCTTGATTTTGTTTTTATCCCCCTCTATCCTTTGTTATAAAGAAAATATAAAAGTAAGATGAGCTTAAGCAGTGCACCAAGGAACTGAATCAAGCAAAGCAAAGAATAGCTTGCCTGTACAAAGAAGGCGCTAGGATTCTAAGGTCCTTGAGGTGAACAGGGTATGAGCATAGATAAGGACTTAGCCAGTCATTAAAGTAAGCAACTAATTAAAGAGTTTTGATTTCTAAAGTCCAGCAAGTTGAAACAGTAAGATTTGATAGCAAACTAAGACCGACACTGAAGTGCTAAGTCTAAACAGGGAATCACGTGTCTGGTCCTCAGGAAACACTTAACAAGAACTCTTTCTTGGGCCCACTGAGGCCAGGCAGAAAAATGATGACAACAAAAAATGAAGCAAAAAACAAAAATAAAAACAAACAAAACTAACCCTAGGTTGAACCAAAAATTAAAAACACTTCAAGTTTAGAGAACAAGAGACTGTTCTCCTTTGTTCTTAAATCTTGCTTTAAGTGCACAGCTTTTAAAATGTGGTATGTAATACTGTACACTGGAGTTGAAATGTATATAAGCACCTTCAACCTAAAGACAGTGCTACTCAAATTGAAGAAATGGCATCTAAGAGAAAAATCATCTGCTGGCCTTTCAAACCTAAATAATTTGTAACAGTACCACTCTCATTCTCACAGTCCTATTTTAAGTTGACTACTAATAATTTTAAGTTGACTACTACCAAAAGTGATAATACCAACTAAACCTGAAAAGTCTAAAAACAGCAGGAAAAAAATAAGTGCTAGGCAATCATAAATTAGTCTGATTTTCCTAGTACATCCCAAAATCTCAGGTAACTAGGCAGCAGAAAATAGAAATCACTCGAATTTCCTTGGATGCAAAGCAATACTGGTTTATTAACAACATTCACAAAAAGCTGAGAATAGTTATGACAATTATCCAATAGGATATTAACTGAATCTTCAAGATGTGAATTATTACTTTTATTACCTTTTGAAAGGACATTTAAATTTTAAATACTATGAAAGCATAGCAGATTACATCTAAAATTAACTAATAATTATTTTATCAATGATATTAATAGAAATAGTGAGAAAATTTGGCACAATGGCCCTATGTTTTTTGAAAGGTTTTGTGGCAATATTTGTAAATGATCTTTAATGAAATCAAAGGAAACTTTGTTGTGAAATATACATCTGTTCACATACAGGGTAATTACAAAACTTCAAGTGGACCTTCTTACAATTATATCTTATCTAAAATGACAACCTGATTTTTCAAAAATGATGTATGTAGTGCAGCTTTATGCCATATTCCTAAAAGAACAGCTTGATAATGTATTTACTGACATAAACAGAAAACCACTTTCCTGGGCCTACTCAAGGATTCCAAACTAAAAACATTCTATTCTGCACATTCACAACCATTCAATAAATACCTGCAGTAAAACAATAACACCAAGGTAAGGCAGCTATATCACCATGTCCCAATTTGTTAAAGTAGGTTAGAATAAAAGTCAAATCTATTAATGACTTAAAGTAATTTCCAGTAAAATCAAGACAGAAACAGATAACTAAATTTATGCCTGCCTAGAGAAATCAATATCTAATGCAATCATGCTAGATCACTGTTACTTTTGAAAAAGTAAACAAGATGTTGGGCTACAGGCCGTATTACAGAAGCTTTATCAAGCTAAAGTGCTAAGATTTTTTTTTTGGTTTTGAGATGGAGTCTCACTCTGTCGCCCAGGCTGGAGTGCAGTGGTGTGATCTTGGCTCACTGCAACCTCTGTTTCCCGGGTTCAAGGGATTCTCCTGCATCAGTCTACCGAGTAGCTGGAGGAGCTCCTGTGTGCTACCATGCCCGGCTAACTTTCTGTATTTTTAGTAGAGATGGAGTTTCACCATGTTGGCCAGGCTGATCTGGAACTCCTGACCTCAAGCGATCCACCTGCCTCGGCCTCCCAAAGTGCTGGGATTACAGGTGTGATACACCATGCCTGGCCATATTAATATGGTTTTGTAAGTTACCTAAAACATTAAATGGAGTACTAATCTGTGTGTGGTGGTGGTTTTTTCTTTTTTGTTTGTTTTAGACGGAGTCTCGCTCTGTCGCCAGGCTGGAGTGCAGTGGTGCGATCTCGGCTCACTGCAATCTCCACCTCCTGGGTTCAAGCGATTCCCCTGCCTCAGCCTCCCAAATAGCTAGGACTACAGGCATGTGCCATCATGCCCAGATAATTTTTAAAAACTTTTTGTAGAGATGAGGTCTTGCTACATTGCCCAGGCTGGTCTCAAACTCCTGGCTTCAAGTGATCCGTCCACCTCAGCCTCTCATGGCACTGGGCATGAGCTTCTGTACCTGGCCAATCCTTACTTTGAGCAAAACAGGTAAACATATTTAAAATTTAAAACTATTTTAGTTATATGAATTCTGAAGTTTTTAAGAGTTAAAAAAGTTTGTCAAATAAATATAAAAAAAGAAAGACATATGGCTTTTTAAAAATAAAGACCCATACAACTATCCAGTCTTTACTGTTCTCTTCCTGTTTATTCAAGGGCTACAAAAGAAAGATAACACTTCCTATTAGTTTTCTAAACAGTTTTCTCAAATTAAAATGAATTAATCTAAAGGCCAAACATTCTTTCTACAACCTATAGAAATCATTTTTGTTAAAAGCTGGGTTATTTGGTAGCTGTTGCTGATCAAGATGCTTTTAAGTCATTTTTAGCTAGTTTGTGACTACAGGCGTGTACCACCATGCCCAGCTAATTTTTTGTATCTTTAGTAGAGATGAGGTTTCACCATGTTGGCCAGGATGGTCTTGATCTCCTGACCTCATGATCTGCCCGCCTCGGCCTCCCAAAGTGCTGGGATTACAGGCATGAGCCACCGCGCCCAGCTGTGTGTGTTTTAAGAGTCGGGGTCTCACTCTGTTGCCCAGGCTGGAATGCAGTGGTGTGATTATGGCTCACTATAGCCTTGAATTCTTGGGCTCCAGTAATCCCCCTCTACGCCCACCTAGCTGGGACTACAGGCAAGTACCACCATGCCTGGTTAAGTTTAAAAAAAAAATGTTAGAGACAGGGTTTCACTATGTTGGCCAGCGTGGTCTCAAGTACCTGGCCTCAAAGGGTCTTCCTGCTTCAACCTCCTGGGTAGCTGGGATTACAGGCATGAGCCACCACACCTGGTGGGGTACTAATTTTTAAAAGTAAATGCCAGTAACTTCTAAATAAAAACTAGCATTCTAAAGCACCTGTCGTGAGCCCCCCTTTTTAAAAATTTAAATTGATAAATTCTATTAGTGAACTACTCAGACTTCAAGATTTCTTGTTTTCCTTCTTTTGAGTTCACTGCTCATCACCAAAGATGAGCAGAGGAACAAAACTCAAACCAAACTATTTATTTTTTAAAATTAAAGAAAACCTACTGTTATTATCTTTGATAAAAGTTTTGATGGTAAACTAATGACTGACCTGAGATTGTTGTGTAACTGACAGCTTTTAATTATTCATGTTTTCCTACAATATCATGAATAACAAAAACTCAAATATATTTCAGTAAAATCTGCCATTAAGTACTTTATTTTCTAAATTTAATTTCTATGCTTTATGTACTTGAATTTCTACTTCTACATTCTTTTTCTAATGAAATATATATCAGGCCAGGTACAGTGGCTCATGCCTGTAATCCCAGCACTTTGAGAGGCCGAGGTGGGAGGATCACGAGGTCAAGAGATTGAGACCATCCCGGCCAACATGGTGAAACCCCATCTCTACTAAAAATACAAAAATTAGCTGGGCTTGGTGGCATGCCAGCTACTCCGGAGGCTGAGGCAAGAGAATCGCTTGAACCCGGGAGGTGGAGGTTGCAGTAAGCCGAGATTGTGCCACTGCACTCCAGCCTGGTGACAGAACAAGACTCTGTCTCAAAAAAAAAAAAAAAAGAAAGAAATATATATCAATGACTTGATATATATATTCTACAAAAATCTTCAATTATCTAGAATGCTTACCTACAGAACACACTATGTAGATCAAGTTTAAGCCCTTTACTATTATTACAAATTGTTCAATCTTATTTACATCTTAAACAGTAATTACTAATCATTTAATTTTTTTGTAATTACCCAGCTATTAGGAATACATTTTTCCCATTAGTTTGAAAGCCAATAGAGGTTTGATTAGGTAGGTAGTCACAAAGAGTGACAAAGCAGTCACTCTCTGTGACTGCTACAAAACACATTTGAAGGGAAAGAGAAAAAGAAACATTGTGTTTCTAGTTAGAGGCTTGTGGCCAAAAAAATGAATCAGTTATACTAAAATAAAAACAAAACACAATACAGTACTGTGGCCTAACTAAGCAACTGACAACAATCTATAAAACAATTGTAGGAAAAAAAAAAATCTGGGATTAAGACTTTTTGACACGGCACTGAAACCCAAATCAGCAATGGCTCATATCCTGAGGGGGTTTCCCTTAGGAACAAAGACCATAACTCTTTGAAATGCAGTGAACAGTGTCTGGGATTCCAGCTTTTTCAGAAGCAAGGTCATTTTCTGACCTGGCTACCATGCCGTAATCAATTATGTCAAAGCTTAAAATGAAGGGCATAAAAATACTGCTTTTCATTGTTTGAAACAGTAACTTTTTAAAAGAACTTTGAAAACAAATGCCCACCGTTAGTTAGCATTATGGTGTTATGGTGTTATCGTTCTTTGCATGTAACATGTAGCACTATAATATTTCTTTCTTACTGTGAACACATTCATTCCTGAAAAAAAAGTTGGTAACAAGGAACTGATAGGAATGCAGGATAACTGGCAACACCACCCAAGGTTTTACTGTTAACATTTAATATTTACTGGGTATAGGATGTCCTCAAGTTATGAAGATCCTATACATCCAAAGCACTCTCTTTGCCTCAGCTCCCTTACCTACCTCCTCTTATAGGAACTGGTACCTGTGTGTGTTTAAGGGTGACTGGAGATTGGAGAGAACCAGGAAGTTCAAAATCAGAACCAATTGTGAAGCGCAGTAGATACCACAGAGCATGCTTACTCACCACCCGCCTCCCCAACTAAACCTTGTGTGCACTGCTAGACATAACTGTGGACTATGCTGGGAAATAAGGCAAAGGTTAAAAGTCAACAGCTAAGGGCTATGATCTGGGACATAATAGGCACAGTAAGGTGCACTTAAAGGAAAAAGGACTGATCTCAATCATTAACCTTAACCCTTAAGCCAAGCTAATAAAGATAAAATACCCATTGCAAAATACAGACAAATCTACTTGCTTTCACTCACAAAGCTACTAGTTTTATCAAGCTACTTGTTCATTCTGCTCACCCATCTTTCACTAATCCAATGACTAAGCACCACCTGTAACACTAAAGTCTTTACCAACTTGTCCACCATATCCAATGCAACCAATTTTTCCCTTACTCCTTCCAAAAGTTCCCACCCTTTATATTTCTTCCATCACTGACCCTTCTCAGTTTTAAGGGACAAGAAGTAGTTATACTAGGAAATCTCTGTACTAATGACATTGACTATGCTAGGAAAGAAAAAGCTGGCAGTGAAAGGGGTGGAGTTGGGGCTGAGTGAAATGTTCAATCCACCTGCCATTTTAGTTTGGCATGGATAGGTAATATATTTTAAAAGACAGATTTAAAAAAAAAATTCAATTGTTAACAGTACTGCTAATAACCAGAAAGATGATTCCCTTAGTCTTCCAATTTCAATAAATACTTTCAGGCACAGAATTAAAAGAGGACTATGGATATTAAGTTCATCCACAGCTATTCTTACCAGTTCAAGAACAATGTCAGAAAGAATACTCCCACCTCTTCTCTTGAGCTTGCTTAGTAATCAGGATGCTTGCTCCTGGGACAGTGAGTTTGCATACAGCACTACATACTATTTATAGGTTCTCTAGAAAGTTTGATCTGTGGTTCATAAGAATGCCCATGGTTCAATGAGTTTTGTACTGGAATAGTCTATTACAATTAGTAGTGGCCAAGTAGGTTTTATACAGATATAGATAGCTTGTTACAGGTATGGCTTGTTCTGTATAGGATACCTATTAGAAAATACCATTCAGTGTATACCTATGTAACAAAACTGCATGTTCTGCACATGTACCCCAGAACTTAAAGTATAATAAAAAAAAATACCATTCAAGTTTTCCCTCAGAAGTTTCAAAAAATCTTATATTTCATCCTCAGATTTTTTAAAAACCTGACTCCCCCTTTGAAAAATTTTAAAGATCAGGACTCTGTGGAGAAAGTGAAACCAGTCTTAAGTCTATTTGTACAATTAAAGATTTCCTTGAAGCATTATCATAATTTAACTATAGTTTTTTTTTTTTTTTAAGAGACAGAGTCTGGCTCCATCGCCCAGGCCAGAGTACAGTGGCGTGACCATAGCTCACTGCACCCTCGACCTCCTGGGCCCAAGCAATCCTCCTGCCCCAATCTCCCAAATAGCTAGAACTATAGGCATGCACCATCATGTCCAACTAATTTTTAAAAACTTTTTGTAGAGATGAGGTCTTGCTACATTGCCCAGGCTGGTCTCAAACTCCTGGCTTCAAGTGATCCCTCCACCTCAGCCTCTCATGGCACTGGGATTACAGGCATGAGCTTCTGTACCTGGCCAATCCTTGTTTTGACCAAAACAGGTAAACATATTTATAATTTAAAACTATTTTAGTTACATGAATTCTGAGATTTTTAAGAGTTAAAAAAGTATGTCAAATAAATATAAAAAAAAAGACCCATACAACTATTCAGTCTTTACTGTTCTCTTCCTGTTTATTCAAGGGCTACAAAAGATAACACTTCCTATTAGTTTTCTAAACAGTTTTCTCAAATTAAAATGAATTAATCTAAAGGCCAAACATTCTTTCTACAACCTATAGAAATCATTTTTGTTAAAAGCTGGATTATTTGGTAGCTGCTGATGATCAAGATGCTTTTAAGTCATTTTAGCTAGTTTGTGATGATACTGAGTCTAAAATCACATTTGCAAATATATTTCCTAAATGGTCACCCTCGATCTGGAAATTGATTCTACTTGTTATTATAAAGGGATGGCTATTGGATGCAGTGATGCAATGCATTCAATCTTCAGGGCAATGACTAACACTGGATTGAGAAAATTAGTATGAGGAAATTGCTGCCTAAACATGTTTTTGTTAAATTATATATGTTTAAAATGTTTAAAAAGGTTTGGAGACAAAAAGGTTTTGTGGACTTAAAAAACAACTGACTCTGATGGAATGCCAAACTGTGAACTGCCAGACAGTTGCAGCTGGTAATAGAACTCTAAGACCTGAAGCGCTCTGGCAGAACCTGATTATATGGTAATCCTAGTATCTGAGAGAAGGCAAAAGAGCTAGAAGAATAACTGATAGACTGGTTGCTATAGTAACCAAGATAAATTTGTATACTGACTGAGGAAAAACATCAGGGTTGCCATCAGGTATGAGGCCCACATTATGTCGTAGGTGCTTTTTCCTCGGTTTTGAATCATGAGATGACAGACTAACACAAACACTGCTGAGTTTGAAATAAGGGAATAGAAAGAGTTTCACTCTGAAGAGTAAGGAAAGCACCCTATTAAAGGTTTAGCTGGTTAGCTGAATAATATCCAACAGTGAGAGGGGAACAGTCCTTGTGAAAGTTTGTAGATATTAGCCTAACTATGGATAGAAATGAGAAACATAGGTTATTTATCAATTCAAGCTAAATATCAGTAGGACATCATAAAGTACCTACAATTTTTGTTACTTTAACTTTGATTTGAGGTATTTCTTATAGGTTATTAATCTCTTAGAGAAGGGGTTATTTAATTCATGCTGTGAACATGTGTATCAAAATGATGGGATTTGTCTTATCTCAGTTATCCATGCCCCAGGAAGCAGCACTGTAACTTGGTCTCTATACCTACTGCTGGGGCTACCTTTACCTCTTCCACCTCCATCACCACAACCTGCATGATCTCTTTATACTCCCTTCCTCCACCTCCACTACTACCCCAGGAAGTAACTAACAAAATTGCAGAGTATGAGGAGGAAACAAGCAGCCTCTTAAAGGTGCTTGCCTGGCAAATTCACCTGATTCTGTCAAAGTCTTAACAATGAACTTAAGAGTACAAACACATGGAGTGTTGGGTAATGTAAAGGTTAGACAGTAAGTCTAAAATACCAATAATTAGAAATTATTTTCTGTTTAAGACCACCACTATACTTCACATCCTAAAACTATTTAGGTTTTTAATATTTTTTAAAATCAAGGGACAGGTGCAGTGGTGCATACCTGTAATCTCAGCACTTTGGGAGGTCGAGGTTGGGTGGATCAGTTGAGCCCAGGAGTTTGAGACTAGCCTGGGCAACATGGTGAAACCCCATCTCTACAAAAAAAAAAAAAAAAAAAAATATATATATATATATATATATATATATATATATAAATTAGCTGGGCGTGGTGGTGCACATATGTGGTCCCAGCTACTTGGGAGGCTGAGGTGGGAGGATCACCTGAGCCTGGGGAGGTCGAGGCTGCAGTGAGCTGAGATTGCACCATTGCACTCTAGCCTGGGTGACAGAGTGAGACCCTGTCTCAAAAAAAAAAACAAAAAACAAAAAACAAACAACACAAATTTTATCTGTCCTATCTTATGAAGTAGATTATCACAAGAAGAGAATACAGTTTCCAATTTACAGGAGTTTATACAGATTCAACTTGAGCCCCCAAATTGCCATGCCACTATGGACTATCCTACCCCCATGAGTTACCAACTGACAGTCAGATGTCACTAAATATAAATTGTTTATTTATTTATTTTTGAGACGGAGTCTTGCTCTGTTGCCCAGGCTGGAGTGCAGTGGCATGACCACAGCTCACTGTAACCTCCGCCTCCCGGGTTCAAGCGATTCTCCTGCCTCAGCCTCCCAAGTAGCTGGGTGTGTGCTACCATGCTCGGCTAATTTTTGTATTTTTAGTAGAGATGGGGTTTGACCACGTTGGCCAGGCTGGTCTCGAACTCCTGACCTCAGGTGATCCACCCGCCTCAGCCTCCCAAACTGCTGAGATTACAGGCGTGAGTCATGGTGCCCGGCCGGATGTCACTAAATTTAGAACTTGAATTTACTAACTAATATGTAGAGGGTTGTTTTTTCTCACTTCAATATGATGTTACATGAGTGCGATAAAACAGCATTTGTAAATATACTTCTATCACTCCTTAAAGCCTTCAGTAATCAAATTTGTGATCAAATGTCAACTCATCAACAAACAGCCATTTTTAAGGAAACTTCCCTAAAGTAATAAATATTGCACAGGTATTTTTTAAATTAAAACTTGTATCAATTTTCAATTCAGAGAGAAATGTTTCTGACACCTAAGTAAAGTGAGAAGCTGAGTTTTCAACAAAGGCAGCTACACACCTTTTTGTTTTTCAGACCTAACAATTATTCAGGACAGTTTGGTCTCAGTTCCCATGACTTAAGATTTTATCATTATTCCTATCTGAATATGGTAGATTGCAGTTAATACTAACTAAATGCCTAAGAATAAAATAATACAAATAATCACTGTTCTTAGACAAGCTATTTTGCCATTGTTTTTCACTTTCACTTGGAAAAAACTCGTAAGCAAAACTTAGGATTCTAAAATAGTTCAAGACCTCTGATAGGCAAGGTATGAAGAAACAGTCAAGTAAACCATCTTAAAAGCCCAGCTAATAGGGTAAGTGCCAGAAACCTATGGCAGGAATAGCCAGCAATACTTTCCCTTCTTCCGCAGACATGGTAGCATGGTATAAGTGAGGAATCAAGAGACCTGGGCTCTAGTTCCAAGTCTGCCCTTATTAGCAATGTGTCACTTCCCCTCTCAGACCCTAAATTTCACTTTCAGTTAAAAGGGAAGGCTGGGCTAAAATGATCTCCAGTCCCTTCCTACTCTAAAAATGTTATGATTCTATCCTTCTTCCAAGGCCTCAAAAATATTTTGGCTGCCACTAAAAAAAAGAGTGCTGAAAATGTTACATTTATTTTTACAACATGTTCTCAGTGCCAGCCTTTAGTATGTGTAAGTATAAACCACATGAGTTAGCAGGGGCATTCATCTCATATATAATTTACCCAGTAAATACTTAATTTCAAATTTATGGGTCTTGAACTATGTACCAAATACCATTAAGTTAAACGAAAAGATTAAAAAAAATCACGAAAGATTTACCAAGAACAAAAGCTTATCAATACAAGCACACTATTAAACCTCAATATAAAGACATTTAGAGTTGGAAGGGTTCTCAAGAGTGTAATCCCCTCAATTTAAAGATGAGGAAATAAAATGACTCACAGTGCAGGGCTCTTTTCTAGTGTACCACACGATTCCTCTTCTCTTTCCTGCTCTATCAAAAGACAGCCCAGTAGCAGAAAGAACGCCAGACAGTCAAACTGATCCGGGTTCTAGACCTAGCTCCACCATTAATTTGCTGTGGCAGCTTTTACAAGTTGCTTTCTCTCTCTAGGTTTCAGTTTTCACAACATTTTACACGAAGGAGTTTAACTAGATGTCCCTTCTAGCTGCAACAGGCTATGATCTTGCAAAATTCCTATCTGACAAAACAAAAATACACGTTGCTGAAAGAAAGTGGAATTTCTTGCCAAGAGAACAAAAAAGTTTAGGCTGCTGGTTTTAATGGAGATGTATCAGTTCAATTCAGCAACTTGGTCCTAAAGCATTTTACTCCAGAATTTACCAGGGGAGGATCTCTGTCCACCTCTCTGTCACTGCTCTCATCGCCCTCCACAGGAAAAAAAAAAAAAAATACTGGACTAGGAGTCTGAAGAGCTGGTTTCAAATCCCAGTTCTGCCACTTAAAAGCTCTCTCCTAGGACAAATTCACTTAACCGTCTCTGAGTCTAAGGTTCCTAGGCCAGGTGCGGTGGCTCACGCCTGTAATCCCAGCACTGTGGGAGGCCGAGGCGGGCGGACCATGAGGTTAGGAGTTCAAGACCAGCCTGACGAACATGGTGAAACCCCGTCTCTCCTAAAAATTAGCTGGGCGTGGTGGCGCACACCTGTAGTCCCAGCTACTCAGGAGGCTGAGGCAGGAGACTCTCTTGAACCCGGGAGGCGAAGGTTGCAGTGAGCAGAGATCGTGCCACTGCACTCCAGCCTGGGCGACAGAGCGAGACTCCATCTCAAAAAAAAAAAAAAATGTTCCTCATATGTAAAAATGAAGATAAAAATGAGAAAACCTGGGCCTGGCGAGATGGCTCATGCCTGACAGTAATCCCAGCGCCCTGGGAGACTGAGGTGGGAGGATCACTTGAAGCCAGGAGTTTGAGACCAGCCTGGGCAACATAGCAAGACCCCATCTCTAAAAAAACCTTTAGCTGAGCAGGGTGGTATGCACCTGTGGGAAGATAACTTGAGCTTAGGAGTTTGATGCTGCAGTGAGCCATGATCTCACCACCTCTCCAGCCTGGGCAACAGAGTGAGACCCTATCTTGGAAAAAAAAAAAAAGAAAAGAAAAAAGAAAATAAAGAAAACCTGACCTAAAATATCAATAAAAAAGCATTATAAATACGGCATATATTGCAAAGCTGGGCAAGTGAAGATCATCTGCCACTGTAGAAAAGTAGGCTGTACTGGAATTAAAAGTCTCTAAAAAAACTGGGCTGATTTTTAACTTATTAAATTTGCTTTCAAAGAGTAGATTAACAAAGCCGAAGACATCATTGGAAGGAAAATGCAAGAAATAAATTAATTTTAGGAAATAGCTTGTGTATTAGGATTGTGCTAATTAACAAAACATGAGATAAGTCTCCACTGCCTATTCAGTTTACTACAATTTGTTGACATAGTCTGTGTACTCCCAAACACACAACAGCAAGGAACATTTCTGAAGTGCCCAAATTCAGTCTATTAACCTTAGAAATTGTATAGTTTGCCACTCCAGATCATATGAAGGAACAGAACATATTTCTGATGACCAATATCTAGTAAGGCAATCTGTTTCCACAAATCAAGATTTCTCACTACATTTCTAGGTTATAAGTTGCCCACCCAGATCTCCTCACGGTGTCTTATGCAAATGATACAACCTTCCACAAAGGATAGAGGAAAATGTAAATGATGCTAACCTTTTTCTGCCCTCAGTGCTGCCAGTTCTTTTCAGATGCAATTCTCCAGATTAGTCTATTGTCTTTCCAATCCTCTAATACAGAAAGGAGCCCTGAAATCCACAAACTGACCCTGTAGTTTTATCCATAGAACTCAACACACTTAGTAATTGGGCAGGTTAAAGTTAAAATTAGAAAGCTGAGTTCCAAAAAAACCTTTTTCAGTTTTCACCTAATATCAGAGGATCAAAGTGCTTGAGAAGCTGTATTATCTCATGAGGGAAGAAGTGACTCTATCAATTCTATCAAAATGACTCATCCGGTTTAGATAAGTAAAATAGGTCCAAGTTCTATATATCTCCCAAAATAAGCTTTGTGTAAAGTTAACAAATTTGCCAATGCCAAGAAAGGAAGGAGAAAAGCATGAACATTTTGAATGCTTTCTCTGTGCCCAGGTACTGGACTAGACAGTTTACACAGGTCCTGATATAACTTGCGTCCTTTGAAATTAAACTTATTCAGTGGAAAGAACAATATCCACAGAGTAGTTCTAAACTGATCAGCTCATAAACTGATGATTTCCCTCCCCCACCCCAATACACACACACAAAAGTACCAAAGGACTTGGTGTCTCATTCAATCTGAATTGTCAGTTCATTACTTTGAAGGGAAAACCACACACACAAAAATTAAGTTTCACGGAAGTCCAATACATTTCAAAACCCAAATGTATTTCCTATGCTCTACACCTAGCTCTAAACTTGTCTCAGATATTGAACTTGAAGGAGATTCGGTGTCATCTCAAGATTGGCCACTGCCACCCCAAAATCCCACAACAGTGACATGAAGGTTGGTGGAAAGACAAACATCTGAAATCTACCAACGTACATTGCTTTCTGATTTTATTACTGTAACTTTTTGGTGCATATTGTGTATAAACATACATTAGTTTTTAGAATGACTTCTAGCATGCATGGCTAACTATACTTGCATCACAGCGGGTTATTACTCCCACGGAGTAAGTGTGAGAATTGAAGGCAGTGAACTTCTCGAACCATATTAGTCCTTTATACTAACATCTACATTTTACCAATCCTCAAGTTCTTACAGCATGAAAATATATTTCACTGCCTCTATTTCCACGTACATTCGTAGGGGAGTTCGGCGAAATCGCTTTAAAGCACTACCCCAACTTTGAAAAGTGGAGAAGTGGGTAAGTAAATACAAGTCCTAGTCAAGCGAGCATTCCAACTACTGTACTTCCTATTCAGAATCACCCATATTAATCACCACTAAAACATCTTGCAGAATTAGATAAAGAACACAAAGCTGGGGCTCTCCTTCCAATCACCAGATTACTCAGCACTTGTTTGTCCCTCTGCAGTCAGTTGTGCACATTTCTTCTGTCTGGCCATCCTTTTAGACCGCATTCTGCCTAATAGGGACCGTGTATTCGATTTCCTTTACCTCACGATAAGGTGTTATTTTAATAAAACACTGTTGATCTAGAGTACATTCGCTAGAGGACTTTCTTAAGCAAATACCCAACCTTCCCCCCGCTCCTTTTCGCTGTGTGCAAGAAAAAGAGGACGGCAAATAGGGGAGAGTTACAGCCACCTCTGAAGTGAATAGGTAAGTTAGCGGTAAACGGGAGAATAAAAAACTACAAGTTACATTTCTCCTGTTACTGCTCCTTTAATCTACGGTCCCCGAGGCCAAAACGGATGTTTGAAAGGTAAGCTCAGAACCCCACAGATACAAATCTCCGACTCAGGCACGTAAGCTGTTCCCCCTCACAGAAGGCTGGATCAGAAGAGAAACGGGCTCCGAGACCGACCCTGGGACCGTTCAGTAGGGAAACGGCCGGGAGGCTGCCCGAGGTGGCTGACTCCCCCTTCTCCGAGTCACCCCGCCCTAAGAAGCCCCAGGTCTGGGTTCTGAAGTCCTCCAGTGAGACGGGGAGGAACAGCGGTGGCGGACACAGCGGGACCTGGGAGGGGTGTAGGGGGAAGACACAGGAGATGCGGGGGGCTTGGGATGCCCGGCTTCCTGTCATAGCTGCAGTCACTTACCCCACGGGGTAGCCGCCCCCTAGGTGCACATCTTCAGGGGCATCATAGAATTCCTCGGTGTCGCTTTCCGACGCCATTTATAGGACACACCCGCGGGTGAGGGGGCCGGCGCCGCCTGGAGGAAGGGTGACTCTTGTCTCCTCCTCGTCGACCTCCACCCGGGCGAGACTGGGGAAGTGGGTCTCGGGCGAGGCTGAGGGAGCAGACGATCTGTAGCGAGGAGACTGTTAAGGAAAGGGGGCCGCCCTCAGTTGCCGGGCTTCGGGAATGACCGGCAAAGCGGCCGCCTGAAGAGGCGGCGGTTGGTCCAGGGAATGTTGCTGCCACCGCTCCCAGTGATAGGTGTATAAGGAGCGCGAAAGAGGCGGTGGCTCCTCGCAGTAAGGGAAGAAGGGCGCGCCGGCTACAGCGGCTCCAGTTTCTCCCGCAGCAGCAATTTACAGCAGCTGGAAGAGCTAGTTGCCCGCAAAATACCGACGCGCACCTACCCTCGCGAGATTTCGGAGGGGCGGTAATACGTGGGCGGGGCGAAGAGGTGGCGGGGGCGGTTCCAGAGAGGCAGCGCTCCGATTACTTCGGCCCGAGAAGCCTATCAAAACGGCGCAAGCGCGTTGAGGGCGTTCGGTGAGGGCCGGAAGTAGCCGAGAAGGGAGGGGGTGAGCCTCCCGAAGGGAGGAGTCTAGGACCTGCGCAGGAGCAGCGTGGTGCCCTGGCTCTGAGAGCGCGCGGCCGACGTAGGTGGGGTCAGGCAGAAAGTCTTACTCCCTAACTCTGCAGTTCCAAAGAGACGCGTTTTGAGAGGGGTGATTTTGAGTCGGTCTTTTACTTGTAAAGAAATACTCTCGGGAAACGTTGGTGTGGACATTTTGGCGTATATTTACGATGTCTTACTATCCAAGCCCGGAATGTCCCACCCTAGGGCGTCGGCAGGTCCACCACCTCTGGCGTTACGAGAATAACTCGCCCTTATTCACTACGAGATCTCTAATTGAGATCCCTAGATATGATCCTGCCGGCCAGAGGGTGGGGTCCTTGAGATATACACGGGGAGTGTGCCAGTTCCATGGTGTAATGATGGATTTATTGCTGGAGCTGAGCCAGTATTAGGCCTCCGGTTACTTTTTCTCCGCACATGTCTGTCGCTGCCAACACAGTGTGAGAGAAGTTCTTACATACTGCCCAAGATGTGCGTCAGCTAAATGGTAAATATTTATTGAGCAGATATCATTGCAAGCCTACGAGCTAATGGCTTAATTCTGATCCTCAACTGCCCAGCGTCCGGTGATAAAAATAGAAAGGTACTTTTTAAAAAACCGAGATGTTCCTTCTTAAACCACGGGTCATTGACCATCAAGGTGATAACATTGACTTTCAGTATGATCACACAGCATATTTATTTCTCCAACTGACATCATGATAGGCATTTTGAGCTGTTCGTGCAGCCTCAATTAGTATTCAAGAAAAGGCTGGATTGGAGCCAGGGGTATGGTCTCAGAGAAACTGGAAAGGGGCTCTAGACTTTGTCAAGCAATCAGGGCAAGGTCTGCTGTGGTCTAGTGGACTTGGGTAAAAACCAAATGTCATATACTGTATATTCTATAATACCCCAGGGAGTTTAGGGAAAACACTGCGTAATCAAATATATTAATATTTTTGCAGCAAGATATATGATTGTTCATACGGGATAAATAAATACAAGTAAATAGCCTCATTCAGTTTGAGTCAGACGCTTCTGCCAAATAAGTTTAAGATAGATCTATTTGACTGTCAAATAAATTACTAAAAAAAAAAAAAAACAGAAACTTGGTTTCCAGAGCTTTTGAAGTTTCAGAATTGGAGACAAGGGATTTGTGGATCCTTGTGAGGGTATGACTTTTGTCAAACCTAAAAATTATTAGGTTTTATGTGTCTTAAACATGTTAATTAACTTCCTAGGTATAAAAATGTAACTCAAAGTACTAACTTTTAAAAACGTTTTGCTCACTAAGATAGGTTTTTTTGTTTTCTTTTTGGATTATGGAAAGATACCAGATATAAGGTAGGGAAATATATATTTATGGAAAGATGTTAACTACCTGAATGTATTCTCTTCCTAGATATCTAATAGTGAATTTATGGCTTCCAAAGAAAAAAAAGTTAGTTTTCTCTATATGATAGAGGTGTTAGTTCCAGGCGCGGTGGCTCACGCCCGTAATCCCTGCACTTTGGGAGGCCGAGGCAGGCGGATTTCTTGAGCTCAAGAGTTTCAGACCAGCCTGGGCAACATGGTGAAACCCTGTCTCTACAAAAAATTCAAAATTTAACTGGGTGTGGTGGCATGTGCCTATGGTCTCAACTACTGTGGAGGCTGAGGTGGGAGAATCGCTTGAGCCCAGGAGGTTGAGGCTACAGTGAGCTGAGATAGCACCACTACACTCCAGACTGGGCAGCAGAGCCACACCCTGTCTCTCACACACACACACAAAAAACAACAGCAACAACAAAAACAAAATGCCGTGTGTGGAAACCAGTCGCTCAGTTCAGTAAACATATACAATTTGGTGTCATGAAGCGTTCTAGATGCTGAGGACAATTGACAGATTAAAAAGACAACTAGATCCGGCGCGGTGGCTCACACCTGTAATCCTAACACTTTGGAAGGCCGAGGTGCGCAGATCACTTGAGGTCAGGAGTTCGAGACCAGTCTGGCCAACATGGCAAAATCCTGTCTCTACTAAAAATACAAAAGTTAGGGGGGCGTGGTGGCACTTGCCTGTTGTCCCAGCTACTCGGGAGGCTGAGGTAGGAGAATTGCTTGAACCTGGGAGGCGGAGGTTGCAGTGAGCTGAGATCCCGCCGCTGCATTCCAGCCTGGGCGACAGAGGGAGACTCTGTCTCAAAAACAACAACAACAACAACAACAAAAACAAAACAGAAAAAGACAACTTAAGTTTCTGCCTACAAAAAGCTAATAATCTAGCAGTGGAGACAAATACGGAGTCCTAGTTTGGTGCTCTGTTTTTTTTCAATATACCATATCAGCTCTCTTGGACCTTTTAAGCTGCCTTAAACATTATACTTAGAAAAAGGTAAAATGGATAGGAATGATAAACTGGTAACATTTTTAGAGCTTTTAAAGTTTCCGTTTAAATGCTTTTATCAATTGCATGAGAAAGCCAATTGCTAGAATGAATTGCTGGAAACGTTAAAACACATATAAATACTGCCCATCGTCACTTTTTTTTGTTTTTTTTTTTTTTGAGATGGAGTCTCGCTCTGTCGCCCAGGCTGGAGTGCAGTGGCTCGATCTCTGCTCACTGCAAGCTCCGCCTCCCGGGTTCACGCCATTCTCCTGCCTCAGCCTCCCGAGTAACTGGGACTACAGGTGCTAGCCACCACGACCGGCTAATTTTTTTGTATTTTTAGTAGAGACGGGGTTTCACCGTGTTAGCCAGGATGGTCTCGATCTCCTGACCTCTTGATCCGTCCGCCTCGGCCTCCCAAAGTGCTGGGATTACAGGCGTGAGCCACCGCGCCCGGCCCCATCATCACTTTTAAAGATGTAAAAGATGTGTTTATTTTGCCTGAAATATCAGTTCTTGAGTTTTAAAGCAGCAGATTTTAGGTATCATCCAAGGCAGTGGTTTTGAAGCTTTTCTCTGTATTAGAAATGGAACCTTAATCAAACTTAATTTTATGCAAAAGTCGATATAGTATACAAATAAAAACTGCTCTATTTGAAACAGGGTTTCAAAGTTGAGGTCCCTGTCTGTTTGACCTTCCTTGAATCTCCGGAGACTGTCCTAAGGCCCGATAAAAAAAAAGAACAAATGAAAAACTATTGGTCCAAAGCAGAGGTTGGCAAATTATGGTCCACTGGACAAATCTGTCCCACTCTCTGTTTTTGTAAATAACATATTGTTGGAACATAGCCAGGACTATTTGTTTATATATTGCACATGGCCGCTATCATGGCAGAGTTGAGTAGCTGGGACAGAGACTGTGTGACCCACAAAGCCTAAGCCTAAGATATTTACTATCAGGCCGTTTTTACAGAAAAATTTTCAGATCCTTGGTCCATAAGATACTATTTTCTAGGGTACCTCAGAACTAAAAATACCCTCAAATTAAATGGTTTCAGCAGATCATATGATGCTGCAAAATCATGTGTGTAGATAAAAATAAGAATAAAACCTTCCCTACCTGGCTCATTCCCAATGACTATTAAAATTTCATACATCTAAGGGTAAGGTGGGTTTAAGGAAAATTTTTATGCTTAACTAAATTCCTTATCTGCATAGCAAATACTCTACTCTCCAAAGACTAGAGGTCACAGCCACTGTATGGAACAACTTATCTGTGGGATGTTCATTCTCTCCTCTTGGCAAGAATAATACAAACTGGCAACATCCTTGAGGCTAATTTTGCCGCAACCCCAAGGGTAACCAGTCACTCAGAACATCAGTGTTCCAAGTACATCCTAATGCATGTAGCCTTTTGTTACAAGCAAGAGCTAAAGTGATAACTCAGGAAAAATAATTTTTTATGTACAGTGTTAGGTGATTTGAGACATAATGTTGACAGGAAAAGATTAAATATTACTCACTGTGTTGCCCAGGCTGGTCTTGAACTCCTGGCCTCAAGTGATCCTCTTGCCTTGGCCTCCCAAAGTGTTGGGATTACAGGCGTGAGCCACTGTACCTGGTCTACAACCTGCAACCCTTCTGATACCTACTTCCACAAGCAAATTTCAGGTCTTTTTCAAAGTAAAGTACCATCTTTACTGTAGCATTTATGTATTTCCTAATCATTTTACATGTGTAAAACTGTGCTGCCATTTTTATTAGGTTCATATCTTTTTGTGTATATATCACTGATGAAATTTTTGAATGTTGTGCCCCTACCCCATTTTCCCCATAAGCCTTGTGGTTTTTATTGAACAATTTTGCATAGCAGAGTGATTTTTAGGAATGCTCATGCCCCTTTATAGCAGAACTGACTGTAGTCCAGATGTGGTAGCTTCAGGTATGGCTGGATCCAGGGCCCAAGATATATCAATACGCTCTCTCTTTCTGTCCATCTGCTTCTTTTTGTGTTTTGGCTTCAATTTTCCTACTGCAAACAACTTCCTTCTTGTAGTTAGTGAAGATGGCTGCAAGGAACTTTAGCTTATAATGTCTTAATAACTCTCAGTCCCAAAGGAAGTGAGACTTTCTCTGTCAGTGTTTATATATTAAATCTCAGAGAGGATGTTGATTGGTTTTAGGAGGCCCATCTAGCTAGGAGCATACAGAACTCTCATTTGTTCAGGCCTGGGTCAGCTGATTGCTTGCCACTCGCCAAATCAGGAGAGACTACTGTGATTATCTTCCTTACTAGGACTGCATAGAATATTCAGTGGATGTTTTTTCAAGGAAAGGATACTAGCAAAACAAACAGACAAACAAAAGGATACTAGCAGACAGTAGCAACATGTTTATATAAGTTATTAAGGGGTAAGTCTCTATATACATTGACATGAAAAGAGCTCATAAAGTGTTAAATGAAAACAGATGTTACAGAATACTGTGTATAGAATAATCCCATTCATGTCAGTCATTTATCTATGCACATGTGTATACCTCTGTGTATGGAGAATTCTGGAAAAATATTCACAAAGGATTTACGGCGAGCATCTTTTGTTGCTGATTAAAATAATAATAATAGGAGGTTTGTGCCTTATTTGTACCTTTGTGTAATGATTTTCTACAGCGAATATGTATTACCTTATAAATAAGGGGAAATTATTAAAAGAAAATATATAACCTATCATATACAAGGTAGATTTACATACAAAATTAAGATCTAAAATTCATTTCCTACATAGTGCATAACTATGAGTCCTGGGCCTATTGTAGGTAAGATGGTTTCTGGAACACTTCAGTAAATACCACCAAGAAGCTGAACTTTGAAAAAATACCCACAAAGCAAATCTTGAAATGCAATTAGTCTACCAGTAGAAAGTCATATTTTCTGCACTGCAAGCCTGACACATAAAGAGAATAAGTAATGGTAATTTCTAAAGCAACTAGAAATGGTGAATCTGTGAAACAGATCGGAAGCTTTTTGGAGCAAGGTTGGAGGTATACTTCTAACAATATGGACTAAGCATAATTTTGTTTTTCAACACATTGAGTATATATGGCGTGATCTAAAGAGAAATGAATAAAGGCATATGAACTTCATCCTTCAAAAAAATTATTCTGGGTCACAAACTGGAGAAGATGTCTTTTATCTACCACCCATGGCATCTTTATTTTTTTTAAATGCTTGAAACTCAATCTAAAGGCAAATATTTATATAGAAATGTCAGTCACCAGGCTAATATACACATACACACACACACTCAACAGCAACAACTAGAATTTTCTGGTGCTATAGACTGTTTGTGTTCTCTCAAAATTCATATGTTGAAACCTAATCCCCAATGTGATGGTATCTGGAGGTGAGAAGGAACTTTAAAGGTCATCAGTCCAAGCCTCATATCTCATAGATGAATTCCTTCTACAAACTTCACCAGTAAATGGTCATTCAAGGACATGGAGTTTAGTATTTATCCAATCAATTTTTTGATAACCTCTAATGTTAGCAGATTTCTTCATTTTATTTGGCCCAAATCTACATTTCTGTAATTTTCATCCACTGGTTATGATTCTGGTTACTAAGTCCATACAAAACCTTTCATCTTTTCAAAGATGGTTATCAATTCTCTGTTGTATGTTTATCTTGGGAATATATACTGATATGTTTACACTGAATGTGTTCAGAGACAGATAAATGGGAATTTTGACTACACAATTAAGGTGGTGCATTAAATAAATATGCAATAATATGTGCAGATACTATACATGTCCACCATATGTGTACAGTACCTGTTTAATGGTATGTTCTCTGTGTGTACCTAGTAATAATATGTTTTTTTGTTTCTTTTTTGTTGTTTTTGTTGTTTTGAGACAGAGTTTTGCTCTCGTTGCCCAGGCTGGAGTGCAGTGGCGCGATCTTGGCTCACCACAACCTCCGCCTCCCAGGTTCAAGCGATTCTCCTGCCTCAGTGTCCTGAGTAGCTGGGATTACAGGCATGTGCCACCACGCCTGGCTAATTTTTGTATTATCAGTAGAGACGGGGTTTCACCATGTTGGCCAGGCTGGTCTTGAACTCCTGACCTCGTGATCCACCCGCCTCAGCCTCCCAAAGTGCTGGGATTACAGGCGTGAGCCACCACACCCGGCCAATAATATGTTACATAACAATAGTTATTCATACTTTCTAAGACAATTTCATCTATTATTTAATGATAATATAATCACTATCATTAAATTAGTGCTTACTAGGTAACAGGCACCACATTAAGTACTTTGCATATATTATTTCATTTCATACACTATATGAAGAAGATGCTACTATTATACCCATTTTACAGGTAGGGAAATTGAGGTTTAGAAGAGTTAAGTAATTTGCCCTATGTTTCACAGCTAGTTTTTAGTGGTCAGGATTTGAGCCCAAGGCCTTCTGAATTCAGAGCCTGAACTCTTAGGCACTTTAAGGGTAGGAAAGATCATATTATCACCTTTGCTTTACAAATATGAAAACTGAGATGTTGAAAGTGGTGACATGCCTCAGGTTACACTTTGATTTGATTTTATTATTTTATTTTTTCATTACCTCTCCAGAGTTTGGAGTTTTATTAGCCTGCAACAAATGAAGCATGTTAATGAATGAAATATCTAAAATAATAATATTGCAGCAAGTAAAAAAGCAATTGGTTGATTTTTTTTTCATTTTTTATGGTATGCTTTATCTAAATGGGTACATCTCAACATTGGGGGGTTGTGGTAGGCAGTATTCTAGGATGGCCCCCAGGATTCCCAGCCCCTGGTATACACACATCTCCCAGTTATTCAGTCCCAAACTAATCTAGACGCTGTTGTGAAGAGATTTGTCAGATGTGATTCAAGTTCCAAATCAGTTGACTTTAAGATTAGGTAGATTAGGCTGGGCATGGTGGCTCATGCCTGTAATTCCAGCACTTTGGGAGGCTGAGGTGGGCGGATCACGAGGTCAGGAGTTCGAGACCAGCCTGACCAACATGGTGAAACCCCCGTCTCTACTGCAAATACAAAAACTCCCCGGGGCCTGTCGTGGGGTGAGGGGGAGGGGGGAGGGATAGCATTAGGAGATATACCTAATGTAAATGACGAGTTAATGGGTGCAGCACACCAACATGGCACATGTATACATATGTAACAAACCTGCACATGTACCCTATAACTTAAAGTATAATAATAAAAAACAAACAAACAAACAAACAACAAAAATTAGCCGGGCGTCCTGGCGCATGCCTGTAATCCCAGCTACTCAGGAGGCTGAGGCAGGAGAATCGCTTGAACCTGGGAGGCGGAGGTTGCAGTGAGCCCAGATCGCACTCCAGCCTGGGTGACAGAGTGAGATTCTGTCTCAAAAAAAGAAAAAAAAAAGATTAGGTAGATTATATAGGTGGATCTGGCCTAATTACATGAGTTCTTTAAAAGCAGAGAGATTTTTTTTCTGGCTGATGGGGAAGAGGAAGTCAGAAAAATGCACTCTGGTTGGCCTAGATGAAAACAAACATCTATGCTGTGAACTGCCTACGAGGGCCATGCGGTGTGGATTATGGGTGGCCTCTAAGAGCTGAGAGTGAACCCCCAGCTGATAGTCAGCAAAGAAATGGGAGCCTCAGTCCTGTGGCTGCAGGGAACTGAAGTCTGCCAACAGCCAGCAGGAGCTTGGGAGAGGACCCCAAGATCCAGATGTGAATGCAGCCTGGCTGACATCTTGGTTTCAGCCTTGTGAGACCCTGAGCAGAGAGCCTAGTCACACTGTACTCAGATTTCTGGCTTACAGAACTGTGAGCTAATAAACTGGCATTGTTTTAAGCCACTAACCTTGTGGTAATTTGTTATGAAGCAATAGAAAACTACTACAGGGATAAATATCCTTATCCTCTCTCCTGGTTAAGAACCACAGATCTAGGTAGGTCATGATAAAAGCACGTGTAATACATCAACATGGACTGTTTGCTTTCTGAAGTCCTTGAGTGCCCTTGGGAATAAATATAACACTGGAGTGAACATTATGGTGTGTTTCTCTTAACAGAAAAACAGTGAATTCAGAAAAAATAACCTAACATGCATTTAAGATATGAAAGAAATGTTTAGCATCATATACACTACAGACACACTGTGCCCCAAATTCAACCCCATTTACAAAATGTTCCCCAGAACCCCAGCAATCCTCCTACGCATGTGATGTAAGGGACTGCCTGATCCCTGCTTCTGTGGTCTTTCCCATTGGGTGAATCTGCTTGCCTTTAGAACTTGTGCTCAGTTCCAATGTCAATCTTTATTTTTTTCATTCCAAATACTTTTAGATTTTAAGGTATAATTGACAAATAAAAATTGTATATATTTATGGTGTACAATGTGATGTTTTAAATATATATACACACATTGTGAAATGATTAAATCAAGCTAGTTAACACATCCATTACCTCACATATGTATCACTATTTTGTGGTGAGAACATTTAAAATCTACTTTTAGCAATTTTCTTTTTTTCATACCTTAGACTTTCAAATGATGTACTCCCGTGTGTGTGTGTGCGTGTGTGTGTGTGTGTGCGTGCGTGTTATTATGCCGAACACTTGCAGAACTCTTTCAGACTGAAAACTCACACCCTTCAAATCAGGCAAATTCTCCATTATTTGTTTGCTAATCTCCTGCTTCCTATTTTTCTCTGTTCTCTTTTCTGTAACTTATATTAGCCATTGGTCTCATTTTCCATGTTTATTTTCGCTTTTTCTTTTTTTAACTTTAAGCTCAGGGGTACAAGTGTGGGTTTGTTACATAGGTAAACTTGTGTCATAGGGGTTTGTTGTACAGATTATTTCATCTTCCAGGTATTAAGCCTAGTACCCACTAGTTGTTTTTCCTGATCCTCTCCCTCCTCCAAACCTTCTCCCTCCAATAGGCCCCAGTGTGTGTTGTTCTCCTTTCTGTTCATGTGTCCTCATCATTTAGCTCCCACTTATAAGTGAGAACATGTGGTATTTGGTTCTCTGTCCCTGAGTTAGTTTGCTAAGGATAATGGCCTCCAACTCCATCCATGTCCCTGCAAAGGACATGATCTCATTAATTTTTTATGGCTGCAAGCAATTTTCAAGTATATGATATATTATTATTAACCATAGTCACCATGTTGTGCAATAGATCTCCAGAACTTATTCCTCCTGTCTAACTAAAACTTTCTATCTTTTGACCAATATCTTCCCATTTCCTGGCTGTGGCCCCTTACTCCCCCTAGGCCCTGGCAACCACCACTCTACTCTCTGTCTCTATGAGTTTGACATTTTTAGATTTCACATGTAAGTGATATCATGCAGTAGTTGTCTTTCTGTGCCTGGCTTATTTAACTTAGCATAATGTACTCCAGGTTCATCTGTGTTGTCACAAATGACTGTATTTCCTTCTTTTTAAAGGTTGAATAGCATTCCTCAATGTTTATCTTAATAGTGACCTTCCAGTGTCATTATCTGGTGTCACTGTGGTTGCATGATCATTCATTGCTTCTTCAACAGAATTAATAACAGATTAAGGGCTCACTATATGCCAGGTATGGTACTACATATCAGGTTAGCAGTGGTATGGCCTGATCCTTGACTGAGCTTTTCATCTGCATTGTCTAAGCCTGGAATCTGACACATGATCCATATCATCTGGGGATGGGGCTCCCATTAGTCATTGGCCAGTCCCTGAAAAACAAAATCCCTAACTTTTCACTTATGGTTTTTTGCCTATGTTCCTCACCTTTGAAGCTAAATCTTCAGCATATCAGCCTGCCCTGACTATAGTCTTCCTATGTTTCCTGGCCAGTACTAAGTCTGGACTTGAAACCTAGCTTGCCCTGCTGGATTTTTTGCCTTCTTCTGTTATCCTGTCCACCTTTACACACTGCCCATCTAAGTCACAGTGGCTGGCTGGTATGGTCGGGAATATCTGTTCCTTTAGACCTGCCATATACCTCTTCAAGTTGGGAAATAGTAGACATAATTTTAGTTTTTCAAATTTTCTGACAAAGTTTTATACCCAAAGTGATCATTTTGTGAAGAGTAGACAACTTGTTGTGGCCAGGTGCAGTGACTCACGCCTGTAATCCCAGTACTTTGGGAGGCTGAGGCAGGCAGATCACTTGAGTTCGAGACCAGCCTGGCCAATATGATGAAACCCTGTCTCTACTAAAAATACAAAAATTAGCCAGGCATGGTGGCACACACCTCTAGTTCCAGCTTCTAGCTACTCGGGAGGCCGAGGCAGGAGAATCACTTGAACTCAGGAGGTAGTGGTTGCAGTGAGCTGAGATCGCACCACTGTACTCCAGCCTGGGCAACAGAGTGAGACTCCATCTCAAAAGAAAAGAAAACAAAACAAAACAGTAGACAACTTGTTTAGAAATGAACCATGGATCTGGCCTCAGTCTTGGGCAAAAGTCTGAAAGTCATGACCTAAGAAGAGGGATGAGGGTAAAAAGGGAATAATAATTTAGTCTGTACTTATGATCTAGCTTGTATTTTACAAGTTATCTCAATCATTTAATTCTCAAACCTTTCTCCACTGTATTTTTATTTTCATTGTGTAGGTAGGAATCTAAAGCATGTGGCACGGTCAAAATTTGAACTTAGGTGAGTACTGAGCCTTAAAGTGAATGCTTTTCCTGGTATACCACACCAAATGCATACCTTTATCTCTATTTTTCCTTTTGGAAATTGCAGAATGGCTGAGCTAGGAGTTAGAATTAACAGAGCTCACCTATTGGATGCTGCTTCCGATTCTGAAAAAAAGTCTACATTGACCATACATAATTTCGGTTCTAGTATTCTGAAACAACCCACGAGGCTTATTCAAGCAACTAAACTCATTGTCCCTTGCTCTTTTAGAGGCTGACATCATGACTGGGTGCCTTGACTGTGGTCAATCCAGGATTCTCATGTGGGCTAATGAAGGGTTGGCATTAGCCTAATTAATTCAGTAGACAGAGTGAAGATGCTAATTAAATGTGGCCTGAATCTGAAGATTTGTATATTTCACTAATTTTGGAAAACTCTCAGCCATTAACTGTTGGATATTGCCTTTCTCCTATTCTGCTTAATATTTTCTTCTAGAAGTCACATTAGATATGCAGTGGTCCTTCTTATTATATCCCCCATATGCTTTAACCTGTCTTTTGTGTTTTTAAAATGTGTACTATGATCTTTATTTGTGAACATATATTCATTGGAACTTTCTCTTTGGAAATTCTTTGAGGCCTAGGTTTAAAGTGTATTCTTCCAGAGAAGAGTTGCACTTAACCCTGCTAGTAACTTGGGAACGCTATCAATCCAGAATGATTTTAGGCCTAATTTCCAGTGTGAGATGTCTTGATCATACAGATAATGTGAAAGTTGAACCTAGACCTACCTGAGTACAAGTTTGGGGTTATGAAGCTTTCAAGGAGTTCTTTTTTTTCCCCTCATTTTTCCCCCATACTTCACAGAGCTAAAACCGAGGCAGGCCCATACCTCTACCATCTGCCTCTGAGTGGTAGTTTTACCCCCTGTTCATCCATTACCATTTGGGGGTCTGACTTTAACCAGAGAAGAAGGGGGATAGTGTGTGTCTGATCCAATTTATAACCTTGCTTGGGCCCTGGGAGTTGTCTCCTTTGCCCCATGCACTTGAGTGATCCGTTAAAACTACTTTTTAGGGGCCAGGCATGGTGGCTCATGCTTGTAATCCCAGCACTTTGGGAGGCCAAGGCAGGTGGATCACCTGAGGTCAGGAGTTCGAGACCAGCCTGACCAACATCGTGAAACCCCGTCTCTACTAAAAATACAAAAATTCGCCAGATGTGGTGGGGCATGCCTATAATTCCAGCTACTTGGGAGGCAGAGACAGGAGAATTGCTTGAACCCGGGAGGCGGAGGTTGCAGTGAGCTGAGATCGCGCCACTGGACTCCAGTCTGGGTGACTGGCTGTTTTTGAGACTCCATCTCAAAAACAAACAAACAAATAAACAAAAACAAAAAACAAACCAACAAAAAAACCTACTTTCTAGGGTTGCTAGGAACCAGTAGCTATCCAAAAGGAAATGCCAGATTTATAGCTTCCTTTTCCTTCGGCATTAGTGCTAAGATATCCTTACTGGCTCTTACTCTCGCCATCTCAACCATCAGTCATGCATTTAAAAGGATATTTTCTATCTGTCTATCCATCTATCAACCATCTATAATGTATCATCATTTTAAGATGTGCCATACTGGGTGGTATTTCTTTGGCTATCTCTTCTGCCGTATAACCTCAGTTAAATTCTATTCCACAGAAAGATGGGGATTTGGATAGGTTGGATTCAGTTCTGATGGAGTTGTCATGGAAGCAGTCTTTTAGGCAGAAAGTAAACTGTATAAAAGTTCTCCTTTTGGGGCTGTATTGATTAGGCTATTACATAGTTGTTGCAGTGGATATGTTATTATAGTGTTGTATTAGTCCGTTCTCACACTGCTATAAAGAAATATCTGAGACTGGGTAATTTATAAAGAAAAGAAGTTTAATTGGCTCACAATTCCAGGGGCTGTGCAGGAAACATGCTGGCCATCAGCTTCTGGGGAGGCTTCAGGAAACTTACGATGATGATGGAAGGCGAAGGGAGAGCCAGCACTTCACATGGCTGGAGCAAGAGGAAGAGCGAGAGAAGGGGGAGGTGCTACACACTTTTAAATAACCAGATCTCTTGAGAACTCTATCACGAGAATAGCACTAGGGGGATAGTGCTAAACCATTCATGAGAAACCACCCCCGTGATCCAATCACCTCCCACCAGGCAACACTTCCAGCACTGAGGATAACATTTCAACATGAGATTTGAGCGGGGACACAGATCCAAACTATATCAAGTGTCTTTGAAAATAATGGTGCTTGAAGTCCTGGATCAGAGAGTGTGCCATAGCTACTTCTACTGGCAGCAAGTCCTTGAAGAGGCCAGTTACTTTCTGGGCTGGATAACTGCAGAAAGTGGATCAAACACTGTTTGGGTAAAAGGTGAGAGTTCATTTTTTCCAAGAGAGTGTGAGGCTATCTAGTCTGCCGAGGAAGGATAGAGTTTCAATCCATTTGAAACTGAGCTACTTTATTATTGAGGATCCATAACTTTTGTCTAAAAAGGAGTCTGAACCTATGAATTAAGTTGTCTTAAATAAATAAATAAATTTTAAAAAGGGGTCATTGATTTCTTTGCTTGAAATCTAAGTTTTCTCCCTTTGAGTCTACATTTGTTAGTGGACAGCCATTCAATGAGGAATGAAAGTTAATGAGGCCAGTAACAGAAACCAGTTTCCCCTTGTCATATATCATAGGTAGGAAACTTGAAGTCTAGGCCATGTATCATACCATCCCTGGGAAAGACTTTCGACCCCATCAATCTCTGAGGATGCCCATTGTAAATCCAAAAGTCATTCTGTAAATGAGGGGGTTGAAGGCAAGAAGTGATTAACTAGTAATACCCTAAGCCAATGCTCCCCCAGGAGTAAGGGTTGGGATGGTAGAGGAGGAATGTTCATGGTTTTATTGAGGAAGTGTTGTGTTATGGACCTGTGTAGTGAAGGAAATTGGGGAATTTGTTTTCAGCTTAGACTCCAAACCAGGAGTGGCTTTTCAAAAAAAAAAAAGCAGAAGGGATTTAAAATGCACCTCCCATTCTCTCACCTTGAAGAATGCTGATTTTAAAAATGAGAGAATACAACAGCTTTAGAGAACGCAGATTGCTGGTTAGACCAGGGATTCTCGACCCCCATCCCCCATCCACAAACTTGGGTTTTGCCAAAATCTCATGTATCCTGGGCAGAAAGCACATGTCACTTGAAAAAGCTCCTCAGATTATTTTCATATATCCCCTTCCCTTCCAACCAACCCCCGCTTTTGGAACTGTTGGGTTAGACATTGCCTGAAAGTATTGCCAATTCCTATTAACTAGTACAGCAGGTAGCCAGCCACTTGCAGAGCACATCAGAAGGAAATAAAGGTTAATATAGGAATAAATTAATTATTGATACTTAGAGCAAGTGCATGGGATTCCTAATAAGCACCCTGAAGCAAGAATTGGTTCTCCCACATCAGTCAGCATTGGTATGACAACTTGGGAGACATAGGGAATGATTCCCAGAATCTGAAAGGAAAATGTAGGCAGGGTCTGTTCCTGAGAAAAGAGGATCTGGAGATTGATATCAAAACCCACCACAGACCCTTGTAGTTTGCTTTATTAAAATATATGTAGTAAGTAAACAAGTAGTGTGTATCTGTGTGTGCATGAGCAAGAATATAGTCCTTGCTGTTAGAGTTCACTTTCTGTTACTCTCTCTGTCATTTTTTTTTTTTTTTGAGACGAAGTCTTGCTCTGTTGCCCAGGCTGGAGCACAATGGCGCAATCTCGGCTCACTGCAACCTCTGCTTCCTGGGTTGAAGCAATTCTCCTGCCTCAGCCTCCCGAGTAGCTGGGACTACAGGTGCCCGCCACCACGCCCAGCCAGTTTCAATTACTCTTAACAGATATCTCTGCTGTCTTCATAAAGTCTCAAGTTAAAGAACTTTCCATACATCACACACTGTTATGGGTGCATTGCCTGCTGACCACAGTCAAGATCTTGATGCCTAAAGTGAACAAAGCTACATAAGCAGCATCTCTTATTGCAGTGGTTTTCAAACTATACACTCAACTGGAGAGCCTGTTAGAATACAGATTCTGGGACTTCACTCCAGATCTATTGAATTCTGATCTCTGGGAGATCCCCAAAATCAGCATTTTTTTTTTTTTGAGAGGGAATCTCTCACTCTGTCACCCAGGCTGGAGTGCAGTGGTGCGACCTCTGCTCACTGCAAGCTCTGCCTCCTGGGTTCACGCCACTGTCCTGCCTCAGCCTCCCAAGTAGCTGGGACTACAGGCGCCTGCCACCACGCCCGGCTAATTTTTGGTATTTTTAGAGGAGACAGGGTTTCACCGTGTTAGCCAGGATGGTCTCAATCTCCTGACCTCGTGATCCACCTGCCTCAGCCTCCCAAAGTGCTGGGATTACAGGTGTGAGCCACCGTGCTCGGCCAAAATCAGCATTTTAAGAAACTTCCCCAAAATGACTGTGATGCAGGTGGTCCTTAGGTAACACTTTAAACAAAGTTTGTTTGAGGGAGCATTGCATTACATTTTCGTGTTGTGAAGATTTGTCATTTCATTGTCAGGTTGAAGATTCCAGCCATAAATACTCTGAGACATCTGGACAAATGCCTTCCTTCCTCCAAGTGACTGTGAAATTTGGAGAGGTGTGTTCAGAAAATGGGAGTGTTAAAATATAAACATAAGAATCTTAAGTATCTGTAAATGCTTGTGGCAATTAGTGGTGGTGGGCATGCTTTTGAAGATGTGTATTGTTAATTTTTTAATGGGAGGAAAGTATAAACTGGAAGAAGGTAAGCACATGCAGCCCAACATGCTAGGTGAGTGATTCATAGGTGTAGACTTGTAAAAAACAAATCCAAGGCCGGGCACTATGGCTCATGCCTGTAATCCCAGCACTTTGGGAGGCCGTGGCAGGTGGATCATCTGAGGTCAGGAGTTCGAGACCAACCTGGCCAACATGGCGAAACCCCATCTCTACTAAAAATAGCCGGGCTTGGTGGCACAGGCCTGTAATCCCAGCTACTGGGGAGGCTGAGGCAAGAGAATCGCTTGTACCTGGGAAGCAGATGTTGCAGTGAGCTGAGATCGCACCACTGCACTCCAGCCTGGGTGATAAAGTGAGACTCTGTCTAAAAAAAATAAAATAAAATAAAATGAAACCCCAAATTCAAGAGTGTTTTTGGGAAAAAAAGAAGAGACAAAAAACATGTGAGATGATCAGTGTCAGGGTCAGGAAGAAGCTTATGAGAGTTGGGTACAGAATACATGATGGTGGCTGCAAAGTGCAGGATCCAGGGACAGTTGCAGACTATTCAGTATGTTATAACCCTGTGGACAGCGACCAGGAATAGTGTGGAAGCAGAGCCTCTATCACAAGCAGGGAGGAGGAGATAGGGAGAAACAGGACATCCTAGGAGCAGCCAGAGGGAAACTAGTCAAGTGGGTGATGAGAGGTAGTCAGGAAGTTAGTGCTCTTTCAATCAGAAGCCAAAAAACTGTGTCTGTTGAAGACCAGATAACAAAGGACTTTGCCTCTTGAGAGACCAAAAAGGAAGTAAAAGCCCGTATGGTAATCTGGAACTGAAAATTAGAAGTAGGGAAGATTAACTCGAAAAACTAAGACTTCAAATTCAGGGTCTAGTGACTATATAGAGGGAGTGTTAACAGTGAATATGGAAAGACTTTGTTAGTAGTCTCACCTGTGCAAAGTTAAGCAATAATTTGCCATCACTACAAATACAAGTAGCTCTTCCCCAAATTCTCCTTTCACGGCTTTCAGTTTAGCTGCGTTCTGGAATAGACTGAGGGAGCCAGTTGGAGTCAGCTATAGGGTGTCCAGGTCCATTTCACTGCATCTGCAACCCTAATCAAGCTTCCAGTTTAGGAACAAAGATGTTCACCCCTTAAGTACTGAAAATAGGAAGAATGTTTGTCATTTTTATCCCAAAGAGTCCTCCTCAGACTATGGTTGAGGCAACATCTAGCTACCTTGTGTCTGTACCTTAAGACTATGTTGCTACATAAAAGTTTGTTGATATGTATTTCAACTACTTTTTTTTTTTGAGACAGAGTCTCCTCTGTTGTCTAGGCTGGAGTGCAGTGGCGCGATTTCGGCTCACTGCAACCTCTGCTTCCCAGGCTCAAGCAATTCTCCTGCCTCAGCCTCCTCAGTAGCTGGGACTACAGGCATGTGCCACCATACCTGGCTACTTTTTAGTATTTTTAGTAGAGACGGGGTTTCACCATGTTGGCTAGGCTGGTCTTGAACTCCTGACCTCAGGTGATCCACCTGCCTCGGCCACCCAAAGTGCTGGGATTACAGGCATGAGCCACCGCACCCAGCCTACTTTTGAACCCTGGCTTTCTTGAACTGAATACAGGTGAACAAAGCACTTTCTTGCTGCCACCTCATGGCCCTAGAAAATATTCAGGTCCCTGTTCTTTTGGAAAGAGTTAATGGTCCTGGCCCACATATACACTATATGTGTCTAAGTGAATGAGTTGAAAGGAGTTGAGAGGGCCCTTTAACAGGATACCCCTGCCAAAGCAGGGTGCAGGTTTGAAGAATACATGTCCTAGACCCAACTCAGGTTAGGTCTTCACATTTCCCCACTGTCGAAGACCTCCAAACTATGGTTAGGCACTCCTACCTAGGATAAAGGCTCAAATTTTCTAGTGTCTTTTTTTGTTGTGAAATGACAACAACAGGTGTCCTCTATTTCCATGGCCTACTAACTATCTCTCTTGTAATTCCAGAAATATCTTCAAGTTTTTTGAGTTGGGCTGGCTGAACTGTCCCGAAGAACTTTTTAGCTAAGCAGCTGTTGATAAGAATGTGATGGTGTAATGAAGCCATCTAGGGAAACTGCTCTTGGGATAAATTGTCCTTGGTCCCAGGATTGAGTTCTATCTAAAAAAGAAAATTTTAGGCGGCTTCATTGCACTCTGAGTCTGTTACCAGGCCCTGGAATGTTGCTGCATGCCAATAGTAAATTTATCCCCAGGAAGTAGGACTAACTGAAATTATAAATAGCTTCTGAATAGATTTATTAATTCACTTATAATGGTTTTATAATAAATTATTACAGGAAGTTAGAATTATTATGGGTATATTTCTGAGTAGGTTGAGGTTGACGTCAGTGAGAAAAACCATGTTCTTTTACACTATTGATAACAATATTTAGTCTAAATCAGCAAGACAGTTCTTATGCTCTTATAAGGTAATGCTACATTATATTTTACAAAAGTGAATCATATATGTTTATGATACAACAAGAATATTAGTGGAAATTTGTGCTTTTATATTACTGGTAGAATTTATGCACTCATTCATGTATTCTCAACAGGAACTGGGATTGCAAAATTGAATGACATGGTTTCTTCCCTCAAACATCTTATAGTCTAGAAGGGAGGACAGATATGCTAAAAACTAGCTGAAATGCAGTATAGTGTTAAAGATATATGGTGACTGTGGTTCTCAACTTGGGATGCACATCAGAATCACCCAGAGGGTTTTAAAAATCCTGATGCCCAGGCAGCACCAAAGTGACTACTCACCATGTTGCCCAGGCTGGTCTCGAACTCCTGACCTCAGGTGATCCACCTGCGTTGGCCTCCCTAAGTGCTGGCATTCTTTATTTATTTATTTATTTATTTATTTATTTATTTATTTATTTTTTGAGACGGAGCCTTGCTCTGTCGCCCAGGCTGGAGTGCAGTGGCTCGATCTCGGCTCACTGCAACCTCTGCCTCCCGGGTTCACGCCATTCTCCTGCCTCAGCCTCCCGAGTAGCTGGGACTACAGGCACCCACCACCACACCCAGCTAATTTTTTTTTTGTATTTTTAGTAGAGACAGGGTTTCACCGTGTTAGCTAGGATGGTCTCGATCTCCTGACCTTGTGATCCGCCCACCTCGGCCTCCCAAAGTGCTGGGATTACAGGTGTGAGCCACCGCGCCTGGCCTTCAAAGTGACTATTTTTGCCTGGAAAGAGAAGGAAACCTCTTAGCTGAATCTTGAATGCTGAGTAGCTCACCAGACTAAAAAGAGGAGGAAGGGCATTATAAGCAGAGGAAATAGCACTTGCTAATGCATAGATGGAGGAACTGGAAGTTCAGAAGTGTCAGATCTTAGCATGCAAGAGAAGCAGCTGTGAAAGATGTGTTTGGAGAAGTAAGCAGGAGCCAGATCTTAAAAGACCCTTTTTATATTTTTTATGGAGCCAGTGAAGGGTTTTAAGCAGTGAACTGCCATAATTATGATCAAATTTTAAATTAAATTAAATTAAATTTTATCTTTAGTTTCAGGGCATGATCAACTTTTTGGTTTTATTTATTTATTTGTTTATTTGAGACAGAGTCTCACTCTGTTGCCAAGGCTGGAGTGCAGTGTCGCTATGTCGGCTCACTGCAACCTTCGCCTCCCGGGTTCAAGTGATTCTCCTGCCTCAGCCTCTGGAGTAGCTGGTATTACAGGCACACACCACCAAGCCTGGCTAATTTTTGTGTTTTTAGTAGAGGTGGGGTTTCACCATGTTGGCAAGGCTGGTCTTGAACTCCTGACCTCGGGTGATCCACCCACCTCAGCCTCCCAAAGTGCTGGGATTACAGGTGTGAGCCATTATGCAGGGCCAACTTTTTGGTTTTAAAAGCTCACTCTGGTGGCAGTATTAAGGAAGGAGTAGATGACCCCAAACTGGGTCAGACAGACTCAGGAGGTTATTACAATAATCCAGGTGAAAAGTGCTGGGGGTCTGGACTTAGGCCATGGCAATAGGGATAAAGGGGGAGAAATGGATGTGAGAAATACTTGGGAAGTAAAATCAGCTTGAAGCATGAAGGGAGGAAGCACATGGGAAAAAGAGGCACGGGAATGTGGAGTTTGTCGTTTAAGTGACTGGAAGAATAAAAACATCATGGACTGAAATAGAACTCAGAAAGGGAAGTCAGTTTTGGAACGCTTGTGTTTGATTTTTGTGTTTGGTTAAATGCAAGTGATGGACAATCAGGAAGACATCACTAGGATGCACTTGAATATACAGCACTATAGATATAAGTGGTGGACGGAGCTGGATATGGGAAATTTAGATTTATACTCATCAAAGTGATAGGAACTGAGGGCGGGGGAGGGGGGGAATGAATTCTCAGCAAATTTGAAAACTTTCTTTTCTTGCACTTTTGCTTACCTTACCTGACAGCCCTCTAGTGACAACAAGTACACACTACATTTCTTAAAAGTGCCCCATCTCAGTTAATGTCATCAGGAAATGGATATTCAAGACCCTGGATTTGGTAAAAATATTAATGTATTAATAATTTCAGTATTAGTGAGTGGTGGCATATCTATGCACCAAGGGTTCCAGCTTGAGCCTAGAGTTATTATTCGTTGTAATTCAAAAAGAGTCAAGAGGACTTAACATTGCTCTACCAGGAATCTATTTATATGAGGAATCAGAGTCCCCTGTGAAAGAATTTATTCTTAACCAGTGGTTGTCAACCTTGGCTACACATCAGAATTACCTGGAGAGCTCTAAAGAATCCTGACGCCCAGGATGCAGCCCATAGCAATTAATGAGAACCTCTTAGGTTGGGACCAGGTAAGGCATTAATATTTATTAAATTTCCTCAGGTAATTCTATGTGCAGCCAAGCTTGACACTGACAACAACACCGGCAGTATTGGTGATTGTATTAGTCAGGGTTCTCTAGAGGGACAGGACTAATAGGATAGATGTTTATATGAAAGGGAGTTTATTAAGGAGTATTGATTCACACGATCACAAGGTGAAGTCCCACGATACGCTGTCTGCAAGCTGAAGAGCAAGGAAGCCAGTCCGAGTCCCAAAACCTCACAAGTAGGGAAGCCGACAGTGCAGCAGCCCTCAGTCTGTGGTCGAAGGCCCGAGAGCCTCTGGAAACTACTGGTGTAAGTCTGAGAGTCCAAAGTAGGAAGCATCTAGCACAGGAGAAAGATGAATGCTGGAAGACTCAGCCAGTCTAGTCCTTCCACGCTCTTCTGCCTGCTTTTATTGTAGCTGTGCTGGAAGCTGATTAGATTGTGGCCATCCAGATTAAGGGTGGGTCTGCCTCTCCTAGTCCACTGACTCAAATGTTAATCTCCTTTGGCAACACCCTCACAGACACACCCAGGAACAACACTTTGCATCCTTCAATCCACTCAAGTTAACAGTTAGTATTAACCATCACAGTGATGATGACTCCTTCATTTAGCAAAATTTTACTGAGAACCTATGCTATCCACCAGGCACATAGGTGCTGAGGATACAGTGGCAAACAGGATAAACAAGATTCTTGCTTTCTTGGATCATAGATTCTAGTGGGTCTGTTGATAGACATGGACGAAGAAACAAAAACAAGGTCAGCCAGTGCTAAGTGCTGTGCAGAGCTTGAAATAGAACGATATAGTAGAGAATGAGTGGGTGCCTATGTGGATTGGTAAGTCAGGGAAAGTTACTCTCTGAAGAGGTAACATTTGAGTTAAGATATGAATGACAAGAAGGAGTCAACCATATGAAGATAGGGCGAGGAACTTTCTAGGCAAAGAAACATCAAATACAACGACCCCAAGGCAGAAGAAAGCTTGGCATGTCGGAGGAATAGAAAGGAGGCCAGTGAGGCTGGGCCAAATTGATTGAGGAGAGAATGGCACAAGATGAGATTCTAGAGGTAGTCAGGGCAGATCATATACAACCAAGGAAATCATGATAAGGAGCCTAAATTTTAATATAAGTATGATGGAGAGTCACTGAATTGTTTTGAGCAGGGAAATGTTAAGACTGTATATATATATATAACGTATATATAACCTATATATATAACATATATATATAACATATATATAACCTATATATATAACATATATATATAACATATATATAACCTATATATATAACATATATATAACCTATATATATATAAAATCAGACCTAGACATACACACACACACACACACACACATATGTGTCTAGGTAACACACACATATATACATGTATAAGGCCTATATATATAACATATATGTGTGTGTGCTACCTAGACACGTGTGTGTGTGTGTGTGTGTGTGTGTGTGTGTGTGTGTGTGTATATATATATATATATATATATATATATATATGTCTAGGTCTTATAATTTCCCTGCTTGATATATATATTTAGCAGGGAAATGATATGTATGTATATATAGAGAGAGATAGGGTCTCGCTCTGTCACCTGGTCTGAAGTGCAGTGGTGCGACCATGGCTCACTGCAGCCTTGACCTCCCAGGTTCAAGCAATCCTTCCACCTCAGTCTCCCAACTAGCTGAGACTACAGACATGTACCACCATGCTCGGCTAATTTTTGTATTTTTTGTAGAGACAGGGTTTCACCATGTTGCCCAGGGTGGTCTTGAACTCCCGAACTTGAGAAACCTGCCCACCTTGGTCTCCCAAAGTGATGGGACTACAGGCGTGAGGCACCGCGCCAGGCCCTAATTTATATTTTAGAGGATCATTCATATTACTATTGTGGAAAATGTATTGGATTACTGCAAGAACAGAAACAAGGAGATCAATTAATAGGATAATTGCAGTAGCCCAAATAAGATATGGTGGTGGCTTGAGCCAAGGTGGTAATAGTGGACTTGGAAAGAAGTTGGCATATTTGAGGTATATTTTGGAGGTCGAATCCATAGGACTTTTAGATAAATTGGATGTGGGGGTGAGGGAAAAGAGGTACCAAGATGATAGTGATGGTGGTAGCAGTATTGCAGTGGCATTGTTGAGGGAAGTAGCTCTGATGGCAATAGTATCCTCAATAACTTTGACAAACAGCATTGGCGCCTTTAGCTCAGACATCAGCCCATGAAGCCTTCATGAGCATTGTTGACGTACTAACTGCTCTTGGTGATGACAAGAACAGGAGACATCATTATTGGAGGAAAATGGCAGGCACCACATGGCAGCCAAACTGACTCATTTATAGAACACATGTAAGATAGCTCTAAGAACTTATTTCTATAAATAGTTGGGAAAAACTTAAGAATGGTTATTTATAACTTCTGCAGAGCAGATCAGAGAAGAGTCAGAGATATATAATTTTGTCATTATGATTGTGATCCTGTATTATCCATAGGCTACTTTGACAAAAGTAATCTGGATTACTCATAAAAGAGGTCCCAATGTATATACTAAATTGTACATTGTCAAATACATGTTTTGGTAAAAATTCCTCCCCAACTACGCAAATATGAACATTTTTATATTAAAATTACACAAGAAATATTCAGATACATGCTGATAAAGATTCAAACAATATAGAAGTTAATTATAATTTTCATTAATTTTTTGAGACAGGATCTCACTCTGTCACCCAGGCTGGAGTGCAGTGGTGCGATCTCTGCCCCCTGCAGCCTCGACCTCCTGGGCTGAAGTGATCCTCCCACCTCAGCCTCCCAAGTAGCTGAGACTACAGGCACATACCCTATGCCCAGCTGATTTGTCATATTTTCTGCAGAGTGAGGGTTTCACCATGTTGCTCAGGCTGGTCTCAAACTCCTGAGCTCAAGAGATCCACCCGTCTCAGCCTCCCAAAGTGTTGGGATTACAGGCATGAGCCACTGTGTCAGGTGTCGGAAGACAATTGATAGTCTTCCTCCGGTCACATTCCCCCACAAGAGATAACCATAATGAATAGTTTAGTGAGTTTCCTTCAAAATATTTTTCTTGTCTTTTATATACATATATATGTATACATACAAATGCACACATATTCATATAGAGAGATTTTTTCATAAAAGCATACTATAAGTATTAATCTGCATGTTGCTTTTTAAAAATGTAGTAATAAACCAGAGACATCTTTCCATGTCTGTGCATCTTCTTTTCTTCTCTTCCATCCTCCCTCCCTCCCTCCCTCTTTTCTTTTCTTTTCTCTTCTGTTCTGTTCTGTTCTTTTCGAGATGGGGACCTTGTCGCCCACGCTGGAGTGCAGTGGTGCTATCATAGCTCACTGCTGCCTCGACCTCCCACACTCAAACGATCCTCCCACCTCAGCCTCTGGAGTAGCTTGGACTACAGGCATGCATGCTTGGCTAATTTAAGAAATTTTTTTTGGTAGAGATTGGGTCTCGCTATGTTGTCCAGGCTGGTCTCAAACTCCTGGGCTCAAGTGATCCTCCGGTCTTGGCTTCCCAAAGTGATGGGATTACAGGCATGAGCCACCACACCCACCCCATCTTCTTTTTTAAACAAATGCATAAATTCCATTGTGTGAATATCTTGCAATACATTTAACCAGCTGATGGGCATTCAGTTTTATTTTTCACCTATACTTTGTGCACCTGTCTGAGTGCATCTGAAGGCTACCATTCTAGCAGGGGAAATTTCAACCTGAATTCTAGCAGGTTGAAAATGCTAGATTTTGTTAGATATAAAACCAGATTGTCCTCCAAGAAGAAGTTACCCAATTACACTCCTGCCAGTAGTGTGTGAGAGACCCTGTTTCTTTACACCCTCACCAACACTAGATTTTATTGATCATTTTTGTTTGCCAACAAGATTGGTGAAAATTGGCATTTCATTATTGCTTAATTTATTTTCTCTAATATTAGTGAGATTGAACATTTTAAAATATATTTACTGTTTGCATATTTTTTCTGTGAATTGTCTGTTGATATTCTTTACTTATTTTTCTCATTTTTTTTTGTCTTTTTTTCTCATTGCTTTATAGGGTCTTGTCAGATATTTAAAGTATTAATCCTTTTCTCACACAATAGAAAATCTTCCTTCCTACTCTGTTACTTGTCTTTTAACTTTGTTTAGGCTGGGTATGGTGGCTTATGCCTGTAATCCCAGCACTTTGGGAGACTGAGGTACGAGGATTGCTTGAAGCTAGGATTTCAAGACTAGCCTGGGCAACATAGTGAGACCCTGTCTCTACAAAAGTTTAAAAAAATTAGCTGGGCATGGTGGCACATACTACTTGGGAAACTGAGGTGCGAGTATGGATCATTTGAACCCAGGAATTCGAGGCTTCAGTGAGCTATGATAGAGCCACTGCACTCCAGCCTGGGTGACAAAGTGAGACCCTGTATCTAAAACCCCCAAACTTTGTTTTGGTTATCTTTTGTTGTACAGATGTTTTTAATTTTTATGTCATCAAATCTGTCAATTTTTGGATTGTGAATTTGGAGTCTTGCTAAGGAAGTTCCTCCTAAATGAAGATTATATAAAAAAATTCTACTGCGTTTTTTAATACATAATTTTTCGTTTGTGTTTTTTAATTTTTTTTCTATTTTATTATTTTTAGCTATTAGCTATATCTCCCATAAAAATAACATAGGCATAATAATAAAATAAACACCTACGTATCCACCATCCAGCTTAAGAAATAGGACATTTTCAATATCTTAGAAGGCCCCTGTGAGCTGCTCCTCAATTACTTCCCCCTCCCTCACCAACAGAGGCAATCAGTGTCTTGCCTTTTGTTTTAAACATTTCTTTGTGTTTTTTCTTTATATATTAACCATATACGTATATTATATTGTTTTATTTTGAAAAAAAAATGAGTCTCAAGCACTAAACTTACTGTGTTAGGAAAGGGCAGTATTGTCACTATTAAATAAAAGATCCCAGAGGAAGAGTCTCTGGGGCACATCTTGTCTTCTGCTTCCCTGAGAGTTTATGAGAATTCCTTCTAAGGAAATTAGTGGGCAAAGTTGTGAGAGCTGCCGTGTCACACAGTGGAGTGCTGGAACTGGCTGATGGTTTCAGAAAACCGATACTATATTAGCAGCTTGAAGTTGCCCATCTAGCAGGGGATGGGGTGAGGGTGGTATTGGAGGTGGGGAAATGTTGGTCAAAGGACACAAAATTTCAGTTAGACAGGAGGAATAAATTCAAGAGATCTGTTGTACAACATGGTGACTATAGTTAATAACAATGTATTGTATATTTGAAAATTGCTGAGAAAGTACATTGTAAGTATTCTCACCACAAAAATGATAAGCATGTGAGATAATGCACATGTTAATTAGCTAAACTTAGTCACTCCACGATGTGTGCATATTTCAAAACATCATGTTGTACATCATAAATACATACTACCTTAGTCAATTAAAAAATAAATTTAAAAAATTGCCCACAAAGGAAATGTTTATGTCATTAAAATTGACAAACTGTAGAAAAAGGGCTTTGCTTTTCTATGGATTGATTGATTGATTGAAACAATCTCATTCTGTCACCCAGGCTGGAGTGCAGTGGCATGATCTTGGCTCACCGCAACTTCCACCTCCTGAGTTCAAGTGATTCTCGTGCCTCAGCCTCCCAAGTAGCTAGGATTGCAGATGTGTGTCACCAGGCCTGACTAAGTTTTATATTTTTAGTAGACACAGGGTTTCACCATATTGCCCAGGCTGGTCTCAAACTCCTGAGCTCAAACAATCCTCCTGCCTCAGGCTCCCAAAGTGCTGAGATTACAGGTGTGAGCCATTGCACCCTGCCAGGGCTTTTTCTTTTAATTAAAAAATACTTTTGGATAGCCAGCTAACCAGACACCACTTGGCCTGAGAAACACATGGTTCACAATGGTCAGGATGTTTGGCAAGGCTACAGTGTAGACCAGATTTTGAACATCCTGCAGAAATATGACTGGAGGGAATGGGCTGCTCCACATATTTTAAACTCACCATAGTCAACCTCCAGCTCTTAAGAATAGTTCAAAGCCTAACACTTGAGTGAGGTAAAATTAGAATCCTCAGCTGATCCAGGCATCAGGGGTTATATGAGATCTTGCCTGTTTGAAATATCTTTAATCTATCCTGTCACTTGATCAGTAGTTAGACTAGGTATATTAATTTTGAAATAATTTTCCTTCAGAATTTTGAAGGCTTTACTCTATAGTCTTTGAGATTCCAGGGTTACATTGAGAAGTAGTTAAGTTATGGTGATTGCATGGTTTAGGTTATGGCAATGGAAGTGAGCAGCTGAGGTAGCTTGGAGGAAAACATCATTGGATGGGAGGAGGTCAAGGAACTAATTGACTAGTGGGTTTTATCTATCATCCATGTGAATATCAAAGTCACCAAAAATAATGACAGCAGTAGTGGTAGAGAACAAGATAGCAGGACTGTTGGCAAAGCCATAGATGACTGAGGGCTAGATGACAACAGCCAGGTGTGGAGCTGGTGAGTTTTAAGGAATAATGAATTAGAAATGGCTGTGAGGACAATGGGCACTTTACCTCCAACTCTAGTTTGTGTGACTTATGTGGAAGAGAACAGCCTCCACTTGAGAAGGCTTCAAGGAAAACAGTGTCCTCAGGGAGAAGTGACATTTTGGTTAGAAGAAGAAGGTGAAGGGAACATTTAAGGAAGAGGCTAAGGATAGAGCAAAGTTTAATTTGGTACAAACTGAGTTCCAGAAGACATAATTTAGGAGGGTAAAGAAAGGGAGATATTGGTTTATCATAGAAGATGAAGAATGTGGTATGGGAATTAAGATTTAGATTATGATAGACGAGAGGTTCGGATGTCTGGTGTGACTAAAGGAAATATGATACATGTCTTAGTCTGTTCAGGTGGCTATAAGAAAATGACATTGACTGGATGGCTTAAACAACAGATACCTATTTCTCACAGTCCTGGAGGCTGGGAAGTCCAAGATCACAGTGCTAGCAGATTCAGTTCTTAGTGAGGGCTCTCTTCCTGACTTGCAGACTGCATCTTTCTTGATGTATCCTCACACGATGCGGGGAGAGAGAGAGAGAGAGCAAGCTCTCTGATGTAGCTCCTTATAAGGACACGAATCCTATCATGAGGGTCCCACCTTCATGACCTCATCTAAACCCAGTTACCTGCCAAAGGCCCCACTTCCAAATACCATCACATTGGAGATTAGGGTTTCAATGTATGAATTTGGCAGGAAACACATTCAGTCCATAGCAATATGAATGGCACACTATGGAACTGGGGGAAGATTGGGTCTATACATTTAAAATTGTTATAGATACTTGGCCTGGCATGGTGGCTCATGCCTGTAATCCCAGCACTTTGGGAAGCCGAGGTGGGCTGATCACCTGAGGTCAAGAGTTTGAGACCAGCGTGGCCAACACAGTGAAGCCCTGTCTCTACTAAAAATAAAAAAATTAGCCAGGCATGGTGGCATGCGCCTGTAGTCCCAGCTACTCAGGAGAGTGAGGCAGGTGAATTGCTAGAACCTGGGAGGCTGAGGTTGCAGTGAGCCGAGATGGCGCCACTGCACTGCAGCCTGGGTGACAGAGCAAGACTCTGTCCCCTCCACCAAAAAAAAAAAAAAAAAAAAAAAGGTTAGTTACGGCTACTTAAATAAATGATTAACATTTTAATAGACCTTAATAGTAGAGCTTTAATATAGGGCTTTAATAGTCAATAATAATTTGCCTTTGTAAAGTTTGAAGCAATTTACAATCACTCTCATGGATAGAGTTTAAAGCAATCCATTTCTTTATATCCTCACGAAGAGCACTGGTTATTGATTAGGGTTTAATTATTTTTATTTTTGCCAACCTGACAGTAAAAAGAAATGATCTCATTGTTTCTACTTGCATTTTTATTAATAGCAAGGCTGGATGTTTTTAAATGTTTTATTAAAAATTTGTACTTATCTTTGAATTGCCTGTTTGCTTATTTTTTCCTTTGGATTCTCTTTTCCTATTGATTTGAAAGAACTCTATTTTTTATGTATCTTAAATCCTTTAATTTGCTAGAATATTTTCGCTCCGATTTTTTTTTTAGTTTTTAAAAAATTCTTGATTTTTGTTTATGCTGTCATTTGTTGTACAACTTTAGATTTCTATGCAGTGAGAGCTATCGTTTTTTTCACTTTGTAGCCTGGAGGTGATATGAGTTGTTTAGAAAGCTTTTCCTACCTCAATATTGTCACATGAGTCTTCTGTATTCTATCTTTCTGTATTTCGTTTTTTACATTTAGATCTTCAATCCATCTGGAATTCATTTTTGTATATGGTATATCTTAATTTTTTCCAATTTTTTTCTCTCAGATATGAAATTTCACTATTATCACATATAAACCCCCCAGATAAACATAGATATGTTCTGGATTGTTTTCACTGTTGTTGCTTTATGTAAGTTTTGCTTTCTGGCAGAGCAAGTCCATTCTCATTATTCTTTTTTTTTCAAAAAAAAACTCTGGAATATACTCTTATGGATGAATTTTAGAATTAATTTTTCATATTTCCAAAAATGTTCTTTAGGTTTTTGATAAAAATTACGTTGGATTTACGTGTTAATTTTGGAGGAATTGTTTTATTTAGGCTATTGCATCATCCCATCCAGGAACTTGGTATGCTTTTCCATTTTTAAAAATGTTCTTTTATGTGCTTTAGTGAAGTTCTATGGCTTTCCTAATATAGATTTTACACATTTCTCTATGTGTTTTATAGTTTTATTATCACAAATAGTTTTTTTTTTTTTTTGAGACGGAGTCTCGCTCTGTCGCCCAGGCTGGAGTACAGCGGCAAGATCTCAGCTCACTGCAAGCTCTGCCTCCCGAGTAGCTGGGACTACAGGCGCCTGCCACCACGCCCGGCTAATTTTTTTTTTTTTTTTTTGTATTTTTAGTAGAGACGGTGGTTTCACCATGTTAGCCAGGATGGTCTCAATCTCCCGACCTCTTGATTTGCCCGCCTCAGCCTCCCAAAGTGCTGGGATTACAGGCATGAGCCACCGCACCCGGCCCACAAATAGTTTTTTATTGCATTTTCTAATTAGTTATCATTATACTAAAAGAAATATATTTTTGTGTATTCATCTTGACTCCTGTGATTTTAGTAGTTTTTATTTTATACTTTTCACTTTCCCAGTTAGACTATGATATTGTCAGCAAATACATATTCTCTTCCTTTCCAATATTTAGCACTCAGTTATTTTTTTTTCTTTTTATTATTTTTACTTAGACCAATGTGGTGAAAGTGGGTATTTTTTTTCTTGTCTCTTAGTCTTGATAGCTCCACCCATAGATGACTTCTAAGCCATAGATGACTTAAATGTAGGCTGGATGTTTCTTGGAAACTTGAACTCAGCATGTCCAAGATTGAATGTAAATTCCTGATTGCCCACACCTGCCCAAACTTGTGCCTAGTACTCATTTCTTTATTTCTGCGATTCAGACGCAAATGACTCAATTATTCTAGTTATTCAAGTTCAAAACCTTAAGTCATCCTTGATTTTCTGTCTTCTTTCCTTACTCATATTACCCTCATTCAGAAATTCTTCTTGATTTGGTCTCTGTCCCAGTGTTATGACACATATCTCCTCCATTCTATTCTTACTGTCACCCCTTTCAATCTAATTTGACAAACTATTATTTAGGGCCTTCTATGTGTTAGGTACAGTATAGAGAGATACAAATGTAAATAATCAAAGTTCCCACTCTTGAGGAGTTCACAAGTAGTGGGGTGATGGTTCTTAAATTTAACTATACTCCAATGTAATAGGTGCTACAAGAATTATTTGTATAATGAACTATGGTAGCACAGAGGAGGAAGTAATTAGCTCTGTTTCTGTTGAGTTAGAAAGGTTGACATTTGAGCTGAAGCTTAAAAGACAAGTATAATTTTTTTCGGGTAGAAATGGAGTGGAAGAAGAGGCATTTCTGGCAGAGAAAACAGTGTAAATGTATGTCTTACACATTCATTCAGTAAGCATTTATTGAGTGCCTACTAAGTGTCAAAGCATTCTACTGGATGTGGGGCTTTAAGAAGTTCCTAATCTTGTGGGCATTGCCCGTAGTAATCCGAAAGACCCAATCCCTAAAGTCTAAATTCCCAAAATGTCAAATCTCTAACATCTAATGGAATCCCCAAACCACAACGACAGATTTGGAATTAGGCTCAGTCAAGGCTTCTAAAAGTGAATTTTAAGGTGTTACCAATAAGGTTTATTTTTTCGATTCAGCCCAATGCATTTGGCAGAAAATTAAGATGAGTGGATTGGCCATGCAATACAGCAACAACAAAAACTCCAGTTTAAAAATGTATAATTTGTCGGCCAGGTGCGGTGGCTCATACCTGTAATCCCAGCACTTTGGGAGGCTGGGGCGGGTGGATCATGAGGTCAGGAGTTCAAGACCAGCCTGGCCAACATGGTGAAACCCCGTCTCTACTAAAAATACAAAAATTAGCCGGGCGTGGTGATGTGTGCCTGTAGTCCCAGCTACTCGGGAGGCTGAGACAGGAGAATTGCTTGAACCTGGGAGGCAGAGGTTGCAGTGGGCCAAGATCGTGCCACTGCACACCAGCTTGGGCAACAGAGTGAGACCCTGTCTCAAAAAAAAAAAAAAAATATATATATATATATATGTATAATTTGTCTGCATTGGCATTCCTGCCAGCTGATGAAATTCCGGGAGCCTTCAATGAAGGCCACATTTGCCTGAAGAAGCAGTGAAGTTACTGACTGATTCAAAAATAATTATGTGCATGGTAGGATAAGAAGACACGCAACGGTGTTGTTTCCACCAATGAACGCATGTGGAGTGGATTTCCCCATACACAGAACAACATATGAGCAGGGCACAGAATTTAATAGGGAATGCTCATGTTGGTGTATGTTGAGTTACAGAAGAATTTCAAAAAGAACAGTGCCATGTAGAAAATGAATGTTAACATTTTCTCTGAAGATAGCCATGCCCTAAAAGAAGAAAAAAGACAGCTATTTATTGCCATGCAAGATTTCAAAATACAGTTAATGATTGTGAAAGTTGATCAGCTCTTATGAACCACCTCTATGCAATTGTCCATAATCTGTCCCTGTAATACACTTTTTCATATGTCAAGTTTTCTTTTTAGTTTAGTTTTCCCCCCACTGTTTTAAATTGTCAGCATTATTTTTTACAGTTCCCTATGCAATGTATTTTATCTTCACATCATTTCCAATACTGGAATTATAACTTGTGTAAAGACTTTTAGAGAGTTCTAATTCGTTTTATGCATTTTTTTTTGCAAATTTGACTCCATGAAAGTACATTATCACAACATAGACTTTGTGTGTACACATTGTGCATGTACATAAAAACACTGAAGCTTCCTCAGTAAATAAAGAGATATCCTTTTTGTATTAAATACATCTGCATTTGTGAAAGATAGTTCATCTAGATTTCAGCTCTTTGGGTGACTAAATATGTAGTGGTGACTTCTTGTAGTTTTTGATAGATCTCGTCAAAAGACAGGTTGTCCATCATGATATTTCAGTTGAATGAAGTTATATAAGCGATTTCTTTATGAATACCGTTTGTCTGCTTAAAATTTATACCCATGTAACTGTTGTTAGTATGCCTGAGTGTTTATGCTTGCTAAACTATGTATTATTATTATTGCCTATTTTATTGTGTAAACTGGCCTATGAAGTGTTTTGTCATGTTTTTATGTTTCTCAGATAAATCCCCTTTTAGGCCAGGCGTGATGGCTCACGCCTGTAATCTCAGCACTTTTGGAAGCCAAGGTGGGCAGATTGCTTGAGCTCAGGAGTTCGAGACCAGCCTGGGCAACATGGTGAAACCTGTCCCTACAGAAAATACAAAAATTAGCAGGGCATGGTGGTACAAGCCTGTAGTCTCAGCTACTTGGGAGGCTCAGGTGGGAGGATTACTTGAGCCCAGGAAGTGGGGGTTGCAGTGAGCTGAGATCGCTCCACTGCACTCCAGCCCGGGCAACAGAGCGAGACCCTGTCTCAAAAAAAAAAATCCCTTTAAAAAACATAAATAAGTGTCTTTTAAATAATTAAAAAAAATTTTTTTTCTAGAATTAGATTTTTCAGGATTTTGGTCTTTTGGGATTTTAGACTTCGGGGATTTTGTTATTTTTATTTTTTACTTTTTTGTTTGTTTATTTTGGACTTTGGGGATTTTGATCTTTCAGGATTTCAACATTCACGATTATGGCATTCAGGATTGTGTCTTTTGGGATTATGGTCCAAACCTCTTGAGGGAGATGCAGACACATAAACAGGTCATCGCAATAAGAAATTATGAAGAATACAAATTATTCTTCATTACATAAGTAAGTTCAAGCTATGGCCTTATGGCCAAGTATTTGGGTTGGAAGCTATATATGCACAATACTAACAGTCTTAGCTAAATTTGACAAGTTTTTCAGAACATATTTATGACTGGGTTTGTAGCAGACTTTATTCTTCCCTCAAGGCAGGCACTTTATTGTTGAATTGGGGGAGGGGGATTGGTTTACCTATCCAATGATAGGATGCAGTTCATTTATTTGTTAATTTAATCAGCAAGCATCTGACGGCCTATTGCATGCCAGATATTGTTAGACCTTGGGAATACACAGACATAAGACAAAATCTCTCCCTTTAGAGAGCTACCTATCAAATGGGTTTACTGGCACACAAAAATATAGTCATAATACAATGAGCTAAAAACTGTGATGGAACTTTACATTTTATATTATTGGAGGATGTATGAGAGATACTGAAGCCAGCCTTTGCAGAGAAGGTACCAGGGAATATTTCCTGAAGGTAATATCTGAGTTGAGTGTTCAAGAATATGTAGGAATTAGGCTGATGAAGGGAATGGGTGTGACTGAAGCAATCTTAGCGAGAACACCAGCAAAGGCAGGGAGATAAGAGTAGTATGGTGCAAGTGGAGGACTACAAGCAGTTTGAATTGCCAGATCATGAAATGCAAGGCAGATAATGGTGAGGAATTAGATTAGAGAAGTAAGAGATTAGATCATGGACAGCTTTGCATACCATGTTATAAAGTTTGAACTTCATCCTTCAGGTGAAGGGAATCATGGAGAGGCTTTAAGGAGGGAAACTACATGATCAGATGTGCATTTTGCAACCATTATGTTAGCTATGTTGAGGATAGATTTGAATGGGCAAATTTAAAATATGAAGTAGGATTGGCACAGAACCTAAACATTCATGGTGTCTTTGGGGAACAGCATGGGCTAGTGTGGTGCCCATTTGGGGAGACCTGGAGAAGAATGACAGAACCTTGAAACAAAACAGCTTACGGCCGTATTGTGAAGGATGTTGATTGCCAAGCTAACCAAGGAGCTTGAATTTGGCTTATGTGACAGGGCATTTGCTTAGTGATTCCACCTATATTAGATGTGAAACTCAAACATCTCTACAAATACTACTCTGTTTGTCAAAAACTGAGTCTTTGGATTTGCCTAGTTACTTAGTCAATGGTGTCTGACCTTAGAATCACAAGGACTTGAGGACTTTAAAGTAGTATATCTCTACCTGGAAGACAGTATGTACTTAACTTCAACCAAAGCCAGATTCCTTAAGAAAGTAGGTGAAAGAGTAAGGTAATATACTTTGGAGGAAATAGGGGATTAAATGGCTCTCTCCATGGAATTGGAGTTTGGCTTTAATAACTTAGGAGCATGTTGGGGTAGGCTAGGCAAGGATAAAGGGAAAGATAGACAGAGGTTTCAGTTGCGGCATGCTGTGGCTGCAGCCAGGGACCTCGGAAAAACCCCTCCTTCCTTTTTAAAAGGTCTATTAGAAGAGTAATTCGGGTGGAATATAGGGGGAACTCCAGTAATTGGTTGATGTTCTTAATAGTTCAGGGAGGTTTCCACTTCAATATAATTGATACATTGTCCGGTATATTGAATGTCCTTTGCAATTCTATGCTTTCTAAAAGAAACATCTTTTTTTTTCTTTTTTGAGACAAGGTCTTGCTCTATTGCCCAGGCTGGAGTGCAGTGGCACCTGACTTCCCAGGCTTGAGTGACCCTCCCACCTCAGCCTCCTGGGTAGCTGTTACCACAGGTGCTCACCGCCATGCCCGGCTAATTTTTTTTTTTTTTTTGTAGAGACAGGGTTTCACCATGTTGCCCAGGCTGGTCTTGAATTCCTGGGCTCAAGAGATTTGCCCTCGTCGGCCTTCCAAATTGCTAGGATTACAGGCGTGAGACACTGCACCTGGCCAAAAGAAACATCTTTGGCTTGGCTCAGGGATGGTATCGTGACAGCTGAGGCTCAAGATGTTCTTCAAGACTAGTAAAACTCCTGCTAGGAGGTTGTGAGGAATCCCATTGATTGGTTAGGATGTGTTACACAGGGCAGAGGGCATTATGAGATATTCTGCCTCTCTAAGATTAATCTGGAAGAGCCCTTTCTGTTTACCACTCACCTAAATCCAGATGAGTGTGTGCCTGCCTAGAAGGGTAGATTAGTTTGGTTAGATCTAGGTTCCTCAGAGTTGGCGTAATATCAGAAAATAAGGGAAGTTTATGCTAGTCACTTAGAATTGCTATATTGAGGTCACAGTGTTCTGGAAAATTAAGAGCATAATATTTTTCTTCCTTAACAAGGGCACCACGACATTAGGACAACTTGTTAATCATTTGGGAAGAAAGAACCTTACTTCATATCTTTCACCAAAATAAATTTCAAATATATTAAACACTTAAATGAAAACATTAAAATAGTAAAGTACAGAATAATATGTAGATACATATTTATATCATATTTATATGTAGAAGACCCTTCTAAGCATGAAAGCAAAACCAGAAAACATAAAAGGAGAAAAAAAAGTCCGATAGATTTGACTTCATAAAAATAAAAAATTGAAAAGCCAAAATGTCACAAGTAAAATGTAAAGACAAAGGCAAACTTGGGTTAATAGTCTTACTATATATAGAGCTCTCATAAATCAATAAATCAATAAGACAAACATAAGAAGACCAATAGAATAATGAGCAAAGATCATGAACAGAAAATTTACAAAAGAAATAAACATATCAAAAATGTCAACTTCACTGTACTCATAGAAATGCAAATTAAAAGATTGAGATTACAAGATTTTGCCCAACAGGTTGGCCAAGTTTAGTGCTCACTGTTGAAGGACAATGGGAAGGAAACATTTCATATACTGCTACTGAGAGTTTAAATTGGTATCATATTTTGCAGGGTAATTTGGTAATATGTATTAAGGCTTTAAAATGTATGTGATGTGCATAATAATAATTTTTCAAATACCTTTCAATGTGTTTGTTTTGGTAATCTGATAACTTTCCATTATTAAGGGGCCAGGGAATGGATAAGGTGAATGCCGCCTTGAGAAGGAGGGCACATTTCATCTCATCCACATAGGAAGAGGAAGTCATATATAGCCTTTTCTGGTTCCTAGAGGAGGGTGCCTAGGAAGAAGAAGGGGGTGGTTCCAAGTAAGTTTGGTAGATTCTTAGAGCACTAGAACCAGTGTCTTGCATCCCCAAGTGCAGGCTGGGAAAATGATAAGTTCCTCTGGACAAGTACCATGTCTAACATGATGCCACCCAGATAAGAGATTAAAAATGGTACAATGGACAGGTACAGTGGCTTATGCCTGTAATCCCAGTACTTTGGGAGGCCAAGGCAGGCAGATCTTTTGAGCCCAGGAGTTTGAGAACTACCTGAGCAACATAGTGAGACCTCATCTCTACAAAAATACAAAACTAGTCAGGCATGGTGACATGCGCCTGTAGTCCCAGGAACTTGGGAGGCTGAGGTGGGAGGATGACCTGAGCCTGGAGGGAGTATTGAGGCTGCAGTGAACCATGATCACATCACTGCATTCCAGCCTGGGTGACAGAGTGAGACCCTCTCTCAAAAAATAAAATAAAATAAAATAAATAAAAATGGTACAATGGCATAATAAGTTGGAAGAGGGCAAAAATTATCCCCTAGTTTTCCATTGCACTACCATTGGCAAAACTGAGTCCTGGAGAAGGCTTTGGAAAGTTACTGGGACCTGGGACAGGCTTACTTCTCAAATGACAGTGAGATGAGAGGACAGCAAGCAGAGGCTGTGAGTGACTAATCTCTATAGTTGAGTCTTAGGGATAGTTGTCATGTATGTGTAGGCACTCCTATACCAATAGGCTTTGATTCGGTTGCCATATGATATAACCAAGAAGGTAGACATCACCAGCCTCAAAGACCAGACTAGGTGAAGACACCAGCACTAGCCCCCATAGTCTTCAGGAACTGCCCAAAGACAACATAGAATCAATGACCAGCAGAGACTCAAAGGACAGCCAGCTGTCAGGATCCCACCCTCCATTGCCACGAGGACATCTTGGGAAGGAGAAGGGAGATAAAACTTGACTGTCTGAGCATTTACACAAAGGAGATGATTTGAAATAGAAAATGTTGTTTTTTATACTTGTAAAGTCAGATATCTTTAATTGGCAAATTTAAATCTGCATGCCTCCTGTATCATACAGAAAGATGGGGGTTTGTGAGAAACTTGAGATAGAAAAATACAGAGAAGCTGCACATATTTGCACAACATGAATTATAAAATGTCAATTTCATGTTCATAGCCATTAATCCAGCCGTTACACATCTAGCAATTTATTCTAAAGAAATAACTGGACAAGTGTCCGAGGATACACACATATAAAAAATGTTCATTATAGGTTTTTAAAGATTGAAAATCTGGAAACAACCTAAATGCTTATCATTTGAGGAATAGTTATGAAACTGATCTAATAGTCCCATAGACATTTTTTTCTTGGCAAAACATAGAAATTGACTTTTCTGCTTTTTTTTTTTTACCAGTTTTATAAGGAATATTACAACCCTTCTTGTTTTAAAGCTTGAAACATACATTTGTTTTATCTAAGTTCTTTCCTCAGGAAGGGACCCTCAGGCCTCTCAAAAGTATCAAAGAACTGAAACTCACCAAATCATCACATCCAGACAATGAAATGCCATGTCCCTCATTCCTTCTCTGGAGTCCCTGTTTTCCCACACATAGTTACATTTTTTCCCCTGCTATATAAACCCCTAATTTTAGTCAATTAGGGAGGTGGATTTGAGACTGATCTCCCATCTCCTCAGCTGCACCACCTGATTAAAGCCTTCTTCCTTGGCAATACTGGTCTCAGTGATTGGCTTTCTGTGCGGTGAGCAGTAGGACCTAGACTGAACCCCCGGTGTTTCTGTAACAGTTATATTATAATAAATTCATACAATGAAATGTTACTTAGTTGTTAAAAAGGATAAGAGAAATCTATATGATTGGCATGGGAAAGCTATCTAAGACATGTTAGGAGATAATATGAAGATGGAGAATATTAAATGTAGAATGATTAATTTATATAAAAGTATATATTGATATATACTTAATGACATGGAAACGTATCCTTATTCTATAGGAAAATAGAAAGATTATATAATCATATAGAGTGTGATCCCATTTTTAAGTATGTATATGTAATATATCATTCATTTATGTGTGTATATATTTATATACATAGAAGAAAGTCTCAAAGTATCTGTTCCAAATTACTAGGAGTGATAGAATGGTGAGATTAAGTAGAATTTTCACTTTCTTATTTGTACATTTCTGTATTGTCTAATGTTTTTTCAGAATAAGCTATTTTTTTATGACTGGAGACATCAACAAACTTATTTTCTCTTCTTTTTAAGACTTTTTTTTTTCTTGAAGATGGAATCTCTTTAAGGCCTGCCCAGGCTGGCCTTAAACTCCTGGGCTCAAGTGATCCTCTTGCTTCAGCCTCTTGAGTAGCTGGGACTATAAGCCCTGAACCCGAGTCAACAGATATATTTTCTTATGAAAATAAAAATAATGTACATATTTAGTGACAAGAAGATTAAAAGAGAAGATCACTAAAACACATATGGTTTAATGTCATTTGTTTTTACATAAATGAGTATATGTGCATATAAACATGATATATACCAAAATGTTAATATTAATATCTCTGGATATCAGAATTAACAATAGTTTATACATATATATTTTGATCAACCTTGTTTTCTTATTTCCTTCTGATAAAAGTATTTTGCAAAATTAAGGGGGAAAAAGCACAAAGTGGCTTCCTTGAAGCAGAGCTAGAGTATCTGTTGACCTATTTGAGGCAGTTGTTGAGGTGTGTTGGGTACCAAGTGATAGAGTTGTAGGGAAAATGTGGTGTTTACATAGCACTGGCTACTTAATTGGCAGGGCCTTGTGCAAAATAAAAATGCTTTTTTTCAAAATCAAGAAGAAATTGCTGTTAAAGTTGCTAAAATATGAAGCTTTTTCTTCTACATGTCTTTAAAATTTTTATTTTAGGTTTGGGGGTACATGTGAAGGTTTGTTGCATAGATACACATGTGCCATGGGGGTTTGTTTTACATATTATTATACTACACAGATATTAAGCTCTGTGCCCAATAGTTATCTTTTCTGCTCCTTTCCCTCCTCCTACCCTCCCCTCTTAAGTAGACCTCAGTGTCTGTTGCTTCCTTCTTTGTGTTCATAAGTTCTTATCATTTAGTTCCTACTTAGAGGTGAAAACATATAGTATTTGGTTTTCTATTCCTGTGTTAGTTTGTTAAGGATGACAGCCTTCAGCTCCATCCATGTTCCTGCAAAAGACATGATCGTGTTCTTTTTTATGGATGCATAGTGATACAGTTTGGCTGTGTCTCCATCCACATCTTATCATGAGTTGTAACTCCCACAATTCCCACGTGCCATGGGAGGAACCCAGTGGGAGGTAATTAAATCATGGGGGTGGGTCTTTCCAGTGCTGTTCTGGTGTTAGTGACTAAGTCTCATGAGATCTGAAATGGGAGTTTCCCTGCACAAGCTCTCTCTTTTCCCGCTGCTGTCCATGTAAGTAAGACGTGACTTGCTCCTCCTTGCCTTCCCCCATGATTGTGAGGTCTCCCCAGTCATGTGGAACTGTAAGACCATTAAACATCTTTCCTTTGTAAATTGCCCAGCCTCAGGTATGTCTTTATCAGCAGCATGAAAATGAACTAACACAGTAAATTGGTACCAGGAGTGGGGTGCTGCTGAAAAGATACCCAAAAATGTGGGTGTAACTTTGGAGCTGGGTAACAGGCAGAGGTTAGAACAGTTTGGAGGGCTCAGAAGAAGATAGAAAAATGTGGGAAAGTTTGGAACTTCCCAGAGACTTGTTGAATGGCTTTGACCAAAATGCTGATAATGATATGGACAATGAAATCCAGACTGAGGTGGTCTCAGATGGAGGTGAGGGACTTGTTGGGAACTGGAGTAAAGGTGACTCTTGTTATGTTTTAGCAAAGAGCCTGGTGACATTTTGTGCCTGCCCTAAAGATTTGTGGAACTTTGAACTTGAGAGAGATGATTTAGGGTATCTGGCGGAAGAAATTTCTAAGCAGCAAAGCATTCAAGAGGTGACTTGGGTTCTGTTAAATGCATTCAGTTTTATAAGGGAAGCAGAGCATAAAAGTTCAGAAAATTTGTAGCCTGACAATGCAATAGAAAAGAAAATCTCATCTTCTGAGGAGAAATTCAAGCCAGCTGTGGAAATTTGCATAAGTAACAAAGAGCCAAATGTTAATCCCCAAGACAATGGGGAAAATGTCTCCAGGGCATGTCAGAGGTCTTCACGACAGTCCCTCCCATCACAGGCCCAGAGGCCTAAGAGGAAAAAGTGGTTTCATGGGCTGGGCCCAGGGTCCCCGTGCTGTGTGCAGCCTAGGGACTTGGTGCCCTGCATCCTAGCTACTCCAACCATGGTTGAAAGGGGCCAATGTAAAGCTCAGACCATGGCTTTAGAGGGTGCAAGCCCCAAGCCTTGGCAGCTTCCATGTGGTGTTGAGCCTGCAAGTGCACAGAAGTCAATAATTGGGGTTAGAGAACCTCCGCCTAGATTTCAGAGGATGTATGGAAATGCCTGGATGTCCAGGCAGGAAGTTTGCTGCAGGGGCAAGGCCCTCATGGAGAACCTCTGCTAGGGCAGTGCAGAAGGGAAATGTGGGGTCAGAACCCTCACACAGAGTCCCTACTGGGGCACTACCTAGTGGAGGTGTGAGAAGAGGGCCACTGTCCTCCAGACCCCAGAATGGTATATCCACTCACAGCTTGCACTGTGTGCCTGGAAAAGCCACAGACACTAAATGCAAGCCTGTGAAAGCAGTCGGGAGGGAAGCGGTACCCTGCAAAGCCACAGGGGTGGAGCTGCCCAAGACCATGGGAACCAACCTTTTGCATCAGCGTAACCTGGATGTGAGACCTGGAGTCAAAGGAGATCATTTTGGAGCTTTAAGATTTGACTGCCCCACTGGATTTCAGACTTACATGGGGCCTGTAGCCCCTTTGTTTTGGCCAATTTCTCCCATTTGGAATGGCAGTATTTATCCAATGCCCGTGTCCCCACTGTATCCTGGAAGTAACCAACTTGCTTTTGATTTTACGGGCTCATTGGTGGAAGAGACTTGACTTATCTTGGATGAGACTTTGGACTGTGGACTTTTAAGTTAATGCTGAAATGAGTTAAGACTTTGGGGGACTGTTGGGAAGGCATGATTGGTTTTGAAATATGAGCACAGGATATTTGGGAGGGGCCAGGGGCAGAATGATATGGATTGGCTGTGTCCCTACCCAAATCTCATCATGAATTGTAACTCCCACAATTCCCACTTATCATGGGAGGAACCCGGTGGGAGGTAATTGAATCATGGGGGTGGGTCTTTCCCATGGTGTTCTCATGATAGTGAATAAGTTTCACAATATCTGATGGTTTTAAAAGATATCTGATGGTTTTAAAAATGGGAGTTTCCCTGCACAAGCTCTCTCTCTTTTTGCCTGCTGCCATTCATGTAAGATATGACTTGCTCTTCCTTGCCTTCCACCATGATTGTGATGTGTCCCCAGCCACGTGGAACTGTAAGTCCATTAAACATCTTTCTTTTGTAAATTCCCAGTTTTGGGTATGTCTTTATCAGCAGTGTGAAAACGGACTAATACACATAGTATTCCATGGTGTATATGTACCACATTTTCTTTATTCAGTCTGTCATTGATGGGTATTTAGGTTGATTCCATGTCTTTGCTACTGTGAACTGTGCTGTAATGAACATTCATGAACCTGCATCTACATGTCTTCTCTGTTCATGCATGCAATCCATTGTCCCACTGAACATCACTTACAATATATGAGTTCAAAGAGAAAACATATTAAGAATTTTAAGGTGGTGATAACAAAATTAAATCAAGCCAGGGTCCTTCTTAGTGGGGGACCTGTGTGACTGCACAGGTTCACTACCTTGAAGCTGGGTCTGTGGTCACACACAGAGGGGAAGCCTGGCTCTGAATACTGTTATCCAGAGACACAAATAAAGCTACTAGCTGCAGAACAATGTAGAGTAACATGCTTAATGGGGACTCATATTGGGCCTCTCTCCTCCAGGGTCTGCTATACATAACTAATAGTTTATCTAAATGTGTATCTGGAATCAGTGTCTATCTGTCCTGACTTCCACTAATTATTAGGACTTCCACTAATTATATTATTATTGTTGTTTGATAGGGGTACAGCATGGATTCAATTAATTATCCCTTTATTTGTGGGCTACGTAGTTTCCTATTAGTGACTGTAGTTGTGTTTTAGTTAAATAAAGGAATCTGTCCTATCAATGTTTAGTAAGAGCTTTAGCCAACTCTATCAACTTTTTCCTCCTCACCTTGGAGGGAGTTTGTAAGCTTTGACTTCAGCCTCACGCAGAAGTCAGTTCTGAAGGCCTTGCTACCTTCTCCTCCTCCTTCTCCTCCTCCTCCTCCTCCTCCTTCTTCTTTTTTTTGACAGGGTCTTGCTCTGTCACCCAGGCTGGAGTGCAGCTCATTGCAGCCTCAACCTCCCAGGCTCAAATGATGCTCCCACCTCAATCTCCTGAGCAGCTGGGACTACAGGTGTGTGCCACTTCACCTGGCTAATTTAAATTTTTTTTTGTAAAGACAGGGTTTCCTTATGTTGCCCAGGCTCGTCTTGAACCCTTGGGCTCAAGAGATCCTCCCTCCCTCCTTGGGCTCCCAAAGTGCTGGGGTTACAGGTGTGAGCCATCATGACTAGCCTGAAAGCCTTGCTACCTTCTGACATAGCACTCCTTACTCTAGTTGTACAACATGACATGCCAGTTCCCAATGAGCAGGACTGGAAATTCTCCAAATTCAAGCAGCCAGTGACAACCTCCCTGGTTTGCATTTCTAGCTCAGTAAGATGAATGCAGGCTCAGGTAGAGATGAGAGGCAGAAATTATAGGAACTCTTGGGTTGAGGACTTCCAGGGTGAGAAATCTGGGGAAAGAAGTAGTATGGGAGCAATAGAAGGGTGAAGAATCAGAACAAAGTTTGGGGAAAGGGAATGGTGGTTGAAATGGGGTGTGTGGAGAGGAGCAAGGACTCTCACAGGTCTAGAGAAAAATGGCCACTTTTATTCTTATGGATATATTACAAAATAAATACCAAACAAGGGTTAAATTTTGTGGTATATTTTAAATGTACACATTTAATAAATTTAATGTTTTTGTTAACATGGATAACACTGTGCAATGTTATCATTTAGAATAATCTCTAGGTTTGTACAACATAGAAATTTATAGTGCACTATTTGCAGTTGTTGGAAATAACACACAAGGTTAAAGTTATATGATAAATGTAGTTTAAAACTTTTCAATTGTGGTAAGATACATATAACATTAATTTACCATCTTAACTATATTTATCCTTTTTTTTTTTTTTTTTTTTTTTTAGAGATGGAGTGTCACTCTGTCGCCCAGGCCAGAGTGCAGTGGCAAGATCTTGGCAGATCTTGGCTCACTGCAACCTCTGCCTCTCGAGCTGAAGTGATCCTCCTGCATCAGCCACCCAAGTAGCTGGGATTACAGGTGTGCACCACCACACCTGGCTAATTTTTGTATTTTTAGTAGAGATGGGGTTTCTCCATGTTGGCCAGGCTGGTCTCGAACTCCTGACCTCAAGTGATCTGCCCACCTTAGCGTCTCAAGTTGCTGGGGTTACAGGCATGAGCCATTGCACCCGACCTGTTTTTACTTTTAGCTCAATCAGTTTTTGCTTTACATATTTTGCAGCTCTGTTGTTTGGTGCATATACTTTAGGATAGTCATGTCTTGATGAACTGACACTTTTATCATTATGTAATATCCTTCTTTGTCTTGGGTAAATCTTTGGGGTCTGAAATGAATTTTATTTTATACTCTGTCTATATGTTTACTATTATTTATATGTTAATATGTATTTAATTTAAGGTAAAATATATACTGATTATATGTAATGACATATTACATATATATTGCTAATATATTTGTGTGTATGTGGTATCTCTATATATACTCGGATACTAATGTAGCCACTACTGCTTTCTTTTGCTTGATGTTTGCATAATAATACTTTTCTATCCTTCTACTTTCAACCTGACTATACCATTATATTTAAAGTGAGTTTCTTATAGATATCATATAGTTAGATCATGTTTTTTAACCAACTCTGCCAGTTTCTGTTTTTTAATTGGTACATTTATACCATTTAAATTTAATATAATTATTGCTACTTGAAACTTAAATCTGCCAGCTTATTCTTCCCCTCTTTTATTTCTGTTTTTCTTTTGCTCTCCTGCCTTCCTGTAGATTATTTCAACAATTTTTAGAATTCCATTTTGATTTATATACAGTGTTTGTGAGTGTATCCCTTTGTGTAGCTGTTTTAGTCATTGCTCTAGGTATTACATTACATATATGCATCTATCTATCTATCTATCATCATCATCTATCTTATCACAAGCTACTGGTGTCTCTACTTTATCAGTTTGAGTGGAGTATAGAAACCTTACCTCTCTTAATGTTCTTTTACACTTCTTCATTACAATATATTTCTCTTAAGTATTTCCTCTACTTACATTTAGAACTAATTCAGACAGCATTGTAATTTTTGCTTCAATTGTTCAGCATAATTTGGAAGACTCAAGAGCAGAAGAAAATTCTGTTTACCCATATTTTTTCTTACTATATTTTTTCTTCCTTTCTTATCGTCCAAGATTCCTTTTTTTTTTTTAATTCCCTTTTCATTTAGAGAACTTCCTTATACCGTTCTTTTTGGGTATGGCAACTAGTAATAAATTCTCTTAGTTTTTCTTCATGTAAGAAAGTCTTGATTTCCCCTTTATTGCTAAGGGATACTTTTGTTGGATATAGAATTGTGGATTAACAATTGTTTTCTTTCAGCATGGTGCTTCCTTCTGACCTGCATGGTTGCAGATGAGAAACCATTGTTATTCTGTTGGAAGAAAAGCTGAGTGTAGGGAGAGAAGCTGAGGCAGGGCTTGCATGTCTGCTAGACTTGCTGGCTCCTTGCTTCTAGCACTCCCATTATCTCAAGCAGCCGTATGTTTCTCATTCACTTGATACACTGTTTCCTTTCAACCCCCACATCCTCACCACCTGTTTCTTTGTTTGGGCACCAATAAATAGTGTGGGCTTTCAGAGCTCGGGGCCTTTGCAGCCTCCACACTCGCGATGGCTCCCTGGTCCCACTTTCTCTCTCAAACTGTCTTTTTCTCATTCCTTTGACTCCACTGGACTTCGTCGCCCCCATGACCTGGTGTTGGGTCTGATCACCCCAACATTCCTGGCTGCCCAATGTGGGGTGACAAAGACCCCGGTGAAGGAATGCTAGAGCATGTGAAAGCAGAGGATGCATCGTCAAAGGACACCCGAGGACATCTAAAAGATGCTCCGCGGGAAAGCTGAGCGCTCGGAAGAATAGGGTAACAATGTGACAAAGTGAAAGCAGACATTCTGCTTATTTAAATTTCTTGAGGCATTTATTATGAAGAGGGGGAGTGAAAGTTAGTACTCAGAGTTTATTATCACTCTTTAGTACAGTAAAGCAGTTTTGCCCGTGGTTTCCTGAACAAGGGACTATGGAGTTGGATGAATGGGAGAGAATTCGAAGAGATTTTAAAAAGGCAGATAAAGAGGGAGCAGAAATTCCAGTTTCTGTTTGGTCAATGTGGGTGCTAATAAAGGCAGCTCTTGAGCCATTTCAAACAGATAGGCAGATTCAGATGACAAAGAGGAGGACGAGTGTAAAAAACTAGCTTCAGATTCTGAGTGTGAGGAACAGCTACCGGAAGAGATTAAAGAAAAGAAAGGAAAACTAAAAAAATATGTTTTACTAGCCCGTCGGCTCCACCTGCTGAATTAAATGAATGGCCACCTCCTCTCTCTCTCCTTAATGGGCCAGAAAAGAAATTAGCTGAAAAACTTACTGCTCCTGTAGTTGCAACATTAAAACCTGGAGCATCATAAAACCATCAATTGATGGTGCTATGCAAAATTCTATTCAAAAAGCTAGAGCCAAGGGAGACCTTGAAGCATGGCAATTTCCCATTATTATAATCCAGCACGGAGGACAGAATATAGCTAATTGGGCCACTTTCCCTTTTAAGTTACTAAAGGAATTTAAGCAAGCCATTGGTCAATATGGACTGAACTCTCCTTTTGTGCAAACTTTATTAAAAAATATGGCTCTCGATAATAGATAATATCATATGATTGGGATACTTTGACAAAATCCATTCTTACTCCATCTCAGTACTTGCAGTTTAAAAGCTGGTGGGCTGAGGAAGCACAAACTCAGGCAAGGGAAAACACACAAGCACAGCCACCTGTGCCTGTTTCCTTTGAACAGTTAATGGGAGTTGGCCCTAATTGGGGTCAATTAGAGAATCAAGCAGTAATGGAGGATGTTGCCATTGTTCAGCTGTGCTTTGTGTACTTACAGGCATGGGAAAGGATAAATGTTACATGGGAAAAATATCCTTCTTTCAGCTCTGTCTGACAAGGACCTAAAGAACCATATATTGATTTTATTGCTCGGTTCCAAGAGGCTGTGTATAAAGCCATAACTGATAAAACGGCTCGGGATGTTGTAATACAGCTTCTTGCATACGATAATGCTAATGTACAGTGTCAAACTGCTATTAGACCCCTGAGAGGGAAGACTTATTTAGCTGAATATATTAAGGTTTGCGATGGCATTGGAGGTAACTTACATAAGGCTATTCTTTTAGCTCAGGCTCTGGCTGGATTAAGAGTAGGAAATAATATGCCCTATTTCTCAGGCTCTTGCTTTAATTGTGGGCAATTTGGACATACAAGAAAGGAATGTAGAAAAGGAAATCAAAAGGCAAAAACTACTACCATCAATCAACAGAAAAGTCCTGGTGTATGTCCCCAGTGTAAGAAAGGCAATCACTGGGCAAGTCAGTGCCATTCTAAATTTAGCAAAGATGGACAACCTCTTTCAGGAAACGGGAAGAAGGGCCCGCCTCGAGCCCCTCAACAAACTGAGGCATACCCAGCACAGCCAGTGGCCTTACAAATGTACAACAATTGTCCCCTGCCTCAGCAGGCAGTGCTGCTGTAGACCTCTGCAGCACAATTCCCATCTCCTTACTTCCTGTGGAGCCACCAAAGAAGGTCCCCATGGGAGTTAGGGGACCCTTACCCTCAGGAACAGTCGGTCTATTACTTGGAAGGTCTAGTCTAAATTTAAAAGGTGTTACTGTACATACGGGAATAATTGACTCTGATTATACTGGAGAAAATCAATTAGTTATTAGTTCCTTGACTCTGTGGTCTGCCTCCCCAGGAGAAAGAATTCCTCAGTTGTTGCTGTTACCTTACATAAAACTAGGAAGCAGCACAGTGAAAAGAACAGGAGGCTTTGGTAATACTAATCCAGCAGGAAAGGCTGTGTATTGGGTTAATCAAGTGTCTGACAAAAGATCTATTTGCACAGTAACTATTCGGGGAAAAGATTTTGAAGGACTAGTAGATACTGGAGCTGATGTCTCTATTATTGCTATAAATCAATGGCCCCAGCACTGGCCTAAGCAAAGGGCATCCATTGGTATTATTGGAGTAGGAGCTGCCTCGGAAGTTTTTCATAGTTCTTTGATTTTACCATGTCAAGGCCAGATGGTCAGGAAGGAACAATTCAGCCTATCATTACACCTATTCCTGTCAATTTATGGGGTAGAGACTTATTGCAACAATGGGATGATGAAATATCTATTCCTACGGATCAATATAGTAATAATAGTAGACAAATGATGAAAAATATGGGATATCGCCTGAGAGAAGGACTAGGAAAAGATAAAAATGGCCAATCAGAACCTTTAGAATTAAAAGGGCAAACAGATTGGACTGGATTGAGGTGTCATTTTTGGGAGCGGCCATTGTTGAGCCTCTGGCTCCCATTCCTCTTGTTTGGCTAACTGCCAAACCGGTTTGGGTGGAGCAATGGCCGCTGAAACAGGAAAAACTGGAGGCTTTAAAAGAACTGGTGCAGGAACAATTGCAAAAGGGACATATAGAGCCTACTTTATCCCCTTGGAATTCTCCTGTATTTGTCATTAAGAAAAAATCAGGGAAATGGAGAATGTTAACAGATTTAAGGGCTGTTAATGCTGTGACTCGACCCATGGGTGTTCTACAACCAGGGCTGCCCTCCCCAGCAATGATCCCAAAATACTGGCCTCTCATAATGATAGATCTAAAGGATTGCTTTTTTGCCATTCCTTTAGCTGCCCAAGATTATGAAAAATTTGCTTTTACTGTTCCCACCATAAATAATAAAGAATCGGCAGACAGATACCATTGGAAAGTACTACCACAAGGCATGCTAAACAGCCCGACTGTTTGTCAAATTTATGTCAGGAAAGCTATTAAGCCAGTTAGAGAACAGTTCAAAAAATGTTATATTATCCATTACATGGATGATATTCTGTGTGCAGCTGAAACTAGGGAAGAATTGATGTTGTGCTACAAACAGTTAGAAAAGGCTGTAAATGCGGCAGGGTTAATTATAGCCTCTGATAAAATCCAAACTTCTACTCCCTTTCAATATCTAGGAATGAAGGTAGAGCAAAGTGCTATTAAGCCTCAAAAGGTTCAAATTCGAAGAGATAATTCAGAAACCTTAAAAGATTCCCCAAAATTATTAGGAGACATTAATTGGATTTATCCAACTTTAGGCATTCCTACCTATGCTATGTCTCACCTCTTTTCTACTTTACGAGGTGATTCTAACCTTAACAGTAAACACTCCCTGTCCAAGGAAACATTGGAGGAACTTCAATCAATTGAGGAAAAAATTCGGCAAGCACAAGTAGAATGGATTAACCTGATACAGACATTACAGTTTTTAGTTTTTCCTACTAAGCATTTGCCTACAGGAGTTATAGTTCAACAGGATGATCTGGTTGAGTGGCTTTTTCTACCATACAATACAACCAAAATGCTCACTCTATACTTAGATCAAATTGCTGTGCTAGTAGGACAAGCGAGGCTGCGTACAACAAAGCTAATGGGACATGATCCAAATCAGATCATAGTTCCATTAACTAAACAACAAATTCAACAAGCCTATATTAATTCCAAGAATGGCAAGTTAATTTGGCCGGTTTTGTTGGCATTCTTGGTAATCATTATCCTAAGTCTAAAATCTTCCAGTTTCTAAAATTAACATCCTGGTATTGCCTTCTATTACTCAAAAAGCCCCTATTGAAGGGGCCATTACTGTTTTTACTGATGGATCTAGTAATGGAAAAGCCTCATTTGCAGGACCTCAACAGCAAGTTTTTCAAACTGACTTTGCTTCTGCTCAAAGGGCTGAACTTATGGCTGTGATAACAGTGTTAAAAACTTTTAAGCAGCCAGTAAACATTGCTTCTGATTCAGCCTATGTTGTGCAAGCCATGCAAAATGTTGAATGTGCCTTAATTTGAAATGTGACTGATGAACGACTTAATCTTTTATTTCATTCTTTACAGCAAGTAGTACAACAAAGGCATTCACCTTTCTATATCACTCATTTGAGAGCACATACTAACCTCCCTGGCCCTTTAAATTTAATTAAAGGGTGGATGCATTCATGTCTGCAGCCTTTGCTGATGCACAAACATTTCATTATTTAACCCATCTTAATGCAGCAGGCCTTAGAAAAAGATATGGTCTATCATGGAAACAAGCTAAAGAAATTGTGTAACACTGTTCTGCCTGCCAAGCCCTGTATCTGCCACATCAAGGAACAGGAGTTAACCCTAGAGGTTTATCTCCAAATTCCATCTGGCAGATGGATGTAACACATATTCCTGCTTTTGGAAAATTGTCCTTTGTTCATGTTTCAGTAAATACCTATTTACATTTTATCTGGGCCACATGTCAAACATGGGAAGCCACAGCTCATGTTAAAAGACATCTTTTATCTTGCTTTTCAGTTATGGGAATCCCAGAAAAAATCAAAACTGATAACAGCCCAGGATACTGTAGTAAAGCCATGGCTACATTTTTTCAACAATGGAATATTACCCATACTATGGGTATTCCATATAACTCACAAGGACAAGCAATAGTGGAAAGGGCTAATTGTACTTTAAAAACTCAAATACAAAAGCAAAAGGGAGGGGACCAGGAATATAAAAAACCACATATCATTTGCATTTAGCTTTATTAACATTAATTTTTTTAAATGTACAAAAAGATCAAACCATGACTGCAGCTGAACAACACCTGACGGGACAAAAGGAAAATAAAAAGGCTGGACAAGATACATGGTGGAGGGATGTACATACAAAGAGCTGGGAAAAAGGACAGATAATTTTATGGGGAAGAGGATTTGCTTGTGTCTCTCCAGGTGAGGATCAGGTGCCTGTGTGGGTGCCCACCAAACATCTGAAGATCTATCATGAACCATAGCATCTAGTGGACCCACCTGTACAGTGCAAATTGAAGGTTTAAGGATTGCTTTCAGGCCTCGATTTGCTTTCTCTGTGCCTTCTGTTAGAAGGGGCCTGCTTCTCGTTATCAACAGTAAGTTTTACCCCACGGTAATTAACCAAAGAGGCAGAAGGTGAGTTACAAATGCTTCAGCAATGGCAGGCCTCTTGGCTACAGCCACAAAAGTTTTTGCTTCTGTTTCAGTAGATTTACTAACTGGGGGTGAGGGTATGCTTGTGTTTTTGCAGGAGATGAACAAACCGTGTAGGTGCCCTCAAGATGTGTATGACCATGGAACATGAGACTGGAAGGACCCATGGATCCCAATCATGGACCGGGTTCCCCCAATACAAGCCACGCTGTGAGAAACTGAGAGGTGACAATGTGCTAGCAGCCCTCGCTTGCTCTCGGTCCCTCCTCAGCCTCGGCGTCTGCTCTGGTTGCACTCGAGGAGCCCTTCAGCCCACAGCTGCGCTATGAGGGCCCCTCTCTGGGGCTGGCCGAGGCTGGAGCCAGCTCCCTCTGCTCGCGGGGAAGTGTGAAGAGAGAGGTGTGGGTGGGAGCCAGGCTGCACACGGCACTTGCAGGCTGGCACGGGTCCCAGGTGAGTGGTGCCTGGCTTGATTGGAGGCTGAATCCTGTGCATGGACCACCATTCCCTCTTCACGGGATCGTTGGCCACGATAGGAGGTCTCTGTCTCTTTCTCGCTTCCCTTCTTTTCCTCCTGATTGTCTGGGATGAGCTCCCTCTGGGCTGCTGGAGTGCCCAGGCTAGGTGCCGCAAAGTCCCGTGGTGAGTGCCAGTGAGAGGTGAAGCCAGCTGGGCTTCTGGGATGGGCGGGGACTTGGAGAACTTTTCTGTCTAGCTAAAGGATTGCAAACGCACCAATCAGCACTCTGTCAAAATGGACCAATCAGCGCTCTGTAAAATGGACCAATCAGCAGGATGTGGGTGGGGCAGATAAGGAAATAAAAGCAGGCCACCAAAGCCAGCAGCGGCAACCTGCTCAGGTCCCCTTCCATACTGTGGAAGCTTTGTTCTTTTGCTCTTCGCAATAAATCTTGCTGCTGCTCACTCTTTGGGTCCTTGCCACCTTTATGAGCTGTAACACTCACCACGAAGGTCTGCAGCTTCACTCCTGAGGCCAGCGAGACCATGAACCCACTGGGAGGAACGAATAACTCCAGACGTGCCACCTTTAAGAGCTGTAACACTCACCGCGAAGGTCTGCAGCTTCACTCCTGAAGTCAGTGAGACCACGAACCCACCAGTAGGAAGAAACTCCAGACACGTCCGAACATCAGAAGGAACAAACTCCGGACACACCATCTTTAAGAATTGTAACACTCACCGCAAGGGTCCACGGCTTCCTTCTTGAAGTCAGCGAGACCGAGAACCCACCAATTCCAGACACAAAACTGCTGGAGTGCCAGGGTTTTACCTATAGATGCTTAACGGATGAATACTTTCTGAGTGAACTCCTCTCTACCCTGAATACAAGAGAACCTAATAGGTAGGCAGGAGTATCATCGCCCCTATTTAGCATGAAGAAGTTACAGAAGACGGACCTCCATCCTTCTGCAACCCCTAGGATTAACGGTCCTCTTGTAAAAGGGAAAAGGGAGATATGTAGGAAGTATTCAAACCAGAGCGACTCCATTTTGAATAAGGGCTAAGAAAAATGAAGCTGGATCACCAACCGGCAGTTAAGGGCTGCACAGCCTGCAATTGCCTTGCTCAATTAATTTAAAAAAGAGGCCATCTTATGCTAATAATAATGATAGCTGTGGTGGTTTTAACAATAAAGAGAAGGGGGGCATGTTGGGAGAAAAGCTGAATGTTGGGAGAGAAGCTGAGGCAGAGTTTGCATGTCTGCTAGACTTGCTGGCTCCTTGCTTCTAGCACTCCCATTATCTCAAGCAGCCATATGTTTCTCATTCACTTGATACACTGTTTCCTTTCAACCCCCACATCCCCACCACCTGTTTGAGCACCAATAAATAGCGTGGACTCCCAGAGCTTGGGGCCTTTGCAGCCTCCACACTCGCGATGGCCTCCTGGTCCCACTTTCTCTCTCAAACTCTTTTTCTCATTCCTTTGACTCCACTGGACTTCGTCGTCCCCATGACCTGGTGTTGGGTCTGATCACCCCAACACATTCAAATTATATTTCCCATATGTATAAGATGTCTTTTCTCCCTTGCTGCTTTCAATAATTTTTTTCTTTGCTATCCATTTTCAGAAATTTAACTAAGATGTGTCTTGGTGTGAAATTCTTTGAGTTTATCCTGTTTGAGGCTCACTCACTTCTTGAATCTGTAGGCTTGCATGTTTTGCCAAATTTGGGAAGTTTTCAACCTGCCCTCTTTCTCCTTTCCTTCTTGAACTCTGATGACATGAATGTTATATTTTTTGTTATAGTCCCATAAACCTGTGTTCATTTTTCCCCCACCTATGTTCTCTCTCTTGTTCAAATTGGGTAATTTTCATTGTCCTATCTTTGAGGTTGCTGATATTTTCTCCTCTATCTCCTCTATTCTGCTGTCGAGCTTATCCATCGAATTTTAAAATTTCAGCTGTTGTATTTTTCAGTTACAAGTTTTCTATTTGGTTCTTCTTTATATTTTCTGTTTCTTTGCTAAAATTTCCTGCTTTTTAATTTGTTTCAAGTGTGTTCATAATTGCTTGCAGAAGCCATTTTATTTATTTATTTATTATTTTATGTTATTTGTGAGATGGAGTATCACTCTGTCACCCAGGCTGGTGGACAGTGGCATGATCTCAGCTCACTGCAACCTCCGCCTCCTGGGTTCAAGCAATTCTTCTGCCTCAGCCACCCAGGTAGCTGGGATGACCGGTACCTACCAACAAGCCTGGCTAATTTTTGTACTTTTAGTAGAGACAGGGCTTCTCCATGTTGGCCAGGCTGGTCTTGAACTCCTGGCCTCAAGTGATTTGCCCACCTTGGCCTCCCAAAGTGCTGAGATTACAGGCATGGACACTGTACCCAGCCTTGTCAGATAATTCTGATATTTCTATCATCTTGGTGTTGGCATCTATTGATTTTATTTTTAATTCAGCTTGAGATATTCCTGGTTCTTGGTATAAGGGGTAACTTTTTATTGAAATTGGACTTTTTGGTATTATGTTATGAGACTCTGGATCTTACTTAAACTTTCTGTTTTAGGTGGCTTCCTCTGATACCACTCTGGCAAGGGAAGAGGGGCACTGCCTCATTACTTTCAGGTGGGTTGTAAGAGTCCTGGCTCCCCACTTGGTCTCTCTTGACACTCAAGGGGGGTTTCCTCCTTGCTAATGCTGGGTGGAGGTGGGAGTTCCAGTTCCCACCTAGGCCTCCACTCATACCTAACTGTCTGCCCTCCACATGGTCTCCAATGACATAATGGTGGGGGATAACCTGGTTACCAATGGGCAGTGGTAAATGTCCTGACTCTCCTCTAAGCCTCCTCCGACACCTTCCTAGCCAGGAAGAGGAGGGGCACCTTGTTATTGACAGGCTCCCATTGTAGTCTCTACTTCTACCTTTGGTGGGTAAGCTGTCATTATCATCCAGCAGAAATGAAAGTCTTGGTTCCCTACTCTGTCTCCTTTGATGTCACCCTGGAGAGGCTATTGGGATACCTTGTTATAGCCTGGAGAGAGGATAGAAGTCTGGGCTTCTCACTTGGCCTTCGGTATCAGGAGTAGGGATAGAGCCACAGTCTTTTCTATGGTGTTTGCCTGCAGTAGAGTAGTTATTATTTAAAAGTTTTCTGTCTTACTAGGCTGTTCCTTTCCTAGGTCTTTAGATAGAGAGAGCAGTGTTTTGTTAGGGCTTTTGATGTCTGTGCCCATTGTTGTTTCTGAGTTGTCAGCTTCTTCAGCTTGAAGTCTGACATATATAAGGCAAAAATAATACCCAAGAACTTAGCATCATATCATTTCTTGGAACCCAAGGTCCCTAACCCCTCTGTCTTATTTTCTCCTCCTTTCATAGCCTTATATATATTTTAATGTAGTATATATAAAACAAGTATATCTACCTATCTTCCTGGAAGCTGACTGAATTTATTTTTAATCTGACCTGAAAATCTCCATTTTGAAGTTACTTTATATTTATTATATTTACTGATATATTTGGATATATTTTCACTATGTTGTTGTATGTTATTTGTTCTACTTTTTCCCCATTTCCTTTTTTTCTTCCTTTGGGTCTATATTTGGCTTGATGGAGGCTGTTTTGTTTTAACTTTTAAGGATTTTTTCTTTTACTATTACTCTTAAGTTTTTAACATGCATATTTGACTGAATAAAGTATCTTTGCTAATGAAATAAACATCTCTACTCTTCTAAAAAAAATGAGAACTTTAGAATGCATTAAATCCACTCAATCTCCTCTCATTTTATTTGTTGTTGCTATCCAATATTGTACCTCCTCCTTATCCAAATTATACATCATTATTACTGTTTCATACAGTCAATAATTGTTTGGCTTTAACCACATGTGTTCTAATTTCTTTATAAGCCATTTCTTCTTGAATCTTAGTCCTACCTTTGGAGTTCATTTTTCTTCTTTCTGAAGTAATTCATTAGAATTTCCTTTGGTGAGGGTCTATTGATGAAACTTTTAGTTTTCATTTGTCTGAAAAGGTCTTTATTTTGCCCTTGTTCTTGATAGATGGTTTTGCTATGCTTCACAATTCCAAGTTGACAATTACTTTCTCTCAGCACTTTGAAGATACTATTTTATTGTCTTGTGTATTTTATTGTTACTGTAGAGATGCCTGCTGTCAGTTTAATTGTTTTTCCTTTTTAGATAATCTATCTTTTCTCTCTGGCTGCTTTAAAATATTTTGTTTTGTTATTTAACAGCAATGTGTTTAGATGTGGAATTTCTTTCTTTTTAAAATTCTATTAGAGGATTTATGTTTTCTGAATTTGGAGATTTATAGCTTTTATAATTCTGAAAATTCTCTGCTAATATCTCTTTGAATATTGATTACTGCCAAGTGCAAAAACACCCAGAGCTGTTGAAGCATTAGCATCCATTACAGTTACGCTCTCCGCTTCTTTTTAATTTTTTGATCTCTGGAGATTTCCTCTTCTCTCTTACTGGCTGTGTTATGTTATACATCAAAAAGATTAAAAATAAATCTACAGAATTTGTAGTTATTTTCTAGCAGAAGATTTTTCAGGAGATCTAGTGCTCCATATTACCGGAAATGGAAGTCTAAAAGTATTCTCATCCTTTCATTTGTCTCTGAGACTGTATGTATGACATTATTGTAAATAACATTTGAGAATTAAGTTTAAGATAACATTAAGAGTTACAGTTTAAGGCTCATTGAGGATATTAAGCTTGTGGCAACTGGCACCTGTTCCCATGAAGATGAACCCAGGGCGAGGGCTGGAGATAGGTAGTAGGGAGTAAAGTGAGCAGAGTTTGCTTACTCTTCAGTTTTTCAATCTCTCTTATTCCTTTCCTGTCATTTGCTAGCTGTGTGTTGGACATATTTCTTGAAGTCTTTCAACCTTAGTTTCATTATCTGTCTAATGAAGACAATAGCACAATTTTGTAGGGCTGTTATAGAATTAAATGAGATGGCATGTGTAAAATGCTTGGTTCAGTGCCCAGCTCAAAAAAGATGTTGAAGGAATGTTAGTTCCTCCCTTTCCCTTAGTAGCATTCGTGCCCCCCCCCCACTTTTTTTCCTATCTTCATTTGCTAGCCAGCACTTAGACAAAATTGAACTAGGATTGGGTGGAAGAGACACTAGGTAGTGGAAGGAAATGTAGTGGTGGACAAAAAGAGCTAGACAAGGAGAGCCCCAATAATATAGGAAAGAAAAGAGGAATGTTGACTTCCATCCCCATGAGGCAACCTTTCAGAGGTAATTTGGGGACACGTAATCAAAGACCACCTTCCTTTCTGTCACCTGAAATAGGCTGGTCATTCTTCTGTTTTTCAGCAATATTTCTTTATTATTATTATTATTATTATTATACTTTAAGTTTTAGGGTACATGTGCACAATGTGCAGGTTAGTTACATATGTATACATGTGCCATGCTGGTGTGCTGCACCCATTAACTCGTCATTTAGCATTAGGTATATCTCCTAATGCTATCCCTCCCCCCTCCCTCCACCCCACAACAGTCCCCAGAGTGTGATGTTCCCCTTCCTGTGTCCATGTATTCTCATTGTTCAATTCCCATCTATGAGTGAGAACATGTGGTGTTTGGTTTTTTGTACTTGCGATAGTTTACTGAGAATGATGATTTCCAATTTCATCCATGTCCCTACAAAGGACATGAACTCATCATTTTTTAAGGCTGCATAGTATTCCATGGTGTATATGTGCCACATTTTCTTAATCCAGTCTATCATTGTTGGACATTTGGGTTGGTTCCAAGTCTTTGCTATTGTGAATAGTGCCGCAATAAACATACGTGGGCATGTGTCTTTATAGCAGCATGATTTATAGTCCTTTGGGTATATACCCAGTAATGGGATGGCTGGGTCAAATGGTATTTCTAGTTCTAGATCCCTGAGGAATCGCCACACTGACTTCCACAATGGTTGAACTAGTTTACAGTCCCACCAACAGTGTAAAAGTGTTCCTATTTCTCCACATCCTCTCCAGCACCTGTTGTTTCCTGACTTTTTAATGATTGCCACTCTAACTGGTGTGAGTTGGTATCTCATTGTGGTTTTGATTTGCATTTCTCTGATGGCCAGTGATGATGAGCATTTTTTCATGTGTCTTTTGGCTGCATAAATGTCTTCTTTTGAGAAGTGTCTGTTCATATCCTTCACCCACTTTTTGATGGGGTTGTTTGTTTTTTTCTTGTAAATTTGTTTGAGTTCATTGTAGATTCTGGATATTAGCCCTTTGTCAGATGAGTAGGTTGCAAAAATTTTCTCCCATTTTTTAGGTTTCCTGTTCACTCTGATGGTAGTTTCTTTTGCTGTGCAGAAGCTCTTTAGTTTAATTAGATCCCATTTGTCAATTTTGTCTTTTGTTGCCATTGCTTTTGGTGTTTTAGACATGAAGCCCTTGCCCATGCCTATGTCCTGAATGTTTTTCAGCAATATTTCAATCTCTTACGATCTTAGTTTATACACAGTTCTTTGAAAGCAGGAATCAAAGGGAAAAGGAGAGGATGGGAATGAAGAGTCCAGATCTAAATCATAACTAAGAGAAAATAGGATATCATTCCCATTGCTTAGAATTAATGGCATATAGGTTTGATGACATAAAAAATGTTTCTGGAATTTCTTTAACTGGAAAAATACGTTTTCAGAGGAATAACTTGTTATCTGCACACTGTTGGCTTTTGTTTTGGATCAAAAGGCCCAAATCTATGTTAACAGGCAGTTTAAATGAAAACAAGATATACATCTATTTAGTGTAGTATATGTTGTAGTATTAAGATTAATACAAAGGATTAAAAGTAGAATTTCCATCTCAATTCTTAATTTACGAGTTTCAGAGTGATAGTTAGATCTGATAGTAATTTATATATACTTGCTTCATGGTTTAATTTTACCCATATATTACAGATCCTAATTCAAATGCCAGAGTCTTAGATTAAGAACCCAGAGAGAACTTAAATTATAGGCTTTTGCTGTTTTTCACTTGCCTGATTTACCAATAGCAGTAAAGCATGAATTATAGCCTTGCTAGTCTCTGGAAGACCATGACTGATACTAGAAATAATAATTGTTGCTGCCCTTAAATCGGAAGAAACAGCACAAAAGCAGTAACTGATCTGGGATATGGAAGCTAGATTTATTTCTGTTTGAGTGGGTGTGAAAAATAGGTAATTTGCATATAGTTTAGGGGAAAAGATGTAGGATTGGTTTTGTGATAATCAGCCTATTGTTGTTCAAGAGGGACTCTGAGAGACCATATAGAGAGGAGAGATCATTTTGAAAACTGGGGAGAATGGGGAAAAAAAGGACAGGATCTGTGTGTAATTCAGAGGATGTCAGGATCCAGCTCAATTTGTTAGTATATTTTTATTAGTACATCACTCGAAAAAAAATCAGCGTTGCTATTTTAGAATCTTTATTTCTCATATGGCTTCTCAACTATGAAACAAGAATCTTAAATATCAGTATTAGGTATATTAACATACTTAGTTAGAATTGTGTTCTGGTGAATATAGTATAGAATGAGGATTATTATTACAAGCTGTGTGAAAATTTTAAGTAATTTATATGCAAAAGAGAGTTGAGTCTGAAGAGCATTGGTCTAATGTGCTCCTAGTAAGTGTACCTCCAGGCCTTTCCTGCCGTATCCCTCAGTCAAGCCTCAGGAAAACAACCTTTCTCATTTCTCTTCCTAGCCCTTCTCTATAGCAATGCACTCTTTGGTCACTTACCATAAAGGCATCAAAGCTACTATTTTGAGGGAAGGGTTTGATTATAATCTAATTAAAAGCCATTTACAGATGCAGAGAATCTTGACAGAGTCCAGCCTGAGTACTTCGATGTCTCTCATTCTATGGTGATTGATCTAGGGAAACTTTGAAATCAAGATATTTATGTATTTAGTAAGATACAAAGAGCAAACTCTTTTTTTTTTTTTTAAACAGAGTTGCTGCTATTGTTATCTACTTCCCCATTCATCATCAGCAGAAATGCCAAATTCCTTTCTCAGCATAGTGGTTGAGTTCAGGCTCTGAAATTCGTGTGATTTCATATCATGTGCTACCAGTTATTAGCTATGTGATCTTGGTCAAATTACTTAGCTTCTCTGTGCCTGTTTTTTCTGTAATATATAGGTGATAATGTTTTCTGCTTCATAGGGTTGTTGTCAGCTTTAAATGTGATTAATATACATAAACACTTCACACAGAATCTAGTATTTGGTGAATGCTCAGTAAAAGTTAGCTATTATTATAACTAACCCTGTCTTGGAATGACAAATGACAGCAAGCAGTTAATATCTAACTATAATCAGCATTTTGTCATCTCAACAAACACTATTCTGACGCAATAACATACCTTAATGAAAGCAGCACCTCCATTTAACTTTACGTTAGGAATAGCAGAGACACAATTTAATTTTACTAATCATTTTTTGGGCATTAATCAACTGCCAATCAACTGCATATCTAAACAGACCTACTTTATTGTATTATTTTCTCATATTAAAATAAATCCTTTAACAAACCATACAGACTTCAGCTGTTAAAGATATCTGTCCTGCCTTTTTTTTTTTCTTTTTTTGAGATGGGGGTCTCACTCTGTCCGCCAGGACGGAGTGCAGTGGCACGACAGAGACCCAGGGTCTCTCTATGGTGCCCAGGCTGGTCTTGAACTCCTGGCCTCAAGTGATCCTCCTCCCTCAGCCTCCCAAGTTACTGGGATTACAGATGTGAGCCACCATGCCCAGGTTGTTAAAGGGGTCTGAAAAAAAGATGGTAACTCTAAAACAGGGAGAAATACTAGAAATGGTGCAAAACTGAGTTTTCCTAATGAAATTATATGCGAGGCAATATTAGCTAAGTAATCCTATTGCCAGAATAGCTGACATTCTAGTATTTTTTTTTTACTTTTAGTCATTCTTTTCTGTGACATTTTGAGTAAAACATGTTATTTATTATTTTAGTGTTAATCATGGTTCTTTCCTCTAGTATTGAAAATTCTGCTACATCTGTTAAGTGTATTTTTTTTTTTTAATAACCAAGGAACAAAATTCTTTCCAGGACAATGTGGGGTGGTAGGACAAGTCAATGAAAAAAAAAATGAATTCCTTGTTCAGTAAATTCTACTTTATAGTAAACTTTTTAGAAACATAGCAATTGTGTTAAGTTAGGGTTACCACTGTAAATATTCTATGACTGTGTGTGTGATTACAGGGGAAATCAGAAAATATGTTCTCCTCCCAACACTTTGACTGTAGCTTGCGTGTTGCAGCTAGAAATAGAGCAAGGGGTTGTTAACAGAGAATGCTTCTTCAGTAATTCCTTGTGGCATGCATTTAGCTCTCTGCCCCCACGGTTAGAGACCTCCATCCTTTTGCCAGCTGCTGTGTTCAGTTGTCTGGGTTATTTTGGGTGGCAGTGGGTTGATCCTAGGGGGAAATGATTGCATATCTTTGCATTTTAAAATGTTCTGTACAAATGTGTTATGAAAGATTTGGGAGCCATAGGGAATTATAGTTTTATTAAACAGTTTGTGTTTGAGTTCTGGGGTATTGACCAGGCCGTAAAATTCAGAAGCCTGCAGAACGTAGTAAAGAAACCAATCCTTTGTTAGTTTTAAATACCTGCTCTGAGTAGCACAGTGGGAAATGGAATGCTATGGACACTTTGCAGTAAAACACTGGGATCTCCAGATATCCTAGGGGAAAGTGGGAAGAGGGGATGTGAGTGGAATGATAGATGGTACAATCAATTGGATTGGCAGCTTATTAGACAAAGCAATGGATTGATGTGATCCTGGAGAGAGCTCTGGTCCCATCATCAGGGCTCTGCTTAAGTCCTATCATGTGTTAAATATTTTAATCAATATTTGGATGAAACACGGAAAACATGCTTGCCAGATTTAAGGTTGCCATAAAGATGAATGCACGGTATCCAGAATCATAATACAAAAAGAGGCTGGCTGACTGGTCCTATGGACTAAAATGATGCAATTTAACAGGGATACAGGAAAGGCCTATATTTGGGAAGGAGGATGTATTGTTTATTGGCTGAATAATTGTGCATATTTATAAACTTCCAATTCTCTAATAAGTGATCCAACCAGAAAATTGACTCTAATATGAAGCTGCTGAATTCTGGGGGTATTTTGATTTGTGGACGTGGAGAAAGTGGTAGAGAGCAATACCTCCAGAGAACCTAAAAAGTATAGCATAGGGAAAAATTATAACCCTTATTACCTTGAGTTATTTTTAAATAAAAGTTTAATTTTAAGAAACCAAAATTATATGCTCCTTGCCCAAATGTTCCATCAAGAAAACAAACTTAAATATTTCATACATGCCAGAGTAAACTTTGAGGTTTCTTTACTCCTGTGTAACCTTGGGCAAGTTACTTAATCCTGTTTAAGACTCACTTTCCTCATTTAGAAATATATGCTCATGGTAAAAAAGAATTAACAGTGCAAAGGAACGTACAATGAAAATTAAGTCTCCTATGCCTCCAATTCCTAGTTCGTTTTCCCAGACATTTTTTTTTTTTGCTGAATTCTTCCAGAGATGGCCTAGGCATATATGTGTATAAATTTTCTTCTAAAAAAACACGTAATATGTACAGGATTTCTCCCCTGTAATTTGCTTTGTTTGCCTAGCATGGGGGTTAAAATCATAGATTCTGAAGCCACATTATTTGGATTCAAATCTCAGCTCTGCCACTTGACGGTGTGACCTGGGCAAGTTACTCTGTGCCTGCAGGGCTGACTTAAAACATTAGGCACGGTCGGCACAGTGCCTAGGGTCTGTTACATACTTTCAGGAGCCCACAAACATGTTTAATTTTAGGAGCTCATGAAAGTGTTCTCTTTTAAAATCAAGGAGAAAAAATGAATATTAAATAATGAATATATAATAATGAATTCAGTTCAGATTATATTTGTTTTTATATACCAAATCAATTGTAAAATACAAGTTTTAATTTATTTTAAGAGACGGGGTCTTGCTATGTTGCCCAGTCTGGAGTGCAGTGGCTATTCACAGGTGCAATCATAGCATACTACAGTCTTTTTTTTCTCTATCAAATGTGGTTTTTTATTCAACGGACAAGCACTTTTCTATAGCTGCACTTGTGGAAAATCATATGGCAAAAACAGGAGTTTTTTTCTCTAGCCATTTTTTTTCTTTTTAAACTTATTAAAAATGAGATTGGTCCAAACGTGGGTTCACAGCCTCTAGGAAAGGCCAGGCTGCATTATGGGACCCCATCTCCATCAGGATAATCTCGCAAAATGTGAGATCAGTGTGGTGGTTCTGAGAGGTGACAGCATGCTGGCAGTCCTCAGAGCCCTCGCTTGCTCTCGGCACCTCCCCTGCCTGGGTTCCCACTTTGGTGGCATTTGAGAAGCCCTTCAGCCCCCCCACTGCACTGTGGGAGCCCCTTTCTGGGCTGGCCAAGGCTGGAGCCCACTCCCTCAGCTTGCAGGGAGGTGTGGAGGGAGAGGCACGAGCGGGAACCGGGGCTGCATGCGGCGCTTGCGGGCCAGCTGGAGTTCTGGATGAGCGTGGGCTTGGTGGGGGGCAATGGGGGACTTAGCACCTGGGCCAGTGGCTGCGGAGGGTGTACTGAGTCCCCCAGCAGTGCCGGCCCACCGGCGCTGTGCTTGATTTCTCACCGAGCCTTAGCTGCGTTCCTGTGGGGCAGGGCTCGGGACCTGCAGCCCTCCATGCCTGAGCCTCCCACCCACTCCATGGGCTCCTGTGTGGCCCGAGCCTCCCCGACGAGCACCACCCCCTGCTCCACGGCGCCCAGTCCCATCGACCACCCAAGGGCTGAGGAATGGAAGCGCACGGCACAGGACTGGCAGGCAGCTCCACCTGCAGCCCCTGTGCGGGATCCACTAGGTGAAGCCAGCTGGGCTCCTGAGTCTGGTGGGGACGTGGAGAGTCTTTGTATGTAGCTCAGGGATTGTAAATACACCAATCAGCACCCTGTGTTTAGCTCAAGGTTTGTGAGTGCACCAATCGACACTCTGTATGTAGCTGCTCTGGTGGGGCCTTGGAGAACCTTTATGTCTAGCTCAGGGATTGTAAACACACCAGTCAGTACCCTGTGTCTAGCTCAGGGTTTGTGAGTGCACCAACCGACACTCTGTATCTAGCTGCTCTGGTGGGGCCTTGGAGAACCTTTATGTCTAGCTCCGGGATTGTAAATACACCAATCGGCACTCTGTATCTAGCTCAAGGTTTGTAAACACACCAATCAGCACCCTGTGTTTAGCTCAAGGTTTGTGAATGCACCAATCGACACTCTGTATCTAGCTGCTCTGGTGGGGCCTTGGAGAACATGTGTGTCGAAAATCTGTATCTAACTAATCTGATGGGGACGTGGAGAACCTTTGTATCTAGCGCAGGGATTGTAAACACACCAATCAGCGCCCTGACAAAACAGGCCACTCGGCTCTACCAATCAGCAGGATGTGGGTGGGGCCAGATAAGAGAATAAAAGCAGGCTGCCCGCGCCAGCATTGGCAACCTGCTCGGGTCCCCTTCCACACTGTGGAAGCTTTGTTCTTTTGCTCTTTGCAATAAATCTTGCTACTGCTCACTCTTTGAGTCCACGCTGCTTTTATGAGCTGTAACACTCACCGTGGATCTGCAGCTTCACTCCTGAGCCCAGCGAGACCATGAGCCCACCGGGAGGAACGAACAACTCCAGAAACGCTGCCTTAAGAGCTGTAACACTCACCGCGAAGGTCTGGAGCTTCACTCCTGAGCCAGCGAGACCACGAACCCACCAGAAGGAAGAAACTCCGAACACATCTGAACATCAGAAGGGACAGACTCCAGACGCACCACCTTAAGAGCTGCAACACTCACCGCGAGGGTCCGCAGCTTCATTCTTGAAGTCAGTGAGACCAAGAACCCACCAATTCCGGACACATTTTGGCGACCACGAAGGGACAGACTCCAGACGTGCCACCTTAAGAGCTGTAACACTCACTGCGAGGGTCCGCAGCTTCATTCCTGAAGTCAGTGAGACCAAGAACCCACCAATTCTGGTCACATTTTGGCGACCACGAAGGGACTTTCACCTATCGCCAAGCGGTGAGACAATCGCCGAGCGGTGAGACCTTTGCCTATCGCCAAGCAGTGAGTACCATCGGACCCCTTTCACTTGCTATTCTGTCCTATCTTTCCTTAGAATTCGGGGGCTAAATACCGGGCCCCTGTCGGCCAGATAAAAGCGACTAGCGCGGCCACCGGACTAAAGACACGGGTGTCAGGCTTTCTGGGAAAGGGCTCTCTAACAACCCCCGACTCTTCGGAGTTGGGACCGTTGGTTTGCCTAGAACCAGCTTCCGCTTTTCTTGTACTTCTGGGCTGAGCCAAGGGTCGACAGAGAGGAAAGCCATGCAGCTCCGGGGTCCCGACAACATGTTGGTTTACCCTGTGGCCATGAGTGGAACTCTCAAAAGCATGTTGCCCAAGCGAGACTCGCCCATCTATCCTATCTATCCTGACCCTTGCCCTCTGGGTCCTAATGCCTGCCAGACAAACTTCCTCTCGCCTCTCTTCTCTGAGGCTTGACCCACTTCTAAAAATTGCTACCTGCCTCTGGTGCTTTTCTTGTTTCTCCTATAAGAATGACTTCTAGTATAAACTCCAGGACTCTGTTACCTTCTTTAGGCACCCAGGCTCACCAATCAGAAAGACACAGTTTTTGCCCAAAGCCCTGCTGTAGTGGGGACTACTAGGAATTTTAGGATCCCTCCTCAGACTAACAGGCCTAACAAAAGTTATTTCTGAAGCTAGGATATGGGGAGCCTCAGAAATTGTATCCTTCCTATTCATATAAGTGAGGACAAAAGGTGTCACTCTTCCAACCCTGAAGATCCCCTGCCTCCCTCAGGGTATGGCCCTCCACTTCATTTTTGGGGCATAACATCTTTATAGGACGGGTAAAGTCCCAATACTAACAGGAGAATGCTTAGGACTCTAACAGGTTTTTGAGAATGCGTCGGTAAGGGCCACTAAATCAGATTTTTCTTGGTTGGTCCTCCTTGTGGTCTAGGAGGACAGGCAAGGGTGCAGGTTTTCGAGAATGTGTTGGTAAGGACCACTAAATCCGACCTTCCTCGGTCCTCCATGTGGTCTGGGAGGAAAACTAGTGTTTCTGCTGCTGCGTCAGTGAGCACAACTATTCTGATCAGCAGGGTCCAGGGACCGTTGTGGGTTCTTGGGCAGGGGTTGTTTCTGCTGCTGCGTCGGTGAGCGCAACTACTCCGATCAGCAGGGTCCAGGGACCGTTGCGGGTTCTTGGGCAGGGAGAGAAACAAAACAAACCAAAACCGCGGGCGGTTTTGTCTTTCGGATGGGAAACACTCAGGCATCAACAGGCTCACCCTTGAAATGCATCCTAAGCCATTGGGACCAATTTGACCCACAAACCCTGAAAAAGAGGCAGCTCATTTTTTTCTGCACTATGACTTGGCCCCAATATTCTCTCTGATGGGGAAAAATGGCCACCTGAGGGAAGTACAAATTACAATACTATCCTGCAGCTTGGTCTTTTCTGTAAGAGGGAAGGCAAATGGAGTGAAATACCTTATGTCCAAGCTTTCTTTTCACTGAGGGAGAATACACAACTATGCAAAGCTTGCAATTTACATCCCACAGGAGGACCCCTCAGCTTACCTCCATATCCTAGCCTCCCTATAGCTCCCCTTCCTATTGATGATACTCCTCCTCTAATCTCCCCTGCCCAGAAGGAAATAAGCAAAGAAATCTCCAAAGGACCACAAAAAACCCCTGGGCTATCGGTTATGTCCCCTTCAAGCTGTAGGGGGAGGGGAATTTGGCCCAACCCGGGTACATGTCCCCTTCTCCCTCTCTGATTTAAAGCAGATCAAGGCAGACCTGGGGAAGTTTTCAGATGATCCTGATAGGTACATAGATATTCTACAGGGTCTAGGGCAAACCTTTGACCTCACTTGGAGAGATGTCATGCTACTGTTAGATCAAACCCTGGCCTTTAATGAAAAGAATGAGGCTTTAGCTGCAGCCTGAGAGTTTGGAGATACCTGGTATCTTAGTCAAGTAAATGATAGAATGACAGCCGAAGAAAGGGACAAATTCCCTACTGGTCAGCAAGCCATCCCCAGTATGGATCCCCACTGGGACCTTGACTCAGATCATGGGGACTGGAGTCATAAACATCTGTTGACCTGTGTTCTGGAAGGACTAAGGAGAAAAGGCAGAAGGAAACCATTGGGCAGATGCTGAGGCCAAAGCTGCTGCCAGGAGGAACCCCCCATTAGAAATACCTATGGAAGGACCCTTGGTATGGAACAACCCCCTCCAGGAGATGAAGCCCCAGTATTCCCCGACTGAAACAGAATGGGGACTTCCACAGGGGCATAGTTTTCTCCCTTCGGGGTGGTTGGTGACAGAAGAAGGAAAGGTACTTATACCCGAAGCCAGCCAGTGGAAAATACTTAAAACCCTCCACCAAACTTTTCATATGGGTATTGAAAACACTAATCAAATGGCCAAATCCCTATTTACAGGGCCAAATCTCCTCCGGACCATCCGACAGGTAGTCAAAGCCTGTGAAGTGTGCCAAAAGAATAATCCCTTGGTATATCGTAAGGCCCCTTTGGGGGAACAAAGAATAGGTCACTATCCCGGAGAGGACTGGCAGTTAGACTTCACCCATATGCCTAAGTCAAAGGGATTTCAATACTTGTTGGTCTGTGTTGATACGTTTACAAATTGGATAGAAGCTTTCCCCTGCAAGACAGAGAAGGCTCAGGAAGTGATTAAAGTCCTAATTCATGAAATAATTCTTAGATTTGGGCTTCCCCAAAGTTTACAGAGTGACAATGGTCCAGCTTTTAAAGCCACGATAACTCAGGGAATCTCCAAGGTGCTAGGGATACAATATCATCTTCACTGCTCCTGGAGGCCACAATCCTCAGAGAAGGTTGAGAAGGCAAATGAAACACTCAAGAAACTAACGCAAGAAACTCCGAACACATCTGAACATCAGAAGGGACAGACTCCAGACGCGCCACCTTAAGAGCTGTAACACTTACCGTGAGGGTCCGCGGCTTCATTCTTGAAGTCAGTGAGACCAAGAACCCACCAATTCCGGTCACATTTTGGCGACCACGAATTCACCAGAAGGAAGAAACTCCGAACACATCTGAACATCAGAAGGGACAGACTCCAGACGCGCCACCTTAAGAGCTGTAACACTCACCGCGAGGGTCCGCAGCTTCATTCTTGAAGTCAGTGAGACCAAGAACCCACCAATTCCGGACACAGTTCTGCATTGAGAGTCACCACCACTTGGAGGGGGACAGTCCTTCTTCTGAGAACCTAGGCCCTGCTGCTGGGCTTTCTCGGCCCCTCAACAGTACTTGGCTCGGTGGCCATCACCCTGTGAGAAGTTCAGCGAATAACCACTTTTCTGCTCTGGCCTCGCTTTGGGAAACATATGCTACAGTCTTAAACTCCTGGGCTCAAGTGACTCGCTTGACTCAGCCTTCTGAGTAGCTGGGACTACAGACATGTGCCACCTCACCAAATGGCTATTAATATTTTTTTAATGCAGGAATGATCCCATAAAGGCATAAGTGACCAGGGCCAATGTAAATCATAATGTGGTCTGGCATACCTGGGTTTCCTCATCTGTGTAATGGAGACACTAAAAATGCATACTTCATAGAGTTGTTATGAAAAAGATCTGAGTTAATATTTGGAAAGTTGATAGTACTTAGTGCAAACTAATTTCTATATGTTTATTAAGCAAAATAGCAGCTCACAAATAGGCAAACTATAGACATAGTAAAAAGTTCAAGCAGTACTGAAAAAGTATACAATGAAAAGGAAATCTCTTTTTAATTGCAGATCCCCAGCCTTTCAGTTTCCTTCTTCAGAAGTAGCCACTGTTATAATTTTTCAGATATCTTCTAGAGATTGCTTATACAAACATATAGGTCTTTTATTTATTTAAACTATATCCTGTTTGATGGGCATTCAGTTGTTTCCAGCCCTTGCTGTTGCAAACAGTGCTGCAATAAATATCTGTGTACATGTCATTTGCAAATGTTGAAGTCGGCTAAAACCCCTGAAATATAATTGTTGAGTCAATTATTTTAGATTTTGATAGATATTGCCTGATTGATCTCCATGCTGCTTGCACCAATTTAAACTCACATTAGAAATGTGGGGCCGGGCACTGTGGTTCACGCCCGTAATCCCCGCACTCAAGAGATCTGCTGAGGCGGGCAGATCTCTTGAGCCCAGGAGTTCGAGACCAGCCCGGCCAACATAGGGAGACCCCTGTCTCTACAAAAAATAAAAATAAAAAAATTAGCTGGGCATGGTGGTTCGTGCCTGCAGTCCCAGCTACTGAGGAGACTGAGGTGGGAGGATTGCTTGAGCCTGGAAGGTGGAGGTTGCAGTGAGCTGTGATCACGCCAGGCATTCTAGCCTTGGCGACAGAGGGAGACCTTGTCTCAAAATAAATAAATAAACAAAAAAGGAGAAGGAGAAGAAGAAGAAGAAGAAGAAAAATAATGTGGGAGAGTGCCTGTTTTCCCACACCCTCAAGAAAAATAGTTATTAAATTTTTGGATCTTTGGCAATTTGATAGGTAAAAATGGCATATTTTTGTAAACATGTGTTTCATTATGAGTAAACTTCAGCAATTTTCATATTCTAAAAGCAATTTCTGGCTGGGCATCGTGGCTCACACCTGTAATTCAGCACTTTGGGAAGCTGAGGTGGGAGGATCACCTGAGGTCAGGAGTTCGAGGCCAGCCTGGCCAACATGGTGAAACTCCTACAAAAATTAGCCTGGTGTGGTGGCCCGCACCTGTAACCCCAGCTACTTGGGAGGCTGAGGCAGGAGAATCGCTTGAACCCGGGAGGCATAGGTTGCAGTGAGTGGAGATCACGCCACTGCACTCCGGCCTGGGCGACAGAGTGAGACTCCGTCTCAAAAAAAAAAAAAAAATGCAATTTCTGGCTGGGTGTAGTGGCTCACACCTGTGATTCCAGCACTTTGGGAGGATGAAGTGGGAAGATCATTTGAAGCCAGGAGTTTGAGATCAGCCTTGCCAACATAGCAAGACCCCGTCTCTACAAAAAATATGAAAATTAGCCAGAAATGTGGCATGGGCCTGTAGTACCAGCTACTGGATCACCTGAACCTGGGAGGTGGAGGCTGCAGTGAGACTGCAGTGAGCTATGATCATGCCACTGCACTCCAGCCTGGGCAATAGAGGGAGATTCTATCTCTAATAAAAATAAAAATACCTGTAATCCCAGAATTTGGGGAGGCAGAGGTGGGTGGATTGCCTGAACTCAGGAATCCGAGACGAACCTGAGTAATATGGTGAAATTCCATCTCTCCAAAAAAAAAAAAAAAAAAAAAAAAAAGAGAAAAAAATTTAAAAATAAAATTTAATAATAATAATTAATAAATAAAAAAAGCAATTTCTTTTTCTTCCTGTGAACTGTCAGTTCATTTCTTTTGCCTGTTTTGCTATTGGCCTTTTTCTTTTTGGGTTGTAGGAGTTCTTTATTAAAAAATTTAGTGCTGCATCTGTGGAATGAGTTGCCAATATTTGCCCAGCTTTTCTTTACACATTGGTTATAGTGTTTTTTCCATGCAAACCACTTAAGTATTTTATGCAGTCAAATTTGTCAGTCTTTTCTTTATGGCTTTTGGATTTCATATCCTTCTTTGCAAAGACCTCCATGTTGTAGTTATTAAAAAAAACTTCCATGTTATTTTTATGATTAAAAAAAGTTTAAATCTTTCATGCATCTAGAATTATTTTGAGGTAAGAAGTTTTTTTTTTCCCTGCAGAAAATTTTAATTTTTAATCTAGTCAAATGTATCAAAATTGTCCTTATGGCTTTTGGCATTTTGTGTCGTGTTGAAACGGACATTCCTTATCTTAAGGTCATAAATATATCCAACTAATTTTAAAATACATTTTAGTTTCTTAAGAATCCCTTAATCCCATCTGGAATTTGTTTTGGTGCAAGGAATGTTGTAGGTATCCAACCTATGTCTAGCCAGTTGTCACTATGTCGTTTGTTGAATACATCCTTTTCCCCCACTGATTTGAAATGTGGCTTTTATTACTAAGGTCCCATATATATTTGGCTTTATTTCTGGACTGTATTCTGTTCCGTTGCTATGTGTATCTGTTTGTTTATGCATCAGTATCAAGCTTTTTAAAATAACATAATGGTAAGTAAGTATGTATCTATTCTTAGTTTATAAACAGTATTTTAAATCAGAAATGGATGTTAAATTTTTTCAAATGCCTTTTCAGCACTTATGAAGATGATCACATTATTTTTTCTTCCTTGCTCTATTAATATAGTAAATTATATTAACAAATTCCCTAACATTAAAATAAATTTGACTTCCAGAAATAGAACTACTTGGTAATTGGCGTGTTATTCTTCCCATGGGCTTATTCTGCTTATATTTTGTACAGGATTTTTACATTGATATTCATGAGTGAGATTGAGCTATTGCTTTCATTGAACTTTGAAGAAAATAATTTGTATGCTTCCCTGTACTATGGAACAGTTGTGGTAACATTGAAGTTATTCAATGCTTGAGTATTTGGTAGAACTTATCTGAAACTTCTGAGCCTCATGTATTTTGCAGGGTACTCTTTGACACCATTTTTCAAAATAATTTCGAATAATTGGTTGTTTATTTCAATCACTTCTTGAGTTAATTTTTTTCTTTCATTTTTCCTTTTTTGTAGCTTTTGTTATGTTTTTCCAACGAATTGAGTTAATTTTGATAATTCAAATTTTCATAGGAAATAGTCCATTTCACCCAAGTTTGCAAATGTATTTGTATAGAGTCGTGCAAATTCTTGTATAATTTTTTTGATTTCATCCGTCTATGGTTACTCCTCTATTTTGAATTTTGTGATGTGATTGTTCTCTTTATTCCTTGAAACCAAGTCTTATTGTTTGATTGACTGAGACAATATTGATTGATTGAGACAAAGATTGCACTCTTTTGCCCAGGCTGGAGTGCAGTGGCACAATCGTGGCTCACTGCAGCCTCGACCTCCCTAGCTCAGGTGATCCTCCCACCTCAGCCTCCTCAGTAGCTGGGACCACAGGCATGGGCCCCCACACCTGGCTAATTTTTTTTTTTAATTTTTGTAGAGACAGAGTCTCACTGTGTTGCCCAGGGTGGTCTAGAACTCCTAGGATCAAGCTATCCTGCCTCAGCCTCCCAAAGTGCTGGGATTATAGGCGTGAGCCACTGCGCCTAGCCTGAAAACAAGTTTTTAAAACAGCTTTATTGAGATATAATTCACAAATCATACAATTCATGTATTTAAAGAGTAAAATTCAATGGTTTTAGTGTTCACAGAGAAATGCAACCATTACCACAATCAATTTTAGGACATGTTCTACATCCTGAAAGAAATCCTGTGTCCATTAGTGGTCATTCTTAATTCCCCTCCAAAGCTCTGAGGCCTAGACAACCACTAATATCTTTCTGTCTCTGTAGACTTGCCTATTTTGGACATTCTATATAAATGGAATCATATAATACATAGTCTTTTGTGACTGATTTCTTTCACTTAGCATAATGTTTTCAAAGTTCATCCATGTTGTTATAAAGTCAGTTTTAAAATGCAGATTTATAGTGGTTTTTATAATGTGCCTTCAGTCTACTATTTGTATTAGTTTGCTAGGGCTGCCATTACAAAATACCACAAACTTGGTAGCTTGAACAACAGAAATTTGTTTTCTCACAATTCTGGAGGCAGGTTTGGTTTCATCTGAGGCCTGTCTGCTTAGCTTCCCTGTGTCCGCATACGGTCTTCCCTTTGTCTGTGTGTCTTTGTCCTAATCCCTTCCTCTTTCAATGAGGACACCAGTCATATTGGATCAGGGCCATCCTAATGACCCCATTTTAACTTAATTGCCTCTTTAGAGGTCCTATTTCCAAATAGCATCACATTCTGAACTACTGGGGCTTAGGACTTCAACATGTCAATTTTGGAAGGAGACAATTCAGCCCGTAACACCACCTTAAAGAAAAAACATCAAGCCTATATAGCCTAGTCTGTTTCTACATATATTTTTGATCAATTTGGCCTGTCAGTCAAACTAGTCTGTGTGTATGTGTTTGTGTATGTGTGTAAAGAATCTCAGTCTCGTCAGTCCAGCAGGTCTAATTTTTAAAATTTTTTCTGATTACAAAATTAATGTGTACCTTATACAAGATTTGTAAACATGTAAATTGAAAAGTGAAAGTGTTTCATAGCCCCCATTGTTAACAGTTTACAGCTTATTCCTCTAATTTTTCTTTCTTTTGTACAGATACCAACAATGAAAATGGGATCATATTCAACATGGCACTGCACAGCGTACTTTTTCCACTTAATGTATAAGCACATCTTTCCATGTTGGTACTTATGAATCTCTCTGTGTGTGTATACATATATATGTGTGTGTGTATGTGTGTGTATATATAACATTTCATTCTGTGCATATACCATGCTTTATTTAAATATTTCTCTGTTGATGAATATTTGGATTGCTACCAACTTTTAGCTATTACAGAAAACTACAAACAATACTGCAATGAATATCCTTGTGTATGCAAGCCAAAAGCTCCATCAGAGGTTATGAACATTTAAAATTTTAATAAATACTGCCACATTTCACAGCAGCTTTTAACTTGATGACAGTTCCTGCAAAAGGTGGAGCATGTTCACAGAGACTACTTTTCCTCCAGATGAATCTATAAGTTGTTTAGAGGGCCATAGTGGGCCCTCTTCTGTCCTGTCTTTTAGAGAGGCCCATTCTGGGTAATTTTTATATTCATTTTTGGAAAATGCTGATCTAAAGTGATCTTTTAAACTTTACCCAGTAGGCTTTCTTAAAAATTTAATGAAAAACATACTACTGATGTTGAAAAAAACCCTATACATTTGGCATTACATTGTTTGATGCAAATCTTTTTTGTTTTCCTTTTTGGTCTTCTCTACTAACAGCTTGCATATGACTCATTTCCATCTCAGCAATAGGATTATGAGTCATGATTAAGGCAATTCTCCTTTTCCATTAAAGATAATGAACTCACTCATGGATATGTTTTATAATATATGTTTACAATGATATTGCAACATAATATTGAAAGAATGTAATTATCCTATATCTCTATTATGTGCAATATAGTTCTATTCAAAATGTGTTTACCTATCACAAAGGTTACATCTTGGAACTATGATTTTTGTTTTGAAATTAGCCCTCCACTTTACAACATGCATGTTATGGTGTATTCATTCATGATCTATGCTGTGATCTTCATATTTGTGAATATGTAATATTTCTATTAAATATAAATATACGTTCAACCCAATGTATAATACATACTGCCACTGGCATGAGATACAGGCAAGAGGACTGTTCCAGTCTATCATTGCATCTTGTTTTCCTCTTTTCTTGTTACCATGCCAGCGATCTAACAGTTTGGTTGTCACTGTAAACTCCTGGGATTAGCCTTCTACTTCAAATCAACAAAGCCAGCATTATCCAATTACAGCCTAAGAATGGCCTAATCTTCAAAACCAGCTGCCATAAGATAGCACAGGCATCCATTTAATCAAAATTACCACATCATCTCATTCTTTCGTTTTTGCCCATGGAAATGCTTAGCAAGAATACAATAAGATATCTACATTTTGCATCAGTTAGTTAATAACTCTTCTCAGCATTTTGACACAACAGAGCATAACACTAAATACAGAGAGAACTTGCTTGAAAATGGCATTTCAAATATGTTCTTTTCCTTGTTTTTAAAAACTGTTGTAGCTTTGAGTTTTCCTAATGAAGACTAAAGTTGTGTTCAGACTCGCTTGTTTTCATTGTCTCTACTTGAAAAAAAAAAGATTCTTTTACTGCTTAACATAGTAATGCATGTTCATTATAAGACAAAACAAAATAAAAAGCAATATAGAACAGAAAGTGGAAGTAGGTCGCAATCTTATCCTTCAGACAATCACTGTTAAGAGTGGGTCTATATTTTCTAGCCATTTTTTGCATGCTTATCTCAACATATATATGTTATTTTAATTATTCATATAAAATAGATACATACATAAGGTTTTTCATTCTTTGCTCCCCTCTCTTTTTCAACTTATTTTTCCAAGCAGTAATTATTTCAAATGGAGAGACAAGAATACAAAATGTAACAAATGCCTAGGTATCCACCACCCGTCTTTATAAAATCTTAACGTTTTATTATTTTAAAAACTAGATTTTAAAAATAGAAATGAACATTTACAGAGTTGATATCCTCTGTATATCCTTCCTTGGTTTCATTCTCCTTTCCTTCCAGAAATAACTTATCACAAATTTTGTGTTTATTATTTAGGTATCCATAAACAATAAGTAATATTATGGGCTTTGTGTTTTTTGTTTGATTTTTATTTACTTATTGTTGCCTAATGTATTTTATTCATTTAAAAATATGTATAATAGTTGTACATATTTTGGGGGTACATGAGATATCTTGATATCTGTATACAATGTGTAATGACCAAATCAGGGTAACTGGAATATCCATCACCTCAAACATTTATCATTTCCTTGTGTTGGGAACATTACAATTCTTCTCTTCTAGCTATTTTTCTTTTGTTTAGTTGATATGTAATAATTGTACATATTTATGGGATAAGAGTAATATTTTGATACATACAATGTATAATGATCAAGTTAGAGTAATTAGTATATCCGGCACCTCAAACATTTATCGTTTATTTGTGCTGAAAACATTCAAAATTCTCTCTCCTAGTTTTAAAAAAATACAATTATTAACCGTAGTCACCGTATAGTGCTATACAACAGTAGAACATATTCTTCCCATGTAGCTGTAACTGTATCTGTTAACCAACTTCTTATCCTCCTCTCCTCCCTATGCTTCCCAGTTTCTAATAATCATAATTCTTCTTTCTGCTTCTCAGAGCTCAACTTTTTTAGCTCCCACATATGAGTGAGAATATGTGGCATTTACCTTTCTGTGCCTGACTTATTTCATTGACACAATGTCCTCCAGGCTCATCCATGCTGCTGTGAATGAAAGGATTTCATTTTTAATGGCTGAATAATATTCCATTCCATTCCACATTTTCTTTATCCAGTCGTCCATTGGTGGACACTTAGGTTGATTCCATATCTTGGCTATTGTGAATAGCACTACAGTAAACACAGGGGAGCACATATCCCTTTGATATACTGATTTCCTTTCCTTTGGATAAATATCCATTAATGGAATTGTTGGATAATACAGTAGTTCTACTTTCAGTTTTACTGCAGGATCTCCATACTGCTTTTCATAATGGCCATACGAATTTACATTCCTACCAAGAAGATATAAGAATTCCCTCTTCTCCACATCCTCACTAGCATTTTTTTGGTCTTTTTGATAATAGTCATTAAAACTGGGATAAGGTAAGATATCATTGTTGTTTTGATTTGCATTTCCCTGATGATTAGTGATGTTGAACATTTTTTTCATATATTTGTTGGCCATTTGTATTTCTCCTTTTGAGAAATGTCTATTCAGATCCTTTGGTGGGCTTTAAGTGTTTTCTGGGCTTTTAAAACTTCATATACATTGTGTCAATATATACATATCATTCTGCAACTTGCTTTTTCCCACCTACTTCAGGTTCTATTCACCACACATTTTCCTAACTTTCTCCCTCTTCCTTTCCCTCCCAAACTTTCTATTGGATTAACAAAGCTTTCCATATTCCTTTAATTTCTTCTGTTGGTTTAGAAGCTATATAATGTATTTTTATCCTTTTAAGGATTTATTTACAACTTTATGATACTTAAATATAATTTTTCTTTTTTTCTTTTTATTATACTTTAAGTTTTAGGGTACAAGTGCACAATGTGCAGGTTTGTTACATATGTATACACATGCCATGTTGGTGTGCTGCACCCATTAACTCATCATTTAACATTAGGTATATCTCCTAATGCTATCCCTCCCCCCTCCCGCCACCCCGCAACAGGCCCTGGTGTGTGATGTTCCCCTTCCTGTGTCCATGTGTTCTCACTGTTCAATTCCTACCTATGAGTGAGAACATGCGGTGTTTGGTTTTTTGTCCTTGCGATAGTTTGCTGAGAATGCGAAGGATATGAACAGACACTTCTCAAAAGAAGACATTTATGGAGCCAAAAGACACATGAAAAAATGCTCATCATCACTGGCCATCAGAGAAATGCAAATCAAAACCACAATGAGATACCATCTCACACCAGTTAGAATGGTGATCATTAAAAAGGCAGGAAACAACAGGTGCTGGAGAGTATGTGGAGAAATAGGAACACTTTTACACTGTTGGTGGGACTGTAAACTAATTTTTCTAATAAATTCAACAAGTTACTTAATGGTTCTGTCCTTCTCTTTACCAACACAAGGATCTTAGCACAGTTTACCCTACCCATTTAATATTTTGCCTACACATTGTCATCGTTTCCACTGTTTTTACTCCACACTCTAGCCTCTCCCACTGTCAACATCCCGCATCATAGTGGCATATTTGTTACAACTGATGAAACTACATTGATACATCATCATCACCCAAAGTACATTAATTACATTAGGGTTCGCTCCTGGTGTTGTACATTCTATGGTTTGGACAAATGTATAATGACATGTATCCACCATTACAGTATCATACAGAGTAGTATCACTGCCCCAAAAATCCTCTACGCTTTGTCTATTCATTTCTCCCTCCATGTTTACCCTGGCAACCACTGATCTTTTTGCTGTATCCATAGTTTTGCTTTTTCCAGAATGTCATATGTTTGGAATAATCAGGTATATAGCCTTTTCAGATTGGCTTCTTTTACTTAGTAATATGCATTTATGGTTCTTCCATATTTCCTCAGGTTTTGATAGCTCAGTTCTTCATAGTGTGAATAATATTCCATTGTCTGGATTACTCCAGTTTATTTAGCCACTCACCAACTGAAGGACATTTTGGTTGCTTTCAAGTTTTGGCAATTGTGAATAAAGCTGCTAGAAACCTCTCTTTACAGCCTTTTTTTTTTTTTTTTTTTTTGGTGGTGGGGACAGGATATTGCTCTGTCACCCAGGCTGGAGTGCAGTGGTGCTATTATAGCTCACTGCAGCCTCAAAGTCCTGAGTTCAAGCGATCCTCCCACCTCAGTCCCCCAAGTAGCTAGGGCTACAGGTGTATGCCATCACACCCAGCTAATTTTTTATTTTCGTAGAGGTAGGGTCTTGCTATGTTGCCTTGACTCCTGGCTTTTTTTTTTTGAGAGACAGGGTCTCACTTTGTCACCCAGGCTGGAATGCAGTGGTAAAATCATAGCTCTCACTGTAGCCTCAAACTCCTGGGCTCCAGTGATTCTCCTGCCTCATCCTCCCTGAGTAGCTTGGATTACAGGCATGTGCCACCACGCTCAGCTAATTTAGTTTTTTAAAAAATTTAAAAATTTAAAAATTTGTGGGTAGACAGGTGTATATATTTATGGGGTACATGAGATGTTTTGGTACAGGCATGCAATGTGTAAGAATCACATTATGGAGAACTGGGCATCTATCCCCTCAAGTATTTATCCTTTGTGTTATAAGCAATCTGATTACACTCTTTTAGTTATTTTATTTATTTATTTATTTTGAGATGGGGTTTTTCTCTCTGTCACCCAGGCTAGAGTGCAGTGGCGTGATCTCAGCTCACTGCAACCTCCGCCTCTAAGATTCAAGCGATTCTCCTGCCTCAGCCTCCTGAGTAGCTGGGATTACAGGTGCACACCACCATGCCTGGCTAATTTTTGTATTTTTAGTAGAGATGGGGTTTCACCATGTTGTCCAGGCTGGTCTCGAACTCCTGACCTCGAGTAATTCTCTCGCCGTGGCTTCCCAAAGTGCTGGGATTACAGGCATGAGGCACCACGCCCTGCCTAGTTATTTTAAAATGCACAATTAAGTTATTATTGACTAAAACCACTCTGTTGTGCTATCAAATAGTCTTATTCATTCTTTCTATTTTTTTTGTACCCATTAACCATTCCCACCTCTCCCCCCAACTCCTCACTACCCTTCCCAGTCTCTGGTAACCATTCTTCTATTCTCTATGTCCATGAGTTCAATTGTTTTGATTTTTAGAGCCCACAAATAAATGAGAACATGCGATGTTTGTCTTTCTGTGCCTGGCTTCTTTCACTTAACATATTTTCTCTGGTGATGTGATTTAGTTTCTTGCTTTTTATTTTTTTTTTGTGTGTCCATTGCATGTTTTTTGGTTTGAAGTTACTGTATTAGTCCATTCTTGCACTGTTATCAGAACTACCTAAGACTGGGTAATTTATAAAGAAAAGAGGTTTAATTGACTCACACTTCCACAAGCCTGAGGAGGCCTCAGGAAACTTACAATCATGGCAGAAGGGGAAGCAAAACATGTCTGCACATGGCCAGAGCAGGAGGAAGAGAGAAAGAAGGGGGAAGTGCTACACACTTTAAAAAAGACAGATCTAGTGAGAACCCACTCACTATCACCACAACAGCAAGGAGGAGACCGATCCCTATGATCCAATCATCTCCCACCAGGTCCCTCCCCCAGCGTTGAGGATTATAATTCAACATGAAAGTTGGGTGGGGACAAAGAGCCAAACCATATTAGTTACATGAGGCTTGCAAATTCTTTTTTTTTTTTTTTTGAGACGGAGTTTTGCTTTTGTTGCCCAGGCTGGAGTGCAATGGCTCAATCTCAGCTCAATGCAACCTCTGCCTCCCGGGTTCAAGCAATTCTCCTGCCTCAGCCTCCCAAGTAGCTGGGATTACAGGCATGTGCCACCACACCTGGCTATGTTTTTGTATTTTTAGTAGAGATGGGGTTTCACCATGTTGGTCAGGCTGGTCTGGAACTCCTGACCTCAAGTGATCCACCTGCCTTGGCCTCCCAAAGTGCTGGGATTACAGGCATGAGCCACCACGCCCAGCTGCAAATTCTATTTTACAACCCATTATTTTAACCTGATAACAACCTACCACTGTTTGCATAAACAAACAAACAAGCAAAAAGAAAACTAGTAAAAACTCTATGCCTTAACTTCATCACCCCAGTTTTTAACGTTTTGTTGTTTCCATTTATATCTTATTGTACTTTCTATGTCTTGAAAAGTTGTCGTAGTTATTATTTTTGATTGGTTCATCATTTAGTCTTTCTACTTGAGTAGTTTACACATCACAGTTACAGTGTTATAGTAATTCTGTTTTTCTCTGTATTTGCTATTACCAGTGAGTTTTGTACCTTCTTTTTGCTCATTAACAGCCTTTTCTTTTGGATTGAAGAACTCCCTTTAGCATTTCTTGTAGGGAAGGTCTGGTGTTGATGAAATTCCTCAACTTTTGTTTGTCTGGGAAAATCTTTATTTCTCCTTAATGTTTGAAGAATATTTTTGCCAGATAAACACTATTCTAGGGTAAAAGTTTTTTCCTTCAGCACTTTAAATATGTCATGCCACTCTCCTGTTCTGTAATGTTTCCACTGAAAAGTCTGCTGCCAGACGTATTGGAGCTCCATTGTATGTTGTTTCTTTTCTCTTGCTGCTTTTAGAATCCTTTCTTTATCCCATATCTTTGGGAGTTTGATTATTAAATGCCCTGAAATCATCTTCTTTGGGTTAAATCTGCTTGATATTCTATAACATTTTTGTACTTTCATATTGATATATTTCTCTAGGTTTGGGAAATTATCTGTTATTATTCCTCTGAATAAACTTTCTACCCCCATCTCTTTCTCTACCTCATCTTTAAGGCCAATAACCCTTAGATTGCCTTTTTGAGGCCATTTTCTTGGTCCTGTACGTGTACTTCATTTTTTAAAATTCTTTTATCTTTTGTTTCCTCTGACTGTGTATTTTCTAATAGCCTGTCTTGAAGCTCACTAATTCTTTCTTCTGCTTGATCAATTCTGCTATTAAAAGACTATGATGCATTCTTCATTATACTAATTGAATTTTTCAGCTTCAGAATTTCTGCTTGATTCTTTTTCATTATTTTGATTTCTTTGTTAAATTTATCTGATAGAATTCTCAATTCCTTGTCTGTATTCTCTTGAATTTCTTTGAGTTTTCTCAACACAGCTATTTTGAATTCTCTGTCTGAAAGGTCACATGTCTCTGTTTCTCCAGGATTGGTCCCTGGCGCCTTATTTAGCTCATTTGGTAAGGGCATGTTTTCCTGGATGGTGTTGATGCTAGTAGATGTTCTTTGGTTTCTGGGCATTGGAGAGTTAGGTATTTATTGTAGTCTTCACTGTCTGTACTTATTCATAGCCTTTATTCTTGGGAAGGCTTTCCAGATATTTGAAAGGTCTTGGGTGTTGTGATCTAAGCTGTAACTGCTTTAGGGGACACCCCAAGCCCAGTAACTCTGTGATTCTTGCAGTCTCATAGAGGTACTGCCTTGATAGTCTTGGACAAGATCCACGGAAATTCTCTGGATTATCAGGCAGAGACTCTTGTTCTCTTCCCTTACTTTCTCCCAAACAAATGTAGTCTCTCTGTCTGTTCTGAGCCACTTAAAGCTGGGGGGTGGAGTGACACAATCACCCCTGTGGCCACCAACACTATGACTGTGCTGGGTCACACATGAAGCCAGCAAAGCCCTGGGTCTCACCCAAGGCCTACTGTAACCAATCCCTGGCTACTGCCTATGTTCACTGAAGGCCCTGAGGCTCTGCCATCAGCAGGTGGCAAAGCCAGCTGCTTTGTTGTCCTTCCCTTCAGGGCAACGAGGTCCCCCAGGCCCCTTAGAAGTTTCTGACTCTAGTCCCTGACTAGAGCTCACAAGATGTGATCCTTCCCACAAGATGCAGTCCTTCCTACTCTTCCCTCCCCTTTCCAAAGGCAGAGGAGCCTCACCTTGTAGCCACTGCCACCACAGGCCATAGGTCTACTACTACTACCAGACTACTACTGAAGGATGTTCCCTTAAGGCCCAAGGGCTCTTAAGTCAGCTTATGGTGAATGTTGCCTGGCCTGTCACTCACCCTTCAGGGCAATGGGCTCCCCTCTGGCCCAGTGCAGGTCCAAAAATGCCATCCAAGTATCAGGTCCTGGAATTGAGGGTCCTAAGAGCCTGCTTAGCTCTCTAACCCTCTGTGGTTGAGCTGGTATCTGAAGTGAGCAAGCCTTAGCAGCTCACCCAATGCCCTTGACATAGTACCTGGGTATCCCTACTGGTTATTGAGGGCCCAGGAGCTCTTCATTTAGCAGATAATGCACTCTGCCAGGACTGGGTCCTTCCCTTCAAGGCAGCAGGTTTGCTTCTGGCCCAAGGAAAGTCTAGAAATGTCATCCCGGAGGTAGGGCCTGAAATGGGGGTCTCACAACTCTGACCGATGCCCTATCCTGTTGTGGCTGAGCTGGTATCCAAGATGCAAGACAAAGTCCTCCCCACTCTTCTCTCTCCTCAAGCAGAATGAAGGGTCTCTTTTGGAGCTGCGGGCTGTGCAACCTGGGATTGGAGGAGGGATGATGCCAGCACTCCCTTAGCTACACCAGCTGGTGTCTCAGTATGTCACATTGTGATATACTGGAGGCAACACAAGATGGAGTCTCGTCGTGTTGCCAGGCCTCCAGTCCACTGTCTCTGGGTCCAGTTCAGTACTAGGACTTGCCTAAGACTTGTAGTCCTTGTGACCTAGACTACCTTTCAAGTTTTCTTAGAGACCCAGAGCCCCTTAGCCCTCGATGGTGAGGTTTGTGGGAACTCAAGTTCGGACCGTCGGGATTGGTGATTCCTTCCTGGCTAGGGCTAGTTTAAATGCTCTCTCTGTGGGCAGGAGTCAGCTGAGTTTGGTCTGGGTTTTCCTTTCTGCTCTATTAGGACATCACTGAGTTCAATGCCTCATGATTGTTATGCTTTTCCTCCCCCAGCACCCAGAGATCCTCTCTGCACCACACCACCTTGTCTGCTGGGAAGTGGGGGAGGAGTGGCCTCAGTGATTCAAGACTCTCCTTTCTACCTCTTGAGAGTGTCTTTCAGCAATACGAAGTTGAAACCAGGTACCATGAGGGCTCACCTAATTTTTGGTTCTCATGAAGGTGTTTTGTGTGTGTGTGTGTGTGTGTGTGTGTAGATAGTTGTTAAATTGGTGTCCTTGCCGGGGGGACTATTGATGGAGCCTTGTATTCCATCATCTTGTTCCACCTCTTCTTCTAATTTCCAAAATTTTTTGTAGAGACGGGGTCTCATTGTGTTGCCAGGCTGCTCTCGAACTCCTGGGCTCAAGTGATTCTCTCGCCGCAGCCTCTTAAAGTGGTGGGATTAGAGGCATGAGTCACTGCACCCAGTCTGTGTACAGGTTTTTGTGTGGACATGGGTTTTCAACTCCTTAGAGCAAATACAAAGAAGGATGATTGCTGGATTATTTGGTAAGAGTATATCTAGTTTTGTAAGAAACTGCCAAATTGTCTTTCAAAGTGGCTGTAGCATTCTGCATTCCTACTAGCAATGAATGAAAGTTCCTGTTGCTCCATGTTCTCATCAGCATTTGGTGTTGTCATTGTTTTGAATTTTGGCTATTCTAATAAATGTATAGTGGTATCTCATTGTTGTTTTAATTTGCAATTTCCTAATGACATATGATGTTGAATATCTTTTCATATGCTTATTTGTCATTTGTATATCTTGTTTGATGAGGTCTGTTCAGGTTTTTGCCTATTTTTTAATTTTTAATTTTATTTCTAAAACAGGGTCTCCCTCTGTAACCCAGCGTGGAGTGCAGTGGCACAAACATGGCTCTCTGCAGCCTTGACCTCCTAGGCTCAAGCAATCCTCCTGCCTCAGCCTTCTGAGTAGTTGGGATCACAAGAGTGCACCACTGCATCTAGCTAATTATGTTATTTTACTTTTTAAAGAGACAGGGTCTCACTTTGTTTGCCAGGCTGGTCTCAAACTGCTGGGCTCAAGCGATTCTCCTGCCTCAGTCTCCCAAAGTGGTGAGATTATAGGTGTGAACCACCGCTCCCAACCCTTTTGCCTATTTTTTAGCTGAGTTGTTTGTTTTCTTATTGTTCACTTTTAAGAGTTCTTTGTATATTTTGAATAATATTTCTTTATCGGATGTGTCTTTTGCTTGAACTTATTTCTAACTATATCTAGATGATGTTATTAAACTGTATGTCATACTAATTTATTGTAGATTATGTAATATATCTCTGAGCCTTTTAGATATCATGTACATTATACACATTACAGCTGAGGTAAAAATATGTTCCAATAACTTTATTAAAGTTTGTCTCATAAGACATTTGATTTTAGGAAATTATGGATAATATTCCTAATTCTAATTATCTTCTTTGTTTTATTAGTTTATCAAATTGGCTTCCTAATTACTATTCAAATAAAAGCTTATAATTTTTCTCTATAAGATTGTCTACTACTCTCTTCCACCCCTACATTTTATTTTTTATTTTTATTTTTGTAGAGACAGAGTCTCACTATGTTGCCCAGGGTGGTTTAGAGCTGCTGGCCTCAAGTGATCCTCCTGCCTTGGCCTCCCAAAGTGCTGGGATTACAGGCGTGAGACATTGTTCTTAGCATCACCCCTTCATTCTAGATCTTGATTACAGTAGCCACGGACCATTGATGGTAACATTCAAATGAGAAGTCAGTTATATATAGGAACAAATAAGTAAAATTTATTTCCTTAAATGAGTAAATAAAACTGGAGTCGATTGGCCAAAAATCATTATAAATATTGTAACATTAGTTGTTTTTCAGCTCTGGAGGTATAACTAATTAATATTCCCTTTCAAGGGCTACCCCTGCAAAAGCTGTGTGAGTAATCAGAGAGTTTATTTTTTAGACCCTGTAATACAATTCTAAAATGAAAGCCTAACGAAGGGCAATTTGCAAAATAAGGCTTGGACAATCTAGGAGAGAGTCATCCTCTGTTCTTGGTGGTGCCCTAGTAAATAGCCCCAAATGTTAGTGCTCAAAGTAAAGGAGACACTTCAGATATTTATGTTACAGTGGAAAAGAACCCCTATTTAAAAACTGAAGCCATCCAACGAGTGATCTGCAGTGATATCAATTTCATTTACTGGTCATGTAATGTTCTGAACTTGTTCCAAATATGGCCATCTGTCCTCCAATGCCGGCTGAAGGTTCCCCATTTAGATTTCATGGTCTGTTTGACGAGGGATTAAGCCTGAAGAGATCAGGCAAGTGTAGTTGACTGGGCTAGGCTGGATTGCTGAAATAGGTCTCTAATAGCGTTCCTTGCTTCCAGTCTTTCTTTTCAATCTTCATTACAACTAGTCCTACTACTCTACCAGGTTCTAAAACATGGCTTTTGTTTTTATCATCTTGGTTTCCTGCCTAGAAACCTCATAGACTCTGTACCTCTTACAAGTTTAAATCCTTGGTTCTCAATCTGATATTCAAGGCACTTTGTAATCTTGCCTAACCAATCATTTCCCTCACTTGTTCTTAAGTCTCAACACTGGGCCAGTGCAGGTAGTCAGAACATTGCTGGTACCAGTAACAGAATTTTAAATGGAAAGAGCCAAAGCCATTACCTGAAATTCAACCTGGGATTCAATCTGTATCCAGTTCCAGGACATAATGTGGAGAAAGACTATTTGAAGTCTGTGTATGGAAGACTAAAGAGATAGAATGGGATAGAAGGTGTGTGTCAGGCTGGAAGTTCAGGACTTAGTCTTTGAACTAAGTATGCTAATGGTTATTGGCTATGCACTTTACATAGTGCCTAGTACCTGTTGGTGGGCATAGGTCTAGCTTCTTAGAGCTACAGTGTGAGCAGATCACTATTCCTTCTCATCCTCATTTCCATCCCCCACTACACGTCCCCCTGTGCCCTGTGCTGGGCACTGTGAAGGGTGTGCTCTTTTGGACTGTAGTCCTACTCTGGCGCAGACACTTCAGCTGACCTTGGTGGTGCCAGGAGGAGTCCAAGATTTTTTGTATGAGCAGTTCCAGTTCCCGGGGTCCAAATCCTTCCCTGATGGAGGAGTTTAAAGTGTAGACAAAATGGAAAGGACCAGAACCAAATATCAAGTGCCGGGATATGGCAAGTCAGAGAAACCAGAGCTCCAGATGAGGTGTGGCCAAACAAAACACCCAACAAAAAACCAGAGAGACCAGAGCAAGCATCTAGAACACTGTATGGTATGGAGTAGGTGCTTAACTATTAATTGTTGAATAAAATGTAAAGTGTAATGATGAAAACAGACATTATCTGCAGATAGGGTTTAAGGCAAGATTGGTAGCCTGGTGTGGTAGCTTACGCCTGTAATCCTAGCACTTTGGGAGGCTGAGGTGGGTGGATTGCTTGAGGTCAGAAGTTTGAGAACAGCCTGCCCCACATGGTTGGCAGGCTCCCATCTCTACTAACAATACAAAAATTCGCCAGGCCTGGTGGTGGGCACCTGTAATCCCAGCTACTCGGGAGGCTGAGGCAGGAGAATTGCTTGAACCCTGGAGGCGGAGGTTGCATTGAGCTGAGATCATGCCACTTCACTCCAGCCTGGGCAACAGAGTGACTCCCTCTCAAAAAAAAAAAAAGGCAAGATTGGGGTGGAGGTTGTTGGGGAGATAATGAGTTTAGGTTTTAAAATGGTTTCAAGTGCCTTCTGGAAATGCCCATTAAGCAGCTGGATACATATGTTTGAAGATGAGTGCTGAGGAAGAGGTTTGGCTAGAGATACAAACTTGGAAGTAATCAGCACAAAATATACCTGAATTCCGGGGAGGATATATAGAGTGAGAGAAAAAGGGGACTGAGGAAAGGACTCTGGCGAACTCCACACTTATGGACTGGATGGAGGCTGACAGAAAAGAAGCCAGCAAAAGAATTAGGAGAAGTAGCTAATAATGGTATCATGGTAACTGAACTGCCAAAGAGTTTCAGTGAGAATAGAGCAGGCAACAGGATCAAATGCTGCAGAGAAACCAACATAGATATAAACAGAAATGTATCTATTCGATACAACCATAGGGAGGTCAGTGATTGCCTCAGCAAAGGTATTTCAGTAGAACAATGAGATCTGTTCATATTGTTCTGAGGTAGAGCTGGTAAGTCTGGATTACTCATTTAAGATATTTTACTGAGAAAGAAAGAGAAAAGGAAGTAGCTAGAAGCCTGCACAAAGTAAAGGAAAGCTATTTTAAGGAAAGGAAAACCTGAGCAGATATAAGTAGGTAGAGGGGAAGAGATCAAGAGAGTGGGAGAAGTTGAAGGTAAAAGTTCCTGGGGGAGGTGGGAAGGATTGAAATTGAGAGTACAGACGTGAGTGGGAAAAGTAGGGAGTGGGTAGAGGGGTAGACATTAGCCCTAAACAGGAGGAGAGGTGTCCCTTCCTCCTATGGAAAGAAAGAGTGGATTACAGGTACAGGACAGTTTGAGGAGTGAAAAGGAAGTCAAGGACTTTCACTCTGTGTATCAACCATTTCTTACACACCAGTTCAGGATCCTCGTGGCATTATCGTCTCAGGGGCCCTTGGCTATTGCTTCAGTCTCAGCCTCTGCTTTTGAGTGGGCTCTGACTGACTTATGTGGGGGTTCACAGTCAGCTCTGCATTGCATGCCCACTCTGCCTTTGGCTGGGGTGCTGTTGCAGAGTGCAGCCTAGAGATGCAGGGGAATTAACACTGCCTCCCTTTAGCGCAAACCTTTGATTCATAAAAGATGGGGGCCAGGTGTGGTGGCTCATGCCTGTAATCCCAACACAGAGGTGAGAGGATCCCTTGAAGCCAGAGGTTCATGACCAGCCTGGGTAAAAATGTAAGACCCTCATCTCTACTAACAAAATGAAATAAAAGTAAAAGTTGGGCATGGTGTACATGCCTGTAGTCTCACCTACTTGGGAGGCTGAGGCATGAGGATTGCTTGATCCCCAAGAGTTCAAGGTTGTAGTGAGCCCTGATCACACCACTGCACTCCAGCCTGGGTAAATGACAGTGAGACTGTCTGAAAAAAAAAAAAAAAAGATTGGAACTGGACATTTAGTTCTCTTTCCATCTTGCTTGTCCACTGATCTGAGATTCAAGTCATGTTTATACTATCTGTCTGAAAATGGTCCCAGGGGCTTAAGCTTGATTACCAACGTACCTTTATATTGACTCTCATTCCTTCATCTTTCCCTTTTTCCTCCCTTCTGCTTCCCTGGGATTGCACTCTCTAATAACGTATTAAGCTGAACTATATGGTTTCCCTATTCAAAATGGTTGAACTTCAGCATTTTTTATGGTTCATCCAAACAGTAACACATAGCCATTGCTCTGCTTTCTGGGGAATCCAGGCTAAGAAACACTTAAAGGTCTTAGTGAAGGAGGAAATATAGTCACCAGCTAATCTGAGCTCTTATTCCTAGCTGTCATTTATTGAGCACCCGCTGGGTGTCAGGTACTGTGTTAATTGTTTTACATACGTTATCTCATTTAACATATAACTCGATATTATTCCCTGCACAAGCTCTCTTTTCTTGTCTGCTGCCTTGTGAGATGTGCCTTTCATGTTCCACTATGATTGTGAGGCCTCCTCAGCCACATGGAATTGTGAGTCCATTAAACCTCTTTGTTTTGTAAATTGCCCAGTCTTGGGTATGTCTTTATTAGCAGGATGAAAACGGACTAATACAGGTGGTTAGTGGGTACAAAAAATAGAAAGAATGACTAAGACCTGCTGTTTGATAGCACAATAGGGTGACTATAGTCAATAACTTAATTGACATTTAAAAATAACAAAAAGAGTGTAATTGGATTGTTAGTAACACAAAGGATAAATGCTTGAGGGGATAGATACCCCATTCTCCATGCTGGGATTATTATGTATTGCATGCCTGGATCAAAACATGTCATCTACCCCATAAATATATACACCTACTATGTACCCACAAAATTGAAAATAAAAATATAAACAAATAAAGGTTTTATTGGAACACAGCCATGCTTATTTGTTTATGTATAGTTTATGGCTGCTTTTAAGCCATGACCGTAGAGTCAGGTAGTTGCAACACAGCTGGTATGTTCCACAGAGTCTAAAATACTTACTCTCTGGTACTTTAAGAAAATATTTGGCTGAGTGCAGTAGCTCCTGCCTGTAATCCCAGTGCTTTTGGAGGCCAAGGTGGTAGGATCACTTAAACTTAGGAGTATGAGACCAGCCTGGGCAATACAGCAAGACTCCATCTCTAAAAAAGAAATTAGCCAGGCATGTTGGTGTTGTGTGTCTGTAGTCCTAGCTACTCAGGAGGTTGAGGTGGGAAGACTGCTTGAGTCCAGGACTTTGAGACTGCAGTGAGCTAGGCTCATGCCACTGCACTCCAGCCTGGGTGACAGAACAAGACCCTGTTTTGGGTGACAGAGCAAAACCCTGTCTCGAAAAGAAAAAAAAAAGGAAAGAAAAGAAAATGTTTGCCTACCTCTTCATTCATCCAATAAAAATTTATTGAGCTTTTACTACTCCTAACCTCTGGAGACACAACAATGAAGAAGCCAAATATGTTCCCTGGCAAACATATTTGGCTTCTTCATTGTTTAGAAAATGCAATGGGGGACTAAGGAGAATGGTAACACAACTCTCCCTAACCCTCATCCTTGCCCACTATGCACATTGTGCAAGAAAGACCAACCTTGATATGGCTGTGTGGGACATGGGGTTGCAGGGTAGAGAGCCAGCTTTCAGTTAGCAACAGGAGATGGAATGAGCATGGAGTGAGATGGGATGAGATGGAGGGAAGAAGTAGAAGACTTAGAAGTGGACTTTGTTTACAATGGAACAAGATTCAGATGGTGTAGTGGAAATGTTGGGAGAGAGAGGAGCAGCATGAAATTGGGTAGAGAAGGGCAGTAAAGAGGAGTGGCATCAAGAAAAATTGTTGGATGGTTGATGTCAGCCAGAGTTTGCAATCTGGGTGGTGCCCAAGGATCACAGGCACAAAAAGACAAGGAGGAATTTACCCAAGGTTCTCATTTGGATCATGCTGAGCTACTTCCAGATTGCCTCTAGTTTAGCAAGGAATTCCAAATTCAAAAGGCAAGATGCCATGGCAAGGTGGCTTCCAGGGCAGCCCTATGCCTCTCTAATTTCCATTTTTGGCAGTCTGAGAAAATTGTCACCTGGTAATTTTTGAATATAGAATACAATCCTGTTTTCCTCCTATTGGAATATTCATGGGTTTTATTTTCTGCCAGTGGAGTTACAAAGATTGTAAATTTCCTTTTTTTGTCACCTAGCTGGAGGGTATGCATATTGGTAGCTCTAATTTGAAGGTAGTGCATTAAAAAAAATCTAGAAGGCATCTTTAGGTCAGAGTCATCTCCTTCTTTCTTATGTATATTGAATAATATTCAGAACTATAAGTTCCATCAGGGCAGGGACCATATTTGGCTTCTTCATTGTTGTATCTCCACAGCTTAGGAGAAGTAAAAGCTCAATAAATTTTTGTTGGATGAATGAATGAGAAAAGGCTTTTGTGCCTTAATGGAATATGGCTTTGGTAGCAATGTTGAAAGTACTGTAAAATACTATTTAAGGTTTTCTATGAGAATTAGTGCTTGCCTGTGTGTGTGTGTGTGTGTGTGTGTGTGTGTGTACACACAAATGTTTTAGGAAAAATTCTGATTTTGATTGTATTAATATTGGTGGATTTTAAAGAATGTGTCATTTTCAACATGGTTTTAAATGAATGATGTTTGAGGAGGCTGGGGCTGAGATAGGGTGGGAGTTGGGGGAGAAGGCACAAGATAAATGGTGAAGAGACATAAAACCCAGGCTCTCAGCTACAAGACTTTTTACTGAAACTCCCAAACAGAATCATTGTCACAGTAGGGAAAGAACAAGGGCGGTAAGCTAGAGTTACAAATCTGTGATGACCATAAGATGAATAAAAATAGAACCAGGGGTCTTGTCTTGCCTTTGGCTATTTTTGAGAAAGAATGTGGACAAGATCCTAGCCTCAAGTTGTTTATTCTGAGAGAGATTATGTCCAATTTGAGTTACAGAGAAGCAGTATGGCATGGTGGTTTAGAGCCTGGGCTAGCTGACTTCAAGTCTGGCTCTACCACTTTGTGGCCTCGAGCAATTTATTTTCTCTAGGCCCCAGTTTTTTCATCTGCAAACTGGTTCTGATAATATTACCTACCCTATAGGGTTGTGTATTAAATTTATACACACATCACATCACATAGAGCAGCCTGTTACATAAGTACTCAGTTATTGTTAGCTATTATTATGTTTTGTATCAAGTTAAAAAGGCTCCAGTTGTTTTACTGGATTAAATGTAGCTTCTTATCCAATATCGAGTGTAGGAACCAAATGAAAGGTTTTGCTTAACCCATTTATGCCTAGTGTTTCATTATGGGAACACCAAGCTTGTGGTAGTTATATATATCCTACTGCTCAAGATCATTGCCAAGGTCTGATTTTGCACACAAAAATTTTGCAACCTCCTGCATAAATTCTTAGTTTTGTCCATTTTGGCATTTTAAGCATATTGTGGAAGAGGATTTACAGTTTGTTGAAGGATGTGATCTACATTTTTAACCCCTCTTCTCTATGAGTTTCTAGGATGATGATTCTAAAAATCTTGTGGGTGGAGTGAGAGACAAAAAGGGAAGACAGAAAATTGGGTTCAGAGAGTGTACTTAGTGGTATTTTCTTTGGTGCACTTCAAAATCTCACCACCGGGTGGAGCTCATTCCTTACTCTAGAATCACAAGCAGTTTCAACTTTTTAAGATGTGCAGGTGGAGGGAGAGTAATGAAAGCAGTTTAAAATTGATGGCTGTCTTGGTACACAAAAATCGTCCTTTTTTTTTTAAAAAAAAGAATGAAACTGTAAAAGTTTAAACTTTAAATATCTTGTAATAGAGAAATAATTGCCTCTAGAAAAATCAAAACATTTATTTGAAGATTTGATTCAAACAAAAATTATGAGAAATTCTTTTAAAAAAATCACACAAGCTAAAATGAGTTGAGTAATAAACCATATTACATATGAATATCTAATATGTTTGAATGTATGTATACAGACACACACATACACACACACACACACACACAAGCAGACACATCTCAATTTCCCCAAACTTTTCTCTCTCTCTCTCTTTCTCTCTCTCTCTTTTTGAAACAGGGTCTCTCTCTGCTGCCCAGGCTGGAGTGCAGTGGTGCGATCACAGCTCACTGCAGCCTTGAACTCCTGGGCTCAAGTTATCCTCCCACCTCAGCCTCCTGAGTAGCTGGGACTACAGGGGTGCCACTACACCCTGCTAAATTTTGTATTTTTTGTAGAGATGGGATCTTGTTATGTTGCCCAAGTTGACTTCAAACTCCTGGACTCAAATGATCTTCACACCTCAGCATTCCAAAGTGCTGGGATTACAAGTGTGAGCCACCATGCCCAGCCCCAAAATTTCTTAAGGGTCTCAAATTGATGTCTGAGTGTGCTTGTTCTGTGTGGAGGATTGGGGAGGTCCAGGTCAGATGCCTGAAGTTATTTACTTACATTTCCCCAATGTCTGTTCCAGGTATCTACATGGCTATGGGACTTAAATGGTGATGGGGATGATGGACCCACTTATACACCTTGTGGCCAGCACACAATGAGAGGGAGAATTCCAAATATTCTCACCTTTTTCAGGACCAAAGTTCTGGATCCTCTCATTCTGTGCCTACTGAGCCAAATCTAATTGCAAGAGGTGGCACAACATGAATGGGTGGAGTTACTCAAGGTCTTATTAGGAAATTCTTAGCTGAGGCAGAAGAAAGCATCATCAGGATGGTGGAATCATGGATAATTTTTTCATCTTTATTCCATTCTGTATTGGGTGCTCTGTATTTTTTAAATTTTTTCACGGAGGATAGAGTACTCACATAATCAAAATAAAGTAACTGGACTTCAATTTTGGAAGAACAAACAAAATAAGCACAGCTGAAATCTGGGTGAGATCCAAACCTCTGATCTTCGAGGGGAACCCAAAGTGTCACCAAAACTGAAGGAGGGGACACATATGGGTATTGAAATTGGGTTATGGAGCCAAGAGTCCAGATTCTAGGTGATGAGAGCAAGCATAAATAATTGATTGGAGAACAATGAGAACAGTGGCACTAGGTAATCTTGAACAATTGCTTAGAAAGAAAGGAATCTACCCCCTCAGGTAGAGCAAGGCTAAGCATTCCCAGAGTTGCCTGGGTGAAAGTCCTGACAAGTTCCGTGGTGTGCTTGAGGTGGACTCTGCTTCTGGTCCATAGCCCCTGAATTGCGGGTTGGAGGCCAGCACTCAAGTTTCTGGTCTGGGGTTGTTGGGCTGGGTCTGGACTGTGGAGTGGCAGGCAGAGTCTTGGTGGGTCAGAGGTAGGCCCCTCCCTTTTCCTGCAGTACTGGGAAATTATCAACAGGTGACATTGCAGGGTTATGGGTTTATCAGTAGCATTCCTGCATTCTCCATATTCTGGCATGCAATAATGTTATATTCATGACATATAACAGCCAAGAATGCTGCATAGTACTCCAGAGGGGTTCTCTGGTTGGTGGTTGATGTAGAGGAATCACTTCGGTTAGGGAGGACCTGGGTATATTCATCTGCTCAGTTCTCCCCTCTCCCCCAACCAAGGCCAGTTGTGAGTTCTGGTGTCTGTGAATGGCTATACTTGTAGAAGAAAACTGGGAAGTTTGCTGTCATCTTCTAGATTTTGGGTGGGTCTCCAGAGGAAGGGACAGTTTAAAAAAAAGAAAAAAAATAGAATTTGGATGGGGGGCATTGGTGTGTATGTTTAGAGAGAAGCACAGGTAAGTGGGCACGTTCATAGTTGTACTAGCAACTTTGCTTGGTTGTCATCAGTTTTGCCTAGAGTAAAGCTGCTTGGTTCCATCACTGCAATGTTTCCTCACAGTGCTTTAGTCCCAGGAGTAAGAAAAATTGGGCCTTTTTCTTTTTCTTTTTTTTTTTTTTTTTGAGGCAGAGTCTCGCTCCGTCGCTGAGGCTGTAGTGCAGTGGCGCGATCTCGGCTCACTGCAAGCTCCGCCTCCCAGGTTCACGCCATTCTCCTGCCTCAGCCTCCCAAGTAGCTGGGACTACAGGCGCCCGCCAACACGCCCAGCTAATTTTTTTGTATTTTTAGTAGAGACGGGGTTTCACCGTGTTAGCCAGGATGGTCTCGATCTCCTGACCTCGTGATCCGCCCGTCTCGGCCTCCCAAAGTGCTAGGATTACAGGCGTGAGCAGCCACCGCGCCCGGCCAATTGGGCCTCTTTCACATTCCGCAGGTGCAAAGCACTGGAAACCTGCCTGAGTTTCCCCTTCCTTGGTGTGTGTGTGTGTGTGTTTGTCAGTGAGGGGGAGAGAGAGAGAGTGAGCAAGTGGAGACAAAAGTCAAAGGAGCCAGCAGAATTGATATCTGGGCCAGAAAGCCAAGGTTAAAAAAATAATTATAAAGGAGGCACCATGATTGATAGGATTAGAGGCAGCTATCAAAGCTGGAGTACAAATTTAGGAATCTAAAAATATTCCTGAAGGAGACAAGAGAAGAAAACGGTGACAAAGAATTTAGATGATCAGGAATCTAAAGCACAGATTCTACCAACTAATATTTTTAAACCCTGTCTTTGGTGTTAGGCATGTTTTGTTCAGCATACACACCTTTTTTACTTAGTTGGATCTTTATAGCTCTGTTGTTTTAGCCAATTGCTCAGCTTGTTTGTTTCCATAACTCTACTCAAATTTTACAAGCAATGGAGCTTCATTAGATAAAATAATTGACAATGATGCTAGAGTCATCATTTTGCTTTCTTGCCATTGAAAAGTGCCTGTATCTATCAACTGGAAAAGAAAGATGTTGGGGCCTCGACTAATTTTTCTGTTTAGATGGGAAATGTCATGCCTTTATGTAATTGGCTTTATTTTGAAACACAGATTTTTCAGGCCAACTTTGTTTCTCTGACCCAGTTTTTCCCTTTCTTCTGTCACTTGGCTTCTTTAAAATATGAAACTGGGAACTAGGCGCTTGAGGCCTCATGATGACTATGTCACTGATTTGGTATGTGATCTTGGCCAAGATGCTTAGCAGATGAGGCACAGAAAGGTTAAATGGGGTTCGAAAGACTGTAAATACTGACCTGCCTCATTAAGATATTGTTTAGGTCAGTACATTTTTAAAAAAATCCAAAGCAAAGCAAAAAATAAGCCCCTTTTTTTTGCTACTCCCTGTCTGTTTCTTACTCCCTAATCTCCTTTCTTCCCATATCTGCTGATCAAGTATGGAGTAGAAAAGGTCCCTATCAAGATGGTTGTCATCCCTCTTGGTCTGGGACTTGAATAGTCAGTCCATCACCATTTTTAAGATATACTTTTGGGTGCTTGGTCTGTGTAAATGGGGAGTTTCTGTTTGGGAAGAGAAATAATTTTGTTTTGAATAATCATATTGGCCCATGTAATCTAGACTGGATATGTTGAGGGATGTAGGCCTAATCTCAGTTCTGTCCCTGGCTCATGGTGTACACTCAAGCCCCATTTGAGAGGTAACAGATGGAAAGGTTAGGATCACCAACTGCTTGGGAGAAACGAGCTTGTTTGCTAGAGAGCCCAGAAGAAGACTTGGTAGTTGAAGCTATCTGAGAAATCCTATGACCATAAGCATTAATTTATTCCTGACCCTACCATAAAATGAGTATTAAATTACTTGTCTCCTATGTAGCTTATATGCCTATCATATATATTAGATTAAAAATTATAAGAAGCAGTAGTGCATTTGAACTTCTTGGAAATATAATTTCAAGGCATAATCATAATAAAACAGGGTCATTGCATAATAACATCTGTTTGGAAGTCTGGTGATATAGACTGTGATTCCTGCTAATGCAGTTTATAATAGCTAAGGTTCCAAATGGCTCTTTTCTAGTTCTAATTTATACGCATAGCTGTAACTAAATCTCCTGCTAGTGGGACTTTATTAGTATAGTGTCTTCTGTGTTGCTCCAAGTAGGGAAACTATTTTAAAGCTCTTCTTTAAAATAAGTTAATTTGTTCCAGAGTATATCAGGATTAAGTACAGTTGTAAATAAGAGAAAAACTCTTCTCCCAGCCACCCAGGCTAGAAAACTTGTCATCCTTGACATCTCTTCCTTTGCCTTGCTCTCCCTCTCAGCCTTAAAGATTTTGCTATCTGTGGCAGACATTGCCAGTTACCTCCCAATACCCAATATCCATTCTTTTTTTTTTTTTAGTAAAACAAAAAGAATTTTAGTTGAGCAAATTGTCACTCAGCTAAAAGACAATTTCTCAGCTTTCTTTGCATGTGTTCATGTGACTAAGTTCTGGTTAATGAGATTAAAGTGGTCACGTTATGTGATACTTTTCGAGGAATCTCCTTTAAAAGGTAGAGATCACACATTTCCTTTCTTCTTTCTCCAGTACACTGTCAGGAATATGGATGTAATGGCTGGAATACCAATATTCATCTTGCGCCATGAAGGCACATACCTTAGGAATGGCAGAGTGCACACCGAGAAGGAATCTGGGTCCCTGAAGATTTCATGGTACTGCCATACTAGCTCTGGACTGCTTACTTTTGAGATTCTATCTTATTTAAGCCAACCTTATTTTATGTCTATGCTCACAGAGGAAATAGGGTTTTTTTGAGGCAATAGTTTTGAGGAGGAAGAGGATGAGTTTGATTTTGGGCATGTGAATATGAAGTATTGGCAGGTCACTCAGGTAGACATGTAGAAGAGTTAGAGTTATGGAGAGATGGTAGGGCTGAATTAAACCATGCAACTTTCTGTGCTTCTGCTCTCATGCTGTCTGGTGTTATTGAAATCCAGAAGAAATAGAGTTAGCTCTACAGAGTTCACTCTGGGAAATGTTTGCCTACATTAGAAGGCCAATAGCCTTCTAACAGGTGTCTTCACTTCCAGTCCTTGCTTTTTGAAACTACTTTATACATTGTCCTCAAAGTAACTCCTTAAAACTGGTTTGATCTGTGACTACTGACTAGAGTCTGACTTTTTTATGCTGACACTCAAGGACTTCCACAATCTGGTTTGAATCTACTTTCCCAGTTTGTTTATTCACTGTGTTTTCTCAGGCACCTGTGCTTTACTCAGACTGATGTACTCTCTCTGTTCTATTTATGCTCCACAATTTTCTCTTTTATGCTTTTGCACATACTCAGGATCATTGCCAGCCCATATGGATTCTTGGCACAAAATAGAAAAAGGTGTCTCTTCCTCAAAACTCTTTACTTCCATCTGTCTGAAAACTGTTGTAATATACTGATTGTTAGGAAATGTCATTCTCCTGCCACCTACTCTAGTAGATAGAAATATACAAATCATCTATCTTTGAAATAACAAAAAAGTTATTACCATGAAAATTTTGGCCGGGTGTGGTGGCTCATGCCTGTAATCTCGGCATTTTGGGAAGCTGAGGCGGGAGAATTGCTTGAGGCCAGGAGCTCAAGACCAGCCTGGGCAATATAGTGAGACCCATTCTCTACAAAATATAAAACAAAATTGGCCAGGCATGGTGGAGCATGCCTGTAGTCATAGCTAATTGGGAGGTTGAGGTGGGAGAATTGCTTGAGCCCAGAAGGTTGAGGCTGCAGTGAGCTGAGATCATGCCACTGCACTCCAGCCTGGGCAACAGAGAAAGACCATGTCTCAGAAAACCCCAAATACACATATAAAATATAAAAAATTTCAAAATGTCCACAATGTGAACAGTGTCCCCTTAGGTGTGGCATTCTTCTGCAGCACACAAACTGAAGAATCATGAGTGGAGCCCTGCTCATACTGTTCCCTCCAACTGAAACTCACACTCATCATTATCTTTATGTGTCCAGGGACTACTTGAGTGCTGCTTTTACAAAGCTTTCCTTGATTTTTCAAGATGAAAACAATCTCTTCTCACCGTGAAAATTCAATACAGTTATCTGCACCTCTCTCGGGGTATTTATCACTTTCTAATAGTATTCTGTTTATTTATGTGCATGTATTATCACTCTACTATGCTAAATTCTCTTTGAGAACAGAATAGATTGACAATTTACTTTTGTAGCTTCACACTATTTGGAGACTATTATACCGAGGATTACCATATGTCTAGTTTGTCCAAAACAATCTGAATTTATGCCTGTTGTGCTGACATAAGTATTAACAGTGCCTCCTTTTATGCTCAGAAATACCAATTGGAAGAATACTTTTTTTTGTTTGTCCCAGAACTTCTGGCGTACATTTTATTTTTTGTCTTTGTTTTGTTTTTTATATACAGGATGACATTCAAGGCATACATTTTAGAAGTGAGACAAATGTGTTTCAAGGATTCACCAAATTTTACACTAGTAGTGAACAATAAGCTAAGCACCCAGGTTTTCTACCAAAAATGCTCCTTTTAAGAAGTTCTTCAGTTACTGAGATGGAATTTAATCAGGCATAAAATGCTCAAAAGAAAACACAGACGTCCCTCCAAAACAAAAAAAGCACAACAGGACTTGTGCCATCAGGGGAAAAGCATGACATCCAGTTGCTGAAGTCAGATAACAGTATGCCGAGTTCAGAAATGACTGGTGGGTGGCTTGTAGCACTTAGAAGTATCACTCAAAAGAAGAAAGTTCTTGGAAATGTTTGTCTTCTTTTTTTTTTTAATTATACTTTAAGTTTTAGGGTACATGTGCACAACGTGCAGGTTTGTTACATATATATACATGTGCCATGTTGGTGTGCTGCACCCATTAACTTGTCATCTAACATTAGGTATATCTCCTAATGCTATCCCTCCCCCCTTCCCCCACCCCACAACAGGCCCTGGTGTGTGATGTTCCCCTTCCTGTGTCCATGTGTTCTCACTGTTCAATTCCCACCTATGAGTGAGAATATGCGGTGTTTGGTTTTTTGTCCTTGCGATAGTTTGCTGAGAATGATGGTTTCCAGCTTTATCCATGTCCCTACAAAGGACGTGAACTCATCATTTTTATGGCTGCATAGTATTCCATGGTGTATATGTGCCACATTTTCTTAATCCAGTCTATCATTGTTGGACATTTGGGTTGGTTCCAAGTCTTTGCTATTGTGAATAGTGCTGCAATAAACATACGTGTGCATGTGTCTTTATAGCAGCATGACTTATAATCCTTTGGGTATATACCCGGTAATGGGATGGCTGGGTCAAATGGTATTTCTAGTTCTAGATCCCTGAGGAATTGCCACACTGACTTCCACGATGGTTGAACTAGTTTACAGTCCCACCAACAGTGTAAGTGTTCCTATTTCTCCACATCCTCTCCAGCACCTGTTGTTTCCTGACTTTTTAATGATTGCCATTCTAACTGGTGTGAGATGATATCTCATTGTGGTTTTGATTTGCATTTCTCTGATGGCCAGTGATGATGAGCATTTTTTCATGTGTCTTTTGGCTGCATAAATGTCTTCTTTTGAGAAGTGTCTGTTCATATCCTTCCCCCACTTGTTGATGGGGTTGTTTGTTTTTTCTTGTAAATTTGTTTGAGTTCATTGTAGATTCTGGATATTAGCCCTTTGTCAGATGGGTAGATAGCAAAATTTTTCTCCCATTTTTTAGGTTGCCTGTTCACTCTGATGGTAGTTTCTTTTGCTGTGCAGAAGCTCTTTAGTTTAATTAGATCCCATTTGTCAATTTTGGCTTCTGTTGCCATTGCTTTTGGTGTTTTAGACATGAAGTCCTTGCCCATGCCTGTGTCCTGAATGGTATTACCTAGGTTTTCTTCTAGGGTTTTTATGGTTTTAGGTCTAACATTTAAATCTTTAATCCACCTTGAATTAATTTTAGTATAAGGTGCAAAGAAGGGATCCAGTTTCAGCTTTCTACATATGGCTAGCCAGTTTTCCCAGCACCATTTATTAAATAGGGAATCCTTTCCCCATTTCTTTTTTTTTGTCAGGTTTGTCAAAGATCAGATAGTTGTAGATATGTGGCGTTATTTCTGATGGCTCTGTTCTGTTCCATTGGCCTATATCTCTGTTTTGGTACCAGTACCATGCTGTTTTGGTTACTGTAGCCTTATAGTATAGTTTGAAGTCAGGTAGCGTGATGCCTCTAGCTTTGTCCTTTTGGCTTAGGATTGACTTGGCAATGCGGGCTCTTTTTTGGTTCCATATGAAGTTTAAAGTAGTTTTTTCCAATTCTGTGAAGAAAGTCATTGGTAGCTTGATGGGGATGGCATTGAATCTATAAATTACCTTGGGCAGTATGGCCATTTTCATGATATTGATTCTTCTACCAATGAGGATGGAATGTTCTTCCATTTGATTGTATCCTCTTTTATTTCACTGAGCAGTGGTTTGAAATTCTCCTTGAAGAGATCCTTCACATCCCTTGTAAGTTGGATTCCTAGGTATTTTATTCTCTTTGAAGCAATTGTGAATGGGAATGCACTCATGATTTAGCTCTCTGTTTGTCTGTTATTGGTGTATAAGAATGCTTGTGATTTTTGCACATTGATTTTGTATCCTGAGACTTTGCTGAAGTTGCTTATCAGCTTAAGGAGATTTTGGGCTGAGACAATGGGGTTTTCTAGATATACAATCATATCAGCTGCAAATAGGGACAATTTGACTTCCTCTTTTCCTAATTGAATGCCCTTTATTTCTTTCTCCTGCCTGATGGCCCTGGCCAGAACTTCCAACACCATGTTGAATAGGAGTGGTGAGAGAGGGCATCCCTGTCTTGTGCCCGTTTTCAAAGGGAATGCTTCCAGTTTTTGTTCATTCAGTATGATATTGGCTGTGGGTTTGTCATAGATTGCTCTTATTATTTTGAGATATGTCCCATCAATACCTAATTTATTGAGAGTTTTTAGCATGAAGAGTTGTTGAATTTTGTCAAAGGCCTTTTCTGCATCTATTGAGATAATCATGTGGTTTTTGTCATTGGTTCTGTTTATATGCTGGATTGCATTTATTGATTTGCATAAGTTGAACCAGCCTTGCATCCCAGGGATGAAGCCCACTTGATCATGGTGGATAAGCTTTTTGATGTGCTGCTGGATTCCGTTTGCCAGTATTTTATTGAGGATTTTTGCATCGATGTTCATCAGGCATATTGGTCTAAAATTCTCTTTTTTTGTTGTGTCTCTGCCAGGCTTTGGTATCAGGATGATGCTGGCCTTATAAAATGAGTTAGGGAGGATTCCCTCTTTTTCTATTGATTGGAGAAGGAATGGTACCAGCTCCTCCTTGTACCTCTGGTAGAATTCGGCTGTGAATCCATCTGGTCCTGACTTTTTTTGGTTGGTAAGCTATTAATTATTGCGTCAATTTCAGATTCTGTTATTGGTCTATTCAGAGATTCAACTTCTTCCTGGTTTAGTCTTGGGAGAATGTATGTGTAGAGGAATTTATCCATTTCTTCCAGATTTTCTAGTTTATTTGCATAGAGGTGTTTATAGTATTCTCTGATGGTAGTTTGTATTTCTGTGGGATCGGTGGTGATATCCCCTTTGTCATTTTTTATTGCATCTATTTGATTCTTCTCTCTTTTCTTCTTTCTTAGTCTTGCTAGCAGTATATCAATTTTGTTGATCTTTTCAAAAAACCAGCTCCTGGATTCACTGATTTTTTGAAGGGTTTTTTGTGTCTCTATTTCCTTCAGTTCTGCTCTGATCTTAGTTATTTCTTGCCTTCTGCTAGCTTTTGAATGTGTTTGCTCTTCCTTCTCCAGTTCTTTTAATTGTGACGTTAGGGTGTCAATTTTAGATCTTTCCTGCTTTCTTTTGTGGGCATTTAATGCTATAAATTTCCCTCTACACACTGCTTTGAATGTGTCCCAGAGATTCTGGTATGTTGTGTCTTTGTTCTCGTTGGTTTCAAAGAACATCTTTATTTCTGCCTTTATTTCGTTATGTACTCAGTAGTCATTCAGGAGCAGGTTGTTCAGTTTCCATGTAGTTGAGCGGTTTTGAGTGAGTTTCTTAATCCTGAGTTCTAGTTTGATTGCATTGTGGTCTGAGAGACAGTTTGTTATAATTTCTGTTCTTTTACATTTGCTGAGGAGTAATTTCTGTTCTTTTACATTTGCTGAGGAGTGCTTTACATCCAAGTATGTGGTCAATTTTGGAATAGGTGTGGTGTGGTGCTGAAAAGAATGTATATTCTGTTGATTTGGGGTGGAGAGTTCTGTAGATGTCTATTAGGTCTGCTTGGTGCAGAGCTGAGTTCAATTCCTGGATATCCTTGTTAACTTTCTGTCTCGTTGATCTGTCTAATGTTGACAGTGGGGTGTTAAAGTCTCCCATTATTATTGTGTGGGAGTCTAAGTCTCTTTGTAGGTCTCAAAGGACTTGCTTTATGAACCTGGGTGCTCCTGTATAGGGTACATGTATATTTAGGATAGTTAGCTCCTCTTGTTGAATTGATCCCTTTACCATTATGTAATGGTCTTCTTTGTCTGTTTTGATCTTTGTTGGTTTAAAAGTCTGTTTTATCAGAGACTAGGATTGCAACCCCTGCCTTTTTTTGTTTTCCATTTGCTTGGTAGATCTTCCTCCATCCCTTTATTTTGAGCCTATGTGTGTATCTGCATGTGAGATGGGTTTCCTGAATACAGCACACTGGTGGGTCTTGACTCTTTATCGAATTTGCCAGTCTGTGTCTTTTAATCGGAGCATTTAGCCCATTTACATTTAAGGTTAATATTGTTATGTGTGAATTTGATCCTGTCATTATGATGTTAGCTGGTTATTTTGCTTGTTAGTTGATGCAGTTTCTTCCTAGCCTCGATGGTCTTTACAATTTGGCATGTTTTTGCAGTGGCTGGTACTGGTTGTTCCTTTCCATGTTTAGCGCTTCCTTCAGGAGCTCTTTTAGGGCAGGCCTGGTGGTGACAAAATGTCTCAGCATTTGCTTGTCTGTAAAGTATTTTATTTCTCCTTCGCTTATGAAGCTTAGTTTGGCCGGATATGAAATTCTGGGTGGAAAATTCTTTTCTTTAAGAATGTTGAATATTGGCCCCCACTCTCTTCTGGCTTGTAGAGTTTCTGCCGAGAGATCAGCTGTTAGTCTGATGGGCTTCCCTTTGTGGGTAACTCGACCTTTCTCTCTGGCTGCCCTTAACATTTTTTCCTTCATTTCAACTTTGGTGAATCTGACAATTATGTGTCTTAGAGTTGCTCTTCTTGAGGAGTATCTTTGTGGCGTTCTCTGTATTTTCTGAATTTGAATGTTGGACTGCCTTGCTAGATTGGGGAAATTCTCCTGGATAATATCCTGCAGAGTGTTTTCCAACTTGGTTCCATTCTCCCTGTCACTTTCAGGTACACCAATCAGATGTAGATTTGGTCTTTTCACATAGTCCCATATTTCTTGGAGGCTTTGTTTGTTTCTTTTTATTCTTTTTTCTCTAAACTTCTCTTGTCGCTTCATTTCATTCATTTGATTTTCCATCACTGATACCCTTTCTTCCAGTTGATCAAATAGGCTACTGAGGCTTGTGCATTCGTCACGTAGTTCTCGTGCCATGGTTTTCAGCTCCGTCAGGTCCTTTAAGGACTTCTCTGCATTGGTTATTCTAGTTAACCATTCATCTAATCTTTTTTCAATGTTTTTAACTTCTTTGCCATGGGCTTGAACTTCCTCCTTTAGCTCGGAGTAGTTTGATTGTCTGAAGCCTTCTTCTCTCAACTCGTCAAAGTCATTCTCTATCCGGCTTTGTTCCATTGCTGGTGAGGAGCTGTGTTGGTGGAGGAGAGGCACTCTGATTTTTAGAGTTTCCGGTTTTTCTGCTCTGTTTTTTCCCCATCTTTGTGTTTTTATCTACCTTTGGTCTTTGATGATGGTGATGTACAGATAGGTTTTTGGTGTGGCTGTCCTTTCTGTTTGTTAGTTTTCCTTCTAACAGTCAGGACCCTCAGCTGCAGGTCTGTTGGAGTTTGCTGGAGGTCCACTCCAGACCCTGTTTGCCTGGGTATCAGCAGCGGTGGCTGCAGAACAGCAGATATTGGTGAACCACAAATGCTGCTGCCTGATCATTCCTCAGGAAGTTTTGTCTCAGAGGAGTACCCGGCCATGTGAGGTGTCAGTCTGCCCCTACTTGGGGATGCCTCCCAGTTTGGCTACTCGGGGGTCAGGGACCCACTTGAGGAGGCAGTGTGTCCGTTCTCAGATCTCCAGCTGTGTGCTGGGAGAACCACTACTCTCTTCAAAGCTGTCAGACAGGGACATTTAAGTCTGCAGAGGATTCTGCTGCCTTTTGTTTGGCTACGCCCTGTCCCCAGAGGTGGAGTCTACAGAGACAGGCAGGCCTCCTTGAGCTGTGGTGGGTTCCACCCAGTTTGAGCTTCCCGGCCACTTTGTTTACCTATTCAAGCCTGGGCAATGGCGGGCGCCCCTCCCCCAGCCTCGCTGCCACCTTGCAGTTTGATCTCAGACTGCTGTGCTAGCAATGAGCGAGGCTCCGTGGGCATAGGACCCTCCGAGCCAGGCACGGGATATAATCTCCTGGTGTGCCATTTGCTAAGACCGTCGGAAAAGCGCAGAATTAGGGTGGGAGTGACCCGATTTAGCAGGTGCTGTCTGTCACCCCTTTCCTTGGCTAGGAAAGGGAATTCCCCAACCCCTTGCACTTCCTGGGTGAGGCGATGCCTCACCCTGCTTTGGCTGATTCTCAGTGCGCTGCACCCACTGTCCTGCACCCACTGTCCGACAATCCCCAGTGAGATGCACCTGGTACCTTAGTTGGAAATGCAGAAATCATTTGTCTTCTGCGTTGCTCACGCTGGGAGCTGTAGACTGTAGCTGTTCCTATTTGGCCATCTTGGCTCCACATCACTGAAGAATAAATTGTATAGTCAACTCTACTTATATGGTATGCACTCAGTGAATAATTGATGGATGTATACATGAGTGAATGAGAGGAATTAGGTAGTCATCCATGTTGAGAAGTTAATTGAATATGTGAAATGATCACCTAAAGTAGCTGCCCCAAATATCTAATTCAACTCACAGCAGCAAAATTTTATCCTCTCTCAAAAGACACAGTGAATATATGCATTAAAAGAGAGAGTAGAAAGGATGAGGGCTAAGGACAGGATCTGTGGAGAATGCTTACATTTCAGGGATAGATAGAGGAAGAGGAGCCAACAAAGGAAACAAACTGGAATCAGTCAAAGAGGTCAGAGAAAAATTAGCCTGGGCCAGGTCCAGTGGCTCATCCCTGTAATCCCAACACTGAGGGAGGCCATGGTGGGCAGATTACTTCAGCCCAGGAATTTGAGATCAGCCTGGGCAATATGGCAAGAACTGTCTCTACGATAATAATAATAATAATCAGCATAGTTCCATGGAAGCCATGGAGAGAGTTTTAAAAGGAATGAGGTGGTCACCATTGGTAAAAGCCTCAGTAAGGTCAAGCAGGGTGAATTCTAAAAAAAAAAAAAAAACACACACACACACAAAACAACAACAACAAAACATTGAATCTGCCTATGGTTATGTCATTGCTGACTTTCAAGGCAGCAGTTTGAATACAGTGTCATAGAGTGGCGGGTGGAAACTAGGTTGCAAAGGGTTAGGAAGTGACCCAATGCTGAGAAAGGAGTCAGTGAGAAATCTGGCTTATGGAAAGAAGGTGAGAAATAGGATGGTAACTTGGGTCAAAAGTAGGGAGAACTCTGAACATGGACCTTGGTGAAGGAGCCACTAAAAATAGATAATGGAACAAGTTCTCTTAGAAGCGAAGAGGGCTTGGGATCAAGTATCCAAGTAGAGGACATACCTGAGATACAGTGCTCTTTTTTTTTTTTTTTTTGAGACAGAAGGGTTGTTGTAGAGTTCAGGCAAAAGCGTTATGCATTATGCAGTTTGAAGAAGGGGAATGGCCAGAGTCTTTGCAGTGAAGTAGGTGGTGAGGTCATATGTGAGAAGAGGGACAGCTGGAGTAGGACTGGGGGCTTGAGAGCAGGGGAAACAGTTTGGATTTAGAACAACTGTTCTAAGAAATTCCCGAGGGAGTCAACAAGAAGCCTGCCAAGCTGCAGTGCAAGCCCAGCTGAGGTTCAACTTCCCATACTGAATGAGATAGTTATTTCCACAGAATCCATAGAAAATGTATTTCTCAAGCTTATTATCAAAGATGTTTTTCCTCCCCCAGGAAGAGAATAAAGGAACACACATTGGCAATTTACAATGTGGCGGAGAGTTATGAGCATTTAGTCTCTCCCAAAAGACTTGTTGCTCGGTCATCCAGAAGCCTTACAGCATTCTTAGTGAAGATGAATGCTTCATACAGGTTGTTTGTGGTACGTTTAAAACATAGACCTAAAGCCAAGGATATTCTATTTTCAGAGCTAGTCTGGGATGTTCCTTGAGTTTCTATGCCCAGTTCAGAGCAAAGGCAAACACTGACATTTCTGTGAGACAGAGCATAAAGTTGCAAATAGCCTCTGTGATAAAACTTGATTTAACCAGGCAAAACCTTTAAGCTTACAAGCGGCCTGTAAAATCCACCAAAGGCCAAATGTCAGGCATTGCCCTTTAAAGCCCAAGTAAATGACCACAGTACTGGTGGCTTAAGATGAGAAAAGTTAAATATCTCTCACCCACACAGGTAATCTTTCCAAATGTTGTTTAATCGTACATTCATAATTACCATGGTGTTCTTTAAGGAGGTTAACATTTGGAGACAACTGTTTGGCCAAAGTGTTAGGCATTATTTTCTTGAAAACAGAGTTTGCTTCCTTTGTTTCAGTGGGGAATCAGTGTGGCATTGGTCCAACAGCACAGCTGCCCAAGTGCATAAACAAGTGACTCCAATTCTTTTTATTCACCTCTCTAGGCAAAGTGCAGGATCTACACATATGCATTTGATTAAGGATATTTGCATGTATTTGTGTTGCCACGTTCTTCCAATGGCACATATCTGAGAGGTGAGCAGTAAAATAGATAGATAAGTCATAAGATATACATGCATAAGGAACCATAAGTGATTTCACTTAGATGTCTCTAAATTACTCACAATTTCCCTCTTTTGTTTACTCAGTGAAAGGATTGTTTATTAAGCACCACCTGCATTAAATTATATGAGTATTCATGTCCTTTGGAAATAATTATCTTGTTGTTTATGTACCATTTTCTTTAACCTCATCAACTGTACCATTTCAGGGACATTATAAAGGGAGAAAAAGAGCACACCATTTGGGAATAGCCTTTCTCAATCTCAAGGAGAAACATGGCTCGCTCACTTCAGCTGGAAAGAATTCCCCTTATTAACTCTGCCATGTAATTCTAATTAGCAATCAAGGGGTGGGGGTGATGAGAGGGGACACAGGCAAAGGAATCTCCCTTCTCTCCTAGGGACCCCAGAAAACCTGTTTACTTTAATAATAGAATTTATTATTATTTTCATCACCAAGCATTTATTAAGTGCCATTACTGTACCAAGAATGGTGCTGAATGTTCTATGTTATTTCATTTGATCTTCACAACGGCTCTGTGGTATTGTTAGGAAGTTTTTTAAAATGAGAAATCAGGATCAGAGAGGTGAAATGATTTCCTTTAACATCACACAGCTAGAAAATAAGTGGAAGAGTTGAGATTTGAATCTGGGTTTTCTGAAAGCTGTCTTTCAACTAATATACTCAGTGGCCAATTGGAGGAACACATTTTAAAGTATTGGTATTCCAAAATTGGAAGTACCCTTAAAAGCATGTCTTTCTACCTCATGAAAGGTTATTGAGGGAGTATGTAACTTCTGTCTACAGTGATTACTCATTTTTCCTGTCTGTGGCTAGCTCTCTTAGTTCTGCACATTTGTTAATTCACTGAAAAATTTGCTTTTTCTTAACTATTACTTGTTCATCTCTGAGTTCCTACAGAGGCATAAAAGGACAAGTTTGCAGTCTAAAAATATTGAGGCAGTTTACACAAATGGCTGCTAAATTCCAGAAGAGCTCTGATTTAACCAGCTAGTAATTATAGACTTAGCTATGCCCTGGGCCCAATCACAGCCACTGAAACATAACTTCCTACTGCATAAACCTGATCAAAGATAATTAGAGGAGAGCACAGGTGGCAAGTCTGTACCCTGGGAGAAGAATTACATAGCCAGTTTCTAGCAGAAAAATTATAGGCTGGCATGCTCCAGGCCAGATTTGCAAGGGCTTTAGTTCTCTTTTCTAACCTCTGGCTGCTGCCTGTCTACAAACTTACTTTTTAAATTTTAGTTCTGCCACTGTTGTAGAGTGTGGGGTAGTACTCCTAAGCAGGTTAGGGTAGCCAGTAGGCAAAGACTGAAGCGGTCCATGGCACATTTCCCCATCAGCTTGCTCTGTTCTCCCAGTGGCCTATTGAGTCCCCCCAGCATGCTCTCTGCATTGTGCCTGCGCCCCTGGCCGTGTTATTGAGACAGAGGATGTATCAACATAATTGTTCATTATGTGCCCCTGCTGAATAGGTATTTGCCCAAGCATGCTTTTAATCTTTTAGATATCTGCAGCCATTTTGTAGCTCTACATCCTCACAGGTTTCCCCTGGAATGTGGACCAAATTGCATTTGTATCTAAGAAAATAAAATTTGCTGAAGGCATGAATTTTAATACCAATTCCTTGAGTTCTCTAGGCCTACATGGGAATGGCATGCATATATCTTGAAGGCATACAAGATCAAGAATAAAAAAACAGTATAGTTTCTAGGATCATATTATTATCTACAATTTGTAGAAAATTGGGCTGGGCATGGTGGTTCACGCCTGTAATCTCAGCACTTTGGGAGGATGAGGCAGGCAGATCACTTGATGTCAGGAGTTCAAGACTAGCCTGGCCAACATGGTGAACCCCCGTCTCTACTAAAAATACAAAAATTAGCTAGGCATGGTGGTGTGTGCCTGTAATTCTAGCTACTCAGGAGGTCGAAGCAAGAGAATAGCCTGAACCCAGGAGGCGGAGGTTGCAGTGAGCCGAGATTGCGCCACTGCACTCCAGCCTGGGTGACAGAGTGTGACTCTGTCTCAAAAAAAAAAATGTAGAAAATTAACAAATGTGGAGCCAAGTCATATGAACAAAGGGCAGCCTCGGAAGACTTTCTGTGGAAACAAATATTCATAATTCTGAAGCATATATTGGGTTCTTAAACTATTGAAACACAGAACACTGGTACTCTAAATCTCTTCCATCTGATTTCCCATTCACTCACTAATGATTGTTTTATTTTCCTCTATTGTAACGCATTAGATGAAAAGAATAACCATATTTCAACCCTATCATTCACTACTTATTTTATGCTAATTTATGCTGACATAAAACCCGGCAAAATACAAAAATGAAAAGAGCCACTTCAACTCTAATAATCACAATTATTTTGAAACTTAGAAATGTTTGAATTTACATCCTCACAAATACTGAGACAACACAAATATGGGAGCTAAGTTTATGCATCTTAATTACAATTCAGTATTCACAATCAAAGGAATCATTAGGCATCCAATTCAAGTGTTTGTTCCTGTACATAAAACAGAATACCAACATTATGTGCTGGAAAATGAATATGATAAGAAAATTCATTTTTACTTTCATTGATTTATATGCTAGAATGAAGAATTGCTATTTGATACATGTACATCGATTACAATTATTTTGCAAAAAGCAATGTTCGCTTAGAAAATCTCATTTAGTTCTAGTTGCTTCTATTTCTAGATAAGATCAATACTTAACTGTTGAAAAGATAGACTATTTCTTTATTTAAAAAATTGAGTTTAATACTTATAAAAATCCCATTTGTATCATAATTTAGTTATGCTTTCCATGTATTTTATTCCCTGAATTATAGTCCTTTTTCTATTTCTTTACATATTTTTTACTTTTATTATTGGAATATCAAAACATGTACAAAAGAAAAAAATTCAAAGCAGGATATCAAAAAGATATTAGCACTCCCATGTTCAATACAGCATTATTCACAATAACCAAGAGGTGGAAGCAAGCTAAGTGTCTATCGACAGATGAATGGATAAAGAAAACATGGTATATACATACAATGGAATATTATTGAGCCTTTAAAAAGGAAATCCTGTCACATGCTGCAACACGGGTGAACATTGAGAACATTATGCTAAATGGAATAAGCCAATAACGAAAAAGATGAATACTATATGATTCTACTCATATGAGGTACCTATAGGAGTAAAACTCATAGAAACAGAAAGTAGAATGGTGGTTGCCAGGGGCTAGGGGAAATGGGTATAGAGGTTCAGTTTTGCAAGGTGCAAAAATTCTAGAGATCTGTTGCACAGCAATGTAAATATACTTATCACTGTTAAATATTATGCTTAAAAATGATTAAGAAGGAACATTTATTTTTATTTGTTTTATTTATTTATATTGTATATATTTTAAAGCATAAAACATGATGTTTTTCTATACAATGATACCAAGTGACGTAATTAATACAGTCAAGCAAATTAACCTATACGTCTTACATAGCTACTTTTTTGGTGGTAAGAGCACCTTATTCCTTCTACTCTTGCTACTCTCTGAGCATATTTCTTGTATACAATACAATATTACTAACTGTAGTCATTATGCTGTACGTTAAATCTCTAGACTTATTCATCCCACATAATTACAACTTTATACCCTTTGATCTATAGGCCCCCATTTCCCCTCCCTTCCAGCTCTCTGCCCCTGGTAACCACTGTTCTACTCTCTGTTTCTATGTATTCCACTTTTTTAAGATTCTACACATAAGTGGGATTATGTGGTATTTGTCTTTCTGTGTCCGGCTTATTTCACTTAGCATAATGTCCTCCAGGTTCATCCATGTTGTTGCAAATGTCAGGATCTCCTTTTTTGAGGGCTGAATAATATTCCACTGTATATGTATACCACAATTTCTCTATCCATTCATCTGTGGGCAGACACTTTGGTTGTTTCCATGTCTTGGGTATTGTGAATAATGCTACAGTGAATGTGGGAGCACAGATGACTTTATGAGGTGCTGATTTCATTTGTGTCATATGATGGTTCTATTTTAAATTTTTTTGAGGAACCTTCATACCATTTCCCTTAATGACCATACCAATTTACATTTCCACCAATACGTTTTCTGTTTTTTTCTAACAAAATTAAAAATTAATTTAAAAAATGAGGTTGGCCCACGTGACGTGGTGAAACCCCATCTCTACAAAAAATGAAAAAAATTAGCCAGACATGGTGGAGCACACCTGTGGTCCCAGCTACTAGGGAGGCTGAGGCGGGAGGATCATTTGAGCCCAGGAAGTGGAGGTTGCAGTGATGCAATGAGCCAAGATCACTGCACTCCAGCCTAGGCAACAGAGTGAGACCCTGTCTCAAAGAAAACAAAACAAAAACAGAACAAAAAAGATGAGGTGATACTGGAGTAGAGTGGGCCCCTAGTCCGATATGACTGGTGTCTTTATAAGAAGATGGCTGTGTGAAGACACAGACACATAGGAAAAATGCTGTATGATGATAAAAGCAGAGATTGTAGTTATGTAGCTGCAAGCAGAGGAAGGCCAGATGGTTGGTAAACTACCAGAAACTAGGAGGAAGCAAGGAAGGACTCCTCCACAGGTTTCAGAGGGAACAACATAACCCTGACAACACCTCAATTTTGCACTTGTAGCCTCTGCAACTGCAAGAGAAGAAATTTGTTTGTTTGAAGCCACACAGTTTATGGTACTTTGTTATGGTAGCTCTAGGAAATCAATACAAGCAGAGATGGTGTCTATTTCGTTCCCTCCTGTATTCCTAGCATCCAGCCCAGTGTCTGGCACATAGAAGGTGCTCAATAAATATTTGTTGAGTAAGAAATGTACAAAAGTAGACAGAGTAGCAGTAGTGTGCTGGTAAATGTTTTGACCACTGGCTTTTGGGGAGGAGGCTGATTTTTAGCATGTGTTGATTTTCATGATGTACATACTCCCAACATGGTCAATTTCAAACTATGACTGTGATGACAAAATTCTTGGAAATTAAAAAAAATGGGCTTTTGTGAGCAGGAAGGTGGAGATCCAGCACTCTACTACTAGTGTGATGAGCCCTCATGTAATTATCACCCAGCTTCAACAATTATCAACTGACCGTCAGTCTTGTTTCATCTCTACCCTCGCCCATTTCTCCCCACCTTTATTATTTCAAGGCAAAATAGTATTTTGACAAATTAAATTTGGTGAAATAAAGTTCATCAATAACATCGTATTTTGATGAATTAAATTTGATGAAATAAAGTTCATCAATAATGTTTTAGTATGTATCTCTAAAAGATAAGGACACTTAAAAATAACCATAATACTGCTATTGCACCTGCAAGTTGATAATTTCTTAAACAATCAAATATTGGGTCAGTGTTCATATTTCAAATTGCCCCATGAATGGCATTTTCTCCATTGCTTGTTTGTTTAACTCAGCACCCAAAAAAGAACCAGATTTTGTGATTATTTTCTAGGTATCTTAATTCTTTTAATCTATACATTGTCTCTCTATCTCTTAATTTATTGTAATTTATTTGTTCATGAAACTGTATCCTTTGTCCTGAAGTTTCCAACTATGTGGTTTTGTTGATTTTCTATCAGGAAGCGCACAAGGTCTGGTTGTCTCTTAGAATGTTAGTCACCCACCATTGATGTTCAGTATCTACATACATTAACTCATTAAAGGTTGCAAAATGGTGATGTTCTAATTCTATCATCCCTTCTTTATCAGCTGGAATACTTCCATAATAAATAAAACTTTCCTATATCTCCTATTTGGTTACCTTGAGTTACAGGGTATGTAGGCAAGGCAGGATGAGTGCTGGAGTTCTTCCCCCTATTTGCCATCTTTCAAAATAATGAATTGGTTTACGTGCTTCCTCCAACAGTGACCAATTTTTATTTCCTTTAGCCTCATAATGAACTCATAGGTTTAAATATATTTGATGGGCTTCAGTACACTGAAGCTAGTATTTTTATTGATACTGGAATTGTCCCATCTCTGGCAACTGGGACTTTTCAATCTGGCTTCTGACTCCTTTTGACATGGTCCTAGAAGCCTTTCATAGCTTCCTTCATGTCTGGTGTAACAAGATGTTCCAGTCTCAACATATACATTTCCCGCTCAGTCCTGAAATCAGCCACTTCTTCAAGGAGAAATGGTTCCTTTTAATGAAAAATATTATTAGATACCAAAATCAGGGCATTTGGTATGCTCATTAATACTGAGCTGAATATTGTTTCCAGATCTTTTCAGTGAACAAAGCTAGGAAATTATTATACATTCGACTAATATTTTCATTTCAAATTCAGAACTGGATATTAACATCTTCTGTCTTTATCTGTTGATTTTGCTTATGGTTTTTTGGCATGCAAAAGTTGAAAAAAATTCATGTAATCAAATTTATCTTCTTTTGCTGTTAAATTTTGAGTCATAGAATTTTCTCTTTCCTAGGTTATAGAGAAGTTCACACATATTTTCTACTACTGATATTGTTTTTTGTTCATTTAAATTTCTGATCCAGTTGTAATTTATCCTGTTTATGGTGTGAGGAATGGATCCAATTTTATCCTTTGTCCTTATGGCTGTCTAGTTATCTCAATAGCATTTATTAAGAAGTCTATGTTTTCCTCACTGATTTGAGGTGCTAATTTCATTATAAACCAAACTTGCGTATGTAATTAGATCTATTTCTATATTTTATATTCTATTATTGGTCTGTCTTATCATTCAATTGTAATTATAGAGGTTTTTAATGGTATATTTTAATATCAGATGGAGTTAGTGCTCCTCCCCTGGGCTCTTATTTTTCAGGAGTTTCTTGCCTATTCTTACTTGTTTCTTTCTCCCAAATTAACTTTGTAATTATGAGTTTCAGTTTTTAATAAAGTATGTTTAACCATCTTGCAGGTAACCTAATATTAGTTTCCTTTATTAGAAAAAGAAGTTAATTGGCTTGGCACAGTGGCTCACGCTTGTGATCCCAGCACTTTGAGAGGCAGAGGCAGGTGGATCGCTTGAGCTCAGGAGTTTGAGACCAGCCTGGGCAACATAGTGAGACCTCTATCTCCACAAAAAATTAAAAAATTAGCCAAGCATGGTGGCGTGTGCCTGTAGTCCTAGCTACTTGAGAGGCTGGGGTGGGAGAATCACTTGAGCCTGGGAGGTTAAGGCTGCAGTGAGCCGAGATCGTGCCATTGCAGTCCAGCCTGGGTGACAGAGCGAGACCCTGCCTCAAAAGTCAAAAAAAAAAAAAAGTTAAGACACATTTTTGTTAAGCGCCTCCTCCTCCTCCTCCCCCCTCCCCTTCCTCTCCCCCTCCTCCTTCCTCTTCCTCCCCCTCCCCTCCTCCTCCTCTCCTCCTCCTCCTCCTACTTCTCCTTCTTCTTCCTCTTCTTCTTCTTCTTCTTCTCCTTCTTCTTTTCTTCTCCTTCTCCTCCTCCTCCTCCTCCTCCTCCTCCTCCTCCTCCTCCTCCTCCTTCTTCTTCTTCTTCTTCTTCTTCTTCTTCTTCTTCTTCTTCTTCCTTCTCCTCCTCCTCCTCCTCCTCCTCCTTCTTCTTCTTCTTCTTCTTCTTCTTCTTCTTCTTCTTCTTCTTCTTCTTCTTCTTCTTCTTCTTCTTCTTCTTTTCTTCTTTTTCTTTTCTTCTTCTTCTTTTCTTCCTTTCTTCTTTTCTTCTTCTTCTGTCTTACTCTAGTGCCCAGGTTGGGGTATAGTGGCATGATCATGGCTCACTGCAGCCTTGAACTCCTGAGTTCTAGGTATCCTCCTGCATCAGCCTCCCAAGTAGGAAAGAGTTTATTTTTAAAAAATGATTTCTATTTTTACATTGAAGTCTCTAATTCATTTGGAATTTATCCTGGTTTGTGGTTTGTGGTGTAAGGAATGGATCCAGTTTTTTCTTCCATTTGGAAGACTGAAAGGCAAGATAGGGTATAGGAATGAGACCTCAAATTGTTGATGGAGTTATGAGTCAACAGAATCATTGTTAAATTTCATTCACAGTAGAAACAATTAGACCTACCATCTCTGTACAATCTGTTTGTTATACCAGATTCTACCTCCATTGATAGGAAACACTGATCAACAGGAAGCTCTGCAGACTAGTCACTTTTCAAGGTCAAGCTGAATATATATTGCTAAGGCAGGGAACGATGACCTTAAAATTCTAGTTTATTTTACTGTGGCGTTAGGATGTTGATTGTAGTTTTACTCTATGGTAATACATTGGATCTGCTTTATGGAGATACTGACTAATATTTATCTGTTCATTTGAATCTTTATTGGACAACTAGAATTATTTTTACGGAATAACTGTTAATAAGCAGAATTGCACTGACAGAAATAGGACAGGCAAAATTTGATGAAAGAAAGAGATGGGAAAGTTCAGAGTACCCATGGGACACACGGTCTTGCCCTGGGAAGTTCTGGTTTCTCTTAACATTTTGTGCAGAGTGGCCACTCTTGCTAAAAAAGTAAAAAATACACACACACAGAAGTTGGTCCTGCCAACCAGCTGTGTGAATGATAAACTGTATACCATGCTCCTTCATTTTCACTATCCTGGCTCCCCAATTTCTGTTACACAGGCATGCTGACCCCTATCTCAAACATTGTGTTTGAGGCACTCACCGGTGAACTCCATCTTGAAATGACTTTGGTCAGCTGCTGTGAAAGAGTAGTTGAAGATATTTGAGAGACAGCCACTAAGATGTTAAGCAGACACTCCCTCAGGTCCTCTAAATACAGTTGGACATAATATCTGTGACTTTTATTGAGAGGTAGTACAATACATGGTCACATAAAGCAATTCTGTATCTTTCAGAGAATGATTGAAAATTATTGCAATATTCCTTGTCTTTAACTAAGAACTCTTGTGAGAAATGCCATCTTGAATTTAGTACCTGGAAAAAGTTTATTTCTATGGAAGAATCAGAGTTGTTGAGACAGCAAGAGCTATGGATTTTTTAGGGGGAGGGGTTGCCTTGGCTTGGCTATTTTTGGCCCTCAGGATGTTCAGAGGGAAACTGAATACTTGATTATTGAATACTGAATAGTAGTTATTTCATCCCTGATTCCCGATAAATTCACTTTTCCTGTCTCTATTAGAGATTTGATGTATGTAAGTTATAGCTTTATTTTCATCATCTTTGGTACATGTATCCATGCACTTTAAAAACTATAAATTGTATCAAATCTTTTCAGAAGCAAGTGCAGTACAGTGTATAAATAAGTTAAAAATAAATAAATAAGTAAATAGATAAATAAACCAGACATTTTGTAGCATGAAGTGATGTTTACTTAAGTATTTATCATATGTACTTGCCACTCAACTAAACTGTTACTCTTCCCTTGGGCATCTCAAACTGTAGAAGGGTATTTTTTATCCTTACTCAGTTTTTACAGGCTTCTGTGTCTAGAATGGGGCAAGAAATTTTCCTCTCTTCTCTTTTTTTTCTTTTTTTTGAGGGGGAGGAGGGGCAGTTGTTGCTCCTTTAAATTTGGACTCTGTCATTATCAACTTATCTTCAGTCATAGAAAGTTTGTTTGATGCAAGACAGTATCTTGTCAGAGGGGAGTGTTGTGAGTTGGCATAAACAGCTTGCTTCATGTGTCACCCTAATTCCCAAAGGATTACTGTTGCAACAGGTGATTTTAAGCACCAATAAATAGATAGAGGAAGCATGAGGGGGATGAGAGCCTGGGAAGCTGGCAGTAACAGTTAGTCGGTGGAACAGACTAAGGGGAGGAGAACCGACCAAATATGTGTGTGTGTGGCAGAGTGGTCCAGGTATGGGGCTAGGCCAGAACTACATTCCCTGAAATAAATAGCTAAATAATAGAAGAGAATAAACCACGTTCAGACAGAGTATTTCCACCTTTCAGTTTCAGCTCAAGATCAACTTCCGAGTTGAGCTTCCCTGTGTCTCTCCCAGCCCCTCCTTCCCAAGGCAGAAATCATCTCTGCTTTACATAACATGATATAGCACATAATTCACACCGCTTTTAAAGCACATACTGTTTTTTTACTGCATTTGTAGATGTCTGTCCTTCTCTCCTAGAATGTATGTCCCTTGACAACAATTTATTCACCTTTATTGCTTAGAGGCCCAGCTCTATTCCTGGACTGCAGAGTTGTAAGTAGTTGTTTGCTAAATAATGAATGCCATGATGAGGAATAAATAGGGCAGACTGAATCTATTCTGCCTATTCAGTGTTGATTGGCTTCTCACACTAATGGGCCTGACTATTGGCCTATAAAAGAGTTGGATACCTGGGGCCAGGCATGATGGCTCACGCCTGTAATCCCAGCCCTCTAGGAGGCCGAGGCGGGGGGATCACAAGGTCAAAAGATCGAGACCATCCTAGCCAACATGGTGAAACCCAGTCTCTACTAAAAATATAAAAATAAGCTGGGCGTGGTGCGCCTGTAGTCCCAGCTACTCAGGAGGCTGAGTCAGGAGAATTGCTTGAACCCGGGAGGCAGAGGTTGCAGTGAGCCGAGATCATGCCACTGCACTCCAGCCTGGCAACAGATCGAGACTCCATTAAAAAAAAAAGTGTTGGATACCTGGAAACCATAATTTCTCCCATTTAAGTTATCCCAGAACTCAGGTCTCAAACCTTTTAGACTGTGCACAAAATGAAGTTTTCTCCTTTGGGGTGGCTAAAGATATCTTGGTGCTTTGGAAGCTGTGACCCAGGTGTCTTGATAGGCATTAGGCTTTGGGGAAGGAATGTTGCTTTTCAGACCATTTTCACACATACTTACTGAATAACATGTCAAGGAAAAAGTGAAATGGCCCCTTCCTCATATCTCCATGTTGACCTCACTTCAGTAGGGATGACAGCTTTTGTTTTGTCAGGCCTTGCCAAAAGCTCTATTCAGTGAGAGCTTCCTGTCCTGCAGAAGTTGACTTTTTCTTACAATGGGACTGGTAACTTAACTTGGTCTTCCTGATTGTTATTCTTCAAGTTTGCCATAAACGCTATCTCTCTCTGTGGCCACTCTGGTCCCCATTGGATGAATCTAGTCCACACTTCTTTCCCATTTGGTTGAAGGGCACAGCATTCTTTTTTTTATCTCTAGTGCTATTTCACTGAAAAGGTGTGCAATGGAGGGGTAAGGGTCTTGTGAAAGGAACTTCCTCAAGAGGCAAGTAAATATCTCCTCGCACAACATTCATCTCCAGAGTCACTGTCTCAGGAGCAAAAGGTTTTTGTATTTGTCATAACATTTCTAAAGATCTTAAAAATTTCCTCACAGTGAGCCAGCCGTCTGTACTTTCATGAAGGAGACTGTTGGCCGTGGGTATTCCTGGCCTCTCCCCAATCAAAACTTCAAGCCCTTAGCCTTTCAGGCATTCACACTGTCTCCTTCCTCTGACTTATCAAAATACGTTTGCAGGAAAGAATCTTACATAGATCATTTTCTTTTCAAAATTATGTATATATTTATTAGAGACAGAGTCTCACTCTTTCAACTAGGCTTGAGTGCAGTGGTGTAATCATACCTCATTGTAACCTCAAATTCCCGGACTCAAGAGATCCTACCATTTCTGCCTCCTGAGTAGCTGGGACTGCAGGTGATTGCCACCATGCCCACCTAAGTTTTTCATTTTTTTTTGTAAAAATAGGGTCTCGCTATGCTGGCCTAGGCTAGTTTGGAACTCCAGGCTTCAAATGATCCTCCTGCCTTGGCCTCTCAAAGCACTGGGATTATGGTGTGAGCCACTGCACCCAGCATAGGTCATTTCATTATTTGCATTAGGGTTCAATGTCATCTTTTTCCAGAATTATTTTCATATTATCTTACCTCCATTTGTTGAATAAATGGCTTCTTGCACCTTGCCTTTTCTCCTTCAAATTCAAGTATTGAAAAATAATTAGATTGGCTGGATGTGGTGGCTCACTCCTGTAATCCCAGCACTTTGGGAATACAAAGCAGGAGAATTGTTTCAGTCCAGGAATTCAAGACCAGCCTGGGCAACAAAGCGAGACACTATCTCTACAAAAAAAATTAGGGAAAAGCATCACATTGTACACCTTAAATATATACAATTTAATTTGTCAATTATACCTCAATAAAGCTGGGGAAAATAAATAATTAGGGGAGATTGGAAATTAGGTGGTAATTCTCCGGGTGTCTTTATATACCACTGTATACTCCATCTAAGTGCCCAGATAAATAAAAGATCTAGAATTAGGAGCCAGATTTCCTGAACCCCTATATAATGCCCAATATACCTAAAAAATATTGAGTAACAAACACATCTTCTAGGGGCTAAAGATCATTTTCTCTTGCAGAGCAATGCCTCTGCCCCCGGAAATGTTCTTATAATTTAATTGATCATTGCAAGCTGGACATTGATCCGAGACAAACAAATACTGTCGTGTCATTGAAGGTTGGGTCACTGACTAAGATATGTATCCTGAAGTATGAAGGTGGAGAAATGGAGCCAGGAGCCAAGGAATGTGGGCAGCCTCTAGAAGCCAGAAAGGGTGAGAAACTGTATTTTCTCTTAGAGCTTCCAGAAGGAATGCAGCTGGACTGACACCATGATTTTTTAGGACTTCTGACCTCAGAAGTGTAAGGTAATAAATGTGTATTGTTTTAAGCCACTGAGTTTGTAATAGTTTGCTCCATCAACTACAGAAAATGAATACAGAATCCATGCTTTTCATCACCAGGCCTTGCTGTCTTGGATGCCTACAAAAAGTGAGTCTGTGGAATTACGGGGTCATCCTAAGGAAAAATAGAAAAACATGGCTGTAGGCCGGGCATGGTGGTGAACACCTGTAATCCCAGCACTTTGGGAGGCCAAGGCAGGTGGATTGCTTGTGGCCAGGAATTCGAGACCAGCCTGGCCAACATGGCGAAACTCTGTCTCTACTAAAAATACAAAAATTCGCCGGGTTTGGTGGTGCACGACTATAATCCCAGCTACTCTGGAGGTTGAGGCACGAGAATCACTTGAACCCAGAAGGCGGAGGCTGCAGTGAGCTGAGATCATACCATTGCACTCCAGCCTGGGTGACAGAGTGATATCCTGTCTCAAGAAAGAAAGAAAGAAAAGGAAATAAAAAGAAGAAGAAAAAAAGAAAAACGTTGGGTGGATATGACAGACCAGTATGTATGTGTAATTCAGTAGGGGTTTAGTTTTGCTTTCTACCTTTAAACATGATTAAAAAAAACTTTGATCATTTTTGAAAAGCATATGAAAGACAGAGAGAGAGAAATATCCATCATACTCAAAATTAATCCTTTGAAAATATTATAATTACTGTGGTATCTGGTATCCATCCACTAGATGTCAGGAGAGACAATGTCAAGGCTCCTACTCTGCTTCAACCTTCTACTCAGGTAGCATTCCTGATAAAACTGAAAAGCAAACCATTGTAGAAACCATACGATAATTTACATGTAAAATGCAGACAAGGTACAATAAACATTTCATATGACTTGGTTTTGGAATATATGTGTGAAAATCTAGACTTAGTCTGTGGTCTCATGAGACCAAATATAGCCAGCTCTTTTAAATAGCTTATGGTGGCACACGGAGGGCATTCTGGGTATTTCCCAGTGTCCTGTGGCTTACCCTGTACTTTTTGAACTTTTGAATAACACCTCACCCAGAAAGCTTCTCAGCAGTCTACCCACCACAAGGGAATTTGCTTTACTGGTTTTGCGTTAAGTTGGATCATTTTTGTGGCTCTTCCTAAAACCTGTTTCTGGCTGCCTTCTTAGTGTTCATTTGAGAGAAGCCATTGTGTCTTGAGTGATATTTAATTTACTTATTTAGAAGGTTTATGTAATTTTCCCTAGATCCTGTCTGTTCACTGTTCTTAAACGGATCAGCATGGCTCTGATTGACTACAGTTTCCCTTTTAAATCAAATTTCTTTTGGTTTGCTCCTGGGGCAAAATGGGTGGGTCTGTTAGTGGAGCAGTGAAGGGTAAGACTGTAATAAAGATCATAAATAACAAAAGTTAAAGTCAATGATGTTGTCAGATGACTCATCTGCATGGCATTGGCGTCAAGAGAGCAGAAAAGCAGTGAGAAATAAAAGCAACAACAAAAAAAGGAAAGGGCTTCTTGCTGAACTGTGGGGCGTGTGTGTGTGTGTGTGTGTGTGTGTGTGTGTGTGTGTGCTGGGCCGATTCCCAGGGAAGAAAAGTAGTCACTGATTCTTCTGTGGCATACCTGACCACAAATTGCCCAAGACTTCCCCTTGGTTATAGACAGAGCTTGAATCCCCTATCAAAAAATTGGACCAGAGCTTCTAATAACGTGATCGTATCCCAATACAATGGAAAGTTGAATTTTTATTGTTACCTCCTTAATTCCTCTTATTATATCTCTGTCATTAGTGTCAGGAGATTTTTTCAGGTAACATACTTATATTCTTTCTTAAGGTACAGTATAACTTTTTAAGTTTTCTTCTTTTTCTATTCATGAATCTTGGTTGAATGTTATTTTATATTTGTAGGGCTATGTGGGTTTTCTTCTCTCCTAACTTACAGATGCTCTCAGATCATTGTTTAACTTTGATAGCTTAACATTCTCTTTCTATATTCAAAAAATCAGTGACCTTGCCCTCTATCTGCCGGCTTAAGCTTTCATACACTGATCCAAAGCTTGTTGGAACATGGATATTTTAAACTATTACTCTCCCATATATCTACTTTTTAAGGGATTTTTAAACTTTCATCACTTTTAAATAAGTTTTGAATAACAAATACATGCATATGGTGCAAATCCCAAGCAGTAAAAATAAGTAAATACATTTAAAAAACTCAAAAAGTGAAAAGTTGTCCTTCTATTCTAATCACAGCCATTCGATTTCCTTCCCCAGGGCAATAACTACCACCAACTTGTATTTATTTTCCAAAGACATTCTAAGCATTTACACAATACAAATAATAACATACTTTATACACTCATCAACACTCAACTTTTTTCATTTAGCATTATTTTGGAGGTAGTTCATATCAGTACATGTAAAAATGCCCAATTCAATGTATGGATGAGCCATAATTTGTTGACGGACATCTAGATGGTTTCAAAGTTTTTGCTATTACAAACATTGCTCTAATGCCTATTTTTGTAAAGGTCTTTTTGTATATATGGGAGTATATCTGTAGGTTAAATCCCTTGAATGGAAATTGCTGGGTCAAAGGGTGGGTATATTTTTAATTTTGATAGAAATTACCAAATTGTCTCTATTGCAATCAAAATAATTATTAATCCCATCAACAATGTATGAGGGTGCCCATTTCCCCACACTCTTGCAACAGAATGTGTTATTTTTATCTTTCTTTATCTGATACATATTGTAGTTGTACATATTCTAGATTTAGTTTGCACATTTATGAGACTGAACACATTTCATATGTTTAAGAGAAATAGCTATTTCCTTTTTAAGTGAATTATCTATATTTATCCATTGTCTAATTTGTAATTGGGTTCTTGGCCTTAGTTTTATTGATATGTAGGGGTCCTTTATATATTAAGGAAACTGGCCGTTTGTCTGTAGGGCGTGTTGCTATTTTTTCCAGTTTGTCTTTGATTTCCTGATAATGATTTTTTGTGATACAATTTTTTTAGATTATATAGTCAAATTGATCAATCTTTGCTTTTATGGCTTCTGGGTTATATGGCATCTTAGATCTTTCCCACCCTGAAATTATAAAAAAATTGCCCACGTTTTATTCTAGTATTTTTATGGTTCTGGTACTTCAGATTCAAATATTTAATCCATTTGGTATATGGCATGAGATTTAATTTTCTAAATATACTTTAAAAATCATTATCTTTCCCTCATTATGTAAATATAGCTGCACATTATAAAAATTTTAGAGGTACCAAAAAACTAAAAGAAAGAAAAATTATCTCTCATGTTATCACCTAGAAATAACTACTGTTAACTTTTTTGTAATTCCTTTTTCTTTTTTTCTATATATAGAAACTGCTTTTTTCTTACAAAACTAGGGTCATGTTTATATATAGGGTCATATTATATATATAGTTTAGTATTCTGTCCTTTTTTCAACTTAATATTGTATCATGAGAAGATTTCCCATGTCAAATGTGCTCACTCTTGAAATAGAAACACTTGTTGTCTATCTGGGCCTGTCCATCTGCATCTGCAGTTGATCCTTGAAGAACAGGGGTTTGAACGGCAAAAGTCCACTTACATGTGGCTTTTTTGTTCAATCAAATGAGGAACAAAAGTATTTCTGGGATGCAAAACTGCCTTTGAGGAGGACCAACTTTTCCTATATGGTGGTTCCACAGGGCCAACTGTGGGACTTGAGTATGCAAGGATTTGGGTATATGTAGGTGTCCTGGAATCAATCCCTCATGGGTACTAAGGGACAACTGTATTTTAAGGCTTAGTTTGAAAGCTCTGGAGGGATAGAAACTGTGTCTGTGCAAATGGTTACGACTAGCGTTTGGGCATTCCCGTTTTTTGGTGGGCACCCAGTAAATGCTTACTGATAATGTCATGCTTTCCCTTCCATCATTCTAATCTGTGATTAGAAGTTAAGTACAGAGATACTTAATTTGGGACCAGATTCCATTCTTTATATAATGCTCCAAGAATAAATCACAGTGTTGCATGTCAGGTAAATATTCAATAAAATTTTGATCTAATACCATCTTTACACTGAACTATACCAAATCATTATTTTCTGTGAACAATTTTACCATTAAGTTTATACCTCATTTAATTAGGTAATCATGTAATAATTAAACAGACAATGCAAACAGACTATGATGGGAAAAGATTTGATTTCCAATGAGGGATTAATGCAAGCCTTCATGGAACAAGTGACATTTGATATGGGACTGGATGGAATTTGACAGAAATAGATATGGGAAAGGCAAGACATTTCTGGCAGAGGGGATCAAATGTGCTAGAATCCAGAAGTGAGTATATACCAGACATTTTCAGTAGATTGTCAGTAGTCCAGTTTGGCTGGTGCAGAGGTTACATGAGTGAGAATAGGGAGAGGCTAGGTTTACAAATTAGCTTTGTAAATGCAAAGTTTAACCAAGGCTTTGAAAGACAGACTAAGGAGTTGATACTTAAAAAAATTTTTCTTTTTCTTTATAATTTTATTTCCTCTTTAGCCTTTCTGTCTTGAGAAGTTGATACATTTTTGGGCATTAGAGTGATTAAAGGTTTTCACTTTTTTACTATGGAAAATGTTGAACATATACAAAAGTAACAGAACAATATGACAACTCCTCATGCAGCCATCACCCTGCTGCAGCAATTGTCATCTTATGACCACTCTCATTTAATCTCATGCCCCATTTACCCCTTATTATGTGGAAGCAAATCCTAGGCATCCTATTGTTTCATACATGTGTCCCTGAAACATAAAGATTTTTTACAAAAATAACCACAAAACCATGATCACACAAAAGAGCTGACAATATTTCCTTAATATCATTTAAGGGTTTTGAAGAAGATGTGCCATGAGCAGTACAGTGCTCATCTAAGTTAATCAAATTAACTTCATGTTGCATAGACAACTATCTAAATGTAGCTAACATAAACGAGCTATTTTTTTTATGAGTGGTGAATGCTATTAGTCACTTCACTGACACAAAGCCATTTAGGGATTTTTTTTTTTAAAAGCATGCAATTACGTCAGAAGCAGAGCTTGGAAATGATGTTTCTCGGAAAGAAAAATGTCATAGTCAATTTTAATTAAAATAAAACAGACAAAATATTTTCTCAACCTTTTAAAATCTTTCATAGAAATAACAGGAGTCCATTTTCTTCAACAGGGTACCTTTAGCTGGAACTAGCCAACAAAAAGAGAGTTTTTTTTTTAAGACTAAGGTCAAAGATAGATAATTAAAGGAAAGGAAGGAAATAAATAGCTCAGTATTGCAATAAATTGTGTCCTTCTAAAGAAACTGCATTACATTAGAATAGATTATTATCTGGGGGATGGTTGGAAAAATCCTGCTATCGTGGTGGAAATGCAATTACGTTCTGTTGGATGTTGATGAAGAGAAGGCCATTGAAACTCCAAAGCCTCCTTATTCCCCTGGGCGCCTTCATCCTTGTGACATTAGCCACCTGGAGCCCTGTTTGTTCAGTTGCCCATCTGATAGAATATCCAATCTCCTCATTTCCTGTGCTGTGGAAAATTATTTTATTCAGCAAGTGACTGAACTCTTCTTTGGAATGGAAATCGCTGATGTATTTGAGACAATGTATTTGGCACAAAGCAGACCTTGCCCAAAACCCACTGATTTTTTTTTAAAAAGGAAGACAATAGAAGGTATGATTCTGTTTGGTAAAGCAGAGATTATTTAAGAAGGTAAGTAGTTTCTTTATTTTATTTGAATTTCTGAAGATTTACTCTAACAAGGTGGAAGAGGAAAGAAAGCATCCATAGGAACAGCTGTTTCTACTGCTAAATTTTAGTTGTAATTCAGTCCCTCTGTGAGGTCACAAAGCCTTTCAAATCTAGAAGGACAATTGTAAGTTGCAGTGAGAGGCTGATGTATGTGCTGAATGACTTTGCATTCAAGATGGATAGAAAATGGGATATACACACTTAAAAAAAAACTTGCACTTTCTTTGAAATACAGTAGTCCCAATGAGAAATAGAGGCTTTTGGGCGTAGGAGGCAGAACTTGGCATATATTTTATCTTCACTCATTTTCCTGTCCTAACAGGCCTTGCCTTTGCTCTTTGGGTTAATGGCTTGTTCTCTATTGTTCTGTTGTTAACTACATTAAAGTTATGCAAACCTAGTTCCCCTAGATCATAAAGCTCACTTGTCCTTCTGCACAGCATGGAGATAGAGCAAAGGTTTCAACAGATTAGATTATAGTAGATGTGAACTGTGGTACCATCCCCATTATCTGTAGTTTAGACTGCCAGTAATCTTAGGTGGCCTTTCTGGAAGATGTCCAGAACCTGGAAGGAAACAAAGAAGGCCTTTAAGAGGTCAAAATAACTATCATCAAGACCATGGACTTTATCCTGTGGGAGAAGCATCAGGAGAGGCAGTCAGGTCCTAACTTTAATCAGTAACCTTATTTTGTACACAATTCTAATAGACTTCATTATCTGGCTTGCTGGCCCACAGCAAATTAGATGAGAGGCTATTAACAGCAGGTCCACTGAGAATCAGGAGAAATAACAGCCAAAATCTTGAATGCAGGGGTGGAGTAGAATTTTAAAAGACATATGCAAAAACTGGGAAAAGCTCAGCAGTCAGAGGCTATTGAGCAAAAGACAAACAATCATATGGGCCACAACAGCCTTGAGTATTATCTCCACCTGTTAGATAGGGACTCTCTTGCCTCCCTGTATGTATTCTTAGTACTTAGAACATAAAGTGGTATAAAGGAGACACAGCTTTTTTCTTCCTGGAAGCCAGACATTAAAACAGGATCCCAGTATAATCCAATAGTGCTTATAATGCTAGACCCAAGTCATCAAGCTATAATTAGATTATATTCACTTTACTCTGATTAAGAAGGCAGGAAAAAAAACCCATCCTGGAAATGTGATTGAAAACACTTGGGTAAACACCTAGTAGTGGGATTGCTGGAATGTACGGCAAGTTTATGTTTAACTTTATAAGAAAATGCTAAACTGATTTTCAAAGTGGCTGTACCATTTTGAATTTCTAGTATCAATATTTGAGAGTTCCTGTAGTTCTGTACTCTTGCCACCACTTGGTATTTTCAGTTTAAATTTTTTTTATATTCTAATAGGTGCACAGTGGTATATCATCTTGGTTTTAATTTGCGTTTCCTTAACAACTAATTATATCGAGCATCTTTTCATGGGCTTATTTGCCATCAGTTTATCTTCTTCGATGAAATGTCTGTTGAAATATTTCAACTTTTTTTTTTTTTTGACGGAGTCTTGTTCTGTCGCCAGGCTGGAGTGCAGTGGAGTGATCTCGGCTCACTGCAACCTCTGCCTCCCAGGTTCAAGCAATTCTCCTGCCTCAGCCTCCCGAGTAGCTGGGACTACAGACGAGCACCACCACGCCCAGCTAATTTTTGTACTTTTAGTAGAGACAGGGTTTCACCATGTTGGCCAGAATGGTCTCGACCCTTGACCTCGTGATCCACCTGCCTCGGCCTCCCAAAGTGCTGGGATTACAGGCATGAGCCACCGCGCTCAGCCAGTATTTTGACTTTAAAAAAAAATTGGAATATTTATTTTCGTATTATTGAGTTTTCCGAGTTCTTTATATATTCTGGGTATAAGCCTTTTATCAGATAAGTATTTACCCACCCAAGTGAAACGAAAACTTATGTTTGTACAAAACCCTGTATGCCAATGTTTATAGCAGCTTTATTCATAACTGCTAAAAACTGGAAGCCACCCAAACGTCTTACAACTGGTGAATGGTTAAAAGTTATAGAACATCTATAAAGTAGAATCCTACTCAGCAATAAAAATGAACAAACACCTGATTCACATGACAAAATGGATGAAACTCAAATGCTGTATGCTAAGTGAAAGAAGCTACGTACTGTATAATTCCATTTATGTGAAAATAGATCAGTGGTTGCCAGGAGCTGCAGGGTGGGGACAAAGGGGCAGCATGAGAGAATTGGAACAGTTTTCTATCTTGATTTTGTTGGAGGTTTGTCAACACTCATAGAACTAATTTAATAAAAGATGAATTTTACTGTATGTAAATGATACGTCAATTTTTTTTTTTTTTTTTTACAAAAGGCAAAAATAACAGTTGAGGGTATTGAAAGGAAGTAAGCTTTAAGAATGTGGAAAATGTACTGCTGTGGCTGCATATTGGGGGCTTTCAGTAAGCTGGAACATTAGGTTAGGCATTAGAATTTCATAAAAAGTTTAATCCTGTTTTTAGGGGGCAGAAATAGAAAATTGTAATCACTTGGATTTTAACTTTCAGAAAATTATGAATGCAGCAGTATCAGGCTTTTGCTTGGCAGTGAATAACTCATGTGATGGACAGACAGAGTCTTGGTGGAAGGAGGGGGGAGAGAAAACAAATTATGGATGAATGATCGCCAGCTTCTCCAGCTTTTTCTTATTTTACACACACACACACACACGTGCACACACATACACACAGACACATACACACACAGACACACATATACATACCCACACTTACACACATACACACATGTGCACACACATACTCACATACATATGCGCACACACAGACACACACATACACACATACACATACACATATGCTCACACATACAGACACATGCACACACATACGCACACGTACATACACATACATGCACACATACACACCCCCCATATACACACATACACATACACGCATGTACACACATATACACACACATACACAGGTACACACACATGTAAACACACACAAACACATACATACACTTCAACTTTTTCCTTTCTTCCTCCTTCTCCTTATCCATATACCAGTCTATCAGTCCATCTTTCACATTGGAGCTAAATCTCTTTGTGATCCAGGCACACCAGCAGTACCTCAGCCTCACAGTTTAACTTATTTCCTATGTACATTCCTACCTGTGTGAATTTGCTCACATTGGTCCCTTTGCCAGATATAACCTCTCCTCTCTAACTCCTTTAACCTCTGATAGGCAGACTTGAAACTTTCAAGGTCCAACTCAAGATCCGCCTCTTCCATGAAGCCTTCTTTGATCACCCCAGTCAACTTTGATCACCCAGTGTCACCCCAGGGCATTGAATTTTCCCTCCTTGTATTTGTGGAAAAACAGGTAGAGAAAATTGACTTGACTCTAAAGGCGGCAAGTAGAACAAAATATCAAACATATGCACATTATAGAAGCTAGATTAATGTTGGCTGATGGGCCTGCACCATTAGCTTTGGTTGAGGCAGTATCATTGTAGTGGTTAAGAGCATGGAGGAGGCCGGGCATGGTGGCTCATGCCTGTAATCCCAGCACTTTGGGAGGCTGAGTTGGGTGGATCATGAGGTCAGGAGATGGAGACCATCCTGGCCAACATGGTGAAACCCTGTCTCTACTAAAAATACAAAAATTAGCTGGGCGCGATGGCATGTGCCTGTAATCCCAGCTACTCGGTAGGCTGAGGCAGGAGAATCACTTGAACCAGGGAGTCGGTGGTTGCAGTGAGCTGAGATCGTGCCACTGCACTCCAGCCTGGTGACAGAGCGAGACTCCGAAAAAAAGAAAAAACAAAACATGGAGATGGAGGAGGCACATGCCTAGGTTTCAATACCAGCTCTGCTGTGTACTGGCCGTGTGATATGGACAAATTACTTAACCTCTAAGTCTCAGTTTCCTCATCTATAAAATGGGGATACTAATAACATCTACCTGGGGTTATTGTGAGGAGTAAATAAATTACTTTATATAAAGTGCCTGGCACATATGGAGCTCCATGTAAGTGTTAGCTGCCATTATTTTGGAAGCATAGAATTAGTTGAAAGTAATTCTAATCAGATGGGGTAAACATATTGCAAAGGATACATTGGTTTCAAGGGAAATATTACCATTAGGAGAGGCAGAAATGTAAGATAGTATTCACATTCATCTCGTTCAGGCATGTCAGAAAGATCAACAACACTTGTTCCATTATGGATTCTAAAGTAACTCTGTGAAAATATAGAATTCCAACCTTCATAATGAGACTTTAAAGGGGGCTGCGTAGGCGAGGGCAGGGGGAGATGGGGAGGGAGAGTCAGCTGCTGTATGGACTTCTCTGAAGAGAGCCCTTATAGCTGGCCTGTCCCACGAGCAGCCTTTTGATATTCTAGGCAGCTGCCTGACACTGCACTTTGGTGCTCCACAGTGTAATTAACGGGCATGCACACAGCTGCCTTGTCAAACAATTGACCAGACTTGGCAGTGTATGCTACAGAGGCGGGGTGGTAGCAGGGAGCACCTAGAATACATTTACCACCTTGGGCACTGGGCTTTCCCAACAGCTCTGTAATAACACTGCAGCTGCACCCTGAGCACTTCTCAAAACAGTGTTCCTGCTAACTTCTTAGAGGGGACTATCCAAATTCCTCGATTCAGAATGCGTTTCCATTTTCTACCTTACACAACAACAATATCACTAGCTTGACCTCCTCCTTGATGCTATCAGAGTCAACTGTGACTGGCCCATTAGTTTTTTTTGTTTCTCCTCTAAACCACACAAATACTTTTTCATCTCTATTACCATTAGCCAGATAAATCTTGTTCAGGGAAGGAAGTGTAAGAGGAAGTGTGATGTCAGGAAAAAAACACGGGACTGGGAATCAGAAGACTGCATTTTTTGTTATGGCTCATTAGTTTTATGACCTTGAGAAAGTCGTTCGTTCACTCTGGACCTTTGGGTGTTGTGTACAAGTGAGATGGTTAGGTTGGAGAGGAACTTTCTGGGATATTTGTGGCTTTGAGGATTTAATACTCATAAGCCATTGCAGGGGCTTATGATCTTTGGATCTTTGATGTCATGGAGCCCTGTATAAGAATTTCAGAACCGTCCCTACCCTGAAACTTTGCTTGTTGACAAACAACTGACTCTTAATCAGAATAGCATCCCTGTCACTGAAACTTCCAGCCTACCGTGTTTTTCAGCCTTTCTTGAGGGTGCTGAGTAATTTTAACATGGGGTTGTATTTGGAATGCTACAGCGGCTTTTGGTACAAAGCTCCAGAATGACAAGACAGACCTGAGGATCAATTATAAGCCCAGCTTTGCCATTCCATATATAGGGTGTGTGCCCACCCTGTACTTGCTCATCTAGGTTATGTTTTCCACATTTTATCTGTGTCAGACATCAGGCTCCTAATTTGAGAAATATACTGTTGGTTTTAGCTGAAGTCATTTAGCTCATTTCCTTGTTGGAGAAATGTTGTCTTACACATACAGACTTCCTCTAGAGATGGAGGGGATGGCCCTGGCAATCCTACTGTATGCCTTCTGCACGTTTTTATCCATTTGAAATCAGGTTGAGGAGAACACCAGGGACGGCTCAGAGGGAGTTGAGAATGCCTAAAAAGGATATCAACAGCCTCAGGGTGTGTGTGGTCAGAAGGTTGAGACTCAATAGCCCACAGTACTGCTGGTTTTGCCTGAGGAGTGAGCAATATTTATGGATAACAGCCAGTTGTGTGCACCTCTTCCTGACTATGCATTCACTAATGTGTAGTTGGTACCTTGACATGGGCCATGGTGGAAATATTTTCAGTATAGAAATCAGCAAACACTACAAATCAGATATGTTTTAAAAAAATCTCTTTCTTTCTCTTGTTCAATTGGATAATTTCTTTTCATTCATCTTTCAGTTCAATGGCTCTTTCCTCTGTCATCTCCAATCTGCTATTGATCCCTTCGAGTGAGTTTCAAATTTTTGTTATTGTGTTTTCCATTTCTAAATTTTACATTTGGGCTGGGTGTGGTGGCTCACGCCTGTGAGGCACTTTGGGAGGCCAAGGCAGGCGGATCACTTGAGGTCAGGGGTTCGAGACCATCCTGGCCAACATGGTGAAACACCGTCTCTACTAAAAATACGAAAAAATTAGCTGGACCTGGTGGTGCGTGCCTGGGGAGGCTGAGGCAGGAGAATTTCTTGAGGCTGGGAAGTGAAGGTTGCAGTGAGCCACTGTGAGATCGCATTACTGCACTCCAGTCTGGGCAACAGAGGAAGACTCTGTCTCAAAAAGAAACAAATCAATAAATAAATTTTACGTTTACTTCTCTTTTATATCTTCTATTTCTTTTAGAGATTTTCTATGTTTTCAATTATTGCAAGAATGTTTACAATTGCATAGAAGAGCATTTTTTTGTTTTTTGAGACGGAGTCTCACTCTGTCTCCCAGGCTGGAGTGCAGTGGCGCGATCTCGACTCACTGCAAGCTCCGCCTCCTGGGTTCACGCCATTCTCCTGCTTCAGCCTCCCGAGTAGCTGGGTCTATAGGCGCCCGCCACCACGCCTGGCTAATTTTTTTGTATTTTTAGTAGAGATGGGGTTTCACCGTGTTAGCCAGGATGGTCCGGATCTCCTGACCTCGTGATCCGCCCGCCTCAGCCTCCCAAAGTGCTGGGATTACAGGCGTGATCCACTGCGCCTGGCCATAAAGACGGGGTTATTCTCAAGTTACAAATGAGGATACTGAGGCCCAGGGTGGTGTGGCAACTAATTGTTCAGAGGCACAGATAGAAAATGGTAGACCTGCCTGAATGTAATGTGAAAGATTGCATAAGGAGTCTCCTTGCTTATACCAACACTTGGTACAATCAGCCTGTAGTGTGTTGATAAGTGTTCAACAACTGGATCTCCAAGGAAGAAATAAAGGGCCCTCAGCTCCAGGCAAGATGGAGTAAGCATGCTTCCACCCACCATTTCCTACTGGACAGAATTCATGGGGCAGCTATTTGAAGATGCTGAAAAGTAGATAGTAGCAGGCCGTTTGGGGAAGAAAACCTGAATTCAAATATTACCAAATCGATGGTGAGTTTACTCCCACCCCCCAATCTACCCACCCCTCCATCTCCAAGATATTCCCCAGCCTAAACACAACACAGCCTGAAACGTGAAAGTAGGCATCAGCACAGAGAAAGCTCCAAGAAGAACTCAGTCTGAAACCTGAAAGTAGGCATCAGCACAGAGAAAGCTCCAAGAAGAACTCTCTCTCTCTCCCTCCCTCCCTCCCTCCCTCTCTCTCTCTCTCTCTCTTTCTTTTTTGAGACAGGATCCCACTCTGTTGCCCAGGCTGGGGTGCAGATGTGCTATTATGGCTCACTGCAGCCTTGGGCTCAGGTGATCTTCCATCTCAGCCTCCTGGGTAGCTGGGACTACAGGCTCACCCCATCACACCTGGCTAATATTTTAATACTTTTTTGGTAGAAACAGGGTTTTTCCACGTTGCCCAAGCTGGTCTCTAACTCCTAGGCTCCAAGCAATCCTCCCAACTCAGCCTCCCAAAGTTCTGGAACTACAGGTGTGAGCCCTGCACCTGGCCCCCTTCACCTTTCTGTGTAAGCAGTAAAACGAGTACAATGAAAGTGCATACTTCACAAGGTTATTGAGAGGATTAAAGGAGATAATACATTAAAATGCTCAATAATTATTGGCTATTATTAATATTGGGTCAATTTAATTTAGTGATTCCTGTGAGCTAGGCCCTATAGGGCTATGGAATGGATATCTTGTAGTTATAATGCCCATAGATGATTGTGTGTAAATACGCACACACACACACACCCAATCTTGGGGTGTTTTGGGGAACTCACTGACAGCACTACCTTCTCTCCCTGAGACACTGACCTGCCTCCTGGTCTCTGCAGCATTGCAGGGTGAGGAGCCACTGTCTTGATCTACTTTAAAACACTGGACCATGCTTATTGGACTATACTGAAGAGAAATTAATGAGCATGCAGTTAATCTCTGCAGATTGACTGAGGGCTCTGTCACTTTCTGCTTATAGCTTGTAGTCCTCAGTTCTTTTCAAGTTAATAGCTTGTGACTTTTTGGTCACTCTTTCTGTGGGCTGGGCTGACTGCTCACCCGGCTTCTCTGCAGGAGCAGCATGTGCATTGTTTCTGTTGCAAATGGTTCCTGGAGCTAGAATTAAGAGAAGTGGTTTTGCTGATACATTTTTGTGGTTTGTCTAACACCTTCTTTCTATAGCAACACATCGCCTCTAGTTTTCCTCTTTGGGTGTCTGTTTGTGTTTTTAATTTCCTTTTTGTAGAGTCTTTTTTGATTAAAAATTTCTCCATGCTCAAAAGATGTTGAAATTCCATTTTAGCGTTTTGATAAGGGGTGGCTATAATATTTGATATTCAAAGCAGCAGCAGCAGCAGCAGCAGCAAAGCTCTTCATGTGATACGATACTGTTTGACATGCCCCAGCTTCTGTTGCCTTTTAAAAGACAGCATGGTGTGGTAAACAGAGCTCTTCACTGGCAGTCAGAAAAACTGATGTCAAGTCCAGTATCTGCTCCTCCCTTCCCTGGATTCATAGGGCAAGTCACATCACGGCTCTGCTGCTGAGTTTCTGTTATTTGAATACATTGAGGCTAGGGGCCACAGCAGCAGAGATGAGCTAAGGCCACAAGTGGAGCATATGGATACCAGCAACTGCAGAGGAAAATCTCAGTGACTGGCAAGAGCACATGATGCAGCCTGGGCCCCTGCTGGGGAAACCGAGGGATTTAAGGAGCTGGTTTCTGGCCAGTCTCCCTTTGCTTTTCCTCCCCCAGGTTGGTGAAAGTGCTAAAAACATGAGTTCACTGTGAAACACGGAGGCTTGAGGCAGATCATTACGGAAGCCTCTTAGCTCCAAAATTTGGGGTTTACCATAGGAGGGACTGGACTAAGGCAGGTGCAGGAATATTGGTGAAGCTGCTGCTGTTATCTTGGGGGCCCCAGGCAGGAGGAACAAAAATCAACTTATTTAATCTTGCAGTTTTCGTTTCCTCATTTCTGAAATGGGGATAATAATACCTCCTCGGCTTGGTGCTCAGTGCAGCTGTGAGGAGCAAATGTGAGAGCGGCTGCGAATGTGGTCCTGGTAGCACTCCCAAGCAGAAACATAAGCCATGTCAAGGTCCCATCTGGGAAAATCTGCTCCTTTCCTGGTCTTCCCCCTCTGGGCATCAGAACTTTAACTGCATTTGCCAGGTGGAGTCCATACAGTTCAGCTAACAGTACTTTAACACAACAAAAAGACTTAGCTAAAAATGACTCAATGCAGGCAACATAACTCTTAGGCTGCAAGCGATCCTCCCAACTCACAACATAACATAATTATCTACAACAAACCACAGATCCTATATTGGCAGGTTTTAATTTTTTTTTTTTTGACACAAGTTCTCGCTCTGTTGCCCAGGCTGGAGTGCAGTGGTGCAAGCTTAGTTCACTGCAACCTCCGCCTCTCAGGCTCAAGTGATCCTCCCACCTCAGCCTCCCAAGTAGCTGGGACTATAGGCATGTGCCACCATGCTTGGCTAAATTTTTTTTCTTTTAATTTTTGTGGAGACTAGGTTTCACTATATTACCCAGGCTGTTTTTGAGCTCCTGGGCTCAAGTGATACTCCCATTTCAGCTTCCCGAAGTGTTGGGATTGCAGGCATGAGCCACTGTGCCCTGCCAAGTTCTAATGTTATTTTCAATTTCCTCTTCAGTAAGGAATTGGGGAAGACCCCTATCTTTTGTGATTAGGAAATTGTTGCTGTTCTGGTGTATTCTGGATTTCTATCTTTTTCTCTTTGTCTAAGTCCTACATGTTCTCTTCTGTGTGTTCCCTGCTGTTTTTGTCTCATGCTAAGCTGCACTGAGATGGGTCTTTTTTTGGTATAAAGACACTCGTTAATTAATACAAGAAATTCACAGTCATTCAGCAAACATTTATTGTGTCGGCCATGTGCCACGCACTATGCTGGAGAGTGGGAATACAGAGATTTTTTTAAAAGTTCTCATCTTTTAGGCCTTTATAGTTTAGCAGAAGAGCCAAACAATTATAGTAGTGAGATAAGTGCTCTGATCATTTCATAGAGGGCCATAGGAGAGTACAACATAGTTGGGTATATTGATGGGGCTGGTCCCAGGGAAGCTGAATCTGAGTTGAGGTCAAAGGAGTAGTTGGAGTTTCCCTGGAGAAGGGGGCTAGGAGAAAGATTTTCTAGGCAAAGGCAGCATTATTTGCCAAGGTATTGGGGCACTGAAGGGCGTAGCATTTACAGGGAGCTTTAATAGCTTGGCTAAGTCAAAAGTAGGGATTAAGGAAGGTGTGGAGTGATGGGAGATGAGACTGAAGGAACAAGAAGGGGCTGGGGCATGAAGAGCCTTGGACATCCTGCTGGAAGAGAGTGGGAAACTAGTGGAGAGTTTTAAATAGGGAATCAACATGATCAGGTTTGTGTTTTTGAGAATAAGGTATTAAAAGAGGACTCAAGATGCTCAAGCACAATGCATCGAACACAGTCAGGAAATGTGACAGAAACCCACAGTTTCTATCCAGGAGATGGCAAGATGATTGGCTATAAGGCAGTAGCAGTGGGGATGGAGATCCAAACTTGTTCCTGTTGTCTTGGTCCAAGTAGTAACTGGGGTCTTACAGCAATATTGGCTAAGTGCTGCAGTGGTCGGGGCTTATAAGAATGGAGAAAAGGCCCTGGATTTGTCTTAAAGGAAGTCACTGGTTCCAGGGTGAAGGATGTGGATAGCAGGGAGTGATGATGGCAGTGCTTTCATATGCAGAGTCCAGGAGAGATTCAGCAAGGTACAGTATGTTGAGGTCAAGTCCATGATAGTTAATTTTTTGTGTTGTTTTTATTGTATCAAAGAGCACAAAATGGTGTTTGTGTTTTATTTGGCCTATACAACATTCCAAACATTTTGAGTCAACAATGAAAAACCAGGAGATTTTACAATTTACAAACTCACATTTCTGGTTTCTCTTGAAAAATCCAGACGCTCTGGCAACACTAGGCCTGCATTAGTTCATGTGGGTCAGCTGGAGCGGAGTAGCTACTGCACCCTTTAGATGGACTGTTTGCTCTCTAATCAACCACACACCCACCCCTCACACCGTGTATGCAGATGCACTCACACTCTGCCTGCTTAGCCAGGGTGGGCTTTGAGTTTGTAATCCCCAGGTTATCTCAGGCCTAGCTATTTTTTTTTTTTTGAGACGGAGTCTCGCTCTGTTGCCCAGGCTGGAGTGCAGTGGCGCGATCTCAGCTCACTGCAAGCTCCGCCTCCCGGGTTCATGCCATTCTCCTGCCTCAGCCTCCCGAGTAGCTGGGACTACAGGTGCCCGCCACCACACCTGGCTAATTTTTTTGTGTTTTTAGTAGAGACAGAGTTTCACCGTGTTAGCCAGGATGGTCTCCATCTCCTGACCTCGTGATCCACCCGTCTCGGCCTCCCAAAGTGCTGGGATTACAGGCCTGAGCCACCGCCCCCGGCCTCTCAGGCCTAACTTTAAAGGTGACTTGCAGCAGCCAGATTGCTCATACAGGATGGTCTTTATCATTCCAGTGAGCAGATTAAGCCATCAGCTGAGAATAAAGGACATGGAGAACAGATTGGATTACAGAAGTCATGACTGCACTTGTAAGTGTTGTCTTGATAACAAACATAGTAGGCTTAAAAAATCTTTAAGTATGAAACTTTCTCAAAGTTCTTTTACAAAATATTTCTTATTGTTCTGTATTGTGATTTCTTATTGTTCTGTATAGTCTGTTTACATGAATGTCTTTCTCACTCATCTGGTGAACCTCTTATGATCAGGAACTGTACCTTTTCCTTGGCTGTGGGTCTGATATAATATAAAGATATACATACATATATACATGTTGATATATGTGTATATATGTTGATATATATATATGTTGAAATATACATCTATATAATCAGACCCTTGAAAGGGGTTGATATCATAGAAGGATACACACACACATATATATATACACACTCACATATATATGTTGATATCTATCTATATATGTTGATATTGTATATATCTATTATATCAGACCCTTTCGACACACACTCACACACACACATATATATGTGTGTTGTGTGTGTATGTGTGTGTATATATATATACACACACACATATATATATATATATATATATATATACACACACACACACATGCACACATATATATATATGGAAAGGATAAAAGTGATGAAGGGGAGAATAAGACTGTCCCTTAGGGTTCTTGTCAGGAGACCAGATGAGACAATGTATGACCAAATGCTTAACACAGAGCCTAGCACGTAATAGACACCCAAATCGATTTTTCTTCCTGCATATGAAAGAGCTTAAAGAGCACATACTCAATAAAAGCTGGTTGCCTTTGTTTCCTCTTCCCCTTCTCTGATGTCAACATTCCTGGGAGATTCACCTTTGACCATTCTAGCAGGGCTTTTACATGCAGTGTCTCTCACTCAGCGGGCACTCGTTTATATATTCAATCCATTGATTACAATGGTAGATTACATACCTACTATGTATACAGTCTCATACTAGATGCTGCAGGGATGCTAGAGGTAAGACCCACTTCTTCTCTCTTGTTCTTTGCCTGGTAGGGGGATTAGACACATATTCAAGGAACTCTATATATGAAAAACAAACTATTCGATGTGCCACAAAAGAGGACAGGCAAAATGCACCTGCCATCCAGAGCAGCGTGGAACCCCATGAGGTAGGGGGAATCAGGAAAGGCTTCCTGCGGGAAGTGATACCAAAGACAGCATGGGAAAGGGTAGGATTTCAGCATGAGGAGGTGGAGTGGCTGTGGAGGCAGTTTTCTGCCTACATGCAAAGTTTTCCTTGGAATTATGCCTAGTTGTCAAAGGTCTTTTAAAAATCTAAATAAAGTAGACACATTGTTTCTTCTCTTGCCAACAGGTCTCTTTACCCTCTTAGACAACTCTATAGATGAATGATGCAAAAGCAAACCAAAACCTCAAAGTGAGACACTTAACTAGGTCATACCACCAGACTTACTTGAAATATCAAACTGGTATTATTTCTTTGCTTATACCTGAACACTCATTGGCAAATATTTACTGAGTATCTATTATATGTGAGCACTGGCACAGTTACAAGATACTGTGGCATATAAAAATGAATACAATATAGGCCATGGCCTCAAAGAGCCTTGACTCTATTGAGACAGATATGAAAATCATGTAATGTGGTAAGTAGTCTAGTGGTAAGTAAGTAGTCTAGTAGTATGGATCTGATCCAAGTGCTATGAATGTGCAGAGGAAGGCACAATTAACTATATCTGTAGAGAGGTTGAAGGAAGGTGTCACAAAGGAGGTGACATTTTTAGTGGGCCTAGAAGAATAAGTTGAATTTATCAAGGCAGAGAAGGGGGTAAGAGAATGAATTAATATTAATCAGAGCCAGGAACTTCAGGCTTAACCCTCAGTGAAACCTTGTGATCTAGCTATGATTATTTCCATTTTGCAGATGGGGAAATTGAGGCTCAGAGAGACCAAATGAATCATCTAAAGTCACATAGCTAGTCAATGTCAGAGTTAGGCTTTGAACTCAGGCTTCCCTGTCTCCACTATATCAAGCTGCCTTCATGGGGAAGAAGCAGGGGGCAGTAAGGATATGGAAAGACATTCTAGGCAAAAGCAAACTTTGCTGGAGATGAACAGGGTTTGTGTCAGCAGGGTCTCACTTTAGCTATGACCATAACTGCCTGACTTTGGAGCGCTTTACAGATGATTATCTCCTTTTTTGGACCTGCTTTTGAAGTTAGAGTTGTTCAATGCCTGCTTATATTGACTATAACATGCAGTTCAGCAAGCATTTATTGACTGAATTGGCTGCAACAAATGGGATTTAGACTGTTTGACCATCTTCCAAATCATTTGTACAGTGATAGATTGGAACAATTCTCAGAAAGTTTACTTTAGCATTTCAGTTAGCCAAAGTCACCAGATTGATAATGCTCTTTCCTGGACCTTACAGACAGAGACACACGGCCTGAAAGTAAAGGCTGAAGGAACTTATTTTTCAAGAGGTAGCTCTCTTCAAAGTACAAAATGTTATGTATTTAGGAACCACTTTAAATCCTTTCCTGAACAAAAGAAAGTTTAAATACACAGATAGATAGGCATATAGGTAGATAAAGTGGTAGAAAAACATATATAGTCATGCATTGCTTAATGGTGGGGCTATATTCTGAGAAATGCGTCATCAGATGATTCCTCTGTTGTACAAACCTCACAGAGTGTCCTTACACAAGCCTAGATGGAATAGCCTACTACACACCTCGGCCATATGTATAGCCTATTATTCCTAGGCTACAAACCTGTACAGCAAATTGCCGTACTGAATATTTTTAGCAAATATAACACAATGCTAAATACTCAAAACATATGTAAACATAAAAAAGGTAATGTGTGACCCTATGACGTTAGGATGGCTGTGATATCACTAGACAACAGGAATTTTTCAGTAATTTCCCATTATTATGAGACCTTCGTCATATATGTAATCTGTCCTTGACTGAAATGTCCTTATGTGGGACACGACTGTGTTTATGTCTATAAACCCATGTACATTTATATATGCATACATGAGTATTTCACTTATAAGAATTTGTACAGTGGCTTAACTGATAAAAATGATCCCACAGCAAAGTCTACTATAGTCGCTCCCTATCCCTCTTAAAAAACAAAAACTTCTCCCCGTTCACCTTTGAGCAAAGGAAATATGCCTGGCTAAGGACTGATGAGGTTCTTAGTGAAAATAAAAATGCTGTAACCCTGCCTGTTTTGCTTATGGGAATACCAACTATTAGGAGTCACAAACCTCAGTACCACAGTGCCATTGACCCATGCAACTGAAGAACTGTCCTGCATGCTCTGGTTTAATGCTTTGGAGTGGTGTGCGTGGACGTGTGGGTGCCCCCAAATTGCCAAGCCTTCTTGGTCCCTTTTCCAAAGCAATTTTTAACTATATTCCTTTCTTTCTGTTTGATTAGCCGTCACCCTAGGATAGATCATTATCACGGCACACCTACACTATTGTGATAGCTTCCAAATCATTTTCTCTGTTTCTAGCTGTGTTCAATTCCATCCATGCACAGCCGTTTGAAACTAAACACTATTTTGGCAAGTGACACTGGCACACACACAAAAAACTAAACTAAATACTGCTTTCTTCTTCCTGTCTTTTATTCCATAAAAACAGACATTCTTTTTTTTCTGATTAGATAACTAACATGTTTGCAGTTAAAAATACAAAAATAAAATAGGGAAAAATGTAAGGAATAAAGTGAAAAATCACCCGCAATTTCATCACCCTGAAATAACTACCATTAATATGTTGGTTGCTCTCCTCTCATTCACCTCTTGTGTGTATTTACACACACATGCAGTTTTACAACTTTTAGTTGCTTCCTTGTTACCCTAGTTAACCCAGTGTTAACAATTGGGTGTGTATATTCTTCATCTCTTTCTTCAGGTTCATATAACTATGTTAAAAATAAGCAGATATAAAGCCAGGCATGGTGGTGCCTGCCTTTAGTCCCAGCTACTCAGGAGGCTGAGGTGAGAGGATTGCTTGAGCCCAGGAGTTCAAGTCCAGCCTAGGCAACATAGCATGACCCTGTCTCTAAAAAATTTTTTTTAGAAAATAGACATATACATATATAGGATTTAAAAACAGTTGTTCATAAAAAAGTATCAAGTTATATACTTTACCTTGCCTCTAGCTTTTCTTTCTCAACAGTAAAATTCCTCCACGTTTACTGGTATGGATCTAATTAATTCCTTTTAATGCCTGTAATATTCCTTGGTATAGATTCACTATTAATTCATTTCTTTCTCTGTGGAAAGGCGTGCCTTTTGTTACTAGTTTTCTGTCACTATAGAAACAATACTGCTGTAAATATCTTTGTGCATATATTTGTGTAACTCTGTTCATACTGGTATTTTTTTTTAATTTGGGATAGATTTACAGGAGTGGAATTGCTCAGACAAAGGGTATGGATAGTTTTGATTTTTATAGATATTTCTGGATTGCTTTCCCAAAAAGGGTGTAACTACTCACATAAATATATGAGAGTATAGTTCTCCTTTCCTGTCCTGCCAAACAGTAGGTGTTAGCGCTTAAACATTTGCCAATCAAAGGAGTGACAAATATCTCCTTATGTGTTTAAAATTTGCTTTTCTCAAACTGCTATTGTTTAATGAACTTTAGGATTTGCACTTCATATTCTTTGTTTATTTTCCTACCGTGTTGTTTGTCTTATGAATTCGAATGAGCTATTTGAGTATTTTGGATGTTAATCTTTTATCTGGCATATGTATGTTTTATTTCCCAACATATCATTTGTCTTTCAGTTTGCTTATGGTATTTTTCATAGAAATGTTTAAAAAATTATATAACCAATATGTTTAGGCTTTGCTTTATAGTTTCTGGGTGTTCTATCTCAGTTAAAAGGTTGCCAAACCTACTGCATTACATATATGTTTGCCTAAGTGTTCTTGCAGTCATTATTTTATTAAACTTATTCTTGTACCATGTCTGAAATTTACTTTTAAAAGTGGGGTATGGTGGATAGTGAAACTCAATGGTAGTCAATTGTGCCAGATACTTTTTGATTAAATAAACTAACCCTTTCCTACTCAATTGAATTACCATCTTTGTCATATATCAAAGTCTCATATACACTGGTCTCTATTTCTATACTTTTTTGTTCCACTGAACTATTTGTCTATTCATATGCCAATATTATATTATTCTGCAAAGGCTTTGTAATATATTTTAAACCTGGGATGGCAAATATCTTTTACTATTTGTCTTTTCTATAATTTTATTAGATATTCTTAGACATTTATTTTTCTATCTAAGCATGAAGATAACATACTGTTATAAAATAATGCAATACAAAAACGATGGAATTCTAATTGGAATTGCATTAAACTTATTCATTTTGGAAGAATTACCATTTTTATTATAGTTAAACTTTCCATGAAAAATCATGGTATGTGTTTTTATTTATTCAATAAAACTAACCTTAACAGGGCTTACTTTATAGCCAATGTTATAAGCCAAGAGTAAAAACAAGAAGTCTAGCTATTGAACAAGGTGGAGGCAAGAATGGTCATTATTTAGTGACACTTTGATTTCCTTTTGTAAACTATAAGAGAATGAACTGCCAGGCGCGGTGGCTCACGCCTGTAATCCCAGCACTTTGGGAGGCCGAGGCGGGCGGATCACGAGGTCAGGAGATGGAGACCATCCTGGCTAACACGGTGAAACCCCGTCTCTACTAAAAATACAAAAAATTAACCGGGCATGGTGGTGGGCGCCTGTAGTCGCAGCTACTCGGGAGGCTGAGGCAGGAGAATGGCATGAACCCAAGAGGCAGAGCTTGCAGTGAGCCGAGATCGTGCCACTGCACTCCAGCCTGGGCGACAGAGCAAGACTCTGTCTCAAAAAAAAAAAAGAAAGGAAGAAAGAGAATGAACTGAAAGTCAATTAGTACTAATGAGAGATTTTTGAAACATGGTAAATAAAAAATAAATACAGGTAGCTTTCACTCTCACTTTCCAAATAGTCCCTAGACTGACATAAAAATTTATGCCCAGATTTCACTATCTGAATTGAAGACCTGCTATAATGGACCCATATGCATACATCATTTAAAATTTTACCACTATGTTTATTTTGCCAAATGTCATTTGTAACAATTATGTATCTTTAACATATTTATTGTTTATTTACATTAAAGTATGTGATTGTTGCAGCTTAGAAGGAAAATTACTGCATTTGACGCTGTACCGTATCTTTGCATATTGCATGCAAACATAGCCACAAATGGAGTCATTAAGGGTTAATTAATTAGGTAATTACTATTTTAAATGCTTTGCATTATATTGAAATTATTGATTGATGACTATACAGGTATCTAAAAGTGCTTTAGTGATATTTGAGGAAATTGGAATTACTAGATAGGCTGGGAATACCTTTTTAAAATTTGAAACAATAAACTCGGCTGGGAGCAGTGGCTCATGCCTGTAATCTCAGCACTTTGGGAAGTTGAGGTGGGAGGATAGCTTGAGCCCAGGAGTTTGAGAACAGACTGGGCAACATAGCCACATTTGCAGCCCATCACTACCCAAAAAAAAAAAATTGTAGATGTGGCATGTGCTTATATTCCTAACTACTTGAGAGGTTGAGGCAGGAGGATTGCTTGAGCCCAGGAGGTCAAGGCTGCAGTGAGCTATGATTATGCCACTGCATGCCAGCATGGGTGACAGAGTGAGACCCCGTCTCTAAAAAACAAAAACAACCCCCCAATAAGCAATAGATTATGGGCTCCTGCTTTTTGGAAATTTGTTAGCTAACATGTTTTTAGGCACTAAGTATGAGTGATGCCTGTACCCTCAAAACGGTAGCTTTCCTCTACTATACCAGCAAAAACAAGTTTGGAATATAATGGGAAAATATACATTCACAATGGCCAGTGATTTGGGGGGAGCCAGAGTAGTGCTTGACTCTGTTACCTGTGGTCGATAGTCTTTAAGATGGCTCCCAGTGATCCCAGCTTCCTGGAATTCCTGCCCTTATGTATCTTCCTACCCTTGTGTGTGGGCTCAACCTAGTGACTTGGTCTTGCTTCTGTAAAACAGAGCCTTGCAAGCGTTATGGAATGTAACTTTTGAGATTAGATTGAAAAAAAAAAAAACCTGTAACTTCCTTCTTGCCTCTCTCCCTCTTTGAGCCCTCACTCTGGAGGAAACCAGCTGCCATCTTTTGAGTAACCCTATGGAGAGGTACATGTAGCAAGGAACTGATGTTTCAGGCCAATGGCCAGCAAGAGTCTGAGGCCTGCCCAGCAGCCGTATGAGTAAGCTTAAAAGCAGGTCCTCCCTCAATGAAGCCTTGAGGTGACTGCAACCGTGGCTGATACCTCAAGTGCAGCCTTGTGAGAGACCTGAGCCAGATGCATTCAGCTAAGCCACAACAATATTCCTGATCCACAGAAACTGAGATAATAAGTATTTGTTGTTTTAAGCCACGAAGTTTTGGGATAATTTGTTATGCAGCAATAGATAACTAATACACCACCAGAATGTAAGGGATATGAAGAGAGGCATCTGGAATATCTGGTTCACCACTCTCTCTAGCACTTAGTGCAGTGCCTAGTGCAAAGTAGGTTTGTGATAAGGATTTGTTGAACATATGAATGAAAAGATAGATGAAGAGGCCAAGATAATGGTCCTTTTCCCAACTCTGTTCCGTTTTGTCATCGTGGCCCCAAAGCAGTTTATCTTATGTATAGAATATCATAAAATCTCCTCTGGAAAGAGTTGCAATTTACTTCTGACCCACTCCTCTAACTACAAGGCCCAAAATGGGTCCAGAGAATGAGGCAGGGGATGGACACTGTGCCACTTCTCTTCCAGCAGAGACATACTTTCTCTCAATGTATCCTGGTCTACAGAGATGTAGCTCTGCTTCCAAAGAGGGTACCTTTAACATTATCACCCTGAAAGGAGGAAATTGAATTCCCATCTTCACTTCAGAAGAAAGTCTTTGTTTAACATCTGCATAAAGGGTTCATTTGGGTGTTTTCTCCCAGAACAAAGGAAAGGTCTCCTTTAAAGGAACATTGACAACTCCACTACTTGCTAGAAAGAAACTGCTTGCCACTTGGAAATAACATTTTGTTGTTGTTGCTTTTCTTTTCTCCCAGCTTCTATCTACTGAGGTTTCAAAAAAATATCTCAAGGGTTTGGATTTCCACATGGACCCCCTTGACATACTGCAGCCTGTAGACCCCCAGGCTCAACTTCCCTGGCTCAGTTTCCCCCTGAACTGTACAATTATACCATAAAAGTTTTGTTTTGTTTTTGCTTTTAAATCTCTGTGAGAGGAAAGGTGATTTGACAATGTCAACTATCCAAAAAGGGACTTTTTTTTGAGACAGGGCCTTGCTGTGTCACCCAGGCTGGAATGCAGTGGCATGATGATAACTCACTGTGACCTCGAACTCCCAGGCTCATGCGATCCTCCCACCTCAGCCTCCTGAGTAGCTGGGACTACAGCTGTGAGCCACTGAGCCCACCAAAAAAGGGATGTTAAAAATGGAGGTTAATTCATATTACCAGATCTGGCCGTCATCACCTGGGAAAGACAATTAAAATTTCAAGTGGTTATATTTTCTCCTAACTGTGGAAATGAAGCTCAAATAAAACAACCCAGTGAATTGTTCATTCAACACTTTTCATTGGTCCTCTTCCTGAATAGCAAAAATGACATGGAAAATTCCAACCCACTTTATCTGTTAGCTACATAGTATTATAACTTAAGCTTGATCATATCCAAACAATGTACTTCTCTGTTCTAATTTCATTTAGATGCAAGCCTGTTTCTTTCAGAATAAATGTCATGGATATAAACATTTCAGGTTTGTTTACATCAAAATTCAGAATTTAATTCAACAAACTTTTATAGAGTCTGCTATGTGCAGATATTTTCCATCCTCAAGGACTTTATAATCTACTATGAATTATAAGAAATGTGGTGATAATGGCATTTTTTACTTAGTGCTCAGTAGTGCCAAATACCGTTTCCTTAGACTGCTTCCTCACAGGCACCTATTAGGTAGAATAATTATTATCTTAATTTTACAGATAAGTAAAGTGAGTCCTAGAGATGTCAAGTACTTTGCCCAAGGTCAGTCACACAGCTTACGATGATGGTCTTGGGAATAAAGCCCAGGTTTGTCTGGTGCTGAAGGACTTAATTGACAAAGGACTATAATACCAAACTTATTAACAATGACTCTGGCATGAAAACCTGCTGGGCAGCCTCCAAGAAACCAAAGCCTGTGGGTCCCTTGCGGCAGAGTGACAGAGAGTAGGGTTGCAGAGTTGACACTCAGAGGATGTGACAGAAGGGCACCACGAGGTGTGGAGCCTGAGGCTGAATTTGACTCAAGAGTGGAAACTTCACCTGGCCTGGATACGGAAAGGACTGTCAGGACTGACAGATTGATAGCTCTCTTGATTCTGTAGAAGACTGTGCATAATTGTCTTAAATCAGTAGCGATTTACATGATCAATCCCATTAACAAGACAATACAGATGTGATAAGTGGCATAAGGGAGCTTTATATAAAACGCCGTTGTGATTCAGATAATAAAAAATAAAAATAAAAGCTTGCATTTCCACAATGCTTTCTCTGTGTCAAGCACTTTGCTAAGCGCCTTACAGGCATCATCTCACTCAAGCTTCGCAACACTTACCTTATGAAATGAGTAACTTTTCTCACGCTCATATATAACTCTGATACATTTAGCATCTTGTTCAAGGCCACACGACTAGTAAGTAGTGGAGCTAGGTTCAAACCCAGATCTGTGCTGGGTGCACTGGCTCACCTCTGTAATCCCAGCATTTTGGGAAGTGGAGGCAGGAGGATCAATTGAGGTCAGGAGTTTGAGACGAGCCTAGCTAACATGGTAAAACCCTGTCTCTACTAAAAATACAAAAATTAGCCGGATGTGGTGGCGCGTGCCTGTAGTCTCAGCTACTTGAGAGGCTGAGGCAGGAGAATTGCTTGAATGGGTGGCAGAGGTTGCAGTGAGCTGAGATCACACCATTGCACTCCAGCCTGGGCAACAGAGTAAGACTTCGTCTCAAAAAACAAAACAAAACAAAACAAAACAAAACAAACCCAGATCTGTCTGATTGGCTTCAGGGAGTTTCTAGGTGAACAACTCAGAGCAGTCTTTAAAGCAGGTCGTATTTGAGGTGGACCCTAAAGGGCAGGTAGATGGCCAGAGGCAGAGATCCATCCAAGCAAGGGGTCAGAGCCTGAGCAAAGGCATGCGTGTGGGAGGGGGTAGAGCCAAATGCAGTAACAGCAAGTGGTATCATTTGGAGCTTTGGGTGGTTGAAAGTATATAGGGTAAGAGAATACTGGAGAAGGAGGTTGGGACCACATTTTGGATGTCCCTGAATTTTAAGCCCAATAACTTGTACTCTGTAGTTATATTAATTTTGCTAAGGCTGCTGTAACAAAGTACCACAAACAAGGTGGCTTAAAGAACAGAAATTTATTCTCATAGTTCTGGAACCTAGAAGTCAGAAATCCGGAAATTGACAGGGCTTGTTCTTTCTGAGGGCTGTGAGAGAAGGATCTGTTTCAGGCCTCTCTCCTTTGGCTTGCAGAGGGTCATCTTCCCCTGTATCTTCACATGAGCTTCTCTCTATTCATGCCCGTGTCCACATTTCCTTTTCTTGTAAGGACAGCAGTCATATTGGATTAGTCCCACCCTAATGACCTCATTTTAACTCTATTATCTCTGTAAAGACCCTGTCTCCAAATAAGGTCACATTCAGAGGTACTGGGGGTTAGGGCTTCAACATATGAATTTTAAGGAGGACATATAACACTAGTCAGGCAGATGGTTCAGCGGTTTTATGGAGTCTGCTTTATTTTGAGGAAACTGTTGTTTAATGTCAGACTTTCAAATGAGATACATAAAATCAAGTGATGCAAATCATGTGAAATAAAGAGGATAATAAATCTCATAGGCATTGGTGTGGTGAGAAGAAAAAGAAACTCTTTTTATTTAAAACAAGAACCAACTGCAGACACTTTTACATCAAGAAAAGGGTCATCTATGGTGTCAGGATTGTTACAGATATAGGAAAAAGAAAAAAAAAAAAAGAAAAGAGGCATCATTCTTGTCCAGGGAGATACCTCTTTGTTTAAGGAAATGTCTAGATGGCATGTTTGAGTTTGAATGGTGAATCCAACATCCCTCACCCCAACTCTGGGCATTGTTTGAAAGGGGAAAATAAAACACAGGAGAAAGAATTAAATTTCTCATTATAAAAATGGTTGGCTTGAAAAACAGGAGTTTAATGGAGGTGATGTGAAGTGGAAGGGAGGTAAGAATAATGAGAGGGGGGAAAAGGGAAGGGAAGAGGAGGGAAAAAGAGGTGCAACATGGCAGATGGGAAACATGAGGAATAAAATTGAACAATGAGACACTCGGTGAGATGGGACTGGACAGGGATAATATTTCATGTTAAGTTGTTTATTATGTTGTGAGTAATGTCATCTTCTTTCAAAAGGCTTCTACATGTAATATCCTTTTGATAGGGGTGATTAATGGAAAAAGAGCTGCATTCTATGTTTAGGTCTGTATGAGACATAGAAAAGAATGGCTATAAAAGTCAAGATGTTACTGAGATCAAGAGATTAGTGGAAATGAGAAATTGAAATTTCAGAGTACTGAAATTAGACCAAGTAGGGGGCCACTACTTACTAGCAGTGTGGCCATAAAGAAGTCAACCCCTTGAGCCTCAATTCCTCATCCTGAAAGTGGGGCTAAAAATGGAACCTATTTCATAAAGTTGCTGCGAGGATTAAATGTGATAACGGTGGTAAAATGTTTGGAATAATTCCAGACCCATAATTGAGTGCACAATAAATATCAGCTGTGGGAAAGAGCAATGGACTTCTCTCAGTACTTGGAGTGGGGGCTCAAAATACTCCCCCACCCCTAACTATTGAAGGGAAGGAAGAGCTCAGAAAAAGGGTGGTTTTGGGAATACCCAGACTGGACACATCTAAGAAGTGCTGGCGGATGGAGGCGGGGGGTGGGTGGGGGTAAGGAAAGATCTGTAGGAGTGTAGTATGCATAGGAGACTGAATTTAACAAAATTTATGGAAGGACATCAAGGAAAAATCTCTCTTTAGATTAATTAAATCAGTGATGAGCACTCCCCATTTCACTGTTGCTCTTTTCTTTGTCTTTCTCAGTTTGGTTCTGTTTAGCAATTGTGCTGCTGGATGAGTGCCTTCCTCCACATCCATTTATCTTTTATTATGACATATTGCAAGAATGCAGAAAAGCATAGAGGAAAACATCAGGAACACCTAGGTGTTTACCACCCACTTCTTTCAAATCTAACATTTTTGCCTCGTTTTCTTCTCTTCTTTTTTACTTATTATTATTTTTTTTTAGAGATAAAACATGACAGGTACAATTGAAGGCCCCTGGCTGCATCTTTCAAATCCCATCCTCTTTCCTTCCTTCCAGCCTGTGAATGGCTCTTCCTGAAAAACAATTCTATGCTGTACAATGTGAATTACTCTCCCTGGAGTTTCGAACAGCAGCCCAGGGTATTGCATTAGGTGTTTATCATTCTCATGTTTGGTTTAGTAGTTTTAACATCTGTGAAGGTTTCCATAAACAATACTGTCAGGCCAGGAGCGGTGGCTCACATCTGCAATCCCAACACTTTGGGAGGCCGAGGTGGGAGGGTCTCTTGAAGCCAGGAGTTGAAGACCAGCCTGGGCAGCAAAAAGAGACCCTGTCTCTACAAAAACAAAAACGAAAAAAGTTAGCCAGACGTGGTGGCATGCACCTGCAATCTCAGCTACTTGGGAGGCTGAGGTGGGAGGATCATTTGAGCACAGGAGGTCAAGGCTGCAATGAGCCATGTTCATGCCACTGCACTCCAGCCTGGGTGACAGAACGAGACCCTGTCTCAACAAAACAAACAAACAATAAAACACTCAAAATATTGTTTTACATGTCTTCAGACTTTACTAATGGGACCACCTGGTATTTAACCTTCCATAACTTCCTTTTTTTTTTTTGGGACAGAGTCTCACTCTGTTGCCCAGGCTAGAGTGCAGTGGTGCGATCTCAGCTCACCAATACCTCCACCTCCTGGGTTCAAGCAATTCTCCTGCCTCAGCCTCCTGAGTAGCTGGGATTACAGGCATGTGCCACCATGCCTGGCTAATTTTTTGCATTTTTAGTAGAGACGGGCTTTCACCATATTGGCCAGGCTGGTCTTGAGCTCCTGACCTCAGGTGATCCGCCAGCCTCGGCCTCCCAAATTGTTAGGATATCAGGCGTGAGCCACCGCTCCTGGCCTGTAACTTGCTTTTTTAAAATGATCACCACTGTGTTATTGAATTCAGATGAATTAATGGAGTTTTATTCATTGATTTGACTATAGTAAAATGAAATTCCATTGTATGACTATGCCACAATTTATCTTATCTTCTGTTAATGGACATTTAGGTTACTTCTATTTTTTTTTCTTTTGCTATTGCTGCAATGAACATTCTTGTACATTGTGCATTGTATGAGAGTTTTTCTAGGGAATATACAGGAGTGGAATTTTGTATCTTCAACTCTATCAGATATCAACAGATTACTCTCCAAAGTAAAGGTAATAATTTAAACCAGTATAATTGCACTAGTGTAGTAAATCTACCAGTCGTGCGTGAGTTAATATAGTTTCACATTCTCATCAACAATTGGTATTGTCAGATTTTATAATGTTTGCCAATCTAGTAGCTAGGAAATACCTGTCATTTTAATTTAGTTATTCTTTTAAAAAAATTTTTGTTATTTTAATAGTTATTAATGAGGCTGAGTATATTTTCATAAATTATTGACCATTTGAGTTTCTTCTGTGAATTACCTATTCATGTCCTTTAAGGATTAAATAAGGTAATATATATAAAACAATTAGAACAGTGCCTAATACAAAGTAAACAATGCATGTTAGCTATTATTATTTGCCAATTTTCCTATTGGATTGGTATTGATGTACAGGAATTCTTATATATTTTTATAGAAATCCTTTGTTATGGGAGTAGCAAATATTTCCTCCCGATCTGTAGTTTGTATTTACATTTTCTATAGTGTGCTTACATTTAGGATTTCAATCAGACAATGTATCATTCTTTTCCTATATGCTTTTGTACATTTTGTATCCTGTTAAATTCTTATCCTGAAGTCATAGAGATAGTTTCTTTTCTTATAAAAATGTTTGGGGGCTGGGCCTGGTGGCTCATGCCTATAATCCCAGCATTTTGCGAGGCTGAAGAAGGAGGATCACTTGAGCCCAGGAGCTCAAGGGTGCAGTATGTTATGATTGCATTACTGTACTCCAGCCTGGGATACAGAGAAAGACCCTGTCTTTAAATCTTTAGGTTTTATTCTCATATTTATATTGAATTGTGTGTGTGTATATTTACGTTTATTTTTCAATTATTATATTTAATTATTTTTATTTTTTGTAGAGACAGGGTCTCACCATGTTGTCCAGGCTGGTCTTATACTCCTGGGCTCATGTGATCCTCCCACCTCAGCCTCCCAAAGTGCTGGGATTGCAGTCGTGAACCACAGTGCCCGGCCTCTGTGTGTGTTTTAAATGATAAATAGCACCATTCACTGAATACTTCATTCTTTCCCCATTCATATGTAATGTTACTTTTATTATGTATCAAGTTTGTGTGTGTCTGTTTCTCTATTTGGTGACTCTGTTTCTCTATTGGGCTATCTGTCTGTCCTGCACCATTGCCACACAGTTGTGATTACTCTAGTTCTATAATAAAATCTGTAAAGCCAGTTCCGTCTGCTTTGCTTTTCTTCATGTGTATCCTCATTCTTGTTGGCTCTTTGCTCTTTCCTGTGAATTTTAGAATCAATTTACAAAATCTCTAAAAGGATCGTAATGGGATTTTGATCAGAATTGCTTAACTTTAAGGATTAATTTGGCAGTATTGACATCTTTATGACATTGAGCCTTCTTTCTCTCTATTTTTTTTTTTTTTTTGAGACAGAGTCTCTCTCTGTCACCAGGCTGGAGTTCAGTGGCGCGATCTCGGCTCACTGCAACCTCCACCTCCTGGGTTCCAGCTATTCTCCTGCCTCAGCCTCCCAAGTAGCTGGGACTACAGGCGTGTGCCACCACGCCCAGCTAATTTTTGTATTTTTAGTAGAGACAGGGTTTCACCATATTGGCCAGGATGGTCTCGATCTCTTGAGCTTAAGTGATCTGCCTGCCTCAGCCTCCCAGAGTGCTGGGATTACAGAGCCACTGCACCCGGCCAGTTGTCTTTTTTTTTTTTTTTCAGATGGAGTTTCGCTCTTGTTGCCCAGGCTGGAGTGCAATGGTGTGATCTTGGCTTACTGCAACCTCCACCTCTGGGTTCAAGTGATTCTTGTGCCTCAGCCTCCCTAGTAGCTGGGATTACAGACATGCACCACCACACCGGCTAATTTTGTATTTTTAATAGAGATGGGGTTTCTCCATTTTGGTCAGGCTGGTCTCGAACTCCCAACCTCAGGTGATCTGCCCACCTTGGCCTCCCAAAGTGCTGGGATTACAGGCATGAGCCACCGCACCAAGTGAGTCTTCCCATTCAAGGACATGATATAGTTCTCTCTTTTTAAGGTCTTTTGTTTTCCAGTAAAGTTTTATGATTTTCTCCCCAAAAGTCTTTTATATATTTTGTTATTTATTTTTTGATACTTCATAATTTTGTTGCTATTTTTTAAAGTTTGTCTTCTTTTTAATTTGCATATTCTATTTGCTGTGGGTATATAAGAATGCAACAGGTATTTTCTTTTTTTTTTTTTTTTTTTTTTTTTTGAGACGGAGTCTCGCTCTGTCATCCAGGCTGGAGTGCAGTGGTGTGATCCCAGCTCACTGCAACCTCCACCTCCCAGTTAAAGCGATTCTCCTGCCTCAGCCTCACCACGCGCATCACCACGCCCGGCTAATTTTTGTATTTTTAGTAGAGATGGGGTTTCACCACGTTGGCAAGTCTGGTCTTGAACTCCTTACTCCAAGTGATCTTACCTGCCTTGGCCTCCCAAAGTGCTGGAATTACAGGCGTGAGCCACCGTGCCTGCCAATATCTTCATATTAATCTTTTATCTAACAGTATTGCTAATATCTCTTATTAGTCCCTTTATGCAGATAATCTAATCATATGATTTGAATATAATGACTCTTTTCTCCTACCCTTATATCTTTTAATCTTATATATATTTAATTTTTCAGTTTTAGAATATTTATTTAAGTGTGTGTGTGTGTGTGTGTGTTTCAATTCTCTGGTGAAATTCTCCACCTTTTCATTTATTTTTCCATATTTTCCTCTATTTTATTGAGTTATAAAATAGTTATTTTATAGTCATTCTTGGAACCCATGTCCTGGGTGTGTCCCAGACTCTAATCTTTGTATAGTGAACTTTACACTACTTTTCACAACCTTGACCTATATCATAAAAGGCAAAATGAGGGCAAAATCAGCTGTGTGCTTGAGATGCCCAAAGTTTCTGCCAAGTCTCTTCCTAAAGTTTATTATGTATCTAGAAAATAAACTTTTGGTTTTGTTATACCTCTTTACCATATATATATATATATATTTTGAGACAAGGTCTTGCTCTGTTGCCCAGGTTGGAATGCAGTGGCATGACCTCAGCTCACTGCAACCTCTGCCTCCCAGACTCAAGCAATTCTCCCACCTCAGCCTCCCAAGGACTGGGCCTACGGGCACACATCACCATGCCCAGCTAACTTTGTTCATTTTTTTTGTAGAGACGAAGGCTCACTCTGTTCCACAGGCTGGTCTCAAACTCATGGCCTCAAAAGGGATCCTCCCACCTTGGCCTCCCCAAGTGCTGGGATTACAGTCATGAGCCACTGGGCCTGGTCACTATTTTTTTTTGAATTATTTTATTAAGTTCTGTAATCTTTGTTATGTTTTTCTTTTTCTAACTTCTTGGGTTGGACAACATGGTCACTAATTTGCTTATTTTTTATTAAGCGGAAAGAGGACTTATGAACTAATTTATAGACTGTTCTTTTCAAGTGTTGAGAAATAAGTTTACTTACAATTACTGCTTTAGCTATGTCCCTCAGGTTTTGATACATAGTGTTTTCACTTGCAGTTTTGTGCATTGACTAATTTCCATTAGGATTTCTTCTTTTTGACTAATGAATCATTTAGAAATACTCTTCATTTCCAATGTTATTTTAATTATTGTGTTATTCTTTTCTAGTGAGGTCAGTAGGATATTGATTCTTTGGTGTGATCTGAAACTTCTTTATTGCCTATTACAGGGTCAATTTTTGTACAGTAGATGTTCCATATGTGCTTAAAAGTAAATGCGTATTTTAAAATTTTTGTGTCCAAGATTATACAAATATTAATCAGAAAAACTCTTCTATATAATTACTGGATTCAAAAGTTTTAGCTTTGAAGCCTTCTTTATATTTTGATAATAAACATCATTTCACTTTTGTTGATCATGAAATATGTAATTCATTTGGGTTGCTGTTTTTCTTTTAAGGCATGGATGAGATTTTATGTATTAGAAATCTTAAATTGTTAAGTATACATACTGGATAGTCTTTCAAGTATCTACACTTTTGTATTATTTGTTATAATGACACATTTAGATAGGGAGAACATGACATATGAAAATGCCATCCTAGCATTTTTTCCTGGACTGTCTAATATTCCCGTAGCAAATTTTGAATCTTCCCAGCTTTGCTAAAGTCTCTTGTTCCCTTTTCACATTACAAGAATATTAAACAGAGCTAGAACTTGAAGTGAAAATTTAGTAAAATAGAAACCTCCAGAATATCTCTTGGGTCTTATTAAAATAAGATAGCAGGTGCTGTTGCTATAGCACTCAAAGGCCATGCTGCATTAAATTGCAGCTCTGTTACATGAGGCTCAAGCCTCAATAGAGCCCTGATTTAACCATTACTGCATTGTATGGAACATATATTATCAAATCAGAGTGTCCTAGAAATCTGAATATGAATGAGTCTTGGCTCAATATACTTATTTGGCTTATTTGAAATGCCTTAAAAATGAACTTGGTGTTTCTGGACCCAATTTAATTAGTCATAAATCTAAGAAACTGAAGAATCATTACCATGGAGTTCCAGAATGAAATAAATCTTGTTTTTGTTATTATTACATTTTGCCTCTATCTTTGATGTGATGCTTTTAAAGTGGAACAGATTATTAACCGGTTGCAAGCAAATGGAAACTATCATATTTCAAAATCTAGAAATTTCCCAGCTGCCACTGATTCACATTTAAGTCCTAAATAATTCCATATATTGCTTGGAAATTGAAAAGGTTTATGGGGAGGGGTTGTTTTTCCTGGAGAGATGCTCAGTTTGTCTGATAACTGTATTGGCTTCCAGAGTTTTTGGTGGGTTGGTGAGTATCATGACATTCTTTATGGTGGTCAAATTTTGAATATTTGGTTGCCTGAAGCAATAATATTCTTGGTCTTCCTTTTACATCACAAACAGAGAATCATTATTTTCCATTATTTGGATATAGACAAGGAAATTATATTTTAAGTCATTTGAGGAGATGCTTAGGGGTAAGAACATGTAAGCCTTCATTAGGAAAAGGCCTTGAGAGAGACAATAATTCCACGTTCCAATTTGCCTAAACGGGAATCTAAAATGATATAGTTGACCAGATGGGCAGGCCTGAAACTTATATAAAGGGACTATTCCCACATTTCGTTAGTGGCATACTTGGAATTTGGCATTTGGTCTCCCATAGAAACAATGCTATATTTGATTAGAGTTTGTGGTGTGCCCACAAAAACCCAATTTAACACAGAGTGTGACTGAAATATTGTTGTATTTAGATTTTAAACTTCTTTCTTTCTTTTCCTTCCTCTCTTTCTTTTCCCTTTCTTCCTTCCTTCTTTCTTTTCTTTCTTCTTTCTTTCTTTCTTTTTTTTTTTAGATGAAGTCTCGCTCTGTTGCCCAGGCTAGAGTAGAGTGGTGCGATCTCAGCTCACTGCAACCTCCGCCTCCTGAGTTCAAGCGATTCTCCTGCCTCAGCCTCCCAAGTAGCTGGGATTACAGGTGCCCGCCACCTCGTCCAGCTAATTTTTGTATTTTTAGTAGAGATGGGGTTTTGCCATGTTGGCAGGCTAGTCTTGAACCCTGACCTCAGGTGATCTGCCTGCCTCAGCCTCCCAAAGTGCTGGGATTACGGATGTGAGCCACTGCTTCCGGCCAACTTTTTTTCTTTTAAGCTGCATAAAGTATACTTAAACATATAAAATACCTTTAAAATACATCAAATCCCCAGAATCTTAATCAACCAGGCCAACATATAGGAATTCAACTGGGGCTTTGTATGTTGCTTAATCCTCCAAATGCACCACTAGAAATTGGCCAGCAATGGGAGAGATTGGGGTTCTCAGAAATTCAAGGGGCAATACCATTCTGGATGTTCCAGTTTCTACCTTTCCAGTTCTCAGGAATCACAATGCGTCTCTCATCAAGAGGAAGGGAAAGCATGAAGTGGACGCTGGAGGCACGTGGATGAGCTCCTGATACCAGCCAGCCAGCTACTCAAACAGCCAGGTGGAGCCCTCAGTGGCAGCAGCTGGGAGCAAGGCAACTGTTTTCTTTCAATCAGTCATGCTAGAGAGTGGAGTGAGAGCTCCCAGAGAGCTCCTATAAGCAGCAGTCCTGCCCTAGTAAGATGGGTGGGAAGAGGGGAAGCCAAAGTTCAGTTCAGTAAAATAACCAGTTAATTGGCACACTGATCAGCAAAATTCAGACCAAGGAACTCTATTCATCAAAGAGCCTGGGTTTTTCAACAGATGAATTATAAGGAAAAGAAAATAATGGAGGGAGAATCTGTAGATTAAAAGAGACTTAAAAGAAATTTCAGTTTTTAAAAATGAGCAAGACTAAAATATAGTATCTAAGGATGCACATTTATGTGATAAAACGATTTTTTTTAAAAAAAGCAATGAGTTGATTACTATAAAAATCTGGACAATTGTTATGTATGAGCAAAGAGGGGACTTATGATCTGGGCAGCACACATGGAGGGGGCTTCTGGGGTGACTGACAAAGATCTATTTCTTGACCTGATGATGGTTACAAGAGTGTTGCTTTATACAAATTCGTTAAGCCATATGTCTGTGTCTGTGTGGTTTTCCTTATCTGCTTTACTTTACAATAGAAAGCATTTAAAAATAGAAGTGTGTACCCACGGAGTCAAAACAGTCACTGAGAAACGGACATGTTTGCTGAAGCTGTTAAAGATAGGGAGCAGAAAATGCATTCCCATCAGAGCATGGGTAGAGTGGACTGGAGAAAGAGCAGATGGCTAGGAAGGCACAGCAGTGACACAGAGAAGAGGAAGGGGAGGGATTCATGGCTTGGACAGAATGGAATCATTTGCCAACTAGCTTGCAGCAGAATTCAGAGCTGAGTATACTGCTCCTCATTTAAGGAGACTGAGGATGCTTGCAGAGGTGCTGCCCCAGATGTGATGTGGGGCCAGAAACAAATATTTTACATGCTGTTTAAGTCTCATTTCAAAACAAGAATAATGTCACCAACCTGCCTCAAGATGTTATAAACTAACAAGACATGGTCTGATATTTTATACAACTCTTAAGAGTATGGGTCAAATTGACACAATATTTCAGGTCAAGAAACACCCAATAAGATGGCAAGAAATTTAAAACAGGCAGCCAGGGAGTGGGCAAGACACAAGAGTGCAAGTAGGTGGTTAGCAACAGGGAGTGGGGGCCCAGAAGCTGGGCTGGGATTCAAGGTCAGGGCCCTAGTCTGAGTAAGAGTAAAGCCAAGCCCCTGTTTCAGAGCAACTGAGGCAGCAGGCAAATTAACCAGATAGGAATGTAGGAACAAGGATTAAGGTAGGCAACCAATAATTGGATCTGGGGTAAAGACAGTGTTATAGGAGGGTTAATAACCTGGTTGACCCCATGCAGTCATCTGAGTTATGGAAAACAGGCTCCTTAATTTCTGTTTAATGAATAAACAAGATTCATTCCAGAGCTTGGGGCAGACTGAGTGTATAGGAATAGATTTGGGGGCAATCAGATTGCCCTAGCTGTGGGGATTGTTTTGGTCTTTTATTCCTTAATAAAATACAAATAAAACTCTGTTTCCATGATTGTCATCCCCCCACTAGAGATTTGATTAGATTCAGGTTCACTTTTTTTTTTCTTATGCACTTCCTTGGAACAAATCAGGTTCACTGTTTAAGGCAAGAATCCCTCATGAGTGGTGTTGTTTATTCCTTATTGCATCCCATCTGAAAGCCTATGTAAGTCTGGATGCCTCACTTTTTATAATACTAAGATTGATTGGTGGGGTTCAGGTGGTTTCAGCCTGATTCCTGCAGTAGAAATTGCCCCATCAACCTTTAACTTAATGATTTTAGCATCCACTGATGATTATTGCCTAGATCCATTATTTCATTAGGGGTTGGAAATTAATGATTTTTCAGTGCTGTTATTTTTTCTGAATTTATTAGTGGGAATTCTTCTATCAAGAAGAATCCCCCCTCCGAAAAAAAAAATTGGAAGGGAGCAGTTCCCAAAACAAGAAAAAAATAAAAATAAATTTAAAAAGAAGAAATTTCCCTCATCAATTATGTGGCTATCATAGAATACAGTTCTGTTTTTTCCTCTCTTTTTTTGAGACAGAGTCTCACTCTGTCACTCAGACTGGAGTGCAGTGGCGTGATGGTAGCTCACTGCAGCCTTGAACTCCTGGGCTTAAACGATCCTCCTGCCTCAGCCTCCTGAGTAGCTAGGACTACAGGTGCCACCATCCCAGCTAATTATTATTTTGTTGTTGTTGTTGAAACAGGGTCTCACTATATTCCCCAGGCTGGTCTTGAACTCCTGGGCTCAAGTGATCCTCCTACCTCAGCTTCCCAAAGCACTGGGATTACAGGCATGAGCCACTGCTCCCAGCCCTAAAGTACAGTTCTCATAGGAAAGGCAGGACACCTACTTGATTCTTGCCTTTCACTTAAAACATTTCAGGATGACTTGGTGTCCTAGCAGGCTCCAATGATGACTAATGTGTTTGTATTAGGTCATTATAAATTTATGGGCTTTTATGTATTTGATGTATTTCAATAAATCACAGTGATTTTTAATTTTGATATCCAGATTGACCCATATTAGGCCAGTGGGAGCCCTTTCAAGTTGGCTCCTGAGGCTTTTTGACATGATCATAGTAGTTGCTGATCACTTCCTTGCTTTCTAGTACAAGAGGACATTCCTGGTTCATCTAGTACAGTCCCTGCCCCAGACCTGCAGTCAGCCATTTCTCTAAGGAGTGGTGGTTTTATTTTGTGGGGAATGATATTCAGAGATTACAGTTTTTGTACTAGTGGTGCTCATCGCTATTAGTAGTTACTACTTTTAGGTCTTTGTAGTGGTCGGAGACAGCAATTACCTTTCTGTTTAAAAAGAAAAAAAGAAACAAATGAGTTTATAGTGCTATTTCTAATTCAAATTTAAGATTACAATGTTTTTACTTAAATTCTTTGAATTTATATGAGTATCTCCTTTCTCTTATTTTGAACATCTTGGCTCTTAATAATATCAACATAATTACCTAACTAGTTCCAAAATAAAAACAACAATATGACCATTAATGAGAAAACTGTCTGGGCATGGTGGCTCACTCATGTAATCCCAGCACTTTAGGAGGCTGAGGTAGGTAGGTCGCTTGAGCTCAGGAGTTCAATACCAGCCTGGGCAACACGATGAAATCCTGTCTCTACAAAAACTAGAAAAAATTGGCTGGGCATGATGGTGCATGCCTGAAGCCCAGCTACTCGGGAGGCTGAGATGGGAGGATCATCTGAGCCCGGGGGAGGTCGATGCTGCAGTAAGCCATGATTGCACCACTCCACTCTGGCCTGGGCCACAGAGCCAGACCCTGTCTCTAAATAAATACATAAATAAATAAATCAAATGGTTAACTCTATGAAAAAAAAAACAATAAGACTACTAAATGCAGTTTAGAATTTCTTTGTGGTTCTCTGTGTCCTGAGAATGTGTCCAATTAGGAATGAACAGTCAAAATTCTGTGTTTTAAAGTGAAGTTGAAATTTTTTTTCTCCATGTGGATTTGTCACCAACTTATTGTAAAGTTAAGTTCATTTGTTTCAGTTTGTTTTCTATTTTTAGAGATTTTTTTCTTTTTGATTAATTTTGTTCCAAAGTCAAACTATATAACAAGATATATTCAAAGAAGTCTCGAGGCCATCCCTCCCCTCCACCCTGTCACCTCCCAGTATGGATAACCATCTTTATTAGTCTTTGATTACCTTTCCTTCATTTCTTTTTGAAAATAAAAGCAAATATGTGTATGTAGGGTGTGTGTGTGTGTGTGTGTGTGTGTGTGTGTGTGTGTGTGCGTGTGTTTTCCTTTAGAGTAGGCTATTCAAAAAGTGGCATACTACTAGCGTGGTTTTACACTTGTTTTTCCCTCTAATAGTAGATGCTGGAGATATATCAGTATATAGAAATTTTCCTCATTATTTTATTTTTAACAGCTGTGTAGTGCCAGGTGTGGATGTACCATAGTTTATTAAACTAGTCCTTTTAAATGTAAGTTTATTTATTATTTGTATAAATTTAAGTGGTACGAGTGTAGTTTTGTTACATGGATACATTGCATAGTGGTGAAGTCTGGGCTTTTAGTGTAACCATCACTCAAATAGTGTACATTATAACCATCAAGCAATTTCTCATCCCCCACCCGCCTCCCACCCTTCGAAGTCTCCAATGCCTATTATTCCACACTCTATGTCCTTGTGTACCCATTGTTTAGCTTCCACTTATAAGTGAGAACATGCAGTATTTTACTTTCTGTTTCTGGGTTGTTTCACTTAAGATTAGGGCCTCCAGTTGCAGTGAGCCAAGATTGCACCACTGCACACCAGCCTGGGAAACAGAGTGAGACTCTGTCTCCAAAAAAAAAAATAAAATAAAATAAAGATTGTGGCCTCCAGTTACATCCATGTTATCGCAAAAGACATGTTTTCATTCTTTTTTTAATGGCCGAATAATATTCCATTTTCTTTTTTTCCCCACTTTTATTTTAGATTCAGGGAGTACCTATGCAGGTTTGTTACCTGGGTATATTGCATGATGCTGAAGTTTGGGATACGAATGAGCCCGTCACCCAGGTACTAAGCAGGGTACCTAATAGTTTTTCAACCCTTGCTCACCTCACTTCTTCTACCCTCTAGTAGTCCCCAGTTTCTATTGTTGCCACTTTATGTCCATGAGTACCCAATGTTTAGCTCTCACTTATAAGTGAGAACATGTGGCATTTGGTTTTCTGTTTCTGAGTTAGTTCACTTAGGAGAATGGCCTCTGGCTGCATCCATATTTCTGCAAAGGATGTGATTTTGTTCTTTTTTTTATGACTGTGTAGAATTCCATGCGGCATGTGTAACCACATTTTCTTTATCCAGTCCGCCATTGATGGGCATGTAAGTTGATACCATGTCTTTGCTATTGTGAATTGCATGACGATGAACATACAAGTACATGTGTCTTTTTGGTATAATGATCTGTTTTCCTTTGGGTATATACCCAGTAATGGGATTGCTGGGTTGAATGATATTTCTAAGTTTTTAGAGAAATCTCCGCACTGCCTGCCACAGTGGCTGAACTAATTTACATTCCCACCAACGGTGTCCCTTTTCTCTGTGGCCACACCGGCATCTTTTGTTTTTTGACTTTTCGATAATAGCTATTCTGACTGGTGTAAGATGGTATCTCATTGAAACCACATTTTCTTTATCCAATCATCCATCGAGAGACACTTAGTTGGCTATTGTGAATAGTGCTGTGATAAACATACACGTGCAAGTATCTTTTGATATGATCTCTTTTCCTTTGGGTAGATACCGAGTAGTGGAATTGCTCGATCAAATGGTAGTTCTATTTTTAGTTCTTTGAGAAATCTCCATACTATTTTCCATAGAGGTTGTATTAATTTACATTCCCACTACAGTGTATAAACTTTCCCTTTTCTCCGCATCCTTGCCAACATCTGCTATTTGTTGTCAACTAGTTCTTTATTAGTGGACATTTGTTTCTAGTCCCTTGCTACTGCAAATAACACTGCCTCCAATGGCCTTGCACATATGCTATTTTGTATTTACTCAGTGTATCTTTGTGTAACATGAGTATAATTTTTAATGTGAGCTTCAGTTGAGCAAGACTATTTCCATGTTCTAGTGGCTGGTTACTAGTAAAAGCTCTTTGCTAATCTGGTGTTGATGAATTCTATCAAAGGAGAAATCCTGAAGATAGTAGATATTTTCACAAGTCAATTATTATTTACTGCCCCTCAACATTCCTTAAATACTTTATACTCATTTTGTCTCTGGACCTTTGCTCTTCTGCAACTCACTACCCTCAGAGTACATTCCCTCCTCCATGAATTCTAATTTGAATGTTTCCTACCTTTATGTCTCTGTTTCCTCTGACCTTTGGAAGTATTTAAAAACTTTTAAGTTTGTAGTTTGAATACTCGATAAATCTTTAAAACAATGCCTAGATAATTTTCCCTGCAATTAGGGTATACTGCCACTAGATGACAGCAGTATCTTGGTTTTGTTCTTATGGTCCAAACCCCAAAGCATAGGTAACCTGGACAAGTTTCTCTGAGCCTATTTCCTTATCTAAATTGAAGGGAATGAGTTGGGGGATTTCTGGTCTCTGTCCCTAATTTCTATGAGTCTAAATAATTTTCTAAATGTTTTCAGTTTTCTCTGACTGCTTTCATTTCCTGTTGTCAAGAGAGAAAAATGAGCTACAGGCCTTTCCTAGGCTGAGGGTATAATACTCAGTAGTTATCTCTAGTTGAAAAGAAGCCATTTTCCACGTTATTCTGATCAAAGAGTGAAAATTCTGCTTTTGCCCATCAGGCTTTTTCTTTTCTCTATCCCTCCCTCCCTCCCTTCCTTCCTTCCTTCTTTCCTTCCTTCCTTTCTTGTGCAGTGGCCCAATCTCAGCTCACTGCAACCTTCTCCTCCCAGGTTCAAGCGATTTTCCTGCCTCAGTCTCTGAGTAGCTGGGACTACAGGTGCCTGCTACCATGCCTTGCTAATGTTTGTATTCCTGTAGAGAGGGGGTTTCACCACATTGGCCAGGCTGGTCTCGAATTCCTGACCTCAAGTGATCTGCCCGCCTTGGCCTCCCAAAGTGCTGGGATTACAGGCGTGAGCCACTGCATCCGGCCCAGGCTTGTTTTTTTAGTAGCTGCTGGCTAGATATTATTTGAATCTATATTTGTTTCAGTTGATAATTTATTTACATATTCAACAAATATTTATTGAGGGTCTTTTAACGTGACTGACACCATTTGGTTGTTATTGGCTTTGTTCCTTTTGGTGTTGTTTTGTTTTTCAAGCAATATCTTGAGCTTAAAATCTGTTTTCTTTTTCTGGAGCTCATAATTATAAATACAAACAATTCCCAGAACAGAACTTCTAAGTAACAAATGTAAGCAATTTTCTAGATTAAACTATAAACTGGATTAATCATATTCCTTAAGTAGGTGGTAAGTGATTTAGCGGTTCACATACATCTTGAGTTAACAGACCAACAAAATTCAAAGAAAAAAAATAGACCGACCAGCAGTTGCCAATTTTTTTGTTATGCTAAGTGAGGATGTTAAAAAGAGACAACTGCCACAAAAAAATAAAGAACATTTCATTGCCAAGAAAAAAAAATGGAAAGGAAATACTCATAATAGACTTGTAATAAAGGAAAGTCTTTAAAACTGAATGTAAATTTAAAGTCATGAAACATTCCCTTCATTATCTTCTTGTTTGTCTTTAAATTTTGCCATGGACTTGTGAAAACATTGTCACAGACCAGTTGAAGTCTGTGGACTGGTGTTCGGGACTCACCATTTTAGGACGGGAACTGCATTTTATTCTGACTTGTGTTCTCACTGTGGTAGGCTCCAAGAAATAATTGACAAATTCAATAGAAGTCCATCTTGGAGTTAATGTGTTTTAACAAAAGCATTATTGTTTTAACTTAGGAGGTGATGTGTTATGCTCTGAATGAACTGTTGAAGTATAAATGGCTTTGTACACAGTTTAAGTATTTGTAGCCCAGATTTTACAGATGATGAGACACAGAAAGGTTAAATGAGTTAGTCCCCTCACTCGGTGAGTCAGTAAAAGAGACAAGAATAGAACAAGACTCTGGACTTTAAGGACCACATAATCACTTAATTACAATCAGAAATTGGAACAGATTAACTGTTTATGTGATTTGCAACAGTGTTGGCTGAATAATTACCCTAATGATGCAGCATGACTTTTCTAAGAAATATGCATGAATTTATACCCTAGTCCCAGGCTGAAATTAGCTTTATCCTCATTACACTTGGCTGCGGACTAAATTCACATTTTGCTCCAGCTATGGAGAAGAGGATGAATTTTAGCAACGGTCTTTCAAAGTCCCAATCTGTGAAGATGTACAGATACATGGGATCTTGACAATGAGTGATTTTCTCTGGCATCCTTGAAGCTCACTACTGCAAACTGGACTAATCTTAAAAGACTCTCTCAGCTCAGAGATCCTAGAATTCTATGATTTTCTACATCTTCTGACCTACAGGCCAATACTCAGAGTACACTAAATCAGGGATTGTCCATTTTAACAAGGTATTTCCAAAATGTCTTGAAATGTGTGAAGATTTTGTGTATATTCGTGTCCAAAGCCATGTTTTCATCAGGAGAATCACTGGGAAGATTTTGTTTTGTTTTAATTTTTGTTCTTTCTTTTATTTTTGGCACAAACATATGAAGAGTTTGCAGGGAAGTATGTTGGATCCCATGACATATTATTAGAAATAATATCATATTATTCTCTCTAATCCTAATCTAAGAATTCTATGAGGTTAAATTTTGTCCCTTTTTGAGAAGAGAAAGCTGAGTCTCAGAAAGGTGAAATTTCAAGTAGCTCTTGGAGGATGGTAGGGCTGTCAATAGACGGGTGTTAAGCAATGACTACCACCCCATCACCCAACCCAGTCTCTCCTCATCAGAGGATGTGGTCCCTTTAAGACTAGGAGGGGCTACCAGGGAAGACCTGAGCTAAAAATAAGGCCAAGATCCACAGACTTTGTTGGCATGGCCTTATTTCTTAGTCATTCTTTCTTTCTTTCTTTCTTTTTTTTTTAACCGTAATTTCCCTGGCATGAATCCCAGTCAGTTCGGCCTAGCAAGTGCCAGCCTCAGCTTGTATTTGCTCATGTCAGCTTGAGAATCCTTGGTCGCCATTTTATCCTGAACCTACCTACATATTCACTGCCAACTCTTAAAGCTATGTCTGCCTCATCCTAGCCCTGGGTTTTATATAGTTTCCATTAGGTTGAGGAGCATAATTGGTTATTTAACCCATATCTGTTCATTGACATTTATTTATGCACATCCATTCATTCAACATACATTCATTGAGTACCTATTAGTCACTGTGGTTGGCACTGAGGACAAAGCAGTGAAAAAGACAGTCATGGTCCCTGCACTCGCGGAGTTTAAAACTTAGCAAGGGAAATGGCCATTAATCTAATAATCACACTAATGAATATATAAATATAAACTGAGATGACTTCTCTGAAGGAAAGTTTACTTTGATTGGGGTGGAGGGTTGGGGTCAGGAAAGGTGTCTCTTATAAAGTGATCCTTGAGCTTAGATTTGTGGAAGAAGAAGTGATAGAGAAGATTCTAATGGGGCCATTAGAATGTGCCTGGAAGACCTCCTAAAATAGAAAGTGTAATTGACAGAGGGCCTCAGCTGCTGTGTTCTGGCACTTCCCATGGGCTGTCGCCTCCCATAACTGAGTACTGTGGAGAGAGTAAGACAGACTCATTCCTGGGCGACATGTGGACACCTTTGTTGGGCAAATTTGGCTCAAGAATTTGCAGAAGCTTCTTTAGTCTACACAATAGTCTAGGATGCTTCCACCCAACCTCCTCTTCCTCTCCCTCATTCAGGGTCAGACTTTCATCATAGCTCCCTCCTGATTTTCTTTCATACGGGCATTTCTCCTGATACCATCTTTCCATGTTTAATATGGTCTTGACATATACTCCTTGGAGGAACTGGAAAAACACAAGTGAAGTGGGTATTTTAGATGTAGGGAACAGTGTTTATTTCCAAGGGCCAGATACGACTTGCATGACCTGGTGTAATCCTGAAAAGAAGACCGAAAACTGTGAGGCTCCAAAAAAACTAATTGTTGATAGCTGTATGTGCAGGGCCGGATTATCAGGAATAAAGTCAAGAGAGGTGAGGGGTAGATGCTGTGGGCTGACAGTAAGCCCTGCCATCCCTTCTGCCATTCAAAGGCTAGGGAAAGGTCTCTGAGCGGTAGGCTTGGGGACACTGCTGTCTTTACCCGCCACCATCTTGCATTGCTTGCTCTGGTCTGCCTTTTTGGCCACAGCTGTTACTCTTTTGCTCCAGCTGAGTTGCTACAATTACCGAGTGAGGAAATACTGATAACAGAGAATTTAGAGTTCCAGGCTTTACTGCTTTCCTAAAGGTTATCTTAGTCAAAGCCTGCCTTTCAGCTTCCTAAGGTCTTTTTTTGTTTTTTGGTTTGAACTTTTCCACAAGTTCTTTGCCATATATTTTGTCTTTCTAAGCCTGAAATGTTTTCTTTTCTTCACTTAATTTAAATGCCCTTCAGCTTTCAACTCTCTACTTGAAGAGGCAGTGAGTGTTCTAGACAGAGTTCAAACTCAAAGTCAGATCAGAGATGAAACCCCAGCTCCATCTCTTTCTATATGTGAGTCTTTGGGCAAGTTATTTAATTTTTGATTCTAAATTTTGTTATTCATAAAATAGAGATATTGGGATTGCTGTGAGAATTACCTGTGAGAATTACACGAGTTATAGTATATAAAAGGGCCTGGTATTGGCACTCAGTAAGTGTTGGTTCCCTTTTAGCTCACTTCCACCCTTCCTCTTGGCATTCTTTACTTTTCTTCTCTCCTTGGATGCCTGGCTCTCACAGCAGATTTCCCCTTACCAAGACAATGAGAGCCCTGGGAGAGCTATTTCCTTTTAGATTTTTCCACGTCTTATTTATCTAAGCACAAATACGTCCTTTCCCTTATTCATTACCTTTCATTATTCAAAACTTTGGTGCATTCAAAACTCATGTAAAAGGATTCAACTCATCATAGAGATGGAGCTTACAGGGCAGCAGAATTTAAAAATGGAAAACTACTGATGATAAATAGAACTCATTCATTCATTCATTCACCAAATATTTCTTTTTTTCTTTTCTCTGTTTTTAGCAGTCCTTATCCCAACACTGAAATATTTAATTCTCTATTATGTCTCCACTGCATAGGGTATAAATGTTACAAGCTTTACTTTTTCAGGATAAATCACAGTATAGAGTAGGAGCAATGTAAAATTTGATATAAAATATCAGGGTTCCAGAAGATTCCTGGCCACATCCTATTATAAAGAATTGTTGCAGTACTTTCTCCTTAGTTCAGCTAAAACTGGGCTCTTGTCACATGACCAAGAAAGATTAGGCTCACCGACACATAGAAGGGTGAGGAAAATGGAATTTATTAGGCAAAAAGAAAAATAAAAAATAGCTCTTAGCGAAGCGAGAGAGAGTCCTGCTAGCAGGTTTCCTGCCTCACAGATTGAATCCCAGGTCACTACACAGGAACAGGAAAGGCCAGGCTCCTCCCACCTGCAAGGGGTGAGAACTTCCCGAGGCGCCACCCTATGCTCCCAGTGCGCAGGTGGTGGCCTTATTCAGAAAGAATCAGTTAGGAAAGGGTGGGCTTCATCCCAGTCCAGCAGTCCAGTTTTTCAGCCTTCAGGCTGTTTTAGGCTTGAAGGCGCAGTTTCTCTAGGGGACCCTTGGCTGTCTTCTGTCTCTATAAAGAATGTCCTACTGGTAGCTCGCTCTCTTGTTAGGCCCTAGTATCCCACCATGTTGTGGGGGGCTGCTCTTACTCCACAGCTTTTCCATTTCCTAGCTAGGGCAAGTTGCTTAACCTTGAAGACTTCATTTTTTTTTCATTTGTAAAATAGAGTGAATTAAAATATTTTCCCCACAGTGTTGTTATGAGGAGTAAATGAACTGACTTGTGTACAATGCTTAGCACAGTGTTTAGCACATAATGAGCACCCAATACCTGTCAGCCTATTGCGAACATTGTTATCAATGTTATTATTCAGGTGAAGTGAACCTAAGAGCTTGTAGGCCCAGATTTTGAATGTTCACACTATTTCCCCCTTTCATTTGGAGAAGTTAGAGGGGGAGACAAGTATGACTGCCCACTCTGTTACTTAGTATCTGTGAGATCTTCAGTAAGTCATATAATGTCACTGAACTACAACTTACAGATCTGCAAAATGAAGAGACTAATGGTCACTATTTCATAAGACTGTTAGGAAGATTGAATGAAGTAATGTGGAAAGGCACTTAGCCCCATGCCTGGAAGAACATAGTAAACATGCACTGGAAGTTAGCTATTAGAATTACACAGTTAATTTTTTACCATCTTCATCCTCTCTTCTTGCACTCTCTTTCCAGCTCCTATTTCTGGGGCTCTGTTCAGGGGAAGCAAAAATAATTTTGCACAAGAACAATCTCTTTATCCCGAGAAAGTTCTCCTTTCTACTTTGTTATGCAGGCAGTTAGACCCCTTTGACTAAATCTCCCCATTTCAGACTGTGCCTCAGGCTTTGACTTTATCACCAAAGCGTGTATAATGGTGTTGTACTAGACAGAAGAACAGCATCTCTCCTACTCCCTCCAGGTAAATTCTACTGCCCCCTTTCCCATGTGGAATATATATGTATATAAAAATTTTTAAAATTTTTTTTTTTATTTTTGAGACCGAGTCTTGCTCTGTCACCCTGGCTGGAGTGCAGTGGCGTGATCTCAGCTCACTGCAACCTCTGCCTCCTGGGTTCAAGCGATTCTCCTGTCTCAGCCTCCCAAGTAGCTGGGATTATAGGCACCCGCCACCACACCTGGCTAATTTTTGTATTTTTAGTAGAGACGGGGTTTCACCACGTTGGCCAGCCTGGTCTTGAACTCCTGACCTCCAGTGATCCACCCACTTCAGTCTCCCAAAGTGCTGGGATTACAGGTGTGAGCCACATGCCCGACCTAGATTTTATATACTTTTAAGAGCAGTTTTCCCTTCATGCAATACAATGGATCAGTAAAGATGAGATTTCAGGCGTCAGTCTCAGACCAAGAGGCCTCATTAACTACACTGTGAATTCTCCCCACCTTCACCAATTTCAATCTAGAAGCACCTCTGACCCATTAATGTCAAATGCAATGTGCTTAGCCTCCAGCAATCTCCACCAGTCTGTGTGAGGAGGCTTTGGCCTTCAGGCGCATTCATGCCATTCTGATGGACAGAAACCTTCTAGCCAGGCTGTGTGGGGAGAGAGGAGAAAAGTGTATATGTGGCAATGGGGGTGGGAGAAGAACAGAAATTACTGAATTATAAAGCACATACTTGCCAGGTTATAAGAAACATTAAACTAAATAGCCTGAACAGTCCATTTGCTGAAAAGACATTTAATTATTTCAGCAAGAACTAGTCAGAGATGAGAGCCCATAAAATAAGCAAAAAGACACTAGTATTTGATTTTAATGTCTTTCTATTTTGCCACAGGCCACAATTTAATTAAAATTCTGAATAGAAATTTTAAGACAACACATTCTCCTCCCTAGAAGCCAGACAATGAAGATAAAACATCCCCAATATCTTCCTGGAATTTTGGCCTTTTTAGCTAAATGCCCAAAGCTAGGCAATCTTTGCCAGCTGCCCCCACTCCCACCTCCCAATAACGAAGGCATTGATGAGAGATGTTTGCAGTTACTAAGCTCTATGTTTTAAATCTGGGCCAAGTGCCCAAGGGTCATAGAGTCATAGACACTTTGTTATTTATTTTAGAGAAAAATGTAGAACTGATTATTGAAAAACTGATCAAAAGAGGTAGTAGAGGTGAGTGCAGATGTTGGGGAGAGATGTGGTTTTATCTGTGTGATTTTCATTGGTAGAGAGAGTGCTGAATTCTGGGTTCTAACCCTGGCTCTAATAGTTGAAAGTTGTATTTTAAACTTCTTGTCACTTCAATTTTGCCATCTGTGAAATGGGATAGGATAGGCCAGTGATCCTTTATGGTCCCCCTGTCCTAATATACCATGCTTTAAATATAGTAAGATAAATATGGCCTTAAATATAAATTACCACAAACCCAAATATGTTGGAAAAGATGGCAGTTCTTCTAACTGTGTTGATCAAGTTTCAGAAAGAATTACATAAACATCGTTTTTTTTTTCTTGCTCATTGTACCAAGAGCCAAAAATACATCTTTTGTTGTTGTTGTTGTTAACATCCAGTGACTAGAGCAATGCCTGGCTCATATAGGTGCTCCATAAATATTTGTTGACTGAATATATGAATCATCCATGAGTTTTAGCTCTCAGTTTTAATTACATATCTTCCTAGCCCATGTTGTGAAGATGTTAAAGATGTTTTCATGTACTTAGTAAGAAAAATAGGCCAGGTGTGGTAGCTCCCGCCTGTAATCCCAGCACTTTGGGAGGCTGAAGCAGGAGGATCGCTTGAGTTTGAGATCAGCCTGGACAAGATGGTGAGACCCTGTCTCTAAAACAAACAATAAAAGAAGTATGTTAAATAATAAATTATAGGCCTTTTTAAAGAGACAGAGTCACTTGCCATGTTGCCTAGGCTGGTCCTGAATTCCTGGGCTCAAGTGATCCTCCCGAGTAGCTGGGCCTACAGCCACGCATCACCATACCGGACTGGGCCACTGCATTTTAACTTGTTTTTTCTGTCAGTAAATTGCAGCCACACAGGATTTTAAAAATTCTATCTATACACCAAATCGGTAAAATCCTAGAAAGACAAATGATTTGTATCCTACCTTTGCATAGGTTGTGTTTTTGTTTAGCCTTTTAGGCCTTTAAAAACCAAAGGCCTAAAAATGGTTTCTGTTGCATTCTCACTGTCCAATCATTTTTTATATTTACAGCAATAAATGTATTTAATTTTTTTTTGTTCCACCTTGACAGTTCAGGAAGCTCCTCTGAACCTGAGAAAACCTTTATGTTGGAAGCTCCAGCCATATCACCCTTTATCGGCAGGAATCATAAAATCTCTGTCTTAAAAGTTATTTTGGCCAGTATTTAATCAGATACCTGGCTCCATTTTACAACACCTCCAGTGGAATAATATTTTCTGGCAATGTTATATACCATCGTATGCACGGCCCCTTTTAGCTATGGTTTTCCCCTCTAGATATTCTGTTTCCTTTCTTCCTGCTCTAGCTAAGCTAACTACTTGCCTCTGCTTCCTCACTCCCGTTCACTCTTTAATGTGTTGTGATCTAGTACTGACACTGTTCTCACTAAGGTCACCAGTGACCTCCATATTGCCAAACCACTGGACAGTTTTCTTATCTTGCAATGCATTACAGCATACGAAATATTAACCACTCCTTCTTCAAAAATCTTCCCTCTTTTGGCTTCTGTGATAATCTTTGATTTTTGTTTATTTATCTTACCTCTTACCTCATTCTCTGGCTCCTCTTCCTTGGCTGACACCTTCAGTGTTGTTTCACAAAGCTCTAACCTTGGCCTTGTACTCTGTCCTGTATTTCTCCCTGAACAGTCTAAACACGATCATTTATATACATGTGACTCTGAAGCTTAACTTTAGCCCAGTTTTCTAAGCTCCAAACCTGCATGTCTGACTACCTATAGAATATCTCCACTTGAATGTTCTATAGGCATCTCATCAGGCCCCCACTGGATCATTGCAGCAGTCTTCAGTTTCACCCCTATTTTATTAAGTTCTCCACACTGCTGGAAGAGTAACTTTTAAAAAATACAAATCTGTTTGGGTCATTCTCGAAGTCGAAATTCTTTAGTTTTGTGGTTCTCCATTGCCTATGGTATAAATCTAAACTTCTTTGTAGGTCATATAAAGTCCTTCATGATCTGGGCTTTATCTTTTTCTCTAGCGTTATCTCCTCTACATCTATCTTTTCATGCTGTAGCAACATTGAGCTGAGTCCCCAGATAATTCCATGTCCTTTCATATATCCAAACCTATGCCAATGCTGTTCCCCCTTTTTTCTTTCTTTCTCTCTTTCTTTCTTCCTTCCTTCCTTCCTTCCTTCCTCCCTCCCTCCCTCCCTCCCTTCCTTCTTTTCTTTTTTTTTTTTGAGACGGAGCTCGCTCTGTTGCCCAGGCTGGAGGGCAGTGGCGCGATCTCGCCTCACTGAAACCCCCGCCTCCTGGGTTCAAGCAATTCTCCACCTTCCGAGTAGCTGGGATTACAGGCGCCTGCCACCACGCACAGCTAAGTTTTGTAGTTTTAGTAGAGACGGGGTTTCACCATTTTGGCCAGGCTGGTCTTGAACTCCTGACCTCATGATCACCCACCTTGGCCTCCCAAAGTGCTGGGATTACAGACGTGAGTCACCGCACCTGGCCGCTGTTCCCTCTTTCAAATGAACCCAAGCACAGCTTCCTCTGGGAAGGATTTTTGCACTCAGATTCTCCTTCCTCTTGTATCCCATTGTATCATGTATCAACCTTCATTATCGTTGATATTGTGTAACGATTGCTTCTATTATGTGTTGGTTTGATTATATACTCATTCCTTCATTGCACAGGTGAAGCAAAGAGCAGCCTTGTTAGATGGGTGGACCTTTAGAGCACGACACAGATTCACAGTGTATGGAGAGAGCACAAGCAAATTTGATGATACCCTCCATTCTCCTGAGTTCCAGTGGAGAAGATAAAGGGACATTCTCTAACCCAAAGGGAAAATAAGGGTGACATTTTCATTCTGCTTCAAGTGAGGCATGCTGTTAATAGGGTAACAGATTAGGTGGAGTTGTCCTAAATACCCCATGGGCTCTCAAACAAAGCTGAGTCCTTTCTTGGCCCTCTAGCAAAGTGATAACACTTTGTCAGTAAGTTCCAACAGTGGAATAAACGTTATTTGTGTCTGTTTCCTCTGGCTTTCCCTCCTTTTAGTGACAGCTGGATGTTGTTATGGAGGAGGGAGAATAGTCAGAAAAATAGTCTGAGCAGCCTGAGCACATTGAAGATGGCAAAATATTTAGGGGTTGGGCTGCCCAAGTACATTGAAGAAGGTCCAGTATTCAGGAGCTGGAGCTCCCAGACAAATCTAACTCCCCAGTGCTAAAAAAACATAAAAAGACTATTACGTGAGATCAAAATAGTGGTTACTTCATTGTGGTGCAGATGGGATTGATCTTGTGGTACAAGAGAGGTTTCTGGTGTGCTATAATATTTTCTAGCTTGATGTGGGTAGTGGTTACATGGGTATACACATAAGTAAAATTTTATTGAGTGATTCACTTGAGATTTGTGCACTTTACTGTATGTAGGTTATATCCCAATAAAACTTAAAAAAGAAATGAGGGGAAAATATATATGGCAGAAAAAAGTAGCCTATCACAATTTATATTTCAAACACAGCATTGGCACCTCAATTCAAACTGCTGTATTATGTTTTACCTAAGGCCTTTTAGGCTTTAGCAACTTTAGGGGGAGAAACTGGTGACCAAAGAAAGAGAGATTCTTTACAAAATGATATTTCCTTAGAGGTGCTTAGGCCCTTGCAGAGAGTTGTAATTGTCTATTTACCCCCATTATATTGTCTTTCTAGTTCAGGGAGCATGTCTTTCTACCTGTCCCAAGTGTGCAACACACAGTAAATGCTTCATCAAGTTCCCTCTGTAACAATTACACTCTGTTCTGCAAAAGAGTGAAGCAGACAAGGCTATTTTTTTTTTTACCTTTTATTCTTTTTGTATAATTTATTTGAGACAGGGTCTCACTTTGTCACCCAGGCTGGAGTGCAGTGGTGCAATCACAACTCACTGCAGCCTCAAACTCCTGGGCTCAAGCGATCCTCCCACCTCAGCCTCCCAAGTAGCTGGGACCACAGGCACGTGTCACTATCACTGGCTAATTTTAAAACATTTTTTATAGACACTAGGTCTCCCTCTGTTGCTCAGGCTAGTCTTGACCTCTGGGCCTCAAGCGGTCCTCTCAAAGTGCTGGGGTTACAAGTATGAGCCACCGCTCCCGTCTGCTTTTTTGCCTTTTACTTTTCCATGTTCCTCTCCTGCATCTTGGTGCCCCTGTGCCCTGCCTGTCACCTCCAGTTCCCTGCTGTTACAGACATAGAAACCACTTACCTGGTGGAGGGACACTGTTCCTGTCACATAACAGGCACTTAATAGATACTTGTTGACTGAGGCAGATAAGCAAGGATCTGGGGCGTTGCTGTAACTGGAAGGCTGAGTGAGTTGAGGAAGTCAGTGGAAAGCTGTATTGGACCACAGGTGGAGCTGCTGCCAGAACCAGCACACTAGAGGAGAAAGTTCACAAAAGAGCACTAAGACCTAGAACCTAAGACCAAGCCTGGGGCTCTGGAACCTGAAATGCCAATCCAGAGTATCCGGTCATAGAGGCCAAAGCCAAGAAGAGCCAGGGACAACCAGAGGAGATTCATGCTAAAGTGTTAGCCTGCCTGAAGAGACTCACTCAGGTGGTGGCCATCTCTGCCCAGGCTGACAGTTTTGAATTGCCTGTGACATAATTCATGTGTGTGTGTATGTGTGTGTGTGATGGGGTCTCACTATGTTGTGAGGCTGGTCTTGAACCTTGAACTCCTGGGCTCAGGTGATTCTTCCACTTCAGCCTCCTGAGTAGCTGGAACTACAGGCATGTACCACCATGCCTAGCTTGTGACATAATTCTGTTTTGGACTATGCCTTGTTGGTCTATCCACCTTAAACTGGCTGCATACATTTCTCTGGTTGTTAACTAACTTATCTAATCTTACCAGAGGTTTAGCTGATCACAATAATACCTTATAGTTGTATAATCTTTTAAAGTCTGCAAAATGCTTTTGCAACCATTAAATTCCAATGACAATCCCATGAGGGAGTTGCAGAAGGTGTTAGCATTGCCATTTAACAGATAAAGAAACCAAGATCCACTTGTTTTGCCCAAGGTCACATAGGTAATAATTGACAGAGTCAGAATTAGAACCCCTCTTCTAACTGGAAGCCCAATTTACTGTTTTAAAAATCACACTGTAGATGCCTGATAATTATTTAAGAGATTACCTTTCTCAGTGACACCTTTTCATAGGGGATTTTTGAAAATGGAAAAGACTCTAAGATATAGAAAAGTGACTTCCTTTTTTTTTTTTTTTTCTTTGAGACAGAGACTTGCTCTGTCACCCAGACTGGAGTGTAGTGGCACGATCTCGGCTCACTGCAACCTCCTCTTCCTGGGTTCAAGCAATTCTCCTGTCTCAGCCTCTGGAGTAGCTGGGATTACAGGCGCCCAACACCACGCCTGGTTAATTTTTGTATTTTTAATAGAGACAGGGTTTCACCATGTTGGTCAGGCTGGTCTCGCACTCCTGACCTCAGGTGAACCACCCACCTCGGCCTCCCAAAGTGCTGGGATTACAGGCGTGAGCCACCGCGCCTGGCTGAGAAGTGACACTTTCTAATGGTGGAAATTTGGGGTATTTTTGCAGGAGGCGAGAGAGATTTTTGGGCAGGAGATCCTGTCCAGCTCTTCTCAAATTATAACATGTAGTTGGTAGCCTAGTATGTGTTCTTTTGATAATCACCCTGCTATCTGGGCTATATGTTATATGCCATCTGAACCAACGTGCATAATACAGGATAGTTAGTCCTTTGCCTCTTGCTCTACAGACCAGAAAGCATAATGTAATTGTTAAAAGCAAAGACTCTGAAGCCAGACAGCTTGGGTTGAAATTGCCGCTTTGCCATGTATTGACTGTGAAACTCATGGCGAGTCCCTTTACTTCTCTGTGCCTCAGTTTTCTCATCTGTGAAATGGCAATAATAACAATATTTACCTCATGAGGATTAATGATTTAATATATGTAATGAGCTTAGAATAGCTCTTGGCACACAATAAGTGCTATGGAAGTGTTACCTATTTTTAATTATTTTTAGTACATATTAGATGTCCTTCTGGTGAGAGCTGTGTTGAATACATGTGTAAATATGTGTGGTCTCTGGCAGGCCAAATCAGGTAGGGTGAGAAGTAGGGTCTTTAGACAGATATGCACCTTGGTAGGGAACCCAGCCTATGACCCCATACATACCTCAGGACTCTTGAACATCAGTTCTGCCAAGAGTTAAGGCACCTGAGCAAGTTATAGACACAGTTTCCCGGGCTACAGACAACAGATCATTTCAGGGGCAGTTGCTTCCATCCTAGTGAAAGCCATGCAATTATAGTCGCCAACATTTGACTCCTCTAGACCCCAAATAGCCAAATGTTTTCACTTATCAGGTATAAAGATTTAGATTTAATCTCCTGAAATTTTTATGAGATGGGATGTTCGTTCATTTGCTGAGTAGCTGTATGAGAAACAGGCTCCCTTTTTACCAAGCTTCTGGGAGGGTAGGCATGATCACTGAGAAACAGTAGTGGAAAATAAGTCATTCAGGCATGCAGAATTCCAGCCTTCTCTTCTCTGGCTTGCTCCAGGAAAACTTTCCCAGTTGCTACAGTGCCCAGTGATCTCTCTGCCTCTGATCTCTGAGAGCACTGACTGCCACTCAGTTTGGCACTTAATTATTTACCACCTAAGGGAAATCTCCCCAATTATAGCCCAGTTCAAGTACACCCCTGTTCTCTCAGTGAAAGACTGACTGAGACAATTGATATTTGAGAGGGAGAGTCAAAGGCATAAATTTACCACTTATTCCCCAGGATTCTCTAAGTTATATCCCTGTATTTAGTCCATTCACCAGAAATACTACCCAGCTGAACTATGTTGCTTTGTTCTCCACCCTCATTACACCCCATCCCCTTAAAATTGCCATTGTAGAATTGTGTTTCGGCTGGGAGCGGTGGCACATGCCTGCAGTCCTAGCGACTCAGGAGGCTGAGGCAGGAGGATCTCTTGTGCCCAGGAGTTCAAGACCAGCCTGGGCAATATAGCAAGATCTTGTCTCACAAAACTCCCAAAGTTGTGTTTATCGTTCTCTTCTGTTGTTTTCTGTTTTCAAATGAAAGCTATCCCAAATCCTTGATAGGAGAAAGGAGCCTATACGTAAATATTCAAAGTGAATTATTGTTTAAATTAGACGAAATTAATCCTACCATTTGAGTCCTGTACATGTTAACAAAGATGAGAAACTCTGAAGGGTTTGTTTGGTGGGTAAGCTGGAAGCAGGCAGAGAGAGAGAGCTGTCAGGAAATGTGGGGTTTTGGATGCCTGTGGCTTCTGAAATATCAAAAAGTATAAAGAAGTTGTAAAAAGTAGAAAAAACTTAGGGCAGTAAATGGGACAAGGTGCTGGCTGCCTGGGAAAGGGTGAGAAAACTTCTCTTTCTTCATCTCATTCCTTCTAAATATCCCCCAGCTCAGTAATTCTAAATTGGACTGCTGCTCTCTCCCTCCTGGCTTCCAGACATCCCCTGTGGAAAATTTGGCTGCCGTTTACCAGTGACTCCAGTGTATGTTGGCCCATTCACACGTTGTTGATTGCACTAGAATGTAAGTGTCCTGCAGCCATCTTGGGTGCCACATTTGGTGCCACTTTTGGCACATGATTCTAGCATTTATCCCTCTGATTAGAATGTGTACCTTTACCTGGTATATGATCTGTGATCTGTGCTTGGAATAGGCATAAAAATATCTCTGTGGCCAGCTTGGTCATTTTTTTGGTAGTCTTGGTTCTGGGGTGGTAGCTTATTTTAGATCTGTTGTAGAGTGGGATCCTGATTGTCAAGGCCTTTTGAGATTCTATGGCACTATGTGTCAGTAACCAGGAACTGAGACAATTCTAGCTGATTGTTGCTATAATGCAGAAATGATAAGATTCTGGCATGATCTGGTCATGATTTTGTACTTCTGGGAATTGGTAGAAAATATGTTACCATTTTTCCCTTAAAGTAAAAGCAATGTGTGGAAATCCAAATTTTGCAAATAAATTAATGGGTGGTTATTTGCTGTACAAAATGTCTGACAGAGTTTCCTTTAAATAGCAAGCTCCTCTGGCGTGCTTAAAATGTGGGCCAATTTATTTTTAAAAAGCCTTTTCACGTGCAGCACATTTAGAAACAAGTCTGTTATATAAAGAAAGATACATATGCATGATGGTTTGGGGTTTGGTTTTGAACCAACAGACTTCACTTGTCCGAATGAATTCACTTCTATCTTTGTCCAGGAAAGTCTTATTTTGACTTGAGAACTGAAGGTAATTGGATTAGGATCCTTAAGAAAATCAACAGAGAAGTACCATTCATTCTGCCTCCTGTGGTGGTCTCAGACAAGCAGATTCTTGTTACAGGAGAGTCATAATGGTCTCAATAGTCCTTTCTATGTACTTCTTCTCTGGGGGGTGTTAGTAGAAAGTGTAATATTTAAAAATTTTTGCTGAAATATGTAGACACTCAAAAGGAAGTCAGAGACCTCTGGTAATGTGTGAATCACATGGAAAAAAATACGATTGTGTTTTAGACAAAAGGTAACCTCCTTGAACATCCCAGGAAGATTGGTACTTAGTCTTAAATTCTTTTTGAAGTTAGCGTTAAGATCTTTGTTAGTGTCAGCCACTCTGAAAGTCATGAGACCACCATTACCTGAATGTCTTGTTCTGTCTTTTAAGTCAAACCCATATGTACTCAGCTGTGAGGCATGCTGAGATTCAGTGGAGATGGGGAGGAGGCCAAGATTGAGCTGAATCAGCAGTTAAGGCTCTCATCCAAGGATAGTTGCCTGCTATCCACATCCCAGCATCTGAGGAGATGGGGCAAATTTCACCTGGAATTGGCAAGTATTTATGTCCAGAGGGTCTCATCTGATGGTTTGGGCCTAGTAGCACAGGTGGAGCTATGACTGAGGCACATGGCAATATCATGCTTTGGGGTAGATGGCTGGGTATGGATGACCATCTAATTTCAGCAGGAATTCAGCTAGTAGCTAGGGAGAGAGAGAGAGAGAGAGAGAGAGAGAGAGAGAGAGAGAGAGAGAGAGACAGGTCTAGTCCAAGAAGAAAAGCAGTGGTTAGGGTTAGATGGGGACTGAGGGTCATAGCCAACCTGGTTGGGGTTCTGACAGAAGACACTGGGCATGATTCAGGAACCATGGAAGAAGCAGTCGTGCAACTAATAGTAATAGCTGTTCTTTATTAATCACTAATCTGTATATCACAGGTTATTTTATTTAATCCTCACAACAACTCTGTGAGGTAGTCTATTTTTTGTGTGTGTCTTGTTCTGCCTTTTAAGTCGAACCCATATGTACTCAGCTGTGAGGCATGCTGAGATTCAGTGGAGATGGAGAGGAGGCCAAGATTGAGCTGTATCTGGTGTCAAATACAGCAAATACGGGATGTATTTTTTCAAACACACACAAAAAAGTCTCCAATTCACTGTGGACATCAACTGGGTGTCCAACAATTCAATTAAATTCTGACACTAGCTACCTGAAGTTAGTCCAAACCTCACAGTTTAAGGGCTTCATCACACAAAACTGCCCCCACTTCAGAAACCAGCCACAAATGGGATTCTCAGATGACCTACACTTCTGCCCAGCTGACTACCAATTCAGGGATTCCCACAACCCCTCCCAGGTTCAATAATTCCATAATTCACAGAACTCAGGCCAGGCGCGGTGGCTCATTCCTGTAATCCCAGCACTTTGGGAGGCCAAGGCAGGCAGATCACTTGAGGTCATAAGTTTGAGACCAGCCTGGCCAACATGGCAAAACCCTGTCTCTACTAAAAATACAAAAATTAGCCAGGTGTGGTGGCGGGTACCTATAATCCCAGCTACTCGGGAGGCCGAGACACAAGAATCGCTTGAACCCGGGAGATGGAGGTTGCAGTGAGCTGATGTAGTGTCCCCGCACTCTGGGCAACAGAGTGAGACTCCGTCTCAAAAAAACAAAAACAAAAACAAAAAACCAACCAACCAACCAAACAAACAAAAACTCAAATAACTCAGGAAAACATTTTACTTATGATTACTGGTTTATTATGCAACTTGGGAACAGCCAAATGAAAGAAATGACATGAGGGCCTGGGGTGGGGCCTACATGGAGCTTCCATGCCCTCCTGCCCAGCACATCAACATGTTAACCAACCCAGAAGCTCTCCAGATCTCCTTTTTCAAGAGTTTTTATAGAACATAATTTCCAGCCCTCTTCCCTTCCCTGGAGGTCTGGGAGTGGGACTGAAAGTTCCAACACTCTAGTCACATTTAGTCTTTCTTGTGACCAGCTCCCATCCAGAAGCTATCTAGGGGTCCTACCCTGCATCAGTTGAATAGAATAAACCCAGGTCTGTTTGAAAAAGATTTGTTATGAATAACAAGACACTCCTATCACTCAGGAAATTCCAAGGGTTTTAGGAGCTTTGTGCCAGGAACCGGGGACAGAGTCAAGTATATTTTTTTCTTATACCACTGGTAGGTATTGTTGTTATTCTTATTTTATAGATAAGGAATCTTAGGCACAAAAAAGTGAAATAACTTAAGGTCACACAGCTGGGAAGTAAGTGGTAGAGCCAAGAATTGAACCCAAGTCTGGTAGCTGTCAAAGCTCTCCACTTAGCTAGCATCTTGCCTGTACTATGTTGTATATGTCATGGCTGAGGTTGGAGGGAAGGATTGCCAAAACTCAGGCAGCTTCCTACACTTATACTGCTTAGGGCAGGCAAGGCCATATGTATCAGAAAATGGAGAAAATACAAACCCCAAGCCAACAAAGCAAAAACCAAAGTCAGCACTGCTAAAAATCCAGCATACCAAAGGTCATAATGCTGAAGACCATCTTTCTTTTGCATTTATTTATTTATTTATTGATATGGAGTCTTGCTCTGTTGCCAGGCTGGAGTGCAGTGGCACGATCTCGGCTCTGCAACCTCCACCTCCTGGGTTCAAGCAATTCTCCTGCCTCAGCCTCCTGAATAACTGGGACTACAGGCACATGCCACCACGACTGGCTATTTTTTTTTTTTTTTGGATTTTAGTAGAGACGGAGTTTCACCATGTTGCCCAGGCTGGTCTCGAACTCCTGAGCTCAGGCAATCTGCCTGCCTTGGCCTCCCAAAGTGCTAGGATTACAGGATTGAGCCACCACACCCAGCCTCCTTTTCTTTTAAATTTAAGGATAACTGAACTCCATACGACTCCCAGTCACATGTCCTGGAGAAGATTGGGAAGCAGATTTCAAGTAGCAAGAGGAAGTTGAGTTAATTACACCTTTGCGGAGTGCTTGCCGGCTATTTGCCAGGCACTCTGCTAAGGTTGTCCAGTGAAGAAAGGTAAAATGAAGAAGAAATCAGGCAGAAGTTAAACCTATAAAAAACTCTAGTAAAACATGACCAGATCGTTAGGATCAAAACCAGTCTCTCTCTCTCTCTCTCTCTCTCTCTTTGGTAGAGACAGAGTCTCACTATATTGCCCAGGCTGATCTTGAATTCTTGGCCTCAAGTGATCATCCCACTTTGGCCTCCCAAAGTGCTGGGATTTAAAATCAGTCTTTTAAAAATTATTATTATTATACTTTAAGTTCTGGGGTACATGTGCAGAATGTGCAGTTTTGTTACATAGGTATACATGTGCCATGGTGGTTTGCTGCACCCATCAACCTGTCACCTACATTAGGTATTTCTCCTAATGCTATCCCTCCCCTAGCCCCTTACCCCCCAACAGGCCCCGTTGTGTGATGTTCCCCTCCATGTGTCCATGTGTTCTTGTTCAACTCCCACTTATGAGTGAGAACATGCAGTGTTTGGTTTTCTGTTCTTGTGATAGTTTGCTGAGAATGATGGTTTCCAGCTTCATCCATGTCCCTGCAAAGGACATGAACTCATCCTTTTTAAGAGCTGTATTACTCATCATCAGTCATCAGCTTGTGAACTAGTCTTGCCTTTCCTAAGCAATGAGCTCCCTAAGTCTCAACTTCCCAACCCCTATAGTTGCTGTTGTGTAGGAAGGTCCTGAGAATTGGGTCAATCTAAATTGGTTGCTATCCAAGGATGCATGAGGCTCCATTGTCAATACAGAGAGGCAAAGTTGTAGTTACTCATTTGATCCATTAGTCTGCAATTCCACACTGAATAGTTACCGAGGGCCAGATACCACAGATTATTACCAGGAGGAAAATAACATTATGTAGCTGTAAAGGGCTAGGTGGATACAGAATATGATGAGTAGCAGAGCCAGCAGCCAGTATAGTTTAGAGGTGAAAAGAGCTGGAGCCCTGGTGCAGACAAGGCAAACAGTTGAGAATGTATCCTTTTGGGGAGGGCCTGGCTGCTTAAAAGACCCTTAATGGTGTGTATACACATCTCAAATTGTTAGGCCAGACATGTTAATAATTTTTTACAGCCTCAAGCTCAATAGAGTCTATTCAAATATAAAGATGTGCCCAGAAGCAGCATGGTATAGAAGAAGGAGCACTGGATTGGGAACCAGGAAATTTGGATGCTAATTCAACCTATGCCACTAATGTTTTGTATAATTTGGAGCCAATTTCTTAACCTGCATGGCTCCTAGATTTTCCCTTTGTAATAAGAAGAGGTTTGGGTTTCATTGATCTTTCCAAACAGCCAGTCCATAATAGAGCAAGTCAACATTTTAAATCAACTCCTGGCTCTTGCCTTGCCCTTCCTCACCTTCCCTATCTTATTCCTGCTGTCCAAGGTAAAGAATTTCAATATTAACCTGGACCACAATACAATCTAAGTTGGGAAACCTTGGACTAGGTGATATTGATATTTCAGGTACTTTCCAGCTCTAGAATTCCATGATTTTGTGTCAGTCTAACTGTGGGCTTTAGATATATTAATTTCATCATTTGTAAAGATTGGCAGTTGACCAGAATTTATGTTCAGGCCAGATATGGGGTCGGGGGTGGGGGATAGGGCTGGCCAAGTAAAAGACCTTGCAGAAAAAATTGGAATTATTGTACCTAAGTTGATGGAAACACAGCAAGTGTGAGGATCTCATCTGTCCAGGTGGATATAAATTAAGTGGAGAAAACTCATAATTGTCATTGCTGTTATCATTTTTAGTTATCTTTTAATAATCACGTACTGTGTGGCAAGCACCCAGCCAGGTTCTCTATATTAAAATTACATCTTTCATTCTCGTGATAAATCTATGAGATATTTATTGTTTTCTTATCCCCATTTTTCAGATGAGGAAATTGAGACTTAGAGAGGATGGAAACTTTCCCCACACAGCAAGAGAAAGGAGGCTTGTTAAAGAAGGGCTGACAGCTCCAGGGACCTTGGTAGATCAGGCTTAGGTGACTGAAGAGAAGATGCCTTGTGTTTGAACAAGGATAGGACCTGGCATCCTCGAGGGAGGGCTTGTGTCTCCAATGACTGGGTTAAATGTTAGCTGATTAACCTGGAGAAGAAACAATAAGAATCTAATGGTTGTGAGTCAGACTTATGTGTGAAGATATCGAATTTGTTTGACTTTGTTTTGCTTGGAGGTCCCATCATTTTCTTCAAAAGACTATTTTTTGTTTTCATTGTGAATTCTTTGTTAGTAATAGAATACATAAACTGGATTTCTATGGCTTGCCTGTAGAGAGGAATGTACTGTTTCTGTACAGACATGTTTGCCCACGTAGATGAAGTATTGAGTCTAATGATAATTCCCCGTTAGGGATACACTATACTAAATTTATTGTCTGACTAGATGTTCACTACAGTTTTGGTGCCATTTAAATTCATTGATCTTTAGAGTCATGCTTTGTAGCTTATGTCTGGGCAGCAATCAATAATTTTATATTTAGTGTGAATTTGACTGTAACCAAAAGATGGAGTGCTACTTTGTCATGGTTCTTTATTGTAAGTAGAATTTGTGCTTTCTATGTAGTGTCAGAATAAATGAAAAGTGAAGTTTTCAGTATTCCTACTATGCTCTCTGAAAAGTCACAACCACTCATTCACAGTCAGGCTAGGAGGTGGTGAATTCAACTTGTCATGAATATGAAATTTATAGATTCGGCTTAAGTGTGAAGGAAATTATTTAGGAATATGGTGCTCATCATACTACTCTATTTCAAAAGATCCTTTAAAAAATCTCTCATTAATACCATTAAGAAAAAATGCATCTGCTTTGATAAGAGCTTAATTATACTAATTTGATTCATTGTTCATGAATATACTTTATAATTTCCCTTATGTGTTTATTTTTGTTACCTGCTGAAAAATGTCTATTTTCTCTGATCTTTAATGGATGCCAATAGGAGAGAGTATATACTATTCATGAATTTGTTCATATATTGATGGTAATACATTCTATATTCTACTTGTATAAAGTAATTTTCAGAATTCTCAACAAGGTTATACATTACTGCTAATCAGCTCAGCCTCCAACACTTTTGATCATCCTGAGAAGTCTAGTCTGGCCCACCTCTCCTCTGGTCACTCCCAGTGACCCCCACTTCTTGATCTGCTCTGACATTCTCACCGTAAAGTAACTCTGGAAGGCCATGCTAGAATAAAAAGATATTCGCTGGAAAAGGGAGGTGGATCCTGATTATCATTTTCTAGCCATTTCAAGATGGTTTATCAGATTAGCTGATTGTTACCTTGGAAGACACAAAGTGCTTAACCCTGTAAAGATTTGCTGTGTCGTGAATGGTGGTTGGAAAATCAGGAGACCTAGAGTGTAGGCTCTGCCTGCCACTAACTGAGTACTTGACCTGGGCCAGGTCACTACCCCTTTCTGGACCCCAAACTTTTCATTTATTGTGGTAGGCTGAATAATGCCCCTTTCCAATATGTCCATGTCCTAATCGTTGGAAGATGTGACTGTTACCTTATACAGTAAAAGGGACATTGTAGATGTGATTAAATTAAGCATCTCGATATGGTGGGATCAGCCTAGATTATCTGGGTGAGGCCAGTATAATCACAATGGTCATTACAAAAAGAGGCAAGAGGATTCAGAGGAGGAGGAGGAAGCAGTGTGATGATGGAAGTAGAGGGTGGAGTGATGTGCTTTGAAAATAGAGAAAGGAGCCACCAGCCAAGGAATACAGGTAATCACTAGAAGCTGAAAAAGTCAAGGAGAAGGGTTCTCTCCTAGAGCCTCCAGAAGGAACCAGCACTGCCAACACTTGGACTTTAGCCCAGTGTGACTGCTTTTGGACTTCTAGCCTTATGAACTATAAGAAAGTAAATTTGTGTTAAGTCACTAAGTTTGTGGTAATTTGTTAGAGCATCAATAAGGAACTAACACATTGTAAAATGAGGGAGTTGGACTAGGCAATCTCTAAAATCGTTTCTGGCTATAATGGTCTATGGTCTAGGATAAATCTAGGGTAAATGTTTCGGTGGATAGGAACAAGGACCATTTGAATGGATGGAAAGGAATAAGATATAAAAACCAGGTATAGTCTTAGTAACCACTTATGGTTTTATCCATACCTGGCAGAACTAACTACTAATAAAAATGACTGTAGAAGAGGTAATCTTTAAAAAATAAGCATGACTGGGAAGGGTGGCTCATATCTGTAATCCCAACACTTTGTGAGGCGGAGGCAGGAGTATTTCTTGAACCCAGGAGTTTATGACCAGCCTGAGCAACATAGTGAGACCCTGTCTCTACAAAAAAATAAAAGAATAGCCAGGAGTGGTGGAATGCATCTGTGGTCCCATCTACTTGGGAGGCTGAGGTGGAGGATGGCTTCAGCTCAGGAGGTTGAGGCTGCAGTGAGCTGTGATCGCGCCACTGCACTCCAGTTGGGGCAGCAGAGTGAGACCCTGTCTCAAAAAATAAAAATAAATAAAAAATTGAAAAGCATAATTAGTGTTAGCAAACTTTATAGTGCATTGAAACATGGTCTACTCTAAAAGTAATCAAAGGACAGAATTTGGATACCAACAAACTATGTTCTCTCCAAAATTTATATCCTCAATTGTATTGTAAGTTGTTGGGCCAGAGTTGGGTGGAAACAGAGCCCAGTATTTTAGGCAGTGCCTTTTAGAACTAGTGTTCACAGGAGATGATTATGAGGCTGAACTAAGAGACAAATTACTGGTGAAACAGCCTGCTGGGGTGAGGTAGATCTCAGAGTAGCAGGTGACTTTGATCATGACTGACTGAATGGTCTTATATATCTATATCTGTGTTGAACTAAGGAACTGTATTTATGCCTCATCTAAGTGTGAAAAACTCATTTTTTCTTTACTACCTTCACTTGCTTTTGTAGCCAGATTTTTAACTCCACCTACAGGCCCTCAAAGGAGAAATGATGAAGCAAGAGAACAAAATGGTTAAGCAGTGATGGATGATGAGAGAGAGTCATTCATTCTCTCATCCATCCATCCATTGATCCATTCTCCATCCATCCATCCATCCATCCATCCATCCATCCATCCATCCATCCAATATAGTTTGAGTACCTGCGCAGGGCAAGTCTCTGTACTACGTGCCATGAGAACATCAAGATGAACTAGACACAAATAATATTTTCAGCCAACTTGAGGTTGAACGGGAGAGTTACAAACTGTCTAATACGTAATAGAAAAATGATATATACTATAAAAGAGTTCTGGGCAAAATATTAAGCGTATAGGAGTATATCAGTCCTTGTCAGTATTTCGTGCCCTCTTATTGTGGAAGATACCAAAGAGCAGCATAGCATCATTTAAATTCCACTCTCAGAGTGAGAGTTTATTATACAGATAAAATCAACTAGAGGGTGTGTGTGTGTGTGTGTGTGTGTGTGTGTGTGTGTATTCCTTGTGGCATTAGATACATTAGATAATCCTAAAATGGATTAGATATGCCTACACAACTGGGGCATTTTAAATAAAAAGGATCAGCACCATAGGAAAGGTAAACAAATAAAAAAATTAAAAGGAAAGAGGTCTTTCCTTTTTTCTTTCTTTCCCTTCCTCCTTCCCTCCCCCCCCCCTCCCTCCTTCCCTCCCTTCCTTCCTCCCTCCCTCCATCCCTCCCTCCTTTCTCTTTCTCTCTCCCCTTCCCTTCCCTTCCCTTCCCTTCCCTTCCCTTCCCTTCCCTTCCCTTCCCTTCCCTTTCCTTCCCTTCCCTTTCCTTTCCTTTCCGATTTCCCTCCTTCCTTCCTTTTCTTGTAAGAGACAGGGTCTCACTCGAGTGCTCAGGCTGGAGTGCAGTAGAACGATCATAGCTCACTGAAGCCTCGAACTCCTGGGCTCAAGGGTTCCTCCTGTCTCAGCTTCCTGAGTAGCTGAGACTATAGGTGGGCACTACCCTGCCCAGCTAAGGAAAGAGTTTTATTGCCTACTTTCCTGAGTCAGCATCTGTTTAAATAATAGAACAGAAGAAAATTCTGGAATCTAAGTAGGCACTGTCCTCTTAGCTGCAAAGGGCACTAGGACTAATATTTGTTCATTTAAAGCAGAAGTGGCAACTCAGATGCCTGTCAGGGCAGATAGGTGATTTAAATGAGTGACGCCAGCCAGATTGTATTTTCATGAAAGACACATTTGTTTTGCATGTTGAATATATAGTAATATTCTTCACTTCTGTAAAAAATGCTCTTCTCCCCATTTTTTTCTTGAAATACAGAGTCCATATTTATCTTTTGTTTTCTTATTTTTGTTAGGCATGGATAGGAGAAATATTTCACCTTCTTTACTGGAAGGAAAAGAACAGTTCAAAATGCAATGATAAAGGGCTCCTGATACCCAACTGCAGTGTCAAGGAGGCAGTAGGGAATGGCAAGGAATGTGGCTACCTCACCACATGCACAGAGAATACACGTCTGGTCTAATGGGGCAGCTTCTTTTCAGCTCTGGCCAATCATTGCCACAGGAAAATATGGGCTCAGTATTGCCTGACTTTCTGATTTTTCAAGAAAAGATGGAAATATAGATTTTCATGTGAAATCTCCCACTTTTTAAATGTTAGTACTTTTTACAAAAAAGATACAATAAACCATGTGCACCACATAGACAATGCCTGTAGGCCTCCAATTTGCATCATTTGATTTAAATAATATTTTATAATTTTTATCTTTTCTATGCCAGCTTCCATCACTGCCACGTACAAATTCTAGTGTCTTAGTTTGAGATGAGAGTGGGAATAAAAGCCAGCCTGTGTTAGAGGTAAGAAATGAAGTTTGAGGCCCATTGCAGTGGCTTGTGTCTGTATTCCCAGCACTTTGAAAGGCCAAGGCAGGAGGATCACTTGAGTTTAGGAGTTTGAAACCAGCCCAGGCAAGATGATGAGACCCCTGTCTCCTCCCCGCTCCACCAAAAAAAAAATTAGCTAGGCATGATGCTGTGTGCCTACAGTTCCAACTACTCGGGAGGCTGAGGTGAGCGGATCGCTTGAGCCCAGGAGATTGAGGCTGAAGTGAGCTGTGTTCATGCTACTGCACTCGAGTCTGGGCAACAGAGTGAGACCCTGTCTCTATTTATTAAAAAAAATAAATTTGAGGGGAAGAAAAAGAAAAAAACCTGAGATACTTTTGTTCATCTCCTCACCAAATAAATATTGTCAGGACTGTCTTGTTCTCCTCGTGGAGAACTAATATATGTCTCGGCCTAGTACTTACATTTTTGAAACAACAAATTGGGACACGTGATCTGACAGTAGGACATAGTATTGAAATGTGGGAATGTCCAGGACAATCTGGGACACATGGCAGACATTCTTACAGAAACCCAAATAAAGTACCTTAGTGACTCACTACGTTGCTTACTTTCCAGGCGGCAGCCTTCTGTCACCAGGTCTTTTTGTATTTTTGTCTTTTTCAATATCTTGGTAACTAAAACTCCTTGGATGGACCTGCCTTCTAGTGAACTGCAAATACACAGAGGCTCCTGTGTTTGCATGACTGTCCGAACCTTCAGCTCTGGCTGTTGGCAGCACCGAAACACCTTGCTGACCCCAGCGTGGCTTGCACTGGTCCCCTGTCTGCAATGGAGAGAAAGACCCATGGGTTAGTACATAGGCCCACTTGAAAGTGCTTTCCCACATTTGTTGCAATGCCAAAGTATAGAAGGAAGTGCAGGGGGAAGTACTGTCAGGCCCAAATTAAGAGTCTTCTCAGAGAAGGCTTGAGCTGATTTTGGATAGCGGCTGGTGGCTGCAAGGGGAGGGAGACTAGAGGGCAGCAGTGGTGTCATGGGAAAGTCTGGTCTCTGTCTTAGCTCAAACTCAAGAGTGTTTTGGCCCCAGGCTATTCAGTGGAAGTCCAGGAGTGGTGACTACCTGGAAGAACAGGAGGGCTTGTGCTGTTATCAAATATATTTTTTAAATCCACCATTTCTTTAAATCTATGCTGATCTCACAAAACGTGCTGAATACAATCCACTTGCTACCAGTTGGAGCCCTGGCCTAGTTCCTCTCTGAGGGCCCTCTAGCTATGACCCCTCATTATTTGATAGTATTTTAAAAACCCAACCTGAAAGCTAAATGCTTTAAACCCCTGAAATGAGGTCAGGTGGGTGTGTGGCCAGACAGCATCTAGAAAGAAATGCTGTTGCTCTCAGAGAAAACTGAAGCGGAGCCAAGGACTGAGCAGGCATCCACTTCTTTTCCCATGTGGACTTTCTCACCTTCCTATGTGGGCCTGTGTTCTCTTAACTTTTTGTTTAGACCATGGTAGATTTAAATCCAGATCATATCTAAATCTTTAATAGTAATTGACCACATTCCGTTCAATGCTTTCCCACGTCTGCCAACATGCCAAGTGGGGTTTGGTAGATTGGATCTGGACTTGTGACAATCTCTGATATGACTTTTGAAGTGCTAAAGAATAATCTTGTGTTGGAATGGGGTGGGAGGAGGGTGAAGTGGTGCTGTTTCTTGGAATTTGAACTCTTTCTCCTCTCTGTTGACAATGAGAATATGGAGTAAAGTCCATTTGTTTAACGGGGTTTTCCCTGACTGCGTATTCGCTTACACAGTGGTGGTGGTTGTTAACTGTTTCAGATATGTACATGCACTGAGTGGCTTGGCTATGAATGTGGGTTTTATAGACTCATAGAATATCAGAGCTAGAAGGAATATTTGAGAGATCTCATCCACCAAAGTCCTCATTTTACTGATGAGGAAACTGAGGCCTAGGGAGGGAAAGTGACACAGTGATTTAGTGGCAGAGCTAGTACAAGAGCTGGGGTTTCTTTCTTTTTTTCAATCCAGAGCTCTTCATCTTTATTATTTGCGACTGTGGAAGAGCTACATAGATCAGTTGTGGAGATCAATCATCCCCTCATCCATGACTCTGGTACTTTCCTTCCTAAGAAGTCAATAAATAATTATGAACCCACTATAAATGAGAGCCACTATGGAAAATGCTGCCAGTAAAAATTATGCTTCCTAGATGCAGACTTATTATAGCCAATGAGTTCACAGACTTATCAATCAGTAGGGACACTTAAGATGTTCATATATTTGCCAGCTCCACTGTCCCTAATTGCTACCAGCACTGTTTTTAGTTGGTTAGATAACTATAATTGTGGTAACTGTTAAAAACATTTTCATGTTTAAAAAACCATGTTTGGTGAGTAGGTTGACCAAAAAAAGAAAAAAAAAACCTTTCATGTTATACTTTTTACATTTTAGTACTGAATATGGAGTAGGTACTCAGTAAGTATGTATTGAATGAAATAAATGCTTCACTGCAATTTCAGGGTTTTGCTGTTCTTTCCGCTGGCCCAGGCTTCTTTGGGGAAGTAGTTCTGCCTACATTCTCTTAAGGCCTCCAACTAAAACATATTTTCTTTAAAAATTTTTTTAAATGTATTTTTTATTTTATTATTTATTTATTTATTTATTTATTTATTTTTAGCAATGAGGTCTCTTTCACCGAGGCTGGAGTGCAGTGGTATCATCATAGCTCACAGCATCCTTGAACTCCTGGGCTTGAGCCATGCTCACACCTCAGTCTCCTGAGTAGCTGGGACCACAGGAACATGCCACTACAGCTGATTAATTTTTTATTTTTGTAGAGACAGGGTCTTGCTATGTTGCCCACACTGATCTCGAACTCCTGGGCTCAAGTGATCCTCCTGCCTTGGCCTCCCAAAGTGCGTGGATTATAGGTGTGAGCCACTGCACTTAGCCTGACACCTCTTTATTTCTAATCTCCTCTGTTCCCCTCACAGTTCAGAAGTTTACCTGGACATAGTGCTTCTCAAATAATTCTACTTCTTCTAATGGTAAGGGAAAGTATATACCCTCTGGCGAGTCAAGGAGTAGTTTAAAGTGGCTTCTTGCAAGTACTTAATTTCTGTTAAAGCTTGTCTTTTACTGTCTAAATATATGAGAACTTTTTATTCTGCTTCATTCTTTGTTTGAATAGAAAATTATTATTTACTCTCAAATTTTGGGGTAAAATTGCTGCTCAGGAAAATGTGTCATTTTAATATTCCATGGCATTCCCTAGGACTCCCAAGCCACATCATAGGATCCCAATTTGAGGAACATGGAACTAGAAAGTATCTAGTATAGCTGGATGCAGTGGCACATGCTAAGATGGGAGGATCACTTGAGGCCAGGAGTTCAAGTCCAGCTTGAGCAACATAGTGAGAGCCTGTCTCTTGAGGAAAATAATTTTTTAAAAAAGGAAATATCTGGTGGATCCAGCCCCTTGAAGCAAGGTCATTGTTCTTAGCCTGGGGAGGTTATGATATCTAATTTCTTTGGAATTAGAGCAGTAGTTTTCAAAAAAAAAAAAAAAAACAAACTGGCTGGGCATGCTGGCTCATGCCTGTAATCCCAGCACTTTGGGAGGTTGAGGCGGGCAGATCACGAGGTCAGGAGATTGAGACCATCCTGGCTAACATGGTGAAACCCCATCTCTACTAAAAATACAGAAAATTAGCCAGGCGTGGTGGCACGCACCTGTATTCCCAGCTACTCGGGAGGCTGAGGCAGGAGAATCACTTAAACCCGGGAGGCAGAGGTTGCAGTGAGCCAAGATTGCACCACTGCACTCTGGCCTGGGTGATAGAGCGAGACTCCATCTCAAAACAAAACAAAACAAAAAATACTATCCAAGTAATGTTTCCTTTAAAATAAGGCTGGCATGGAAGACCAATATGTAAGATTTGGGTCTTTTCTGGTAAAGGCAGGGGATTGGAGGTCAAGAACCTTACTCCTTTGGGTCCCTTCCCCATGTAATCTCTGAAAGCAGTTTAAAAAGTTTTAAACTAGGGTGAAACCATTCTTCATTCAAATCTGGCATCTTTCATTCATTCAACATTTACTCACTTGATGTTTGTTGAGTGATTACTGTGTGTGAGCTAGCTTTGTGGAGATCTGGTGAAAGAGCCTTCCAGGTGGAGGGAAGAGCAAGTACAAAACCTTGAGGTGGAAGGGAAAAGAGAAAAGAGGAGACAAGAATGGCACTAAGGTTTGTTTTTTCCCCAAATATATTACCACATTAGACACTAAAGTTTTTGATCTGAGCAATCAGAAGAATGAGGTTGCCCTTAGCTGAGATAAGAAGACTGAGGGAAGAGAAGGGTTTGTGTCTAGGGGGTGGGGTAGGTGGGGGCAGAGGGAATATCAGGAACTCATTTAGACATGTTAAATTTGAGATGTCTGTCCTATATCCAGTTAAAGATGTCTGGTAAGCGGTTGGATGTATAAATCTTGAATTCAAGGCAAAGTTCAGGCTGGAGATTGACATTTTCCCACATCCCTGTAATAAGAATGTGGAAATACATCAGAAATACATCAGCAAACTGTCTTTCCACAAATGGCATGCACCCAGAAGGTTCATGGCTTCTAGTCCTAGTCACTTGAGGCTGCTGCATTCCAGTTGGCATATGTACAGACAATCCATTGCTTTCACCCTTAACAAGTGAGTTGGATAAACATGTCCGCACTTTCTTTCAAGGATCCCTAGAGATGACTTGTGAAGCTCAGAAACACAGTTCCAATGGAACTACATTTCATGATCTCAGATCCAGAACATTGCTTTTCAGTTGTAATGGCCTCCTTAGAGGGCCACAAAAACTTTGAAATAAAGCAAAGAAAATTTGTTTAGCCACCAAGGCTGTCCTTGCAGAACCCAGGACAGATCACAAAACTGGCATTATTGCACATTATGAATGACTTATCAAGAGGAAATCCTCTTCAAAGGAATGTCAAGGGCAGACTTGAGGGGAAAAGAAGTTAAAAAAGCAACAGGGAGCCCTGGGAGCAGGGGTGCAGTGTTGGGGGGGTGGGGGGAGGAGTGGCAGATTGGCTTTGCCAAGATCACAGAAGGAACAGTTTTCTTGACTTGTGTGCAGAGGAGCTCCAGTTTTTACTTAGTATCAGAGCACCAAGCCACCTCCCTCTATCCCAGTAGCTGCATCCTAGAGTAACTGCTCAACACCAGGTCCAAAGCGTGGGAACTGGAGAAAGGCCACTAGTCACTCAGCACTGACAAATATAGTAAACTCCTGCTGTCTTTGTTAGAGTGTGGGAGGCTGGGGAAGGGAGGAGGTTGATACAGGATGAGGGAGTAGATGAAAAAGTACAGGAAAGAGTATTATTGGGCGTTCTAGAAGGGAGAGCTGAAAATGGGTTAGAGAAGACTTTCAGGAGTAGGTGGCATTTAAATGACAAGCAGGATTTGACTAGGCAGAAATGGAGAAAAGGGAAATCCTAGCAAAGGAAATGGCATGAGCAGAGGGAGATGTCTTCAAGGAATAGTAAATTAAAGTGGGCAGAGTTAAAGTAAGTGAAAGAGGGCATGAAAAGGAAAGCCATACAGTGTTGTGGTTAAATACATAGTCTCTGGAGTCAGACACATTGGTGTGAAGCCAGGCTCTGCAATTTACTATGTGACCTTGGGCAAGTTACTCAACCTATTTTATCCTCTGTTTCCTTAATGTAAAATGAAAATAATAAAATTAATTGCATAATAGGGTGTTTGTGAGTATTTAATGAGATAATATCTAAGTGCTTGGCACAGTTCTATTTAAGTGCTTGGCATAGTTCTCTATAACCTAACTATCAATCATACTAGGAAGGAAATTACACTAAAACATTTATAGTAGTTATACTTGGGTTTAGGGATTAAGGGGAATTTTTCTCTGTTTTACTATTTTCTTTTCTTACATATACATTCTCACAGCAATAATTAGAAAAAGCAAAACAACTTTTCTTTCTTTTTAAGCATGTGTGAAAGGTCCGGGCGCAGTGGCTCATGCCTGTAATCCCAGTACTTTGGAAGGTCAATGCGGGCGAATCACTTGAGATCAGGAGTTCGAGACTGGCCTGGCCAACATGGCGAAATGCTTTCTCTACCAAAAAATGCAAAAATTAGCCAAGCGTGGTGAGACATGTCTGTAGTCCCAGCTACACTGGAGACGGAGGCATCAGAGTTGCTTGAACCTGGAAGGTGGAGGTTGCAGTGAGCTGAGATTGAGCCACTGCACTCCAGCCTGGGTGACAGAGTGAGACCCTGTCTCATTACAAAATATGTGTAAAAGGCAATAGAAAACAATAAGATAAGAAAAATAGATTGAGGCTAGGCCGTCAAGCACATTCTTTTATGGCAAGGGTTTCAAATTACATTTCATGAGTTCTAAGATTCTATATAAGTGCTTCTGGGGTCTACAGATACTTGGTTTAAATTTCTCCTTTAAAAATATATGGTGAGGCCGGCGTGGTGGCTCATGCCTGTAATCCCAGTGCTTTGGGAGGCTGAGGCAGGTGGATGGTTTGAGCTCAGGAGTTCGAGGCCAGCCTGAGCAACATGTCAAAACCCTGTCTCTACAAAAAATACAAAAATTAGTTGGGTGTGGTGGCGTGTGCCTGTAGTCCCAGCTAGTCGGGAGGCTGAGGCAGCAGCATTGCTTGAGCCCAGGAGACGGAGGCTGCAGTGAGCCCAGATTATGGCACTGCACTCGAGCCTGGGCAACAGAGCCAGATCCTGTCTCAAAGTATATATATATATTTTCAAACTCTAATAAAATTAAAACTATGTAAAATACATAAAAATTAGCATAGTAGAGACAATTAAAATTATGCTACCTCTTGACCCATTTTGTGTAGACTTTATAGTAAAGTGTCTTGTACAAATAAAGTATCTTACAAGATGAACTGCTAAAATTGTTAGCATTTGCAGCTACTTATCTATGGGTAAGAATTTTCTCAATACTGTACCACCAAAATAAAAAAACAGAAATAAGTGGGGCATGGTGGGGCATACCTGTAGTTGCAGCCACTCGGGAGATTGAGGATTGCTTAAGCCCAGGAGCTCCAGGCTGCAGTGCGCTATGATAGTGCCTGCGAATAGCCATTGCACTCCAGCCTAAGACCCAGCTCTATTATAAAACAAAAGCAAAAACAGAATCAAATTGGATGTTAATATAAGAATGTAGTTCCCTAGCCCTTGATTTCAGGTTTTTGTGTTTATCAAAAGAGCCCCATTTTTCTCACTGATTGATTTCAAAATACATAGATGTAATGATTTTTAACTTACAAAAGAAATTCATGTTAATAATGTAATCACCCAATGGGCTCACCTTGCCTGCTGCCTAGACAGAGCCGATTTCTCAAGACAGGGGAATTGCAAGAGAGAAAGAGTAATTCGTGCAGAGCTGGCTGTGCCTGAGACTGGAGTTTTATCATTACTCAATTCAGTCTCCCTGAGTATTCAGGGATCAGAGGATAATTTGGTGGGTGAGGGAAGGCCAGTGAGTCAAGAGTGCTTATTGGTTGGGTCAGAGATGAAATCATGGGAAGTTGAAGCTGTCCTCTCTTGCTGAGTCAGTTGCTGGGTGGGGGACACAAGATCAGATGAGCCAGTTTATTGATCTGGGTGGTATCAGCTGATCCATCAAGTGCAGGGTCTGCAAAATATCTCAAGCACTGATCTTAGGAGCAGTTTAGGGAGGGTCAGAATCTTGTAGCCTTCAGCTGCGTGACTCCTAAACCATAACTTGTAATTCTGTGGCTAATTTGTTAGTCCTACAAAGACAGTCTAGTCCACAGGCAAGGAGGTTTGTTTTGGGAAAGGGCTATTATCATCTTTGTTTTAAACTATATACTGTAAACTAAGTTCCTCCCAAAGTTATTTCAGCCTACACCCAGGAATGAACAAGGACAGCTTGGAGGCCAGAAGCAAGATGGAGTTGGTTAGGTCAGATCTCTTTCACTGTCTCAGCCACAAACCTGCAATGGCAGTTTCAATAAGATATCACTTTTTTGTGTTTTATACACCGGAGTTCTGTGACAGGTTTTTGTCTAAGATAGCATTCATTTGATTTTGAAAAATAAAAATGTCTGAAAACCAATATTCTATAGGAATTGGGGGCCTCTGAAAGTTTTGGGGTTGGGGAATATAAATCTTATATCTGTGCATCTGGAAAGTTTATTTGGCAGCAATGTGAGAGATGGATTGATGGGGAGAAATTGGAGACTAGAATTAGGGAGAATAGTGCCTAACTAGAGGATAGGGCAGTGGATACGGGGAGAAGATGGATGACAGAGATGCTGAGGGGCAGATTGACATGACTTGACAGAGCATGACAACTGATTACTTATGAGAAAGGGGAGTCAAAGATGATGTGCTGAAGTTTAAAACCCAAGTCCCCAAGATGAATGCATTGCTGTCCTCAGAGATCATAGACACAGGAAGAGGAGTAGATTTAAGGAACAGAGGCAGGAGATGATGAGTTCATTTTGGAGTATGTTGAGTCTCAGGGGTCTATGGACAGAAAAGTAGAAGAGATGCCATTCAGCAGTGGGAGATATGAGTCTAGAACTCAGGAGATTATTCTGAACTGGAGATGGAGATGAAGATTTGGGAGTGATCCACTTAGAATAGATAAGGCCCAAAAATTGGTAATGCAAACTATGAATAGAAGTATAGTGAGATTATTGTTTTTTAAAACTTTTTTTTTTTTTTTTTTTTAGAGACAAAGTCTCACTCTGTTGCCCAGGCTGGAGTGCAGGGGCAGGATCACAGCTTACCGTAAGCTTGAACTCCTGGGCTCCAGCAGTTCTCCTGCCTTGGCCTGCCAAAGTGTAGGATTACAGACATGAACCACCATGCCTGGCCTTGGCCAATACTCTTTGTGTAAAATTGCGTCATGATGCCAATTTACAAAGTTTTATTTCATTTTAAATGAAGTAACATAGTTGCTCTCAGTCTGTGCTAGATAGTGAGTTGGAATTGCACTGGGTAGTGTTTTTCCAGCTTAATTTTAGAGGCAGGACCTAGGTGGACCTTGGAATACCCATGTCAGAGCATTGACTCAGCTTCACCTGGTAGAATTAAGTAGGCCTAAGTGGATCACAGATGAAGATAATACAGCTACATGCCCAATCTGCCACAGACTACAAGCAGTTTATGTTTCACTAGTAGGAATATTTAGATAGATGCCAGAATGATGTGAATTATAGATGTCATGCAAAAATCCCGGTGCTGCTAGAGAAAAAGACTTATTTGCTAACAAAGAGCTGTCACTTAACATATTGTGGTATGCTTGCAGTTTAGAATCTGAAAAATAATGAAATTTTAGAACTCAAATGCCCTATGGAGTTCTTTTATTTCAACTTTCTAATTTAACATTTAACCCAAAATCTTACTTGGTAGCAGAGCTCAGAACTGAGATCAGCCCAGTGTGCTTCCCGTGATATTGCATTCCATCCAATTCCATTCCTTTAATTTTAAACTACAATACAATAGTTCTCTAATTCAATGAGATTTGAGGCATATAAAGGAAATTAACCTTATCTCTAAAAGGATGTATATGTATCATGCAGTGCTTGACCTGAGGTAAGATGGGGAAGCTACAACTGTTCCATGACTTTTTACCTGTGTGATTAAATTACTTCCTTATTTCTCCTCATATGTATTTGCATTTATAGAATGCAGTTGAAGAATGTGGATTATACAAATGGTAGCTAAATTTGCAAGGAAATGATCTATGCAACTATGTTGGCTGGGTGTGGTGGCTCATGCCTGTAATCCCAGCACTTTGGGAGGCCAAGGTGGGCGCATCACTTGACGTCAGGAGTTCAAGACCAGCCTGTCCAACATGGTGAAACCCCGTCTCTACTAAAAATACAAAAATTATCTGGGTGTGGTGGTGCACGCCTGTAGTCCCAGCTATGTGGGAGGCTGACGTGGGAGGATCACTTGAATCTGGGAGGCGGAGGTTGCAGTGAGCCAAGATTGCACCACTGCACTCCACCCTGGACCACAGAGCAGACCCTGTTTGAAAAAAAAAAGAATGTCAATATGCTAAAAGTTAAGGGGTGGTTGGTGAGAAGGTGGTAGTCACACTTGAAATGTGTGGAAACAAGCAGTGTGGCTGGACTACCTCTTCCTTCCTTCCTTCTTTCCTTTCCTTCCTTCCTTCCTTCCTTCCTTCCTTCCTTTCCTTCCTTCCTTCCTTCCTTCCTTCCTTCCTTCCTTCCTTCCTTCCTTCCTTCCTTCCTTCCTTCTCTCTCTCTCTCTCTCTCTCTCTTTCTTTCTTTCTTTCTTTTTGGGAGTTTCGCTCTTGTCCAGGCTGGAGCGCAATGGTGTGATCTCGGCTCACTGCAACCTCCACCTCCCGGGTTCAAGTGATTCTTCTGCCTCGGCCTCCTGAGTAGCTGGGATTACAGGCATGTGCCACCACGCCCAGCTAATTTTGTATTTTTAGTAGAGATGGGGTTTCTCCGTGTTGGTCAGGCTGGTCTTGAACTCCTGACCTCAGATGATCCACCTGCCTCAGTTTCCCAAAGTGCTGGGATTACAGGAGTGAGCCACCGCGCCTGTCCATGGTCTCCTCCTTTCTTCACTAACCCTTACTAAGCCTCTCATTTATAACATCTTAGAAGTGGTACTTATTTCAAGGTGGTGAATGAAATGCAAGACAAACTGAAGTCAACAGATGGTTGTGTGATCAGAGTGCAATTTGCAATTTTGTCTCAAAAAGAGTACTAATTGGGAGAGACTGACTTTTATTGACCCAAGTTAGAAATAATCAAGTAGCATCTTTACACAATTAAAATAGTATAATCACAGTTAGATTTTCAGGATTTTCAGTGTCTCTGAACTTTTCTTTTTCACAATCTTTTTTTTTTCTTTTCTTTTTTCATTTTTAGAGATGGTCTCACTGTCACCCAGCCTGGAGTGCAGTGGCACCATCATAGCTCACTGCAGCCTGGGCTCAAACAAGTCTCCTGGGCTCAAGCAAGTCTCCCACCTCAGCCTCCCAAGTAGCTGAGACTACAGCAACGTGCCACCATGCCCAGCTAATTTTTTTTATTTTTATTTTTTGTAGAAACAGGGTTTTGCTATGCTGGCTGGTCTTGAACTCCTGAGTTCGATTGATCCTCCTGCCTCAGTCTTTCAAAGTACCGGGATTAGAGGCATGAGCCACCTCATCTGGCCTTCTTCTGATTTAAAAAACATATAATCATTATAGAACACTTATAAAAACACAGAAAAATATAAGAAGGAAAATAAAGCTCATTCATAATCCCATTTCCCTTGTTTTTTGGTCCGTCGAGGCATTTTATTTGTATGTATTTATTACATGCCTAGAAAAAAAAGTCTCAGGTTTCCCCTCCTGTGTGTTTTCATCTTGTTTCTTCATGGTCCATGATGTTAGCTGAAGTTGTCAGTACAGTGAAACCTAACTGACAGATGGGAGCAGATTATTCTGTCATTTTTCTAGATCTTGTTAAGGTCTGAGCAAGAGTACTATCTGCCCTCCCCCCTCCTTTTTTTTGGTTGTCAAATGATTCTTTATTGAAATATTTTCCTTCGTACTTCTTAACTAGCTGGGCATTCCACTGTACCACTGTTGATGTCCTCTATGATGTCATGACAGTGGTGGCGGCCATCAACATTGCAGCCCACAGATTGGGAAGTCCCCAGGATCTCTTTAATGGTACCAGAGAGTTCTCTGGCTAAAGATCAGTGCCACACCTGTCCAGCAAGTTGATAATCTCATCAAAAGTGATATTTCCATTGTGTCTAATGCTTTTTGTTTCTTTCTGTCTTTTGCTGGTCCCTTGAGGGCTTCGATGACCAGGGCAGAGACAGAAGGTACTGCCTCAGTCTGGGCCTGTCTCTTCTGATGGTCAGTTTCACTGTAATCCTCAGACCCTTCCGGTCACCAGTTCCCTTGGTGATGTCATATCCAGCCTTTTTCTGGAGACAGATCCAGGGTGCTGATCTTGGGAGCCAGGGCAGATGTGTCACCGACTTCATTACTAGTGCACCTCATGTATATGACTTAGATCTCATTGGGGTTGAACTTAGGTGGCATGATGAGGCAGCTGGTGTTAGATGAACCCAGATTCAGGATGACTGAAGAAGGTTGCACCTTGGCCTTCTCTGAGCTGGAAACTGAAAGGGTACCTTTCTGAAATGATAAAATTCACATATAGGAGTGATTAAAAACAGTAAACATAGAAATTCTCAAAGTAAAATCGCAGGCTAAATTTATAAAATAATAAAAGTCCACACTTTTATTGATCCAAGTTAGAAATAATAGTACTTAAATGATTATCATTTGACCTTTAGTGTACAGATGCCACCCATCGCAGATCTCCTTCTGGTCTACCTCTCAGGCAGGCAGGAAGGAAGGAAGCAGAGTGATACAGAAGCTAGCTGGAGTGTTGCTAACCAGCAGGGTGATCTTTAGGGCCCAACAGCTCATAGGGCACATTGTTATTGAGGTCACTATGGTGGCAGAACAGCCTGGTTCTGCAATGAATCTTTTATCCTGACTGTGTCCTCCCATTTCAACTTTAAGTCAGTCGGTTGACATCTGTTTATTGAGCACAGCTGAGGTAGGCATTTAGGATACAGAAAACATCTAAATCAGATATGTTTCCTGGCTTTATGGAGATTGAAGACTAGTGGGAGTGATCAGCATTAAATAATTACACCAATAAACAGAGTAACAGAATAGGTGCACTTCTGTGATTTCTGTTCTGAACAACCTTCCTTTTATGTAGTTAAAATATGGAAAGTTATATTTTCCCTATATAACCTATTATATATAGAATATTCCTGTTCACAGAATACATTTACATACAAGGTAGTACTCACAAACCAACTATATGCTATTTTATGGGAGATTTAAGTGGTTATTAATAGTAATCTTGACTCTGCTATTTTTACCCCATATGCTGATTTTAGAACTTAACCTTTGGGTAAACTGGAGCTTCATTGTGATAAAGGTCTTAGCACCTGAGGGAACACAGGTGCTAAGAGACAAAGTAACCAAACGACTCTATTTAGATTGGGGAAACAGCAAAGTCTCACTGCTTCTACTCTTTGCCAACCCCTTTGTAGATTCTCAGAGACCCCGATTGGGTCTTTGCCAAGATCTGGAATAATTGTCTTAAAATGTAGCTCTGAAGCAGCAGTTCAGCTTTGTAGGAAAATAAGGTATTAATAGGAATGAGACACTGAAGAGGTATCTCAGGCAGTAGTTCTGAAGTAGTTCAGAAATGTTCAACCCCACTCTTTATACAGAGCTGCTCTTTGTTTCATGTCTGATTTCTTCTACATGAATAATACCCATTCTTGAATTCAGATACAACAATCCGACATTCATTGTCATGATAAAAATAGAAAACGACAGGAATTGATTTTTCATAGCAATTAGTCCTAGGTCTGTTTTCTGATTTCTTGAGCACATACAGGCAAAAGAGGCAGGGCAGTAATATGGAAGAGAGTGCCTCATGCATTTAATAGGAGATCGTTGTGTTGCCAATCAGGAATGATGAAGGATACTATATTTCAGAGAGTTTTTTTTCTCATTTCAGATTTAATTTTTCCTCATATATAAGCAACATCTTCTGCTAAGAGCAGAATTGTATAGTTAACAACAACAACTTTATCAGGTGTTTTAAAATTCTCTTTTCATGCTTACCATCTGAGGGACCATTTTTCAATCCCATGTGTTTTGATTGTACCAAAAGGACCTGATAAGATCAATTACAATAATGTATAGAGTAGCATTTTTGTAAACGATCACATGTTTTAGGATGATAAGGTACTATTACTCTTCATTCATTTTACAACTATTTATTGAGAGACTATGCTGCACCAAGCACTGCACTAGATGCTTGGAAAAATGCAAAGAACAAGGCAGGCAAAGTCCAATTTGAGACCTCAGAGAAATTACATTTCAGAGGGGGTGACAGCCAGTAACCCAGAGTATGGGATAAATTCTGGAGACTTCACTCCATCATCTAGATAACTTGCCATTCAAAATGCCATTCAATCATTACTTCCCTCAACTAGTATTCCTTTCTACCATGGTGTGTGCACATTTGCATCATAGCACTTATCTCACTATAGTGGGATAGGTCTTGGCTTACCTACCTAGCTCCTCTGTTACATTGTTAGCTCCTGAAAGGCAAGGGACATGTCCCATTACCTCCTTGGTATCTATAATTTTTTACTTGCACATACAATGTACTTAATTAAAGTTTGTAGTAATAGATCAGTTAATGCGATGCATGGTGATTAACCTTGGCTCTGAAATTATGGACTATTGCACAAGAACTATAAAATAGGAAGTGCTATCCAAAATCATATAGTCTAGCCTCCCTTCGCATACGAGGAACTTGAGCTCTGCTGATATGCTGTGCTTTGGGCAGAGCAAATCATTCTGTGTTTTAGTGTTCTCAACTGTAAGCTAGAGATAAGAGAATTTTGGAGCTGAAAGAAAGTTCACAAAGATTTCCTTATCCAAACATTTCATTTGAGAGGTGAATAAGTTGAGGCCCAGAAAAATGAAGCAGCTTGTCTAAATTTCCACAGCAAGTTAGTAGCAGAACCCAAAGCAGGTCTTCTGGCACCTATAATAATTCTTATTTCACAATCCCATGTCCTTTCTCCCTGTAAACCTTAGTATTGCCACAAGATTTCTGTGAAGTTACATGGAAAGAATAGGTATGGATACTGTGGCTAGAGTATAAATTAGTGTTACCACTTTCAAAAACACTGGTATTATCTAGTGAAGATGTACATCCTCTACGACCCAATGGTTCAACTCCAGGGAATACTCCTGAGAAATTCTTGTACATGTAAGTAAAGAGGCATGTACAAAAATATTTAGAGCAGCTTTGATAATAATAGTAAAAAAAGAGAAATAAACAGCCTCAATGTTCAACACTGATATCCAATGACAGAAAATAGATAAATAAATATATGTATAAACATAAGATGAAACATGATGTAGGAAAGAAAACAAATCTCATAAACATAATATTGAGTGAAAAAGCAATTTCACCTCCAGTGTCAACATCCAGAATGTTTCATGTAGTATAATATCATCTATAGAAAGTTCAGGCTGGGAGACCTTGTCTCTCTAAAAAAAAAAATTTAGCCAGACGTGGTGGCACACATCTGTAGTCCCAGCTACTCAGGAGGCTGAGGTGGGAGGATCACTTGAGGCTGCGAGGTCGAAGCTTCAGTGAGCCATGGTTGCACCTCTGCATTCCAGCCTGGGCAACAGAGCAAGTCCCTGTCTCAAAAAAATTATATGTATGTATGTATGTATGTATGTATGTATGTATCTATATCTATATCTATATATATTTAAAAATTAAAAATGGAACGTTTGATTATGAGCAAAGCTAAGCAATATATGTGGTAAAACAATAAATAGCAATAAAGAAATGACAAATACAAAATACTAAAAGGTCTAGTGTAATATTCAGCCCAAACCAAATATCATCATTGTAGAATGAACTTGTGAGATAAAACAAGTCTGAAACTTCATTTAAAAAATGTATTATTGCTATACTTCCATTATTAAACCGTTTAATATCCAAATTGTTTTAGTTTTACCTTCAGTATAGGAACAGTGTTTTTTTTAACACTGTTAACTGTTAGATTGCTCCTGATCTACACATTTATGAAACTAAATAGATGTTCACTGTCAACTGAGGTCAGTACAGAACCAAGCTATTTTTAGGGTGCTTCTATTTTCTTTAATATTTTCATCTTTGTTATACTCTGCATATTCTCTATTATGTATGTGGTTGAAGATGATTTGTCATGGATGTAGTTATAAATGATTTTGGAGTTTTCCTCCTTGTGAAACTTAGAGGTGACAATGCTGATTTTTAATTCATCATCACAAAATACTAAGGCCTCAAATGGGACTTTTCCTTAAAAGGCTTATTTATGGCCTATATGGAATTAGATACTTGAAAGTTAACTTCATTCCTTAAAGATGATGTTGTTTCATGTGGGAAACACAAGTACGTCAAACTAATAAAAAATATTTGAATTACTATCCAATCTAATTTATACTATTTGCTCTGGAATTATTATGTAATTTTTATAAACATTTATTAGCTTGAAAAGTATATAATTTTTTCATATAGTTATCAAGTAAACACACTCTTTTAAAATATTTATACTAACTCTCAACCTATTTGCCTATTGTTCATTTTTAAGAGATAGGATCTTGCTCTGTTGCCCAGGTTAGATTTGAACTCCTGGCGTCAAGTGATTCTCCTGTCTCAGCCTCTGAGTAGCTAGGATTCCCTGTTAATTTAACTACTTGACGTGCGTAGTCATGGTGCTTGTACATAAATTTAACAGCTTCCTCAATCATTATTTATTAGTGCAGCATTTTACTCCTGCAATAATAGATGTGTATTTAGGCTCCGAGTGATTGAGAATTTTGACATCTAGAGAACAGAGCCAATTTTCAGTCCAATTATCATCTAGAATGCTTACATTTGAAACTGAATATTTCGATATTTTGATATAATAATTCCAAATGTTGTTCTCTGATCATGCACAAGTTCAGGGAAACCGAAATGATGTTGATGTGGGCATTGGCTATTCAGCTTTCCAAAGACCTAGCCCAAAATCAAAACCAAATAGTAGACTTGGCCAGAATACAGAGGCCAAAAGCAGACCTCCGTCATCTCCTTGATGGACATTGGGTTTACAGGTATTATGGCTATACTTTATAATTTGCAGACACATTGCAGACATTCCATTGTAGGTATCTAATATTTAATAATTAAAAATTCTAAGGATCTAGAGGTATTTTGAAAAATAAGAATATCCTATAAGGGTAATCCAAGTTGTAACCCATACCTCCTTTTCCCCCTTTCTTTTTGACATGTTGAAGACAGTTTCTTTCAAAAGGCCCGATCCACCATGACTCTCATATTCAACACTCTAGTGCTCCCCTATGTTACTCACATCTGGGACTGGCTGGCTCCCCTTGGCAGCAGGTGTGCCACTTAGCAGCATTCATACTTAGGCTGTGCTCTGGTTGAGACTTACCCCGTACTTCTTTGGGTACCACATATGCCCTGGCAGACATACAGATAGGCAGGCATATGAATGTTAATAGACCCTCCCTTACTGCAGATTATTCCTAAGAAGATTTAATGAGCTAAGCATATTAACATTTAATAGCTTAAGCACCATTCATATTTACAGTCATCTCCCTGGAGGTAAAAGAACATTTATGTAGGAATTGGCTGAATGCCTTCGAGAAAAGTATTAATATCTGTTTGCTTGTGTTTATGGGCCCAAAGACATAAAGAACAAGCTGGTCAACTCTGTGAGGCAGCCAAGGACATACCACGTAATCCTCTCCCTCCTTTTTTTTTATATTGGGGGCTGAGGACAAGAGAAGTTTTCTTTTCATGGAAGATGAACTGAGATAGCAACTAACAAGTGGAGAGGGGATTTTTTTTTGAGAATTTTCTATGGCCTTTGAACTTAAATGTATGCATTGGTAGCAGGAAGAGTCTACTGTGAATATTTTATTGGTATTCTTAGGAGTATGGATTATTAGAAATAGAAGAATAAACTGTTCTTGTTTTTTCTAGAGACAGGATCCTGCTCTGTCACCCAGGCTAGAGTGCAGTGGTGTCATCATAGCTCACTGCAGCCTTGGCTCAAGGCTCAAGTGACAGCCAGGCTCAAGTGATCCTCCCACCTCAGCTTCCCAAATAGCTGGAACTGCATGCACACGCCACCACTCCTGGCTAATTTTTAAAATTTTTTTGTGAGACGGGGATCTCCCTATGTTGTCCAGCCTGATCTTGAACTCCTGGGCTTGAGGGATCCTCCCACCTCAGTTTCCTGAGTCGCTGGGACTATAGGAGCATACCACCATGACTGGCTAATTTTTTCTTTTATTTTTTGGAGAGACAAGGGTCTCACTATGTTGCTCAAGCAGGACTCAAATTCCTAGCCTCAAGTGATCTTCCTGCCTTGGCCTCCCAAAATGCTGGGATTACAAGAGTGAGCCACTGGCCTGGCCCAGTATGTGTTCTTTATGTGAGGTACTTCTGGATAACAAAGATCCATTATAATCACATGTAGCAGTGGAATACAAAAAGCCAAAACCATGTTTTATTTATTTATTTATTTATTTATTTATTTGGTTGGTTTGAGAGACACAGTGTCTGTCACCCAGGCTGGAGTTAGTGCAGTGGTGTCATCATAACTCACTGTTGCCTCAATCTCCTGGGCTCAAATGATTCTCCCACCCCAGCCTTCTGAGAGCTAGGACTACAGCCTCACACAACCACAACTAGCTAATTGATAAATTTTTTTGCCTGTAATCTCAGCACTTTGGGAGGCTGAGGTGGGTGGATCACAAGGTCAGGAGTTCGAGACCAGCCTGGCCAACATGGTGAAACCCTGTCTCTACTAAAAATACAAAAATTATCCGGGTGTGGTGGTGGGTGCCTGTAATCCCAGCTACTTAGGAGACTGAGGCAGGAGAATTGCTTGAACCAAGGAGGCGGAGGTTGCAGTGAGCTGAGATCTCACCACTGCACTCCAGCCTGGGTGACAGAGCAAGACTCCATCTTGGAAAAAAAATTTTTTTTTTGCAGAGATGGGGTCTTGCTATATTGACCAGGCTGGTCTTGAACTCCTGGCCTCAAGTGATCCTCCCACCTCTGCCTCCCAAAGGTCTGGGATTACAGGCATAAGCCACACTCAGCCTTGAAACCATGTTTTAAATCAAGAGAAAGAAGAGTCTGAGTTTCGATTCAGACTTTCTTTGAAAGAAGAGTTGGCTAGGTGCGGTGGCTCACGCCTGTAATCCCAGCACTTTGGGAAGCTGAGGCAGGTGGATCACCTGAGGTCAGGAGTTTGAGACCAGCCTGACCAACATGGTGAAACCCTGTCTCTACTAAATACAAAAAATTAGCCAGGAGAATCGCTTGAACCTTGGTGGCGGAGGTTGCAGTGAGCTGAGATTGTGCCATTGCACTCCAGCCTGAGCAACAGCAACAACAACAACAACAACAACACACACACACACACACACACACACACACACACACACACACAAAAGAGTCTGAGCTCAGTTGTTGGGGGAGCAATGCTAGAGGAGGAACAAAAAGGAGAAAAGAGTTGGCAGCCATCAGTGAATTATTTTAAGAAAATGGATAGAGGAGGAAGAGGCTGTCAACTCTGTCAGCTTAACAATTTGTAAAATATACGAATGTTTACGTAGAAATTGATAAGTTTTAGAGGGATTCAATATGGTACTGGAAGGTCTAACAAGAGTAGTTACGCTGGAAAAAGAAAAGGCATCCAAATTGGACAGAAAGAAGTAAAATGATCGCTGTTCATACATGACATAGTCATATATGTTGAAGACTCCACAAAAAAACCTGTTAGATGAATTTAGTAAAGTTGCAGAATAGAAAATAAACACCCCAAAATCAGTGGCATTTCTATACACCAGTAATGAGTAATGTGAAAAGAAAACACTTTAATTTACAATAGCATCAAAAAGATACTATACTTAGATAAAATACTTAGGAATAAATTTAACCAAGGAGGTGAAAGACTTGTACACTAAAACTACAAACATTGCCAGAAGAAATTAAAAAAGACACCAATAAATGGAAAGACACCCTGTGTTCATGGATTGGAATTCATATGGAATTTCAAGGGACGCTGAATAGCTAAAATAATCTTGAAAAAGAAAAAAGTTGGACATCTCACATTTCCTGATGCCAAAACATGTTACAAAGCTGTAGTAATCAAAATGGTGTGGTTCTGACGAAAAGGCAAACACGTAGAACAATGGAATAGAATAGACAGCCCAGAAATAAGCCCTAGTGAATATGGTCAAATGATTTTTGACAAGGGTGCTAGATCACTCAATGGAGAAAGTACAGTCTGTACAAAAAAAAAAAGGTTTTGGGAAAATAATATCTGCATGCAAAAGAATAAAGTTGGACCCCTACCTTACATTATATACAAAAATTAACTCAAAATGATTAAAGATCTAATGTAACACCTAGAACTATAAAACTAAACTGCTAGAAGAAAACATAGAGGAAAACTTCACGACATTGCATTTGACAATTGTTTATTGGATATGGCACATAAGTACAGCCAACAAAAGCAAAAATAGACTAAATCAAACTTTAAAACTTTTGTGCATTATAGGTCACAATCATTAGAGTGAAAAGGCAACCTATGGAATGGGAGAAAATATTTGCAAGTCATATATTCAATAAGTGGTTAATATCCAGAATATATAAAGAATTACAACTCAACAACAAAAACAACACAGTTATAAAATGGGCAAATGACTTAAATAGGCATTTCTCCAAAGATGATGGACAAATGGCCAACAGGCACATGAAAAGATGTTCAGCATCACTAATCACTAGAGAAATGCAAATCAAAATGATAATGAGGTATCTCCTCACGTCTGTTATGATGATTACTCTTAAAAAAAAATAGAAAATAAAAGTATTGGTGAAGATATGGGGAAACTGGATCCCTTATACACCGTTGGTGAGAATGTAAAATGGTGTGGTTGCTATGGAAAACAGTATGAAATTTCCTCAAAAAATTGAAAATAGAACTACTGTATGATCCGGCAATCCCACTTCAGACCATATATCTACAAGAATTAAAAGCAGGGTCTCAAAAGAGGTATTTGCACACCCATGTTTATAGAAGCTATTCGTGATAGCCAAGAGGTGGAAGCAAAGTAAATATCCATCAATGAATGAATTGATAAAGAAAATGTAGTGTAGACTGGGCATGGTGGCTCACCCCTATAATCCCAGTGCTTTGGGAGGCTGAGGCAGGAGGATTGCTTGAGCCCAGGAGTTTGAGACCAGCCTGTGCAACATAGAGACCCAGTCTGTGGGGGGAAAAAAAAGCCAGGTGTGGTGGTGTGCTCCTGTAGTCCCAGCTACTTGGGAGGCTTAACCAGGAGGATAGCTTGAGTCCAGGAGTTCAAGGTTGCAGTGAAATATGATTATGCTACAGCACTCCAGCCTGGGCAACCGAGTGAGATCCTATCTCTTAAAAAATTATTTAAAAAAGAAAATGTGGGCCAGCCACGGTGGCTCACACCTGTGATCCCAGCACTTTGGGAGGCCGAGGTGGGTGGATCGCTTGAAGTCAGGAGTTTGAGACCAGCCTGGTCAACATGGTGAAATCCCATCTCTACTAAAAATACAAAAATTAACTGGACTTGGTGGCACATGCCTGTAATTCCAGATACTCAGGAGTCTGAGGCAAGAGAATCGCTTGAACCTGGGAGGCACCGGTTGCAGTGAGCCAAGATTGCACCACTGCACTCCAGCCTGGGCCACAGAGCGAGACTCCATCTCAAAAAAAAAAAAAAAAGTGGTGTGTATACATAATAGAATACTATTCAGCCTTAATAAAGAGGAAACCTATTATTTGTGACAACAAGGGTGAAACTTGAGGGCATTATGCTAAGTGAAGTAAGCAGCCAGTCACATTTTATTTTTTCATATGGTTGATTATCAGTGTGCAGGAAATAAGCCAGTCATAGAAAGACAAATACTGTATGATTCTACCCATATAAAGTAACTAAAGTCAAATTCTTAGACACAGAATGCAGAATGATGGTTGTCAGGAGCTGAGCAAAGGGGGGAAATGGGGAGTTGTTTAATAGGTATAAAGTTTCAGTCTTTCAAGATGAAAAATTTATGGAAATTGGTTGGACAACAATGTGAATATACTTGACACCACTGAACGATGCATTTAAAAATGATTAAGATGGTAAATTTTATGTTATGTGTTCTTTACCACAATTAACATTTAAAAATATTAAAGGAAACTTAGACATTATCTATTTTAACTAACTCATTTTGTAAATGCTAAACTGAGTCTCAGAATAGGGAGGCAAATTGCTTAATGACCTATAGCTACTCTGTCAAAGATTTAGGATTTCTGAACAACATAATAATGAAAAATGTGTGTGTTTGTGCCCTAGGAAAACATTTATGGTGTTAAGTCTCAGTGTTGTTTTGCTCTTCTAAAAAATAATTTATAACAAATCTTGAAACTATAAATGTCATACAGGAAGCAAAAAATAAAAAACAAACAAGCCAAATACCCCAATCCATGTGCTATATGCAACTTTAATTTGGTCTTACATTTCTCGCAAGATGAAAACAAAAAACAAAAAACATCTTTCAAACATAGTTAGGCTTTGTTATGGTCTCTGTGCAAACCATTTTTTTTTCAAATGAATTTTGTAGGCATAGACTCAAGATAAAAACTCTCTGACATCAGCAACTTTGGATTCAAATCCTAGGCTCTTAGCTTGAATGTTTGTTTTATTATAAACTGCTATGGTGTGAGCCTCAGAGTCAGAAAAATACATTAGCTGCTCAATTTTTAAAAAGAATCCTTATTAATTTTTTTCTCCCTTTTTTTCCTAGATTTTTCTTTTCCCATCAAAAATAGCTTAGGAGTGATTAAAAACCTGGAAAGTGAAGGACTGTTAAATGCAAATATGCATGTGTGTACACACACACACACGCATGTGCATGCAACTTTAAAATCCTGCTTAGTTGTTTCGTCGTGATTTAGTGGATTCAACAACCCTCTCTCTTCCACCCTGATTCTCTTATTAGTCTAAACTCCATCTTTCTCTGTCCTGTTTTTCTTTAAACACAATTTTGGTTTAAGAAGTTTAGCTTTGGCCAGGTGTGGTGGCTCATGCCTGTAATCCCAGCATTTTGGGAAGCCTAGGTGGATGGATCACGAGGTCAGGAGATCAAGACCAGCCTGGCCAAGATGGTGAAACCCTGTCTCTGCTAAAAATACAAAAATTAGCCAGGCAGGGTGGCAAGTGCCTGTAATCCCAGCCTCTCGGCAGGCTGAGGCCAGAGAATTGCTTGAACCCGGGAGGTGGAGGTTGCAGTGAGCCGAGATCCTGTCACTGCACTCCAGTCTGGGTGACAAAGCAAGACTGCATCTCAAAGAAAAAAAAAAAAAAGAAAAAAGAAGTTTAGCTTCCACAGTCTGTTTCAAGGCTCAGACCATTTTACAATCTCATCTACAGACATGATTACAACTTTCAATTTCTTTTTTCCTTCCATTTGATCCTTATGCACAAGTGTGGCTCACTCATTCTTTCACTGAGTCTGTCAATTTGTTGAGCACTTATTATGTGCCAGATACGTGCTATATGCTGGTGAGGTAGCAGTGAACAAAAAGTTCCTTACTGTCACGAAACTTACCAACAGGTCAGGAAAGCAAAAACTAATCCTCTAATCATACAAAGAAATAAAAAATGACCACTGTGATATATGTAATACGGGAGAGGTATGTGGCCGCTTCAGAGCATTTTATACATCTTTGGTCAAGAAAGCATTCCTTGGGAAGTGAGGCTTGAGCTGAAAACCAAAGGAAAAGGTGAAGTTACAAAATGGAAGCATTGGTTGGGCGCAGTGGCTCATGCGTGTAATCCCAGCACTTTGGGAGGCCAAGGCGGGTGGATCGCCTGAGATCAGGGGTTTGAGACCAGCCTAGCCAACACGGTGAAACCCCATCTCTACTAAAAATACAAAACTTAGCTGGGTGTGGTGGCAGTTGCCTGTAATTCCAGCTACTCGGGAGGCTGAGACAGGAGAATCACTTGAACCCAGGAGGCAGAGGTTGCGGTGGGATGAGATCGGGCCATTGCACTCCAGGCTAGGTGGCATGAGTGAAACTCCGTCTCAAAAAAGAAAAACAAAAAAGCATTTCAGGCAGGCAGAACAAGGCTATGGGAGGCTATGGGGTGAGAGGAAGCAGATTGGGTGTAAAGGAGTAAGAGAAGGCTAGTAGGCTAGTAGGCTAGTAGGAAGGTGAAAGAAAGTACAATGGAAAATTCATTTGTGGCTTCATGCTGAAGAAATTCATGCACTGCCTTGTTCTAGTCTATGTTAAGCAGTTTTGACTTTATCTTAAGTGCACTGGGAATCCGTCAGAGTGTTCTGTGGGTGCTTGTGTGTAGTGGTGGTGCGGAGGATATGATCATATTTATTTTGGAAAATGGCACTTTGGCTACAGTGTGAATAATGAAGGGGGGTGAGTGAGAATGCAGATAATATTTTAAAAGCTATCATTGATGTAGCACTTACTGCGTTAAGCACTGTTGAAAGGGATTTATATATATTGTCTCTGAATCTTTGCAACAACCCAGCAAGGTAGCTACTGTTATTGTCCCCACTTAACCTATGAGGAAATTGAAGTTCAGAGAAGTGAATACACTTGCTGAAGAACACACAGCTGGAATGTGGGAGAGCCAAGATTCTATCCCAGGAGGCTGTTCCAGTATTCAAGGTTGGAGGTGGTGGTGTCTGGGACCAGGTTAGTGGTGATGGAGTGAAGTGAATAGATTAAAGAGATATTTACCAGGTAAACTTTATAGTAATTCATGGTAATTTGGACATGGGGCAGGGGTAGAGAAAAATTCTAAGTGTCTAAATTTCTGGTTTGCATAACTAGGTGGCTGGTGGTACTGTTCTTTGAGCTAGGGAACATTGAAAGACAATAAAAGGAACTTGCAAGAGACAGAGAAGGAGTAGCCAGAGAGGCAATAGGCAAAGCAGGAGATTCTATCATGGAAATCTAGGGGAGCGATGGGGGGATGATTCAACAAGAAGTGATGGTGAACAACAATGTCAACTGCTGCTAAGGATTTTCTGTTCAACTTGATTACTCCAGGTTCTGGTGTATTTGCTGTGGGTAATAATTCTCAAAGGTTCAACCCAATTCGTCATATTCTCCAGGGTGCCAAAGTCAAGATGTCCCTTCATTTGTATGTCTAGAGCTGTTTGCCTTTTTGGATGAAATTGCCGTCAGGTGCTACCTGTTTCATAGCCCCATTGCTTGCCTCCATAGACAGGAACTAACTTGCTTGCCACCCACTCACAGATCCAATCCCACCTGTGTCCCTGGACCAATCCTGACTTTAGACAGGGGCAAGTCAGGCAGTTCCAGACTAGCCATCTGAGTTTCAGTATTGGGTTATCGTTGTTGCCTTGACATCGTTTCACCATTTCTGACAACTAGGCTTCTTGCCTTCTTCCATGTGTCTGAGTCCTCATCTCTGCCAGGTGAAATAATGGCTATGAAAATGCTTTGAGGGCTGGGCGCGGTGGCCCACGCTTCTAATCCCAGCACTTTGGGAGGCCGAGGCAGGCGGATCATCTGAGGTCGGGAGTTTGAGACCAGCCTGACCAACGTGGGGAAACCCCGTCTCTACTAAAAATACAAAATTAGCCGGGCATGGTGGCACTTGCCTGTAATCCCAGCTACTCGGGAGGCTGAGGCAGGAGAATTGCTTGAACCCAGGAGGTGGAAGTTGCAGTGAGCTGAGATCGCACCATTGCATTCCAGCCTGGGCAACAAGAGCGAAACTCCATTTAAAAAAAAAAAATTGTCATCCAGTATATAAAAAATATACATCAGCTAAAAATGTGTCTTTCATAGGTGTCTGATTTACAAACTAGGCACTGTTGGACAAATCTGGTTTAATATTGTATAGAAATGTATTTACAATGATTTTATTAATCACCTTTGAAAATCTTTTTTTGTAGTACATTTTTCTGTTAAGATCGTAATTTTAGAATATGTGATTCTCATACAAAGAAAGTCCCTTCGTGATAGAATTAAAGTAAGACTTATGAAATATATCACGTTTGTATTGTTTATAGTGTATACTTCTCAGTTTTGTTCTAGAAGGTGTAGCTGAATCCACACTCAAATATGGATGTACTTGGTTCTGTGAAAATATGATATTCAGGAATCAGATCCTGCAGAATGGATAAGTGAGATTGTTCATTTCACAACTGGATCATTCATTTTTCCCTTTTTCCCTTTTCATATACTTCCATAATCTGTGCAAGCTGGCACAGGCTAGTGGAGAAGGGGTAGAACATGAAAAAGGAAAAAAAAAATTAAAAGAACTAATGGGTCTGTATACTGTCTCCCAAGGACAAGGAAACAAAGGGAGTGGTGTTTGGTGAGAAAGCTTTCTAAACAGCTAAACTGTTGTAAATTCTAGACTTTAGGAACATCCATGTAGTGTTGTTTGGAGTTGGGTAAATAGTTGCTGTTGGTAAGTTGAAACAGCACCAATTCATGGGGGAAGGGGAGCATTTGGGCTCCAGTCAGGTAAAAGCTGGACTTCAGGGCAGGGATTGAACCTCAAATTGAGGAACTGGAGTGAAAAATCAAGAATCCAGGCCAGGTGCGGTGGCTCATACCTGTAATCCCAGTGCTTTGGGAGGCCAAGGCAGGAGGAATGTTTGAGGCTGGGAGTTCAAGACCAGTGTAGGCAGCGTAGCAAGACCCCTGTCTCTCAAAAAAAAAAAAAAAAAGAAAAAAGGCCAGACATGTTGGTGCATGCCTGTAGTCCTAGTTACTTGAGAAGCTGAGGTGGGAGGATCGCCTGAGCCCAGGAGTTCAAGGCGAGGCTGCAGTGAGCCATGGTCATGCCACTGCACTCCAGCCTGGAGATAGAGCAAGTCGAGATAGAGCAAGTCCTTGACTTTAAAAAGAAAATAATAAAGAGTCCAAAGTTCAAAGCAGTATGCTCAGGCTTCACTTCAGGTCTTCCAGCTTGAGAAGAGCAACAGTTACCTGACCATTAATCTCCCAGGTGTGAAGCATAGGGTAGCTGAATCTACCATTTATTGGGTTGTTTGCCTTTGTTTGGATTCCTCAAAAACTAGCAGGACTGGACTACAGGTGGAAAGACATTAGTGCATGAAGCCCCATGGGGCTTCTATCTATAAAAATTATATGTATGTACCACTTTCCAGGAATATCTCTATTGCTCAAGAAATATTTGTTGGTGATTGGTTGTTCTGATAGTTAATTTTATGTGTCAGCTTGGCTAGGCCTTGGCACCCAGATATTTAGTTAAACATTATTCTAGATGTTGCTGTGTAGGTATTTTTAAAAATGAGATTAACATTTAAATCAGTAGATTTTGAGTAATGTAGAATATCTTCCACAATGTGAGTGGACCTCATCCAATCTGTAGACCTGAAGTGAAACCTGAACATACTCACTCCAAGTTATCCTTCTAACCCCGACTTGGTTTGCTCAGTCTAAAGAAGTAGCCTCCTGCTTTGGGTTCTTGATTTTCACTCCAGTTCCTCAATTTGAGGTTCAACCCTTGCCTTGAACTCCAGCTTACATGATCTGACCTACAGACCTTAATAAAGCAAAGACTCACTACCACCCTCCCAAGACGGAAGGACTCTGCCAACAGACTGCCTTCCACTGGAGCTTCAATAGCAACCCTTTCTTGGGTCTCCAGCCTTCCGTCCTCCACAATCAGGTGAGCCAATTCCTTAAAAATAAGTTTCTCTCTCCCTCCCTCTCTCTCTCTGTGTGTGTGTGTGTGTGTTTGTGTGTGTGTGTGTGTGTGTGTGTGTGTGTATTTCCCCTATTGGTTGTATTTCTCTGGAGAACCCTGACTAATACAATTGTGTAATATAAAGTTTACCTGAATTTCACTCCACTGAAAGGCATCACTTGCTTATGTTGTATTCCATCCAAACTATTCCATTAATAGTATCTCTACCTCCCAACAATCTGGTTCTATAAGGATAATAGAAAAAAGTAGCAGAGTTGGGAAACTTCAGATGAAGTACATTTAAAAAAAATCTACTTTAAAAACCTGCTTGCTTTTGATATCAAAATTTGACCATATTTCTCCTTGCAATTCTATCAAAAAAGGAAAAAAAAACTTCAGTATACTCACAAAAATGGGTGGAAAAGTATCACTTGAGAATGAGATGCTGAACCCTGAAGGATATTTAAAGACATTGTGGACCTACTTGAACTGATTCAGTTGTGAAAGCTCTTTCACACGACCAGGAGGGGAATGCATGGATACATAAATGCGAGTGGTGATCTCTCATGATTGACCAAACCTTTCTTCTGGCATTGTGTGCAGCATGATGTTATGTAGTTGCTTTGCGTTATGATTTCTATCAGGACATACAGTATTTAGTTTGCTAGCCCAATACAGATTAATATTAAAAGTCCTGTGTGGTCTTTGTTTTAAAATGTTTTTGTGTCCATCATATCACCAATGTAGTTAAAAGCTTGAGAAATGAATTAGTATGAGGTAACCTAAAATATGAGTGACTCTATTGTGAATTTAGGCCAGATACTCTCTTAGTAACTAAACTGCTAAATATTGAAACTTTTTCCCTGAAGGCATTTAAATCTTAGTTTTGGTTGGACATCTTCCTGGTGGCTGAAAGCTAATGACTAAAGCTATTTTCCCAAGTTTCCTGTATTTTTCTTTTAACTTCTCATTTACTCTTTCCAGCTGTTTGTATTTGATCAGTTGTTTTCTAAATGTTCACTTTCCTTTAACATATTCAGTAGAAAATTTGGATTTCTTGATTAGAGAATATTGCATTTATAAAAATTGTTTTATTACATATGAAATTAAAGTTATCCATTAAAACCTACTTTTGGTTTCACCATAGTATATTGATAATGTTCTTATATGGAATACATTTATAGCCAGCACCTAGGATCATGCTTGAGAAGGGACTTAATAAATACATCTTCAGTTACTTAATAAAACCCAGTAGCAAACACGCTATGCAGAAATTGTTCTCTTTTAACAAATGCCCTCATATCTTCCCCATTTTGCCCCATTCGCTACTTCAAAAACCATAAAAATATGGTTTTGCTGATTTAGCTCTCAAATAAAAAATATAAATTCTGAAAGAATACATGAGAAATAAATAATAATAGTTATGTAGGAGGGTCATCCTAGGCGGATAGGACAGAAAATTTTAACTAGATAACTAGTTAGTTAACTAGATAACTGATTTTTATTTCACTGACTTTTTTTCACTATGAAACTGATTAACTGATTTTTTTTCACTATGAAAATGCTTTAATGGTGGTGTCTGTACAGCATGGGATGTGGACAGGGAAAACAGCAAGTGCACACACAGCAGGACAGGCCACAGGACAGGCTGGGAGTGAATAAAGAGTTCACACTGCTTCCCTGCTTTCCCGGGTGACTGGAGGCTCTAGGCCATCTCCTCCTCGGCCCCCTCCTTGAACTCATCCTCCTCGGCCGTGGCATCCTGGTACTGCTGGTATTTGAACACCAGGTCGTTCATGTTGCTCTCGGCCTCGGTGAACTCCATGTCCTCACCCGTGTACCAGTACAGGAACGCCTTGCGCCGGAACATGGCGGTGAACAGCTCGGAGAGCGCTTGAACAGCTCCTGGATGGCCGTGCTGTTGCGGATGAAGGTGGCAGACACTTTTAGCCCCGGGGCGGGATGTCACAGGCAGCATTGTTTTCTTAAAATATTGATAATAAACTCAACTCATAACCGGTCAATTCTGTACACAAATGAAAACTAGTGATAAGTATAACTATTGTTGTACTCAGACTTAAGATTTTAGCATCACTTAGTCATTTAAAATACTAAGACAGATCATATCATTGCCTTGCTCCAAAGCTTTCTATGGTTTCTTTTTATTTTTTCTTTTCTTTTTTTGAGATGGAGTCTTTGCTCTTTTGCCCAGGCTGGAGTGCAGTGGTGCAATCTTCACTCACTGCAGCCTCCACCCCCCGGGTTCAAGCGATTCTGCTGTCTCAGCCTCTCCAGTAGCTGGGATTACAGGTGAGGGCCACCACGCCCAGCTAATTTTTGTGTTTTTAGTAGAGACGAGGTTTCACCATGTTGGCCAGGCTGGTCTCGAACTACTGGCCTGAAGTGATCTGCCTGCCTCGGCCTCTCAAAGTGCTGGGACTACAGGTGTGAAACACCGCACCCGGCCTTTCTATGGTTTCTTATTGCAATTAGAATAATATCAAAATCTTCTGATATGGTGCACAGACCCTAAATGATTTTGTTTTGATCGACCTTTATGACATCATGTTCTACCACTCTGCCCATAATTTACCGTTCTTCATCTATAATGCCTGTTTTTTATTTTTTCAATGCATGGAATTCATTCCCACCTCAGGGCTTTTCATTTGCCATTCCTTCTCTGGAATGATTTTCCCTCAGATCTTTGCTTGGATGACTTCCTTTCAGCATTCAGGGCTCGGTGTAAATTTTACTTCTTAAAAGCAGTTTTTCCTGACCACCTCTTCAGAATTAGTTTCTCCCATCCCAGGTCACTCAGTATGTATACTACTCACTTACTATAAACCATTTCCTTGTTTTATTTTGTATGACACATATCATTACCTGGAATTATCATGCTATAGTATTTCTTGATTATTATCTTACCCTCCTAGAATATAAGCTTTTCAAAGTCATAATTTTGTCTCTTCTGCACCATCTCGAATACATAGTTGGTACTCAATAAATATTTGCAGAATTAACTAACTAAATGCCTGGCATACTGAGTGTTGATCCAGAGATCTTCACTTGCAAGATAAAGAGGTTGGATCATCTTTAAGGTTCTTTCCAACTCAAAAATTTAACACTCTTTATTCATATAATTTTTTAAAATTAACATTATTTTTTAAAATTAAAATCTATCTATTAAATATCTATCTATCTACCTATCTATCTATCCATCCATCAATCTGAAGACAGGGTCTCACTCATTTTCCCAGGCTGGAGTGAAAATGATCAAATGATCCTCCTACCTCAGCCTCCCAACTACTTGGGGCTACAGGTGCATGCCACCATGCCATGCTATTTTTGTTTTTTATTTTTAGTGTAGACTAGGTCTTGCTCTGTTGCCCAGGCTGGATTTGAATGCCTGGGCTCAAGCAATCCTCCCGCCTCAGCCTCCTGAGTAGCTGGGATTGCAGGCATGTGCCACCACGCCTGGCATAACTCAGTTTTTATTTTTATTTTTGAGACAGGGTCTCGCTCTATTGCCCAGGCTGGAATGTAGTGGTGCGATCTCGGCTCACCACAACCTCTGCCTCCTGGGTTCAAGTTCTTCCCTGCCTTAGCCTCCTGAGTGCCTGGGACTACAGGCACCCAGCACCATGCCCAGCTAAATTTTGTAATTTTAGTAGAGACGGGGTTTCACTATGTCAGCCAAGCTGGTCTCAAACTCCTGGCCTCCAGTGATCCACCCACCTAAGCCTCCCAAAATGCTGGGATTAGAGGCATGAGCCACTGTTCCCGGCCTCAGTTTTTAAATGTTAAGTTTGAACATGGAAAAAAGAGCTGTCAATAACAAGGAATGTGGGGATAAATTGATATTCTATATATAATTTTCATGTTGTAAAGAGAATCTTCCATAGTAATTTTCAAATACATAGAGCATAGGTAGAGATTAGGAAGAGGAATGATGATGAAACTTACATTGAAAAAAGATAGATGTTCCATTGGCTATGTTTATACCGAATTATCTTGAGTAAAAGTAATATAATTTATTAATTTTTCCTGTTTCACTGAGAAGGCCAGAGCAAGGTGGAAGGTGAGGGAAAGCCCTCCCCTGAGTGACACCAATATACTAACATTTTCATAAAAATGTTGTAGCATAGGCTCTGGAGCTTCCCTGCCCAGGATTGAAGCCCATCTCTGTCTCTTAATACTTGTGAAACCTTAAGGAAGTTATGTAACTTCCTGTGCTTCAGATCTCATCTCTATGAAGTGGGAACATTAACGGCATCTACCTCACTGGATTGTTTCAAGGACTAAATGAGATAATGTTTTTAAAGGGCTGAGTACAGTATCTGCCATATCATTGCACTTAATAAATAATAAAGTCAACTCATTATTCCCATTATTAAGAATAATGAAGGAAATATCAGTAGATGTCAAACCCAAGAACGACAAGTACTGATTGGTGAGCAGGTTGGGGTGAGGAGTGAGATGGGAGGCCTGGAAGAGTTCAGGACCTTTCCGACACTCAAATGAGGCTACACTTCTAATTAGCATAGTGTTGACGTTGGGCAAGATGAGTGTGGATACTTAAAGAGCAGCCTCTGGCTGGATATAATTTATAATGTAAGGAAACAGTTGTAAAAAAAACAATTTTACTAAAAGTGCCAATAAATTACAAATGCCATTGAAATGTAATTTCCTGTATCTTGAATGTATGAATGTGGGATTTATACCAAAATTCTGTATTTAGGCGGCTAAGGTACACAGGGCCTGAATCAAAAAGAGTTGCATAGTTAAAATCATTCATGTTGAGTAGACATATCACATTCTGAAACTTTTTAATCCCTGAAATGAAGTGGTTGTTATGAAGTTTCAAGAATAATCTAATCAGGATGCAGTATAGCTTCATTAATGTGTACTTCACTAGTTGAGAATCTGAGAATATTTAGACAGAAACTGAGATTTTGCCCTATCTGTGGAAAAATAAAAGCATTGCCAAGAACATCAGTATTATAGACAAGATTGTATCAGGAGAGTATAAAGAACTTAGAAGAATAAATACTGTTGATGTCCTCTTTTAGGTACAGTTGGTATGCTAATATAGTTAGTCCATCACACAACGTAATTCTTTAGTGATTTGAGTTAATAAATTAAGTCAACAATATTTATTTGTGCAGTCCCAATGTGACAGGCTTTGTTTCAGACACTGGGATTCAGTAACGGAACAAGACAGACCTGGTCTTCATGGGGCTTACATTCTAGCAAGAAGATAAATAATGGTTTACATTAACAGGATGACATTATGATTTGAGGAGTACAGGGTGCTTTGTGAATATTACAGAAATACTCATTCTAGTCTAAGGTATCAGGAAAGGTCTTCTGGAGAAAAGCACTAAGCTGAGACTTGAAGACTTGTAGAAGTTGTCTAGGCAAATAGGGCTGGGGAATAGTGTCCTTACAGGAAACAATATATGAGAAGACTTGGATACCTTACTTGGCTGATTATCTTTCTGATTAGTATAGCGGGTCTATTAAGGGTTTCTATGAACTCTTAGCCTAATTTGCATTTCTCTATATACTTGAAAGTAATGTAATTTTTTTTTCTTAAAAACATTCTGTGGTTCCAAATCTTCACAAATGTAGACAGAATATTGTTTTATTTTAAAAATGTGTTCAGTTCTGGGCCAGGCGTGGTGGCTCACGCCTGTAATCCCAGCACTTTGGGAGGCCGAGGTGGGTGGATCACGAGGTCAGGAGATCGAGACCATCCTGGCTAATGCAGTGAAACCCCATCTCTACTAAAAATACAAAAAATTAGCCAGGAGTGGTGGTGGGCGCCTGTAGTCGCAGCCACTCGGGAGGCTGAGGCAGGAGAATGGCATGAACCCGAGAGGTGGAGCTTGCAGTGAGCCGAGATCGTGCCACTGCACTCCAGCCTGGGCGACAGAGCAAGACTCCATCTCGAAAAAAAAAAAAAAAGTGTTCAGTTCTAAACTTTATATACTCAGTAAGCAGCTCTTGCTGCCTATCTCTCTTCTGACTGGTCAGTAATATAACTGCTGGTGTTTCATGTGCAATGCAAACCCTTTATAATTTTCATTTTTTTTCTATAGAATTCTTAACATTTGGTATAATATGATGTCACTGTAATTTATGAGTGGTATTTAGTAAAATCTCTAATGTATGGACAATAAAATGGCATTTTCTTTACTCGGGAGGCAGGGGAGGGAGGCTCACTTGAGTCCAGAAGTTCGAGGTTACAATGATTTATTTATTTATTTATTTATTTATTTATTTATTTATTTATTTATTTATGTATTTTTGAGACAGAGTTTCACTGTGTTGCCCAGGCTGGAGTGCAGTGGCACGATCTCAGCTCACTGCAACCTCCACCTCCCAGGTTCAAGCAATTCTCCTGCCTCAGCCTCTGGAGTAGCTGGGATTACAGGCACGCACCACCACACCCAGCTAATTTTTATATTGTTAGTAGAGAAGGGGTTTCACCATGTTGGCCAGACTGGTCTCAAACTTCTGACCTCAAGTGATCCGCCTGCCTCAGCCTCCCAAAGTGCTGGGATGAGCGCGCCCAGCCTACAACGAGTTCTTATTATGCCACAGCACTCCAGCCTGGGTGACAGAGGGAGACCCTTTCTCTAAAAATAATAAAATAACCCCCTGAACTCCAACATTGTCCATGTCATTTTCTGTGTTCCTAGGGTGTTGTGTGAGGGGAGCAATGACCCCTCTTGTATTAAGTGGCATCCCAGATTTCTTGCTACTTACAACAGTGTAGCTACTTATAATGAGAATGATATGCCCTTTGTTCAATTTGATTAAAAGCTAGTCTTTCCCATTGTTCTCTATTTAACGGTCCTAACTTCAGAGCATGGGTGGAAAACTATGTGGTAGGGTGACAACAGAAGATAGGAGGCTTCCTTTTTCTTAAATTTCTGGATGCCCCTGTTATGTATTCTACTAAATATGGTAGAATTTGAGTTTACAATGAGGACCATGAAATACGTTTTTATAGCAAGAGGAGGCCTCAGGAGGTCTTTTGGTGAGACCTTAGAAATTGTGGTTGCCTACTTGATGTCTCTAGCTTTTGCCTGATATCTCCATTACAAATGCTAGGTGATTTTGTTAGAACTCTTTTGGTTGCAAATAACAAAAGCCTTCTTGGAGCTAACTGAAGCCTCAATACTGACTTGAAGTCATGACCACTATATCCTCAAGTTATTATTATTATTAGTGTTATTATTATTATTGTGACAGGGTCTTGCTGTGTTGCTCAGGGTGGTTTCCAATTCCTAGCCTCAAGTGATCCTCCTGCCTCAGCCTCCCTGCTAGCTGGGATTATAGGTGTGAGCTACCATGCCCAGCTTGTTTTCCCAAATTCTTAACAGCTAGGCTAAGACTTTCTCCATCTAGTTTAGATTCAATCTAGGCCAGAGATTGGTTCATTGATCCAGAACTGGGTACCTGATACCAAAATGGCCAGTCAGAGAGCCTCCAGTGGAATATAGAGTTAGGTTTCAGAGATTTCAGCCTCAGTCTGTCTGGTCTGTTGAATAGAGGAGATAAAACCCAGGGATATGTGACCAACTGAGTCCTATCATGCAGCCTGGAAAGCATAAAATCCTCTTCTGTGATAAAAGAGAATGATGAAGTAGATTTCCTGGTACTGTGCAGAAAAGAGACAGAGATAGTCCTGCCGGCACTCTAGTCCCTGATTCCAAACCATTCCTGAGCCTTGACTGTATTCCTGTCTTTGTATTCTTGTTCACAAAAAGGGAGTAAACTAGAGATACTGCAGTTTGTCAAGGCACATGACTAATTTTAATAGCTTTATTGAGGTATCACTGACATACAATAAACTGTGCATATTTAAAGTGTACAATTTGATAAATATTGACATGTTTTGTGAAAACATTACCATAAAAGCAATAAGGAATATACTTATCATCCCTAAAAGTTCTCTTGTACCCAATTGTCCTTTCTGCCCTCCCTCCAATCTCATCCCTAGGCAAACACTGATCTGCATTCTATCACTACAGATTCATTTTCATTTTATAGACTTTTATATAAATGGAATAATACAGTGCATACTTTTTTGTGTGGCATCTTTCGCTTGGATATAGTTATTCTGAGATTCATCCATATTGTTATGCATATCATATTGTAGTACATTCATTCCTTTTTATGGCTGGGTAGTATTCCAGTGTATGGATGTACTGGTTTATCACTTCACTTGTTGATGGACTTTTGGGTTGTTTCTATTTTTAGTTAATAACTAATACATCTGCTATGAATATTAATGTACAAGTCTTTGTAGGGACATATGCTTTCATTTCTCTTGAGTAAATACCTAGGAGTGGAATGGCCGGATCATATGGTAGGTGTATGTTTAACTTTTTAAAAGACTGCCAAATTATTTTCGAAAATGAGTGTACCATTTTTCATTCACAGTAGCAGCATATCAGAGTTGTAGTTCCTTGCAAAAACTTACTATAATTATTCCTTTTAGTGCTAGGTATTCTAGTACATTGTAGTGTTATCTCATTGTGGCTTTGATTTGCATTTCCCTAATGACTAATGATGTTGATAATCTTTTCATGTGCTTGTTTGCCATGCTTCTTTGATGTAACTTCTTTGGTGGTGTCTGTTCAAATAGTTTACCTTTTTTTTTTAATTTGTTGTTCATATTCTTGTTATTGAGATTTGAAGGTTCTTTATTCTGTATGCAAGTTTTTTAATATTAGATATGATTTTTGCATATTTTCTACCGGTCTGTAGTTTCTTTTTTCATTCTGTCAACAGTGTCTTTTATAGAAGAGTTGTTTCTTTTCAATTTTGATCAAGTTCAACTTCTTAATTTGTCTTTTTGTGGACCATGCTTTTCGTGTCATATCTAAAAAATCTTGGCTTAACCCAAGGTCACAAAGGTTTTTGCCAAAGTTCTGGAAATTTTCTAGCTCCAGATTTTACATTTAGGTCTATGATGCATTTTGAATTAATTTTTGTAGATGGTATTAGGTATGGATCTTAGTTCACATGGATGTCCAGTTGTTCCAGCACCATTGTTGAAAAAAGCTACCCTTTCTCCACTGAATTGCCTTTAAATTTTTTAAATGGACAAATAATAATTGTGCATATCTGTGGGATACAATGTGAGGTTTGCGTCTATGTATACATTATAGAAAGATTTAATCAAGATAAATAACGTATCCATCACCTCACCAACTTATCTTTTTTTTGTGGTGAGAATTCTAAAAATCTATTTTAGCAGTTTTGAAATATACACTATTAGCTGCGGTCACCATGCTGTGCAATAGGTCACTAAAATTTATTCTCCAGTCTAACTGAAACTTTGGACCCTTTGATCAACATCCTCACTTTCCCCATGCTTCCTCCTCCTTCCCCTGCCTCTGATAACCATTTTTCTACTTTCTGTTTCTATGAGATTGACTTTTTTAGATTCCACATATAAGTGAGATCATACAGTATTGTCTATGTCTGGCTTATTTCACTTAGCATAATTTCCTCCAATTCTTTCCATGTTGTCATGGATGCAAATGACAGAATTTCTTTTTTAAGGTTGTATAGTATTTCATTGTGTATATGTACTACATTTTCTTTATCCATTCATTCATTGATGGATTCTTAGATTGCTTCCACGTTTTGACTACTATGAATAATGCTGAAATAAACACTGGAGTGCAGATATCTCTTTAACATACTGATTTCAATTCCTTTGAATATATACCCAGAGAGGGGAAAGGAATCTGAGCAGGCATTTCTCAAAAGAAGAGATACAAATCCCCAACAAATATATTAAAAAATGTTGAAAATCTCTAATCATCAGGGGAAATGCAAATTAAAACCACAGTGAAATATCACCTCACAGCTGTTAGAATGGCTATTGTCAAAAGGATGAATAACAGGTATTGACGTGGATGTGGAGACTGTTGGTGGCAATATAAACTGGTGCTCTCACTATGGAAAGAAGTATGGAGGTTCCTCAAAAAGCTGAATTGCTTTTGAATATTTGTTGAAAATAACTTGCCCATATACGTTGTGGGTCTGTTTATGGACTCTATTCTGTTTCATTGATCAATACCACACTGTCTTGAATATTGTAGCTTTACAGTAAAAATTGAAATCAGGTAGTATTATCCCCCTAATGCTCTTTGTAAAAGTTGTTTTGGCTATTTTATTCAATTTCCATATGAACTTTAGAATCAGCTTGTCAATTTCTACAGAAAAAGCCAGCTAGGACTTTGATCGGGGTTGTGCTGTAACTATAAATCAATTAGGAGTGAATTGACATCTTAATGATATCAATTCTTCTGCCCTATGAATACAGTATATTTCTACATTTATTTAAGCCTAAAGTTTTCAGGACAGGTCTTACACATCTTTAATCAGATTTATCTCTAACTTCTAAAGCAAGACCCTTCTGTGTATGCTACCCAAAGCCCTGTGAGGGTTTTTTTTTTTATAATAGATTCCATTCAATAATAGGCTCCATTCAATAATTGATGAGATGAGTGTTTTGAGGAAATGCAAATTTACCAGAGAGACAAAATGTATCCTAAATAGTTTTCAATTTGTTTTTTAGTCAGAATTAATGCAGTTGAAATCTTTTAGTTTCACATTAGGCACACAGCAAGCTTGCAAATGCTTTTAGACCGATTAGGGATCAGCTACCAGCTCTGTGTACTTTGGTGTGTGTGTGTGTGTGTGTGTGTGTGTGTGTATGTATGTTATGTGTGTGCCCACATCTGCCTGTATGGTCTCTTAGTTAATTTTTATAATTGTATAATTAATTGGTGCTGTCAAATCTTTGGGGCATGGTAGGGAGAATTCTAAGATGGTCCTAAGATTCTTGTCTTCTGTTATACATTCTCCACTTAGGTATGGTTGGGACCTGTGAATATGCTGGGCTATCACTCTTGTGATTAGGTTACATTATGTGGCAAAGGTGAAGAGATTTTGCAGATGTAATCAAGGCACACAGTTAATTTTTGAGTTAATCAAAGGGGTGATAATCTTGGGTGGGCCTGACTTAATCTGGTAAAAGACCTTAAAAGAGGCACTGGACCCCTCCTGAGGAGAAAGAAGTTTTTCTGTTGGCCTTGGCTAAGTAGAACAACCATGTTGTCAACTGCTAATGGAGAGGGGCTGCCTCTAGATCCAGTAAATGCTACGGGTCTTAATTCTGTAACTGCAAGGAACTGAATTTGGCCAACAATCTGAATGAGTTTGGAAGAAGATTCTGAGTTGCACATGAGAACACAGCCCAGCCAAAAACTTGATTGCAGCCTTGTGAGACCCTGAGCAGTGCTCCAAGCTAAACCATACCTGGACTCCTGACACGTGGAAACAGATAATTAATGTGTGTGTTTTTAGCAATGAACAATAACTAAGTCAGCGGATACTCTAGCTGGCATTTGAAATGCTTCCCATTATGTTCGTTTGCTAGACCTGCCATAACAAAGTATAACACCATAGACTGGGTAACTTAAACAACAGAAATTTATTTTCTTGTAATTCTGGAAGATCAAGGTGTAGGTAAGTTTGGTTTCTTCTGAAGCCCCATCTTGTCTTGCAAGTGGTTGCCTTCTCACTGCATCCTCACATGGTCCTTCCTCTATGTGCATATATGTCTAAGTCCTAAACTCTTCTTAAAAGGACACCAGTCATATTGGATTCGGGCCCATCTTAGAGACATTACTTTAACTGAATTACCTCTTTAAAGACCTTTTCTCCAAATGCAACATACTCTCCCATGTGTTATCTTATTTGAAACCCAAAACAATGCTGTGGGGCATATCAGACCAGTATTATTTTGCTCCCCACTGGAAATTTGGGAAAACACTCTCAGAGCACTAACTTAATGTCACATAGCACATAAATTGTCTTCTGACTCTGAGTCTAGTGCTCTATCCAGTAGATTAAGTATTCAGATAAAGCATCCGAACCCAAACAGCAATGGACTTCTATTGGATAAGCATATTTGTAATATCTTATTGCCAGTTCTTTTTCTTTTTTCTTTTTTTTTAAACTGAGAATCTGTGCAAGCTACTGGCAGTTCAAATGCAGATCCTGCAGTTGCCCCCATCTCAACACCCTTGCTATGAGGGTTTTCTCTTTGTGTAGATAAGGGCTGCTTGGCCCACACTGGATTATCCCATTTTTACTGGCATTTCTGTGGGAGAAACTTATTATAAAGTAACCCCACTTGAACCTTTTTATGGCAGGACAAAGCAGTGACTCGAGTGTACACCAGCTCAGTTTGTACTTATTTTTTTTTTAACCTGTGTGCCAGGTTTTTGATACATGCTAAAAGTGATTGTTTGGAATATATCACCTCAGTGAGATTGTAAACTTCTGTACAAGGTGCTTTCTACCCAATAAGCATTTAGTGTGTAAGGTAGGTATACAATAATTATTGAATAAGCATAGTGGAGAAGCCAGTGGAAGCATTCCTGTTAACAAAGGGGAATTGGGTTCAATACACTTGCACGTAAAAGGTAATAATGCAAATTCTATGTATATTTGGAGTTCTTTGATTATTTGGTAAAGTCCAACAATGTGGTATTATCTTTAGTTCTAGCAAGTTTTTGAGTAGCTGATTATTCTCAAATTTACCTAAAACCTACTACTAGAATTTCAGTGTATGTAAGTTGAAATACAAAGTCAGCAATGTTGAAGATCTCAGATCCCAGAGGGAGAAATCCTAGAAAACATAAAGATTCCACACTCACCGCATCACTTCCTTAAGAAGAAGAAGAAGAAAAAAACAGCCAAAGAAAAAAAATCACAATAGTGATTAAACTGGTTGCTAAGAGCAAACTCCCTTTATTTTCCCAAGGAGGAGTCTGGAATTATAAGTAGAAAGGGCAAAGGAATAGGTGTAAGAAGGTGGCCCCAGGCTGTAACCGTCAAGAAGGCAAAGAATGAATAGAAGACAAGCAAGGGGAAAAACAGGCTTGACTGGGGTTTTTTTTGGGGGCTAGGCTGATAGAGCAGAATCAAGATTCTGACTTAGAAGAGCAGTCCCACCAGAGTTTGGAAGCAGTTTGCATAGTGGTTAAGAGCCTGGGTACCAGAATCACACCGCTTGGGATCCTGAGTCCCGCTCTGCCACTTACTATTTATGTAACCTCTGGCAACTTGGTTAACCTATACACCTCAGTTTTGTCACTTGTAAAATGGAGACAATAGTGTGTAACTTGTAGAGTAGCTGTGAATTAGGTAAGTTGATGCTTCAGTGCTTGGTTCATAGCAGACGCTCAGTAAAATGTTAAACTGTTATTTGTAGTTTTTATCCTTCCTCTTTCTTAATGTTGTGTACTGCAGCAGGGAGGGGGAGGGATGAAGCGCTTATCCCACTAGAAGAGTGATATTTGTGTGAGAGCCTGGGTCAGGCTTATTTTGAGACGTGGGCCCCACTGAGGTGAGGTGGCACCGCTTCCAGGGCACACCCTTTGCTCGGGCCCCGCCGTGACTATGAGGAGGCCGAGGCCACGGCTGGCAGAATGCACGGGTGGACCTCCTTGGAGTGGCTAACCCGGGGCGGCTGCACTGTTGTCCCTGGATACTTGACACTTTTCACTTTTTCTGCCTCCCGGCACTAGAATCCATGTGGGCTCACACCAGAGCCTCCCGGTTTCCGAGGCGTGAGGGCCACTTAGCGGTCATTCAGCTTCAGGGTCCGGCCCTGTCACGCTTTCGCTACAGCCTGGGAGTTCCGTTCGGACCCCACACACCGTCCTAGCCCCGGCTCCCCGCCACCCTGCCTCCCGCGCAGGCGCCGCCGGGGCCACCCCCGCCGCCATGTTTCCCCCGCCCGCGCGCTCCCCCCCCCACTGCCCCCTCCCTCCCCAACTGGGTTCCCGCCCCCCTCCCTCAGCAGCCCCCCCACACCCTGGTGAGGTCAGGCGGAGGCTCTGCCGCTGCGGCCGCAGTAGCTCAGCTCCTATTCCTGGGAAGCCTGGAACGGGGACTTTTGAAAATAACTGCAGCGGCATTCGGGTTAGGGTCCGTGCTCTCCGCCTGCGCCAGGACAGGGTGAAGTGGTCGGGGCGAGCAGAGGGTGCGAAGGTGCGGGTGCTGGTGCCTCGCAGCAGGAGGGAGCCCCGGCTGCGCCGCGCGACTCCCTCTTTGGCCCTCGGAGCGCAGCACCCGGCGGACAAGCGGCGGGACGCCAGGACGCGGCGAGCAAGGTGAGGCAGGGTCCTGAAGTCACAGGGGCTCCAGCAGCCGCTTCCCTGCCTTCGGACCCGGCGCTGCGCGGTGCGCGGCGAGGAGTTGCGATCTGTACCAGGGGCAGAGGAGCAGAGGAGCAGGGAAACAGCTTCATTTTGCCCGCCGCCCCCTCTTTTTCTCCCGCGTGCTGGTGCGCGCCCTCATCCTTACACCTTCGCATCCCTTTCTGCCGGTCCCTCTGGCTCCGTCGGACGCCTGGGTTCTTCTAGGACCCCAGAACCCGGCTTTCCTGTGCTTCTTTGTCATCTCTCCAAGATCTTCTCCTCTGGGCCTCGCTGTTGCTGCCCTGACGGTCTGGGGTCCCGCTGCCCGCCCCGGCCCTACTGTCTCTTGCCCTCTAACAGTTTCTGCTTTGTGCCTCCTAATCCATCTCTCCTTCAGAATCTTCTAACTTAGGAGGCTCCTCTGCTGGCTCCCAAGTCAGGAGCACACTCCTCTTCTTCCTCGAAGCTTTTAACTTAGCTCTGAATGTCTTCAGCTCTGAATATTTTGACTTTTTTGTTTGTTTGTTTGTTTAATTACAGTTGACTAATGATTTTCTTGGAGGCTTATAGTCTAGGCTACAGTTTACTGAAAGTGATGAGATCATTCCTTCACTAAATAGCCTTAGTAAATATCAACTAGGGAACTTTAAAGTTTCTTTCTAGGTTTCATTAACTTAGTCCAAGAACAATAGCCACTTAAAATGTATGTATATATGTTGGTACGCAATCTTCGTACATGGTCCTAAATCTGATTCTTCCCTGGCTGCTGAGCAGGCCTGAGAGAGAGGATTGGTGGGAATTGTGATGCCTGGCTCCATTTCTCTAATTGTAAACTAGGATGTTAATCGTTTTAATGTAGTCAGAGGACTTTAGTGGTTTGGGATAAAGTCGCTCAAGTTAGCATAGGCTGGTAACTAAGCACATTGAATGGAGACTAAGAGACGCTGGGATTTAAAACTGTCTCTGGAGGGCACCTGCTTTCTTTTTTTTGAAGCCACAGTTTCTTAACAGTAGATTTCATGTTTGTATAAACCCTCTAAAAGCAGCATATTTTAAAACCACGTAGTTACAAAAAAGACTACTCACTCTTAGCGATATCGCTTTCTCCCCATGTAGTTGTGGTGTTAGCTCCCATACTGAGGTTCATTTGCTCACTTTCATACTGCAATTAGTGTGTGAAGAAAGCTGAATGGAGAAGCACAAAGTGGAGGCAAATACCAGTGAACAAGCACATGCTGACATACGCAGCTGTGTTTTTGGAAATAGACTGTATCTAGTGTTCAAATTTAAAAACTGAGAAAAATGAAATAATTCAGCATTTATGACATCATTTTACATCTAAAAATATTAGCTCCCTTAACTGCAAGTTCTTATTAATATCCTCATACTTAACGGTAAAAGAGTTGTTTGCCTGATGTATGACCAAGTGTTGCCATTGACACAGTGTGCACTAATTGGCAGCAATCTCAGAAGAAACCAGGTTGTGAATGAAGATAATGGCTAAATTTCACTGTCCTGGTAGCACGTCTTATGGCAGTGAGATGAGAGTAGTTTCTGCTGCAACATCAAATGATGTATTTAAAAAACAGATAAATAAGAGCTTCAATTATTAAAAAGCCCAAGGTTTTCAATCTGCCATTTTTATAAGCACACTTCAAAAAGTGTAGTGTGATTATATAAGGCTCAGTTGATGTTCTGAAGAAAGTAGTTTTCACAAGAAAAGTAAGGCCTATTGCTTATCAATTTAGTTAGATAACTTGCAGATGATTTGTAGTTTCCCAATTGATTTGGTAAATTCCTGAGTTTACTTGAGGTTTATTAAAAAATGGAATGTAGTAGGGAAAGGGTACTTATTCTAATAGGCCCACTTTCTAAGTCTGTAATTTTCTTAGCAAACTATTCTCAAAATACATAAAAACTTACAACTTTTTCAAGGAAAAGAGTTTATACTATTTTCTTACTTTTTTCTTTTCATGCTTATTATTGATACAAAATCTAAGCTAAGATTGCTGCTAATGTGATTGCATAGTAAGACTATTTATATTTGCCAGGAAAAGAATAAAGGTGGATGAGTTAGCCATAAGCATTTTGCTCTGAATCTTCAATATGACTCAATATGTGTTTGATAGTCCATCTGGTACACCTAGAGGTTAGCAGACTGGATATTTCTGATATTACTAAATGTAACTGCACTTACTTATTGGATTATCTTCTTTCTCATTTTATGTACATTTCAAATTATGCTTCTTCATGTAATTTGACTTGCAGTAGTGAAATGAGACTGACCAATTTTCAAATTGTTTGATTTTTATTGATGTTTGATAAACCACTAAAACCTCTTGAAAATATTTTTTTCTTAAATCCACTGATTGAAACCGATGTATTTTTATTGCTATGAAATAATACAACAAATTTCCAGGAATTATTTCAGAAAATGTGGAAAGACTGTAGAGAAATGAATAGCCCTAGAGAAAATATCTCAAAATTATAAAAATGGCTTTCTCAAGTTACTGATATTCATAACAATCAGGTTTTTATGTATCATTCATTCATTTACTAATTCATTTTACAAAATCTACTGGGTACTTGTGTGCCAAGGCCCTGTGTTAGGCACAATGATAAACCTTATAAGGCATGATCTTTGCTCTTGTGGAGTATCACAGTGCTTATATTCTACCAGAGAATACAGACAATAAACGAGCAAACAAATGAAGAAGATCCTTATAGACTGTAGTAAGAGCAATGAAAATAAGTAGGGGAATATGATACAGATAGCTAGGAAGGGCCTACTTTAGTGTGGGAAGTCAGAAAAGGCCTTTCAGAGAAGATGATTGAGCAGAGACCTGAAAGAGAAGAGAGAATAGGCCTACCTTGTCAGGATCTGGGAGAACATTCCCGAGATAACATTCTTGCAGAGAGAAGAGTAAGAGCCAAGGCCTTGAGGGGGGAAAAAGAGACTTGGCGTTTTTGAAGAGCAGAAAGCAAGCCAGCATGGCGGATTAAAGAAGATGTTACAGAGCCTAGAAGCAGCTCAATAACCGATAAATAGGACTTGGAGGTCCTGAGAAAGAATTTGGGTTTGATTCTCAGAACAATAGGAAGCCACTGAAGAGTCTTTCCTGGGGAAGGTCATTGGCTTAAAAAAATTATCCAGGGAAATTTAAAAAAAAATGTTTTGCAGAGGATAAATAGAATGTCTACTCATTCAGTCATTTATATTAATACCTGAGAATAAAAAAAACTCTATGATCAGTATGCTAAATAATCATGTAATTCGGTTCCTCTACTCTGTTTAGGTAAGGGGATGGGGGAATGGGAACCCTGAGGTGAGTATGTTAAAAGGCAGTTTACTTTCCACTGTCACATTGTGACTTGTGCTACAAGGTAAGTTGTCACCAACTTTATTAAAAATCAGATCATTGTTCAACTTAAGAATTTATTTTTCAAAGAATGATATCTTATTTTCTCATGGAAATATGTTTCCTTTGGAAGGTTGGAAATTTTATTTTGTATAAAGGAATAACCTAGGTTTTAGAAAGGGCCTTTGGAATTTTAAGAAGGGCTTATCATTTTCTTTTACCTGTTGCCTCTCCAACATTTTCAAATGGCCATACCTTTATTCCTTGAGAGATTAGGGTTACTGTGTTTCCTGAGGCTTAAATGAATTTATTGCCCTAAGCCCTTCCTTGAAAGCAATCCAGCTTTGAGGTCTAGTTGGTCCCAAATAGGAATGCAGATGATTATTGACATTCCATAGGAGTAAATCCTAATATTGTGGGGGAATAACCTGCAAAATAACCTTCATCAGTGCCTGCAGGGTCAACTTGATTTGATCCCAGCCTACTTTCCCATATGTCCTTATTATTCCCTTTCACAAATCTCTATTGGTTTAAACTGATTTTCCCCAGTTTGGAACTTTTGTGCTTAGCATTATTCCTGGCATAGAGTACGTGCACAGTGGGTGCTTGTCAAATGGATGCCATGCCTTTCTTTTTTGTCATTTCAAATTCCAGGTCCTATTACACTATTCCCCATTGAACTAGATCTCCCCCTCTGAAGGTGAACAGCAGTCACACACTTGCCCTGTTGTGTCATAATTATGCTTATTTGATGCCTGGCCATCTCCCCACTTGCCTCTGGCTTCATGAAGGCGACCTAGACCTCATCCGGTTTGCTCATTGTTGTATTCTGAGCACCCAGCACATGGTATGCACTTTATAAATAGTTATTGAATAATGAATAAATACTGTCTTGTGATGTTTCTCCTATTAATTTTTTGATGTTAGATCATTTAATACTGTTTTACTTTTCACGTGTTTGGTGTTCCGAAGTGGTTTCTGAGAGAGGTTGTAGAGCATACTTGTTAAGAGCTCAAGCTCTGGAGCTAGGCCACCTAGGTTTCAATTCCAGCTAGGAGACTTAATAGTTGTGAGACACTGGGTGAGTCAGTAAACCTCCCTGTACCTCAGTTATCTCATATGTAAAAAAGGGGTAATAGAACTTGCCTCTTATGGTACTTGCAAAGATTACATGAATTAGCTAGGCCCACTTTTTCTTTTCTCTTTTTCTTTTTCTTTTTTTTAGACGGAGTCTCGCTCTCTCACTCTATCGTTCAGGCTGGAGTGCAGTGGCATGATCCCGGCTCACTGCAACCTCCGCCTCCTGGGTTCAAGCGGTTCTCCTACCTCAGCCTCCCGAGTAGCTGGGACTACAGGTGCGTGCCACCACGCCAGGCTAGTTTTTTGTATTTTTAGTAGAGACAGGGTTTCACCATGTTAGCCAGGATGGTCTCGATCTTCTGACCTCGTGATCCACCTGCCTCGGCCTCCCAAAGTGTTGGGATTACAGGCGTGAGCCACTGCTCCCGGCCTAACTTTTTATTTTTAGTGGAGACAGGGTTTCACCATGTTGGCGAGGCTGGTTTCAAACTCTTGACCTCAGGTGATCCACCCACCTCGGGCTCCCAAAGTGCTGGGATTGCAGGCATGAACCACCTCCCCCGGCCTAGGCCCACAATTTGTTTGCAATTTTTAAATTTCTAAAGCTCTGAAAACTGAAAAAGATTTTATTTGGTAACTTAGATGCCAAAACTCATGTGGTGGCAAAACCTGACTTAAACTGACATAGGGTATTTATAGTCTTTATTCTACTTAATGTTGATCTTTATTTTGTTTTGCTATAGAATTACTAATATGTTTATGGGGTTGCACCATAGACCCTAATGGTGTATTACATAACATATGGTATATAAAGTATATTTCCTGTCTAAAGGTCTGGACATTTCTAAATTCAGAAACACATCTGGCACCAAGATTTTTCGATGAGATTGTACACCTTGCAGTAAACTGCTTAAATCAGGGCCTTGCACATAGTATGTTGTTGCTGTGGGTGGTGGAGATTAGGGAGGTAAATAAACTACTTTATCTTTCCCAATAGCTTGCTCATAATAGTTACCATGTAAATATATACTGATTTACTCATGCAATAACTGTAAATAGAGGACTGGCTGTGTGGTTCTCATGTCATAGGAAAATAGATATGGCAGGGTCATGTAATTGAAATGAGCCAAGACTCGTCTGTTAGTACTCTCATCTGGTACCATTCAGAGCAGTTTAGTTTTTGTTTTTCTGTTGTTATTTAAACCAACCTATGCTTCTTTAGCACAAGAGAGTCTTTTGTGGGGGTGGGGGTAAGAAATTCAGTTAAGAACTTATTTAATGTGATTAGACACTTATTTTTTTGCAGTTGTTGAACATTTATTGAACTGCTAATGTGTATAGAAATCTGTATTAAGAGCAAGAGAAGGCCGGGCATGGTGGCTCACGCCTGTAATACCAGCACTTAAGGAGGCCGAGGCGGGCGGATGATAAGGTTAGGAGATCGAGACCATCCTGACCAACATGGTGAAACCCTGTCTCTACTAAAAATACAAAAATGAGCTGGGCGTGGTGACATGTGCCTGTAATCCCAGCTACTTGGGAGGCTGAGGCAGGAGAATCGCTTGAGACAGGGAGTTGGAGGTTTCAGTGAGCCAAGATCGTGCCACTGCACTCCAGCCTGGTGACAGAGCGAGACTCAGTTTCAAAAAAAAAAAAAAAAAAAAGAAAAAGAAATAGAAAAGTAGAAAAGAGAAAGGTAGAAAACAAATGAGACATGATTCCTGACCTTCCTTAGCCCCAGCGCCCTGCATGGTTACATGGGGACATGAGTGTGCGTTACAATTCTTTATTTTCCTCTGTAAACTTGACATCATTAAGATTAAAAACATGCAAAGGAAAACCCAAGAGTTAATTGAAAACTCTTCTTAGCGTCCATGATATGAATTGGGTTTTAATTATCCTAACACAACCCCCCTCAGTATTATCTTTATATAACATCTTGACAGCCTTTTCCTTTCTAACTAAACTAAAACAACATGGATTTTCTTGTTCTTTACCAATACACAATTGGTGTATTTTCTTTTGTTTTTGGTAGAGATGAGGTCTCACTATGTTGCCCAGGCTGGTGTTGAACCCCTGGCCTCAAGTGATCCTCATGCTGTGGCCTCCCAAAGTATTGGGATTACAGGCATGAGCCACTGTACCTGGCCTGTTTTTTTTTCCTTCGGTTTTGTGGGGTTGCCAGTAATTACATGTCTCAAAGGATTTTTTCTGCAGTTTTCTTGCAGTTGAAAACTAGTCCTTGAAACTATTCTGCCAATTCATTCAACAAATACTTATTAAGTGCCTATTATATTCCAAGCATTGTGCTAGTCTAAACAAATAGAATCTCTGTCTAGTGCTCTTTCCATTACTTTGGGTCCTTCAAAGTGGAGCACATGTACTGATTGAGCAGGGTGGTGACAAGGTGGTGCTCCCAGGAGCCACAAAATAAAGCAGCTTGTATTTTCTTGAAGCATCTGTTTTACACAGAGATTTAGGAGAACATTAACTGGTAGCTATTTAAAAATCTTTAAACAAATTCAGATACATTCTGCCTTAGAACGCAATATTCATAGAAAATCTGAGGCAAACCCCAATATTTCAGAGAAAGTCTCTGCTTGCAAGGGCAGCTGTGGTAACCCTGAGATGACCCTTTGGAAAGCACTGAGGTGGTGCTGTACTGCCCGAATCTGTTCTTTTAGTCAAACACCCAAACATTTTCATAGCCGTAAATTCCCATGATGACCTGTGGGAAAGTTAATGGACATAAATGTTTTTCTCTGTTGCGCAATTTCAAGGGTACATGTTGGTTACCCTTGGTCTAATGGTCTAAATCTAAACATGTGTTGAGTTCTTACAGAGTTTTTAATGTTGGTGGGTAATGGCTAAGAGTGACTATGAAGGACCTGCCTAGGGAATGATATTTTCAGAATAGAGGTTATTAGGCCTGACGCAGTGGCTCACTCCTGTTATCCCAACACTTTGGGACGCCTAGGCGGGAGCATTGCTTGAGCCCAGGAGTTCAAGACCATCCTGGGCAACAAAGCGAGACCCTGTCTCTATAAGAACAAAAAAAAATTTAAAAATTAGCTGGGCATGGAGGCACACGCCTATAGTCTCAGCTACTCGAGAGGTTTAGGCAGGAGGATCCCTTGAGCCCAGGAGTTCAAGGTTGCCGTGGGCTACAATCACACCACTGCTCTTCAGTCTGGGTGACGGAGTGAGACCCTGTCTCAAAAAAAAAATCTAAAAAAATTTTTAAAAAAGGCTAGAGGTTATTAGAACACAAGGACCACAAACTTAAAGCAGCACAGTTCATGGTGTCAAAGCTTTGCCTTGTTCTGTGCACACTTGCCTGTCTCACTGATTTGAAGTTCACTTTTGCTAACTTTAAAGCTGCTTTCATTTACAGCATAGTATACAAATTGGTTTGTTAATTGCTGGCCACTGAAATAGTTAATACTAGAAGAAAGTTGTCAAGGATTAAGTGCTTTGAGGTTGATAAAAGGTTTCTACAGTTTGAGATGGTTTTGAAAATAGGCCAGCAGAGCATTGGAGGAATGCCTGTTACAACGTGATGGTTTAATTTGCTCCAGATGAGAAAGATGAAGAAGAAAAAGGCAAGTGAAGAAAGGGGGTGAAAGTAAATGGAGTAAGTCAAACACTAAATCTTTCAACTGATTTTCATTATTGCAGTCCCACTTTCATTGTTGTTGTTCCATGCCAGACATAGTTCACAGGGCCTGACATTGTTATATTGTTGTGTTACTGCTCAAATCTTGTAAGGACATGGGTATAGAGGATTGTGATTAGTGGATGGTCTTTATCGTCTACAGGTGAAGTGCTTTTACAGTCTATTCAGTAAAAGGAGATAAGAGTTTTGCTTGTAGTTTGTAGAGTTTTCTTTCTTGGTCCCACTTTTAAAAAAATGGTGATACATTTCTAAAGATCACTTCATTTCAACAAAGTTTTCTGTTCCACTCTTGGATGTTTCTTTTTTCTTTTAAGACAGGGTCTCATTCTGTCACTCAGGCTGGAGTGCAGTGGTGCAAAGTCAAGGCTCACTACAGCTTCAACCTCCCAAGTTCAAGTGATCTTCCCACCTCAGCCTCCCAAGTAGTTGGGACTGCAGGTGCATGCCACCACGCCTGGCTAATTTTATGTATTTTTTGTAGAGACAGGGTTTCACCATGTTGCTCAGGCTGGTCCTGAGCTCAAGCAATCCTCCTGCCTCAGCCTCCCAGTTTGCTGGGATTACAGACATGAGCCACTGCACCTGGCCTCACTCTCAGATATTTCTTAGTGGAAAGGCAGTAGAGCTTAATGGCTATGATCTTGAACCCTGGAATCATAGGCTTGGGTTCAAATCCTGACTGCCTTTTGTTGGGCAACTTGCTTCACCTCTCTGAGCCTTGTTTATCTCCCTTGTAAACTATCTCATCTAGTTTAAGGATTAAATTAATAATGCGTATAGAGTGCTAAGCACACTTAAGCCACATATGAAATATAACTATACTTATTATTATTTTCATAGATTTGTGGCTAAATTAGTTGATAACTTGGAGCATACTATAGGACCTTGGCCAATCATATATGAAGCAGAAATGTGAGGGGAAATTGTGTGTCTTCTTTGTTTATATTGTCTTAATCCTAGCTGGAATGCTATTTTTCGAATGTGCATCTCGTAAATGGTGAGTAGACTGTTTAGAAGTAACACTAGTTTTCTGGCAGACAAGAAAGTTTATGGTGAATGTTGGCTTATTACTTACTCAAATATGGCATCACATTGATTCCAAGAAAAATGTCAGTTTTTAATACAATTAGCCCAATATATATTTAAATGTGATACTGTTTGGGTTAATAGGATTTTAAATTTTAATATCCATTTTGAAGGAAAAGGGTTATGCAGGATAATGTATACTATGAACAATGTTATCTTTTAAACATGAAAACATTTGGTTTTCTGATAATCACAGGGGTCACACATTTTTCTGATTTATCTCTAATTGTTCCAGATTTTAAGTCCCCAAAGAAGAAAATACTGAAGCATTTGTAATAGTTAAGCCATTGGGAAGAGGTATAATTCTGTTGTGAATAATGTCTTCCTATGGATTTTGAGTTGTTATGGTTATTTCAAGTTTTTATCATGGTTACTGTAATAACAAATCAAATAATACCCTAAGAGAAGATAAAAGTTTGATAGTACCTTTGATAAATGAATGGATAAGTCTAAATGGAGTATTGAGAACAGCTTTAGGTGTTAGAGGGATAGACTAATCTTTTAAGTTGAGAGTACATGAATCTACCTTTCCTACTTTCTTACATGATGCCCTTTAGTTCCAATGTCAGACAAATGATGAGAGAGATAATCCTTGGTGATGAAATGCCACAGGTGCACAGAAGGGAAAAGACCAGGTAACATATTGGTCATATACTGTATATTCACAGGTTTTTATGACCGTTATTAAGATAATGTATATTCAAGTGCTTGAAAAGCTTAGCTCACTATATTGATGAAATATATTATTTATTAGCAGTGATGTCTACATTTATAAATAGTGATCATTCTCAGTATCATTTGATGATAAAAAGGCAGTATTCAAATTTATATATTTTTTAGAAAAATTAGACTTACTCTACCATTAGGTCATTAGCTCAAACCTTAAATAAAGATAATACCCTTTATTTTTAGAGCATCTTTCTTTTGAAGCATGATTAACTGTTCTTATTCTGTTTATTCCTGTGGAATATGCACAATGAGTTTAAGTAAATTGCAGAAGGGTTACATCCTGTGAGGTGGAGCTAAGAGTAGGCCTTTAGTTTCTAATCCAATGCTTTTGTACTAATGATATAAAAAGCTCTTGGCCGGGCGCGGTGGCTCATGCCTGTAATCCCAGCACTTTGGGAGGCCAAAGCGGGCGGATCACGAGGTCAGGAGATCGAGACCATGGTGAAACCCTGTTCTACTAAAAATACAAAAAAAAAAAAAAAATAGCTGGGCGTGGTGGCAGGTGCCTGTAGTCCCAGCTACTCGGGAGGCTGAGGCAGGAGAATGGCGTGAACCTGGGAGGTGGAGCTTGCAGTAAGCTGAGATCGCGCTACTGCACTCCAGCCTGGGCGACAGAGCGAGACTCCATCTCAAAAAAAAAAAAAAAAAAAAAAAAAAAGCTGTTTAGACCAAAGGATCCTTTAATATCTGTAGCCTTTCAATTGATGGGGTTAAAGCAAAATGTCAGTAATTGTGATAGCAATTTGGTATTTATCAAAATGAGTTTTGGATTCAGTAAGAATTTTATAAGTACTTTTGGTATCATATAGGTACAGTATCCACGTGAACATTTATGAACAAGCAATTATACGTAAAGCACTCTACTAGGAGGGAGAAAATGTATTCACTGCCCTGAAATAGGTTACAGTCTTGCCAGGGGCAACAGAGAACATGAGTCAATTTGATATCGGCCAATACTAATATTATTACCAAGCAGCCAGTGACTAATAAATCATTATTGCACTCATTATGAGCCTGGGACCCTTCCAAGTGCATCTGATGCATTGATACATTTAAACCACATAACAATACTATGAGGTAGAAACTATTATTAGCCCCACTTTACAGATGAGGAAACTGAGGCATATAGATGCTGGATAACTTGCCTGTGGTTACACACCTAATATGTATAAGAACTAGGAGTAAAATCCATGTAGTCTGATTCTTGAGTCTATGCTTTTAACCACAACACTTCCTTTCATGCTATCTCTGACAGAGGCCATTATATAACAGAGCATGATATCTAAAAAAGGCATGTTAGAAAACAGATTCTAGAGAAATAAAGAGAAATGATCAGATGAGGGTGTTAAAGTTGGAAAGATAGTTTGAAGAAGGCACTTTTAAAGGAGGTCTTATTGAAAAGCAAGGAACGTATTTCTGAATATTTCAATGCTCAAAGCTATGTGTACATATGTGCATGTGTGTGCACAGGTGTGTGTTGGTATATGTGTGTGGGCGTGTTTATTTTAAACTGGAAAAAAACTTTAGAGGTTAAAACAAATTGACAATCTTTTTACTGACAGCTAATCAGAGCTCTGTTTTTGTGTACAATATTTTGACTTCACAATCCTGTGTCGAAAAAAATATTTAACGGCTTTATTAAGATATAATTCACTCATCATACAATTTACCTGTTTAAAGTAATATAATTCAGTAATGTTTAGTATACTCACAGAGCTGAGCAACTGTCACCACAATTTTAGAACATTTTTATCACCTCAGAAAGAGAAATTTGTTTTGAAACAAATGTGGCCACAAAGAGGATGGAACTAGTGTGTCTGTTGGTACTACTGCTTGTCTATCAAAATGTTCATGATTTATGCTCAGTCTAACACAGACCTCATGCTGTTTTTCTGCAGTCTAGCTCCAAATTGCTGTAGAGCTCCTCCTCCTTTGAATTTAATTTTGATCGGTGACAGTCTTTCAAGGCAGTATGTATTGATCTAATTTTGAATTCTCAATTCAAGTTGATTGTATATTTGTATTTGTCATAAAGGTATTGATCTTAGTTCTAAATAGCAAAGCCAGACTCGTATTTAAAACAAAACTGCTAAACCCACTAGTATGAGTGGCTACCTCCTTGTCTGTGTATGCTCTATAGTGGGCCAGAGCCAAAGATTTCTGAGAAATTTTATGTGTATACACTGATATTTTTAATTACTTCTAAAAGTTATACCTGATATAGGTTACTAGTGGACAGATGATTGAGGTAAAAGCAACTCCTCCACGCCATTTTTTTTGGCTGGGGCATAGTATTGGGGTGGTGTGTTATGGAAAATGTCTTTTTTTTGAGACAGGGTTTCATTCTGTTTTCTAGGCTAGAATGCAGTGGCATGATCACAGCTTACTGTAGCCTTGACCTCTGGGGCTCAAATGTTTCTTCCACCTCAACCTCCTGAGTAGCTGGGAACACAGGCGCACATCACCATGCCTGGCATTTTTTTTTTTTTTTTTTTTTTTTTTAGTGGAAATGAGGCCTCGGTATGTTGCCCAGGCTGTTCTTGAACTTCTGGGCTCAAGTGGTCCTCCCACCTTGGCCTCCCAAAGTGCTGGGATTACAGGTGTGAGCGACTGCATGTGGCTGAAAAATGTCTTATAAAATGTATTCCATGATACTATGTACAGATAGTATGAAATAACTGGAATTAAAAAAAATTCGGCCACTGACTTTTCAGCTATTTAGGGTTCAAAAAAGATACAGTTAGTGTTTATAGTCAAGGACTGTGTTTCTGTCCAGTGGGAGTTACCAAACCAAATATCTCTGTGTGTGTTGGGGGAGGCAGGCTGTTCCCAGGTCTTCATTAAAGTAATAAGCTACAGTCAGTGTTATCTTTCAGACTAAATAATTACTATTTCCTTTCTATTATTAAAAAATGACCTTCAGACATAATTAAATGTCTTAAAGAACATAGGTGTCTTTTAAAATGTGTTAATCTTAGGTTGCTCTCTTTTTCTTCTTACAATTTTTCTTACTTTTAATTTTACCGAATTTTTCTTTCAGAATGATCTTGAAATGTCATTTTACACTTTTTCAGTATTTTTAAATGCCTATTATCTACTTGGGTTGTTTCTACTCAGGGGCCAAAGTAGTTTTAGTTGAAGTTAAAGTGAGTTGATAAAATGATTTCCTGTGAATCTTAAGTAAAGTTTTTATTTGCATAGATGGAATTTCTGCTTTGCCATGTATGGCAAAAGGTGTGGTGATCTCACAGCTAGTAGGTAGGATAAAATCAATTAAGGTGGCACTGCTGTCACTAGAATAAAAAATCTATGCATACCTTTATATTAATTAGATGAAAGCTCCTCTTTATCACTAAGCTCAACAGTTGACATCACCTGGAGTCAGGGAGTCAGGTGCCGTGGAGTTAAAAACAGAAAGCATGCTCGATTTAGAAATTCTGGCATATATGTATGATGCTACCTTTTCTCACAACTAGATTTTGGTTATTAAGCCATTGTGATATTGGGCTATGTTAAAAGACATTAGAAACCTGTTCATTTAAGACAAGCCAAATTGGTCTGATATAAGAGGGTCATGCTGAATGAGAAAGTATCACATAATTTAGGAGAGAGGATTTTGAGTAATGTGAATATTGAGTTTTCTGTGACTTGGTATATCATTTATTGATTTTAAAAAATGAACCCATTACATTATACTCATAAACTATTACTTCACAATAGTTTGATTTTCTGCTTAAATCAGTGCCTAAAATGGTAAAGTCTTAAATGGTTTAGAATGACTCTGCATGTAGGTTAGGTCCATCTACCTGTTTTATATGGGGATCTGCTTTATCTGCACATAAAGAAGATTCGCTAGCTTTAATTAGCCTTACTATGTAGGGCAGCACTTTCTCTAATGAGAGAAAATGAGGTATTTTACACAAATTAATTCAACAGAAATTAGTGACTACCTTCTTTAAACCAGGTGATGGGGATGCAGTGGTGAACAAAGTTCTATCTTCATTCTATGAGGTACTCACAGCATTATATGCACTCTCTTTGTTCTTTTCTAAGAACATTCCATTCAAAGGAATAGGAAAAGTGGCAGGAGAAAACACACTCCTTTCCTTTAAGGATGTAGTTTAGCATTTGCACACATCACATTCACACATATCCCACTGGCCAGAACTTAATCCTATGGTGATACCTAAGCTGGAAAATGTGGCCCTTCACTGCATGGACAAGCAAAAATAATTATTACTATATGAGCCGGGAAGAACAGATATTGGGGAATAACTAATAGTCTCTGCTATACATTGTCCCTAATGTAAACCTTTAATCATTCATCAATTTTTGACTTATCTGGAGATATTATCTCTATGACATCAGCTACACATTTGCTTCATGGTAAAAATTAAGACTTCTCAGCAGAGTATACAAGTCCATCATGACTTGACTCCTGCCTGTCCCTTTAGCACCTCTCTCACCCCATCCAAAGTTGCAGCCTTATGGGGACTACTTGGACTTCCCCAAACTAGCCATGCTCTCTTACCACACATTTGTACTTGCTACTTGTATTAGTTTGTTTTCACACTACTATAAAGAAATACCCAAGACTGGATAATTTATAAAGGAAAGAGTTTTAATTGACTCATAGTTTTGAGGGGAGGCCCTCAGAAAACTTACAATCATGGTGGAAGGTGAAGGGGAAGCAAGCACCTTCTTCACAAGGTGGCAGGAGAGAGAAGAGTGAAGGAGGAACTTCTAAACACTTATAAAACCATCAGATCTCATTAGAACTATCACGAGAACAGCATGGGGAAAACTGCACCTGTGATCCAATCACCTCCCTCCCTTGACACATGGGGATTACAGGTCCCTCCCTCCACACTTGGGGATTATAAATTGAGATGAGATTTGGGTGGGGACACAGAGCCAAACGATATCACTACTCATCCTAAACTGCTGCCTACTTTTTGTCCTTGAGGTTTCAGTTTAGATAGCACCTCTTCTAGGAAGGTTTTCTTGAGCCTCCTGTACCTCACACCCCTGTTATGTGTTTCTTTCATGTATTTCCATAGTATTGTTCATGACTCTCTTTAGCAACCTGTATTACAAGTAGTGTTTTTCCTTCTCTGTCTCTCTCCCTGGATTATGAATTCCTTGAGGACAGGGGCTAACTCAGTTATCTGTATTGTCTGTCATGATACCTGCTCCAGAGTTGAGTTTACTTAATGTTTGTTGGTAAGAAAATGAATGAATGAATATTTAGTTTACTAATTATGACTCCTTGATTAAGATGTCAACTCTTCCTATTTACCATCTGGAAACTGCAGTACTTAGAGTATTTTCCAGTAGCTAGGACTGGGTAATTTTGTAAGAGGTATTGATAAAATAAAATAATTTGAAATAAACATCAGATGATTAATATATGAATTATAGAAGGCACAAACAATTGATGTGTAAGAGTTAGGAAGAGCCCTAGGGATCATTTAATCCAACCCTTCTAGAAGATTTTAAAAGGACACACGACTAATATATAGAGAGAAGTTAAATTACTTGCTCAAGGGCCTCCACTTTCAAGGATCTTGCAATATCGTTAAACAGATGATATGTATAGACATGAAAGAGGTGATTGAGAAAAAATTGCCGAAGGAATAGAAATGATTGGAATAGTCAGGGTAGGTTTGATCAAGGATCTTGGCTTTGCAGTGAGCCTTGGTCACTGGGTAGGATTTTGATATGAGAAGACATTCAAGATATAGGCAATGTATAAATAAAAGTGGAAAGACAAGGATATACGGGAGAATTTTGAGATCTCTTTAGTTGAGTGATATTTAGTAGTAAGAGAGAATACAGAAAAATTGGGCCAGAAAATGGAGGGATTTAAATACCAGGCTGCTGAGGGAAACCATTGGCAGTTTTAAGTAGGCGAGTAATACAGTTTTTGTATGTTGTATCTGACTGATAGGTGGGCTGGGTTGAAGGCTGAATGGGTCATGAAACTGGCATATTGTCTAATGTGCCAATTTAAAAATATGAACTTAATGGGTTCTCGTTTTTGCTCAAAAGCAAAAACATGATATACTATCAATTCCCATGATAATTAACATAACAATATCAGTGTTTTTCTTAATGGAGAAAGTGAGTGTAAGTAGCAAGCTTATAGTATTAGTATTGCATATGTATTAGTCATGACATACCATAGATAATTGTATAAATTTTCACGTTACGCCAATAAACTGTAAAAATTCCAGAAGTAACTGAGAACGTGGTAGCAGCTGCAGCATCGGCCCATGCTATTTTGCCAGCCATTCGGAGACTGCATAAATTAACTAGTGGCATGAACTCTCCTGGTGCATTTTGGAGCCATTTTATTCAAAAATTGTTTTGTAGAAAGTGAAAATGTTATACTGTATTTTGGCAAAAATAAGAAGAACAATAAGCAGAGCTCTCTTTAGTGTATTAAGCATCATCTAAAAATGAAAAGCGTGAGGGGAGAACCTTTACTTCATGTGCCTGTGAGGAAATTTTGACTTTGTATAGACAAAAAGTATGTACACAGAGAAAGATTTGTTATATAAATAGTATAGCTCATTTGTATAGTCAAGGGTGTCTTCCTTTCCTTCCTTCCTTCCTTCCTTCCTTCCTTTCTTCCTTCCTTCTTTCCTTCCTTCTTTCCTTCCTTCCTTTCTTCTTTCCTTCCTTCCTTCCTTTCTTCTTTCCTTCCTTCCTTTCTTCTTTCCTTCTTTCCTTTCTTTCTTTGTGACAGAGTCTGGCTCTGTCACCCAGGCTGGAGTGCAGTGGCACCATCTCAGCTCACTGCAACCTCTGCCTCCAGGGCTTAAGGAATCCCCCACCAAGTTGCTGGGACTACAAGTGTGTGCCACCATGCCCAGCTAATTTTTTTTAAAATTTTTATTAGAGACGAGGTGTTGCTGTGTTGCCCAGGCTGGTTGGTCTCGAACTCCTGGCCTCAATTGATCCAGCTGCCTTGGCCTCCCAAAGTGCTGAGATTATAGGTGTGAGCCACTGTGCCCAGCCGAGTGCATTTATTTAATAGCTGTGTACACTTGGACTTAACTCATGGCTTTAACCCATGGCTGGCTTTAACTTAGCCTTTTGAAAGTCTATAAGTTTATAGCTTCAGACACATATTAATACTTACTTTTTAGGACCTAATGAAAACAGTTTATATTATCATTTGTCTTTCTACTAGGAGTTGGAAGGAAATTTTCAGTTTAATGAAGTTTTAAGTTATATTAATTTGAGTCTAGAAAATTTGTACAACTTTTTTTGGGAAACCTTCAAAAGTATTTGTTTCAGATGGTGTAAAATGAAATGCATAAATACCTATTTCCATAATATCTTTGTACTTGAAAATAATATAAAGTTAACCTTATGTACCCTTCTGAAAATTAAAAGCATTTAATAAAGTATAATTTTTTTAAATTTTATTATTATTATACTTTAAGTTTTAGAGTACATGTGCACAACGTGCAGGTTTGTTACATATGTATACATGTGCAATGTTGGTGTGCTGCACCCATTAACTCATCATTTAGCATTAGGTATCTCTCCTAATGCTATCCCTCCCCCTCCCCTCTCCCCCCTCCCCCCTTCCCCCACCCCCCTTCCCCCACCCCACAACAGTCCCTGGTGTGTGATGTTCCCCTTCCTGTGTCCATGTGTTCTCATTGTTCAATTCCCACCTATGAGTGAGAACATGCGGTGTTTGGTTTTTTGTCTTTGCGGTAGTTTGCTGAGAATGATGGTTTCCAGCTTCATCCATGTCCCTACAAAGGACGTGAACTCATCATTTTTTATGGCTGCATAGTATTCCATGGTGTATATGTGCCACATTTTCTTAATCCAGTCTATCATTGTTGGACATTTGGGTTGGTTCCAAGTCTTTGCTATTGTGAATAGTGCCGCTATAAACATACGTGTGCATGTGTCTTTATAGCAGCATGATTTATAATCCTTTGGGTATATACCCAGTAATGGGATGGCTGGGTCAAATGGTATTTCTAGTTCTAGATCCCTGAAGAATCCCCACACTGTCTTCCACCATGGTTGAACTAGTTTACAGTCCCACCAACAGTGTAAAAGTGTTCCTATTTCTCCACATCCTCTCCAGCACCTGTTGTTTCCTGACTTTTTAATGATTGCCATTCTAACTGGTGTGAGTTGGTATCTCATTGTGGTTTTGATTTGCATTTCTCTGATGGCCAGTGATGATGAGCATTTTTTCATGTGTCCTTTGGCTGCATAAATGTCTTCTTTTGAGAAGTGTCTGTTCATAGCCTTTGCCCACTTTTTGATGGGGTTATTTTTTTCCTGTAAATTTTTTGAGTTCATTGTAGATTCTGGATATTAGCCCTTTGTCCAATGAGTAGGTTGCAAAAATTTTCTCCCATTCTGTAGGTTGCCTGTTCACTCTGATGGTAGTTTCTTTTGCTGTGCAGAAGCTCTTGAGTTTCATTAGATCCCATTTGTCAATTTTGGTTTTTGTTGCCATTGCTTTTGGTGTTTTAGACATGAAGTCCTTGCCCATGCCTATGTTCTGAATGGTATTGCCTAGGTTTCCTTCTAGGGTTTTTATGGTTTTAGGTCTAACGTTTAAGTCTTTAATCCATCTTGAATTAATTTTTGTATAAGGTGTAAGGAAGGGATCCAGTTTCAGCTTTCTACATATGGCTAGCCAGTTTTCCCAGCACCATTTATTAAATAGGGAATCCTTTCCCCATTGCTTGTTTTCCTCCAGTTTGTCAAAGATCAGATAGTTGTAGATATGCGGCGTTATTTCTGAGGGCTCTGTTCTGTTCCATTGGTCTATATCTCTGTTTTGGTACCAGTACCATGCTGTTTTGGTTACTGTAGCCTTGTAGTATAGTTTGAAGCAGGTAGTGTGATGCCTCCAGCTTTGTTCTTTTGGCTTGGAATCGACTTGGCAATGCGGGCTCTTTTTTGGTTCCATATGAACTTTAAAGTAGTTTTTTCCCATTCTGTGAAGAAAGTCATTGGTAGCTTGATGGGGATGGCATTGAATCTATAAATTACCTTGGGCAGTATGGCCATTTTCACAATATTGATTCTTCCTACCCATGAGCATGGAATGTTCTTTCATTTGTTTGTATCCTCTTTTATTTGCTTGAGCAGTGGTTTGTAGTTCTCCTTGAAGAGGTCCTTCACATCCCTTGTAAGTTGGATTCCTAGGTATTTTATTCTCTTTGAAGCAATTGTGAATGGGAGTTCCCTCATGATCTGGTTCTCTGTTTGTCTGTTATAGGTGTATAAGAATGCTTGTGATTTTTGCACATTGATTTTGTATCCTGAGACTTTGCTGAAGTTGCTTATCAGCTTAAGGAGATTTTGGGCTGAGACAATGGGGTTTTCTAGATATATAATCATGTCATCTGCAAACAGGGACAATTTGACTTCCTCTTTTCCTAATTGAATGCCCTTTATTTCCTTCTCCTGCCTGATTGCCCTGGCCAGAACTTCCAAAACTATGTTGAATAGGAGTGGTGAGAGAGGGCATCCCTGTCTTGTGCCCGTTTTCAAAGGGAATGCTTCCAGTTTTTGCCCATTCAGTATGATATTGGCTGTGGGTTTGTCATAGATAGCTCTTATTATTTTGAGATACGTCCCATCAATACCTAATTTATTGAGAGTTTTTAGCATGAAGCGTTGCTGAATTTTGTCAAAGGCCTTTTCTGCATCTATTGAGATAATCATGTGGTTTTTGTCGTTGGTTCTGTTTATATGCTGGATTACGTTTATTGATTTGCGTATATTGAACCAGCCTTGCATCCCAGGGATGAAGCCCACTTGATCATGGTGGATAAGCTTTTTGATGTGTTGCTGGATTCGGTTTGCCAGTATTTTATTGAGGATTTTTGCATCGATGTTCATCAGGCATATTGGTCTAAAATTCTCTTTTTTGGTTGTGTCTCTGCCAGGCTTTGGTATCAGGATGATGCTGGCCTCATCAAAGAGTTAGGGAGGATTCCCTCTTTTTCTATTGATTGGAATAGTTTCGGAAGGAATGGTACCAGCTCCTCCTTGTACCTCTGGTAGAATTTGTCTGTGAATCCATCTGATCCTGGACTTTTTTTGGTTGGTAAGCTATTAATTATTGCCTCAATTTCAGAGCCTGTTATTGGTCTATTCAGAGATTCAACTTCTTCCTGGTTTAGTCGTGGGAGGGTGTATGTGTCGAGGAATTTATCCTTTTCTTCTAGATTTTCTAGTTTATTTGTGTAGAGGTGTTTATAGTATTCTCTGATGGTAGTTTGTATTTCTGTGGGATCGGTGGTGATACCCCCTTTGTCATTTTGTATTGTGTCTATTTGATTCTTCTCTCTTTTCTTCTTTATTAGTCTTGCTAGCAGTCTATCAATTTTGATGATCTTTTCAAAAAACCAGCTCCTGGATTCATTAATTTTTTGAAGGGTTTTTTGTGTCTGTATTTCCTTCAGTTCTGCTCTGATCTTTGTTATTTCTTGCCTTCTGCTAGCTTTTGAATGTGTTTGCTCTTGCTTTTCTAGTTCTTTTAATTGTGATGTTAGGGTTTCAATTTTAGATCTTTCCTGCTTTCTCTTTTGGGCATTTAGTGCTATAAATTTCCCTCTACACACTGCTTTGAATGTGTCCCAGAGATTCTGGTATGTTGTCTGCTTTGAATGTGTCCCAGAGATTCTGGTATGTTGTGTCTTTGTTCTCATTGGTTTCAAAGAACATCTTTATTTCTGCCTTCATTTCATTATGTACCCAGTAGTAATTCAGGAGCAGGTTGTTCAGTTTCCATGTAGTTGAGCGGTTTTGAATGAGTTTCTTAATCCTGAGTTCTACTTTGATTGCACTGTGATCTGAGAGACAGTTTGTTATAATTTCTGTTCTTTTACATTTGCTGAGGAGAGCTTTACTTCCAACTATGTGGTCAATTTTGGAATAGGTGTGGTGTGGTGCTGAAAAGAATGTATATTCTGTTGATTTGGGGTGGAGAGTTCTGTAGATGTCTGTTAGGTCCGCTTGGTGCAGGGCTGAGTTCAATTCTTGGATATCCTTGTTAACTTTCTGTCTCGTTAATCTGTCTAATGTTGACAGTGGGGTGTTAAAGTCTCCCATTATTATTGTGTGGGAGTCTAAGTCTCTTTGTAGGTCACTCAGGACTTGCTTTATGAATCTGGGTGCTCCTGTATTGGGTGCATATATATTTAGGAGAGTTAGCTCTTCTTGTTGAATTGATCCCTTTACCATTATGTAATGGCCTTCTTTGTCTCTTTTGATCTTTGTTGGTTTAAAGTCTGTTTTATCAGAGACTAGGATTGCAACCCCTGCCTTTTTTTGTTTTCCATTTGCTTGGTAGATCTTCCTCCATCCCTTTATTTTGAGCCTATGTGTGTCTCTGTATGTGAGATGCATTTCCTGAATGCAGCACACTGGTGGGTCTTGACTCTTTATCCAATTTGCCAGTCTGTGTCTTTTAATTGGAGCATTTAGCCCATTTACCTTTAAGGTTAATATTGTTATGTGTGAATTTGATCCTGTCATTATGATGTTAGCTGGTTATTTTGCTCGTTAGTAGATGCAGTTTCTTCCTAGCCTTGATGGTCTTTACAATTTGGCATGTTTTTGCAGTGGCTGGTACCAGTTGTTCCTTTCCATGTTTAGTGCTTCCTTCAGGAGCTCTTTTAGGGCAGGCCTGGTGGTGACAAAATCTCTCAGCATTTGCTTGTCTGTAAAGTATTTTATTTCTCCTTCACTTATGAAGCTTAGTTTGGCTGGATATGAAATTCTGGGTTGAAAATTCTTTTCTTTAAGAATGTCGAATATTGGCCCCCACTCTCTTCTGGCTTGTAGAGTTTCTGCTGAGAGATCAGCTGTTAGTCTGATGGGCTTCCCTTTGTGGGTAACCCGACCTTTCTCTCTGGCTGTCCTTAACATTTTTTCCTTCATTTCAACTTTGGTGAATCTGACAATTATGTGTCTTGGAGTTGCTCTTCTCGGGGAGTATCTTTGTGACGTTCTCTGTATTTCCTGAATCTGAATGTTGGCCTGCCTTGCTAGATTGGGGAAGTTCTCCTGGATAATATCCTGCAGAGTGTTTTCCAACTTGGTTCCATTCTCCCTGTCACTTTCAGGTACACCAATCAGACGTAGATTTGGTCTTTTCACATAATCCCATATTTCTTGAAGGCTTTGTTCATTTCTTTGTACTCTTTTTTCTCTAAACTTCTCTTCTTGCTTCATTTCATTCATTTCGTCTTCCATCGCTGATACCCTTTCTTCCATTTGATCGCATCGGCTACTGAGGCTTGTGCATTCGTCACATATTTCTCATGCCGTGGTTTTCAGCTCCATCAGGTCCTTTAAGGACTTCTCTGCATTGGTTATTCTAGTTAGCCATTCATCTAATTTTTTTTCAAGGTTTTTAACTTCTTTGCCTTGAACTAAAGGAGGAGGTTCGAACTTCCTCCTTTAGCTCAGAGTAGTTTGATCGTCTGAAGCCTTCTTCTCTCAACTCGTCAAAGTCATTCTCTGTCCAGCTTTGTTCCGTTGCTGGTGAGGAGCTGCGTTCCTCAGTTGGAAATGCAGAAATTACCCGTCTTCTGTGTCGCTCACGTTGGGAGCTGTAGACTGGAGCTGTTCCTATTCGGCCATCTTGTCTCCACCCCCGAGAGAAAAAGTATAATTTTTCTGTGATTCCTTTTCCTACTCTGTTGGAACATCTGCTAAACTTTAGCCCATCATACTTCTTATGCTTGTATAACAACATGAAAACCTGTAATAACCAGTTTTTGGCATCATACATTATTATAAGACTTTGTCATAATATTTCAGGAAGGTAATGCTGTTGAATGTACTAATAAGTTACAAAATTAATTTAGATGATTTCCTAGCTATAACCTATTGAAAATCATTTGTTTTGGTTTCCAATCTGATTGAAATCCTAAAAATACTTAAAATAATTTACAGAGTAGCATGTAATAGGAATCGTTCAATATACATCAGCACACATCCTGTGTATTCATTACATGAAATGGTACTCGAACATTGTGAATATAAAGTTATGGTATAGTTTTAATTAAGACTGTGGACTCTAAACCTGACCTAAAATCTGATTCTGTCATTTGCTACTTGTGTTACTTCATTTTATTGCGTCATGGTTTCCTCATCTCTAATGGAGGAACAAGAGATTTTATAGAAATTAGATAAAGTAGTGTATGTGAGTGTTAAGCATAGTACCTAGAATATGATAAGATTTAATAAATGTTAGTTATTATTTTATATAACTAGTATTATCTGGTTATGAAAGGAACTTTGGCTTTTAGTTTCAAATTTATCTTTCTAGCCATTTTATTTAAGACGTTTATACAAGAAGAAATACATAAAGAATGAGGTAAATGACAAATTAGCAATGTAATTGTTATCAACTAGTGGAGGCACTTTTAGCAGGCAAATTACTCATTATTATGGTCAATTATTTTGGCAAATAATTAAAGAAAATGAAAAAGAAGACCACCAGACTATGAATGACTTTGCCTTTAACTGATGCTGATAGAATTTGTTTTAAAATTTTTTCACTATTAGGAAGTAGCCTGGTTTTGACTAAACTTTTTAAAAAGAAAAAAAAGTTTGTTTGAAATAATTACAGATTCACATGAACTTGCAAAGATAGTACAGAGAGGTCCTGGGTACCTGTCACCCAGTTTCCCCAAATGACTACATCTTATGTAACTGTAGTATATTTTCATAGCCCAGAAATTGATATTGGTACAATGTGTGTATATAGTTCTGTGACATTTTATCACATTATGGATTCATGTAACCACCTCCACAATGATGATACAGAAATATTTCACCATAAGAGACATAAATTACAGAACTCAAGAGGAGGGGGAAGGAAAGAAAATTTGTTGTATTGACACATATTTTGCTTACCATGTTCTTTCTTCCTTCCTGATGTTCCAAGATACCCTCTTTTATCATTTTCTTTTGGTTTAGATAACTTCTTTTAACTAATAGGGTAGGTATGCTGGTGACAAAATCTTAGTTTTCCTTTATCTGAGAATGCTTTAATCTCCCCTTTATTCCTGAAGATTTTGTTTTTGCTTGATATAGGATTCTGAGTTGACAGTTCTTATCTTTCAGCACTTGAAAAATCCTTTGTGTCTCTTCTTTATGGCCTCCATGGTTTCTGATGAAAAATCTGCTGTCATGTGAATTGTTTCCCCTGATAGGTAAGGTGTTTCTTTCACTGCTTTAAAAATTTTTTATTTGTTAACAACTTTCAAAAGTTTGATTATGATGTGGTTTAGAGTCAATTTTCTTATTTTATTTATGTATTTTTTAATTTCAATATGTTTTTGAGGAACAGGTGGTGTTTGATTACACGAATAAGTTCTTCAGTGATGATTTCTGAGGTTCTGTTGCACCCATCACTCAAGCAGTGTACACTGTACCCAGTGTGAAGTCTTTTATCCCTTGCCACCCCCATCCCTTTCTCCTGAGTGTCCAAAGTCTAATGTATCATTCTTATGCCTTTGCATCCTCATAGCTTAGCTCCCGCATATGAGTGAGAATACATGATGTTTGGTGGTTTTCCATTCCTGAGTTACTTCACTTAGAATATTCTGATATGTATATAATGATGCTACCTTTATCCAGGTTGCTGTGAATGCCATTATTTCATTCCATTTTATGTCTGAGTAGTATTCCATGGTGTGTGTGTGTTGTGTATCTCCACATTTTCTTTATCCTAGAGTGGATTTTCTTGGGTATATTCAATTTGGGATTTGCATGGCTTCTCGATTCTGTAGGTTTCTTATCTCTTTGAGTACTTTTTCAGCCCCACCCTCTTTCTCTCTCCTTCTTATCTCTCATATTGCAAATGTTAGATCGTTTGTTATAGTCCCTAAAGTCCCTAATTCTGTATTCATATTTTTTTCAGTTTATTTTATCTTTGTTTTTAAGGTTGGATAATTAGTGTTCTTCTGTTTTACAGTTCACTGATTTTTCCTCTGTCTTTTCCATTCTGCTGTTGAGCCTATCTGTTGGGTATTTTATTACAATTATTGTATTTTTTGCTTTTAAAAGATCCATTTGGTTCTTCTTTATATCTTCTATTTCTTTACTGAGACTTTATTTTTTTGCTGAGGCTCTTGGTTTCAAATGTTTTCATAATTGCTCAATGAAGCATTTTTATGATGGCTACTTTAAAATCTTTGTCAGATAATTCTAACATCGCTGTCATCTTGCTGTCAACATCTATTGATACTTTTTTTATTATACTTTAAGTTTTAGGGTACATGTGCACCATGTGCAGGTTTGTCACATATGTATACATGTGCCATGCTGGTGTGCTGCACCCATTAACTCGTCATTTAACATTAGGTATATCTCCTAATGCTATCCCTCCCCCCTCCCCCCACCCCACAACAGGCCCCATAGTGTGATGTTCCCCTTCCTGTGTCCATGTGTTCTCATTGTTCAATTTCCACCTATGAGTGAGAACATGCGGTGTTTGGTTTTTTGTCCTTGCGATAGTTTGCTGAGAATGATGGTTTCCAGCTTCATCCATGTCCCTACAAAGGACATGAACTCATCATTTTTTATGACTGCATAGTATTCCATGGTGTATATGTGCCACATTTTCTTAATCCAGTCTATCATTGTTGGACATTTGGGTTGGTTCCAAGTCTTTGCTATTGTGAATAGTGCCGCTATAAACATACGTGTGCATGTGTCTTTATAGCAGCATGACTTATAATCCTTTGGGTATATACCCAGTAATGGGATGGCTGGGTCAAATGGTATTTCTAGTTCTAGATCCCTGAGGAATCGCCACACTGACTTCCACAATGGTTGAACTAGTTTACAGTCCCACCAACAGTGTAAAAGTGTTCCTATTTCTCCACATCCTCTCCAGCACCTGTTGTTTCCTGACTTTTTAATAATCACCATTCTAACTGGTGTGAGATGGTATCTCATTGTGGTTTTGATTTGCATTTCTCTGATGGCCAGTGATGATGAGCATTTTTTCATGTGTCTTTTGGCTGCATAAATGTCTTCTTTTGAGAAGTGTCTGTTGATATCCTTCACCCACTTTTTGATGGGGTTGTTTGTTTGTTTTTTCTTGGAAATTAGTTTGAGTTCATTGTAGATTCTGAATATTAGCCCTTTGTTAGATAAGTAGATTGCAAAATTTTTCTCCCATTCTGTAGGTTGCCTGTTCACTCTTTTGGTAGTTTCTTTTGTTGTGCAGAAGCTCTTTAGTTTAATTAGATCCCATTTGTCAATTTTGGCTTTTGGTGTTTTAGACATGAAGTCCTCGCCCATGCCTATGTCCTGAATGGTATTGCCTAGGTTTTCTTCTAGGGTTTTTTATGGTTTTAGGTCTAACATTTAAGTCTTTAATCCATCTTGAATTAATTTTAGTATAAGGTGTAAGGAAGGGATCCAGTTTTTTTTTTTTTTTTTTTTGAGACAGAGTCTTGCTCTGTTGCCCAGGCTGGAGTGAAGTGGCATGATCTCGGCTCACTGCAACCTCTGCCTCCCCGGTTCAAGCGATTCTTCTGCCTCAGCCTCTTGAGTAGCTGGGACTATAGGCACACGCCACCATTCCTGGCTAATATTTGTATATTTTTAGTAGAGACGGGGTTTCACCATGTTGGCAAGGCTGGTCTCGAACTCCTGACCTCAAGTGATCCACCTGCCTTGACCTCCCAAAATGCTGGGATAACAGGTGTGAGCCACCACACCCAGCCCTATTGATACTTTTTTAATGCAGCTGAATCTTCCTGGTTCTTGGTATGGCAAATGATTTTTTTGATGGCAACCTGGACATTTTAGGCATTATATCGTAAGATTCTGGATCTCATTGAAACTTTCTTTTTTCTTTCTTTCTTTCTTTCTTTCTTTCTTTCTTTCTTTCTTTCTTTCTCTTTCTTTCTCTCTCTCTCTCTCTCTCTCTCTTTTCTTTTCTTTTCTTTCTTCTATTTAAAATCTTGCCCTATGAATGAAACTTTCTGTCTTAGCTGGCTTCATCTGATACTGCTGTGTCAGGGGAGGGAGGGCACTGCCTCATTACTGCCAGGTGGGTCTAGACAGCCAGGTTTCCTAATTGACCTCTCTTGATACCTAAGAGGGTGGTTTTTCCTTACTGGTGGGTGAGGGTGGAAGTCCTGGCTCCTCACTAGACCTCCAGTGATATCTCCCTGCCTGAGAGGGCTAAGAGTGCCTTGTTACTGCTTTACACATAGCCTTCACTGACATCATTAGGGGGATGGTCTCACAGCCACTGGATAGTGGTGAAAGTCCTGGCTCTCCACTGGGCCTCTTCTGACCCCATCCCAGCGCAGAAAGGAGTGTGTTTCATTACAGCATTGTGAAGGTGGAAGTCTAGGATTCCCACTAAGCCTTTGGTGACGTGGATGAGGGTGCAGCCATATTTTTTTCTGTAGTGTTTAGCTGGAGTAGAGTAATTATTGTCTAAAAATTTTCTGTCCTAATATTCTGCCCTTTTTCTGATCCTCTGGCTAGAGAGAGCAGACTTTTCTTCTTCTGTGTTTTTGGTTTGTGCTCACTGTCATTTCTAGGTTGCCAACTTCTTCAGCTTTATACCTTGAATATATTAGGCAAAAAGAACACCCAGGAAAATCTCCACTGTGCTATTCCTTGGGTCCTGAGGTCCCTAGCCCATCTGCTTCTTCCTGCCACCTTTCAGAACCATTTTATGTTTTTATATACAATATCCATGATTGTTAGCCATATTTTGTAGGAGAAATAAGGAAAAAAATGCATCTACCTCATCTTTCCAGAGGAAGTTTGACTTATTTTGGCCTTGCTGACTTTTTCGTAAGTTATTATAGTTTGATTATATCTTGAAACCAGAAACTATTCCTTGTCCTAACTCAGGAGACATTTTGGAGTGGCTTTATATTCTATTTTGCTGCTTTGTCAATAGAGTTATTTAAAGTTATCATTATGTAGGCAACAGTTCCTTAGTTTGTAAGGCAAAATGCTGAATCTAAGAAACATGTACCACATATGTGTCTGTTATATCTGTAAGAATTTACTTATTTAAAATCCTGTTTGCGTTAAGGGTAATAAAAGTGAAGTGATATATAGATGACAGATTTCATGAGAGAAAAATTTTGAAGTCAGAATGGGGATGAGTATCATACTGAATTCAGTAATGTATTATATATAATGCTTAAGTAATGATTAACGTATACATTATTGCAGTACCGGTTAACTAGTGATCACATAATTCTCATCGAAATTGTTTAGAGACATAAAATATTGGCACAGGGTATTGTTTTACATTCTTTGAAACAGTAAATGTAGATTGGATTGAGGAAAAGGCTATCTGCTTTAACAATAAATTTCCTAGGTACTTCAGTAGCTTACTGTGAATTTACTTTGCCCTGTCTGTTGTATTACTCTTAAAGGAGTTAGAGAATATGGCTTCAAAATAATATCAGTGGCATTGCTTTCCCCTGCTCTTGCAGGTGAAATCCACTGATAAAGGGGAAGAAGATCCATTGATGGTCATAAATAAAATTTATCCTAAAAGTGTAAAATATTCAGAGCTGAATACAGCTCTCTATATATCAGCCCTCTGAGTTTATAGATGAGGAAACTGAAGCCCAGTAATGTTAAGAGACCTGGGAAAAGTAACAAGCTACTTAGAAGGAACTGGGACTTGAATTCAGATTCTCTGATCCTGGGGCCACTATATTTTCCATTAGCTGGTACAGTGAGGGAAGAATCAGACCTAGAAGCTGCCCTCAAAGAGTCTACTGGAGCAGATGGGAAGGGCAAAAGTAATTGTAATACTTGGTAGAAAGTGACCTTTCCCATAAAAGAGATTTGGATAAAGTTTTTTGAAATGTAATTCTTTAAGCATTTAAACTGTACTTTAATTTTGTACTATGCATACATAAAAGGAAAGAAGTCAGAAATCTTATTTCCAGACTCTTTTAGATAAAGAGGTCCCCAAATTTATTAATTTTTATTTTGAAAAAGTATACTCGGGATAAAAATGTGGATGATTATGTCTGGTTTAGAGTGTTTCATAATTTAATTAACCTAAGATAAATTTATATAAGTAAATAGATAAATGAATAAATGTACTCACAGAAGATATATATATGTGTATATATATATATATTTTAAAGAGTAGATTCAGTGGATAGAAGTTTCAAAGAGTTAGATGTCACCTCGGTATAAGGAGATTTTTCTGATAAAGCTATTGAAGTACGGAATGGGCCATCTCAAATTATAGGGAGTTCACATTACTAGAGGTGGTTAAGGGAAGGCTAGTTAACTTCTTAACAGGGATGAGAGTTTAGAGGGAAATTAAGCATTGTGTAAGTGGCAGGACCCATTTGATCTGTAAAGTTCCCTTTGAACTTTGAGATTTTATGATTTGAATTATTTCAAATTTTGCCTAAACTTTGGAGGCTTGGGCATAGTTTAAATATTGTATTTTTCTCATTTTCAATAAGAGAAATCCTTTATTTTCCAATTTTTAGAGTATTTAAATGTCATGTCTAGCAGTAAAAAATAATAGTTTTTTTTTGTAGCGTAACATCCTTATTTGTTAAGGTTATGTTTTATGATTTCACCAAATTTGTATTTCATCATAGGTACATATAGGACTAACACATTTTAATACATGCCTCATAGACTGGAAGAATTTCAATCTACATATTTCATATGCTTTCTATTTTTTTAAATTATAAAGGCATCTAACACACATGGCAAAACATTTACAGAAACCCAAAGTATCCATGAAAAATAAGTCTTCTCTCTCTGGAGGCAGCCATTGTTATCATTTTGTTTATTTACTTTGCTTACAGATGTTTTCTATGCAAATACAAGCATGTGTGTATATCCTCTTTTAAACACAAATGGAAGTACGTGATACACATTGATCTATGGCTACTTAACAAAACTTTATATTATAAATATTTCTATATCAGGACATAAATACCTACCTTATTCTTTTATTTCTCATATAATTAAAAAAATTGAGATATAATTCACATACCATACAATTCACCTTTTTAAAGTATTCAAATCAGTGTTTTTTTTTAGTATGTTCACAAAGTTGTGCTGCCATTACAGTGATCTGATTCTAGAACATTTTCATCAGTGAATGCCTATATACTGTTGGTGGGAATGTAAATTAGTACAACCTCTAAGAAAAACAGTCTAGAGATTTCTCAAAGAACTAAAAGTAGGTCTACCATTCAGTCTATCAGTCCCACTATTGGGTATCTACCCAAAGGGGAAAAAAAAAGCCATTATATAAAAAAGACATCCGGGCATGGTGGCTCACGCCTGTAATCCCAGCACTTTGGGAGGCCAAGGCAGGCAGATAATTGATGGCAGGAGTTCAAGGCCAGCCTGACCAACGTGGTGAAATCCCATCTCTACTAAAAATACAAATTTAACCGGCTGTGGTGGCGCACTCCTGTAGTCCCAGCTACTTGGGAGGCTGAGGCAGGAGAATTGCTTGAACCCGGGAAGCAGAGGTTGCAGTGAGCCGAGATTGTGCCATTGTACTCCAGCCTGGGCAGCAAAGCAAAACTCCGTCTCAAAAAAAAAATCCATCTTCATGCATATGTTTATTGCAGCACAATTCACAACTGCAAAGATAGGGAATCAAACTAAGTGACCATCAGCTGATGAGTGGATGAAGAATATATGATACACACACACACACACACACACACACACACACACACACACACACACCATGGAATATTACTCTGCCATAAAAAAGACTGAAATAATGTCTTTTGCAGCAATTGGATGGAACTGGAGGCCATTATCCTGAGTGAAGTAACTCAGGAATGGAAAAGCAAATATAATATGTTCTCACTGTTAAGTGGGAGCTAAGCTAGGGGTATTCAAAAGCATACAGAGTGATATCATGGACACTGGAATCTCAGAAGGAGGGAGATTGGGAGGAGAATGAGGGATGAAAAACTGTCTGTGGGGTACCATGTACACTATTTGGGTGACAGGTACACTAAAAGCCTAGACGTCACCACTATACACTTCATCCATGTAACCAAAAGCCACTTGTACCCCCCAAACTATTGAAATATATATATATATCTATCTCCTTTTACTCATCCCATTTGTTCTATAATAAAGTCTATCTCCCCTCTCCCCAGTTCCTGGCAATTATGATTCTGCTTTCTGTTTCTATGGATTTGCTTATTCTAGACATGTTATATAAATGGAATAATACAATAAATGGCCTATTGTGTCTGGCTTCTTTCCCTTAGCATAACGTTTTCAATGTTCGTCTTAGTTATAGCATGTATTAGTACTTTCTTCTTTCTATGGATGAATAATTCTACAAGGTATGAATATACTACTACTTATGTTTATTCATTTATCGGTTGATGGACATTTGGGTTATTTTCACTTTTTACTTATTAATAAAGCTGCTGTTAGCATTTGTGTATAATTTTGTGTGTGTTATGTTACCTCATTATTATTATTATTATTATTATTTTTTAGACAGAGTCTTGCTCTGTTGCCCAGTCTGGAGTGCAGTGTCATGATCTCAGCTCACTGCAACCTCTGCTTCCCAGGTACAAGTGATTCTTTGCCTCAGCCTCCCGAGTAGCTGGGACCGCACCACATGCCACCACGCCTGGCTAATTTTTCTATTTTTGTAGAATGGGGTTTCTCCATATTGGCCAGGCTGGTCTCAAACTCCTGGTCTCAAGTGATCCATCCGCCTCGGCCTTCCAAAGTGCTGGGATTACAGGTGTGAGCCACCATGCCTGGCCTATTACCTTATTTTTAATAACTCCATAGTACTGTGTCATTTGGATGTTTTATAATTTATCTAAATAGTCTCCTACATAGAGACATTATGGTTAGGTATGGACTTTGTGATTGATATTGAAAACAGCCTTGCACATTTCTGTGTACAATTGTGAGATAAAAGTTGAGAGTTGGAATTTCTGCAGCAAAAGGCATGTGCATTTATAAATGTATCCTCATTGCCCCTCAGAGAAGTTTCATCAATTTATTCCTCTAAGTACCTGTTTCCTCACAACCTTTCTTAAAATCTTTTGAATCTTTGTAGCATTGTGATGTTCATTTTTATTTCTAATATATTCATGCTATCTCTCTTTTTCTGGATCAGTCTTTTAAGAAGTTTGTCACTATTATTCAGCTAATAAAATCCTCAGCAACCCAACTTTCTTTTTTGAGACAGGGTCTCACTCTGTCATCCAGGCTGGAGTGCAAAGGTGCAATCATAGCACTCCTGGGCTCAAGGGATCCTCCTGCCTCAGCTTCCCAAGAGCAGGTAGGACTACAGGTGCATGTGACCACTTCCAGCTAAGTTTTTAAACATTTTTTTTTTTTTTGTAGAGACAGAGTTTCATTATGTTGCTCAGGCTGATCTCAAACTCCTGGCCTCAAACAATCCGCCTACCTTGGCCTCCCAAAGTGTTGGGATTATAGGCATGAGCCACTACAACAACCCACATTTTGATTTTCTTGATCATTTATTGTTTTAGTTTTCTATTTCATTTATTTTTGTTTTTTATTATTTCTCCATTTGTACTTTCTTTGATTTTTATAACATTGTTTTTCTAGCTTATTAAACTAGATGCATAGTGCATCTATTTTTAGCCTTTTAAAACAGTTTTATTTTGTTTTAAATTGATACATGATAATTGTTCGTATTTATGGGGTACAATGTGATGTTTTGATACATATATACATTATGTAATGATCAAATCAGGGTAATTAGGATATCAGTCATCTCAAATACATGTCATTTCTTCACGGTGAGAACATTTGAAATCCTCTCTTCTATTTTAAAATACATTATTGTTAACTGTAGTCACCCCGCCATGCAATAGAACACCAGAACTTATTCCTCCTATCTAACTGTAACTTTTTGTTGAGCAACCTCTCTTCATTACCTGCCCCCCACTCTCGCCCAGCCTCTGATAACCACTATTCTACTCTCTACTTCTATGAGATAAACTTAAAAAATTCCTCATTATGAGTGGAATCATATGGTATTTGTCCTTTCGTTCTTGTCTTATTTCACTTAGCATAATGTCCTCTAAGTTCATCAATTTTGTCACAAATGACAGGTTGCATTCCTTGTTATGGCTGAATAGTGTTCCATTGTGTATGTATACAACATTAAAAATTAATTTATCCATTGATGGACACTTAGGTTGATTCCATATTTTGGTTATTGTTAATAGTGCTGCAGTAAACACGAGGGCATAGGTATATGATGATAGATACATATATATACTTGGAATTGTGATTGCTAGATCATATGGTAGTTTTATTTTTAGTTTTTTGAGGAACCTCCATACAGTTGTCTATATTGGCTACCCAAGGTGATCCACAGAGTCAATGCAATCCTACCAAAATACCAATGATAGTTTTTATAAAAACAAGAGAAAAACAATCTTACAATTTGTATGGAACAACAAATGACCTAGAATAGCCAAAGCTATCCTTAGCAAAAAGAACAAAACTGGAGGAATCACATTGCCTGAGTAAGGAAAACAGCACGGTACTGGCATAAAAACAGACACATAGACCACTAGAACAGAATATAGAACCTAGAAACAAATACACATATATACAGCCAACTGATTTTAACAGAGGTGTTAGGAACATTCAGTGAGGGAAAGGAAAGTCTCTTCAATAAGTGGTGCTGGGGGAAATAGGATATCCATATGCAGAAAAATGAAAAGTAGACCCTTATCTCTCACCATATACAAAAAAATCAAATCAAAATGGATTACAGAATTAAATCTAAGACCTGAAACTACTACAAGAAAACATAGGGGAAGTGCTTTATGAAATTCTTTGGGGAAAGAAATTTTTGGCTAAGCTTCAAAAGCATAGACAACATAAGCAAAAATAGACAGATGGGATTACATCAAACTAGAAAGCTTCTACACAGCTAGGAAACAATCAAGAGTGAAGTGGCAACCTACAGAATGTGAGAGAATATTTTCAAACTGTGCATCTGACAAGGAGATAATATCCAGAATATGTAAGGAACTCAACTCAATAGCAAAAAAGAAAATAATATGATTAAAAAATTGGCAAAAGAGCGGAAGAGCTGTTTCTCAAAATAAGATATAAAAATGGCTGACAGATATATTAAAAAAATGCTCAACATCACTAGTCATCAGAGAAATGCAAATCAGAACCACAGTGCAATATCATCTCACCCCTGTTAGAATTGCTATTATCAAAAAGACATGAAATAAATGCTGGGGATGATGTGGAGAAAAGGGAACTTACATATTGTTGGTGGAGTTGTGAATTAGTACAGCCACTGTGGAAAATAGTGTGAAGGTTCCTAAAAAAATCTAAATAGATCTCCCATGTGATACAGCAATCTCACTGCTGACTGTATATTCAAAAGGAGGGAAATCAGTATATTGAAGAAATATCTGCACTCCCATGTTTATTACAACACTATTCACAATAGCCAGGATATGAAATCAACCTAACTGTATGTCAAAGGATGACTGGATAAAGAAAAGCTGATATATGTATACACACACACACACACACACACACACACACACACACAATGGAATACTATTCAGCCTTAAAAAGAATTAAATCCTGTCATTTGTAGTATCATGGATAAAACTGGGGGTCATTATGTTAAGTGAAATAAGCCAGGCATGGAAAGACAAATATTGCATATTCTCACTCATATACAAAAGTTGACTTCATGGAGGTAGAGAGAAGAATGATGGTTACTAGAGGTTGGGAAGGGTAGCAGGAGGAATGAAGAGAGGTTGGTTAATGTGTACCAACATACAGTTAAATAGGAGGAATAAGTTCTAGTGTTTAATAGCACAATAGAGTGACTGTAGTTAACAATAATTTATTGAATATTTCAAAATAGCTAGAAGACTTGAAATGTTCCCAGCACAAAGAAATGATAAATGTTTGAGGTGATAGATAACTCAGTTACCCAGATTTGAACACTGCACATTATATGCTTGTATCAAAAATATTATGTGCACCCCAAAAATATGTCCAATTATTATGTATCAGTTAAAAAAAACCAAAAATCAACATCACTGTAACAAATGGTATTTGTATTCTTATTTTTTTATAGATATTGACAAGTTGTTCCAAAACCCATGCTCCCATGATGAGTGAGTTTAACTATCTGCCCACCCCCTTGACATATCTGATGTACTTTTTTTTGGCACAGGTGTGCACACAATTTGATAGAAAAATAATTTATTCTTGTTAGGGAGTATTTAAAAATATTTTCAACTTTTATTTTAGATACAGGGTGTACACATATGCAGGTTTGTTACATGGGTATATCGCACTCAGGTAGCATGCACAATACCCAATAGGTAGCTTTTTAACCCATGCCCCACTCTGCCCCTCACCCCTCTAGTAGTCCACAGTGTCTATTGTTTCGATATTTATGTCCATATGTGCTCAATGTTTAGCTCCCACTTCTAAGTAACAATATGCAGCATTTGGTTTTCTGTTCCTGTGTTAATTCGCTTGTGATTATGGCGTCTAGCTGCATCTATGTTGCTGCAAAGGACATGATTTTTTCTTTTTTTATGGCTGCATAGTATTCCTTGCTGTCTGTGTACCACATTTTCTTTATCCAGTCCACCATTGATGGGCACCTAGGTTGATTCCATGTCTTTGCTATTATGAATAGTATGATGATGAACATACAAGTGCACGTGTATTTTTGGCATAATGATCTAATTTCCTTTGGGTATGTACCCAGTAATGGGATTGCTGAATCAAATGGTAACTCTGTTTTAAGTTCTTTGAGAAATCTCCAAACTGCTTTCCACAGTGGCTGAGCTAATTTACATTCCCACCAACAGTGTATAAGTGTTCCCTTTTCTCTGCAGCCTCACTGACATCTGTTGTTCTTTTACTTTTTAATAACAGCCATTCTCACTGGTGTAAGAGGGTATCTCATTGTGGTCTTGATTTGAATTTCTCTGATGATTAGTGATGAGCATTTTTTCATATGCTTGTTGGCTGCTTGTATATCTTTTGAGAAATGTCTGTTCATGTCCTTTGCCCGTTTTTTTAATGGGGTTGTTTCTTGCTGGTTGATTTGTTTAAGTTACTTATAGATTCTGGATAATAGACGTTTGTTGAATGCATAGTTTGCAAGTATTTTCTCCCATTCTGTAGGTTGTCTGTTTGTTGACAGTTTCTTTTGCTGTGCAGAAGCTCTTTAGTTTAATTAGGTCTCGTTTGTCAAATTTTGTTTTTGTTGCAATTGCTTTTGGGGACTTATCCAAAAATTCTTTGTCCAGGCTGATGTTGAAAAGAGTATTCATAGGTTTTCTTCTACACTTTTTATAGTTTGAGTTCTTAAATTTTTAATCCATTTTGAGTTATTTTTGTATATGGTGAAAGGCAAGTATCCAGTTTCATTCTTTTGCATATGGCTAGCCAAGTATCCCAGCACCATTTATTGAATAGGGAGTCCTTATCCCGTTGCTTGTATTTGTTGGCCTTGTCAAAGATCTGATGGTTGTAGGTGTGTGGCTTTATTTCTGAGTTTTCTGTTCTGTTCCATTGGTCTATGTGTCTGTTTTTGTACCAGTACTATGCTATTTTGGTTATGTAACCTTATAGTATAATTTGAAATCAGGTAGTGTGATGCCTCTGGCTTTTTTCTTTTTGCCTTGGCTATTTGTGCTCTTTTTTGGTTCCATATGAATTTTAGAATAGTTTTTTCTAATTCTGTGAAGAATAATGTTGGTAGTTTCATAAGAATAACGTTGAATCTGTAAATTGCTTTGGGTAGTATGGCCATTTTAATGACATTGATTCTTCAAATCCATGAGAATGGAATGTTTTTCCATTTATTTGTGTTGTCTTTCATTTCTTTCAGCAGTGTTTTATAGTGCTCCTTGTAGAGATCTTTTACCTCCTTGGTTCTTGGTGTTCCTAGGTATTTCATTTTCTTTGTGACTATTGTAAATACGATTGTGTTCTTGATTTGACTCTCAGCCTGGGTGTTATTGGTGTATACAAAGGTTACCGATTTTCATACATTGGTTTTGTATCCCAAAATCTTGCTAAAATGGTTTATCAGTTCTAGTAGCGTTTTGGTGGATTTTTTAGGGTATTTTAATAATAGAATTATATCATCAGCAAAGAGGGATAGTTTAACTTCTTTTTTTCCTATTTGGTTACCTTTTTTTCATTCTGTTTCATGATTGCTCTGGCTAGACTTCCTATACATCTTTTAAGCCTTATTGTATGTCCTGATATTTAGCTAGAGATGGCTGAATCTTTTCTTACGCTTCTCGGATATTCACATTTCTTTTTCTGCGAATTTACAATTTCAAATCATTTGCCCTATTTGTGCTTTTCTTTTGAATTTTATGAATTCTTTTTCTCCTTTGAATTTTTATTCTTAGTCACTTTTGTATGTTACTATTATTTTATCCTTCTTTGTTGATTGTCTTTTATTTTTAGATGATCAATTTTACTGTGGTATAATTTACCTGCAATAGAATATGAGATACCCCTAGGAACCTACTAGAATGTCTAAAATTAAAAAAAGAATACCTAACTGACAATGCGAAGGTGCTGGCAAGGATTGTGAGCAAGTAAAACTCTCATACATTGCTGATGGAAGTACAAAATGGTACAGCTACCCTGGAAAACAATTTGGCAGTTTCTTACAAAGTTAAATATACACTTAACATATGATCCAGCAATCTCATTCAAAGGTATTTACCATAGACAAGTAAAAGCTTATGTTCACAGAAAAATATGTATACAAATGTTTATGGTAGCTTTATTTATAATTGCCTTAAACTGAAAACAGCCTGAGTGGTTTTCAGCTGGTGATAGAATAAACAAACGTGGTGTATGTACACCAAAATATACTACTTAACAATAAAAAGGAACAAAGTACTGATACATACAAAAATTTGGATGAATCTCAAAGGCGTTAATGCTAATCAACTAAAAGAGGTCAGACTCATTAAGGCTAAATATATTATGATTCCATTTATATGACATTCTGGGAAAGGCAAAATTATAGGGACAGAAAACAAGTTAGTGCTTGCTGGAGAATGGGGGTGAAAAGTGGATGATTCCACATCAAGGAAATTTGGACAGTGATGGAATTGTTCTATGCTGTATCTTGATTATGGTTGTAATTATGACTATTATATGTTTGTCAAAACTCAGCTGTACACCTAAAAAGTGTGAATTTTTCTATATGTAAATTACACCTCAATAAACCTAATTAAAAATTTTAAAATTAAACCCATGTGATTTGCATTATAAATTGGACCACCATTTGTGATTATGAAATATGAACTTGCCAATAAACTGCTACAGGTGACGCTAAACTATAAGGAGCCCCTTCTGCTGCGTCTACTAATTAAATACTTTGAATGAGGTTCAAAAATGGCCAATTTGAAAATAAAAGTAACTTTTAAAACAAAAGTTGTTACACAGATATTCAATTGCAGAAAGAGTAAGAGCTTTGCTCAAAAACTTGAATATGACATTCACATAATATCCACTGTTTCTAGGAAAAAAACTTATAATAATGTCTGCATCTGTACATTACTTTAGAGTTTGTAAGGTACTTTTATATATGCCATCTCATTTTGAATTATTGCAAAACAATGCCTCACTAGCAAAGAATAAATGTTCCCATGAAGCTGCAAGCCCCTATGACTATGAATACAATTGTGAAGTAGGGATTGTCAGACCCCAAGGTTCATTTTCTCCCTGAGTGACACTTAATCCAGAGGTAAAAATCAGTCTCAGATAGTAGAACAGGCCAAGTTATGTGGTAAGGCTGTGGTGTCCCCAAACAGAAGCAACTTTGATGGAAGAAAACAGAGAATACATGTAAACATGTATTTGTGCACATTTGTATTACATGGCTGCTGAGAGAAAACAGCAGGCTGTTTCCTTTCTAGGGCCTGTTTATTTCTGAGCATATCTCCTTGGTGAGTGCTCCCCACAAAATACTGGTGCATAATACGTAACATCTTTCCTTAATCATAATGCACCCCCTACGTCCCTGGTCCCAGGCCTTTTCTCACCATGTTCCCTCGTTTTTGAATATACTTTTATACTCCCACACCCTCCACAAGGCAGTAATTTAAACCTCATCCATCCTTAAGGACCAGCCCCAAACGTCCTCATTCACCCAAGCAGAAGTAATTACTTTTTGTAGATTCCCACTGCATACTGCTTAACTTTCTCTTATAGAATTGATCACATTTGGCATTGCCTCATATAGATGTTTGATTGCTTCCAGTTGTAAACTCATTAAGTACCTAGCCTAGTTCATTGGAGACCCACCACACCAGCTAGCAGTGTGCCTTGCTATACTGTAAGGTCTTAGCACTTTCACTGAAGTTCAGGCATAATCAAGTGTGCCACATGATTCCAGAAAGCACCAAGCCAAGAGGAAACACAGAGGTGGATGTGGAAAGCAAAATACAATAATAAAGCAAAAGTATGTTTCTCCCTGTGTTAGTCGGGGTTGTTCAGAGAGAAACGGAACCATTAGGAGATTATCTATCAAGGGGTGGGGGTTGAGAGAAGGGGAGAGAGGGAGAGAGAGAGAGAGAAGAAGAAGAGAAGAGGAGAAGAGAAGAAAGGAGAGAGGTGAGAGAAAGAAAGAAAAGAAAAGAAAGAGAAAAAAGATTTTAAGGAACTGTGGAAGCCTACAGGCTGGAGACCCAGGGAAGAGTTAATATTGAAGCCCCAGCCAAAGGCAGTCTTCTTGTTTGGGGGTGGGGGACAGAAAAGGAGCAGTCATTTTTCTATTAAGGCCTTCAAATGATTGGATGAGACTCATCAACATTAGGAAGGATAACCTACTTTATGCAAAGTAACCTGCTTTACTCAGAAACGTCTAGAATAATGGTTCACCAAATAACCATGTTGACACATAAATTAACCATGAGACCTTTTTTTCTCTACAAGATGCTCCACAAGTCTCTTCTTCCCAGTCCTTCTCCCAATGCAACGACTGCAGTGGGAGCCACCTCCTTAAAAAGGAAGCAGTTTTATCTAAGGCATGCTAAACAAATTCCTGGAAAGGTCTAACTAAATGATAATGCTTCAGAAACTATAGTGATCACATAACCAAAAAAATTCCAAGTTATTTTAAAGTTGCAGATAAATCCCAATTGTGTATAATAATTTATCTTGTGATTGGTGAGTTTTGTTACATTGCAGTCACATTTAAAAAAAATCTCTCAGAAGAATTAATTTCAAAATAAACCTCAATCCTGGAACACATTACAACATTCTCTTCTTATGCTCCTCTTTCTAAATAAGGTACCAGTGACCTCAACTGAAACTGCAGTTTAACTTTATTAAGGAAGAAGAAATAGAAGGGACAAAAACTGTTGTAAAATAAATTATAAATATTAATAATCACTAATGCTGAAATTTCTAGTGCTCAAATAAACATAAAATTAGAAACTGGTCTGTTCTGCCTATGGAGTAGCGATTCTTTATTCCTTTACTTTCTTAATAAACTTGCTTTTACTTAAAAAAAAACTGTCTTAACTATTTTAATGAAGTATTTGAAAACAGTTTTTTTCCCACAAATATCTTATGACACAGAAATAGAACCTAGCAGACTATTACACTAGTGAGCAAATAATGAACTTTTGGTAAAGCATACCCAACCTTCAGTTAGAATATCTCCTGATAATAAGAAAGATCTCATTGAAATTTATTAATTCTTTTGTGTCTAGTAGATAACTTGGATGGCACACAGTGCTTTGATTTTTACCTGCCCAGAATTTAACTCCTCATCCTATCCTACATGATTTTCTTTTTCCTCTCCCCCTTCCTCTTTTATTCCATGTCACTGGGAATGGCAGGTCTTGCACCAAGTAATGGCAGGTCTTGCACCAAGCAAGCCAGAAACCTGAGCTTTAGTCTTTATTCCTCCCCACTTTTCACTCCTGCATCCATTCTAGTAGTGAAACCATTCAATAGCTTTCAATTAATCCTTCCTCTCTCTTTTTTCTTAGTTCAGATTCTTTAGTTTGAATTACTCTATCAGTTTTCTAACTTATCCACTGACTTCAGGACTTGCCTTCCTTCAGTTTGTTCAACTGCATTTTGAGAAATACTGCTAATGCTATTCTGAAGTCACTCTTGCTTGAAAGTATTTCAGTGGCTCCCCAGTATCATCAGTATAAAAAAATCTTTTTTTGAGTTACACATAAACCCTTCAGTATGGACCTGATCACTTGCTAATTCTCATCGTCTTCCACACACAGCAAACAAACTGACTTTTCTGCTGTGGTTTATGTTTTATCTCCCTTATGTGGCTCCCTCTGCCTGGAATGCCCACTCCGTTCCCCACTTTGCCTAGTTAACCCATATATGTTGTCTAACAAAGACTAAAATCAACCTTTGTCACCTCTCAGAAGCTTTACAGACACAAGAATATTAACTGTAGTGTATTGAACTTGGGAAAAGAGCAATGATCTGAGATACTGAGTCAAAAAGCCTCACAGATAATCTAAACAATTTCCAATCCAAAGGGGCTGAACCAGTAGTTTACAATGTATTATTTCCCCCATACTATTCATATGTGTAGTGCATTCTATCAGTAACTCTCAATATAAGTAGTGAATCTCCAGAAGGGAAGGGAACACTTCGGGAGGGATAATTCAATGTGCACATGTTGGGACAGAGGAAAAGAAAGAAAAGAAAGAGAAGCAGCCTCACAAACCTAAGAAAATCTTATCAAATTTTTATAGTGAAACAGTTTGGGGGTGGGTGGCATTGAATCAAAAATGACTTTACTGGAGGTCCAGTTTTCAAATGTAGATAATAATTATGGGCACAGAGATTTTATATAGAGTTTACAACTTGACAATAAGCTCTTACAAAATCGCCAGTGGAAAATGTTTGCCATGGTCATAAATTCAGTGACCTGCTTGAAAGATGTGTGGTATTTACCCTATCTTGCTCCAGCCAGCTCATACAGAAAGCAGCAGCATAATCCAAAGGAGTGGGGACATCCATGGAAAATTTCCTGGCCTGGCAGTTTGCATGATAAGTGAAGAAAACACGATTTACTAAGAAAAATGCAGGTGGAACCCCCACAGCAGGATGAGGCCAACAAATTTATTACACTAGGTGAAATACACATGAATGTCTGCTGCCAGGTCAGACTCATAAATATGCATTAAAAGAGATTCTGAACCCTTATGAGAACCAGTTTTTTCTCAACCTACAAGGGCTGACAGATTTATGGTTGAGGGTTTTACTTCACAAACAAACCCTTAGGTAGAACCTACATTTCTGCTAAGGTCATAGTGTTCTTTCACACCAAGGAGACTCCTAAGAAGAAACAAACAGTTTTTTAACAGTTTATACAGGTAGAACATTCCAGTAATCAGCAGATAGCAAAATCTGTGACTATAATGAGCAACTAAAATGGAAAAAAGCAGAAAAAATAGGACAAGGGAGTCAGAAAGGACAGACATTTTTTCTAATCTCTACTTTGCTACAAATTAGTTAGCTATGAGGACCCCAGTTTCCTCATTTATAAAGTATGTTAAGGGTAGGAAGATAATAAAATCTTTTAAGGTCTGTCCCAGCATTGAAACAGTAGGATTTGATCTAGAGTGACCTCCCTGACAGATACGAGGGTGAAATAGAGGCAGGCTCACATGACAGTTACTGGCAAGGAAGAGAAATGGGTAGTCATGACTGGTGGAAGTGAGTAAAAGTTACAAAAGTAAGCTGGACATACAGTCTGGGTAGCCAACTTTATATTGTTAGAAAGTTTAACCATTCTTTTCCAAACATCCCTTCCCACAACTTTCAAAATTATTCCTTAACTCTTCTATGACTTTCTATTGTTATATTCTACATTTGTATCACAATAATGTTAACATCAACCCCTAGTACAGGTAGGGCTGAAATTTCAGTCAATCTACTCTTATATCCACAGCCAAGTATATGTAGAGAGGATGATATTGGGGGATGATATGGTTTGGCTGTGTCCCCACCCAAATCTCATCTTAAATTCCACGTGTTGTGGGAGGGACCCAGTGGGAGGTAATTGAATCATGGGGGCAGGTCTTTCCTATGCTGTTCTTGTGATAGTGAATAAGTCTCACAAGATCTGATGTTATATAAAGGGGAGTTTCCCTGCACAAGCTCTCTTTTTGCCTGCTGCCATCCATGTATGATGTGACTTCCTCCTCCTTGCCCTCCACCATGATTGTGAGGCTTCCCCAGTCATGTGGAACTGTAAGTCCATTAAACCTCCTTATTTTGTAAATTGCCCAGTCTCTGGTATGTCTTTATCAGCAGCATGAAAACAGACTAATATAGGGGAGAAGGGAGAAATAGAGGGAATGAGGACTTCTTTCTTCATTTGTGGGGTTTTTTTTTTTTTGAGAGAGTGTCTCACTCTGTAACCCAGGTGATAGTGCAGTGGCACAGTCTTGGTTCGCTGAAGCCTTGACCTCCAGGGCTCAAGCAATTCTCCCACCTCAGCCTCCTGAGTAGCTGGCAATAGAGGCACTCACCACCACACCTGGCTAATTTTTAAATGTTTGGAGACATGGGGGTCTCACTGTGTTTCCCAGGCTGGTCTCAAACTCCTGGGCTCAAGTGTCTTCCCACCTCGGCCTCCCAAAGTGCTGGGATTACAGGTATGTGTCACTATGCCCAGCCTCTTTCTCCATTTGACATCATGATATAGGCTTCAATTCATCAGGAAGAGAAAACAATTCTAAACTTTTGTGGATCTATTGCATAGCTTCAGAATACATAAAGCAAAACTGAACAATAAGAAAATGACAAATCTGTTCATGTCCTTCGCCCACTTTTTGATGGGGTTGTTTGTTTTTTTCTTGTAAATTTGTTTGAGTTCATTGTAGATTCTGGATATTAGCCCTTTGTCAGATGAGTAGGTTGTGAAAATTTCCTCCCATTTTGTAGGTTGCCTGTTCACTCTGATGGTAGTTTCTTTTGCTGTGCAGAAGCTCTTTAGTTGAATTAGATCCCATTTGTCAATTTTGGCTTTTGTTGCCATTGCTTTTGGTGTTGTAGACATGAAGTCCTTGCCCATGCCTATGTCCTGAATGGTAATGCCTAGGTTTTCTTCTAGGGTTTTTATGGTTTTAGGTCTAACATTTAAGTTTTTAATCCATCTTGAATTGATTTTTGTATAAGGTGTAAGGAAGGGATCCAGTTTCAGCTTTCTACATATGGCTAGCCAGTTTTCCCAGCACCATTTATTAAATAGGGAATCCTTTCCCCATTGCTTGTTTTTCTCAGGTTTGTCAAAGATCACATAGTTGTAGATATGCGGCGTTATTTCTGAGGGCTCTGTTGTGTTCCATTGATCTATATCTCTGTTTTGGTACCAGTACCATGCTGTTTTGGTTACTGTAGCCTTGTAGTATAGTTTGAAGTCAGGTAGTGTGATGCCTCCAGCTTTGTTCTTTTGGCTTAGGATTGACTTGGTGATGCAGGCTCTTTTTTGATTCCATATGAACTTTAAAGTAGTTTTTTCCAATTCTGTGAAGAAAGTCATTGGTAGCTTGATGGGGATGGCATTAAATCTGTAAATTACCTTGGGCAGTATGGCCATTTTCACGATATTGATTCTTCCTACCCATGAGCATGGAATGTTCTTCCATTTGTTTGTATCCTCTTTTATTTCCTTGAGCAGTGGTTTGTAGTTCTCCTTGAAGAGGTCCTTCACATCCCTTGTAAGTTGGATTCCTAGGTATTTTATTCTCTTTGAAGCAATTGTGAATGGGAGTTCACTCATGATTTGGCTCTTTGTTTGTCTGTTGTTGGTGTATAAGAATGCTTGTGATTTTTGTACATTGATTTTGTATCCTGAGACTTTGCTGAAGTTGCTTATCAGCTTAAGGAGATCTTGGGCTGAGACAATGGGGTTTTCTAGACACTTCTCAAAAGAAGACATTTATGCAGCCAAAAAACACATGAAAAAAATGCTCACCATCACTGGCCATCAGAGAAATGCAAATCAAAACCACAGTGAGATACCATCTCACACCAGTTAGAATGGCAATCATTAAAAAGTCAGGAAACAACAGATGCTGGAGAGGATGTGGAGAAATAGGAACACTTTTACACTGTTGGTGGGACTGTAAACTAGTTCAACCATTGTGGAAGTCAGTGTGGCGATTCCTCAGGGATCTAGAACTAGAAATACCATTTGACCTAGCCATCCCATTACTGGGTATATACCCAAAGGACTATAAATCATGCCGCTATAAAGACACATGCACACGTATGTTTATTGCGGCATTATTCACAATAGCAAAGACTTGGAACCAACCCAAATGTCTAACAATGATAGACTGGGTTAAGAGAATGTGGCACATATACACCATGGAATACTATGCAGCCATAAAAAATGATGAGTTCATGTCCTTTGTAGGGACATGGATGAAGTTGGAAATCATCATTCTCAGTAAACTATCGCAAGAAGAAAAAACCAAACACCACATATTCTCACTCATAGGTGGGAACTGAACAGTGAGAACACATGGACACAGGAAGGGGAACATCACACTCTGGGGACTGTTGTGGGGTGGGGGAAGGGGGGAGGGATAGCATTGGGGGATATACCTAATGCTAGATGACGAGCTAGTGGGTGCAGTGCACCAGCATGTCACATGTACACATATGTAACTAACCTGCACATTGTGCACATGTACCCTAAAACTTAAAGTATAATAATAAATAAATAAATAAATAAAAATATTTAAAAATTAAAAAAAAGAAAATGACAAATCTACCAATTGGAGTGGAAAATTGTAAACCACCTCTCTCAGTAACTGATAGAACAAGCAGACAAAAAAAAATCTATTATGGTTATACATAATTTGAATACAATTATCAAGCTTAATTTATTGAGTATACATAGAATATTTCAGCAAGTGGAGAAAATGTCTTATCACAAGTATGGACAGAACATTTATTAAAATTGACCATATACTAGGCCATCAAACAAGTCTCAACAACTAGTGAAAGGACTGAAAATTAGAGTATATTCTCTGGTTACTGTGCAATTATGCTAAAAATATGAAACAACTAAAAATAGCCATGTATGGATATTGAAAAACATTTTTAAACAACACATGGGGTGAAAGAAATCCTAATAGAAATGTAAACTACTTAAAACTGAGCAATAACAAACACTGCATAGCAAAACGTGTGAGGTGCAGCGTAAGCAAAACTTACAGGAAAATTTGTAGCCTTAAATGCTTACACAGCCTTCATCACTTAACGACAGGTATACATTCTGAGAAATGCATCCTTAGGCAATTTTGTCATTGTGTGAATATCATGGAGTGTACTTACACAAACGTATGTGGTATAGCCTACTACACACCTAGGCTATATGGTATAGCCTGTTGCTCACAGGCTACAAACCTGTAATGCATGTGACTGTACTGAATACTATAGGTAGTTGAAACATAATGATCTGTATTTGTGTATCTAAATATATCTAAGCATATAAAAGGTATGGTAAAATATGGTATAAAAGATAAAAAATGGTACACCTGCATAGGGCATTTATCATGAATGGAGCTTGCAGGACTGAAAGTTGTTATGGGTGTCAGTCAGTGAGAAGAGAATGTGAATGCCTAGGATATTATTGTACACTACTATAGACTTTATAAACACTATACATTTAGGCTTTACTAAATTTATAAAAAATATTTTTTCTTTGGTAATAAATTAGCCTTAACTTACTGTAACTTTTTACTTTGTACACTTTTTAATTTTTTAAAACTTTTTGCCTCTTTTGTAATAACACTTAGCTTGAAACAAAAACATATTGCACAGCTATACAAAAATTCTTTTTTTATATCCGTACATATATACATATAATTTCTTTATATAAGCATTTTTCTTTTTTCATGAACTGGAAGAATTAATATTGTTTTTTATTTGTATAAATGTAAGGGGTACAAGTTCAATTTTGGTACATGGGTATATTGTATAATGGTGAAGTCTTGGCTTTTACCATATATATGCCTTTTTCTATTTTTAAAATTGTTTTTTTTTTTTTTTTTTTTACATTTTAAACTTTTTTTTGTTAAAAACGAAGACACAAGCATATACATCAGCCTGGGCCTACACAGGGTTAGGATAATCAATTTCACTGCCTTCCACTTACACATCTTATCTCACTGGAAGGTCTTCAGGGCAATAACGTGCATGGAGCTGTCATTTCCTATGGTAACAATGCTTTTTTTCTGGAATACCTCCTGAAGGGATGTGCAGCTGCTCAGCTCAGCAAAGGCACCAACTCCCAAGGGGGCAATTTTCAGTTTCAGTTCAGGTGAGGGTGTGTGTGTGTGTGTGTGTGTGTGTGTGTGTGTGTGTGACTCTTCTGGATGGCCCTGTTTTCACCAGGATGCAGGGCTCCACCAAAGCGCTGTTTGCTCAGCAGCAGAGTGCAGATTCAGCTCAGGTCCCTAGGGGCAGGGTGCAGGCATGGCTGGGAGAAGATGGAGCTGTTCTGCCAAAGTATGGGTTCCCCAGGAGGGACTGCGCAGCCTCAACTCTGCCTGAGGGGATGGGGGAAGGAGTGGGTGGAGCAGTTCCACCATTTCTTGGCCCCACAGGGAAGGGACAGTTGTTCACAGCTGGACTTGAGGATATAGGGCCACTAAGCAGGGGTGGTTTGAGGGCAGTTTAGTCTCAGGGAAGAAGATGTGCTGTGACTACTCGTACTCATCCTGGGGCAAGACATACTCTAGCATTAGCTCTCAGTGCAGTAGCCCTGTGGGCCACTTGGGGTGGGGCACAGTGTTGGCTTCTTATCTGTGGGGGGAGCACAGCTTTGTGGTCTCTAGGCAGCTCCCTCAGCTGAGCTTAATGCTAGTGAGGACTGCAGGGGACCCCAGTAGTGAGGATTGTAGGTATCCAAAGGGTTGATGGGGGCTGCTGGGATCCTCTTGCCTACCTTTGCACCATAGAGAGAAGTTCCTTCTGGTTCCCAGGTTATCTCACATGGGGGATGGGGTGATGGAGTCCTAGTATTTCCTTCCGTTCTTTATGTGACTCTCCTGAGTTTCTGTGCTCACCAAGGTTTGTGTTACTCCTTTGACGCACCCTGGTGTTCTCCATTAGTTATTTTCATTAAAATATAGCTGTTTATTTGTTGTTTTGCTTGTCTTTATGGAAGGGAGGAGGGCTAGGGGCTTCTAGTCGGCCATCTTCCTCTCTACCCATTGTGCTTTTCTAGTGATACTGTTCTGAAGGCTGGATCCAACAGAAATTGTGTGTGTGCAGAGATGTGTAAATAAGAATGCGATATTATAGTCATGTGTCACATAACCTTTCGGCCAGTGATTAACTGCCTACGAAATTGTGGTCCCATATGATTATAACGGAGCTGAAAAATTCCTATTGCCTAGTGAAGTCAGATCCCTCCTAATGTTGTAGTGCAAAGCATTCTTCACGTGTTTGTGGTGATGCTGGTGTAAACGACCCCACTGTGCTGCTTCTAGTGGTATAAAGGTATAGCAATACTGTTATATATATAGTACATAATACTTGATAATAAATGACTGTGTTACTGGTTTATATATTTACTATACTTTCTATTGTTATTTTAGAGTATATTCCTTCTATGTATACAAAAACCTAACTGTAAACAGCTTCAGGCAGGTCCTTCGGAAGGTATTCCAGAAGAAGGCATTATCATCATAGGAGATGACAGCTCCATGCACGTTATTGCCCCTGAAGACCTTCCAGTGGGATGCGATGTGGAGGTGGAAGACAGTGGTATTTATGATCCTGACCCTGTGTAGGCCTATGTGCTTGTGTCTTAGTTAAAAAAAAGTTTAAAAAGTAAAATAAAAGTAAAAATTGAATAAGGATTATAGAATAAGGATATAAAGAAATACAATATTTTTTACAGCTGTATAATGTGTTTTAAGCTAAGTTATTACAAAAGAGGCAAAAAGTTAAAAAAAATTTAAAAGCATATAAAAAAAGTTACAGTAAGCTAAGGTTATTATTGAAGAAAGAGAAATTTTTTTATAAATTTAGTTTACCTAAGTGTACAGTGTTGATAAAGTCTACAACAGTATACAGTAATGTCCTAGGCCTTCACATTCACTTACCACTCACTTACTGACTCACTCAGAGCAACCAACTTCCAGTCCTGCAGGTTCCATTCATGCTAAGTGCCCTATACAGGTGTACCATTTTTTATCTTTTATACTGTATTTTTACTGCACCTTTTCTAAGTTTAGATATGCTTAGATACACAAATACTGACTATTATGTTACAGTTGCCTACAGTATTCAGTACAGTCACATGCATTAGAGGTTTGTAGCCTGTGAACAATAGGCTATACCGTATAACCTGGGTATATAATAGGCTATATCATCTAGGTTTGTGTAAGTGTATTCTATGATGTTTGCATAATGATGAAATCACCTAATGACACATTTCTGAGTACCTATCCCCATTGTTAAGTGATGCATGACTGTACTTACAATGAGAAACTATTGGAAACTCTCTATGTATATACCAATGGGAAGAATAAAGAATTGTCTCATTGTGTTCATGGGCACGTACCTTAATGACTAATGATTTTGAGCATCTTTCCATATATTTATTTGTTATTCCATATATCTTTGAGTATGTGTTCAGATTTTTGCCCATTAAGGAAAAAAACTAGATTTTCTTTCATTGTAGAGTTGTAATTTTTTTATTGATTCTGGATGTAAATCTTTCATCAGATGTGTGGGTTGCAATTTTTCTTCCTGGTTTGTGGTTTGTCCTTTCATTTTCTTGGTAGTCTTTCTCAGAACAAAATATTGTAATTTGATAAAGATCATTTTGTCAGGTTTCTCTTTCGTAGATCATGTTTTTCATAGCTACAAGATCTTTGCCTAACCTAAAATCCTGAAGATTTTCTTCTATCTTTTCTTCCAGAAGTTGTATATTTTTGGGTTTTATATTTAGATCTGTGATCCACTTTGAGTTAACTTAAAGCAAATAAGATTTATTTGCTAGGAATACTTTTATTTGTTTAACTCATAAAATAAATATGTTATGAAAATGTGTTACTAGGAGTTATTGCCTCCAGTTGGTATTTTGGAAGCATGGGATTGTTAGTGACATTTAAGCTCTTTTGACCCTGGCCAGAAGTTAGAACTATAGTTGATTTCATAATTTAGTGACTTAAAAGTGTGTAGTATCTGGAGCAAATCGTTTCATGAAAGAATACTTACCAATATTTATTTTTACTATTTTACCCCTGTAGTTCTGTTTCATTAAAAATAAACACTTGTCCTGACCCACTAAACAGATTTCATGTCTCATGACTGGTTCCAGATAATTTAAAAAGCATACTGGCTTAACTATCTTCCTGAATTGGAACTCACAATCTTCACCACCTCCACTACTAAATAAATATTACCTGTCATTACCCTTTTCTGTCTGCTTTGTAACAATTCTACTTGGTTTTTCTCTAAGCACAGTTTAATTTTTGTTATGACTTTACAAATTTTTAGATAATATACTATCAGCTATGTTGTCAGAAAAAAAACAGTAAATGGAGTAATAGAAGGAACTTATTGTGATACTGTAGAATTTTAGTATCTATTAAAATAGCGATGTCCAGCCCTGGAGGAGCTATAACTCTTCCGTATTTGTGTTTCATTACCTATTCCTGTCTTAGTTGAGTTTCTTTTACTTCTATGTAGCAGAAACACACTGGAGCTTGCTCTAGCCTAATGGAGCCTAGGGAGGCCAAGGGCAGGAAGCTAGAAGGGCTCAGTAACTTTGGAAGCTATTCTTGCTTCTTGTATCATTTGTGTTCCAGGCTACGTTGGCTCTGTTTCTTTTTATGTGAGTCCTTTACACCTCTGTCTTTCTGAAGACTGGCTTTCTCTGATTTCTCTGTGCATATGACTGCCCTGAGACCCTGGGATTACTTCTGGCCAGACTAGAATTGCTCTGCTCCAATTCCCAGGAGAGATAGTATATATAATTAGTTTAGGACAAGTTCCACTTCTGGTCTAATCAGCATGGCCCAAAGGTAGTTAGATTGGAAAGAACAACCCATGTTTGCCTTGTGGGTAGATGGTATGCAGTTCTCAGAGACTGAGAAGGGTGCTGGGTCTACTGCAAGTTCACAAAATGCTGGTTGGTATACATTTACCTTTTAAAATGAATTTTAATTAATTTGGTTTTCAGAATGTAGAAGTTTATAAAAAGTTCATTGTATATTAAAAAAGACTGAGTTAAGGATTACAAAACTAGAAAAGTCACACTGACATCAAAGGATGACTATTCTTTTATTACTTTCATGTTAAAAATAATTAAGCTTATATAACAAATTTAGTCAAATATATTGACCACAGAGTACTCTTTATTTTCAAAGGTGGTAGTCATCCACATAGTGAACGTCTTGTCGATCCAGCAGTTGAAGGTGTTATAGGCTAAAGAAAATTAATATTTAAAATATTAGACATGCATTACAAATTTACCTCTGAAGAGTTTTCATTTAGATATATTAAAATTCCAAGTTGTAGGGAAGGGAAGATATGAGACCCAACATTTATTGTGTTTCTGCCTAGTCAGTCAGTTAACATATTTTATTTCATTCAGACCTTATAGCCACCCTTTGAGAAGTAGGCGTTGTTATCCTAGAAGCAGTGAAGAAATTAAAACACACAGAAAACAGCTAGCAAATATGTAGTGAGGCTAGCATTTAAGCTCAAGTCTGTGTGACTCTACAGTTTCTTCTCTCTTCACTCTACTGTTTGGGGGTATGAAAGTATATTTATTAAACTTTTCTAAAAGAGGCTATAAGTAGGACTATACAGAAGCTATTCAGTTCATTTTCTTGTCTGTGTGCTTAAGACAGTCTCAGTGTCAAACATATGATAATCATTTCTCCATATCTGGAGCAAAAAGAGAGTCATGTCAGTTACCTAATGTTAGTCACTTAAGCACATGGATTTTTTAGAGGTCATTACAGTGATAAATCAATATTTTAAAATAGCAGTGGCTTCTTCAGTTTGGAGAGAAATGTTTTTTAACCTTATATTCTAAACCTTAATGCATGCTAAATTGGGAATTGGAGGGAAAAAGGGAAAGCTGACCTTTCTTTTTTAGTCTGAACAAACAAGAAGAGGAAAGCAAAGACTGGCTAAATAGTATAAGGCAGTATTTTAAGCTTTCCATGTTTATTCACTTGAAACCTGTTATTTTTCAAAAACACATTTTTAAGTGAAAAATCAGAAAATATATATGCTTTAGAAATTATTGTTAAAGACAAATTTTGTAACATAAATGCTTTATGTAATAGTTACATAAAACAAGTTTAAGTTGTCTGGTATTGATGATATAGAGGAAAAACTATCCTTCAAATATTTGTGAATTTTACCTGTGAGTTAATGATGGTTTACCTTCTAATTTATCAACCTAAATGGCCTTGTCCAATACAATTAAAATGAACAATTATTTGGTTTATTGTAACTTCAGACTTAGTCGGAAAAAAATATATAACAGCTGCTAGGGTGTAATTGCTAAAATAACTATAATAATTTTTGTCTCTGCATGGTGAAGAATATGCATTAAGACTTTAGCAAAAGATAAGACTGTGCTCTCTTTGTAAGTAGTCTGATCAAATGTGGCTCATGACTTAAAATTAATTTGATATAAAGTAAATCTAGCTTAATTCTTTATTAAGAATTCACAATGACCTTTTTGAAATAGAGGAATTTGAGATGAGGATGAGCTAGATGCTCCAGAGTTCACATTGCTGCTACCCTTTAGGGCATAAAAGGAGCAACCAAAATCATGCTATTTTAGTTCTTTAATAGTTTGGCTATTCCTTTACAAGCTATCTTTTCTAGGGACAAACTAATATAGCATGACATACTTTAAGCATCAAACATAAAAGAGTTTTGACCAAACTGCTCTCAGCATTTCTGTTCTGAAAGTACCTAATTAAAAGTAACCCTGAGTTACTGGCCCAGATATTGGCCCAGTGTAGGGGAAATGAAGCCCACTTAGAGTTAATGGGTTGAACCAATTGTCCTCTGTAGTTCATTTCAGTACCTCTAATGTTTTTCTCATTGGTAAGCTTTGAGACAGGATGGGAGCTTATTAGTGACACAGTTTTCTTCTTCTGAAGCTAAACTCTTGGTATTGTGATCTTTTGACCTTTTATTCGCTCTAACTTCTTGATTCCCTTTTTCCACTCCTCTAAAGTACAGCACATATACAGGTTCATTGATGTACAACCAAATTTTACTGTAGTGGTGAGCATGGTTTATGGATTTAATTAATTGACCTATTAGTGAAATCCAGCTTATTGGCAGTCTTTCACGATTGAAATTCTAACTAGTCTCTCTGCATATCTATTTAGATCATCCCTTAACCCCAATGCTAGGCTGCTGCTAGGTTAGATCTGAAAGCACTACCGGCAGTCAGTTTTGCATATTCAGTTAATTATTTGGTTTCTTATAAACCACTTCTCTATTTTTTTCTTTTACTTATTCTTTGCTTCCAATTTCTTGGCTACAGTTTCTTAGTTCTGTTTGCTGTTTAGTCAGAGGACCAGTAGAAAAGAGCATTTTCCTTTTCCTTTTCACCAGATTCAGGGACAGTTTCTGTGTTCTCCTGGTTCAGGTCTCTGTAAGTCACCATATGTGGCTTTCAACCCTGTCAGACGTTGACCTTACCCTTTTAAACATTTTGTAGCAGTTTGTTTAATTAGTGGGAAATAGAATTCATAGATAGTGTGACCTACTTATATACATATAACAAAATCAATACCATGATTATAATATAAAGAATAAATAAATATAATTTATAGTGAAACTGTACGTATTTCAGGATATGACTGTGAGGGCCCAACTGTACTAGAAGATGTAGTGAAGTAGTGAATGCTTGTACCTACTTCTTTTTTTTTTAAAACAAAAAGTTTTTTAATGTCTGTAGCCTAATCTTGGAAATGAAGCTTGTACCTACTTCTAAAGAATTAAGTTCAGGTTTATGAGAAGTAACAAGGTAATTCTGTATAGAAAACTACAGAAAATGAAAAATTAGTGGTACATGTGGACCATAACATAAAAATGTTAGAATAAATAACCACAGATGAGACTTGTTTGTATATAATAAGAGAAAGAAGGAAATACTTGAAGCCGAGAAAACATGTCATGACAAATTACAGACTCTCAAAATGAAGAAAATGAGGAAGTACGATATTCTCACAAAGGACTTGGGCCATATTTATAAGGGTACTGAGAAAGTAATTTCCTATATTGTGATAGAGAACAAGACCCTGATGAGGCATCACAGAAAGCATATTTCCTATTTTGAAATACTACCACTTTAAGACATGGTTTAGATTCCTGGTGCCTCAAAAGACCTTGATGACCAAATTCTTCTCTAGGTGATGAGAAATAGAGAGGATGGATTAGAAAGAGAAACAATAAAACAGTAAGGTATGGAGAAGATGGGGCAGTAGATGTCTCTATACCAAAAAGATAGAAAAATAACAGGCAATCACCAAATGAATACTTTCAATATGGGTTTTTACAGGATATGTTTCTTAGTGTTACAGAACATTTTTTTTAACACATAGAATTTCGTAATTTGAAACATTAATTTAAGTAATTTTTATTCTTTTAAAAAATTTGCTCTTCAAAATTCAACTTCAGTAATTTTTATTGAGATCCCTATGGTTCATATGTCTCTACGAATTTAATAATGCTTTGTTTGTAATCTTTAAGAATGGACTCAAATATCCTCTGCCATTTTTTGCAGAGGTTCCATTGCTTTTGCAGTAACTGCACTATTATACTAAACTCTTTTCAACAAATATATAATTAGAAATGCTCTAGTATGTAGTGCATAGAGTGGATATATAATTTAGTTTTGAGACAACATCTTTATTTGATTCAAGCTTCTGCCTCCGTAAAGACTTTGTCCTAAATTATTGGGCTTTTTTCTTAACTTCTTGTCAAATCTACCTGTATTAGTATACACAGTTCGTATACTACCTGTGTATTAGTATACACAGTTCCTGGTGTTTATTGTGTTAAGTTTCACCTGGCAGAGTATTTCCCTCTTCTGGGAAATGAGGCCATTCTTTACTGTTTGGGACTGCTCCATGTATTCCATAACACTTACCTCTGCCCACCAAATGCTCGTGGTTTCTCTCAATAATTTTGAGTGGTAAAAGTACCCCAACACATTTCCAAAATGCTCCTCAGGGGCATTGGACTCATTGGCTATTCCTAGCTAAATGTATATGCTTGCATTTCTTAAAAAACAACCTCCACAAATTTTATTTATGATTTAAAAACACTTAAGGTTAATCCCCATTTTCTCTTGGAAGAGGAGTCTTTTTTCAGTGTGACTGTTGTGGATTGAATTGTGCCCTCCTGAAACCTAGATGTTGAAGTCCCAACCCCACCAGTATCTCAGAATGTGGTGAAGTGTGGAGATAGGGTATTTCATGGTAGACTCTAATTCAATGTAACTGGTGTCCTTTTAAGAAGAGGTTAGGACATAGGCAGGTTCAGAGGGAAGACCATGTGAAGATGGCCATCTGGAAGCCAAGGAGAGAGACCTCAGAAGAACCCAACTGTGCTGACATGTTGAATCTGTTGTTTAAGCTGCCCAGTTTGTGGTACTTTATTATGGCAACCCCAGCAAACTAATACAATGACTGATTGATACTTCTTAATATGTGTTATTTCCATGTTAGTATACCAAGATAGCAGTATAATTTAGTGGTTGCAGTTCAGATTTTCAAGGTTAGAATTCTGACTCAGCCACTTAGCAATGGTGACCTTGAGCATATTAATAAACTCTGAGAAGCCTCTGTTTTTTTTAATCTGTAAAATGAGGGTAATAATACGTTCTTCTCTGGGTTGTTGTGAGGATTTGGTAAAGTAACTAATGTAAAGTGTCTGGTACGTGGAAGAATTCTATAAATAATACTTCTTTTTTCATCTGCTTCCATTTTTAGGTATACTTTGCATTTTCAAAAATGATGTAATGGCATACTTGTTAGATGGACATTTATTGTGGGGATTTCAGGCTGCCTGATTCGTGGATGAGGGAGAGGTTTGCGGGTCATAGGGCTTTTTCAATACCTTTATACTCAATAATATGCATTTAACACTTTACAAAGTCATAGTACCTCACATCCAGGTCTACATGATGCACAAGGATTACCCTCATTGTGCCTCAGGAGATATTATTGTAACCTTTGTTTTGCTTACATAACTTCCTTTAAGACACAGTATACCTGTCCCCTGGGAATATGCTGAGATAAGTATTCTTCCTCTGTATTGCATAGTGCCTTAGCACACATACCTTCATTCATAGCATTTATATGCTCTGTTATGTCTGTTTTCTCCATGAGACTGAACTCTTTGAATGTAGGTACTGTTCCTCGTTCATATTTATATTCCTAATGTTCTGCACAGTGCCTGATTCTTTGTAGATGTGCTATAAATTACATATTACCAACATTTATGAGTAATGCTAAGTGCTAGATGCTGTCTCTGTCTCTGTTTTACAGACGGTAGTTAAGTGCTCACGGTAACACAGTTCAGTGGTAGAGCTAGAATTGAACACCATGATAGCTTATTTGCAGGGCCCATGCTCTTAACCATTATAATATAATGTCTCTTCCCTGAGAATGGAAGGGTCATCATCTGGTATATTGTAGGTCAGTGTAGCCCAGAGAGGGAGTTTGGAACATTTAATTGGTAGGACCAAGAACCTGAAGCACGCCTTACCTGAAAGCAAGTTGGGGGTGTGTGTGCATGTCCTGATGCTTGGAAAAGAAGTTATATTTTAATGCACATAGTCTGCTATATTATTTGTACTACTGGTATTGAAGGTTTAGATAAAATTTGTATCTCTGAAATGCACTTTCTTCATTAAAAATGAATTTCTATAGTGATATAGAGTGAAATTTCCTAGTAAGCCCCCAAATCGCTTAAAATGGATGTCATCATTGACTGTGCTCCCTTATACGTTGATAGCAGGGTTAAGATGATTGATATAGCTTTAGGGAATTTGCTATATTTGTAGTGGAAACAGCGTGAGAAGAAAAGTGAAGATGCTGCTTGTAACAGTTAAAACTTCAGATTTCTTAAATGCTTAGGAGATGAACTGTTCCAGAATTTTGTTTTATTGTATTTTTATTTACAACTGATTTTATCTCCTTAATATCAATGTATTTTTCATTTTCAATACTTTGGTTAAATTTTTTCCTGCTGACTCATGGCTGTCATTACAGCTGTTACAGTAAAGTGTTTTAGAGATGCTGTAGGATCTGTTGAGACTTGTAGAACTATTTGCTTCTACAATATATGATCCCGGATTGTTGTACTCTTCTTATGTTCCTTGAACAGCTTTTGCATTTTCTTCTATGTCATGCCTTAGTGTGCCTTCCTTCAGCTCCTTATCTCCTTCTTCTGATTTTTTGCATGCTCAAAACCAGTTGGCCAAACAGATTTAGAATTGTACATGAAGGACTAAGGTGTGCGTCAGTTACTAACATGAATGTGCATTTGTGCTTGAGCTTTGTGATATCTATTCTGTCTCTGAGGCCTCTTTTTTACTTGTTTCTTTACTGTGTTTTGAATAGATGAAGTTACTGCAAAATTGGTTCATTCTAGACATACTATAAAATGATGTCAATTTTCAGTCTGTCTATTAAAAGGGATAGTTTGGCTTAATAGTCAGAAGTTCAGGTACTTTTCCAGTAGATTGTTTTAGTGACATTTTGCAATTGATTATTATTGGAAAGTAAAATTCTTTCTGCCTTAATGAAAGAAATTGTGCTTTAATTTATCCTGTTTAAAAGGAAAAGTCAACAAATATTTTGGGTGATAAATTCATGACCAGCATTCATTTGGGCACGTTGCATAACTGAGCTATAGTTATTGACCCAGAAGAAGTAATACCTCATCAGGATAGCAAAGGATTATAATTGTTTTGAAAGATCAAGACGCTAGCCATGGATTTAAGAGTGGAGAACTATGAAAGCACTTGGTGTTTAGGAACTCTGAGAGGAACTGTAGAATGAAATAAAGTAGAGCATAATAGGAAGGTGGAAGCTGATAAAGACAGAGCACTAAATTAGTGTGGCATACTTTAATTAATTAGTGTGTGTAAGAGAAATAAAAATGAGGGGGGGAGTAGGGGAAGGGATTTCTGGAGATACTACTCTGTAGTTTCATATTTAGAAGACAAATCAAAGCTGTTAATAGACTGTTGACTTTGAGCTGCAATTATTGATATCAGTATGAGAAACAGTGGGCTGACATCAGAATTTAAAGGGCTAAGGTGGTAACACTATGTAATGGAGAGGCTTTAAAATCAGACAGTCCTGGGTTAGATTCCTGGCATCATCACTTCTGGCTATTTTGACATTGGATAACTTCATGTTTTCTAAAAAGCCTAGAAAACGTGTACCAGTGCCTGTCTTTCTCTTTGTATTCATCATTTTGGTAGATTACTGGAAGATGACTGTTTGGGCCTAAAGGAAGCTGTCCAGTTTTAAATTGTTGTTGTTGCTGTATATCCTTACATATAATTTATTGTCAGGTATATGATTTGCAAATATTTTCTCCTATTCTGTAGGATTTTTCACTTTTTTTTTTTTGAAATGGACTCTCGCTCTGTTGCCCAGACTGGAGTGCAGTGGCACAATCTTGGCTCACTGCAAGCTCTGCCTCCCAGGTTCACACCATTCTCCTGCCTCAGCCTCCCGAGTGGCTGGGACTACAGGTGTCCGCCACCACACCCGACTAATTTTTTTTCTTGTATTTTTAGTAGAAATGGGGGTTTCACTGTGTTAGCCAGGATGGTCTCGATCTTCTGACCTCGTGATCCACCCACCTTGGCCTCCCAAAGTGCTGGGAGTACAAGCATGAGCCACGGCCCCGGCCGATTTTTCACATTTTTGATAATGTCCAGTGATGCACAAGTTTTACATTTTGATTAAGTCCAAATTATCTATTGTTGCTCATGCTTTTGGTGTCATGTCTAAAAATCCTTTGCCAAATGTGAGGTCATAAAAATTTGTTTTTATCTAAGAGTTTTAGCTCTTAACAGGTTTTTGATCCATTTTAGTTAATATTTGTATATGGTATACACAAATGTATATGTATATGGTGTATACCTCATTCTTTTGCATGTGACTATCCAGTTGTGCCAGCACCATATGTTGAAGAGACTTTCCTCTCCTCAATGAACAGTCTTGGAACACTTATGGAAAATAGTTAACCATAGACACGTGGCTTTATTTCTGGACTCTCAATTCTATTCCATTGATCTATCCTTGTGCCAACACCACACTGTTTGATTACCACTGCTTTATAGTAAGTTTTGAAATTGGGAAGTGTGAGTCTTCCAGCTTTGTTCTGCTGTGATTACCTTTAAAGATTAATCTTTGCTGAAAAAAAGTCCCAAGGAACAGGGACAAAGTACAGTGTGGTTTTGACAGGGGAATAAATACTCTGGGAGGCTGTAGCTGAGATAGATAGATTTAAGTGCTCGGAGGCTGATAATAAAGAAATGAATAAAAAAGTAAAATATATTGAACACCTATTATATGTCAGCTGTTCATATATCCTCACAACAAACTTGAGGAAGTGGGTATTGGCTCCCCATTTTTACCTAGTAACATTCTGAGAATTAATGAGATGAAGTAATTTGCTTGTGCAGCTAGAAAGTGACAGCTGAACCTATGTCATTAAGCTTCTAAAGGCCTATTACCATGCTGCCTTGATAATGAAACTACCTGAATAAATGTATCAACCAGGGTCTAATCAAGAGAAAGAAATCACATGAGTTATTTGAACAAAGAGAATTTAATATAAATAATTATTATGTAAGTATATTATCTACTGTAAATTAATTGAAAGGGTAAAAAGGTATTTTTTTACCCAGGACAGATAAGGCTTTCCTGTCCGATACAATAGCCACTAGCTACATGTGGCTTTTGAGTACTTAATTATGACTTTTACAATTAGCTAGTCAGTTTCTACAAATAAGTCAGTTGAGAGTCTGATGAGGATTGTGTTAAATCTGCAGGTCACTTTGGGGAGTATTACCATCTTAACAATATTAAGGCTTCCAATCCATGAACATGGTATGTTTTCCCATTTATTTAGATCTTATTCTGTTTTTCAGCAATGTTTTATAGTTGCCAGAATATAAATTTTGTACTTTTTCTGTTAAATTTATTTCCAAGTATTTTATGTTTACATTGATGGAATTGTTTTAAATTTCGTTTTCAGATTGTTTATTGCACATGTATAGAAATAAAATCTATTTTTGTATATTGATCTTGTATCCTGCAACTTTGCTGGACTCATTTTTTTACTTCTAATAGTCTTCCATCAATTCTGTAGGATTTTCTACGTACAAGCTCATGTCATCTGCTCTGAAAAAATAAAGTAAAAATAGTTTTACTTCCTCCTTTCCAATATGGGTGCCTTTTTTTCTTTTAAAAATTATTTCCCTGAGTTTTCCAAGATGAATTTCATTTCCTTTTCTTGGTTAATTTCCCTGGATAGAGCTTCTAGCACAATGTTGAATAGAGGTAGTGAGAGCAGACATCCTTGTTTTGTTCCTAATTTTAGGGGGCAAGCATCTAATGTTTTATCATCAAGTATAGTGTTGTAGACTTTTAAAAATATTACATTAAATTATTATTCATCTTTCTTTCTTAGAGCTGAGGGTCTTGCTGTGTTGGCCAGGCTGGTCTCAAACTCCTGGGCTCAAGTAATCCTCCTGCCTCAGCCTCCTGAGTTGCTGGGATTTCAGATATGAGCCACTATGCCTAGCATATTCATCTTTATTACTGAATTTTTTTTGCAACCCCTTAAATTTCTGTGGTTGAGGTGAGACCCTCACTTACTTTACATCAGTTTTGGCCCTGTGGTTATAGAAGATTTGGGGGAAATTGTAAAAAGTCCTAAAGATTCTGAATTCAGATTGTTTTGCAAGTGTCTTTATATTCTATATCTGTTTTAAAGAAACCAAATCTGTAACTGACAGTTCATGCATTCATCATGGTAGTGAGGTTAATTTTAAGATGCCATGCCAAGATTTAATTAACAGGCATTTGTGCAAATCAACAGCCTTAGTTCTATATCAAATGATAAAGTAAACCATATCCTACTTTAACTTTTTTGATCTATTGTTGAACTGTGGGTCTGAATGTGTTCCATAAGATGGTTTCTACTGTGGCTATGAAGATTGTAGAAAAGATAGAGCTACCTACACTTCTCTTTATGTCTTCTGTCATTTTCTTAAATTTGCTAAAAATATTTGTTATAGATCCAGAAAAACTGTTACCTTTATTCAGACCTGCATGCTGTACTCCCTTGAATCCCTTGCACAGTAAAAGTAGAGTGACCTAATTTAGTAACATGGTGATTTCTGCTGGAAAGATTTGTATCTGAAATACTGCTTTCTAAGGAGTTCTGACTGGTGATTTGCCAGTTTTTTTTTTTTTTACCATATTTGAAAATCACTTACTAAAAAGAGTTAAAACTCTAGTACATTGACTATATGAATTTTATCAGAACAGGTTTTAATTGTTTTACATTTAATTGACTTGTGGCTTTTGATCGAATAGGATGTTAAACAGTATTTCATCTATTTAGAGGGAAATACTTTGTCTTTTTAATGTAATATTGAGGAATATGATAAACTCCTAAGGAGGCAGTTTATAATTTAATACAGTACTCACAATATTTCTAAGACTGATTGTGATGTATAAATCAGAGTGGACCTTAAAGAGGGTTCTTAATTCATATTAGCCTATGTCATTTTAGCAAAAGATTAATACTTATTTTTTAAGAAATGTGATAATAAACTTGTCATTGATAAAGAAATACTTTTATGTCTTCTTGTTGTTATTTAGATGTTGCTTAGTGTTTGAGCACGGACTTTAGATTTCAGCTATAGATTCACTTAAAAACCAGAATTCTTCAGCTTAAAGACCTCTTGCACAAAGAAAGCAAAATGATGTTTTTTTTTCTTTTACTATACTAGAAGAATATCATGTTATAAAAATGCTGCTTGCATCTAGATTTCAAGAGTTACTTGGAACTTAATAATATTTTATTATATTAGAGATATAGGCATTTTTGTTTTAAGATAGTTTGTGAATCTCATTTTGCTTGGATAAACAGCTTTCTGATAAGGTGATCACTGTAATATAAAAGCACTTAAGAATTTTACCCTTTGGAACATGGAGGGCAAATTGAATTATAGCTTGTTAGCATGGAGATGAGGAAAAAAAGAAACAACCTGCACCTGCTTGCTTAAACGCATCCCAAATTGAAAGCTTTAATACATGAAGCCACTTAGTTTTCCCTATAAAATGCTCAGCAGTTTTTTATCTTCACTCAATTTATCTATAGATTTCCACTTAAAATCTTTTGTAAGCGTTTTTCTTCTTTCTCCTTCATTGTCTTTTTCTTGTTTGTAATTTATTGTGGGAGAAATAGGATTTTCCATGGTAACTAGGACCCTGAGAGGTGTTTTATATTCTGTGGTTTCAGATTTTCTCTTGGTTTCTCTCTCTCTCTCTCTCTCTCTCTCTCTCTCTCTCTCTCTCTCTCCTCTCTCTCTCTCTCTCTCTCTCTCCTCTCCTCTCTCTCTCTCTCTCTCTCACACACACACACACACACACACACACACACACAAATTGAGATTGGACATCTTTTCTTATGCTTATTCTTTTTATTGCCATTCTTCTGTGAAAGGCCTGTTGAAATATTTGCTCACAGGATTGCTCACCTTTGTTTCATTATGTTTTCTTTTTTTTATTATTATACTTTAAGTTTTAGGGTACACGTGCACAACGTGCAGGTTTATTACATATGTATGCATGTGCCATGTTGGTGTGCTGCACCCATTAACTCTTCATTTAACATTAGGTATATCTCCTAATGCTATCCCTCCCACCTCGCCCCACCCCACAACAGGCCCCAGTGTGTGATGTTCCCCTTCCTGTGTCCATGTGTTCTCATTGTTCAATTCCCACCTATGAGTGAGAACATTCGGTGTTTGGTTTTTTGTCCTTGCAATAGTTTGCTGAGAATGATGGTTTCCAGTTTCATCCATGTTCCTACAAAGGACATGAACTCATCATTTTTTATGGCTGCATAGTATTCCGTGGTGTATATGTGCCACATTTTCTTAATCCAGTCTATCATTGTTGGACATTTGGGTTGGTTCCAAGTCTTTGCTATTGTGAATAGTGCTGCAATAAATATACGTGTGCATGCGTCTTTATAGCAGCATGTTTTATAATCCTTTGGGTATATACCCAGTAATGGGATGGCTGGGTCAAATGGTATTTCTGTTATGTTTTTAGAATATTTTATGTATAATGAATATTAAACATTTGCCTATGTTGCACATCTCCTGGCTTCCAATCTCACACCCCCATGCCTCTTCTTAATTATGTTTATGGTGTTTTGTACCATATACAATTGCAACTTTTTGTAACCAGCAAACTTAAACATTATTTTCTTTATGGGCTCTAAGTTTTGTGTCAACCCTTAGAAAGATTTTGTGACTCATTAAAAATTGTTTTAAAAAATTCTCCTTTATCTGTCTTCTAGTTTTTTTTTTTTCTTGAGATGGCGTCTTGCTCTGTCGGCCTGACTGGCGTGCAGTGGTACGATCTTGGCTCACTGCAACCTCCACCTCTTGGGTTCAAGCAATTCTTCTGCCTCAGCCTCCTGAGTAGCTGCGATTACAGGTGCGCCCAGCTAATTTTTTGTATTTTGTTTTTTTTTTAGTAGAGACGGGGTTTCACCATGTTGGCCAGGCTGGTCTCAAACTCCTGACCTCATGATCTGCCCACCTCGGCCTCCCAAAGTGCTGGGATTACAGGCGTGAGCCACTGTGCCCGGCCTCTACTACTTTTTTTTTTTTTTTTGAGACGGAGTCTTGCTCTGTCGCCCAGGCTGGAGTGCAGTGGCGCATCTCCGCTCACTGCAAGCTCTGCCTCCCAGATTCATGCCATTCTCCTGCCTCAGCCTCCCGCCTAGCTGGGACTATAGGCGCCTGCCACCACGCCTGGCTAATTTTTTGTATTTTTTTTTTTTTTTAGTAGAGACGGGGTTTCACTGTGTTAGCCAGGATGGTCTCGATCTCCTGACCTTCGTGATCCGCCCGCCTCAGCCTCCCAAAGTGCTGGGATTACAGGCGTGAGCCACCGCACCCGGCCCTCTACTTCTTTTACGATTTTTTCATATTGCAATATTTAATCTATCTGAAACATATGGTATAGATAGGATTTTAATCTCCTCTCCCCAGCATAGCCAGTTTCCCCTAAAGTGTTTTTTGAGAAGTTTTATCTTCCTACTGATTTCAATTGCCACATTCATGATATAGTTAATAACCATATGTATTTTGATCTATTTTTAGATTCGACTCTGTTCATTCCTCTGTCTGTTCCCACACTAGTACCACACTGTAATAGTTACTATATATATTTTTTACTACATTTTAATATCCACTGGAAAAAGTTTCCTTGCCTCTGCCTCCACAACCACCCTCCCCAAACACCAGCCATGATGTTTATTGCTTATTTTTCTTTTTTAAGCTTATTGGACAATTTTTATGTGTTCAGTTCTCCCAATGAACTACAGATTCAACGTACAAAATGTCCACCTTCTCCACAAAAAATCTGACTCTTTTAGGGAATTTGATTGTAATTGTATTGAATTTGTGTATTCAATTTGAGGGAAGTTTGCATCTTTATGATTTTGAGTTTGTCTGTTCCTGGATATGGTGTGTGTGTGTGTGTATGTGCGCGTGAGTGTGTGTGTTTCCATTTATTCAGGGTCATTTATTCTTTTATGTGCTTCCATAAAATTTTATTTTTCTTTTTATTTATTTATTTATTACTTTTTTTGAGATGAAGTCTCACTCTGTCGCCCAGGCTGGAGTGCAGTGGTGCAATCTCGGCTCACTGCAAGCTCTGCCTCCCGGGTTCATGCCATTCTCCTGCCTCGGCCTCCTGAGTAGCTGGGACTACAGGTGCCCGCCACCACGCCCGGCCAATTTTTTTGTATTTTCAGTAGATACGGGGTTTCACCAGGTTAGCCAGGATGGTCTTGATCTCCTGACCTCGTGATCTGCCCACCTCAGCCTCCCAAAGTGCTGGGATTACAGGTGTGAGCCACCGTACCCGGCCATAAATTTTATTTTTCATATGTCTTTCATACATCTTTTAAAGCACATTTGTAAGTTTTTTTTTTTTTTACAAACTTTGCTGCTCTCAGGTAGGTGGTATTTTTTCCAGTACTTATAGAATATGATATTGGTGGAATATAAGAAATCCTTGTTTTCATGGACCTGACATTCTTGTAATGGGCCTCTCATTGTGCTAATTTTTCAGTTGATACTTTTGCATTTTCCATAAACCTTATGTTACCTATAAATCATTAATTTTTAGACAATCATTTATGATCCTGCAGCAGCAACATTCCTCAGGAACTTGTTAGCAATGCAGATTCTCTAGACCGATCCCACACCAACTGAAGGAGAAACTCTTTCCAGCAATTTGTGCTTCACATGTCTCCAAACTCTGATGTATGCTCAAGTTTGGAGACCACTGATGTAAATAATAATTTTATGCTGTCTTGCTCATATTTTCATTTCTCACATTTTTTAAATTGCAAGATGTGTGTGTATCAGGGCTCAGTGGATTACATAGAATGAGCACTGACTGAATAGGCTGAGACAAATCGTTAACATCCATGGGTAAGATGGGAGGGGAATGATGAGACATGAATTATTCCTTAATTTCTTAATTCCTTAATTAGGTGAATAAGGAAAAAGTAAATCAGAGAGAGAGAGAGAGAAGGAAAGAAAGAAGGAAATTAAGTATACAATTTAGGGTGAGGATTTTAGTGGTTGACAGAGGGAAGTCTGATTCAAAGATCACTCCTATAGATAAGTAAGAATTGTAACATTATGAAATTGAAAGAAATAAAGACAGCTAAGCCTAAGCCTGGCATTTGATACTTAATGAATGTTTGTAAGATGAAGTTCAGTCTTTGCCATATGAGGGTCACCACCATTAGAAAATCATATAGAATTGCATTAATACAAGGATAATACTTTCAATATTGGCAAAAAAGCCAATTGCAATGATGAGTCAGATGATACCATGAGCCAACAATATACCTCAAAGGCATTCCTAAAGCCTATTATGAATGACAACATGAGAAGGGACTACCAAGGGATCTTGTCAGGAAAGAAGGAGGCCAGGTGTGGTGGCTTATGCCCATAATCCCAACACTTTGGGAGGCCGAGACAGGAGGACTGCTTGAGGCCAAGAGTTTGAGACAAGCCTGAGCAATATAGTGAGACTCTCCTGTCTAAAAAGAAAAAAAGAAAGAAAGAAAAGACGGGAGGAATGATATTAAGCAGTGGAACTGCATGGTGTATGGTGTATACCTATAGCCAACATGAAGTACAATGATAGTGACCACATGGTGGTGACATGGGCAGATTGCTTCAGTGACTATAGAAGGGAAGCTGAAATTGTTGAGAAGAGTGTGTCAGCCACTCTGGCACTTGGCCAGGAAAAGGGAGAAACCTAAGAAACATGGGAATCCAGTCTTTTTGGTAGGAGTTTAGACCTAAAAGTAGCTGTGAACATACCTCTCTGGACCCCCTAGTTGTAGCATAAGATGCTGGTCAAGGGGAAACCAGGCAGGCTGATCATGTACTTAAAATGAGCGTTCTGAAATAGGCTTTAGCTGCAACCTTTAGTATAGTGCAACTGTTATTTTGTTAGGGTGCGTGTGTGGGAGCATACCAGATAGACCTATCAATTTTTAGATTTACTGTAGTGAAGAATCACCACTCAATGCAACAGTTAGTGCTCAGGTATTTTAGGATAAGACCTCTTTAGTGCCACAGGTGGGAGAGGAGAATAAGCTAAATGATTCTATGATCTAACACTCTGGGACATTTAAAAAAATCAACTTTTGTCTAACAAACTATTTTTTAAAGAACACAATTCTGTTAAACTTCAGATTTTGCATTTTCAAGATGATTTTGAATTTTTGTAATGCTGCTATATATAATTTAATTTAGAGGAGTGCAATTATGTGCAGTTTTTCTAGATTTTGCGGTTTTTTGATTTTGTCGTGTTTAGCATTTTTCACTAATCCTTTCTGTCAGTTTTCTTTTCTTACCACAGTACTTATCAAAATTTTATTTGAAGACAGAGTACTAGAGAAACTCCTAAAATTTCTTTTATATAGCATCAGTTTAATTCATAAGTGAGACTTACCTTATGTAGTGTGAAATTGGCTAAGGATATCTCAAATCTGATTATTTTAAAGCTATTAGTTTTTGGACAGAGTAGGAAAGAGTGATACAGTGGGTTTTAATTAAACGCTAGGTCATAAACTGGAATCTTTATTTGAAATATTATCTAAGATAGGTGCTTGAGAAATATTAGATTTGTGAATTACTTAAATACTTATGAATAAAATTGCTTGAACTTATGCAAGATATCTCAACTATCATAAGCAGTTTTGTCAGTTTTGTTTCTGGTGAGCTATATTGAATATTTTAAGGGCAAAACTACAATTAGGTCGTTGGCAGGTATGTGCTCTGAGTAATGATTAGTTTCCCTTTTATTCATGAGGGTGTCATGGCCAGGGGAAAGTGTGCATTTTTAATTACAATACTTGTCTCGTTATATTTTTGTTCTGTCTGGTTTTATTTCTTTGAAAGCTCTTTAAAAAAAATGTTGGCCTTTCTATGTCATATCCCGTCTGCACATCTACATAGTCCCGACTTCAGGGCAGAAATAATATTTTCTACTTTTTTTGTTTCTTCTTTATTAGAAAATTCCAAACATGCAGAAAAGTACAATATAACAGTTGCCCATGTAGCCACCATGTAGCTGTGTAAAACCTCAAAATTTTGCCATTTTTGTTTTAGATCCTCAACAAAAAAAGATACAGGTGAAGCTCCTAGAGTATCCTTCCACAATTGCATTTTCCTACTATCCTCTCCTGGGGGAACTACTGTCCAAAATTTGGTATTTATCATTTCCCTTATTATTTTTGTCCTTTTTCTATATCTGTGTGTATGTGTGTGTGAGTGTGTATGTATATGTGTGTACATATGTGTACTTGTTTACTTCTTCAGTTTACATTTTTGTCTAATGTAATGCTATTCAGATTTACCTGCTCTAGTATCTCCTATTATGAAAACAAAATAAAACAAAACATTAACTACTTGTACATTATGTCTCATCCAACTGCCACCCATTTCTCTACTCTCTATTAAAGGAACACTCCTTGTAAGAGTTGTGTACTTATTTCCTCTCTCCCTTCTAATTCTTAAACTCATACTAATCAGCTCATCTCCATTACTCCACACAACCCAGTCTTACTTAACAAGGTCTCCAGTTGCCTCTCTGTCACTACACTAAGTTGTCATTTCTCACTTCCTTACTTAATCTCTCAGCAACATCTGACACACTTGCTTACTCTTTTCTTCATATAACACCTTATTTTGTCTTCTGGGTTACCACACCTTCCTGGTTTCCCTTCGAGCCCACGGCCTCTCCTTACTCTTTTTTACCAGATCCTTTTTGTCTTTTTATTTCAAAATCAATTGAGCAAAAAAAATACAGGATTAAAAGTAAACATCTCTCCCATCTCATATTCCTTCTCACAAATAAAGGCTATAAACAGGCTTTATGTGTTGTGCATGTGCATGCACATGTGTGTGAATTCATAGGTGAAAACAGTGCCTCAATTAAAATAGCATTTATTTGTTTCCTGTTTCTATTATGGTTGGTGCGAAAGTAATTGCGGTTTTTGTCATTAAAAGTAATTGCAGTTTTAATGGCAAAAACTGCAATAGCTTTCACACCAACCTAATATTGGTTTTATATGTGCTTCTTGCTTATATTATTTCCTTATTTTACCATTATATGTTATTGTTTTCACTAATTTGTGTAAGTTAAAATTATTAGCCCTTTGTTGCCTGTCATGTGTGTTATGAATTATTTTTCCTAGTTTATCAGTTGCCTGAGGGCCTTGGCATATTTGAAGTACAGAGTTTTAATTTTTTTCTATGATCAGATTGAATAGTCTGTTATGATTTCTGATATTTGGGTGCTGCTTGCCTTCTTCACTGCATGATTATAAATAATTTCACTTAGGTTTTCTTTTGGTACTCTTTCAGCTTCATTTTGTTACCTTTAAATTTTGATCCTTCTGGAATGTATTTCAGGGCAACAAGTGAAATAGTGGATAACCTCTGCTTTTTAAAAAAAATAAACACAACCAAATGGCTACCCAGTTGTCCTGAAATCACTTATTCAATCATCCCCCCTTCTCTTACTTGTTTGAAAGGCCATCTTTACCCCAGAGTAACTCCCTGCTGTATTTGCATTCCTCACAAGATCTTGAAATAATTTATTTATTTTTGTTTTGTTTTTCAAGCCACTGCAGTAAAGTTCTCCCCACTGATATTGAAACTGCTCTTGGTAAAGGTCACCACTCATATTATAATTGTTAAATCAAGTAGATGTATCTTACTTGGTCTTGAATTTGTTGAATGCTGTTGAACTACTCTTCCTTTTTAGCTTTTATCTCACAATTCTCATAGTTTCCCTCCTACCGTTCTCTCTGTTTTCCTTACTAATTTGTCTTCTTCCATTTCTTTGGGATTCCACCTTCTCATGGGGAATATATTCTTTTTCTGCTTTTTATTTATTTATAATTTTTGTGGGCACATAGTAGGTGTATATATTTATGGGATACATGAGCTGTTTAGATACAGACATGTAATTGGAAATAAGCACATCATGGAGAATGGGGTGTCCATCCCCTCAAGCATTTATCCTTTGAGTTACAAGCAATCTAATTATACTCTTTAAGTTATTTTAAAATGTACAACTAAGTTGTTATTAACTATAGTTGCTCCTGTTGTGCTATCAAATAATAGATCTTATTTATTCTATCTAACTGTAGTTTTGTACTCATTAACCATCCCCACTTCTCCCTACCCAGCTACCCTTCCCAGCCTCTGGTAGCCATCATTCTACCATCTGTCTCCATGAGTTCAATCATTTTAATTTTTAGCTCCCACAAATAAGTGAGAACATGTGAAGTTTATCTTTCTGTGCCTGGCTTATTTCACTTAACACAATGTCCTCCAGTTCCATCCATGTTGTTGCAATTGACAAGATCACATTCTTTTTGTAGTTAAATAGTACTCCATTGTGTATATGTACTACATCTTCTTTATCCATTCATCTGTTGATGGACACTTAGGTTGCTTCCAAATCTTGGCTATTGAATAGTGCTGCAATAAACATGGGATTGCAGATACCTCTTTGATACATAGATTTTCTTTCTTTGGGGTTTGTAATTAGCAGTGGGATTGCTGGATCATATGGTAGCTCTATTTTTAGTTTGTTGAGGAATTGCCAAACTGTTCTCCATAGTAGTGGTACTAATTTACGTTCCACCAACAGTGGACAAGGGTTTCCTTTTATCTACATCCTTGCCAACATTAGTTATTGCCTGTCTTTTGGATAAAAGCCATTTTAACTGAGATGAGATGATATCTCAGTGTAGTTTTATTTTTATTTTTATTTTTTGGAGACAGAGTCTCACTCTGCTGCCCAAGCTGGAGTGCAGTGGCTCAATCTCAGCTCACTGCAATCTCTGCCTCCCGGGTTCAAGCAATTCTCTTGTCAGCTTCCTGAGTAGCTGAGATTACAGGCATGCACCACCACGCCCATCTACTTTTTTTGTGTGTACTTTTAGTAGACATGGATTTTCATCATGTTGGCCAGCTGGCCTCAAACTCCTCACCTCAAGTGGTCCACTAGCCTCAGCCTCCCAAAGTGCTGGGATTACAGGCGTGAACCATCATGTCTGGCCCTCAGTGTAGTTTTGATTTGCATTTCTCTAATGATCAATGATATCAGCCACCTTTTTATTGGCCTGTTTGCCATATGTATGTCTTCTTTTGAGAAATGTCTATTCAGATAGTTTGCCCATTTCTTTTTCTTTCTTTTTTTTTTTTTTTTTGATGGAGTCTTGCTCTGTCGCCTAGGCTGGAGTGCAGTGGCGCGATCTTGGTTCACTGCAAGCTCCACCTCCCAGGTTCACGCCATTCTCCTGCCTCAGCCTCCCTAGTAACTGAGACTACAGGCGCCTGCCACCATGCCCGGCTAATTTTTTTGTATTTTTAGTAGAGACAGGGTTTCACTGTGTTAGCCAGGATGGTCTCGATCTCCTGACCTTGTGATCTGCCTGCCTTGGCCTCTCAAAGTGCTGGGATTACAGGCATGAGCCACCACACCCAGCCTGTTTTGCCCATTTCTTAATTGGATTATTAGAATTTTTTCTATAGAGTTGCTGAGCTCCTTACATATTTTGGTTATTAATCACTTGTCAGATGGATGGTTTACATGTGGGAAAAAATAGATGCAAATTATCCATCTATCGTTGTCTCTTCATTTTGTTGATTGTTTTCTTTGCTGTGTAGAAACTTTTTAACTTGATGTGATCCCATTTGTCCATTTTTGCTTTGGTTGTCTGTGCTTATCAGGTATTGCTCAAGAAATCTTTGCCTAGACCAATATTCTGGAGTCTTTCCCCAATGTTTTCTTTTAGAAGTTTCATAGTTTGAGGTCTTAGATTTATGTCTTTAATCCATTTTGATTTGATGTTTCTATATGGTGAGAGATAGGGGTCTACTTTCATTCTTCTGCATATGGATACCCAGTTTTCTCAGCATGATTTATTGAAGAGACTGTCCTTTCCCTAATGCATATTCTTGGCACCTTTGTAAAAAATGAGTTCATTGAAGATGTATGGATTTATTTCTGGGTTCTCTATTCTGTTCCATTGGTCTATGTGTCTTTTCTTATTCCAGCACCATGCTGTTTTGGTTACTGTAGCTCTAGAGTATAATTTGAGGTGAGGTAATGTGATTCTTCTGATTTTCCTTTTTTTTTTTTTTTCCTCAGAGTAACTTTGGCAATTCTGGTCTTTTGTGGTTCTTATTAATTTTTGGATTATTATTTCTATTTCTGTGAAGAATGTCATTGGTATTTTGATAGGGGTTACATTGAATCTGTAAATAGCATTGGGTAGTATGGACATTTTAGCAATATTGATTCCTCCAATCCATGAAGATGAAATATCTTTCCATTTTGTTGTGTCCACTTCAATTTTTCATCAGTGTTTTATAGTTTTCATTGTAGAGGTCTTTAACATCTTTGGTTAATTCTTAGGTATTTTCCTTTATGTGTGGCTATTATAAATGGGATTACTTTCTTGGTTTCTTTTTCAGATTGTTCACTTTTGACATATAGAAATGCTACTGATTTTTTATGTTGATTTTGTATCCTGCAGCTTTACTGAATTTATCAGTTCTAATAGTTTTTGGGTGGAGCCTTTAGGTTTCTCCAAATATAAGATCATGTTATCTGCAGTCAAGGATAGTTTGATTTCTTCCTTTCCATTTTGTAAGCCTTTATTTCTTTCTCTTGTCTGGTTGCTCTATCTAGGACTTCCTGTACTATGTTGAATAACAATGGTGAAAGTGGGCATCCATATTTTGTTCCAGATCTTAGAAGAAAGGCTTTCAGTTTTTTCCCATTCAATATGATACTAGCTGTGGGTCTGACATAAACAGCCTTTATTGTGGTGAGGTGTATTCCTTTTATACCCAGGTTTTTGAGGGTTTTCTTTTTATCATGAAGCGATGTTGAATTTTATCAAATACTTTTTCATTATCAATTGAAATGATCATAAGGTTTTTGTCCTTCCTTCTATTGATATTATATACCACATTGATTGATTTATGTATGTTGAACCATCCTTGCATCCCTGGGGCAAAACCCATTTGATCTTGATGAATGGTCTTTTTAATGTGTTGTTGAATTCAGTTTGCTAATATTTTGTGGAGGATTTTTGCATCAATGTTCATCAGATATATTGGCCTATAGTTTTCTTTCTGTGATGTGTCTTTGTTTGGTTTTGGTATCAGGGCAATACTGGCCTGGTAGAATGAGTTTTGAAGTATTCATTCCTCCTCCATTATTTGGAATAGTTTGAGTAGGATTGGCATTATTTCTTCTGGAAAGGTTTGGTAAAATTCATCAGTGAAGCCATCTGATCCTGTACTTTCCTGTGCTGGAGACACTTTATTACAGTTGCAATCTCATTACTTGTTATTGGTCTGTTCAGGTTTTGGATTTTTTCATGGGTCAGTGTCACTAGGTTGTATATGTCTATAAATTTATTAATTTATTCTCGATTTTCCAATTTATTGTCATGTATTTGCTCATAGTAGCCAGTAATGATCCTTTGAATTTCTGCAGTATCAGTTGTAATGTCTCCTTTTTCTTCTTTGATTTTATTTATTTGGGTCTTTTCTTCATTTTTCTGTCTGGCTCAGGGTTTGTCAATTTTGTTTCTCTTTTCAAAAAACCAACTTTTCATTTTGTTGATCTTTTGTATTTTTTTTTTTCATTTCAATGTCATTTATTTCTGCTCTGATCTTTATGATTTCTTTTCTTCTACTAAGTTTGGGTTTGGTTTGCTTTTTTTCTATTTCTCTAAGATGCACTGTTAGGTTGTTTATTAGAATTTTATATCTTTTTGATGTAGGCATTTATAACTATAAACTCTCCTTTAAGTACTGCTTTCACTGTATCTTATAGGTTTTGTATGTTTTGTTTACATTATCATTTGTTTCAAGAATTTTTTGAATTTCCTTCTTAATTTCTTTTTATAAAATCTGCTGTGAGAGAACAGCTTCTAAATTTCTTCATTGACCCACTGATCATTCAGGAGTGTATATTTTAATTTTCATGTGTTTGTACAGTTTCCAAAATTTCTCTTGTTATTGATTTCTAGTTATATTCTATTGTGGTCAGAGAAGATGCTTGATGTAACTTCAATTTTTTTGAATGTTTTAATACTTGTTTTGTGGCCCAACATATGACCTGTCCTTGAAAGTGATCCATATGCTGAGGAGAAGAATGTGTATTCTGTGCTGGTGGATGAAATGTTCTGTAAATTTCTATTAGTTCCATTTGTTCTATAGTGCAGATTAAGTCCAATGTTTCTTAGTTGATTTTTCAGTCTGGGTGATGTGTCCAATGCTGAAAATGGGTTATTAAAGTCTCCAGCTATGATTGTATTGGCATCTATTGCTCTCTTTAGGTCTAATAATATTTACTCTATATGCCTAGGTGCTCCAGTGTCGGGTGCATATATGTTTACAATTTTATATCCTCTGGCTGACTTGACCCCTTTATCAGTATAAAATGCCATTTTGTCTCTTTATAGTTTTTGTCTTGAAATATGTTTTGTGATATAAATATAGCTATCCTGGCTCTTTTTTTGGTTTCCATTTGCATGGAATATCTTTTTCCATTCCCTTATTTTTGAACTAAGTATTTCTCTACAGGTTATGTGTACTTTTTGTAGGCAACAGATCTTTGGGTCTTGTTTTTGAAAACCATTCAGCCAATCTGTGTCTTTCGATTGTAGGATTTAGTCACGTAGATTCAATGTTGTAAGGACTTCAGCCATTTTGTTATTTGTTTTCTGGTTGTTTTATGGTCTTCTCTTCCTCCTTTCCTTCCCTCCTGTCTTCCTTTAGTGAAAATAATTTTCTCTGGTTGTATATGTTAATTTTTTATATATCTGATATATGTTTTTTGATATGAGGTTACCATGAGACTTTCAAATAATATCTTATAACTCATTATTTAAACTGTTGACGGCTTAATACTGAATGTGTAAATAATCAAACAAATAAGCAAGAGAAAACCAGAGAAAACCAATAAAACTCTACACTTTAACTTCTTCCCCTAGCTTTTTAACTTTTTGTTGTCTCTTTCTTTTCTTTTTGAGATAGGGTCTCACTCTGTCATCCAGGCTGTAGTGCAGTGGTGTGATCTCAGCTCACTGTAGCCTCGAGACCTCCTGGCCTTAAGTGATCCACCCACCTCAACCTCCCTAGTAGCTGGGACTATAGGCATGCACCACCATGCCTGGCTAGTTTTTGTGTTTTTTGTAGAGACAGGGTTTTGCCATGTTGCCCAGACTGGTCTTGAACTCCTGGGTGCAAGTGATCCACCCACCTTGGTCCCCCAAAGTACTGGGGCTACAGGCATGAGCCATTGTGCCTGGCCTGATGTTTCTATTTATATCTTGTTATACTGTTTATGCTGTGAAAAGTTGTAATTATATTTCACTGTGTTATAATATTCTGTGGTTTTCAGTGTGCTTATCATTACCAGTAGGTTTTGTACCTTCTGAAGATTTTGTCTTGCTCAATAATATCCTTTTCTTTCAGATTGAGGAACTCCCTTTAGCATTTCTTCTAGGACAGATCTGGTGTTGATGAAATTCCTCAGCTTTTGTTTGTCAAGGAAGGTCTTTATTTCTCCTTCATGTTTGAAAGATATTTTTGCCAGATATACTACTCTAGTGTAAAAGTTTTTTGTTTTCCTTCAACACTTTAAATATGTCATGTCACTCTCTCCTGGCCTATAAGGTTTCCACTGAAAAGCCTGCTGACAGATGTATTGGAGCTCCATTGTATGTTATTTGTTTCTTTTCTCTTGCTGCTTTAGGATCCTTTCTTTGTCCTTGACCTTTGGGAGTTTGATAATTAAATGCCTTGAGGTGGTCTTCTTTGAGCTAAATCTACTTGATGTTCTGTAACCTTCTTATACTTGAATATTGATATCTTTCTCTAGGTTTGGGAAGTTCCCTGTTATTATCCCTTTGAATAAACTTTCTATCCTCATTTCTCTATCTACCACTTCTTTAATGCCAATAACTCCTAGATTTGCCCTTTTGAGACTATTTTCTAGATATTGTAAGTATACTTTATTCTTTTTTATTTTTTCTTTTGTCTCTCTATTTTCAAATAACCTATATTCAAGCTCATTAATTCTTTCTCATGTTTTATCAGTTCTACTGTTGAGAGACTCTGACTCATTCTTCAGTATGTCATTTGTATTTTTCAGCTCTCGTCTGATAGGATTCTGAATTCTTTCTCCGTGTTATCTTTAATTTCATTGAGGTTCATCAAAACAGCTATTTTGAATTCTCCATCTGAAATGTGACATATCCCTGTCTCTCTAAGACTGGTCTCTGGTACCTCATTTAGTTTGTTTGGTGAGGTCATATTTCCTGGGTGGTCTCAACGTTTGTAGATTTTCGTTGGTGTCTGGGCATTGAAGAGTTATGTATTTATTTTAATCTTTGCAGTGTGGACTTGTTTTTACTCATCCTTCCTGGGAAGGCTTTCCAGGTATTTAAAGGGACATGGGTGTTGTGATCTAAGTCTTTGGTCACTGTGGCTATATTTTCATTAATGGGCATCTCAAACCTCGTAACGCTGTGGCTCTTGCAAACTCTTGGAGATACTGCCTTGGTTGTTTTTGCTAAGATCCAGAAGAATTCTATGGATTACCAGGCAGAGACCCTTGTTCTCTTCCCCTAATTTCCCCCAAACAAATGGAGTCTCTCTCTCTCTCTTTTCTGAGTTGTTTAGAGCTGAGGGAGAGGTGACACCAGCACCTCTGTGGCAACCACCACTGGGACTGCACTGGGTCCCACCTGATGCTAGCACAGCCCTGGGTTTTGCCCAAGGCTCATGGTAACCACTTCCTGGCTACTGCTTATGTTCATTCAAGGCCCAAGTGCTCTACAATCAGCATGTGGTGAATCCAGCCAGGCTTGTGTCCTTCCCTTCAGCATGGTGAGTTCTCCCTGGCCCTGGGTGTGTCCAGAGATCCTGTCTGGGAGTTAAAGCCTAGAGTCGGAAACCTTAGGAATCTACCTGGTGCTCTAGTCTGCTGTTACTGAGCTGGCACTCAAGTTGCAAGACAAAGTCCTCCCCACTTTTCCCCCTCCTTTCCTGAAGCAGAGGAGCCACTCCTTTTGGCCATCCTTACCCCAGGGCTGTAATGAGTACTATCTAGCTACCAGTGATGTTCACTCAAGGCTCAAGTGCTCCTCAGTCAGCTTGTGGTGAATGCTGCCTGTCCTGAGTCTTTCTCTTCAGGGCAGTGGGCTCCCCTCTGGCCAGGGCAGGTCCAGAAATACCGTCCAGGAGTCAAGGCCTAGAATTGGGGACTGTAGGAGCCTGCTTGGTCCTTTACCCCACTGTGGTCTCTCCACATAGCTAACACATCTAGGAATGTTCTGGGTCACATGTGAAGCCAGCATGGCTCTGAGTCTCTCCCAAAACCCACAGTGAGTATTGCCTCACTACCACTGCTGATTTTTCAGGGCCCAAGGGCCCTTTAATCAGCAGATGATTAATCCTGCTTAGGACTGGGTCCTTCCCTTCAAGGCAGCAGGTTTCCTTTTTGCTCAGGGTGTCTGTAGAAATGTCATCTGGGAACTAGGGCCTGGAATGGGGGCTTCAGAACTGTGCCTGCTGTCCTAGCCTACTGTAGGTAAGCTAGTATGCAAGTTGCAAGACAAAATCATCTTTTTCCCTTCTGTCCTCAAGTGGAAGGAAGGAGTCTCTCCTGTAGCTGTGAACGGTGCTGCCTGGGGTTATGGGAGGGCTGATGCAAGCACTCCCTTGGGTGCACCAGCTTGTGTCTCACTGGGTCATGTGCACCCCACATCCACTGGCTTTGAGCCCAGCATAACACCAGGACTTGCCTAGGAATTGCAGTCCTAGTGGCCTGGACTGCCTTCTCACTTTATTTAGAATGCCAGAGCGCTTTAGCCCATGGTAGCAGGGCTTGATGGAACTCAGGTTCTAATCATTGGGATAAGCAATTTATCTCTTCCTAGGCCTGGTCTAAATGCTCCCTCCATGGTCGTTGGCTGAGTTTTTCCCCTTGTTGCTCTCTACTCTGACAGGGTAGCACTGAGTTCCAATGGAAAGTCCCCATTACTGCAATCTCTCTCCTCTAGTGCACAGATTCTCCCTCTGCACAATGTGGCCACTGCCAGGGGATGGAGGGGTGGTGATGTAGGCGATTAAGGGCTGTATATCCTACAATCTTCAGGGCCTTTTTCCTTAATTTGATGTTAAAACAAGGTATTGTGATCATTCACCTGATTTTTGGTTGTTATGAAAGTTCTTTTTTGTGTAAATAGTTGTTCAATTTCGTCTTCCTACAGGAGAGATGATCACTTGAGGCTTCTATTCAGCCATCTTGCTCTGATTGCCTTCACTTGAGTAACATTTCCCAATCTCATCACTTCACTTGTTACTTAATTGGCTAAATATTCCTACATTGACACTTCTAGTTCCAATCTAAATCTAGATGTAATCTTTTCAATTTTCTGTTAGACACTGTTTGGTGTGTCCTATGGTACATAAATGTGTGTACATCAAACAATTGTTCTCCTTTTTTCAATATTTTTCCTTATTCTCTACATGCTACCTCACTTGATATCTTCATCCTCATCCCAGTTATTTAAACAGATTTTGTGATTTTGTTTGTGATCTCCTTATCCCTGTAATACCTATTCATGATCTTTTAGTCAATCAGTCCTAGTTCACTCTGGCTATCCTCATAGACATTGTCTGGGCTCTTATCTCAGTTCTTGACTGTAGAAGAACTTTCTTAACTGATCTCTAGATATCTAGTCTATCTCTCTTCCATCCCCATATTGGAGCTGTGCTAATTTTCTTTTCTTTTTTTTAATTACTATTATACTTTAAGTTTCAGGGTACATGTGCACAATGTGCAGGTTAGTTACATATGTATACATGTGCCATGCTGGTGCACTGCACCCACTAACTCGTCATCTAGCATTAGGTGTATCTCCCAATGCTATCCCTCCCCCCTTCCCCCACCCCACAACAGTCCCCAGAGTGTGATGTTCCCCTTCCTGTGTCCATGTGTTCTCATTGTTCAATTCCCACCTATGAGTGAGAATAAGCGGTGTTTGGTTTTTTGTTCTTGCGATAGTTTACTGAGAATGATGATTTCCAATTTCATCCATGTCCCTACAAAGGACATGAACTCATCATTTTTTATGGCTGCATAGTATTCCATGGTGTATATGTGCCACATTTTCTTAATCCAGTCTATCATTGTTGGACATTTGGGTTGGTTCCAAGTCTTTGCTATTGTGAATAGTGCCGCAATAAACATACGTGTGCATGTGTCTTTATAGCAGCATGATTTATAGTCCTTTGGGTATATACCCAGTAATGGGATGGCTGGGTCGAATGGTATTTCTAGTTCTAGATCCCTGAGGAATCGCCACACTGACTTCCACAATGGTTGAACTAGTTTACAGTCCCACCAACAGTGTAAAAGTGTTCCTATTTCTCCACATCCTCTCCAGCACCTGTGGTTTCCTGACTTTTTAATGATTGCCATTCTAACTGGTGTGAGATGGTATCTCATTGTGGTTTTGATTTGCATTTCTCTGATGGCCAGTGATGGTGAGCATTTTTTCATGTGTTTTTTGGCTGCATAAATGTCTTCTTTTGAGAAGTGTCTGTTCATGTCCTTTGCCCACTTTTTGATGGGGTTGTTTGTTTTTTTCTTGTAAATTTGTTTGAGTTCATTGTAGATTCTGGATATTAGCCCTTTGTCAGATGAGTAGGTTGTGAAAATTTTCTCCCATTTTTTAGGTTTCCTGTTCACTCTGATGGTAGTTTCTTTTGCTGTGCAGAAGTTCTTTAGTTGAATTAGATCCCATTTGTCAATTTTGGCTTTTGTTGCCATTGCTTTTGGTGTTTTAGACATGAAGTCCTTGCCCATGCCTATGTCCTGAATGGTAATGCCTATGTTTTCTTCTAGGGTTTTTATGGTTTTGGGTCTAACATTTAAGTCTTTAATCCATTTTGAATTGATTTTTGTATAAGGTATAAGGAAGGGATCCAGTTTCAGCTTTCTACATATGGCTAGCCAGTTTTCCCAGCATCATTTATTAAATAGGGAATCCTTTCCCCATTTCTTGTTTTTCTCCGGTTAGTCAAAGATCAGATAGTTGTAGATATGCGGCGTTGTTTCTGAGGGCTCTGTTCTGTTCATTGATCTATATCTCTGTTTTGGTACCAGCACCATGCTGTTTTGGTGACTGTAGCCTTGTAGTATAGTTTGAAGTCAGGTAGCATGATGCCTCCAGCTTTGTTCTTTTGGCTTGGGATTGCCTTGGTGATGCGGGCTCTTTTTTGGTTCCATATGAACTTTAAAGTAGTTTTTTCCAATTCTGTGAAGAAAGTCATTGGTAGCTTGATGGGGATGGCATTGAATCTGTAAATTACCTTGGGCAGTATGGCCATTTTCACGATATTGATTCTTCCTACCCATGAGCATGGAATGTTCTTCCATTTGTTTGTATCCTCTTTTATTTCCTTGAGCAGTGGTTTGTAGTTCTCCTTGAAGAGGTCCTTCACATCCCTTGTAAGTTGGACTCCTAGGTATTTTATTCTCTTTGAAGCAGTTGTGAATGGGAGTTCACTCATGATTTGGCTCTCTGTTTGTCTGTTGTTGGTGTATAAGAATGCTTGTGATTTTTGCACATTGATTTTGTATCCTGAGACTTTGCTGAAGTTGCTTATCAGCTTAAGGAGATTTTGGGCTGAGACAATGGGGTTTTCTAGATATACAATCATGTCGTCTGCAAACAGGGACAATTTGACTTCCTCTTTTCCTAATTGAATACCATTTATTTCCTTCTCCTGCCTAATTGCCCTGGCCAGAACTTCCAATACTATGTTGAATAGGAGTGGTGAGAGAGGGCATCCCTGTCTTGTGCCTGTTTTCAAAAGGAATGCTTCCAGTTTTTGCCCATTCAGTATGATATTGGCTGTGGGTTTGTCATAGATAGCTCTTATTATTTTGAGATATGTCTCATCAATACCTAATTTATTGAGAGTTTTTAGCATGAAGGGTTGTTGAATTTTGTCAAAGGCCTTTTCTGCATCTTTTGAGATAATCATGTGGTTTTTGTCTTTGGTTCTGTTTATATGCTGGATTACATTTATTGATTTGCGTATATTGAACCAGCCTTGCATCCCAGGGATGAAGCCCCTTTGATCATGGTGGATAAGCTTTTTGATGTGCTGCTGGGTTTGGTTTGCCAGTATTTTATTGAGGATTTTTGCATCAATGTTCATCAAGGATATTGGTCTAAAATTCTCTTTATTGGTTGTGTCTCTGCCCGGCTTTGGTATCATAATGATGCTGGCCTCATAAAATGAGTTAGGGAGGATTCCCTCTTTTTCTATTGATTGGAATAGTTTCAGAAGGAATGGTACCAGTTCCTCCTTGTACCTCTGGTAGAATCCGACTGTGAATCCATCTGGTCCTGGACTCTTTTTGGTTGGTAAACCATTGATTATTGCCACAATTTTAGCTCCTGTTATTGGTCTATTCAGAGATTCAACTTCTTCCTGGTTTAGTCTTGGGAGAGTGTATGTGTCAAGGAATTTATCCATTTCTTCTAGATTTTCTAGTTTATTTGCGTAGAGGTGTTTGTAGTATTCTCTGATGGTAGTTTGTATTTCTGTGGGATCGGTGGTGATATCCCCTTTAACATTTTTTATTGCGTCTATTTGATTCTTCTCTCTTTTTTTCTTTATTAGTCTTGCTAGCGGTCTATCAATTTTGTTGATCCTTTCAAAAAACCAGCTCCTGGATTCATTAATTTTTTGAAGGGTTTTTTGTGTCTCTATTTCCTTCAGTTCTGCTCTGATTTTAGTTATTTCTTGCCTTCTGCTAGCTTTTGAATGTGTTTGCTCTTGCTTTTCTAGTTCTTTTAATTGTGATGTTAGGGTGTCAATTTTGGATCTTTCCTGCTTTCTCTTGTGGGCATTTAGTGCTATAAATTTCCCTCTACACACTGCTTTGAATGCATCCCAGAGATTCTGGTATGTTGTGTCTTTGTTCTCGTTGGTTTCAAAGAACATCTTTATTTCTGCCTTCATTTCATTATGTACCCAGTAGTCATTCAGTAGCAGGTTGTTCAGTTTCCATGTAGTTGAGCGGCTTTGAGTGAGATTCTTAATCCTGAGTTCTAGTTTGATTGCACTGTGGTCTGAGAGATAGTTTGTTATAATTTCTGTTCTTTTACATTTGCTGAGGAGAGCTTTACTTCCAACTATGTGGTCAATTTTGGAATAGGTGTGGTGTGGTGCTGAAAAGAATGTATATTCTGTTGATTTGGGGTGGAGAGTTCTGTAGATGTCTATTAGGTCTGCTTGGTGCAGAGCTGAGTTCAATTCCTGGATATCCTTGTTAACTTTCTGTCTCGTTGATCTGTCTAATGTTGACAGTGGAGTGTTAAAGTCTCCCATTATTAATGTGTGGGAGTCTAAGTCTCTTTGTAGGTCACTCAGGACTTGCTTTATGAATCTGGGTGCTCCTGTATTGGGTGCATATATATTTAGGAGAGTTAGCTCTTCTTGTTGAATTGATCCCTTTACCATTATGTAATGGCCTTCTTTGTCTCTTTTGATCTTTGTTGGTTTAAAGTCTGTTTTATCAGAGACTAGGATTGCAACCCCTGCCTTTTTTTGTTTTCCATTTGCTTGGTAGATCTTCCTCCATCCTTTTATTTTGAGCCTATGTGTGTCTCTGCACGTGAGATGGGTTTCCTGAATACAGCACAGTGATGGGTCTTGACTCTTTATCCAATTTGCCAGTCTGTGTCTTTTAATTGGAGCATTTAGCCCATTTACCTTTAAGGTTAATATTGTTATGTGTGAATTTGATCCTGTCATTATGATGTTAGCTGGTGATTTTGCTCGTTAGTTGATGCAGTTTCTTCCTAGTCTCGATGGTCTTTACATTTTGGCATGATTTTGCAGCAGCTGGTACCGGTTGTTCCTTTCCATGTTTAGTGCTTCCTTCAGGATCTGTTTTAGGGCAGGCCTGGTGGTGACAAAATCTCTCAGCATTTGCTTGTCTGTAAAGTATTTTATTTCTCCTTCACTTATGAAGCTTAGTTTGGCCGGATATGAAATTCTGGGTTGAAAATTCTTTTCTTTAAGAATGTCGAATATTGGCCCCCACTCTCCTGGCTTGTAGAGTTTCTGCCGAGAGATCTGCTGTTAGTCTGATGGGCTTCCCTTTGAGGGTAACCCGACCTTTCTCTCTGGCTGCCCTTAACATTTTTTCCTTCATTTCAACTTTGGTGAATGTGACAATTATGTGTCTTAGAGTTGCTCTTCTTGAGGAGTATCTTTGTGGCGTTCTCTGTATTTCCTGAATCTGAATGTTGGCCTGCCTTGCTAGATTGGGGAAGTTCTCCTGGATAATATCCTGCAGAGTGTTTTCCAACTTGGTTCCATTCCCCCCCCTCACTTTCAGGTACACCAGTCAGACGCAGATTTGGTCTTTTCACATAGTCCTACATTTCTTGGAGGCTTTGCTCATTTCTTTTTATTCTTTTTTCTCTAAACTTCCCTTCTCACTTCATTTCATTCATTTCATCTTCCGTCGCTGATACCCTTTCTTCCATTTGATCGCATCGGCTCCTGAGGCTTCTGCATTCTTCACGTAGTTCTCAAGCCTTGGTTTTCAGCTCCATCAGCTCCTTTAAGCACTTCTCTATATTGGTTATTCTAGTTATACATTCTTCTAAATTGTTTTCAAAGTTTTCAACTTCCTTGCCTTTGGTTTGAATTTCCTCCCTTAGCTCGGAGTAATTTGACCGTCTGAAGCCTTCTTCTCTCAGCTCGTCAAAGTCATTCTCCGTCCAGCTTTGTTCCGTTGCTGGTGAGGAACTGCGTTCCTTTGGAGGAGGAGAGGTGCTCTGCTTTTTAGAGTTTCCAGTTTTTCTGCTCTGTTTTTTCCCCATCTTTGTGGTTTTATCTACTTTTGGTCTTTGATGATGGTGATGTACAGATGGGCCTGTGGTGTGGATGTCCTTTCTGTTTGTTAGTTTTCCTTCTAACAGACAGGACCCTCAGCTGCAGGTCTGTTGGAGTACCTGGCCCTGTGAGGTGTCAGGCTGCCCCTGCTGGGGGGTGCCTCCCAGTTAGGCTGCTTGGGGGTCAGGGGTCAGGGACCCACTTGAAGAGGCAGTCTGCCCGTTCTCAGATCTCCAGCTGCGTGCTGGGAGAACCACTGTTGTCTTCAAAGCTGTCAGACAGGGACATTTAAGTCTGTAGAGGTTACTGCTGTCTTTTTGTTTGTCTGTGCCCTGCCCCCAGAGGTGGAGCCTGCAGAGGCAGGCAGGTCTCCTTGAGCTGTGGTGGGCTCCAACCAGTTCAAGCTTCCTGGCTGCTTTGTTTACCTAAGCAAGCCTGGGCAATGGTGGGCGCCCCTCCCCCAGCCTCGCTGCCGCCTTGTTGTTTGATCTCAGACTGCTGTGCAAGCAATCAGGAGACTCCGTGGGCCTAGGACCCTCTGAGCCAGGTGCTGGATATAATCTCCTGGTGCGCTGTTTTTTAAGCCCGTCGGAAAAGCGCAGTATTCGGGTGGGAGTGATGCGATTTTCTAGGTGCGGTCTGTCACCCCTTTCTCTGACTAGGAAAGGGAACACCCTGACCCCTTGTGCTTCCTGAGTGAGGCAATGTCTTGCCCTGCTTCGGCTCGCGCACGGTGCACGCAGCCACTGGCCTGCACCCACTGACTGGCACTCCCTAGTGAGATGAACCCGGTACCTCAGATGGAAATGCAGAAATCACCTGTCTTCTGCGTCACTCACGCTGGGAGCTGTAGACCGGAGCTGTTCCTATTCGGCCATCTTGGCTCCCTCCGCTAATTTTCAAATATATATTTGTCTATATATATGATCTGGCTAAAAATTTTAGTTATATATATTATATATAACTAAATATATATATATAACTAAATATATATACAACTAAATATATATATAACTAAATATATATATAACTAAATATATATATAACTAATATATATATAACTAAATATATATATAACTAATATATATATAACTAAATATATATGTGTGTGTATATATATATATCTAAATATATATATCTATATATATATCTAAATATATATATCTATATATATATCTAAATATATATATCTATATATATTCCCTGGCTAAAAGTTTTAGTTAAAGTTAAATCCCACATAAACTTGATCACATGTGTTTACTTCTCCCTTCCTAACTTCATGAAAAAGAGAGTAAGGTAATGGAAAAACTCAATAAGACAAAGAGAACAGGAGTAGGAGCATTGATAGTTGTAAGGTTCAAACTAACTTTTACTTATTGCAATGGAAGTTTCAACTTGAATATCTCCTTCTACATGAACTTCTGAGAGAAACCAACTAATTCTTCCCATAAAACTCCTAATATTTTAAGACTTGGAGGTACCTGGTCTGTGGAAGGCAGGAATGTGTCATGAGATTGGATACATGAGTTATTTGTTGAAAATCTTTATGATAAGTGGCTGCAGTTCCATATCCTATCACCTACTCCCTGCTCCTCAGGAGACCAAATAGTTTATTTTCTGGAGAATCTGAATAAGAATATCCCAGACTCAGAAATCCAGGCACAGTAGGAGGGTTGGTTGAAATAAGAAGACTGTGTTATTCTGTTTTGTGCTGCTATAACAGAGTACATTATAATTTATATATAACAGATTGATTTACAATGAGCAGAAATTTATTTCTCACAGTTCTGGAGGCTAGGACGTTCAAGATAAAAGAGGCTGGCATCTGACAAGGGCCTTCTTGCTGTGTCATCCCATGGCAGAAGTTGGAAGGGCAAAAAGAGGCAGAGGGAGAGAGAGAACACACAAGAGGAAGATGAACTTGAACTTGTCCTTTTATAAGGAACGCATTCCCATGATAATGGCATTAATCCTTCATGAGGGTGGTGCCCCCATGGCTAAACACCTCCTGTTAGACCCCACCTCCCAACAGTGTTGCATTGAGGTCAAGTTTCCAACACATTCTTTTTTGGGGGCACATTCAAACCATAGCAGAGATTAAGAGAAAATTTGCATACCTAATTTCAGGACCTGTATGTTTCATCCTAGATGCAATTAGTGAAACAGGGCATGAGTTATTTAGTTTTACATTATCAGATTTCTAGTAGTAATCTAGATATAGATTTTTCCCTTTTCAACATCTTCTAAATAATTGTATAGTCTAAACATAATTAAAAAATTTTAACATCTCAAATTCTCTCATCACTTTAACATGTTTTAGAAAAGGTAAATCGAAGGTCAGTTCATGTGAGAGTGTGTAAAATATTAATTTCATTTAACCTACTCAGTTTCTTTACTTGTAATAACAGAATTATAAGCAGAAAAATGATTGTACAAATAAACATAAATGATGTCATTTGATTTATTTGCTTTTTAGAATTATGAAAACCCAATAAATAGAGTTTTTTTTCCTCTTCTATTTCTTTTCCTTAAATTCAGGGGCTGGAAGAGGGCTGACGACAATGAAGAATCCCTCCTCCTGCTTGCTTAATTATTTTAGATCTTCACATAACTTCTTTTTTCTTTTTCTTTTCTTTTATTATTATTATTTTTTGAGACAGGGTCTCACTCTACCACCCAGGCTGGAGTGCAGTTCTGTGATCTTGGCTCACTGCAACCTCTGCCTCTTGGGCTCAAGAGATCTTTCCACCTCAGCCCTCTGAGTAGCTGGGTCTACAGGCACATACCACCATGCCCAGCTAATTTTTGTATTTTTATAGAGACGGGGTGTTGTCATATTGTCCAGGCTGGTCTCAAACTCCTGGACTGAAGCAATCTGCTCGCCTTGGCATCCCAAAGTGCTGGGATTATAGGCATCAGCCACTGCACCCAGCCAACATAACTTTATGAATAAACTAAATTGCGTATTATGCATTTTTATTTTCCCAATGTAATAAATTGATTTTATTAACAAGAGATATTTAAGTAAAATTTACATTTTGCTTCCCAATATATCTGAAACGAATAGAATAAATACATAAAATATATTCTACCTTCCCAGTGTTATACATCGGCATTACTAAAATGTAGATATTTTAGATATAGTTGAGTTTACCAAAACTCACCTACTCTTTTCCTACAAAAATAATCACCAAAACAAAAATTCAGTGCAGGCCAAGAAAATATTTCTATCCGCTATTTTATGTCTTTCGAATTTCAAAGTACTATACCTTTCTAGCTTATATTTTTTTGCAACCAATTCTAAAATTGTGTTCCCTGTTTATAGACTTCTCAGACCCCAAGTTCCTGAGGTAACATGGGAATCAGTGCTGTCTCTATGTGTGTGTATCTATGTGGCATGTATTTGCCTCAACTCCCCCCTTCTAACTTCTCTTGTCTAACCCAACTTCATACAGGGTCCTTAGGTCTTCTGATTCTCAGTTTATTCCAATTTCCTGTATAAATAGTCCCTCTTGTCTGCAGGTGGTATGTTCCAAGACCCCCAGTGGATGCCTGAAAACGTGGAGAGTACCGAACCCTATATATACTATGTTTTTTTGATAACTGAGACCGCTACTAAGTGGCTAGGAGACAAGTGGCATATATAGCATGGATACACTGCACAAAAGGATGATTTACATCCCAGGTGAGGTGCAGCAGGATAGTGTGAAATTTTATCCTGCCACTCAGAATGGTGTGCAATTTAAAAACATGTGAATTGTTTATTTTGAGAATTCTCCGTTTAATATTTTTTGAACTGCAGAAGGCCAAACCATGGATAAGGGAGGACTACTCCACTTGGTTGCTTTTCCATGGATAATCATTAGTTACTGATTTCACATGAAATTTAGTCAATAGTATTTAGTGATTCACTATTAAATTTCATAGATATTTTTACTTTCAGTTTTTTAAATAAGATTCAATTTCTTAATTTTCTTAAGATGTAATATGAACATTAAGTACAGGGGCATACATTTTTCCTTTAATTCAACCATGAAAAGTATAAAAATATTATAAAAACAGAAGTTGAAAATTCCAGTGTTAATCTTCATAGTAAATATTGGCTTCTTTTCCTCCTGAACAGGTCATTATCCAACTTTTAGAGGTGATGGATCATCTGCATAGAGGGGAATTGGTTGCTGCAATACTTCGTAACCGGTATATTTATGGAAATAGTTTAACTTATATAACGTCTTTCCTATTTATATACCTAACATAGCAGGCATTCAATAAATATTTGTTGAATACTTGGTATAAAGTAAGTATTTACTGTATGAATGAGTTAGAGAATGACTAAGTGACAAAGAAATTGAATAAAGAGGATGTTAGTGACAATGTTTCCTGAGATAATGAAAAAATAGAGAATATATTTAGAAAATGTAATTGGTATAAATTATGAGCACCTGGAATACAATCAGTGGAGATATTTATTTGAATTTTTAGTTTTAAAGGCATATCTGAATAAATACAGGTATCCATAGCTTAAGAATAGAAGTGCCAACAACACATTTTTAAAAATAGGATTGTCCTGTGATTGTATATATTTATATTATTTAAAAATCCAGTTAAAACCTTTTCAGGGAGTTACTATGAGATATTTAAAGCTTCTTCTGACAAATTAGGATTTTAAATTTATTATTTAAAGAAAAATAGCCTTGTTTGCAGGTGTGACAGAGTCTGTCTTATTCCCAGTAGCTTGATTGTACAGTTTGGATGAAACATTTGGAATAGTATGTTTGAGTTGTCTGTATCCTGGCTCTGATGCTTACTAGTGGTATAGCCTTGGGCAAGTTTCGTAGTCATTCTATACCTCAATTTCCTCACCTATGAAATGGTGTTAATAATAGTACCTACATTGCAGGGTTGTTGTGAAGATTAAATAAGTGTGAAAGGTGGGGCATGTATGAAAGTGTGTGTGTGTGTGTGTGTGTGTATGTGTGGAGAGAGAGAAAAAATAGAGAGCGGGTGTGAGTGAGTGAGCTGGGCAGATAGTAAGCAGTATATATGAGCTAGTATGAGGGAACTTTTAAAAGTTCATGGAAAAAATGGAAATAAAAGATAAAAATAAAAAACAACTGTTTCTTAATATAAGCTCCACCCAAATCAAGTTGCTTTTTTAAGTGTTGATACCAGCCATTTAAAGAACTGAGCGTCCTGGGAATTTAACCATATCAATGATGTTTCTTTTACATTATTAAGTGAAGAAAAATGGGTGCTCTTTAAAGGGTTTTTAAGACTAGGAAACAAAAAGAAGTCAGAAGGAGCCAAATTAGTACTGTAAGATGGGTGCTTAATGATTTCCCATCAAAACTCTCACAAAATTGCCCTTGTTTGAGAAATGAGCAGAAGCATTGTTATGGTGAAGAAGGACTTTCTGCTGAAGCTGTCCTAGGCATTTTTCTGGTAATATTTTGGTAACTTTCTCAAAACACTCTCATAATAAACAGATGATATAGTCCTTTGGCCCTTCTGAAAATCCTCAAGCAAAACGTCTTGATCATCCCAAAATAACTGTTGTTGTGACTTTTGCTTGTGACCAGTCTGCTTTTGTTTTGACTGGGTTACTTCTACCTTTTCCTAGCCATTGCTTTGATTGTGCTTGTCTTCAGAATCATACTGGTAAGGCCATGTTTCATTTCATGTTACAATTCTTTGAAGAAATACTTCAGGATCTTGATCCTACTTGTTTAAAATTTTCCATTGAAAGCTCTTTTCTTGTCTGCAGCTGATCTATGTGTAATTGTTTTGGTAGCCATCAAGTGGAAAGTTTGCTCAACTTGAATTTTTCAGTTGGAGTTGTGTAAGCTGAACCAACTGTGGTATCTATGGTGTTGGGTATCATGTCTGCTGTTATTCGCTGGTCCTCTTTAATTAGGGCATGAGCAAGATTAATTTTTTCCTTGCAAATTCATTTGGATCATCTGCTGCTGAGGGCTTCATCTTTAACATCATCTCATCCCTTTCTAAAATGAGTTATCCATTTGTAAACTGCTGATTTCTTTGGGGGCATTGTCCCCATAAACTTTTCATAAAGCATCAACGATTTCATCATTCTTCCACCCAAACTTTGTGATAAATTTGATGTTTGTTCTTGCTTCAGTTTTAGCAGAATTCATGTTGCTTTGATAGAGGCTCTTTTCAAACTGATGTCTTATACTCAGTGCTTCAAACTGGGTCCTGTTCAGGCATTTATAACACATTACTATGAGTTTATTTTCATGCAAAAAAATTGAAATCCATGCATAGTTTTTTTCAAAATACACATTTTGCATGAACTTTTTGAAGATCCCTCATATTATTCAAATATAAAAGTGAGATTTTAATTATTTTGAAAATGTAGTATTTGTGTTTTTCAATTCCGAGGTATTTTAAAATACAGGCATGTTGTAAAATGAACAGAAAACGTAGGAAAGGTTGAGGTAGGAAGGGAACATATATAAAGTTACTGTTACTTGACAGATACCATAGAAGGAATTTTCCATAATAATCCAATTAGAGAAATAACATGATGGGTGCCTGTTTGTTGGAATGTATACAGTAGTCCCCCTTTATCCATGCAGGATACATTTCAAGGCTCCAAGGTTGCCTGAAACTGAGGATAGTACCGAATCCAACTGTCATCAATCAGAACATATTTCTGCTCATCTCTTCTACTCACAAATATAAACATTTTCCATCTTAACTAAGCACTTTTCATACACTGTGGTCATAACTTTTGCAGTTTGAGTGTGACAGCAGAACTAGCACAAGCTGCTTCTTCCTTCTCCACAATTTCACCAACAGATTTCTTTCTTACTGTTGATCTGAGCAACCTCAGCATGTGTTTTTTAAAAATTAATTTTGTTTTAAGTTCTGGGATACATGTGCAGGATGTGCAGGTTTCTTATGTAGTTAAAACGTGTGTTCTGGTGGAGGGAGAACATACTTTTGTAAGTCAAGAACTTTGACCCTTTCACTTAAAGGAAACCCTTTATGGCTTCTCTTTGATATATCCAAGTCACCAGTATCACTATTCTTGCACTATGGGCCATTATTAAGTTAAATAAGGGTTCCGTGAACACAAGCACTAAATACCTCAGCAGTTGATCTACTAACTGAACTGGCTACTAAGTGACTCATGGGTGGGTAGCATTTACGGCAAGGATGCTGGACAAAGAGATAATTCCCGTCGTGGGTGGGGTGGAGTGAAGTAGGATAGTGTAAGATTTCATCATCTTACTCAGAATGACACACAATTGAAAACTTATAAATTGTTTATTCCTGGAGTTTTCTATTTGATATTTTCTTTAGAATGTGGTTGACCATGGGTAACTGAAACCAGGGGAAAGTGAAACCATGCATAAGCAGGGACTACTGTACTATCATCTGGGCTAGGGTGGAATATTCAGCTTAGGGGCTGTAAAACAGACTTGCTCACAGATACAGAAAATAGGGGAATCATAGCAGGGATAATATGTGGCCATGTTGGGTGAAAACAGGAGTAGATCAGGGGATGTTGAATTTATAGCTGCATGTATCAGTAGTTCCTTCTTTATTGTTGCTGTGTAATATTTCATTGTTTAAATATGCAACAATTTATTCTATCTATTTTCCTGTTGATAGTCATTTAAGTTGCATCCACATTTGGCTATAATGCATAAAACTGTTATTAGAATTCTTGTATAAAATTTATTTTGGCCACATGCACTCATTTTGTTTGGATTTACAGTATACTAGAAGTGGAACTGCTGGGACATAGAGTAAGCTACTGTTGTTTAACATTTGTAGAAACTACCAAACGTTTTTTGAAAATAGTTGTACCATTTTATACTCCCACCAATAATAAGTGAGAATCTTTACTAACACTTGATATTGTTAGCTTCTTTAATTTTAGCCATTCTGTGGGTGTGTAGTACTTCCTCATTATGGTTTTCACTCTTCATTTTCCTCATGTGTAATGATATGAATAGGTTTTCTTATGTTTATTAGCTATTTGGATATATTTTAGAAGCATATGTTCAAGTGTTTTGGCCATTTAAAAATGGGTTATTATTTTATTTTGATTATTAGGAGGTTTTAGTTCACTCTGGATATATAGGTATTTGTACTGTGAATATTTCCTTCCAGTCCATGGCTTACCCTCGAATTCTGGTATTTGTGTCTTTTGATGAGCAGTAGTTCTTTTTAAAATGAAGTTCAGTTTATCATTTTTCTTCTGTTATGCTTGGTGCTTTTTGTATCTTGCCCAAGAAATCTTTGCTCTTCCAAATTTGAGGTTTTCTTCCAAAAGTTTTACAGTTTTAGCCCTCACATTATAAATGCATTCTTGACCGCAAACCAGAGAAGTGAATGTATGGCCTAGATTCCACATAAGATCTAAGTGATTAATAAGACCACTTTACAGAAGAAAAGTTCTTTGTACTTTTAATTCTAAGCTAATACCTTTGTAAATGGCAAGGTAACTGAATGATAACTTGAGCTAAATCTGGCATTGCAGAGAGACCTAGTCTTATGGACCCTAGTTTATAACACAATGACTTTTGAGTCTTCTCTTGTAACCTTTCTTATAAATAAAGCCCCTTTGAAAGAAATATAATTCTGATTCTAAGTAATGTGATCCAGAACATAGAAAATAATGGGAAGTTGCATAGTTCAAATGTCAAAACCTGAGCAAAACGTTGCTTGCATGCATATACAAATTATGGGTCAGTTTCAAATTCCAAATACAGTAAAACATAGGAAAAGGCTCACATCTGGAATCACAGCACTTTGGGAGGTTGAGGAGGGTGGATTATCTGAGGTTAAGCGTCCAAGACCAGCCTGGCCAACATGGTGAAATCCTGTCTCTACTAAAAATACAAAGAAAATTAGCTAGGCATGGTGGTGCACACCTGTAATTCCAGCTATTTGGGAGGCTGAGGCATGAGAATCGCCTGAACCTGGGAGGCGGAGGTTGCAGTGAGCTGAGATCGTGCCACTGCCTTCCAGCCTGGGTGACAGAGCAAGACTCCGTCAAAAAAGAAAAATGGAATATATGAAGGGAATAAACTCTTTTTGACTAAGAAAGTTTTATCCCAGCATGAGAATGGTTTAAGATC